>NC_000022.11:38709564-39959564 GCF_000001405.40 Homo sapiens | reverse complement strand
GTATTAAAGGAAAGTTACAGCCCAGGGCGTCACGTTACCTAGGCTGGCATGGAGCACAAGGGGGCTTTGCTCAGTGTGCCTAGCAGAGGCTGCAGTGTTCCTAGGGAGTCCAGTGTACATGCTTGGAAATCAGCGAGGCTGGCAGCCGCCAGAGAGCGGCGTCTATACAACCAGATCCTGGGCCTGCCCCAAAAATCCAGGCTGGGAAATAATCTTTACTGTGGAAAAGAAGAAACAGGAGAAATTACTCTTTTAGCAGAATGGTCAGGGTGGCAGCCCCTGGAGGTACAGCTGCATACAGCGTGGCATGTATGAAATAGGTCAAACACTTACACAGGGCCAGGCAAGCTGTGGCTGCAGCCTCAAAGCAGGAGGCCAGAGACCTCTCTCCACCACAGACAAGCAAAATGAGTGTCTGCAATCACTCAGCGGCCAAAGGTGGGACTGTGTCACATTGCTTCAAGGTGGCTGCTCTAATTGCTGTCACCAGAAGGCTCATACGCATGTTCCTTTAAGATAAAAGCCCGTCAGGCCTTGGCTTTGGATTCCTTTGTGAGCAATTCTCTGTGCTTTCTAGAATTTGGGAAACTGAGACATAGGTAGCAGGAAGGATGTACTTACTGGAGACTGAGTCCCCCACTGGGACTGAGGGGGAAGTTTGGCTGTGCTCTGAGAGGGCTGAAAGCAGCAGTTTCTGGTGGCCTGGAGATTCTGCCTGAGTATTTGCCACACAATTCTACAGGGCTAAACAAGAGGCCACCACACACACCACTGCCACGTGTGGGAAATGTAATGGGGATGGGAAGAGGAATGGAGTATGCACCACAGCAGCCATATCGCAAAGGAAACATTTCAGAAGTGAAGGGGATTTAGGAAATACACATTTGTCCTCTGACTGCAATCTGATAGGGGGCTTCTTTAAAGATTTGTAAAAATCACCACACATTGCATATTAGACATGAGTGGTCATGGTTTCAATAATACATATTCGTTCGTTCATTCATTCATTCATTCATTCAACAGCTTTACTGAACATCTAGTACTGTGCTGGGCCCCTCCTGGGCACTGGGGACACAGTAGTGGGCAGAACAGACACACACCCCTGCCCTCAGGGAGCTTACATTCTAGTCGAGGGGGACACACACAAAAGAACAAAATAATTAAGATCTGAAGCGTGCCAGATGATGGTAAGTGCTGTGGAGAACATGAAAACTGAGAGGAGAGATGGGGCGCTGTGGGTGGGAGATTAATGTAAGGTATGGTGATGAGAAAGACCTCACTGAAAAGGAGACATTCTAAACCTATAGGGGACTGGGGAGTGGGAGGAACCAACACAAGAGACTGAGGAGGAGAAGCCAGGGCAGTGGGAGGACAACCGGAGGAAGGACGTCCTGGAGCCAAAATGAAAGAGGTGTTCCAGTGGGAGGGGGGATCCCCAGGGCAGGTCATGCTGAGATGACCCCTGGGAGCTACAGCCCATGGGGAGCCTGGTGGGAAGGGTCGGGAGATGAGGAGTTGGAAGTAGCAAATGCACACACTCCTTTTGAAGAGATGGAGTGGCAAGTGGAAGGGGATTTGGGATTAAGAATTTTCTTGATTTATTTATTTATTTAAATTTTTTTTTTCTTTGAAACAGAGTCTCTCTCTGCTGCCCAGGCTGGAGTGCAGTGATATAATCATGGTCCACCACAGCCTTGAACTCCCAGGCTCAAGCGATCCTCCTGCCTCAGCCTCCCAAGCAGCTGGGACTATAGGCGCATGCCACCACGACCAGCTAATTTTTAAAAATTTTTTGTAGAGATGGGGCTCGCTATGTTGCCCAGGCTGGTCTCAAACTCCTAGCCACAAGTGATCCTCCTCCCTCAGCCTCTCAAAGGACTGGGATTACAGGCATCAGCCACAACAAAACCCACCTGGCCTCTGGGTTTGGTTTTGTTTGTTTGTGTTTTGGTAAGTTGGGAGAAATTGCAGCGTGTGTGTTTGCTGACAGGAATGATCCAGCAGAGAGGGAAAGGAGGTTGACGTGGAAGAGAGAGAGAGGAGAATTTCTGCTAGAAGCAGTGACAGTTCCTTCCAGCCAGCTGCAGGAAAGGCCGACTGTTTGAGCACACTTGCAGGAGGCAGGTGGATGCGGTGGGGGAGGGGGGTCTGGGAGCTTCACTTCTGGTGGCTTTCATTGTTCCAGAGAACCTGGAATCAAGGTCACGGGCTAAGAGTGATGCACGGAGGGGCTGAAGGTTTGAGGAGCACGTGGGGTATGCAGAGGTCACCTAGCAGATTCCTGGGCAGCATCAAGGGTTCCGTCAAGGTCAGTGGTCATTCTCTTGGTTTGGTGGTCAGTTCAGGTTTACCAAGACTGGTGCTCTTGCACCTTGCTGGAGTCACCAATACTACTGTGGTTTTCTAACAAGCTTTTGCTCTTTGAGCTAGACCCTGGTTCTGAGGCAAGATTAGATTTCTATCTAACCCTTGTGGTCAATTCTTGAGACAAACGAAGCCCAATCTCAATTTTTCATTTCCTCTTTAGGAAGAGAATTTCCCCTTCCCCCCGCTGACTTCTCTCATTGGGGTGAGCATGCTTTACTGAAGGCAGGGAGTGTCTGTCCACCCACTGAGTGAAGGGTGAGAGCCTGGTGAGGATGGTTAGGATTAGGAGGTCACAGAGAAGCGCTTAGGAGAGCAGCTCCCGAAGTGGGGTGGCCAATAGCGTCCCCTTTGGAATTCTGGGGAACGCCGTGATTGAAATCACTATAGATAATTTGAGTTTACAAACTCATTTTATAAAAACTTAAAATAGGCCGGGTGCAGTGGCTCACACCTGTAATCCCAGCACTTTGGGAGGCCGAGGCGGGTGGATCACCTGAGGTCAAGAGTTTGAGACCAGCCTGTCCATCATGGTGAAACCCCATCTCTACTAAAAATACAAAAGTTAGCTGGGTGTGGTGGCATGCACCTGTAATCCCAGCTACTAGGGAGGCTGAGGCAGGAGAATTGCAATGAGCCGAGATCATGCCACTGCACTCCAGCCTGGGCAACAGAGCAAGGTTCTGTCTCAAAACAAATAAACACATGAATAAAAAAACCCAAAAAAACCCAAA
The DNA here is from genome assembly GCF_000001405.40 of Homo sapiens. Classification (NCBI taxonomy): domain Eukaryota; kingdom Metazoa; phylum Chordata; class Mammalia; order Primates; family Hominidae; genus Homo; species Homo sapiens. Next base: position 39,956,466 of record NC_000022.11, on the reverse strand, counting down.
ACTTAAAATAGGCCAGGCATGGTGGTTCACGCCTGTAATCCCAGCACTTTGGGAGGCTGAGGCGGCAGATCACTTGAGGTCAGGAGTTTGGGACCAGCCTGGCCAACATGGTAAAACCCTGTCTCTACTAAAAATACAAAAACTAGCCTGGCGTGGTGGCATGTGCCTGTAATCCCAGCTACTTGGGAGGCTGAGGTGAGAGGATGGCTTGAGCCCAGGAGTTTTAGGCTGCAGTGAGTGGTGATGGAGTCACCGCACTCCAGCCTGGGTGACAGAGGGAGACCCCAACTCCCAAAAAAAAAAAAAAAAAGTTAAGAACAACTTAAAATAGCAATACATGCACATGGTGTAAACATCAAAAGGGAATGAAATGAAATGCAAAGTCTCCCTCCTGCCCTGGCCTTCAGCTGCATGCTCTGGAGGCTCTCCGGAGAGAGCTCCAGAGGCAGCCATTTTTGACAATGTCTTGGGTTCCCATGGATAACTGTAGTGACTGCTGGAAATGTAAGAGGAGTGTGTGTGGCTAGGCCCATCTCAGCAGGCTGCAGATACTTACTTGGGAAACTGGATGTCTATGAAATTCTTGGGCACATATCCTTCCTGGCTCCCAAGCTCCGCCTTAAACCACTCCTCTTGGTTACTTAAAATCTACATGGAAGAAAAGGAAAGACAAAGACATTGGAGGGAGGACACCAAAAAAACAAGAGAAAGGGGCTGCCAGGCAAAGAAGGCCCTTTTGGACTTAGAGGAAAATATGTTAATAAGTTGAAAGAACTCAACAGCTGTTCTAGGATTTACCCCAGGCCTGTGGAGGAGCCGTGGGTTTACCTTTGGAGTCAGCTTCTCCTGACCCCAGGTTATTTCTGTCCACTTGTGCCGTCCACTCATGTCACCCCACTGTGGCTTGGCCTCCCAAATTCAGCACTCAAGGACTTCCCTGAATCCCTTTTTCTATTTTGGAAATTCATTTGTCCCAGTTAGCACCTTAAGTTCCTCATCTCAGCAGATGGTGAGAAGGAAGAATGGTTACTCCACGGTGTATTTTTTTTTTTCTCTTCCAGGTAACCAGGAAACTTTTCTCTTTTTTTTGTTGTTGTTTTTCGTTTTTTTGAGACAGAGTCTTGCTCTGTCGCCAGGCTGGAGTGCAGTGGCGGGATCTCAGCTCACTGCAACCTCCACCTCCTGGGTTCAAGCGATCCCCCTGCCTCAGCCTCCTGAGTAGCTGGGATTACAGGCATGCGCCACTACACCTGGCTAATTTTTCATATTTTTAGGAGAGACGGGGTTTTACCATATTGGCCGGGACTGTCTTGATCCTTTGACCTAGTGATCCACCTGCCTTGGCCTCCCAAAGTGCTGGGATTACAGGCGTGAGCCACCAGGCCCAGGAAACTTTTCAAAAATTCAATTTGTTATTGTTTTTTAAACAGGCAGATTAAAACTTAAACATCCCAGTGGGGCCAGCTTTGGAAACAGTAACTCTTTGTGTTCACATGCTGTGTATTTCACAGATATTTGGCTGGAACCCAAGATACTTGGGATGCCTTTTCTAAACTTGCTTTTAAAGCCAGATCCCAAACAAAACCAAAAGTTCTGTCTTGTTACTCTGTGGCCTGACTTTGACTGTGACCCCAAATGTTATTGTCTACCTCAGTTACTCATATTACTCACCAGACTTGACTGTATGTGGCTTCTGGTTTCTCAAAAAATGAGATTCACCATTAAAAGACAAAATATTTGACACCGCCACTGAGAATGTTTTGAAAGTCTGAGGCCAGGTGTGGTGGCTCGCGCCTGTAATCCCAGCACTTTGAGAGGCCAAGGCACATAGATCACTTGAGGCCAGGAGTTCGAGACCAGCCTGTCCATCATGGTGAAATGCCATCTCTACTAAAAATACAAAAAGGAGCCGGGCCTGGTGGCACATGCCTGTAATCCCAGCTACTCGGGAGGCTGAGGCAGGAGAATTGCTTGAACCCAGGAGGCAAGGTTGCAGTGAACCGTGATCTTGCCACTGGACTCCAGCCTGGGCAACAGAGCAAGCCTCTCTCAAAAAAAAAATTTTTTTTAAGTCTTTGATATAGACTAGAACAATAATTCTAAATAAGGATAGCAGAGCAAAAGATGGAAAGAACTCTGATAATGTCACTGAACCGCTGAATTAGATGATACCCAGGAGCCTTCCTACTTCTGGACTTTGAGAAATTACAAGTCTTTGTTATTGTTTAAGCCATTTTTAGTTTATGTTTCTTGCTCCTGAAAATATCTTAACTGATAGAAGTGTGATGATAAAGAAGAAAGCAGAAATAGATAGAAAAGGCATCCATATGTAGAGGAGAGACCACTTGCCTTGGCAACGAAAGGAGTTACTGAGGCCAAGTCAGATGGCAATGGACTTCCTCCTTCAGCTCTGAGGAGGTGTGGTGTGTTCTGGGAATGAAATGCCTCCAGGTGGCTGGAATGTAGACTGTGAATATCTTGAAATGTAGGGGGAGCCCTTAAAGGATTTTGAGCAGGGAAGTAACAGTAAGAATTAGAGTTCAGAAAGAGCTCTGGCTGGGTGCGATGGCTCATGCCTGTAATCCCAGCACTTTGGGAGGCCCAAGTGGACGATCGCTTGAGCCCAGGAGTTTGAGACCAGCCTGGGCAACAAAGCGAGACCTTGTCTCTATGAAAATAAAAATAAAACTTAGCAAGGCGTGGTGGAAGCGCACCTGTAGTCCCAGCTACTCAGGAGGCTGAAGCGGGAGGAGGGTGTGAGCCCAGGAGTTAAAGGCTGTAGTGAGCTCTGATTGTACCACTGTACTACAGCCTGGACAACAGAGAGAGACTCTGTCTCTAATTAAGAGAGAGCGAGAGAGCGACAGAGCTCTGTATCAGAGATCAGAATGTGAAGATAGATTGCAAGGCTAAAGTCGGCAGAAAAACTGCAGGAAGATGAGCGCAGGCCTCCAGTCAAGAGATGATAGGGCCTAGGCTAAGAGGAGGTGAGGATATATTTTAGAGAAATTCAGGAAGCAAACAGGCAGGATTTCTTGACCAATCTTGGAAGCTAAGGGAGAGGAGGACTCTGGGATGCCACTGGATTTCTGGCTTGGGAGACTGAGTAGGTGGTGACGGCTTTACAGAAATAGAAGATACATGAGAGGAGGCAGGGCTGAGAAAGGGCTCATGGGCTTCAGATTGCATGCGGGTGACTGTGAGTTGAATTCTTCAACTAAGAAGAAAAGCTCAGGGAGCAGCTGGATATGTCAGTCTGGACCCAGGAGAGAGGCTAAGGTTGGGGCTTGGGGTTTCAGAGTCATCAGAAAGTGGGTGGAGTTGAAGTCACAGGGCCCTTGGGCTTCTTTCTCCCAGAAAAGAAGATGGGAAGATAATGGAAAGAACTAAGTGCTTGAGTGGAGATGATGACCTATTTCTAACATCACTCCAAGGTGGAAGGAAGGGGACAGTGTTGTGAGTTGGGAACGAGAAGACCTGGTTTCTAGCTTGGCTCCATCACTAGATATGTGATCTTGGCCAAGTCAATCAGCCATTTGAAAAATGGAGATAATAATAGCCACCTAGCACCTCACAGAGCTGATGTGAGGATCAAATGAGCCCTGGTACCTGAAAGTCCTTCAGAAAGTGTAGACTCTTTTCAAAAAATACAATTCCATCAAATGTGGTATTCTTATGAGGGAGGCCTCCAGCTCTGAATAGGACATGGAAGGGTTTATACGTTCTTTAAAGCATTATGTGTGTATGTTTTGAATTTAGTCATTTATTCTGAAGGAATAAAAGTGTGTCCCATATTTGAGTTTGAGATTGCTGAGAACAGAAAACTTTATAGTTTCTAACATCAAATGTGACTGCTGGTGTCACTAAGGACATGTGGGTATGTGTGTGCTGAGGGGGCAAGGGAGGAAGCAGAAAATCTAGGTCAAAAGAACTAGGAAACCCAGCAGCAGCGCCTCGTAGCCACGTAAAAACACAAGAGCACACTGCACTCCATCCATCGCTTCTGAATTCATGGCATTGGAATTCCTTTCTCCCGTCACATGGGAATGTGGTGTTTGGCCAGGGTAGCAAATGTCACACAGAAAGGGGTAAAAGAGGCCATTTGGAAACTACCTTGTCACCGTAAGAACCACACGTTGAGGCCGGGTGCCATGGCTCACGCTTATAATCCCAGCACTTTGGGAGGCTGAGGCGGGTGGATCACCTAAGGTCAGGAGTTTGAGACCAGCCTGGCCAACATGGCAAAACCTGATCTCTACCATAAAGACAAAAATTAGCCAGGCATGGTGGTGCATGCCTGTAATCTCAGCTACTTGGGAGGCTGAGCCACGAGAATTGCTTGAACCCAGGAGGCGGAGGTTGCAGTGAGCCGAGATTGCGCCATTGCACTCCAGCCTGGGCAACAGAGCAAGACTCTGTCTCAAAAAGAAAAAAAAAAAAAAAAAAACCACACACTTTGTACTTCATTTTCTGACCTGAAAGCAGCTCTGTAATTTTAGTTATCATGCCTCAGACCTCCTCTAGAAACTGAAAGATTATCCCACAATGCCAGCCATTTCTCTCCGCCACCTGGTGCTTGGTCTGCCTAACACTGTGTTTCTAGAGAGGTGAATTTGCAGGCTCTTTACCATGTATAGAAGGTGAGGTTTTTTTTTAAAAAAAATTCTCATTTTCTGCAAAGAAAAGTATTTGAGGGGAGGGGAGATGGTTTCCTCCTGCCGTTGTGGGCCCAGGGCCCCACACTTCCTGTTCTTCTCATCTCTCCATCTGTTCGGTTCCCCCTATCTCGTGTACCCATCGTGTAAACCTGAGCAAGGCGTTCAGCCTGAACACTTGAAGTTTTACTCTTGACTGTTTCTTAATTCTTATAATGTTCCCTAAGAGATGATTTTTTGGGTTACATGGCCTGTGAATAAGTTAGACGTGGGAAGAGAAGGGCCAAATTACGGCTGGAAGAATTTTTAAATTGGATGAAATTGTAGCTTTTAGAAACATAGCAAAAATCTGAAGTATTGAAGAAATGAATTATGTGGAATTAACTCTTAGTGCTTTTAGGTTGCTATTTTAGCAGGAAGAAATGAGGTCGCATTAGCTGCATTACAGAAGGAGACAGAAATGGACTGGGTCAAGAGATATTTTTCAAAGCTACTGGCAAATTTAATGGCAAATTCAAATGTGAGGCTGGTGCTGTGTGTAGCTGCAGGTATGGTGGTTTGTGGCATGAATAGGAAAAAAATCTGATTCCTGAGTTTCCAAATGTTTCCGTCATAGGAGAAGCAGGATCAAGTCATTTGGCAGCGTTTTCCTGTCCACCATCTTGATCTACATGCCGTGTAGATCACCATCTAGTGAGCACCTGCTGATTGCACTTAGGTGCATGAAATATGGAGATAAATAAGCTGGGGCCTCTGCCCCAGGAAACTGATGGTCTGTTGAGGGTGGGTGGCTGCTCAGACTTTTTTGTACCTTTCTAATGAAAACCTCTGTTTAGTCTTTAGCACAAAAGGCCAAACAAGTCAGAGAATCCCAGAAGCGAATTGCTGGGGTAGTCAGGAGCTGGCTTTGAAAGTATTTGTGAGGATCCTGGGTGTGTTACCCATTGAGGAAGGTGGGGGGCAGACATTGCAATCACATGTGGGGAGTCCCAGCCATGGGAACCAATCACCATCCTGTAGACATTCTGTGGGGCTCAGTCAACAAGCCCTCCCCATTTTGCTCTTTACCTGCAATGGACAGAATTTGAAAAGAGGGAGGGGGTTGGCTTTCCAATGGAATTCTAAATGAACAGGAAGAAATGCAATTTAGCAATTCAAGAAATATGTACTGGGCATCTATTTTGGGCCATGACTTGTGTTAGATGCTGTGAAGACACAAAGACGAACCTGGCATTGTGTGCACACGTGCATGACATTGCTCTCAGGGAATGGAGAGGAATTGAAAGTTCATTCATTCGTCAAGTGTCAGGGAGTTCTAGGCACAGCTCTTCTAGACATTGAGGCAGAAACAGCCCCTGCCCTTGCACAGCTTTTGCTAGTGGAGTAGACAACACATAAACGAGCAATTAGGATCCCACGGGGCAAAGGCAGCAATGAGAGGTAGAAATAGAGGGTGCATGAGACCACAGGGTCATGGCCTGCCTATAAATAGCTGCCATGTGAGGCAAAGTCATAAGTGCCTGGAAATGAGTGAAGTTTATGTGAAATGTTGGGGAGGAGCTGAAGAGGGAGTGATTTGTTTCCCTGGGATGGTAGGGAGTGGAGAGGACCAGCGAGGTTTCCATGGTAGAGGAGGTCAAGTATGTGTGTGTAGGAGAGGGGCAATCAGAGTATATAGGGGAGAGGCTGAGAAAGGGCGGTGTATACATTGCAGTGCAACCTGGGGGCGTTACATCTACAAAGATGTCTCTGTGTGGGTGTGTGCACACATGTGTACATGTGCATAATGACACTGGACAGTGGTTTGGGGCCAGATGTTTTCAGTCTCAATCAATTGGTAATTGGAAACCCCTGAATGCTTTTGAGCAAGGAAATGATATGATCTGATTTGTCTGGAAAGATCCCTCTGGGACTAGTAAGAAGAATGAGTGAAGGAGGAAAAAGACAAGAGGTAATGAGGTCAGTCAAGGAGCTGTGGCAATGATCTGAGCAGTCAGAAGCAGCGGGGATGGATGATCCCGATAATGCGGGCCACCATTTATTGGGCGTCTACGTTGGGACAGGGTCATCACCTCGAATCCTCTCCACAACCCGGCAAGATGGATACTACCTCCACTTGCTGAGGAAGACACTAAAGCTCAAAGGGGGCAGATGACTGGGCCCCAGTCTCCATGGTTAGTAAGCTGGGATTCAAACTCAGATCCATCTGACTCAAAGTCTATGCTCCTTTTTACTGCCTCACACTCCTTTCTGGTGAAGAAGAGACTTGCTTGAGAGATATGAGGAAAAAAATACATTCAGAGCAGAGTTTAGTGCTTAGGAGTCAGACAGAGTTCTGTCCAGGTCCTGGATTGGTCACATGCTAGCTGTGTGACTGTGGACATGTGATTTAATCCCTAGCCTCAGTTTCTCATCTATGAAATGGAGGGGAAATGAATGCCTACCTCACAGGTTTGCTGAGATGATGAAATCATGCCTGCAAACCACTTAGCTAGATCCTGGCCCTGAACAGGAGCTCAGGAGACGTTGGTTACTGGTCACCAGGATTTGGTAAAGGAGGCATTGATGATAATTGGGGCTTCTAGCTTGTGACTGACCTAGGATAATAATTAGAACATGGAAAGAAGAGTGGCTTGGGTGGAAATGGGGGTGAGATGGGCATGGGGGTTTGAGTGATTCTCGGCATCCTGAGTTAGGGGCTGGAGTTCATGTGGGGACATCCAGCAGACAATTGGAAGTCTGGGTCTGGAGTTCAAGAGCAAGGCCAGAGCTAGAACACGAGCCACAGACTTGAGGGTCTTTGGCACAGAGGTGATAGTTGCAGCTGAAGAAGTGGATGAGGTGGCTCAGAGTGAGAAGAAAAATCAGAAAGCCAAAGGCAGCACCTTCAGGGAAGTGTATATTTCAGGATCAAGAGAGGAAAAAGAATGCTTGGAAATGAGACCTGTAGGAGTGGTCAGGAAGGGAGGAGAAGAACCCGGAGAGGGTGGTGCTGCCAAAGCCAGGGAGAAAGGGGCTTCCAGGAGAGGGCCAGTTAGCAGTGTCAATCCCACAGACATTTCCATAGGGTCATTATACTACACATTAAGGAGATCACTGGTGAACTTCAAGAGAATGTTGCAGGGAGGGTAAAAGGCAGATTCCAGAGAGTTGTGGAATGAGTGGGAAGTGAGGAAGTGAAGCACGCCCAGTGTAGAGAATTCTTCCCAGTATTAGCAACAAAGGGGAGGAAAGAAATCAGGAGCTGGATTGGGAAGCAGAGTTGAGCAAAGTTTTTTTTTTTTTTCTTTCCTTTTTCCTTTTCTGAGGAATAGAGAAAACTTAAGATACCAGGTTCTCTTTGTAATGGAAGACGAGGGTGGAAGTTGGTACAAGGATGGTCTCCAGTGGATGACAGTCACATGATCACAGTGCCCCACAGAGAAGGCAGGAACTTCTCGCTGCTTGGCAAGTCCCTCCAGGAGCTTCGTAAGACCCCAAAGCAGTGACAGACAGGTTTTCCTGGGTCAGGAGGCCCAACTCATATTTTAAGTTTGTGAAGGCCTATGCTTTGCCACTATGTTACTAGATCTTGAAAGTTGAGAGCAGTTAGAAGGCTACCTAATGGGCATGTTCATATTCCAAAAGAAGCCATTCTGTGGTGTTTTGTGCTCCTCAGACACTTTCAATGTCACCCTCTCACATGCTGACAAGGTTCTTTGTATAACAAACCTAATTCTCGGTGGTGAGACACTAATGGCCTCAGTGTTGCTGGGCGTCCGAGAAGGCTCATTGGGACTGCTGAGGACCAGGGATCAGGCTATCTGAGGACCAGGGATCAGGCTATCTGAGGACCAGGGATCAGGCTATCTGAGGGTGCTCTGAGGTCAGGCAGAGGGGGTCTGGCTCCACACACTCCCAAATGCCCTTTTGAAGGGCTTATGCTCTTTTGCAAACAAACAAAACAAAACAAAAACCCAAGGGCTAAGATGCAGAGTCTGAAAGTATGGTGCATGAATGTGGGAGAAGTCCAAGGCCACTTCAGCTCAGCAAGTGGCCACTACAACTCAAGTGCAGGATGAGGACAAGCTTTAAAAAGCCCCTGAGTGGCCAGGTGTGCATGGCCTTTGTTGAGCCATGTCCTCTGTGGCTGCCTTTCCCAAGCTGTCTCCACCCACAACCTCTCCTCCTGAGTTCCAGCTCTGCTGAGCCTGGCGCTGCTCCCTGCATTCAGCATGGGCTTGCACATCTCTGAGCTTTAGCTAAAAGCCCAAGTCACCTTCAGTGCATTCCTGACGTTCACATTGCACACACTCCTACAACCCCCATCTTTCAAGATGGAATCACTTGTTCCCTCACCTGTGCTCCCTGAGAACTTAGCCAAGAACATCTGTAACAGCCCTTTGGGTGGATGTGTTCCCCTCTCCAGACTACGAACCTCCCAGGACAAGGATGGTGGCTTATGCCGACTGTATTTCCATCACCCGGCCTGGTTGGTGTCTGGTATAAGGGTGCACAAAGGGAATCAAGGTGAACTTCTCTTTTTAAAAGGAACCACATGCAGTTCTTAAGAGACAAAGGCAGGGACTGTCAGATTACTGAGTAACTGAAACTCCCTACTGCTCCCCTGGGGCCCCAGGTCACCTACCTTCAAAACATCTCCAGTGTGAAAGCTCAGTTCATCCTCACCTGAAGCAGTGAAATCAAACTTGGCAACAGCTTCCATGCTGTAACGTGAAGCTGGAAGAGAAATAATGTGGTCATTGTGCCTCTCTGCCAGGGGGAGGGCAGCAGAGCCGATGGTGCTTCCTGGTAATCAGCAGTTCCTAGGAGAGTGGGCAGATGGATGTCTCCAGGCCGGAGAGCAAGGCTCAGGCACACAACAAGGGCTTGTGTTTGCAGGAAGAGCTGCCGGAATCTATAGGATCTAGGTCCTGGGATCATTCTCGGAATCCCCAGATGCCAGGAGCAGGAAATGAAGGCCATCCGCAGCCTTTCCCTTCTCCTTTCATCATCCTGGCCTGACACCACTTTTGGGGGCATCTCTGTTTGCAGCTGATAAGGAGGGAAGGCTTGCTATCATCTGTAACTTGAGGCCTGAGGGGCTGGAAAGACTATTCTGTAAACACTGTCCCAAGGCTGTCCCTTGGCAGCTATATTTAACCAGGCAGTGTTAATTAGACGGATGCCATTTCCTCTTTTACATCTGAATCATTTAAGAGAATTAGACAGCATTGGCCAGTGGGGAACTCAGCTTCCTTCTGCATGGTTTGGGAGTAGAAAGAAGTTCTTGGTCTTCGAGTTGGGAGGCTCAATTGGTCAGATTACTTATTTTATGATATATTATAAACCAAGTACATTTTGGGAATTTTGATTTTAACATTTTTGAATTGAGTTAAAATAGTGGCCCCCTTCTTGTAATGCATGAGACCCATGTAAAGATAAATGAGTCGGCCTATGTAATACATTTAGTATGAACTAGAGCTGTGCTTTAGGAGGCAGCGGGGATGTAATGGTAAGACAGCTGGCTCCAATCCCAGTTTTGTTGGTAGATAGCTGTAGACTCTTGGGCAAGTAATTAAACCCTTGGAGTCTCCATTTCCTCATCTATAAAATGGTGATCATAATATTCAATTAATAAAGTTGCAAGGTTAAATCAAATTATAGATGCAGGCCGGGCGCTGTGGCTCATGCCTGTAATCCCAGCACTTTGGGAGGTCGAGGCGGGCAGATCACCTGAGGTCAGGAGTTCAAGACCATCCTGGCCAACATGGCAAAACCCTGTCTCTACTAAAAATACAAAAATTAGCTGGGTGCCGTGGCACGTGCCTGTAATCCCAGCTACTTGGGAGGCTGAGGCAGGATAATCGCTTGAACCTGGGAGGCAGAGGTTGCAGTGAGCCAAGATCATGCCACTGTACTCCAGCCTGGGTGACAGAGCAAGACTCTGTCTCAAAAACAAAACAAAACAAAAAAATTATAGATGCAAAGTATTACACCAGATAAAGCTAAATAGTATTTACGTTTTAAAATAATTTTATGGAATGAATTTTTCCCCAGCAAAGGTAGCCTGACCAAAATCAGCACAAGTTTTCTTTCCTCACTCCATCTCCTATGAACTTTTCTCATTGAAATTTGAGAACTAATCTCCATGACTATCAAATCCTGTGATTCTCTGCTAAGACAGCTTAACTGTCAGGACAATCTTGAAAGCTGTTATTTTCTTGTTGATCAAAATTTCCCTAAGTTTCAAACCCTTTAGGGTAGAAAATAAATACTCTCCAACCTAATAGACTTTCAGCGACCAGTCAACTGGGACCACATTTGTCCTCTCAGTGGGAATTCCTACCCAAGTTAACAAGATTTGGGTAAATAAGGAAGGTGGCTGCCAGTGAGAGGGTGAAACGCCAGGAGATCAGAGGATTAAAGCCGACTGCAACAGGGTGATAGCAAGGGGCTCATTTCTCTGATTCTCCACAATTGTTCAATCTTTCGAAGGTAATTTATAGAGATGACTATTACCCATTCAAAGGTAGATGTTAAGCAAAAAATAGACCAGGAGCCAAAGTAAAATGTCACAGTTAACTCTTTGAGTCAAAACGTACTCCCAAACAACACCATCACAAATATACTTTTTGTACACTTTCTTCAAGATCCATCTATCGAAGGCAAATTAAAATTGTTGTGACCTAGGACGACCCACTCAACAGGAAGGAGTATTCTGCCCTCCTAAGTTAATGCTAAATGCCTTTGCTGATTTGATTCACCCCATCATTTTAACACACAAGGCTTCTTCTAATTAAGGCCTTGCCTCTAGTTTGCAGAGAGACATGACTTCTGTGGGTCATCCTCATGGTATCAACAGTAGACAGTGGTCGCCTCGTGGGATCAAGTGTCAGGTGAATGGTCCTGAAGACCAAGGTCCCATTTGTATGCAAATTCACCTTAATAAGCAGGATGGAGACAAGGGAAGGGCAAATGCTAAACATATTAGAAAGTTACATAAATTAGAAATGAAAAAATATCCCAGGCAAGCTCTAGATAAGACCTTGATTTGGGGAAGATCTTTCCAACATGACATGTAACTCAGCTCAGGCTTGGGCACTGGGTCCAGGCTGGCTGTAAATCACTTCAGTGAGAAGTGAGAAGGCCGAGGCAGAAGTAAAATTGCTTCTGAATAGCAGCACTTTCCTCTGCCTTCCCCCAGGAGGTAGGCGGTATGGCAAAGCCAACGACACAGCCATGTCACAGAGCTCCCCAGCTTGTAATATTAATCCTGGCTCAAAAAACCCAACTAAACAGGCCCACTCTTTATAAAATCGCTTTGAAAAAATTTGTTTGCTCCCATTTCCATTTGTGAGATGAAATCTGCCCAGCTGCTGTTTGTTCAGGGTGGGGTGGGGTATGTTCTCTTTTTGTTTAAACCACAGGGCTTCAAAAACTCTTCCCTTGAAGCACCCCTAGTAGTAGAGAATAGTAAATATGTCACCCTCAGGGGTCGGTTTTCTGTTTGGTCATAAAAATGCATGGAAATGTATATCCCATTCCTCTATATCCATTAGCATTAATTTTGAAAAGTTTAAAAATTACCACCAGGGAAAAAGGAATCTGATTATCCATTTGTTTTATGATCTGTACCTGCCACCACTACATACTGCATTGGAGAAACAACAACAAAAAATATGATGCAGATATAAACTGGGTAGCAACAATTTAGACAGAGTTGTGGGGGGCGGAGTGCAACAGCCTGAATTCAAGAATGCAATGAAGCCTTCTTGCTGCTGTTTTCAATTTCAGCGCTTCTGACTTCTGAAAAGAGAGACCCCTCGGCCAGGCACAGTGGCTCACGCCTGTAATCCCAGGAGGCGGGCGGATCATGAGGTCAAGAGATGGAGACCATCCTGGCCAACATGGTGAAAACCCCATCTCTACTAAAAATACAGAAATTAGCTGGGCATGGTGGTGTGTGCCTGTAGTCCCAGCTACTTGGGAGGCTGAGGCAGGAGAATCACTTGAACCCGGGAGGTGGAGGTTGCAGTGAGCCGAGATTGCACCACTGCACTCCAGTCTAGCGACAGAGTGAGACTCCATCTTAAAAAAAAAAAAAAAAAAGAAAGAAAAGAGAGGCCCCTTTTTAGAGAACCTCACAGACGGATTAAATGTGCTTTCCCTGCCAGTGATGGGCTTTAGAAATGGCTGAAATGCTACCTGCCCATACAGTGTGAGACGCTGCAGCCTCTAGGGGCAGCCAAACCACCTCCAGCAGCAGCCCCCAACCCCCACCCCGCCAACCTGATAGATGGTGATGCCATTTGTAGGGCCTCAGTGCTAGCTCTGCTTCTCACCAGCCCTCTGCACCTCTCTCGCTTACCCCTTTAAGAGCTGTCACGCAATAGCCATTAGCAGCATGCAGTGTGGATCTGCTTCACCAGAGGGTAATGCCACACAGGACTGCCCTGAACATGATTTTTTCTACCCTTGCCTTTCCATGTGAGCTTCTTTTACTACCAAAAAAATCTTAAAAAATATTCAGGCTATATACCAGGAATGCTTGTCTACTTCTAAAATATAGCCACCACAGAGGATGAAAACAAAAGCCATGCTACAGCTCTTTAAAATAACCTCCATTGGAAACCCAGATTATAAGTGGATTTGTTCAGAAACACGTAGTTACCATCAAAATGGCACCCGGCAAGAAACTTCTTGATCAAATTCAGCTCCTCCTAAGTTGGCTATGAATAGCTAAGGTTTCCATTTTATGTATCTCTTACAAAGGGCAATTGCATAACACCACAAAGCTATGTGAAGATTCAGGCTCAGGACCCAGTGAGAGAAGGAGACAGGTCCTAAATTGCTATCACTTCCTATTTTGCTGGGGAGAGCTCTAATCTGAATACTTGCCCCAGTTTATGTTGTAATTCAGATAAGATAATGTCTTGAAATTTTTTAAAAAGAGAGGGAAACATTGCTTTTTACAAGAATTGCTTGTCACATATTTGTCAGGACATCAGCAACAAAATTAATTAATTAGTTCATTAATTTAGAGACAAAGTTTTCCTCTGTTGACCAGGCTGATGTGCAGTGGTGTGATCATAGCTCACTGCCGCTTTGAACTCTTTAGCTCACAGGATTCTCCCACTTCAGCCTCCTGAGTAGCTGGGACCACAGATGTGTGTCATCACATCCGGCTAATTTTTTTTTTTTTTTTTGGTAGAGATCGGGGTCTCACTATGTTGCCCAGGCTGGTCTCGAACTCCTGGGCTCAAGTGATCCACCTGCCTCAGCTTCCTGGAGTTCTGGGATTAGAGGCATGAGCCACCGTGGTCCAGCCAACAAATAATTTTTATTAGTGTATCTTGTATACGAAATGAAGTAAGAGAATAGTGAGAGTAGTTTACACTTTAGGACTTTGGCTGCTGCTACTACTGAGAGGAGCTTAGTGAAAATGTAAAATTATACCAGCTACTCAACATCACACAATGCAGAGACAGAATCCACAGCCTTGTTGTTCGACAGGTAAAGCCCCTCTCGGAGACAGTAGAGGAGAGTGCCGCCTCCCCCAGTCGAATTGACAAGGTCAGCTTAATCACTTTTCAGAAGTAGGAAACCTTATACTGCCAGGAAAAATGATTACAGTTAAGCCTCACTGTACACAATAGGTATATTCTTGAAAAGTTATAATGAATAGAGTATTTGTAAATGGAATCATATTAGCATGTATTATGGAGGCTCACTCTATAAAGGAACCCTGTGGTGAATCGCTTTATAAAATGAAAGGAAAATTTGTTATGCAAATAACTACCTTTTAATTTATCTGTTTTAAAGTCAGGGTTTTCATGCATTGAGTCTTAAAACAGAGCACACCTGCCTATCCCCTCCAGCTCTGCACACTGTGGGCCAAATAAACATTTGTTTCCCCTCCTCTGAACTCCTCAAGCACTTAACAAAACAAACAGACAAAAAAAAAAAACACCTCTCCTGTTGATATAGAACATTTCACCTTGGAGTACAGATGTGGAATTGTCAGACCTTTTCTGTGCAGAGCCAGAGAGTAAATATTTTGGCTTTGTTGGCCATCTAGTCTCTGTCACAATGACTCGCCGTGTTTTTGTAGCCAGGAAGGTGGCCTTAGATGATGGTAAATGAATGGGCATAGCAGGGTTCCCATAAAACTTTATTTGTGGACCCTGAGATTTGAATTTCATAGCATTTTTACATGACAGGAAGTATTATTATTCTTTTGATATTTTTTTCAACCATGTAAAAATGTAAATTAGCTCAAGGTCAAAAACACATGATGGGCTGAATTTGGCCCACTGGCTGTAGTTTGTCAAACCCTGATATATACATTTATATCTATATCCTATCTCCCCCTAATAGTTTATAAACTTCTTAAGGGGAAAAGTTGTAGTTTAGTGGACAGAATATAGGCCTAGTAGTAGACGAACCTGGATTTGAATCCAAAATGTGCCACTTCCTGAGTGTCCTATTTCCACATCCGTGGGATGGGAGTCACCAGAGTTACTCCGTGGGGTTGTTCTGTATTAATGCGTAGACTCTGATACACAGTAGGTGTCCAACGAATGGCAGTTGTTATTTTTTCTTAGATTCTCTACAATGCCTAGCCCGGGCTTAGCAGGCAGCCAGGAAATGTTTGTTGGATGAATGAAGACATGCAAATGACCTGCCCTCAGCATTACTCTGGTTGATTTCCTCAGGGAAGGAGCAGGAGACAGAAGGAGCCATTTAAAAGGATCAATTAACTTCCCACTCAGAGGTGCCCTGACTTCTCAGCAAACTCAGCCAGAGATAGTGCAACATACCTACACTAAGAGGTCTGATTTATTTAAAATCCAATAGAGGGCAATGGTGCACCCCAAACCATCAATTCCATCTCGTAACTTTTCTTTGCATCTTGAGTCCCGGTAACCTTTAACTAGACAGGTTCGGTGATTGTCTTCATTGTCTCTCATGAGTTTTAAGGCGCATCAATTTTAACATTTCAAAGACTCAAACCTTTAAAATACAGAATTGCTTAGATGTCAAAGAATTCGTGGTCATCTTCTCCTACACACTGTCTGATGCTTAAATTCCTCCTGAGCAGCCTGGAGAGGTGGTTCCCATTCCTCCTGAGTGGACTTCCCTCACTCCTGCTTGGATTCTGGGTTAATGATCCTGTATTGAAACCCCTACTGTGTGTTATTCTTTGCTCTGCATCTTACATCTGTGTTTGGGGCCTTTCTGCCTTAGTTTATTACCTCTTATTGGGCATTGGACATAGGAACAGGAAACTGAGAAAGGTTACAGATGGCCCTTCTTGAAAATTTGTAAGCATAGAACGGACAACTACCTTATGGCTCGCCTGTAAGCCACTGCTTAAATATTCTTCTAGAGACCCAAATCAATCTATTCTGAAAATAAAGTGGGAAAGTGAAAAAAAAAAAAAAAACAAACAAAAAACAAAACAGGCTGGGCCTCACCAAGAGACCAAGGAGTAGCCTTTCCCCATTTTGGGCTCTCAGATGACAATATTTTTGCTCTATTCTAAACCAGCAGACACCCTGCTTAGAGAATACCTGTTAATCAGCTGGTCATGTTGGAAATGTTACCCTTCTTACTGAATGTCTACCAAGGCTTACATATTCCTTTACTGTGCCTGCTCTTGAATCACTTCTAACTCATCTTCCGGAGCCTTTAAAATAGACTCTCACATTCTTTTTTGGTGGGGTCTTGCTTCTGGTTTTCTCTGGAGATGCGGCTCTGTGGCTAGGTGCAGAGGGTGGCGTGGGAGTTGGAATCATGGCAGCTACAACCAACTCATGCAGGGCTTCCTGGGCCCCCCACCAGTGCTTCACCACATAAAGTGTGCAGGTAGCTATGAACTTGGGGGTGGCCATCAGGGTCCTCTGCTTTACTTATTTACTTTGAGATGGAGTTGCCCTGTCACCCAGGCTGGAGGGCAGTGGCACAATCTCAGCTCACTGCAACCTCCACCTCCCAGGCTCAAGCAATTCTCATGCCTCAGCTTCCCGAGTAGCTGAGATTACAGGTACAGCCCACCACGGTCCGCTAATTTTTATATTTTTAGTAGAGATGGGGTTTCGCCATGCTGGCCAGGCTGGTCTTGAACTCCTGACCTCAGATGATCACCTGCCTCAGCCTCCCAAAGGATCCTCTGCTTTAGAAGGTTTACAGCCAACAGTTCCTCTGCTTAATTGGACCTCCCAAGTCAGAGATGCAGGACCATTTCTTTTTTTTTTTTTTTTTTTTTGAGACGGAGTCTCACTCTGTCCCCCAGGCTGGAGTGCAGTGGCAAGATCTCCACTCACTGCAAGCTCCAGCTCCCGGGTTCATGCTATTCTCCTGCCTCAGCCTCCTGAGTAGCTGGGACTACAGGCGCCTGCCACCACGCCCGGCTAATTTTTTGTATTTTTAGTAGAGATGGGGTTTCACCGTGTTGGCCAGGATGGTCTCGATCTCCTGACCTTGTGATCTGCCTGCCTCGGCCTCCCAAAGTGCTGGGATTACAGGCGCGAGCCACCGCGCCAGGCCAGGACCATTTCTTCTCAGGTTCGAGATCCCAGGAGAACAAACAGCCTTCTCAAGAGGACCTGTCCTGTTTGCACAGGTGATCCCTCCAAGAGATATAAACATTTCTGGCTTTACTGCATCCAAAGATAGCAAAGACACATAAAATATACCCCCAGCAAAACCCTTTCTGGCTAGTTGGCTGGGATTTGAGTGTCCTCTAAAAGCCTCCATTTTAGGTGGTTTTGCACATACAGGGCATTTTTGTTTTTCTCTTGTCCCCAGTGACTCATTATTTTCTCCTCCTAGCCCCAGGAAGCATAAATCCCCCAGTATGAGCGGCAGGGGTGAACACATGGAACGAGGGGGGCCTCTGCAGCTTGTCCGAGAATTATAATTCATCAGCGGCTGAGCTGCTGATGCAAGTCTTGGAGACCATGAGGATGGCGTTTGAACAGTAGCCCCAGGGCGCTCCCCACTCCCATCCATTCCTGTCCTGTGTGCAGGTGTGTTCCCCGAATAACGATTCATCCTCTGGCTGCTTCGCTTTTTCTGAAAGCCGCCAACAGAGCTGTCTCCGATGACAGGTGACTAACGGGCAGCTGATTCTTGAGTGAGATACCGAGGCGTGGGCAGGAGAGGTGTGCTGTTCTCTCTTCCCCATCTGGGAAGGGCCTCAGGCTCAGCCCACAGTCACCTTCTGTGAGGGTGGCTTTACCTGCCCTTGCATTCTAATGCTTCTCTCTGCCAGGGCCCCTCCTGCAGACCCTTGGCTGGCTTCTTGGGGTTTCCACCCAACATGGGATCCCCAGCCCTGCCAGAACCCCATGGCCTTGCCTTGTGATTTCTTCCTAGTTTCCAAATGGGAACAATCTCCCCCGTCAGAAGGTTTTCAGGTTTGGGAGCCAAATAAATACGGTATTTTTCAGACGTATGGACACACTTTACACAACTGGAGAGTCCTTTTAAATCCCTTATATCCTTATTTAATCAAATTGCTGTTCTGCAGGTCCCTGTCTGTCACTGTGGATTATGGAGACTTCATTGGTCTCAAGGATGTTTTTCTCTTTTTTAATTAGCTCCCTTTTTTCCTGCTTAAGGTTTTTTGGGTTTTGGAGGGAGGGGTAGTGAAGGGAGGGAAGTAGAGAAGGAAGAAGACAAGTCAGGAGACTGTCCCCATGCAGGGCCTATCCCCTCCCCTGCCTGTAACTTGGGTGATGCCCAAGGTAGAGCCAGCCACTTCCTTCTTCTTATGCGTATTTATTACCTTGCTCTTCTTTAATCAACGCCAGTCTGGCTTATATAATCTAACTTTTTTTTTTTAGTGCAAGACGCATCACATGAAGTCTCATTTGTCCTCAAACTTTTTGTAAGAAAAGTATCTTTCTCTTTAAGTATAATGTATATGTTCTGTTAAACTCAAGCACATTTGATTCTTTTTTCCCTAATTTGCCACTCTCTGCAAGGCGAGGCTTGCCTACCTCAGTGGGAGGTTTACTACGGGACTTAGGTGTCAGACCTGGCTTCAAACTCTAGGCTCTGCTGCTTACTTTGTAGCCGGAGAACCATAGTTTATCTTCTCTGTGCCTCAGTTTCTTCACCAGAAATGCAGATAATAATCCTTAGTCCCCAGTGTTGCAGGGAAGAGGACGTAGAATACTTGGTTCCAATGCTCAATGTCTCTTTCTTCAAAGCATTTTTGCATTCTGGTTATCTACAATCCTTTCTTGTAGAGACAAATCCAAAACTGTTTCTACAAAGTGTAAGGCCACCAAGCGTATACTACTTTTCAGCCTCTCAAGCACCTATTTTTCCTCACTTTCCCTGGGCAGGCGCTAGCTTCTCCCTATTGCCTGTGGAGTCCTAGCTGCAGTGTTATCAGAAAGTATGACACTAATCAAGACAATTCAGTGAGGAAAGAGAGAAGACAGCACTAACCAAGGGGAAGTGGGGAGAAATGGTGGATGGAGAAACAGAAAACTGACCAGGCTTCTACACTTTGCCATCTATGCAGAGCTCAGTCACTGTGATGCTACCTTTGAGGGGACACACACCACCCAGACTGTGCCAATGCCTAGAAACGTGAACCAGCTAAGAATAAGTTACCATGGATTGATATGGTCTATCAGGTGACAAGAACTTTATAATCGGTCACCCGTTGCAACATTTATTATTGTTACTATCATCCTTTGCATTTTAGAGGTGGGAAATGGAGGCAAGAGATTTCAGTACATGTCTGTTGGCACCTAAGGCTGTGTGTTCTCTTCACTTTGCTGCTCTGCCTCTCCTGCTACGAGCAACATAACCAAATCCCTCCTACTTGGTCAGGATGACTGCTCACTAGCTTAGGCCCTCTCAACCTTCCTGGGTGGCTGTCCTTTAGCCAAAACATTCAAGAGCAATTTTCACATACCCAGGAAATTCAAGCCCATTACTTCTTGGTCAAAGAGGTAAAGACTGCAATCGACCTGGCAGACCTCAGACCAAGCAATCATGCGCTTTAAGGCAATTGCAGAAATGGAAACAATCTCAGCTAATAGACTTACAAACTGTCGCTCTTTTCCTTTTCTTCTGCCGGTCCCCCCCACCACCCTGTCTCTCTCTCTTCCTCTTTCTCTCTCTCTCCTTCTGTCTGTGTCTCATTTGTCACAGTTCTCTTACCTTTCCCTTCATCAACTTTCCCCACAATATATTCTGCTTTTTCCAAGTTCTTTTCTTTCTCCTTGAAACATTAATAACTTACCATGAATCCAGTTAGAGAAAGTGTATCTCGCATACTTCCACTTTTAATTCTCTGACACTTTTCTTATTAAAATGACACCATGAAAACATCAATCCAAAACAACAAAAATAAGGCAAAAAGAGACCACCAACCTCGCTGGAAATGCTACTTCGAGCCTCACTCTGCTGCTAGACTGATGTATCACTTGATGTTTCCTCATTTTATTCTTATTGTTTCCTAAAGCAATAACAATTGTCTACAGAAACACCTCGGATCCTGCTGGCAAAACCCAAACATAAGTGAAGCATTAAAAATACCGCCCCCCACCCCTGAATCAGAAATCATCTAATGAACCCCATCAGAAGGGTGGAGGGCGGGGTGGGGGTGGCAGGGGTAGATGGGAATGACAGTCGAGAGAGACAGACAGACAGACAGACATTTTACAAATCTCCAGGCTTCATTTTCTTTTACTTCTCATTTTCTATTCACATCATGATTTCCCCTGGAATATATCACCAGGATTTTATGGTGGCCTCATGTTCTCTTTTTTTCCCTCTTCCCTTCTGTTCACTTAATGTTTGTTTTTACTGATTTGGGCTCTGAAAGCATGGCTTATTTATCATGGATTTGAAAGCCTCCATCTTCTTGCTCTGTTTTCGCCAGGGCTGTGACATGGTTCACAAATGCTGCAAATACGCTCAGCGCCCCTCTCCTTTTCCTCACTGCCTGTGCCCTGGGCTACCTTAATTCTCATCTGGGCAAAACACAAAAGTGTCAGCAGAGGACGGCATGACCACAATTACTTTAATCTTGCTGTCACTTTTACTTACGCTCCCAAGCCCTCATTTGTTGTTGGAATGCTGGTCATTTTTTCAGCTCACTGATCTCAAAGCTTGCAAAAGTGATCATCTATCCATAGAGAAGCTCCCCTTGCTTCATTCGATAAGTCTATCCCAGAAAAGTGGGAGGGCCTGACATTTTTACAAGTAAAGGTACTAAAAAAATGCCAGTAAAAGGGATAATATGGCAAATTCCTTTCATCAAATGAATTATAATATTCTTATTTTTGGGAAATTTTGTTCTTTCTAATTTGAGTTTGGTTCAACACCTCTTGTATTTGTCTTGTTTAAAATAGTTCTCTTTCTTTTTACTTGCCAGTTTTGATTAAATAGTGCCCCTATCCTAGATTCTCAAAGTTGGAAGTGGCCCAGAAAGTCAGTCTTTTTCCCTAATTCATTGAGATGATAGACAATGGGCATCGGGGACGGCTGGGATTGGAGTGAGCTGACAGCTTGGTGAATTGTTTACGTTGAATCAAAAGCTCTTTCATCTGAATTCTGTGCTAAGAACCACAACAAGAAAGAAAAAGAAAGAATGAAAGAAAGAATGAACGAACAAAAGAAACAGAAAATGAGAATCACAAATCCCAAATTCCCATTTCTAAGCTGAAATAACCCCAGAGTCCTTGACCACCCTTCATGTGACAAGGTTCCAACTCTTGATCTCCTGGTCATTTTCCTCAGGTCTCCTGTCAGTTATTCAATATTTTTCTCAAAATACAAAATACATTATCTAGACTTGAACCCAGTATTCAAGATATGGTCTGAGCTGGGCTGAGTAGAATAGGATGATTTAATCACTTCATTTGTACATGAAGATTTTGTAATTGTGTTACACTGTTGGCTGGTTTTTTGTTTTCTTTTGTTTTTTTTTAGATAGGGTCTTGTTCTGTTGCCCAGGCTGGAGTGCAGTGGCGTGATCATGGGTCACTGTAGCCTTGACCTCCGGGGCTTTAGGCATCCTCCTGCCTCAGCTTCCCGAGTAGCTGGGGCTACAATCGTGTGCCCCCACACCCCGCTGCTGTTTGGGAATTAAGCAACAATAACTACAACAAAAGCCCGGGTGCTTCCCAACATGAAGATGGTCAAGCTGGACCTCTCCACCTCTGCAACGGGTTTCTTGAAACCAAAATGCAGGGCTTCACATTTAACCTTTCTGACTTTCACTGTGTTTTTGTTCTCCCCCTTTGGCCAATTTCTCAGCCTATCACAATTCATTCGGGCATGGATTTGTACTCCTAACCCTCTGGTTATATCTTTCAACTCTTCTTTCATAAGTGAACTTCATGCCTTTTTGGTTTTTGTTTTATAATAAATGGAAAATGGACTTTTGAATCAGGTAGGGCTGGGTTCAAATCCTGGCTCCTTCATTCATGCAAGTTGGTTATCTTTGAACTCAGTTTCTTTACCTAAAGACCTCCTCCAGGTTGTCATTGACCACCCTTTAATCAACACTCTGAGTATCAACTTGAAACCTACCCAGTTAAGTAGTTATCCTTCAGCCTATCTGTCCTCATTCTGCTCTGTAGGGTGTCATGCAAAGCCTGGCTGAAATCAAGCTGTGCCGTGCCTGTGGCCCTTTTCTTATATGTCACTCTAATAACCCCACAGGAAAAAGAAAGAAACCGTAACAGGGTCAACTCTTCCTTCAGGGCCATATTTGGGGAGATGCCAAGTGGAAGAAACTCATCTTTTCACTTACTGTCCCTCTTCGGCAATTGCTTTTCCGCTTTCCTCGACCTCTTTTGCAAGCCATAGACTTTCCTTTTGTGAGGCAGCTGTCACCTTAGCTACTGTGTTCCTGTTCCTCCTCCACCCTATTCTCCTTGCTTGACAGAGCAAAGGCCCCTGTGTGTTGAAGCTTTTGACACACAACTTTCTTTCTTTTCTTTTTTTTTTTTTCGAGACAGGGTCTCGCTCTGTTGCTCAGGTTGGAGTGCAGTGGCGCAATCTTGGCTCACTGAAACATTCGCCTCCCAGGCTCAAGAGATTCTCCTGCCTCAGCCTCCTGAGGAGCTGGGATTACAGGTGCCCGCCACCACGCCTGGCTAATTTTTGTATTTTTACTAGAGATGGAGTTTCACCATGTTGGCCAGGCTCATCTTGAATTCCTGACCTCTAATGATCCACCTGCCTTGGCCTCCGAAAGTGCTGGAATTACAGACGTGAGCCACCATACCCGGCCTTGACACACAACTTTCTGAGGGTCATTTTTTCCATTTAGAATTTGTTAATGTCATGTTTGTCACATGACCTCCCAGATCCACTCAAGTCTCTCTTGTCATTTCAGGCCTTCAACAATCTTTCCCCATCCTGTCTGTCAAAATTAACTTTAGAAAATCACCTGCACCATGCAAACATGCTTTAGTAAATAGCTTCCCTTTGTTCTCTAAGCACTCCATCGACATCCTTGTCTCTGCACTGGTCTTCCTTCTCCCATCAAACTCACATTGCTATGTATGGTTGTGCAGGTTGCTCACTGCATAAAGGCCTCAGGCTGAGGTTGCAGTAAGGGCTGAAATGCATCCAGTGCGCTTCTCATCAAGCTGTGAGTCCCAGTATGGGGCTGCATCTGTTTAGAACTAGCACATTCTTCTTACTTAAACAAAGGCACCGGGTCTAATTTCAACTGCTCCTTTAAAGCTTTACTCAGGGCCTGCCCCCCTCATACCCCATGGTCTCACTTTCTCTTATTCTTCCAGGGGACTTGAAGTTATCTACCCCTTGCTCAGTGCTGCCGCCATCTGGGTAAGGTAGGCAAGCACATGAGCCTTGGAGTCAGGCTGCCAGCATTCAAACCCTTCTCTACTACTAGTTTTCTGAGTGACCCTTAGCAAGTTATTTAACATCTCTGAGCCTCAGTTTCCTCATTTTAAAAACAGGGATGATAATAGTGCCTGCCTCATAATGTTCTTGGGAAGAATATGTGGAATATCCATCTAATCCACTTAGTATGGTGTCTGGCACATAGTAGGCACTCAATAATTCAATAGTTGTTAGCTATTGCTACTTTTTTTTTTTTTTTTTGAGACAGGTATCATTCTGTGGCCCAGGCTGGAGTGCAGTGAGGCAATCAGGGCTCACTGCAGCCTCCAACTCCCAGGTTCAAGTGATTCTCCTGTCTCAGCCTCCCAAATAGCTGGGACTACAGGTGCATGCCACCACATCCAGCTTTTTTTTTTTTTTTTTTTTTTTGTAGAGACAGGGGTCTCCCTATGTTGCTCAGGCTGATCTTGAACTCCTGGCCTCAAGTGATCCTCCTGCCTCAGCCTCCCAAAGTGCTGGGATTAAAGGCATGAGCCACTGTGCCCAGCCAGCTATTGTCACTTTTATGCATAGTCCTTAATAGCTAACAACTATTAAGACATGTTGTGGCTCGCAGGAAGTATGAATAAGAAAATGTACACCTCACCAAGTAGGGTTGTCAGATAAAATACAGAATGCCCAGCTAAAGTTAATTTTCAGATAAGCAACCAATAGTTGTTTTAGTATATGTATATCCCAAATCTTTACTTTCTCCACAGAAATCTCAAAGTGGTGGACTGAAGCATTGTTAAGAAGAATAGCAAGGACTCGTTTGATCTTTTCACCCTTTCATCTCGAATTTCCCTGCTGCCCCTCACCTCATGCAACGCCTGTCCCACAAGATTTCTTACATGAAAACCGGGGAGTGGGCTAGCCTTTGGGATAAGCAGTATGAAGGTTCTAGAATGAAGCCTTTAGATGTTCTAGTGAAGGTTGTGGTTTGGAATAGAAGTATATAATCTCACTCATATATCCTGTGAGCCACAAAATGTTGTACCTTCTGTTTTCTCTACCTTTCTTGTGTTATTTGCTGCTTTTAATATTGTGTGGGTCAAAAGGCATGCTTTTACCATTATATATTATGGAATACTGTGTGTTTTGATAAATAAGTTTTATATATTGGAATTTCTGTTCTTATAAGGGAATTTTTCTTGAAGTCCGTATTTGTGGTAAAGCAGAAATCTTCTAAACTCTCTTACATATTCAGACATTTCTCTTGTGATTACTCTGGCATTTTACATTGTTACTCTCAAATTCGCCATCTACTTTCTCATGCCTATAACTCGTCAAATTTTTCCATGCTTGGCATCTGCACCACAGCAAAAAATTTCCTGGGCACCAGCCCCAGTAAATTATTACTAGTCCCATCGTGTAGTCATCAGGTTGACATTTACTTGTACCACCCATGTATCTAGTCCTGATGACAAATAATCCTTGAATTGGCTTATAATACCCCATCCTTTCTTTATATGATTTGCACCATCCTAGAACCTTGTCTCTTCCTGGAACCATTTCAGAGGAAGTTACAAAACCACCAACAGTACCAAATGTGGTTCTGTTGTTTGAATGATCTTCTCTCTTTAATAGCCTTTCATTTCAAGTCCTCCATTACTGACTCCTTGCACAGATTCTTCTCTCTCCTTCCTCTCTCTGTACTTCCAGGAATTGGTGATTTCTATCCAGGTTCGTTTTCAGATTTTCTGCTGCTTAACTTCACAAGGCTGTCTTGCCCACCTTCTCTCTCTCAGGAGTATCCATATGCTTTGTGTATTCGTTCAACAAACATTTCCTGTGCCCCACTCTGTGTCAAGCCCTGTGTAGAGCATGAAGATCCAGTGTGGACTAGACAGCCCATCTTAAGACCTCAGACAGTTCAGTCTTGTAGGAAAAACAAGTCAGCCAAACCAGTGAGATCAGCATGATAAAGGAACCACACCTCAAGTGGTTCAGGAACCCAAAGGGCAGGCTCCTAATCTAGCCTAGGACGGAGACAGGTGCAGGAGGGATTAGTGGAAGCTTCCCAAATGAGGTGACAATTGAACTGAGTCTTGCAGACAAGTAGCTAGGCAGAGTAGAGAGCTCATATATGACACACAGAGAGAATGGTGTGTGCAAATAGGAGTTGGGGACCCAACTGGTTCAATCATGGACTGGCAGGAGATGGGATCAGTGATTGGACTGGGGGCAGATCATGGAGGACATTGAAAGCATGCCAGGGACTTAGGACTTCATACCAAGGATGATGGGAAGTCATTGGACATTTGAAAACATTTGCATTCAGGAATGTTTAATCAGATGGCAGTATGAAGGAATGGAGGGCAGGGTGAACCGAAGATGGAGAAAGCATCGCAGTAGTCTTGGCTAGTAATGATGAGGGCCTGAACTACAACAGTGACAGATCATGCTCTTTCTTTTGACACTGGGTCTTTCCACATGTTTTTATCTCCATAGTAAGTACTTTACACATTATCTCATTTAAAGCATGCAAGAATCTCAAAATAAGAACTGCTATTGTATCCAGCTGACAGATGAGGAAAGTGAAGCTCAAAGGGGTTAAATAATCACCCAAGTTCATATGTATCAAAAAATGGTGGAGCCAGGATTCAAACTCAGCCTGTGCACTTAAACAGTATTCTCCCTTGTCTTAACTCAAGGGAATCACTGTGAATTATGACCAGTTGGAAGGGGGCTAAAAGACAGAAAAGAGTCTAGAATGGTGTTATCCAATAGAAATAGAATGCAAGTCACAAATGCCAGCCATTATGCCATTTTAAATATTTTGGTGGCACTTTAAAAAGTAAAAGAAAATTATTTTTAATAACTTATTTAACCCAATATGTCCAAAATATTATCATTTCAATTTGAAATCAATATAAAATATTATTGAGATACTTTGCATTATTTTTTCCAAACTAAGTCTTTGAAATCTGGTGTGTATTTTACACTTACAGCACATTTCAATTTGGACAAGCCACATTGAAGTACTTGGGACAGCATAGGTCTAGAACGACTCTTGAGTTCCTGCTGGGGGCATTAGGGTAGATGTTGGTAGCATTTTCTGAGATAAGGGAATACAGAAAGAGGAGATAATTAAAGGGGTGTTTGAAATGCTTGTGAATGATCTATGTAGAGACTCCCAGTCAAGGATTGGCTATGCAGGTATAGAACTCAATAAAAAAGTCTGGGTAGAGCTATTAATTTGGGTGCTATTCCAATATAGATGATTGTGAAAACCCTGAGTAAGAAGGAATTCACCTAGAGAGATTATGTAGCAGGACTGAACCTTTGGAGACAGCAGGGAGGGATGGGACACCTTGGTCATGCGGAGGAGTTCATTTGTTCAGCAGGAGACGCATCTCCCCTTTGAATGGGAAAGAAGGAGGACAAAGATGCAGAAGGTAAGTTTGTATAGGTAAGGAGGGTGAGGAGAGGCAGGAAGTAGGTGGCTTTCTAATATAATGTTGGCAGGGATTCTCAGCTCATTCTATTATCTTTCTTCTCTTCCACAGAAAAGGGAATGCTAGCTTTTAACCATGACTATTCACAAAATCTATACAAAGAGGCAAACAAAATGTAAATATTTGTCCAGCCAGGGACATAAGCCAAGATGAACACTCCTTTTTCATGTCACTCCACTCATTCCCTCCTCTCTCTCTCTCTTTCTCTCTTTCCCTCTGTCTCTCAGGAAATTGCAAAAATAGTACAGAGGTCCCCTGTACTCTTCACCCCACTTCCCCTAATGGGGACATCTTACATCACCATAGTACAGTATCAAAGCTAGGAAACTGATATTGCTACAATACCATTAAAAAGACTTCCATCTTCTCTTTTACAACTTCCTAGCAGGAAGTATCCTTAGTAAAAAACATAAAAATCTGTGAGATGTAATGTTCAACCAGGCCAAGAGCTTTATGTGTGTTCAGGAGGTTTTATCTCTGTAACTAAATGACATGCATCAAATACCACACCAAATGCCACCTAAATGCTCAGGTAAAAATTACCTTCTTATGACCATATATAATTTGCACCAACGTTATGTGGTTAGACCAGGCTCTTCACTGTCTGTTTGGCTTTATCTCATTATGGAGAAGAGCAAAGATGAACAGACAGCTCTGTTGTTCCCATCAGCATCTATAATGAGGAATGTGTGACTCAAAAGAGAGCAGCAACGTGCCCAAGCCTGCACTACTGTACAAACCAGGTCTTGCTAACTTTAGAACTCATGTTCGGTTTATGACATCGCACTATCTCTTGGTAAATGGCTACTTCATACCCCTGTCTACACAGCAGGAAAACCAATGGATTAGGAGGGAGTTAGTATTCAGATGGGTGACTCCAATTCAACTTTCAAGTGGGGAGGAACCCATAGCACCCAACACAGTAGGCTCCTCCATAAATGCCAGGGATTTAATCAATTCAGCTTACTAAACAAACAGACTCAAATAAGTTGGGCACGTTCCTTAAAAGCAGAATCAAGCAAAGAAAGCTCTGAGAAATCTCTGTGCTTCAAGGAGACAAAAGCCAACGAGAGAATATTAAGCCAACTTGAAGGGAATAGTGGCTATCCATCTGCCTCTGCCATGGTTCAACCAAGGTGAATAACCCATTTATTAGCAAAGAATGAGAGAAGTCCCAGTATTTTCATGTAAGTGGTAATTTGTTAATGGGTAAACATGGAATGAATTTCTTTCTCCCTTGGAGATAAATGAGCTCTGGTTCTCAAAAAACAATATTTCTGGCAAGAGATAGAAGACAAAAAAAAAGAGGTGTTTCATCCATTAAGATTTGGAAAGCAAAGGAAATAAGTGTATTTCTGGAATCTGGGTGAAAGGAGTTTGGCCTCGACAATTTCTGAGCAGCCGAAGGAGGAAAATGGTCGCAGAAAGAGGCAGGAACATGGGTGGTCAGATGCCTTTAGGGACAGTGATCTCTCTAATGACATTTCTCCCATCTGGGCTCCCTATTTATTTGTGGACCTGCACCTTCCTACTTACATCTCCACTTGTGGTATCCATAGTACCAGTAAGAAAATAGTTTTTGTCAAATCCAGGAAGGCAGGCCTGAGAGCAATTTGCAGCTGTGAAGACAAACTATAGGATGAAGGAGACAGAAGGACAGGGTCCCCTTACCCTGTTGTAGCCATTGGGAAGGGGCCTCAGCCCTCAAGTGGTGAGACAGGGCAGCACACGGGGGATGGTGGAAAAGAGCCGAAATGAACTTGGCCCCGGAAATGGCCATTATCAAGTAGTCATGGGTGAGAGGAAAAAAAAAAGTCATGCCTTAGATCGATTGGGCCTGGATGGACCAAGGTTGAAATCCAGCCATGAGATCAGTTTTGTTTACCTCTCCCGATGCGATTAGGCCATTCATATCCGATCCTGACCATTTGTTTGAGGAAGAAAAGATGCAGCCTGCATTTTGAAATCTGGGCAGATGCTTAAAAAGACCTTGCTCTCCATTCAGACAACAGGAATGCCACCAGATGTGACTTAAACATGTCTGCTTTTCAGCTGTTTAAATGTGAGCAATTCCTCCCGTCACTAGCCCACTGCAAGGGACTGTTTTTTCAGGGTCTTTCAATCCCAGGGCTGATTCACATCACAGGTATTCCCAAAAAGCTCCACAAATCAACAATGAAATAAACCCAATGCCAGACCAACTTGCACATGCCGGCGGGCCGAGAGGATGGGAGGTCCAGTCAGGGCACTGTGCCTCACCATCACTTTCCACTACAGAGAAGGTAAGTGGGGATAGCATGGCCGGGGGGGCAGAATTAAAACGTGATCAACGTGGCATCTGCTTTTTCTTCTCTTTTCAGCTCTCACAGAAGTGAGCATGAAAAAAAGAGAAGAAGAGGGGAGGAAAAATGAGAAGAGACAAGTTTCTCTCTGGGAGAAGCAATTCTAGTCCTGAATTCTCAACTGTGCATTCCACCTCAGAAAGCCAGTGACCGCCTCTGCTGAGCACAGGGTGACAAACTGGGCTGGATCCAGGCTGGAGCCAGGCAGTGGGTGGCAGCTTCTGCCTCAATCTTTCTGCAGTCTCCCTTCCCCATTCCAATCACGATAAATATATTTATACTTACTTGATTATGTCAGCCAGACAATACTCCCCTAATTGGCAGTGATCAGGGTTCCAGAATTGTTTGGGCGAACCTGCTGTCTCTCTATCAGGCAAAGCGATAAGGGGCCGCTAATGCAGTCCCCATTAACAATTTCCAGTGGAAAAAAAACCAATCCCCCGACTCATGCATGGCAACGAATTTTCCAAACAGCTCCTGAGAGCCAGCGATTGAGGAACTCAGACTTAACACGAACCGGTCCAGCATAGAATGCTTTTATGACTTTTCCCCACCCCCAGCTAGAGCATGTAGAAAAAACCATAGCCACTTCCTTATGCTCAAGGTTCTTTTGTTCTTTTGCTTTTTTGCTCTTTTCCTTTTTTTTTTTTTTTTCTTTTGTTGGGCTTACGGAGCTAACTGTCATTTTTGGTTCTTGGTTCTTTGTAAATTTCAGGGACATCTGGCACACAGTTTATTTCATTTGCTAGCTCTGGTATTTGTAGATACGCACACTCTCTGCTGCGTGTGCATGTTAACACTTCACATGTATAATTTATGCATGCATAATTTGGAGCTTGAGAGGATAGGCTCATTTTGATGTTTAAGTGTAACTACACAGCGCCAATTCAATTATAAGTAATTACTCAATAAATATTTACCAAATGAATGAATATACCAAAAAGACAAATATGCAACTGTCATTCATTTATCAGACATTTCAATACCTAGTGTGTACCAGGCACCGTGCTAGATGCTGAGTATTCAATGATGCATACCCACAGTTCCTTTCCTCAGGGAGCTCACAGTTGAAGGACAGGAGGCAGACATATAAATAGACAATTGCAAGACATCATGGAGGCAAAGTGACTGAGCCCTATGCAGGGTAGCATGGAGCTCCAAGGAGGAAGCTTGGTCCACCTAAGGGAGGGGCTGAGGCCATGGAGAGTCTCCTGGAGGTGATGAGGCCTAAGAGGGGAGGTAAAGGCTTCAGATAATGAGGACAGCACAACCAATGGCAGGATGCAAGAACTGATAGGGTGTTGTGGAAAAGAAGCAAGGCAGAGATGAAGTCGGGGACTCAGGGAGGTACCGGATCTGGGGGGCTTGGTGTAGAGTAAGGGAGAGGAGCTTCAACTATCTCAATTAGGGCAAGAAAACACAAACAGCTCCTTCATTCGTCCAAAATGCTTCTGGATTGCACCACAATTGGCACACGCACACCTCAAAGCAGAATTTGGACTGGCCTCAGAAGCACTGCTGGAGCACAGGAAGATCTGAGGCCACATGCTGAATCCGTCATTAGGGAGATGAGCAAGAGTTAGCTTATTTCTTGGTAAGTTGAGGAGGTGGACTTGGAGGGCTCCAAGCTTTTACATCTATGCTGCCTGGATTCTTTGAGGTTTGTGTACAGGCTGCACTTGGGCCCACTCCAAGTCCAAACTGGGGTGCTAAAGGAATGAGGCTGGTTCCAAGCAGCACACAGGATCACAATATCACTGTCTTACAGTGCAGAGACAGTAGGCACATTGAGGCAGAATTTCATATGAATCTGTAAGAAGTATTCACAGGAATGTAATGTATGATGGAGACATCCCATTGTCCCCAGCCTGGGTCAGGGTCTCATGATCTCAAGTCTGAAACATGTCCAATTAATTTGGAGCACTGATCCCTGCTAGATTTAGTTTCTCAAAAGCACTGTTCAGCTCACATCATTTCTACTCAAAATCTCTTAATAATTCCACCTTGCTTGTAGAGTCAAGTCCAAAGTCCTTAGAGTGGCATGGCATTCAAAGTCATCCTCAGTCTATCCCCACCCTGCCTGCCGTAACCCCCACCTGAGCTTTGATTCACAAATGTTCCCACCACTCTGCCTTTACTCACTCTAGCTCCTGACTCTTCAGGTCCAGCTCAAATTCAAGTCCATCTCCTTTAGGATTACTGTCTTGTTACTCCTGTCCTCTTCTGAACCAGTGCAGAGCTTACTATGTTGTTCATTGGTGACTATTAACTTCACTTTGTGGTTTGAGTTTTACTTCTCCAGCTACCTTGTAAGCCCCAGAGGATGGGAACCCAGCCTCACTCCTCTTTGCAGTCTATGGACTTAGCACATTGTCCTGCTCACATTAAATATTTGCTGATGAATGGGTATCCTACATTGTCACTTCTTTTTTTTTTTGAGACGGAGTCTCGTTTTGTCACCCAGGCTAGAGTGTAGTGGTATAATCTTGGCTCACTGCAACCTCCGCCGCCCGGGTTGAAGTGATTATCCTGCCTCAGCCTCCCGAGTAGCTAGGATTGCAGGCGCCCACCACCACGTCCGGCTAATCTTTTGTATTTTTAGTAGAGATAGGGTTTCACTATGTTGGCCAGGGTGGTCTTGAACTCCTGACCTCAGTTGATCCACCCACTTCGGCCTCCCGAAGTGTTGGGATTACAGGCATGAGCCACCGCGCCCGACCATGCATTGTCACTTCCGTGAGCCTACTGCGTAAAACTCATGGAAAGTACGACCGTGGTGATGATTGTCACAGTGCTACTGCCCGAAGTTCTTTTTCCCTCTTCTAGGAAAAAAAGCGAATCTTGGAGAGAGAGGCTTGGTATGATTACTTGGGAGTAATAAGAATGTGAAACATTTCTCCCGCGATTTATAAACAGTATTTTACATGCATTTCCTGGGAGCTTAAAGTTCATCCAGAATGAGTATTTCATAGATCAAAGGAGCATATGTGCAATCCACCAGGAGGAATAATCACTCTGCTAAATTTAAAGGGAGAATGATTGAACACTCCAGCCTGAAAGTAGAGATGGTTTAACGTCACATGGCTGGAGAAGAACATGAGTGACTTACTTAATTTCTGGCCCCCTACGTTCAGTTTTTATGGTACATACGCCAGTGAGCAGCACGTGGGATTTTTCATAAAAGAGGAACTGGCATTAAATCAATAAGGAAAATCACCATTTCCCTACTGATCCAATGGCATTTAAGGAAGCTGAGCCCTGCCAATATGTACAACTGTGCAGAATTTGTAACCGGGCAGTGAAAACCACCATCTAAGCTGGCAGCTGTGACTTTCCCAGAAGTAGAGCTGCAGGGAGAAAAGTAGCTTTTAAACTTCAGTTCCATTTTTGCAAATTGGATCTTTTTGTAAAAACTGTTTTAAGTCCAGATTTGTTTGTTGTTTTCCTTTTCTTTCCTCATTAGTAAAGGAAATGACTGTTTCTTTTTACTCAGATGGAAATTCAATCATTTACTCGATAATTGGGAGTCAAACTTAGTTTTAAGGGCTAGGAATGGAGATGAGGACAAAAGAGACAAAATCCCTGGCTTCAGAAAGCTTACCTTCTAGTGGGGAGGCAGGGGAGACAATTAATAATCTTGAACCGTAGATATATACTATGCTAGGCATAGATAACTGAAATAATGCTAGCATCTCATATTTGAAAACACAATTGCCAGAAAATGAAAAATGAAACCTCCTGCATGAATACTATCTTAGCTCATGTATGTCCCATATATTAAGAAGTATTTTAAAAAGAATAGCTAGTAAGAAATACACACATATTGCTCTTTGCACATGAAGTTGGCCTTCCCTACTGACCTTCAGCAGAACAGATGTCTCAGAGGTGCATTTCTGAGAGATGGATTTGTGCCAATCTATATATTTCATTCTGGCACTATCTGGCACCACTGCCCTCACAGTTATCCAGGCCAGAAATCTGGAAATTTCTTCTGGACTCCTCCGTGTCTTTTCCTCCCCTTTCTCAAATCTGGTATCTTCCACTAATGGGTCTCTAAACACTATATTTTAAATATACCTGAATTTTTTTTTTTTTTTTTAACTGAATCTCACTCTGTCGCCCAGGCTGGAGTACAGTGGAGCAATCTCGGCTCACTGCAACCTCCGCCTCCTAGGTTCAAGCAATTCTCCTGCCTCAGCCTCCCGAATAGCTGGGACTACAGGCGCATGCCGCCATGCCCAGCTAATTTTTTGTATTTTAGTAGAACGGGGTTTCACCATGTTGCCCAGGCTGGTTGTGAGCTCCTGAGCTCAGGCAATCCACCTGCCTCGGCGTCCCAAAGTGTGGGGATTACAGGCGCGAGCCACCGCACCTGGCCTAAATATACCTGAAATTGATTTCCATCTTTCCATCAGCCCTCCTTTGTGTGGGCTTTATCGTCTTTCCCCACAACCCTGGCATCCTACTTCTCCTTCCTGACTCTAGGCTCAAATACCTCCATTCTCCCCTCCTCATTGCTTCCAGAGTGATTTGTGCAAAACAGATCAGACTGTGCCATGTCTCTTCTTGCACTCTCCTCTGGCTCTGCACACCTGCAGGATAAAGCTCAGGCCTCCTAGCCTGGCCTTGGCTGACCTGGGTAGCTTTATGACTCTGCTCCCTTCCTTGACCCTGTGCCTCAGTCACAGCAGCCCCATGTAAGGCATGTAAGGTTACCTAAATTTACAATGTGCAAATCATCCCTGAGTGTTTCTTCTTGGACTATTCTCCTTTTTGTACTCCTCAATTCTTGCCATCCTTTAATATGGTGCAAATGTTACCTTCTCTGTAAAGCTGTTCCCTGAGCTTAATCCTCCCTCCCTTCTGCCCCAAGGGTACCCTGGCCTCATCTTCTCATTTCAAGTATGGCACCCAATGGAAAGGCATTTGTAATGATTTGTTTGCTTGTGTGTCTTCTCTCTCAAGCTGTAAGCTCTCCCAACTGAGAAGTATCTTCTTTGTGACTTTACAGCATAGCCCAGCCTCTGGCATACAGCAGTCACTTAGTAAATGTTGAATGAATAATGAATGAATGACCTATGGTCTCTTCTGGTTTGGCTTGTGCTAAACTATGCATCTGAGAATTAGGTGGTTTTGGCAATATGATGGAGTGAAACCAACTGACAATATGATGGAACTCAACTTTGCTCTTAAGAATAAGAAGTTTTGGGGAGGCTTAGGCTGGAGGATTGCTTGAGCCCAGGAGTTCGAGCCTGCAATGAACTATAATTGTGCCACTGCACTCTAGCCTGGGCAAAAGAGTGAGACCCTGTCTTGCAAAAATAACTAAATAAATAAATAATAAAAATAAAAACAATGGGTTTTAAACATTTGAGCTAATGGACCACAGATGATAAGGAATTTCAGTAACACATTTTCCTAGACAATATTTCTGTGTGTACTACATCTGGAGATGGTTCAAATAAATGATTAAAACATGTAAAACAGAACCATTAAGTAATCTAGATCATTTACTACAAAAGAGAAACTTGAAGAGACTTAATAATGGTTTTTAATAAAAGATTGTACTCCAAGGATGGCTAAACATCCTCCTTCTCCACAAACACAAAATAAGAAGAAATGAGATGAAAGCGCTTCAAAGATTAAAGTCAAAAACAAAAAGGAATTGAATGGTTTCCTGCCAGGCAGTGTAAACCCATTTCAAGTCACTATTACAGATAACTCACATTCGGAATCAGGCACAGCTCTAAATGCTTGCTATGTATTATGTCATCAATCAATCTAATTTTCATAATGAACCCATGCAAGTTTGTTTTAATTTTATTATTCCCATTGTACAGGTGAGGAAATAGAGGTTCAAGGTGGTTAAGCAGCTAACCCAGGTCACACAGCTGAGAAACCATAGAGCTGAAATTCAAATCCAGGCTGGCTGGCTTGTGAGGTTTTGGTCCGACTTCTAAGCTTCCTGCCTTGCTAGAGGCTGACATAGATGTCAGACCTCTGTCTGGGGATGGAGGCCTGAAGCTAAGCTCAAGAAAGCTCGAGAAGTTCAAGTGGCTAGCTTAAATTTAAACAAGAAAATCCTTGAATATACAAACGATTCTTCATTGCCAGGGCAACCAGCTCTCTTGAGGTCGTTACATCAGATTGTGTGTGTGTGTGTGTGTGTGTGTGTGTGTGTGTGTGTGTGTGTGTCTGTGTAGAGAAGTTAAATACCCATTTTTTGTATTCTTTATTCTGGTGAGCTGGCCTATCAGGTCTTGTCCTGCTAATGAGACAGTAAGTCGTTTTGACTTTTTTTTTGGCTGTCAGGGCATGCACGGTTTCAGCATCCACGTGTGTGTGTGTATTTATAAGACCTGACATGAATCGAGCCATATTTAGATATTATGACTTTACCTCCAGAGTGACGGAACTTACTCTGGGGGTTGGAGAGTCAGCATCTTCTTCCCTGTTATTTTTTCCAAGGCAAGCTTGTTTAGCCTGCCTCTGGGGCACATGAAGTGGGGTCACAGTCAGCACAGAATGGGGGCAGCATGTTCTGCAATTCAAATGCAACTCAAATGCCTGTGCCAAAGAAAGTCAACACTCATCTGATGGGCAGCAGAGAGGGGGCTCGAACACTGAGCTGCACCCCGGCTGCAGGAGGCCTGGAGGCTGGTTCCGGAGAACCAGGCAGCCCAGCAGGAGCCCCGTGAGAAGGGTGGGAATGAGTCACCAGACTTTTCAGGTTGATTGAGGTGATGTCTGTTGATTTTCTTTGAATTTAGATGTGTTATCAGTTCACACATTGGGCATAACGGGAAGAAGATGAGTGAACATTTTCTTGATAGTGCCTGACATTCAGCAGGGTTGTGATAAGATGTGGGGTAAGATATGACTCTGCAAGAATATGCTGGACAGTGTGTGTCCCCTAGCGTGTACCAAAGGAGCGGAGGCAGATGGACCCTCTTGGGAGAAAACAGTGTGACAAGCCCACTCTTTGTTCTCTGACAGACACAAGTTGGCCTGGGTGGATATTTACTATCTTAGGGCAAGGGGAAGAACTGCTAATTTGTCACACATTGTGTTCATGGTCTGGGAAAAGCACTTGCTTTTTTGACATTGGGTCCTCCACTACAACCAGATAGATTCTGAATGCTGTGGTTAAGAGTTAGGGTTTTAGGAGTTCGTATAATCTCTCTGGCCTCAGTTTCCTCATCTTTAAGATGGAAACAACAATGGCACTTATCCCCTTAGATAGGAATAAATAGACTAATACATATCAGGCACTTAAAACAATATATATCCAGCATTAAACTTGTATTTACATGAATGCATGCATCCTTATTTACACAACTTCATATTTATGGGAGGACTTACTCCAATGCTTGCTCAAGATAGATGCTTAGTAAATATTTGTCAAATATTGAAGGAGATAGAAGAATGGATTTAGTGGGGTACTTCTATGGCTATCTGTTCTGACTTCTCAGTAACCTGTAATTCAAGGATAGACAGGTAAAACTGGGTGTTAGATTTAATCTCTATTGAGCAATATTTCAAAAAAGGGGAGTTTTCTGCAATCATACATCTCTGAAGAATAGATGGAAATGGAGATGATGAGTTTGCATGAAGATTGTGAAGGAAATGGCATGAAGAATTGACTTGTCACATGTGAAGGACAGGCAGCAAGGACAATGACTCTAAATAAAATAAAAAACAGGGTCTAATATAATTAGAAACCTTAAAACTGCAAAATATAAGTTATTTGTGAATCTACAAAAATAAATACATACAAAAAACAGGAGTCAAATCTCTGACCTGTATTTACCTTCTCTTGGTTGTTGTAATAATGATAGCTTAGAAATAGAAGTAAAATGAAAAGTATAATGTTTAGGAGCTGGTACAGTATGACAAGAATACCTTAATATTAGATTAAATTATATAAAATCACCACTTTTGGGGTAAAAAATAGGGTCAGCTATTGTCAATATCTTCTATTTATTTTTATTTTTATTTCTTTAGAGACAGGGTCACACTGTGGCCCAGGCTGGAGTGCCGTGGTACAACCCTGGCTCACTGTAGCCTTGAACTCCTGGCCTCAAGTGATTATCCTGGGCCCCAAAAGTGCTGGGATTACAGGCATGAGTCACGGCAGCCAGCCCCCAGATATTGTCAATTTCATATGATTTGATGTAGTATATTTCAGCTAATTGTAGCTAAATCAAAATACTCACAGTGTCTTGCCTTTATTGCCTTTTAACTATGGCCATAAAAATAAATTGGACAATTTTATTTGTCTTAACCTCTTTTACCTCTCAGACTTTGTGCATAGTAGGTACTAAACAACGTTTTGTTAATTGAGTGGTGTTTTTGGTTATCTTCTCTCAAAAGGCAGGACAAAAATTTGCCACACTATCAAATGCTGAGACTGCCCTTAAAATATAATTACCAAAGTGTTCGCTTCACTTCAGTTTTCATGATTTAGATAAATCCTTTTTGTTCCTTGTTTGGGCAGCACTGGGAAGCTAATTAATACATTATTAATATATTGTAGAGGCAAACAAGACTCTGCTTGCTCACACAGCTATGACAATAATAAATTCAGGTCAGAAATATTTTTTCAATTAAGGGAAAATGTTATTATAATGAGAAGTTATTTTTAAACAACAAGACACAACTCAGTGTCGAAACACGGCAGAGACTTACAAATGAGGTGAATGGCAGAGTCAGGCAAGCCCTCTCCTGATGGTTCCAATCATTTAGGGCCCAATATGGACGTCTAAAGTGCCCTGCAATGAACTCGAAATGATAACCTTTTGGGATCCCAGCAATGAAGAACTTCGTTATTATTCGTCTGCGATTTCATAACAGTTGGGATTGGTGCCAAACTTAGGAGCCAGTACTGAAATAGCTGAGCAGGAGGCATGAAATGGTTTTCAATTCAGAAAATAAAGAGCTCCCTCCCCAGTAGAAGAGATGCGGGAATGTTCAGGGAGGAGCGTGAAAAACCCGTGAGTTATAGTACCTCTTTGGGCCTCAGTTTTTCCACACTTTGTTAACTACCTCTTACAGAATATTCATTCTCTGTAACATCTGTTGTTGCAAGGAAAAATCAGATAATGCCTAAAAATGCTATGCATTTCTTGAGGGGGGAAAAAGCTAGAGCCAGAAAATGTATTATTTTGGTTTTGGTTGACCCAGAGATGTGACAGCAGCCACATTACATAAGAAGAGTTCTAAGAAAGCAGAGTTGTCTTCATTTTTTAAACAGAAGAACCACAATCTCCTTTCTGTTTGGATCCTTATACGAATCAAATATGTGAGCAAGAAAGGGCCTACGAAATCACCAATTTTAACTTTCCCCCTAATGCCATTAATTTTTCTTAGAGATATTTTGAGCATGGAGCATGCACAATTCTGCTCAATTTTTGCCATCTAATGAGATCCCAGCCCCAGGTGCTGTGCTTCTACAATAATGTCTCAATGCTAATTACATTTTAGAACAGTTAGGGCAAGAATAGTTCCAAACATACTTGAAGTAATAACTAGTCATATATCCAGAAGGTCAACAGTTCAATCAAAGAGAGAAAAAAATTAGCATATCTTAAGAAAGAATACAAGTGGTTTTGTACAAGAGCTCTCATTTAAGTCTACAAGTGCACTTAAAATACTGATACAGCTAGGTAATTCTATATTTGCCTTTTTAACTCAGTGAAAGCTCCCAATTTCAGGGTGCAGTGTCTGAGAACGAGAAGCATCTGGCAGGTGAAGGGGAGAGGCGTGTTGTTAGTGAAATTGGCTGGAATTTCAGGTTAGGGGTTTGTGCCAGGACTGTGCTGCATGGAGTTGTAGAGAGGGGGGCTTTGGGCTGCTGATGAAGGAAGAGAAACGATGTTAGAGAGCTTTGCACTGGGCCAGGGCTCTGCGCCAATCCTCTGTTACAGTAACAACACAGCGCTAATCCATGAGCACAGTAAATCCCTCAAATAATTGTGTATCAAATCACTACCAACAAAATTACACTCTGCTGTCATCAATGCAGTTTCCATAAAAATGTCTGATCTTTCCCCCAACTTCTCAGTTTCAAAAATGATTTCTAATGAATACCAAAGAGAAGCAATTGGAAGCTCCACCCATTGCTTTCTATTCTACATGACTGAAGTTACCTTTAGTTTAGAAGTGCATCACATTTTAATTAAAAGATAATAATAATTATTGAGTACTTATTATGTACTTGGCAATAGTTACATGGCTAATAGTGTTAAAGAAGATTCCGAAAAAAAAAATCACCTGCCAAAACCATCAAATAAATCATTTCTGCTCCACTAAAGGTAAAGTATTAAAATAATAAAACAGCTCAAGGATTTGTTTTTAATGTGCTAAAAAAGTGGTACTTTTCTTTCTCCAAGAGCCCCGCACTCTGCACAAGAAGTTCCTTTCAGTAAGGGTGCAATGTGACCTGGCATTGTGTGAAACACAGTCTAAGAACTCGTGATTTCATGGGGGAACTAAGCTGGGAATCTAAGAATGACTTTTATAATTTGAACTATAGGAAAACCTTTAGGAAGAAAATCAAGTTATAATGAAACTTATTCAACTCACTAACTTTTAAATAGGATGGGATCTTTTTACATTCAATTTAAAATATAAAACACTTTAAATGTACAGAAAAGTAAAGAGAATAATAATAACCAACTCATCACTGAGGCTTTTTATGAGTCTAATAGACCCTGTTCCATTTCAGAGGGGTCCTACAGTTGCTCAGGTAGGAATTTTTCCAAATTGAAGACCAACCTCTGGGGACAAAGCCTTTTTGCAGGATGTTTTGGGTCCGTGGAATTCTCTCCTTGATCCTCTGCCATCCTAATTGAGCTGTTCCTTCCATTCACTTCCGTTCACGGAGGTGATGAAGTGCTGTTGGGGGAGGGGGCTGTGGCAGATGCCAGGACCACCGCTGCCTTCAGCAGGTCACAGTCAATCCAGGAAGATCAATGCCCACATAAATAATTCTAACATAAGACTGAGTGCTGGAGAGAAAGAGATTCACTTAATCTGGGGCAGAGCTGGGAAGGGAGGGTGGATTGGGGGTTAGCCCTTGGGGTCAGCTAGGATTTGGGAAGGTGGCGATGAGAGGGATGGGGGAGCTTAAGCAAGAGGGAAGGCCTTAGGTCCAGAATGGTGAGCAGGCAGTCCTCAGAAGAGAGTGTATGCTCTCAGCTAAATGGGTGTGCTTTGGCTGGAAAAAATGTTGAGAGGCCCCTAGCTTGTTGATGGAAGCGTCCGTGCCCCTCCCCATTTTCTAATTTTCTTTTCCAATGATGCTACTGAGCCTTGAATTTTTACATATCATCCAGCTGCTTTTTAAACCCTAAAGTCATATAATACAGTAATAATTTACTTTTGAAGAGCATGTTACAGTTTACAAATTGCTTTTTGATACACGTTATTACATTTGACCCATGTAACAGCCCTGTGACACCCCAGGCTCATCTCCACAAGTTCTTTCCTTTGAAAGTAACTTCTGCTTATAGAAACTGCCAGCTATAGAAGTCAGAAAAACATTTCCAATAGCAGTCTTATTGTGTTAGAAGCAGAAGCTGGAATAAAGTCAGCAATCTGGGAGAGACAAAGGAGAGGGCACCAGCATAGACAGAGACTGAGAGTCCCGAGAGGATGACACGATTGTGGCTTTGGAAATGCAGAGTGATGCAGAAGAAAAAGAAGAAAGAGTGTGCTGCAGAAAGCAGAAGGTGGAGCAAGGAACAGGGTGGTGGCTGGCTCCAGGGCAGGGAGCCAGTGTGGGGTCAATGCCTGCTCAACCACAAGTGGGGCTGGGTGTTTACCTTGAGCAGTGCCCCGTGAAACACAACTCAAAAATAAAAAAGGGTGGCTTTCAGAACATGGGGATAGAATAAAATGATTTTATTTATTTATTTCTTTTTTTTCTTTTCTTTTTTTTTTTTTTTTTGAGATGGAGTCTGACTCTGTCGCCCAGGCTGGAGTGTAGTGGTGTGATCTTGGCTCACTGCAGCCTCTGCCTCCCGGGTTCAAGTGATTCTCCCACCTCGGCCTCCTGAGTAGCTGGGATTACAGGCACCCACCACCACATCCAGCTAATTTTTGTATTTTTAGTAGAGATGGGGTTTCACCATGTTGGCCAGGCTGGTCTTCAACTCCAGACTTCGAGTGATCCACCTGCCTCAGCCTCCCAGAGTGCTGGGATTACAGGTGTGAGCCACCGTGCCTGGCCTAAAATGAATATTTTTTTTTATAAGGTTGTGGGGCAAAAGACCATTTCAAGATCTGGGAAGGCAGAAATGCTCATTTCATTTGACGTACGTACGTTCTGTCGCATCCCACAATACCTCATCTGTTGTAACTTTGATAAACTGTTTTTCAGATCGAGTACGAAAGTGGTGCACTTTTGCGACTACTTTATAGAAGCAAAAACAACCAGGACACCATTTTCTGGTTGCAATCTAGTTGGAATAAATCTCACTGATGTTGGATGCATCAACATATCCACTTAGCCTGCTGTAAATCAGTTTACTTTTCTACTTAGAGACATGATGTGAAATGAGATTAATCCAGCTACAGCAAAGTGAGTGAATTCAGTTGAGTAAATCCTTTCCATGGAAAAGAACTTTGTTTTGCAGCTCATTCGAAATGAAAAATCCACAGGACAGTATGATGCCTTCTCTAGAACTGAACAAATGCATTTATCCTAGTTTTATTTAGAGCTAAATTCACATTAGAGCTATCCCATTTGATGGTGTACTCTATTGTTCTTAGGTGAGGGTCACAGTGAAAGCGTTTGCTGAACAACCAAAATGTTTTGGTGGAATTTAGCCTAAGGACTAGTGCTCCAACTAGACTATAAGTGCAGAGAAGATTGACAACTCCTTGGAGAGAGAGGAGAGAGACTAATAAAAACCAACAAAACTGTGTATATTCTTTTATATTCCTCCTCCTTTGTGTTCCATGGCAAAAGGGCAGTCTGCACACAGCTTTTATTTAACAAATACATACTTGGTGGTAACTATT
Organism: Homo sapiens; assembly: GCF_000001405.40. Taxonomy (NCBI): domain Eukaryota; kingdom Metazoa; phylum Chordata; class Mammalia; order Primates; family Hominidae; genus Homo; species Homo sapiens. The sequence goes on along the minus strand of NC_000022.11, from coordinate 39,914,112 downwards.
TCAAGCAGGCAAGGCTTGGAGCAGGTCCAGAGGATAATGAGGGGATTAAAAGGTCAGGGAGAGACTCTCAGGGCAACAGACTAATGGAATTGAGATGCTTTAGCCTGGAAAAGGGGTGGCTGTGCTTGGCAGTTGCAGACGGCAGTTTGTGTTCTTTATCATTACTGAATGATAGAAATCACACTGTGTGCAGGGTGGGATGAAAGACACTCGCTTTACATCCCAGGAAGAGGTGTTTAGGGTTAGAAATGGGGAAGAAGCTGTGACTTCGATGGATTATAAGGCACCCACTGGTCTTTAAGAAATCTTTCTCTGAAAATGTTAAAGTTGAAGCGTAGATAATCTTTCTGAAATGATTTAGGTGCACGCTGCAGTAGGGGAATGACCCAGAGGACCTCTCGAGTTCTGTTCCATTTCTTATCCCGTGATTTTTCAGTGGCCACTGTCACTGGCCTACTTCTGGCTTACTTCTGGTCTACCTTTCTCCATAGCTGGGAGCCCTTGACCCCTTCTTGCAAGTCAACCATGCTGTAGACTCAGCACTAAGCCCCTTCTCAGTTGGGAGGGATTTAAGAAGCTCACTCTAGTTGAACACTTGGCTGACTCAGCATCGGTCATGCCTGCTGCTGGCCTGGCTCTGAGGCGCCCCAGTTCTAGCAAGCAGGATTCTGCCTTGTTCCTGAGTCTTCATCTTACTGGATTTACCTGAAATCTGCCTGTGTACTCCTATGCTAATACTTGAAATCCTTTCTTGTTTTCCATGTCTAACACGATTTTGAGATCATACCTGGTATCCACTCTAGAACTGAAGCCTTCTCTCTCTCTATTTCTCCCACACCTCCTTCCACCCCTCCTGGGGCTCATACCTGGTGTCCAGTCCCTGAACATCAGCCCTGTCCTCTTTTTTTTTTTTTTTTTTTGAGATGGAGTCTTGCTCTGTCACCCAGGCTGTAGTGCAGTGGTGCAATCTCTGCTCACTGCAACCTCCAGCTCCTAGGTATAAGCGATTCTCCCACCTCAGCCACCCGAGTAGCTGGGATTACAGGCGCCCGCCACCATGCCTAGCTAATTTTTGTATTTTTAGTAGAGACGGGGTTTCACCATGTTGGCCAGGCTGGTCTCGAACTCCTGACCTCAGATGATCCACCCGCCTCGGACACCCAAAGTGCTGGGATTACAGGTGTGAGCCACCGTGACCGGCCTTTTAGCCCTGTCCTCTAGAGCTCACTGCCTTTGTGCACGGAGTACCAGTTAGCATTGGTCCTAGATGTCTCCTTTCATCTGTGGCTGGATTTTCCATTCCCTGCCACTCACAACCCCACCACCATCACTCCGGCCACTGCTGGTCTATTTGTTCTTTGCCTGGTCATATAGTGACATGCCACGTGACTCTATTTTCCTGTGGCATTCTATGGTTTATGGTCGCACATCTGAGTCTTTATAAATCATATACTGGTGTTTTCCAACCTTGTCACTATTGACATTTGGGGCCAGTTAAGTCCTTGTTGTGGGGGCCCATCCTGTGCATTGTAGGATTCTCAGCAGCATCCCTAGCTTCTACCCACCAGTAGGACCTCTCCCTGCAAACTGTGACAAAAAATGTTTCCTGGCATTGCCAAATGTCCCTGGTGGGAGTGGGGGAGAACCCCTGCTCCACAAGAACCCAGAAAGGCAAGAGTACTTTTTTTCCAGAGACAAGGTCTCACTATGTCACCCAGGCTGGATGGAGTACAGTATCTCAGTCATATCTCATTACAACTTCAAACTCCTGGGCTCAAGTGATCCTCCTGCCTCAGCCTCCTGTAGCTAGGACTACAGGCATGCATCACCATCCCTGGCTAATTTTTAATTTTTTGTAGAGATGTGATCTCGCTATGTTGCCCAGGCTGGCCTCAAACTCCTGAGCTCAAGCAATCCTCCCACCCTGGCCTCCCAAAGGGTTGGGATTACAGGCGTGAGCCACCATGCCTGGTCAACAAGAGTATTTTAAAGCCAGTTACATACACTGAGAAATAGCTGAATATATAAACAGAACATTTGAATCTGGTAACATTTTAACTAAGGACTCTAACCTTTTAATAAACACCAAATGGAAGTTTGTAAGTTTTGTATTACAACATAAGGTCTACAGCGGGTAAAATGGGAGTGAAAATCCCTTCACTCTAGATCTGTTCTTCTCAGATTTTACTGTGCATAAGAATCACCAGGGGAATTTTTTCACAGTTTAGATTCTGATTCAATAGGTTTGAGGCAGGGTCTGAGATCCTCACTTCTAACAGGCTCCCCGGCGGTGCCGTTGCTGCTGGTCCTAGGATCACACTCTGCTACGAGTGCCCAGGCCCTGGATTAAAAATCACGTGAAAGGTTGGGGAGGGGCTACTGGAAAATTAATAATTATAGGGTCACAAGAGCAACATCACAATGTGCATTAGAATGGCAGACTAGAAAAATTTGGATGTTCCCTGCACCTGTCTATAAGGAACAAAAAAACTGCTCTCAGGGATGTGTTTTGAAATATGACATTTCTATGAGCTTGAAATGATAAATATTATACAAGTTACCTGTGAGCTCTCTGCGCTGGCCAGGGATGAAAATCTATGAACTTCTAAGCTAGCTTGGTAAGTCTTTTAAAGGTTTCCAAAAGTCTGACGGAAACCTAAACTATAAGATCTTTGTAGTCCCGTATTACAAACAGAAGAGGGTAGAGTTGAGGATGGGGCTGGGGGAGGTGATGGAGGGAAGAGAGTCATTTTAAATGAGTCTTGCAGATATGCTTTATGGCACTTGCTCACATTACAAATAATGTGTAAAATGATACTGACCATCACGTGATGTTACTACAACCAAAAATCAGATAAACCAGTTATATTTTTAAAATAACTGCAAAAATGAAGTCATTAACTTTCACACGTAGTGATCAGGATAATCAAGTCTTCTGAAAGCTGCTGAGAGCCTGAAATAAACTTTTTCTCTCCTCATCTAATGCTGCCTCTGAGTGACATTTCCTTAGGGTTTTGCAGACATCGAACTCATTGTCGCATATCCTCACCGCAAGGAGGAAATGGCCATTCACACTTATTCCTATCTTACTTAGGAAGATTGAGGCCCACTAGTTTGTCTAAGGATGCAGATTCATCCACGGTTGCAGAGAATTTATGGATAGGAAAGAGACAATGAAGTTCTGGCCCTTTAGAGGCCAGAGATCCATCATGAGATTAGCTGCACCAGCAGGTAAGTACTCACCTGCAGGGAGGGGAAGCTAATACCCTAGCTCTGAAAGATTTGGACAAGTTGTTATCAAAATGATCGAGTGAAATAGAAATAAATGTCTTTACATTTAAACCTCTGTCCTAGGGTTTTTTTTTTTTTTTAAATCAACAGTGTAAGTACAGAATAAGAAAGATCTGGCTGGGCATGGTGGCTCATGCCTGTAATCCCAGCACTTTGCGAGGCCGAGGCAGGCGGATCACAATGTCAGGAGTTCAAGACCAGCCTGACCAACATGGTGAAACCCCGTCTCTACTAAAAATACAAAAATTAGCCGGGCGTGGTGGCGGGCGCCTGTAATCCCAGCTACTCGGGAGGCTGAGGCAGGAGAATCACTTGAACTCACGAGGCAGAGGTTGCAGTGAGCCGAGATTGCGCCACTGCACTCCAGCCTGGGCGACAGAGCGAGACTTGGTCTCAAAAAAAAAGAAAAAAAGAAAAGAAAAAGAAAGAAAGATCTGGCTTAGTAGTAGTGCATGGGAACTCATGGGTTTTAGTTGACCACAATTTCGATATGAGTCAGCAGTGTGACATGGGTGCCAAAAGGGCTCATGCAATCATGGGCCATATTAATAGAAGTATAGGCTACAGATCAAGGGAGGCAACTACCCCATGGTGTTCTGCATCCTCAGATCACTCCTGGAGAGCGTTGCTCCGTTCTGAGTCCCGTGACTTAGGGGAGGCCCTAAGCTAGAGTCCAATCAGAGGCGGGTGCTTAAAATAATGGCAGCACGCAAAACTGCCTCATAGGAGGAGTGGTTACAAGAACTAAGGATATTTATGCTTGAAAAAGAAGACTTTGAGGGACATGATTGGAAGCAGGGGAAGAGCAGGCTATCTGGGAAAAGATCTTGAGGTAATTTCCAGTGGCAGAAGTTTAGTTTCTGGATTCCCCATGGAAACTTCACATGGCTCTTCTGACTCTTTGTTGTTTGCAAAATAAACAGATCTTCAGCAAAGAAGACCCTGTTTCTCCTATGATTTCCTTGAAGTGTAAAGCTTTGTGGATGCATTGATGCCTGCTTGCTAAACCATCTCTCTCAGCCTACAGATGCACCTCCTTCAAGAAGTTCTTTCTAAAAATCTCCATCTTGAGCTGTTTTTTAATCTCCTCATCAGTTTTGCATTGTGGTACCATTTTTTTGTTTGTTTGTTTTTCCTAGTTTCCCAAATACACTGTTCATTCCTTAGGGGAAAGGACCCAATGTTTTTTTTGCTTTTATTTCCCAAAGTGTTCTCAGTACGTCTGCATACCTGTGAGCTAGGGACTGAGTGAATTTCTGCAGACAGTAGCCAAAAGATGAATTAAAGTAATCAGACAGGTAATTTTTACAGCATCTACAAGACGAAGCATTACAGCATGCTTTCTTGATAATAATAACACCTAATTGACCCTTCACTTTATGAAATAATATGATCTGACAAAGTAGGCTGTATCATAAATCTCCCTTACGTCTTACATTTAAAAATGGAAGTTGTGGATCTTTGCTGGAGAAAAAGTCTGCTCTCTAAAAGCTCCATCTTTTTTGTTCCAGGTATTGGGAATTTCTTTTCAGCTAGGGGATTCCTTGACTTCACACTTTCTCCTTCTTTGATTATTTGGATACTTACAGGGTACCAAGTGTCAACTCATAAAATCTTATAGTACCCGGTTTATAAAATGAATTAGTAGTCTATTTAAAAATATTGATCTAGAAAATAAAAATTCCACAAAATGAGTTTGTTTACACAAGAAAGCACCATGTTCTGCATTGTACAAATGAGATATTGTTGGGGGTAGCCACACATGAATCTTCAAAAGTCTCTTGTATAGTGGGTTAAAGAATGGCATAATTTCACTCGAGGACAGAGGAGTCGATGAGGCACAGTGAGTCATCTGTGAGGCTGAGCACAGAACACAGGATACGGGAGCCAAGCTCATGCTCTGTCACTCTCATCACTGGTCAGTATAACCTCCCACAGTCCAGTGACCTGACACGGTACCGAGCAGATGATACTGTCTGCAACAAGTTGATCTAACTCCACTTGCCAGCCTGAAGTTCACTTAGAAAATTTGAAGCACAAAAAGACTGAGACACAGGGGCCCAATTTCCTATCAACACCTGTTAATCACAAATATTAGCACTTAGCTTGGATGACTCCAAAGGCCAAGGGAGAGTGGTGATGTCCTCCCCTAGTCTCAGGACTTCTGCATTCACAGCTGCAGGCCCTCTTGTGAGTCTCCAACTTCCAAGAACAATTCTGGGACATTAAAGGATATAACTGTTCGTAATAAAAAATCAAGGAGAAGGTTTTGTACCCTTTGAAAGGCATAACCTCTTTAGAAGGATAAGGATCTATCAGCCCAAAATAAGCCCATCAGCATTATTTACTTCCATATGACTCCCTGAACTACCCAAGAGGGGTAATAAAATCTCATGGGATGTCTGCCCATTGCAGAGCACAGGGTTGGAGTATAATTGATGTGGACAGTCAGCCCTGCAGCAAGTGAGGCAGCCAGCGGCATGACACCCAAGCAGCCCACAAAGGCACTATTGAGATGTTTGTAGTTTCTAATGGGATTTGGACATTGCAAGGGAATCCGTTAAGAATTGGATGCCAGCTCTTATGCCCTACAGGGAAGGGTGAAGGGTCTTGCCATCTATGGCAGAAAAGGTCATTTCCCTCTGTTCCCAGACCCAGTGGGATTAGGTGGTTTTCTGCAGAAAATCAAAGGGCTTCAGAGAACACACAGTCTAACCTCTCACTTGACTAAGGAAGAAACTGAAGCTCAGGGAAGTTAGGTGACTTGTTTAAGATCACGTGGGTAGCTCTGGTAGAGCCAGAATTCAGCTTTCCAGAAGCCCATCGAGGGCTCCTGCATCTCCAGAATCCTGTGTTTGGACCAGTGTTGTGGAAGGGGCCCAGCCTACAGCGTGACAGGCTTGGTGCTACGTCCCGGCAGACATTAGCAAATTACCTTGAGCAAGTCCCGGAAACTCTCCAAGCCTTGCTTTTCCCACTCTGCAGAATGAGAGGTAAAATCTGTGGTCTGTCTACCTCAAAGATCATAGCCAGATCAAACAAGATAATGGCAACTCTTTTTATTTACTTATTTATTTTTTGAGACAGGATCTCACTCTGTTGCCCAGGCTGGAGTGTAGCGGTGTGAACACGGCTTACTGCAGCCTTGATCTCTTGGGCTCAAGGGATCCTCCTGCCTCAGCCTCTGGAGTAACTTGGACTACAGGTGCGGGCCACTGGGCCTGGCTAATTTTTTAAAAGAATATCTTGTAGAGATGGGGCCTCACCATGTTGCCCAGGCTGGTCTCAATCTCCTGCGCTCAAGCAATCCTCCCACCTTGTCCTCCCAAAGTCAATGAGCCTGTACGACAACTCTTTTTAAAGCTCCATCAGGATCAGTGTACAATAACTCTAGAGAAAGACAATTTTTCCTATTCAGGATATATGGGTGGACACCAGGTGATTTATGATGGATGGACACCAGAATTTCCCACGGAAATTCTGTACAAAGTTGCGTAGGATAAGTGCTAGGCATCGTTGGTTTTTTTTCCCCATTGGGGAGAGTTTTCATAGTTTTCGTTGACATCTTGAATGTGTCTGTGACACTCCCCTTCCCCCACCCACCCCACCACTGCCAGTAAGAACCTATGTGCTATGGATATCAGCGTATTTATGGTCAACTTAAAGTACTGATATAAGGTATTAGATTTAGACAATTTTCTTAGTTGTCTCAATGTTTGGTTGAGATTCTCCTGTTATTCTTACCGATTTAATGATCTATATTTTCAAACAAATCTATTTAGCGGAGGAGAGCCTTTTCAGCTATCAGACTTTACATTTTGTTTTATAAAGGGTTAAACTGTGTGACCTATAAAATGATGAAGAGAAATTTCAAATTACAAGTCAGCCAGGCTTTCCACCCCACTTTGTACTTCCCTTGTAATATTTCCTAGTTATTTAGAAAGAGTTTCTTTAAAATCATATTTAACAAGAGAACTATCTACTTATTATTTACTGAGTTCCTACTGAGTTCTCAGCAGTTTGTTTCTAATATTTTCCCATAAAGCACTAGACAAAAAACACAAATCATGAACCATTTGTAGGCCGACACATTAAGCCCGTGGTTCTAGAAGGCTGGGGGGTGTGGAGAAAAACAAACGAAGAAGTATTATTCATGACCAATTGATCAATTAGGCTGCTTTTCATTAAAAAACATAAAAAGGCAGAACCAATTTGGCAATGACTGTGTTGGAAATGCAAAAAGAACCATTATTAATGCTGGATTTTTTTTTTCTTATTTATTTTTAGTTCTCTTTAGAAAATTACACTTGAGAGCTTTCTGTAATGGCCACTGAAGGAGTGGATAAGATTCAACTCAGCAGTCGAACCCTTTTGTAATGCTAATGAAGGAGCATGGACCAACACCTAGTTTATACAGCTTTTTCTCAATACAGTTTCAGAAGCCACAGGCTGACTTATGGAATATCTGAGTGTATGAGATAACCAACCAGGGAATTTACCTACTAACAACAGTCATCCATCGTCTCTTAAGGAAATCCACCATGGCCTTTTATAAATCTGACAATGGCTTATACTCTTGCGTTTTATGGTAAAATCTTATATAGTACAGAAATGTGAAAAATGAGAGGAAATTTCTCCCTCCTGATTATATCAAAATATCATCTTCCACCCCGAGGCTCTGAGGTCCCAGGTCTCATAACTCCCCGCTTGTATTGTTCCTTTCAGGGATTTTTTCCCCCCATTACTTCATAGTTCTCCTACTCTTTTCTGTTCCAAGTATTTTATGTTCAAGGTTTCTTGTACAGAGCCTTAAGCTATGTAAATGTAATAAGAGTACTTATCTGGGCTTAGTGGAATGCTGTTCTTATTCAGATGAATTAAACCTTAAATGTGTTTGGGTGGCAACCTCCCGGATTTTCAATAACTTCAAGTCTGAGTGTGTGTGAGGGCTACTTCCACTCAGCTCCACTTGTATCACTCCTCACTGCATGTGCCCATCATCAGAGAGAGTGCTCAGGAACCAGACAGCCTGGGTTCAAATCCTGGCTCCACCAGGTACTAGTTAAGTGACCTTGTGCAACGTACTAGACCTCTCCGTACCTCAGTTTCCTCATTGTGAAAAAAGGGTATTATTAGCACTTTCTTCATTGCACCATTAGAAGAAGTAGACGAGTTAGTACCTACAAAGTATTAGAACAATGCTTGGCAAATAACAATAATAACAGGCACTGTTTTAGGAACCTTAAATGTATAAATCGTTTACTCTTCAGAACAATCCCACGAGATAGGCACCATTAGTAATCCCATTTTATAGCTTAAGAAACTGAAGCACAAAAAGAATAACTCGTCCCAGTTCATTCGCTTAGTAAGTGAAAGACTGGGCTCACACCGAGGCTGTCTTGGCTCCACAGCAAGCACTCAATAAACATTACCTACTATTATTATTATTACCTGAACTTATGCACTCAATAAATATTTCCAGCCACTATTGCTGCTGATAATGATGAATTTGCATGTCGAGTCCATCTTCAAAGCGTATTAAAAATATATATGAACTCCAATGAAATAATCAATTTAGGCAAAGATTATTACCTAAAGTCACCGGGTGAGAGTTTGTTGGGAAATAGGATATTGCCACCATGCCAAAGTGTTTATGAGATACACTTTGAGATACCCCCTGAGAGTACTCGCTAATTGCAAAGGGTGAAAAAGTGCCTGTACAACAAGAGATCCTCTGAGCAAGATCACTACCTCAAGCCCTGATCAAACTTGGCATCATGCACAGTGGAACAACCTGGCATTCTGTACCTCCTGATAAGATGCAATATGGAGCACCCAGTGGCACCTTGCAAAAAACGTTCAATCAAAATCAAATCATGCTTTTAGTCCTAACTTGGAGCTTATGAGAAATAAAGTGGGTAGAGGAACAAATTAACCATGAGGCAACAACGAATTCAGAAAGTGGGACCTGGTACAAGAGAACTGGCGTAATCTTTAAAAACATCCAATGTTGAAGAAAGAAGCATGAGACCCAACTGCAAAATATGTTCTTATTTTTAAAAATTAGATTCTTTTTTTAAAAAATGGTATAGAAGACATTTGGGGGACAAATGGGGAAGGTTAAATCTGCACTAGCTATCAGATGATATTAAGGACTTACTGTTTATCCTCTTAGGCCTAATGATGGAATTGTGGTTAGATAGAGGAATGCCTTTATTCTTAGATGAGTACTGAATTATTTAGGAGTGAAGTATTATTTTATCTGCAACTTACAAGTAATTCAGAAAGAAATAGGTATAGATGGAGCAAATACGGCAAAGAGTTAGCAATTGTTGAACCTAGGTAGTGAGTACTAATATTTCAACTTTTCTTTATGTTTTATGTTCAGTTATTTTCTCACTATCTTTTCTTTTCTTTTCTTTTTTCCTCTTTTTGAGACAGGATCTTGCTCTGTCGACCAGGCTGGAGTGCAGTGGCACGATCTCAGCTCGCTGAAACATCTGCCTCCCGGGTTCAAGCAATTCTCGTGCCTCAGTCTCCCAAGTAGCTGGGATTACAGGCGCCTGCCATCATGCCCGGCTAATTTTTGTATTTTGGTAGAGACAGGGTTTCAACATGTTGGCCAGGCTTGTCTCCAACTCCTGACCTCAGATGATCTGCCTGCTTTGGCCGCCCAAGTGCTGGGATTACAGGTGTGAGCCACTGTGCCCGGCTGTTCTTCACTATCTCCTTAAGGTATGTCTTAACATTTTCTTTGGAGAGTATATAAGACTTTTATCATCATGCACTTCGTGATAGTTTCTTTTAATTCTCTAAAATTTTTGTTTATAAATACATATTTAAAAAGAAAACAATCTTTAAAAATTATTTACTGAATTCCTACTGACTCAAGTTTATTGAAACTTAATGTTAACACTGTTGAAGAGGACTTGGTGCCTAGTGCCAGGCCTGGCATATAGTAATTGATCGATAAATGTTTGTAAAATGCTTATTTGTTAAACAGGACCATGCTTTCTTAAGAATTTTTAAGAGAAAAGAAAGGGCAGGCCAGGTGTAGTGGTTCACACCTGTAATCCCAACACTTTGGGAGGCTGAGGCAGGCGAATCGCTTGAGTTCAGGAGTTCAAGACCAGCCTGGGAAACATGGCAAAACCCTGTCTCTACTAAAAATACAATATTAGCCAGGTGTGGTGGTGTGTACCTGTAGTCTCAGCTACTTGAGAGGCTGAGGTGGGAGGATCACTAAACCCAGGGTAGTTGAGGCTGCAGTGAGCTGTGATTGTGCCACTGTACTCCAGCCTGAGTGACAGAGTGAGACCCTGTCTCAAAAAAAAAAAAAAAAAAAAGACTCATGAGGCTGTGTTATTATCATTATTATTATTTATTTTTGGAGATCTGCCCACCTCGGCCTCCCAAAGTGCTAGGATTATAAGCATGAGCCACCGCGCCCAGCCAAGGCTGTGCTATTTCTTTACAGACCAAGGTATGCTGGGCAAATACCTCAAATGGACAAAATGGGGACCTAGCGACCCTATTGTTTGATTCAAACAACTTATAAAGATTCTTTAACAAGTTTTGAGTTTGTTTGATAGGGGCACAAAAATGAATCATCTGCCCCCAGGATTATCCAGCAGCAACTGTTACTTATTTAAGAAATCGTGATGGAATCACACTTACTGACACATTTTCGAACAATTGCAGACTTTTCTTGACCCAGGAAAAAAGGGCAAGTTCTACTCAAGCTTAGGCATGAACCCTGTCAGTCATCAACACCAGTGGGTGTTATTATCTGGGAATCAATAAATATGTTGGAACTAGGATCATTTTCAGCTCTTCTAGGAAGCAATAGTTCTAAAAGAGATGGCTTCAGGAAATAAGTGAGAGACATTTTGTATAAGAAGTGGGAAGAAAATGATCAAGAGTCAAAGAAACAACTAATCATGATATCGCCTTGCATTTTTATAGAGCCTTTTTCCTAAGGCACTTCATATCTATGTTAACTCATTTATTCTTACAACATCCCTACGAGGTAGACAGAACAATTGAAAGGGATTTTCACCAGGGCCTAAGATGTGGGAGATATTCAAAAGGATATTGTATTAGCAACAGAGATATTTCTTCATATTGAATAGATTGATCATCTCCTTCTCCTCTGCTTCAGTAAAGTCATTTTTAAAAAGATAAAATCTATTACAATTTGGGGAGAATAAGATTTCAGTTTACCACATGGGAGACACTCCAAGTTCAATCTAAAAAAGCAGTTTTATTCAATAATATAGGGCCACCTCTCTTTTACAAAAAAACAAAAAAGGGTATGAGTCAGATTTTTTTCGTATTTGAAAATTAAATATACTTAGGTGGTCCTCTATTTACACAGTGTTCCTTATTTAATAGCAGATGGTTTTGTAAAGAGAATCACTATAAAATTATTCTATAAAGTTTTACATAAAATACTGGATTGTTAAAGGAGAGTAACTTCTGCTAAATACTCTTTCCGAAACCAAAAATAAGAAACAAAAAGGAGCCACTAAAGAACTAAACCGTTTATGACAAACATTGCTGCATAGAACAAAAGATTCTGCGACCTGAAGTTTCCCATCCTCAGATAACATAACGAGAACACACGAAATTTTTCCCATTGGATGTTTAGATCTAAAACACTTCCCACTCCTAGTTTATCTAGGGATGTGTATGTTCAATAGTGTGCAAATTATGCTGCATACACTTTATTAAGAAGGCCTAATTCCAGGTAGATAAATACGGTAAATTTTTTTTGACAGTATACCTGTCAGGGCAATACAGTACATTTTAAATTAGTGAAACCTTTGGTTGGTATGTTCAATCCTCACGTTCAGGAAGAGTTGGGACAAAGAACACAAAGCAGCTATCTTCAGACTGGACGCCTAAACCAGAGACAGTCATAGGGATGGAGCCTAACGGCTAGTACGAAGAGAGACAATACCCTTCCAAAATACACTTCAACATAAAGTTTTCTTTTCGTAAAGGAATGAAAACTGGTGTCCTTTGTACAGGTAACAAAAATGCGAACAGAACTAGAAATTCAAGCAAAGAGAGAAATCCTGACCTCAGAGTGCTAGTGTTCATTCATCACTGCTCAGCCCTCTACCACCCCCTCCAATCCCTTCCAATTTGGATTAAATTCTGACCATGGTGAAGTGGAATTTTACCTCCATGATCCCAAGGTCGAAAATCTTTCCCTGAGATGCTTCTGAAGCCAGTTTGTGGAGATTTTTGTGTTATGGACTGGGTAAGGAACAAGTGTTCTCCCAGTTCATTTGATAGAAGTCAAATCCCATCACCACAAACATTGTCACAGCAAAAGGTTTAGAGACCTTAGCTGATGGGACTTAAAAGCAATATTTAGAGAACTAGTGAGATTCATTTTAATTAACTCATACAGAACATTCTGCAAATTATAAAACTGTTCAAAGTTTCTAGAGTATATGTACAGATGTTGTATAATGACATACCTTTTGGAAGAGAAGGGGTTGAGTTTATGTCTTGGCTTTGACACCGAGTTATTAGAATCCTTTCTGGCAAGAAGGGAGACAAATTCAAGCATCAGAGTTACTGCATTTCAGAGTATGGATCCACTTTGTGCTGTCTTCCATGTACCACTCTGAAAGAGGGTGCAAGTTTACAGATCCATTAACTGTGCCTCCTCCTCCCCACCTCTTACTCCCTCCTCCAAACTAACCCTAGTCAGCCCTGCAGTCTGTAGGCAAACCACACAGGAACTAGCACATATGGGGCTTCGGAGAGTTGGGCGTGAGCCTTAGATTATGTGGTTTTGTTTTCTTGCTGCCAGAGTTGAACTAAAATGCAGGAGGTTCACTGAAACACTTTTGCTTCTTTATGCTTGGTTTCAGTTTTAACAATATCCCCCCTGAACACTTGTGTTCACATAAGAAAATTTATAGTTCTTGATATGGTCCATCAGCAAGCTGATCTTAAGGAAAACTCTTATTCTCTTAGTATAATCATGCATCCAGAGGAACATTAGGGCTTCTTGGGGGAACTTATTTAAGAGCACCCTCGATCACTCACAATGTTAAAATCCCAGGAAAGATGCTTTGTTCATACACTCAGCCTCTAATATTACTCTTGACAAAAAAAGAAGAAACATTCTGAGCTGGGATGCATTCTCACCCCAGGTTTGCCACAGTCCAGCATGAGGTGGAACCAGTTCCTTCAATTTCTGGGACTTCAATTTCTGTTGAGTCTTAGACTGAAGGCTTTCTGGGATTTAAGACTTTCCATTGACCTTGAGTTTTGTTACCTTCAACTTCCTTAGTTCTTACCTTTAAATGTACCACTCACCCTTCCCCCTATATCAACTGCAACTTGTGAAGGCCTCTTCCTTTCTCTTTGCTCTTGCTAGAAAATGGATTGCCAACGTTGCATCTTTTACAGAAAATTAGAGACATTGCTACTTGCTAAGTGGCACCATTCAGAGTTTGGGGACTGGATCCAAGATGAGGAGGGAAATGTTGGCTCACTGGGATGTTCCTAGCATTAATCCCTGGAATACCAAGAGGAGAGTGTCAAGGAGAGATTCAATTTGGGGTTCTAAAATTTAAACTTTTTCTGCAATGTGAAACGGCATCCTTTTCCATCTCTTTGCTTCTTTATATCTAAACCTTGCTTAAAATTTACTTTCTTAAAACCTTTTCCTTGGTTATAATTGCCCAACATTTTTATTGAAATAGAAAAGAAGAATCAGCAAAGTGTCAAGGTGACAGAAAATGCTCAGTAAATATTTGTCGAATGAGTTAAAGGAAGTAATTTTCTATCCATAACTCCTTTTTTTTTTTGAGACGGAGTTTCACTCTTCTTGCCCAGGCTGGAGTGCAATGGCATGATCTTGGCTCACTGCAACCTCCGTCTCCCGAGTACAAGTGATTCTCTTGCTTCAGCCTCCCAAGTAGCTGGGATTACAGGTACCTGCCACCATGCCTGGCTAATTTTTTTTGTATTTTTAGTAGAGATGGGGTTTCACCATGTCGGCCAGGCTGGTCTTGAACTCCTGAACTCAGATGATCCGCCCGCCTCAACCTCCCAAAGTGCTGGGATTACAGGCATGAGCCACCGCACCCGGCCCTGTAGCTCCTTAATAACAGGCTTTCTTTTTATTAATGCAACTTTGTCAAATTTTCTTAAATCCTGGTTATATCTGAAAAGGATCTCTGCTATTTCCACATTATAAAGATAAAATTTAAAAATAACAACATCTTGCTACTTTAAAAATAATAACGTCTCAACCTTGACCTCAGAATTATTCAGCCTTCTAAGGACCTTCTTGGATCATTACACTGAACAGCTCTATTGCCAAGTTTTTAAATGCTGAAATCCTCTGGCTACAGTCCTTATTCTTTGATAGCTCCCAAGTCGATGGTTTTGAAATGGTTAAAGGAGTCCCTAAAATTCTATGGTTGGGGAGTGGGAGCGAAGGGAAAATGTTGAATGGTGTTACATGGAAAGTATCATGGTGTTTTCAGCTTGTACCCTAATGAGGAAGCTAATTTTGCACCAGGCACTACTCCCCAGGGAGCAGAATATAATCCTTCCCCTTACAAGCATGGGACAGATTGCAGAACAGAAAAATCTCAAAGGCAAGTTATTTTGGTAGTAAGTACTGATTGACAGACATGTTATGTAGAGCATAGTGGGAGGGAAGCAAGGCCACTTGAGTGGTTTATTTCATAACAGCTCTGTAACTGAACGAGTGCAAAGGCAGATCCTAAGAATAAAGACCCTAATGTGAGAATGCCAGCATTTCAGTACTCACTATCATGAGATACTCAGAAAAATAGCAGCAAGATGAGGAGGATACAGTAACATGTGAAATATGGACTTAGCCACAGTGGAGAAGTTTCTTTTTTAAACCATACTTTGTTTAAAATTTTTTTAATCAATTCCTTTTGAGGGGTCATTTGTTTATATCTGAACTTCTGTTTTGTTTTGTTTTTTGTTTTATTTTGTTTTTTGGAGACTGAGTCTCGCTCGGTTGCCCAGGCTAGAGTACAGTGACGCAATCTTGGCTCACTGCAACCTCCACCTCCTAAGTTCAAATGATTCTCCTGCCTCAGCCTCCCGAGTAGCTGGGATTGCAGGCACCTGCCACCACACCCAGCTAATTTGTATATTTTTAGGACAGCTGAGGTTTCGCCATGTTGGTCAGGCTGGTCTCGAACTCCTGACCTCAGGTGATCTGCCCACCTTGGCCCCCCAAAGTGCTGGGATTACAGGCATGAGCCACTGCGCCTGGCCAATATCTGAACTTCTTGCCATAATTATGCTCAATTTAACTTTATGGTAAAATATGTACTTCTTATTTAATAGTGTGCATTCAGACATTCTCGTTTCATTTATTCAATAAATAAAGTTTGAACACCTACTCTGTGTTAGTCCTGTTCTAGGTGCTGGAAAACTATCAGTGAACAAAACATAATCTCTGCCCTCCTGGATCTTACATTCTGGTAAAGGGAGAAACAGAAGGTACATCAGATGGTCCTACTGTTAGGGAGAAAAATAAAATGATGCAAGAGCCACAGGGAGTGTGGCTGAGATGGGGGTTGCGATTTTACGTTGGGAAATCAAAGGACATTTGAGCAAAGTCTAGAACAAAGTGAAGAAGCCAGTACTTCCTGGATGGACATCTGGGGAAATAGCTTTTGCAGGTATAGGGACTAGCAAGTGCAAAGACTTCAGGTGGAGACATGTTTAACACTGTGAGTGAGGTGGAGAGGAGTTGGGATGGAGATCAGAGAGAGAGCAGAACATGTAGGGCCTTGTTGCCATGGCGAGGCCTTTGGATTTTACTCTGAGTGAGATGGAAGCCAATGGAAGATTTTGAACTGGGGAGTAGTATGATCTGACTTGGGTTTTAAGTTTTAAAAGGGTAGCTCTGGCTGTTGTGCTGAAATTAGATAGCAAGGGAGCAAGAACAGAAGAAGAGAGACCAGTTAGGAGCCTACTGTTGGCCAGGCATGGTTGGCTCATGCCTGTAATCCCAGCACTTTGGGAGACTGAGGCGGATGGATCACCTGAGGTCGGGAGTTTGAGACCATCCTGATCAACATGGAGAAACCCAATTTCTACTAAAAATACAAAATTAGCCAGGCATGGTGGCGCATGCCTGTAATCCCAGCTACTAGGGAGGCTGAGGCAGAAGAATCGCTTGAACCCGGGAGGCGGAGGTTGCAGTGAGCCGAGATTGCGCCATTGCACTCCAGCCTGGGCAATAAGAGCAAAACTCCATCTCAAAAAAAAAAAAAAAAAAAAAGAGGCTACTTTCATAGTCCAGACCAGAGATGGTTGTGGCTTAAAACAGGATGATGTGAGTGGTGGGAAGTGGTTGGATTTTGAATATACAGGGTGATCATAAAGTCTAGAAACATAGATAATGTTATTGTATCTTGTATTAGAATGTAGCATCAATAAATCATTTATTATCTAGACTGGGTAGCCACCTTGTATTTCAAAGGTAAGCTCATGGATATCATGAGAGCTATAAGAGACAAACACAGGAGTTAAGGTGACTCCCAGGTTCATGGCCTGAGAACCTAGAAGCAAGGATGTGTCATTTACTGAGACAGGAGAGACCGTGGGAGAGAAGGTTTGGAAGGCAAGACCAGGAGTAGAGGTCAAGGTAGTTAGATACACGAGTTTGGAGGTCAGGAGAAGCTGAAGAGAAAACCTTGAGAGTTGTCAGAATCGAAGAGTATTTACCGCTTTGCAAGTGGATAACACTACCTGTGGAGTGAATATAGATAGAGAAGACAAGAGGTTAGAGAATGGGCTCCTTCAAAGTTGAGAGGTCATAGAATTGAGAACGGATGAGTCAAGGAGATGAGAAGGAGAAATGGTGTCCGGGAAGTCAGGTGAAGCAAACTGTGTTCACTTTTATAGAACCTCAAGTTCAAAAAATTAAAGGAGAAAACCAACCAAGCTACCATAGAGCAATATTTGTATTTAGTGGATGTTACGGTATTGCAACTAAATTGTGCCCCCAAATGGAGGAAAGCAGATAAGAAGGACCCCTTACATATTGTCACTTGAACAGGGTTAATTCCACTAAGCTGGTAACACTTGACACTTTTGCCAAGCCTAACCAACTCCCTCACTGTTTATTGGGACTTCAGTCTTTAATCTTACCCTGTCTCCTACTTCCCATCTGCCTCCTCAATCACCTTCTATATGCTGACTACTCTGAAGTCTATGAACCTAGCCCCAAACCCTCTTCTTTCAGTTATCTCTATTCAACTGTCCCCTGAACATCTCCCACCTGTTGCTCAGATTCAAAATGTCCGAAGCAGAATTCCCCAGCTTTCCTGCCAAACTGACCCCTCGGATCATGTTCATCTTGGTGAACAGCAACAGTCATTTACTTGGTCACCCCAAAAAGAAACTTAGTCCCTGTAGACTCCTCCTTCTCTCTCATTGCCACATATATTCAGAGCCCGATCCCATAACTGCTACACTTTAACATTACATGTAAAAGTATATGTGTGAGGAGAGTGAACAGAGTGGAGATTCACACTATGCCCATGACCTCTGCCTTAGTTATGGCCTTCATCACTTATTGCCTGAACTATCAGAACA
Source organism: Homo sapiens (assembly GCF_000001405.40). NCBI lineage: Eukaryota > Metazoa > Chordata > Mammalia > Primates > Hominidae > Homo > Homo sapiens. The sequence goes on along the minus strand of NC_000022.11, from coordinate 39,896,196 downwards.
TTCTGTTCTTCTTCCAGTTCCTCTGCTTCCAATCTACTCTTTGAGCACACACAGAGATTTTAAAAGGAGAAAATGAATGAATTTAAAAATAAAAAATTGGAATCTCTGACCTTCTCCAAACATAACAAGTCCACTTGTGACTGAGTTGCTGATAGAGCTTAAAATCAAGGACCAAAGATTGGTCCTTGGAGTAGGGGAAAGAGCTAGACACAGGAGATTTGGGTTCAAGTTTCAGGTAAACTGCTTCCTAGTTAAATATCTCTGGGCAATTACTGTAATCTATTTGTTTCTCCAAACTCAGTTTAAGCTCACCTCCTCCAGGAAGCCTTCCCTGACTATGCAAATATAGACAAGTCCCCCTTTCACTCCCGTAACATTGTTTGCCTTTATTATAGCAACTACTTACAATTGCTGATTTATTCCTGTTTCCTCTATTAGAGTATTAAACTACAACTTCCTTCTAGTCTCATAGCTCAGCATAGTGCTTGGCAAATAGCAGGTGCTCAATAATGTAGAATGTATGCATATTCCACAAACTCAGCTTTCTCACCTGTACAATGGGATAATAACGCCTACTTCTCAGCATTCCTTTGAGATTTACATAAGCTATACATATAAAAAAACTTCATAAACTATACCTCAATGTATAAAATACTTGTAGTTTGTCCCCCACTATTTTATAAAGTCAAAATACCTCAACATAGCATTCAAGGCCCTGAACAATGTTTTCCAGGTCACCTTTTCGATTTCCCTCTGGCTCCCACCCCATTACTCTATATTATAGCCAGTCAAATAATATTCCAAACTCACCAACTTCTTTCATACCTCCTATCATTTTATATTGGATTCACCTATCTACATGTCAGTATCAATAATGTGGGCTATTATTATTATAATTATGACTGAAGTAGTAGGAGATAGAAACAAATGTTGCTTTTGTCTACTAAGTGTTTTGTTATCCTCTGTCTTTTCCCCTCATCCTAGTCAATATTCCATTAAAACACAGGTTCGATTACATTTTTCAATGCCTACTGGATAAAATCACCTTGTAGTATGGATAAGGTTCTTCATGATCCAACTTCCCTCTGTTATTTAACCTTCCTCTGCTGCTCCACTAATAGCCTTTGTGACAGTTGTAGTAACTACAGTACATGTAGTTTTTCCAAGATAATAGGCTGGCTCAGCTTTCATGCCTTTACACATGATGTGTCCTTTGCCTCTTACGTCCTCCTCTACTTTGTCTATCCAGTGAACTCCCTGTCATCCTTTAAGATTCAATTCAGATGTAAACTCTTCTGTGAAACCTGCCCTTAAATACTCAGTGGCAGAATTAGATGATCTCTTCTCTCTTACTATGCCATACATATCTTGTTACAATCTTCTCTGACGGTGCCTGTCACCTCCACTAGCCTGTAAACGTATCCAGCAGAGGGCTGCTTTTTATCTCCGAGTCCTTACTGTCTGGCACAAAGTGGGTGCTCACGGAAAATCAGTTGAATACATCAACAATTACCCGTCAGTGGCACCTGAAGCCATCAGTCACTGGAGCTACCCCATCATTGTCCATCACACACACTGCTCTTCATAGACTACTATTACATTCTCAGTCCTTTGAGGTGGCAATCACGTGCTGGTGGTATTTCTAGTCAGTTGAAATGACAGTAGTAACACACTTTTAAAAATGTATTCATGTGCCATGCTGGTGCGCTGCACCCACTAACTCGTCATCTAGCATTAGGTATATCTCCCAATGCTATCCCTCCCCCCTCCCCCCACCCCACAACAGTCCCCAGAGTGTGATGTTCCCCTTCCTGTGTCCATGTGTTCTCATTGTTCAATTCCCACCTATGAGTGAGAATATGCGGTGTTTGGTTTTTTGTTCTTGCGATAGTTTACTGAGAATGATGATTTCCAATTTCATCCATGTCCTTAAAACTTAAATAATAATAAATAAAAAAAAAGAGATATTATGCTAGAAGTCTGAGTATTTTACTGATTTTCCATTTTAAGAATAAATTATCATGGCAAATTTTAAGTTACATACATTATTTTATTGTCTACTTTTTAAAAACATTATCAGCTTACCTTGGCATTTTTTTTCTTTTTTTAATGTCCGTTTTTACGTTGTGAACATTTAGTAAATTAATTTATACTCATTTTTATTTAATTAAGAAAGCAGCTAAGAATAAATGCTAGTGTCTGATTAAACTATTTCCCAGATCTCAAAAAAAAAAAAAAATTTATTCTTTGAAAGGAGGATTAGGGCAGTGTCACAGCCCGGCAGCCTGTGAAACGAAGACACTTACCTTCATTCCCCTTGGTACCCTCCAGCTCAGGTATCTGCAACCATCTTGCTTGACGCCCTGACAGGAACTGCACCAGGCCAGAAAGTGAGGAAGCGGAAGTGGGGACCGGCCTGGGCCCTTGAGCCTGGCTGGAGTAGGTGGAATATCCTGGGGAGAGGAAGTTTGGTCGTTGGGCAGCGGCCGACTTTCCTCTCAGGTAACAGCCTCTGCTTGGGAGTGGTGGTGGGGCTCAAGGCGGGTCTGGAAACATCGGTTGCCTTCCCTCCTCCCGTTTCTTGCCGGCACCGTCGGAGTCCAGGTGGGGGCGGGAGGGCGGCGAGGCCATTACCATCCGCAGGAGGTGAAATCCCTGTGGCGTGACGTGACGCCATCACGTCCCTCTCTCCTTCTAGAGGCTTTCCTGAGGTCCAGCCTTCCCCTCCACTGCCGGTTCTCCTAGGGTAATTGCTGGTCTGATTCTCTGTGTGGCCGAACGCCCAGCACCTGGCTCATCTGGTACACAGTCGTCATCTGAAGTGGGGGTTGTATGAATGAAGACGAGGATGCCGAGGAAAGGCCCTGCCCACAGAAAGTTGATTCTTGCTCAGCCTCCACCCGCCATTTTCAAAATTCTTTCCAAAGCATCTCGTTTCTTCCTCCCCCACGGCCCTGTCTGGCGATTATTCTTTGTGTTGCGGATGAGGGAACTGAGACTTAGAGAAGTTGTTAAGTCTTAGTTAGGAAATGGCAAAGCAGGACCTCAAATCATGGCTTTGAATCCTAATTAAAGGAGAGAGATGAGGCATGTGAAGGCCCAGGTGTGAGCACATTGTGAGCGTTCAATGAAGAGTAGCTGTTTACTCCAGGGTGTGAGGACTGTGTCTTGTGCACCTGTTTCTCCATTTCCTAGAATGGAGCCTGCCACATGGTAAGCTCTGGAAGATTATTAGTTGAATAAATTAATGAACACACACTTAGGGCTGGAAAAGATTAGATTCTCTGCCTCTGACAGTATTCTTTTCATCAAAACAGTAACACCTCCTAATGGCATGGTAGTCTCTATAACCATTTTCCCGTAGCATTCTTGGCCAGAGCTCATTTCCTTACGAGTCAAACTCATGTCTATAGGCAGAACCTGTACAAACACAAGAGCTGTTCTTTTCTCATAGTTCCACCTTAAATGCATCTTTTCAGAGATAGCTCTGGACACTCAGCCTCTTAGATGCTATTGTCATTATTGTCCCAAGTCTTTGGATAAAGTCAGTTCAGCTCCTCTGTTCCTTATTCTCAATCCTGAAATCCAAAAACTTTTGGAAATCAACTTTTCCTCCAACTCATTTGGTGGTAAAACTTGGCCTGAGGCCATTTGTAGTCTTTATTCCAAATATTTACATGTTTTTATTGCAGACATGTTAATGTGTTTAATTGTTCAGAGCAGCTCCACACCTTACTGTGGGTATCATGTAATATATGGTATAGACATGGCACTACTCTTGAAAATTCCACCCCTACCACCGCACCCAAAAGAGAATTTCCACAAATCATCTGGCCTCAAAGGATTGGGATAAAAGATCGTGGACCAATAGTTTAATGCCAGCTGATAAATCATTTCCTGTTAGAATTCAGATGAAATGGGGGGAAGGAAACAGCATTGTGAAAGTGGGCAGATCTAAAAATAACACTAAAAGACCTTTTCTACGTAATCATTTGTTTTGCTGGGAATTATTTAGGAGAGAAAGCTCCTTAACTGAATGGTAAGTTTTAATGTGAGGTTCATGTTTTATATTTCTCCACAAAGCTATACAAATGGTAGGTACTCAAGAAATATCTGTTGATGATTTGAAAATATTTGCTCAAAACTATAGAATTTTACTTGACAATTATGAGAGCTAGATTTTATTTATTTATTTTTTTAATATCATGCTTTATAGGAGTTTGTGACCATCTGGGCAACCAATAAGAACTCGTGTCTAAAAAAAAAATTTTTTTTGAGGCCAAGCACGGTGGCTCACACCTGTAATCCCAGCACTCTGGGAGGCCGAGGCAGGCGGATCACTTGAGGTCAGGAGTTCAAGACCACCCTGGTCAATATGGTGAAACCCCGTCTCTACTAAAAATACAAAAAATTAGCTGGGCTTGGTGGCTCATGGCTGCAGTCCCAGCTACTTGGGAGGCTGAGGCAGGAGAATTGCTTGAACCTGGGAGGTGGAGGTTGCAATGAGCCAAGATCGTGCCACTTCACTCCAGCCTGGGTGACAGAGCAAGACCCTATCTCAAAAAAAAAAATAAAATTTTTTTTTTAATTAGTTAGGCTTGGTGGTATGCACCTGTAGTCCCAGCTACTTGGGAGGCTGAGGCAGGGGGATTGCTTGAGCCCAGGAGTTTGCAAGCAGCCTGGGCTACATAGTGAGGCTTTATCTCAAAAAAAAAAAAAAAGTGATTATAATTATAAAGCTATAGAATCAGTGCAGGTTTATCCCAAGGCAGAATCATTCAATCATTGTGTTATTTGCACAACACATGTTTCTTGAGTATCTACTGTTGCTAATTAGCTGTTAGGGATAGGATTACAGTGGTAAATAAGACCGTCAAGGTCCCTGCCCCCAAGGAGCTTCCAGTTTGGTGGTGAAGAAAGGCACTGAGCAAATGACAAATAGGTAAGTACAGATTGTTACAAGTGCAATGAAGGAAATTAACCAGGTTCTGGGGAGACCTAAGTAGTTAGTGAGGTCGGTGAAGACCTCTCAGATTTGTGACATGAAATACCTAACTTCTTCCCTCTATTTCTAAATATTATAGTGAGTTGGGTAGCCAGACAACCAAGATTCAAATGTGGAAATTTACCCTCTTGGGCACTAATTTTGTCTCATGTCAATTTTTGTCACATCACTGTAGTTACAATCTCACAGTTATTTGATGCTGTATGTAAACAGCATTTTCATGTAGTCAGGTGTCTAAAACACATAATAAACCAACATATAATTTACAACTAACACCAATTAATTGAGCTCCTTGTCAATTTGAAAAGACAGCAGTAGTAGAATGGTGTTTTACATATTCTACGTTCATATCACAAGGTAAAGTTCAAGTCATTGTACATTAGTAAGTGATAAGAATTCACTTCTCTAGACCTTTTTCCTTGCGATTTTTCTAATGGTTGGGGTTGTATTTAATTCTGATATGGTGTCATGTAAATTCATTTTAAACTACTCTATTGGATTAGAAGGCTATTATTTTGATATTTTTCTGGGTTAGAAAATTCATTTAAGAAAACAGTTTTTAAAAGTTTAAAATATAGGTTAGAGAATGTAGAAAAACCTAAAAATTACGATTGTTCTTCCAAAATATAGATAGATAGCTATCCAAAAAAGAAAAAAAAATTAACATTTGTTGTTCAATTCCAGCAAGTTATGATTCTAACAGGGCTTTAAAAGAAAATAGAATCGTGAAGAAACAGATCGATATTTGTTGCTCTAAGCCAATGTCATAGTGCATCTCTGCATTGAGTGAGTTTGGTAGAAGGAAAAAAAGGACAATAGAAAAAAAAACCCTCCTGCTTGACAATTTTAATAGCTTTGCTGAAATATTATAAATCAGTTTTTCACTGCAGGAAGGTGCCAAATAAAAATGACTGTGTTTGAAGTACGAAAAAGAGAAAATCAGAAAGTTGTAGAAACACAACTTCTCTTTTTCTTCCTAGGGTTAATGATAGTGTCTTTCTGAGAAATCTTAATTAAACAGATATTTAATACATTTTCTTTTTTATTTATTTATTTATTTATTTATTTATTTATTTATTTATTTATTTATTTTTGAGACAGAGTCTCACTCTATCTCCCAGGCTATAGCGCAGTGGCCTAATCTCGGCTCAGTGCAACCTCTGCCTCCCAGGTTCCAGTGATTCTTATGCCTCAGTCTCCCAAGTAGCTGGGATTACAGGTGTGTGCCACCAAGCCTGGCTAATTTTTTGTGTTTTTAGTAGAGATAGGGTTTCACCATGTTGTCCAGGCTGGTGTTGAACTCCTGAGCTCAGGTGATCTGCCCGCGGCAGCCTCCCAAAGTGCTAGGATTACAGGTGTGAGCCACCACGCCCAACCACTTATACAGGTACATTTTCTGTCTTGCTTAGTTAAGAGTGTGTTGTATTTTTACCAAAAAGAGGTTATCTCATTTTTTTAAAAAAAAGAAGTGATAGTTTATTTGGGATGCTTCTAAAAATTTATGTCTTCCTTTAATACACATACAGAAATTAATCAAGGCTGAGCTAGTTACCTGAGAAGGTCAAGAAAGGGAAGCAAAACTAAAAGCAGTGAACACATTTGTTATGGATTTTAACATTTTTTCTTTTGTATGTGTGCAGTTTCTCTAGTAAAATCTGATTATAGATCTTCTAGGTTTCGTTGGGTCTGGATGTTCGTCAGGGCTTGAAATCAATTTGGTACACTGTCTTGGCAGCCAGCAGTGGTGAATCACTAGAGAAATTGCAAACTGACTGACCCTCCTTAATACAAAATAATGAAAAAGAGAAAGGGAATGGTTTCCTATAAACTGAATTGATCATTCACAAGCATTATGTAAAGTTTGGGGGCTGCATTTCCCTTTTAAGTTTTAGTATATGGGCCTCTCTGTGTGTCCTTGTTTTGAGATCTGATAGACACAGGCTGATCACTGCAGGATTTAGAGAAATCCTTGCATTATTTGAGTCTTACTGTTGACACTGTTTAATCCTAAACTCATTCTTCTTTTTCCAAAGGTGAACAAATAAAGTAATTTAACCTTTCCCTCTAATTTACCAGGCTTATCTGGACTAAAATAGAGGTTTTAGGGTACCATGAATTAGCTGTGGAGTCCACTGATATACAGCTGTTTGTCTTCATAGTTGATCCTCCTTTCTTTTAGGTTTAGCAAGAAAGCAGACTATATTTAGATCTGATTCTCGGGACTTGTAGTTCTAAAAAGAATACAGTCATAGGGTCAGTGGGTGATTCTAAGACTCAATTTTACCCCCATTTTAATTACTCTCAGAATATAATATTTTTATATGTGACAATATAAAGAGATGCCTGAAATCCTAGCACTTCAGAAGGCTGAAGTGGGAGGATCACTTGAGGCCAGGAATTTTTGAACAGCCTGTGCAACATATTGAGACCCCCATCTCTACACAATATTTAAAAATTAGCCAGGCAGGCCGGAAGCGGTGGCTCACGGCTATAATCCCAGCACTTTGGGAGGCTGAGGTGGAAGGATCACAAGGTCAGGAGTTTGAGACCAGCCTCGCCAACATGGTGAAACCCCGTCTCTACTAAAAATACAAAAATTAGCCAGGTGTGGTGGCGTGCATCTGTAATCCCAGCTACTCAGGAGGCTGAGGCAGGATAATCGCTTGAACCCGGGTGGCAGAGGTTGCAGTGAGCCAAGATCGCACCACTGCACTCCAGCCTGGGCAACAGAGGGAGACTCTATCTCCAAAAAAAAAAATAGCCAGGCATGGTGGCGCACACCTATAGTTCCAGCTGCTTGGGAGGCGGAGGCAGGAGAATTGCATGAACCTAGGAGTTCAAGGCTGCAGTGAGCTATGATTGCACCACTGTACTTCAGCCTGGGAAGCAGGGCAATACCCTGTCTTTGGAAAAAAAAAAAAAAAAAAAAAAGAAAGAAAGAAAGAAAGAGATGTCAGAGTGCAAGTTCTGTTTTTTAAAATGTTGCTTGTCTGCTGTCCATGTAATGCTTTATAGCCATTATATTTCTGGCCAAAGAGGTTGAATGATATTTTCTCCAGGAACTTTTATGACTAGAAAGACAACCTATATTTCTTTAAATAATATAGGCCAATTTCTCATGAGGGATTTTCCCATGCCTATCCTAGGAACAGTTATATGGTACCCTCAATTCTGGCTGCTGTAAGTGAGGGGCTGATTTAGAAACAAAACCTAGATTTTCAGATTGATTTGGTCTTCTATAGACTTAAAAAAAAGTTTAATGTAAATTTTTTTGTGCTTTCCTTGCAGGAAATTGATACTTTATCAACATAGAGATTAATTATTTGTATTTGGGAGCAGCAGAACTGGGGACCAATTACCTGTCAAGAGTTTTATAAACCCGTGACATAAACTGTTATTCCATTGCTTTCATCCTCCATCTCACCTTGGAACTTGTATTACTTATGGCGTTCAGGAGACAAGTGAAAAACTTTGTGAAAAATTACTCAGATGCTGAAATAAAAGTCAGGGAAGCAACTTCTAACGACCCTTGGGGTCCCTCTAGTTCTCTGATGTTAGATATCAGTGACTTGACTTTCAACACAATTTCTCTCTCAGAGATTATGAATATGCTGTGGCACAGACTCAATGACCATGGGAAGAACTGGCGCCACGTGTATAAATCCCTTACCCTAATGGATTATCTCATCAAGAATGGATCAAAGAAAGTTATTCAGCATTGCAGAGAGGGGTTCTGTAACCTTCAAACACTAAAAGATTTTCAGCACATAGATGAAGCTGGAAAAGACCAAGGTAATGGTTAAAGAAGTTTATATAAGCTGGGTGTGGTGGTGTACACCGGTAATCCTGGTGCATGGGAGGCTGAGGTGGGAGGACTGCATGAGCCCAGGCATTTGATGCTGTAGTGAGGAAAGATTGCACCTGTGAATAGCCACTGTACTCCGGCCTGGGCAACATAGAGAGACCCCGATCTCTAAAGTTTTTTTAAAAAGTTTATAGCATGTGCCAATAAAGATTAGGAGTTTTGGGGGATCATTTTATACCAGGAGGTGGGGAAGAGTTGTACTTAAATGTACTAGCTGTCTTTCCTCTGGGACGGTTATAGTTTCCAATTTAATCCTCTGTATTGAGTCTTCAGTGCCTTAGAGAACAATACTTTTTTCAAAAGGAAAAAAAAAGTGAACACACTTAGGTTTCTGATAAAATGATACCTCATAGAAAATGAAAAAAGTGAATAAAATAGGAGGCATGGCAATTTGGTGTAATAATGTCACTGTAATTTATAATTATAATTAAACTGGAATTTAGTCATAAATTAAGGAAATATTTCCACAGGCTGGAATCTTCAAAGACTATCTAGATGGAAGCAGTTATATGAATACAAAAATTTAGATCATAAAATAATTCTTTCGGGGGCGGAAGAGGAGGTGCAGTAGGGAAAGGATAGGATCCTGAGATGATTCAGTAGTGCCTGATATTCTACAGTGACAAAAGGCTCAGTGCTTCCTCTCTAGCTACTGTAGAATTATAATTTGTGTTCAAAATGAATAGTCTTATGAATCATGAGAAGAGGATAAAATTCAGAGCATTCTCTCTGGGAAGCATGCATTTTAAAAATAGACCTTTTTTTAAGGGCAGTTTTAGGTTTACAGGAAAATTATGCAGAAAGTTACGCAGAGTTCCCACATACCCTTCCCCACTCAGACACAATTTCTCTTAATAACATCTTGCATTAGTGTGGTCCATTTGTTACAGTTTATCAACAAATGCTGATACATTATTGTTAATGAAAGTTCATATCTTACATTAGGAGTCACTCTTTGTGTTCTACAGTTCTGTGGGTTTTGAAAAATGCATGGTGTCATGTGTCCACCATTCCACTATCATACAGAGTAGATATGTCCTGTGTTCCACCTATTCATCCTTTTCCTCTCCTCTTGAATCCCTGGCTACCACTGGTCTTTTTATCATCTCTATAGTTTTGTCTTTTCAGATGTCGTATAGTTGGAATCTTAAAGTATGTAGCTTTTTCAGACTGGTTTCTTTCACTTGGCAATATGTACTTAAGATTCCTCCATGTTCTTTCATAGCTTGAGAGTTTATTTTTTTCTTCCCTTTTTTTAAAAAAAAAAACTTTATTGAGATATAATTCACATACCACACAATTCACCCATTTAAGGTGTACAGTTATATGGATTTTGGTGTATTACAGTATAATTTTTTAGAATTGTAACTATAACATAAAATTTGCCTTTGTAAGTGTGCAATTCAGTTGCATTAATTACATTCACAGTGTTGTGCGGCCATCACCACTATTTGTAAAATTCTTTCATCACCCCAAACAGAAACCCCGTAAGCATTAAGCAATAGCTCCCCATTCCCGTTCCACCAAGGCCCTATCTGTCTCTAAATTTTCCTGTTCTAGGTATCTCTTATAAGTGGAATCATACAGTATTTGTTATTTTGTGTCGCTTATTTCACTTACCATAATGTCCTCAGCGTTGTCATGTTGTAGGATGTATCAGAACTTTATTCCTTTTATGTCTGAATAATATTCTATTGTATGTACATTACACATTTTAAAAAATTTACTCATCTGTTGATGGACTCTTGGGTTGTTTCTTTTAGCTATTGCACTGAACATGGGAGTGTAAGTATCAAGTTCTGGCTTTCGGTTTATTTGGGTGTATACTTAGGAGTGGAATTGTTGGATCATATGATAAGTCAGTGTTTAGCTTTTTGAGGAGCTGCTAAGTTTTTCCATAGTGGCTGTACCATTTTACATCTCCACTGGCAGTTTAAAAATGTCCCAGTTTTTCTGTATTCCTGCCAACACTTGTTATTATCCTTTTTTGTTGTTGTTGATTATAGCTATCCTACTGGTTGTGAATTGGTATCTCATTGTGGTTTTGATTTACATTTCCCTAAAGACTAATGATGCTGAACATCTTTTCATGTCGTTGTTGGCAATTTGTATGTCTTCTTTGGTGTAACATCTATTCCAATCCTTTGCCCATTATTAACTTTTTAAAACAACTGTTTGAGTATTAAAAGTTCTTTATATATTCTGGATACAAGACCCTTATCAGAAAGGTGATATGCAAGTATCTTCTCCGATTCTGTAGATTCCTTTAATTTTGTTGGAGGTGTCTTTTGATGCACTAAATTTTTAAATTTTGAAGTGCAATGTATCTATTTTTCCCCTTGGTTACTTGTGCTTTAGGTGTCATATATAAGAAACTATGGGCTCCATTGTCCAATACAAGAACATGAAGATTTATACCTATCTTTTCTAAGACATTTATAGTTTTAGCTTGTAGATTCAGATCCTGGGTCCTTTTTGAATTAATTTGTGTATGTGCTGTGAAGTTTAACTTCATTCTTTTTCATGAAGATGCCCTGCTACCATTTATCGAAAAGACCATTTTTTCCCTGTTGAGTTATATTGGCATCCTTGCAAAAATCAATCAACCAAATAAGATGTATGGGCTTATTTCTGTACTCCCAGTTGTTTCATTGATCTGTATGTCAGGCCTTATGCTAGTACTGTACTGTTTTGATTACAGTAGCTTTGTAGTAAGTTTTAAAATTAAGGAGTGTGAGTCTCCAACATTGTTCTTTCATAAGCTTTTTTTTTTTTCTATTCTGAGTCTCTTGCATTTTCATTTGAAGTTTAGTACCAGCTTACGAATTTTGTTAAAAAGATGGCTAGGGCCAGGCGCGGTGACTCACGCCTATAATCCCAGCCCTTTGGGAGGTGGAGGCAGGCAGATCACTTGAGGCCAGGAGGTCAAGACCAGCCTGGCCAACATGGTGAAACCCCATCTTTACTAAAAATGCCAAAAATTAGCCAGGTATGGTGGCGTGCACTTGTAATCCCAGCTACCCGGGAGGCTGAGGCACGAGAATTGCTTGAACCTAGGAGGTGAAGGTTGCAGTGAGCCAAGATCACACCACTGCACTCCAGCCTGGGCAACAGAGTGAGACTCTGTCTCAGAAAAAAAAAAGAAGATGGCTAGAATTTGGCTAGAATTTTGATGGGCTTACATTGAATCTGTAGATCAATTTGGGGTATATTGTCATTTTAACAATACTAATTTCTCCAATCTTTGTACACAGGATGTCTTTCTTTTTATTTAGATCTTTTTTCCATTTCTTTCAACAGTGCTGTGTAGTTTTCAGGGTACAAGTCTTTCATGTCTTAAGTTTTTTTCATTTTAAAGATTATTTTCCAATTAATTTCAGAAGTTCTTGCATTTCTGAAAGTTATTTCTAAGCATTTTATTCTTTTTGAAGCTCTAGTAAATGGAATTGTCTTTTTTTTTTTTTTTTTTTTGTGGGACAGAGCCTTGCTCTGTCATCCAGGCTGGAGTGCAGTGGCATGATCTCAGCCACTGCAAGCTCCGCCTCCCAGGTTCACGCCATTCTCCTGCCTCAGCCTCCCGAGTAGCTGGGACTACAGGCTGGAATTGTCTTCTTAATTTCATTTTCAGATTGTTCATGGCTGGTGTATAGAAATAAACCTGATTAAATGATTTTTGTATATTGATCTATATACTAGATCCTGTCATATACAAATAGTTTCACTTCTTCCTCTCCAATCTAGATTCCTTGGCTAGAAAGAAGTGTTGAGAGCAGACATCCTGTCTTGTTCCTGCTCTTTGGAGGAAAGCTTCCCGTCATCAAGTATGATGTTAGCTATGGGTTTTTTCATAGATGTCCTTTATCAGGGTGGGGAAGTTCTCTTCTATTCCTAGTTGTCGAGTGTTTTTATCATGAAAGAAGTTGTCTTTTTATGCATTTGTACCTTTTATATGTATAAGATAAGGTATACATGAATGTGTTTAAATTGACTATCATAAAGATCTTTCAGATTCCCTAACAATTGATCTTAGCACCAAAAAAGTAAGTACAAGTACACTATGCTAGACTTTATGAGTACTCTTGATGATTTATGACCACCAAGAGAGCAAGAAAAATACAAGTTAGAACTGAAATGTCAACAGAAGCATAGTGCATTCATTTGTTGATTATGGAAGGTACATTAGCAATTGATTGATAACATTGTACACATTATTCACTAATAAAAATTAATGAAAAAGATTCCATTAGGGGAAAATATTATCTTTTACATATTTCTCTTTGTGTATTTTCTTTTCTTTCTTTCTTTTTTTTTTTTTTTTTTTTTGAGATGAAGTCTTACTCTGTCACCCAGGCTGGAGTGCAGTGGCGCTATCTAGGCTCACTGCAACCTCTGCCCCACCAGGTTCAAGTGATTCTCCTGCCTCAGCCTCCCAAGTAGCTGGGACTACAGGCACCTGCCACCATGCCCTGCTAATTTTCGTATTTTTAGTAGAGACAGGGTTTCACCATCTTGGGCAGGCTGGTCTTGAACTCCTGACCTAGTGATTCACCCACCTCAGCCTCCCAAAGTGCTGGGATTACAGGTGTGAGCCACCGTGCCCAGCCCTCTTTGTGTATTTTCTAATGAATGTGATATACTAGAAGAGTAGCTCTTGGCATAATTTCACTCATACTTAAATAAATGTGCATTTATTGAGGATATATGCATGCACAACAATTTGTTACTGCTGAGGTGTACAGTCAAAATAGTTTGCAAACCACTGGCTCTCAGGATAAAGTCAGGCCCCTTAACATGTTTCCAATCTACTTTTCTGCTCTTATTTCCCTAATCTTCAATGTAGCACATTGCATTAACAATCATTCCTAATATATTGTATGCTTAGACATTTCTGTGCTTATGCTTAAGATTTGTCTTTCCCCTTGGAATATTTTTTTATCGCTGTCCATGTTTTGAACTCCTACTTAGTCTCCAAATCCTAGCTCAGAATCCTTTTTCCCTCTATCCCCAACTACTCTTTCCCTCAATGGGCAGAATTAATTGCTGTAGTACTTTATTCATAATATCAAAGCAGTGCTTTTTATGGTATATTTTATTGATTTTATATGTCTCATTTTAACTAGATTGTGAGGGCATGTACCATATGTTAATCATCCTTTCACCATCAGGCCTGCACAGAGTAGACAGTAAATTTTTATCAAATGGAAGTCATAGAAAAAAACAAGAAAGAAAAACTGCTAGATAAAAATGATTTTGTTGTCTCAGAGAAGAAAGAAGGCAGTGTCAAGTCTGTACTGAGAAATGAATGAAAGAGAAATTATTTGGTCCGAGTAATCTATATCTGGAGTCTGCCCTAGTTACAGGTTATCAAGAGAGATGAAGACAAAAGAAGATACTATAGAAAAAAAGGCTTTCTTGGCTCTCTTATTTGGTCTTTACACTTGCGTTGCCTTTGCCTGGAATGCTGTTTTCCAGAAACCTGCATGGCTCTTCCACCTCCTTTGGATCTCTTCTCAGAAAGTCTTATTAGAGGCCTTCTAGGTCTACCCTAGTTATAAAAAAGCAGCCTGGCCTCCTTGTTGTACTGATATGCCCTGGCCACCTTCTGTTTCGTTTTTCCCCATAGCGCTTCTCATCTGACATAGTGTATATTCTATTTTAGGATGTGTTTATTGTCTATCCCTACTAAAGTGTAAATTTCACGACAGCAGGGACATTTTGCCTTTTATATCCGCTTTGTCTATGCCCCATCTCCAGTATCCTCAGCAGTGCCTGTCACATGGCACATGCTCAGTAATTAATAATAGTTATACTAGTAGGAAAAACATTGGGAAAACAAATCAGAAAAATTGGGAAACATCGGAGAATAATAAGTTACTTTTTCAAATAATTTCTCAACGCATTTTTCCTTAATCTCTAGACAGCTTTTCAGGTGATATATCTCTGAATTTAAGCAGTGAGTCTAATTGTTAATCTGAAAAAATAAATTCATGATTTTCCCTGTGTTTCCAGACTTTGGTGATATTCTATATTGTACTTATTGTAGTTTTAAAAGAGTCACCAGTTGGATACATTGCTTTAAAGTTAGAGGTACTTCACAGGAAACAGTGTCTAGGCTATAGAAGGACATATTGAGCATATTGTTTGAAAATGTAACTAACGTAGCGTTTAAAAATAAATTTGTTCTATATTTGCTAACTTTTGGGCTCTTTTATTAGCAAGCATGTTTACTGCACTTTGTAACAAGTGGCATTCTCAACACTTGGCATGTATGAATTCATTTAATCTTCACAACAACCCTTTGAGATGGGAAATGTTGTTGGCTCCTTTTTGCTGATGGGGAAACCAAGGTGCACAGAGGTTGAATAACTCTCCACACAGCTAGTTAGCAGAGTCAAGATTGCAATCTAAGCATTTTGGCTCCAGAATACATGTTCTCAACAACTACAGTATATTGTTGAATGAAGGAATTAAGGATGTGATCCTCATCCTGATCATTCTGTTCACTCCTTTACTCCATCCTGTCAGCATGTGTCATGTTTCCAGCTTTGACCAAACATTTAACCAGTTACATATAGCAGGATGGAAGGGACTGAGACTGAACTAATACTGATCACTATCCTGGGACAAGAATTCAGAAATGTATCCTTTTTATTAAAAAGTTTTTTAAAAATAAACTTCGTTTTTTAGAGCAGTTTCAGATTCACAGCAAAACTGAGAGGAAAATACTGAGTGTTCCCAAATACCCTCTTCCCCTGTACATGCGTAGCCTCCCCCATTATAAACATCCCCAACCAAAGTGGTACATTTGTTACAATCGATGAACGTACAGTTATGTATCATTTTTACCCAAAGTCCATAGCTTACTTTAAGGTGCACTCTTGGTGTTGTACATTTTATAGGTTTGGACAAATGTACAATGACATGTATTCATCATTATAATATCACACAGAGTGGTTTCACTGCCCTAAAATTTTTCTGTGCTGTGCTTATTTTTTCCTCCCTCCTTCAGCCCCTGCAAGCATTGATCTTTTCACTGTCTCCATAATTTTTCCTTTTCCAAAATGTCATTTAGTTGGAATCATTTAACATGTACCCTTTTTAAGTAGGTTTCTGTCACTGGGCTGGAGTGCAGTGGCATTATCAGAAGTCACTGAAGCCTTGAACTCCTTGGCTTAAGCAATCCTCTCAGAGGAGAATCAGCTTCCAGAGTAGCTGGGACTGTAGGTGCACACCACCATGCCCAGCTCATTTTAAAATTTTTTGTGGAGACAGAGTCTCACTACATTGCCCAGGCTGGTCTTGAATTTGTGGCCTCAAGCAATCCTCCTGTCTTGGCTTCCCAAATTGTTGGAATTATAGGCATGAGCCATTGCGCCCAGCCTCATTTCCTTTTAGCACTTAATAGTAGCCCATTGTTGGGATGAATCACAGTAAATTTATCCATTCACCTACTGAACGTTACCTTGATTGCTTCCAAGTTTTGACAATTACAAATAAACAACTGTATGAAGTTTTTTATGTGGACAATAATTTTCAACTCCTTGGAGTAAATACCAAGGAGCATGATGTACTCAATTGTATGGCAAGAGTGTTTAGTTTTATAAGAAACTGCCAAACTGTCTTTTAAAGTGGCAGCCCCATTTTGCATTCCCACCAGCAATAATGAGAGTTCCTGATGCTCTGCATCTTTACCAGCATTTGGTGTTGTCAGTGTTCTGGATTTTGGTCATCCTAATAGGTATGTATGTAGCATCTCTTATTGTTATTTTAGTGTGCATGTCTCTGATGATGTATGATGTGGAGGATCTTTCATATGCTTACTTGCCATCTGTATATCTTTTTTTTTTTTTTTTTTTTTTTTTTTGAGACAGAGTCTCACTCTGTCACCCAGGCTGGAGTGCAGTGGTGCAATCTTGGCTCACCGCAAGCTCTGCCTCCTGGGTTCCCACCATTCTCCTGCCTCAGCCTCCCAAGTAGCTGGGACTACAGGTACCCACCACCACACCGAGCTAATTTTTTTTATTTTTTAGTAGAGATGGGGTTTCACCATGTTAGCCAGGATGGTCTCGATCTCCTGACCTCGTGATCCGCCCGCCTCAGCCTCCCAAAGTGCTGGGATTACAGGAGTGAGCCACCGTGCCCGGCCTGTATATCTTCTTTAATGAGGTGTCTGTTAAGGTTTTAGGCCCTTTCTTAAGTCAGGTTGTTTGTTTTTACTGTTGAGTTTTAAGAATTCTGTGTATATTTCAGATAACACTCCTTCGTCTCATTTTTTTTTGCAAATATTTTCTCCCAGTCTGTGGCTCATATTTTCATTTTCTTGACCGTGTCTTTTGCAGATCAGAAATTTTAATTTTAATGAATAACACTATATTGCCTCATGGGTAGTGCTAGTACCTTATAATAATAAAATAATTCTGATTTCTTCTTCCTGTCCCTTGTATCATTGCTGTTACTTATTTTGCTTATACATAAGCATATGTGTAAGCATGTATAATCAAATACATTGTTGCTATTATTTTATTAATAAATAATAAGAAAGTTTTTATTTTCACTTATTCCTTTTCTGATGCAGTTCATTTCTTTATGCAGATCTGAGTTTCTGAACTTTATCATTTTCTGTTTCTCTAAAGAATTTCTTTGAATATTTTTTGCAAGGTAGGTTACTGGCCACAAATTCCCTCAATTTTTGTTTGGCTAAAAAGTCTTTATTTCTCCTTCACTTTCTTAGTTTTGGTTTCTGAGAAGTTGAATGTAATTCTTATCTTTGTTCCTCTATACGTAAGGTGTTTTTTGCCTCTGGTTTCTTTCAGGAGTATTTTTTTTTTTTTGAAAAAAAAATTTCCATTTATCCTGCTTAATGTTCTCTGAGCTTCCTTGATGTGTGGTTAGTGTATAACACTAATTTGGGGAAATTATCAGTGACTGTTTCACATATTTCTCCTGTTACTGTGTCTCTCTTCTTTGTTAATTTCCATTACACATATGTTACACCTTTTATAGTTGTCCCATAGTTCTTGGATATTCTGTTCTTGTTATTGTTGTTGTCATTCGGTTTTTCTCTTTGCTTTTCAGTTTTAGTGGTTTCTATTGAGATGTCCTCCAGCTCAAAGATTCTTTCCTCAGCTGTGTCCAGTCTCCCAGAAAGCCTGCCAAAGGCATTCTTCATTTCTGTTACAATATTTTTGATCGCTAGCATTTCTTTTTGATTCCTTCTTAGAATTTCTGTCTCATGCTTACATCACCCATCTATGCTGCATGCTGTCCACATTATCTGTTAGAGCCCTTACATATTAATCATAGTTATTTTAAATTCCTAGTCTAATAATTCTAATATCTCGGCCCTATCTGCACCGGGTTTTGTTACTTGTTCTGTCTCCTCAAACTGTGATTTTTTCCTTTTAGTATGTCTTATGATTTTTTCTTGATAGCTGGGCATGAGATACAGTAAGAGGATCTCAGGTAAATAAGCCTTTAGTGATGTGGCAGTAAGTTAGGCTTACTGATCTTCCAGATCAGTTAGGCTCTGTTAAGACCCCATCAGGTTAGGCTTTGGTTAACTAGCTTCTCCTAAGGGCAGAACTTGTTAAGAACAGAGTGCTCTGGAAAATTCTGAATGGTTCCTTTTTTTCCTTCCCCTGCTAGAAGCACCAGGGGATTTTTCTCCAGTATTTACTGCGAGAACTTGGTCGAGATCCTTGAGGTAAAACAAAAGTGAGGGAGGCCCTGAAGACTTCCCCTGGAGTTTTTATCTCTCAGTTATAGTTCAGGCTTCCCGACCTCAGCACTTGTTTCCTTGGAGGTTTCTGCTCCAGCAAGCCATGATTCTCTGTACTGTATTTGCCTGTCAGTCTCAGTGTGGGGCTAAGTGGTTTGCCCTGTGACTACACCTCTCTGACGGATCCAAGAAGAGTTGATTTTTCTGTATGTTCAGCTTTTTACTTGTTAGGATGGAGTGGCGACTCCAACTTTTTACATTTTGGATCAGAAGTCAGGTTTATCCTTTTTTTTATCCGTTTCTAAGTTGTTTAGGTCAAGGATGGCAAGAAGCATGCACCATGTGCTCTTTATTGTGGCTCTTGAGGCTTTAAAAATCCTTCACTAATTTGAAGGTCTTGGGTGGACAGCTAGAAACAGTTGGCAAGGCTGGGTCAGTCTCTTTTATCTTAGGTTAAGACCCATTACAATTTAGGCTCAACCTCACAGGAGTGGGCACCATAGTTACCACAGGTGATTCAAGGTTCCCAAGTGATCGTCCTGAATCTCGTTAACATTCGCAGGTAGTCTGACATTCTCTCTTTTATGCCTACAATGTCTGTATGCCTCTGTCACAGTCCATTTATGTACACATCTTTATCCCTTGCAAAACTCTGAATTTTTCAAGGGCAAGAACAGTGTTCCTAGCACTTAGTACCTTGCCTTGGGGTAGGATCACTCAATATATATTTGATGAATGAATGATTAATACCTTGATATTTTTATACCTTTAGCAAATTTAAAGCAATTGACTTTTTTTAGAAAGATAAAAAATAGAAATGTCAGAGTTGACTAATACAAAAATTTCCCTTTCTTCACTACAAATTACTTTTTAAAATAGTTTTATGCTAACCACTTTATTGAAATATAATTTACATATTATGACATACTTAAATCTTAAGTATACAGTTGGATGAATTTGGATGAGTGGAACCATCACCCATAGCACAATAAAGAACATTTTAATCACCTCATCCAGTTCCTTCATCCCTGCTTGCTTTCCCTCCTCTCCAGAGGCAACTACTTTTTGAATTTCTTTTTTTTTTTTTTTTTTTTAGATGACCCGTTAATTTTACTTCATCCCAACAATGACCTTGCAGAATCTGCGTCCCTGACGCAAAGCAGGAAGCAAATATTTGGGCAAGAAAATAAAGTCAGTTACAGATTTCACAAGTATCTTGTACACCAGTCTGTAATTTTTAATTAGAATTAGCTAAAAGACGTTGTACCTTTCGCGTGTATGACTGAGCATAACAGTGCTTAACAGTGGCTTTATTAAGTGAATGCCTGAAAGTATTCAACATTAAATTCAATTTATTTCACATTAATGTTTGCAAATACATCATCAATTCTTACATATTTCAAATCAACTTCAAGTACAGAAGGCTTCCTCTCAAATAAGTCTCCTGAGGTGACATAAAGACTGAAAGAAGCCTATGACTTGAGTCCAAGTCTCTAACCAACAATCACCATATCGTCACTGGTGAACTCATACGTGGGGACTTCAAGGTTGAGAGTAGCAGGACCCAATCTGATCCTGCCAGATGCATCATAGTGTGACCCATGGCAAGGGCAGTAATAACCACCAAAATCTCCTGCATTTGCAATGGGTACACAACCAAGATGAGTGCAAACACCTATCAGGATAACCCATTCAGGTTTCTTTACTCGATCTAGATCATGCTGTGGGTCCCTCAACTGTGATAATTCAACTGCAGCTTCCTGCTTAATTTCCTTCTGGGTTCTATGACGTACAAACAGGGGTTTGCCTCTCCATTTGAAAGCCATGTTCTTGCCTTCTGGAATATCGGATAACTTGATTTCGATTTTCGCCAGGGCCAACACATCAGCAGAAGCACTCATGCTGGAAACGAACTGGGTGACGGCATTCTTGGCAGCATATGCGACACCCACAGTAGTTACTCCAGTTACCAAATAGGAGAAACCTTTCCTAGCCTCGGTGCTTTCTCTTGAAGACTTCGTACTATCTAAAACTTCAAGGCGGCGGTATTCAGAGAAGTCAGGCACCTTGACGTCTGTGTGGGAATAACAAACAGAAGCAGGGACATTGAGGCCCACGGAGGCGACCAAAGGCCGGCGCACGGCCTGGCCGCTCAGCGACTCCCGGCTGAGGAAGGGCCGCTTCAGGTCCAACACAGGCTGCTCCGGGGTGGCGGGCACCGTGGCCTGCACCAAGGGCCGCAGCGCGCCCGCCACCCCGCGGGACGTGGCCGACAGGACGGGCGCGAACGGGCCCGAGCGGGCTGCGACCGACCGAATTTCTTTAACTGTATAGATTTGTTGCATTTGTTCTTAAAATTTATATAAATGGAAGCATACCGTATGTGTTCTTCAGTTTCTGGCTTCTCTCAACATAATGTTTCTGAGAGTCATCCATATTGTTATGTATATCAGAATATCATTTGTTTTTATTGCTGAGTTGTATTCAATTGTATGTGCATACCACAGTTTATCCATCTTTTGCTGATGGATAATATTTGGGATGCTTATAGCTTTGAGTTATTGTGAATAAAACTCTTATGAACATTCCTGTGCGATATGCATTCGGTTCTCTTTGGTATATCCTGAAGAGTGAAATTTCTGGGTTGTAGAAACCATTAAATATGACTAGAAACTAAAGTTTTCTTAAGTGATTTCACTACCAATATATGAGAATTTGTTGTTCACATCCTTATCAACACTTAGGAATGTTATTATTTTCAATTTAGCCATTTTGTTGGGAGTATAATGTTGTTTCAATTTGGTTTTAATTTGCATTTCCCTGAAAAGTTGTTAAGTGCCTTTTCATATGATTTTTGCCCACAAGGACATCTTTTGCCTGTTCAAGTATTGCCTGCTCAAATATTTTGCCTATTTTTAACATTTTATCTTTTTATTATTGATTTCTAGGAATTTTTACATATTTTGGATATGAGTTCTTTGTCAGATAGACATATTATAGATATTTTCTGCCATCCTACAAGCTACAAAAATTCTGTAGCTTGTCTTTTCCATTTCTAATGTTGTCTTATGATGAGTAGAAGTTTGTCATTTTGGATGTGAGGGCAATCTGGCTGGCTAGGCAGGAGTCCTTTTCCTTCCTCACCGCTGTATGTGTGTCTCTCCTAAAGTTGGATTCTTGGTCAAAGAGGATGACCTTTGCTGATAGAAGAGGATTTTTCTTTGGTCAAGGGTATAGGAGTAGCTGCACTCCCTTTTTAGGACCTCCAAACAAGCTCTCAAGATCTATTTGTAGGAGAACATGGGGTAAAAATAGTTTTAAGTTGGTAATTTTCATGAAGTTCAATCTGTTTTTCTTTTATGGTGATATAGTTTAGCTGTGTCCCCACCCATATCTCATCGTGAATTCCATGTCTTGTGGGAGGGACTCTGTGGGAGGAATTGAATCATGGGGGCAGGTCTTTTGTGTGCTGTTCTCATGATAGTGAATAAGTCTCATAAGATCTGGTGGTTTTATAAGGGGGAGTTTCCCTGCACAAGCTCTCTTTCTTTGCCTGCCACCATCCACATAAGATGTGACTTGCTCTTCCTTGCCTTCTGCCATGATTGTGAGGCCTCCCTAGCCATGTGGAACTGTAAGTCCATTAAACCTCTTTCTTTTGTAAATTGCCGAGTCTTTGATATGTCTTTATCAGCAGTGTGAAAGTGGACTAATACATATGGTTAATGCCTTTTTTACCTTGTCAGAGAAACTTGCCTATCCCAAGGAATATGTTCTATGTTTTCTTCCAGATATTTATAGTTTTAACTAGGTCTGTGATCCATCTAGAATTAGCTTTTGTGTATATTGTGAGATAGAGTTCATTCTTATCTGTATGGTATCCAATTGCTTGAGAAGTATTAGATTTTAATAATAGAGTATTTCCATATGCATGATCTTGTTTGATCTCCTTAAAGCATCTTATGAAAAATGAAGAGCAGGTATTTTCTCTCTTACAGAGACTTGGAGGCAAAGCTCAGAGATATTAAGTTATTTAGGTAAGGTTACATATCCAATTTATGGCTGAACACAATTAGAACTCATCTAAATAATATATCCTGATATTTAGTCATATGCTATTAGTATACTAAACAGCCTCTCCTAGTTGAGTCTTAAAAATATCCAAATGGGGTTTCACTGAAATACTAGTGTGAACTTAATTAAAATTATCTGAAAAATATCTAATCAAATATGAAAGTTTTAAAATATCATCAAATTATTTACACAAATTACAGTATTCTTTTAAAACCAATTCAGATTCTAGGAATTGTATGGATTATAGATTTGTGTGTTTTTTTAATTCTCAATTAGCTAAGTCATGAAACTGCAATTAATTTTATTTAAATAAACTATTTCATATACACATACACACATACATTTCAATTAAAGGTATAATTTTAAAAACAGGGCCACATTTTAAAGAGACAGATTTCAATGTTGTTATTAAAAGTTATGTTAGGCTGAGTGTGGTGGCTCACTCCTGTAATCCCAGCACTGTGGGAGGATTTCCTGAGGTCAGGAGTTCAAGACCAGCCTGGGCAACATAGTGAGACCCTGTCTCTACATTAAAAAAAAAGAAAAAGAAAGAAAAGAAAATTAGCTAGGCATGGCTGATGGGGGGCTGAGGTGGAAAGATAGCTTGAGCCCAAGAGTTTGAGGTTGCAGTGAGCTATGATTGTGCCACTGCACTCTACCCTGTCTCTAAAAAAAAAAAAAAAAGTGATTTTACTAGAAGTAGCATTCATTGGTGATATTCTTGCCATTGTAGCTTTTCATTTTCATTTTCAGTCACCTAATTTAGGAATGAGGTGCTTCACATTTATACTAATGACCGATTTCTGTATTAGTATAATACTCCCCATTGTATCCTCTCCCATTGTATCCTCCAACACTCAGGGATGTGCTCATACCAGTTGCCTACCTATTTGCTCACCAGATTTTGAATATCTTAGACTAAGAACTAAGCCTTTAAGCTATAGATGAGATATAAATTAAAATATGAAAGGCAAATACTGTGGAAGACATAATACATTTATTTATATTTACACTAGGTTTTGTTGGGCAGTGGGGGGAGGTTGTTTTTTGAGTTTAGATTCTCATAGAAAGAGAGAAAACATCAAGTATTTGGCCCTTGAAAAAGGTTTAGACAAAGCGGGAACCCTAGGAATAGAAGGAAAAAGCAATGTCTGAGGTCTTCCTTTTCAAGGCAATTATAATGAATTGAATAAAGCCAAGATATCTGGAAAAAATACATTCAAGAAAAATAAAATAGGAAATATTTTTTAAATTGCTCTAGATGTTGATTAGCCATGTCAAGGCTATAAAGCCAAATAACTAAAATTTGGGGGCATTAATACACTCACAGAAGGGATGGATTTGGGGTATATGAGGCAGTTCCTAGTAGTATGATACAGGGGCCAAGCATTATAGGAAACATTCTAGCTTAAAAGTGGATCAGATTTAATTTTCAGACTAGTGTCAGACATCGAGAGTCAGAATTCTCTAATCGGTGAACCCACCTAATATATGATGGTGGATTAGATTAATAAATTAGTGCAATTTCAATGCACTCATGGTTGGTGGGTTAATTAACACAGGCTTCTGAGTTCATTTATAGCTTAAGTGAGCAAATGTAATTTCCTGTAACAAATATTTTTGATGAACAAATAGTTTCCTTTAACAAACATATGTTACAGGCTTTAGGTCATCATAAGCCTTGTTGTTAGAAGTTGTATCATTGTGAATTTAAACCAAAAACTTTTATTTAAAATAGTTGAATATTTAGCCTTGTGTTCCTTTTCAACAAATGTAATCCTGTTGGTAATCATGATAGCAAGAAGCAAAGCATGAATTCTTTTAAGCTTAAATGTGACTTTTACCCAGCTGGCTAGTCTTCCCACGGAGCTCTTTATTTATTGTACTCAGATGGACGACAAAGCACAGTAAACAAAAAAGGGAAAGCAACCAGTTTAGCCCTTTCAGTGCTGTGTCAACAGAACTATTCTCTCTTAAGGTTCTCATCAAATGAAATCACTGGTAAGTATATGCTAAGGTCAGTCAAAGAAATTAAAGCCAACCTCCACTTTCTAGTTTATTAGCTTTATGACTTCAGGAAAGTTACTTCATCACCCTAAACCTTACTTTTCTCTTTGGTAAAATGGACTTAACTCTGAGGATGGTTGTGAGGATTAGAGATATGTCTGAGAGTTAGTCACATAGTAAGTTACCTGTCGATATTAGTTACTACTATCAGCTCTTGATAGATTTTAACTTTTATTATTTTCATTTCCTAGAACAGATATTCATGTTCAAATAAAGCTCCATTCAGATACTCACTAGGAAGGTCCGTATTTATTTATTTATTTATTTATTTATTTATTTATTTATTTATTTATTTTAGAAGATGGGCTCTCACTCCATTGCCCCGGTTGGAGTGTAATGGTGTGATCACAGCTCACTGCAGCTTCCAACTCCTGGGCTCAAGTTGTCTCCTGAGTAGTGGGGACTACAAGTGTTTGCCACCATGACTAGCTAATTTTCTTTCTTTCTTTCTTTTTAATGTAGAGAAGGGATCTCTGTATGTTGCCCAGGCTGGTCTCAAACTCCTGGCCTCAAGTGATCCTCCCACCTCGGCCTCCCAAAATGTTAGAATTACAGATATGAGCCAGTAGAAAAGGAGGTCTTTTCTACTGTTCTGTAAAGTGGTCACCCTCTACTTGTCCCTAGCACCTTGTCCACGTATACATTGTAGCCCTGTCACACTGCCATAATTATTGATTCACACATTGGCCTCCCTTACTAGGTTTGGAGGGCTGAGGATACTTTATTTGTATCTCAGTTTCTTCTCTTTCTGTGGTGGAAGTGGGAAATCAGCATTTGCTGACAATGGCTGATGGGCCGACTGAATGGCAAGTATGCTATTATAAACCCAAAGAAGGAATTTGTAGGTTTAATATTTTCTCTTTATCCTAAATATTCTTCTATTTTTCTGAAGTGTTTCTGGTATAGATTTATTTTTATTTATCTTACTTCGTCTTTGGAGATCATTTTTGACATGAAAATTTATGTCTTTTCTGTAAAATTCTCAACTCTTGTCTCTGAATATTGCTTTTTTTCTATTACCTTAATTTTCTTTTGAAACTTCCTCTAGACGAATATTAGGGCCTATAATCTGTTCTTTATGACTTTTAATTAATCTTTTTAATCTTGTTGCCTCTCTGTGCTGTATTTTGGGAGAATTCCTTAGTACTGTTCTCCTGTTGGCTGGACACGGTGGCTCATACCTGTAATCCCATCACTTTGGGAGGTCAAGGCAGGTGGATCACTTGAGGCCAGGAGTTGAAGACCAGCCTGGCCGACATGGCAAAGATATTAAACATACAAAAATTAGCCAGGCCTGGTGGTGTCTGCCTGTAATCCCAGCCACTCGGGAGGCTGAGGCATGAGAATTGCTTGAACCCAGGAGGCGGAGTTTGCAGTGAGCTGAGATTGTGCCACTACACTCCAGCCTAGGTGGCAGGTTGAGACATTGAGACTGTCTCAAAAATAAATAAATAAATAAATAAATAAATAAATAAATAAATAAAGTACTGTTCTCCAATTACCAAATCTATCTTCAGCTGTTCTAGTCTGGTTTTTACCTTGGATGTTGAATTTTTTTAAAAAAATCTCAATGACTGTAGTTTTCATTTCTAGGATTTTAATTGATTTTTTTCATATCCATCTGTTCCTGTTTCATATCTGCCTTTGTTTTGTTTTATACTTTTATATTCCTTGTTGTCAATATGAGTCATGTATTAATCTCTTTATTTAAAAATCTTTGTTAGAGGGTTTTCAAATCATAGAATATAGATTCCATAGAAGATCCTATAGAAACATTGATTTCATTTGGTGTGGATTTATATTGTGATTGCTGGTTTTTTTTTTTTTTTTACAATTTTAACTTTTATTTTAGATTCAAGGGGTACATGTGCAGGTTTGTTACCTGGATACACTGTGTGATGCTGAGGTTTGGGGTATGATTGATCCCATCACCCGTGTACTAATCATAGTACTCAATAGTGCATTTTTCAGCCCTTGCCTCCCTTCTCTCCTCCCACTTCCAGTAGTCCTGTTTCTGGTGTTGCCATCTTTATGTCTATGGGTACCCAATGTTTAGCTCCCATTCTCCCATTTATAAGTGAGAACATCCAGTATTTGGTTTTCTGTTCCTGCATGAATTTGCTTAGGATAATGGCCTCCAGCTGCACCCATGTTGCTGCAAAGGACATGATTTCATTCTTTTTTATGGCTGCATAGTATTTCGTGGTATATGTACCACACTCTCTTCATTCAATCCACCATTGATGGGCACCTAGATTGATTCCACGTCTTTGCTATTGTGAACAGTGCTGCAGTGAACATACAAGTGCATGTGTATTTTTGGCAGAATTATGTATTTCCTTTTGGATATATACCTAGTAATGGGATTGCTGGGTTGAATCCAGTTCTCAGTTATTTGAGAAATCTCCAGACTGTTTTCTACCATGGTTGAACGAATTTACATTCCCACCAGTAGTATACAAGTGTCCCCTTTTCTCCACAGCCTTACCAGCATCTGTTGTTTTTTGGCTTTTTGATAATAGCCATTCTGACTGGTGTGAGATGGTATCTCATTGTGGTTTTGCTTTGCATTTCTCTGATGGTTAGTGATGTGGAGCATTTTTTCTGTGTGTTTTTTGGCCAATTGTATGTCTTTTGAGAAGTATCTGTGCATGTTTTGCCCATTTTTTAGTTGGGTTATTTGTTTTTTGCTTGTTTAATTGTTTAAGTTCCTTATAGATTCTGAATATCAGACCTTTGTCAGATGCATAGTTTATGAATATTTTCTCCCATTCTATAGGCTGTCTCTTTACACTGATAGTTTCTTTTGTTGTGCAGAAGCTCGTTAGCTGAATTAGGTGCCACTGGTCAATTTTTGGGTTTTATTGCAGTTGCTTTTGAGGACTTACTCATAAATTATTTCCCAAGTTCAATGTCCAGCGTGGTGTTTTCTAGCTTTTCTTCTGGGATTCTTATAGTTTGAGGTCTTACATAGATTGCTGATTTCATTGGCTGACTTTCTTAGCGTTAGATTTTAAAAATGTGTATTTTAGAATTTTAGTGTTTAGGCTATTTTGAGTGGGAGATTTTTTCCCACAACCACTCATGTTCATTTCCTTCCTTTTTTTTTTTTTTTTTAATAAAATAAAGGTTTCTCCAGTTCCCTCTACCCAGGTCTTCTAGACTCCCTCCTGTACAGGCCTTATAAAGTTGGCTTGGGGCACATGCCCTGTGATAATACTAGAATGTCCTAGACCCAGGGGCTGAGCAAGCAGGTGGCTTCATTTAGTTCCAAGTATTAAGACTGCATGTGTATCCTCCTGCTTTTAGATCCACAGCCACAAATAAGTTGTATCCCGGGAAGCAGTTGATGGCTATTTTTTTTTTTTCTTCTCCTTTTCTTCCCAGGCTTCTCTCACAAACACTGCCCCCATAACATTAAAGAGTGAGACCAGCTGTGGTTTCCTAACACCTGAGGAGCTGAACTCTGGGCTGGCAGATCAAGAGCCCAGCAGCCCTTGGCTTCAGCCTCGCTCACTGCTTTTTCATTTCTGTTATATTTCTGCTTCGTGGGGGTTTTTATCTTGTTTTTGAGACTGGCAGTGTCTATTATTGCTGTGTATTTGGAATAGAACAGGGGGATACTTTGAAGCATGAACTTACTGTGTCAACTTGACTGGAGGGATTTTTTTTTTGAGACGGAGTTGTGCTCTCATCGCCCAGGCTGGAGTGCAATGGCGCGATCTCGGCTCACTGCAACCAACTGAAGGTTTTCTATCCTGGAAACTTGATCAGATATTTTAGATACTTCTCCCCTCCCTTTCTACCCCCACCGCGTTACCTGAAGGCATTGTGGAGGGTAGATTGGAAGGGAGACTAAAGCTAAGTAAGTAATTTAGGACACCACAGGCAACAAATGATCAAGGTCTGAATCAAGATGAAGAGGAGAGAATGGATTTGGAAGATAATTAGTGGGTATAGTCAATAGACGTGGATAACTGAATTTGGGAGGTATATGTTCATATTTCTAACTTAGAGTAGAGATAAAAGTCACCGAGAAAGGAATATGGGAAGAAGAGTAGATTTTGGTAGGGCAGTAGGTCAGGAATAGAGACAGGAGTATTAAGATTTTTACGATTGTTTGAAGCCTAGCACGTGTTTTAGTATAAAGATCTTCTGATACATATTTTTCCTAGTGGTGCATCTCAATGCCAAAGATCTTTGAATTTACCATATTTGCAATCTCTTTACACGATGGTCAGCTGTAAATGTATATAGATTTCTCGGGCCGGGCGCGGTGGCTCACGCCTGTAATCCCAGCACTTTGGGAGGCTGAGGTGGGTGGATCGTGAGGTCAGGAGATCAAGACCATCCTGGCTAACACGGTGAAACCCCGTCTCTACTAAAAATGCAAAAAAATTAGCCGGGCCTGGTGGCGGGCGCCTGTAGTCCCAGCTACTCCGGAGGCTGAGGCAGGAGAATCGCTTGAACCCAGGAGGCAGAGCTGGCGGTGGGCCGAGATCGTGCCACTGCATTCCAGCCTGGGCAACAGAGCGAGACTCCGTCTCAAAAAAAAAAAAGTATGTAGATTTCTCCTCAGCATTTGGAAAACTTTTCCTCAGCATATTCATTCATTTCATAAACTTTTCTTAAGTGTCTCTTAAACAAGCATAGTCTGGACTTCGTGGATGTCACAGTTAATTGGAGGGAAAAGACAGTTACCAAATGGGCAATGACTAACTGTGGAAGTGCTGTGAAGGACAAGGGTAAGGTACTGTGACAGTGTTTGAAAGCAGGGCCTGGCCAAGTCAGAGGCCCATGTCTGCATAGGGCACAGCGGGAGAGGGTGTTCACTGTCCGTGGAAGGCTTTCCTGAAGAAATTGGAGCTGTTCCCTGTCTGGCGCACTCTGCCCTAATGTCTGTGCAGAGCTGGCTGCTTCTTACTATTCAAGACTCAGCCATGTTACCTCTTCTGCAAGACTTTCCGTGACCACACCCAAAATTAAAGTCTGGCACATCACCCTTCTTTATTTCCTTTAGAGCATTTATCTGAAATTATCTTGTTTATGATTATTGGCTGTTTCAACCAACTACAATGTAAGTGTCACAAGTGCAGGGACCTTGTCTTTTTCTGACTTGCACCCCCATTGCTTAGAATACTTCCTGAAACATAAGTATTCCAGAAATTATTAATGGACTGCATAAATGAATGTCCTTGGGCCTTGATCTCTTGCATAGTTGCTCTACTAATTTGATTTCCTTGTCCTTTTTTTGTTTGTTTGGGAGGACTCCTCAAGTTGGCTGTCTACTTGTTCATTTTTCTGTCACCTGGACCCTACCCTCACGCCCCCGTTGTGCTCTAACTGAGGTTGCCAATCGTGGCATCACACCCTATGGCCATGGTGATGGGCATGTGACTGTTTCAAGCTGGGTCACTTGGAGTCCTTCTCCTGATACTCCAAATTTGAAGAGGGAGACTTCTCAGGTGGCAGTGTGAATCTAGAGCTGTTGGTGGCCATAACCATCCAGATAAAAGAAGCCAACTTGCAAGAAGAGAAAATGCAAGCATTTCCTAGAGAAGCAGAGATGGCAGGGGAGAGATGTCCTGGTAGTTTTCCAGTCTTGGCTTCCTTTGTACCTGAGGCTCAGTTGCAACCCCTGGTTTTCCCTAGCTTTTGCATTACCCAGTTCAAATGGAGTTTCTGTCACTTAGAGCCAAAAGATTCCCAATTAAAACTGTATATAGCTTTATTTTCACTTTAACCTGCACCTCATCTAACAACCTTTTTATCTTGATGTGTTTTATGTAATATCCTTGGGTATTGATCTGTTGGACTAGTTTAATTTCTGATTTCAGAGAATCCATGTTTTCTACTTCCAACTCCATTTCTTAATTTTGCTGCCTAAGTTTTCTACTTCCAGTACTATTCTTTGTTGGTATGCTGTCCTCCCTTTCTTTTCAGAAACATATTGTTTAGTAGTAAGAAGGTGCTAATTATTACTGTTGTTGTTATTTAACTCATCCTTGAAGCAGGTTTATTACGTTCTTCTTAGATTTTCTCACTTTCAACTTTGATGCTTTTGAACAGCCAGGCTAGTATCTAGTATCTCTAGTACCTTCTCTAGGATGATAGCAAGCTAGGGTAGTGGGCAGAAGCTCACTTCTGGGTGATTTATTCCCTATGTTTGGTGAACTGCTGTGGCCTGATCTTCCTGGTGCTGCTGAGTCCTACCTCAGGGAGGGGCTCTGATGATCTGGGGAGAAGTCCTCCACTATTGCAACTGGCTCTTTGCTTGGTGTAATTGCTTGTCTCTTAGAACTATTGCAGCTGTCCTCAAATCCCACCAATCCACACAGACTCCAAGGAGAATATTTCATATCTATTCTATAATTTCTAGTTCTAACTTAATGAGAGCAGTGTTACAAGAAATTATTTCAGGCCAAGCAACTGTCTTAGGCAGCTAAGTTGTAAATTGACTTAGTATTTTTCATCAATCTGGTTCCAGTTACACTATGTCAAGAAGAAAATTAGCAGCTTTTTGGTAATTTATTCCTTTATGATTAATTCACTCGGTAAATTTTTTGTTTTGTTTTTGAAACTGAGTCTCACGCTGTCACCCAGGCTGGAGTGCTGTGGCCCAATCTCAGCTCACTGCAACCTCTGCCTCCTGGGTTCAAGCGATTATCATCCCTCAGCCACCTGAGTAGTTGGGATTACAGGTGTGCACCACCGTGCCCAGCTAACTTTTGTGTTTGTAGTAGAGACAGGGTTTCACCATGTTGCCCAGGCTGGTCTCAAACTCCTGGCCTCAAGTGATCTATCCACCTTGGTCACTCAGTAAATATTTACTGAGCATCTACTGTGTGCCAGTCACTCTTGCAGACACTGAAGATATCAGTGTCTAAAATGAGACTTCTCTGCCCCTCATGGAGCTTATATTTTTGGTGAGGAAACAAACAATAAATAAGTAAACCAATAAATATATAATATTAGGTAATGATAAATGCGAATGTGAAAAATAAAGCAGGATAAAGGAATAGAGAGTGATGAGGGTGGGGCTATTTTAGAAAGGGTAGGCAGAAGGGAGATTCTCTGAGGAGGTGACACTTGAGACCTGAATGAATCAGGGATAGAGCCACACAAAGAGTTCCTGGCAGAAGCAACAGCCAAAACATGGCTCTAAGTAGATGAAGAGCTTGGTGGGATTGCAGAATAAAGCACCAGGGTAGCTAGAGTAGAAGGAATGAGGGGGAAGGTGGAAGGAGATGAGTTCCTGATGTTAAAAATGGGAAAACATGTTCTTTGTGCCTCCAAAACCAATCTTTGTCCATTTTTCAGGGGAAAGATAAGTGTCTGACATATTGTTCCCAAAGGCTAAAATTCACAGCCGACTTCTGTTTATCACACGACACTGAATGGTTACCCAAAACATTGTGGAAATTCGGGTTATGGAATGCAAACTGATCATAGGAAGCTAAGAGTGTTTAGAATGATATGATTTGAAGCAGTTATAAAGTAGATTTGGAAGGAAGAAATAACTAAGAAGTGAGATTAGATAAAATAATCTTGGAAAAGATGGCAACTTGAGCAAAGGTTGCTGACACTGTCCACACCAGTCCTTAATGAAGTGACCCGCAGTGAGAGAACATCGTTGGCCACTGTCATCTAAATATACCCCAAATTTGACCATTTCTCATCACTTCCACTGCTAGTAAATTATAGTTAGAAAACATTAATACTTTAATTCATCACACCTAGAGCCCAAAATGAACATACAAGTGGATCATTAGGGACTTTTCAGTTTATTTTTGAAAGGTGGCTTGGGAAGCCATGTTTGTGAGTTCATCCCAAGATGGAGAAAGGTAAGTGATTTCCTTTATCGTTTTTCTAGGAAGAAGGTTGAAAAAATAGTAATACCTTATATTCGAGTGAGTTATAGGTTACAGTGTACCTTTGTATCTGGGAATTCAACCATACAGATACTGCTTGTGCTGCTTTTCAGATAGAAGACTCAGGCCCAGATAGACCACCTGACTGACTGAAAGTCACACAGATGGTTAAGGACAGAGCTATCACTCTCACTAGAATTCTTGTCTTTGACTGTGCTCTGTCACTCTGTTAAAAAGCAGCAAATTGTTTTGATAGGATGTTACGTCAGAGAAAAGCCAATTGCTCTCCCTTTTCTTGTCCCACCCCAACTGTACCCCTGTAAGGTAACAGATGTTAACAATATTCTGAGTATGCCATCTGTTTGCCTGCCTGCCTGCCTTCCTATATTCTTGCCTGTCTGTCTATCTGTCTTAGTCTGCTTGTGCTGCTATAACAGAGTATCACAGACTGGGTAATTTAGAAAGAAGAGAAATTTATTTTCTCATGGTTCTGGAGGCTGGAGAGTCCAGGTTCAGGGCACTGGCAGGTTCAGTTGTCTAGTGAGGGCTGCTGTCTGCTTCCAAGATGGCGCCTTGATGCTGCATCCTCTGGAAGGGAGGAATGCTGTGTCCTCATGTGACAGAAGGTCCGAAAGGCGATGGTGGAAGGCAAGCAAGAGACAAATGCTGTGGGAAGCCTCTTTTATAAGGACCTTTAGTCTGTTCACAAAGGAGGTGACCTCATGGCATAATCACCTCTTAAAGGCTCCACCTCTTAATGCTATCACATTGGCAGTACTTGAATTTTGGAGGGGATACATTCAAACCACAGTTGTATGTATTTCTTTATCTGCTTCTCTCTTCCGTGTACATATATGGTGATTTCTTTTCCTCTATATGTTACAGCTTCAAATCCTATTGTGTATGTTACTCTAAATCTTTAACCATGTGTCCTGGTCATACATCTAGGTCAGTATATCTAGATCTAATTCATACCCCTTCTTTGTATGCCTATATTGTTTGATTATTGCAAAGTATTATTGCTTTTTCTTTCTTTTTTTTTTTTTTTTTGAGACAGAGTCTCGCTCTCTTGCCAAGCTGGAGTGCAGTGGTGCAATCTCAGCTCACTGCAACCTCTACCTCTTGAGTTCAAGTGATTCCCCTGTCTCAGCTTCCTGAGTAGCTGGGACTACAGGCACATGCCACCATGCCCAGCTAGTTTTTTGTATTTTAGTAGAGACAAGGTTTCACCATATTGGCCAGGATGGTCTTGATTTCCTGACCTCGTGATCTGCCCACTTCAGCCTCCCAAAGTGCTGAGATTACAGCCATGAGCCACCGCACCCAGCCATATATTGCTTTTAAAAGGAAAATCCAATAATGTATTTAAAGTGAAAAATGTAATGCCAGTATATAATTTTATCATATATTAATGACTTATTTACCTTTTAAAGTATAAGAAAAGGAATATACTTATCAGTAGTTCTTTATTTGCTGCAGGTTTTTTCACTGCTGAGATTTTTATTTTTAAAAAAATTTCTGTAGAAAAAAAATTAATTATAGCCTTAACTAGTATTTCCTTTTCTAAGCAGAGTCAATGTATTTTTCAGGTTATTATATCCGGGAAAAATCTAAGCAAGTCATCACATTGCTGATGGATGAACCATTGCTGTGTAAAGAGAGGGAAGTGGCATGTCGGACTAGACAGCGTACCTCCCACTCTATATTGTTTTCTAAAAGACAACTTGGTTCAAGTAACTCACTGACAGCGTGCACTTCTGCCCCCACACCGGATATTTCTGCTTCAGAGAAGAAGTATAAGCTTCCTAAGTTTGGAAGGTTACATAATAAAAGTACGTATAATGAACATTGGCCTAAAATGCAACAGGTATCATTAAAAATGATTTAAAAATATAAAATATTATGTTTTAGTACTAAATTATTAATATTATTTAGTATTACTATTACCATATTAGGCTTCATACTATAGAAAACAACAACGAAGAATATTCAATAGAAGATTTTATGACCTTTTTAAAGTTTATTTGTTTGCTTTATTTATTTATTTATTTATTTTTGA
Source organism: Homo sapiens (assembly GCF_000001405.40). NCBI lineage: Eukaryota > Metazoa > Chordata > Mammalia > Primates > Hominidae > Homo > Homo sapiens. The sequence continues at coordinate 39,861,537 of NC_000022.11, read as the reverse complement.
GACGGAATCTTGCTCTGTCTCCTAGGCTGGAGTGTAGTGGCACTATCTCAGCTCACTGCAACCTCTGTCTCCTGGGTTCAAGCAATTCTCCTGACTCAGCCTCCTGAGTAGCTGGGATTACAGGCACCCATCACCATGCCCAGCTAATTTTTGTATTTTTAGTAGAGACAGGGTTTCAGCATGTTGCCCAGGCTGGTCTCGAACTCATGACCTCAAGTGATCCTCCTGCCTTGGCCTCCGAAAGTGCTGGGATTATAGGCGTGAGCCACTGTGCCCAGCCCAGTTTTATGACTGTTTTCTGAATGCAGTTATCTTTGATTCAAATAAAATGTTTTTGAGCTTTTAAGGTATTAAACTAGTGACTACCCTATTTGGCATCGTGATTCAATTTTAAGTTTTTTATCCTTAACTGGAAAGTGAAGGAGTACAGTTTTCTAAGACTAGGTGTCTAGTTATGTGCGTATGAGGTCTCTTTGATCCTGTAACATAAATCAAGTAATTGAAATTTTCTAAAGTATGCTTCAGAATCCTAAAAGTGCTCTAAAATTATTCTAGGACAATACCTTTTACCCTTTCCTTTGCTTAAAACTTTAAATATGGACTACTGAACTTTTATAACAGAGGGATTTATTTATAATGTTATAATAGACATGAGTAGAAAAATGCTATCATCTTTTCTACCAAATTTGCTAAAACTTTAAAAAATGTCATTTTGCTCTAACTTCTCCAGTAGAAACCCTGTTGATAAGTTGTGTATGAGAAATGGACAGCTTGAGGAAGCAAAAACATTAGTGAAATGTGACTTAGAGAACTGTCCCTTTGTATTCAGTACAAATAGATAATTCCAACTGTCAGTTAAGTGCAAAAATGTAACAATGTTACTAGTAATACCAACACAAGTTAAGCTTGCTAAAAATCATTCAGGTACTTTTCTGTCTTAATCAAGAGTTTCAAACGTTCACCCAGTGAGACATAGAGTGAACATCCACACTTGGGATTGGAGAGAGACATTATAAGAGGGTAGCCATTGTAATTATAGTAGCAAATACTACCTACCGGCTTCTAAAAGTGGTGGGATCTTTAGGGGATCTGATTCTTTTGAAATAAATCTCCGAAAGAGACAGCCACTCATTCTGAAATTTTCTCATGGGAGCCTTTAAATCAAACTGATGCTAAAAACAGAGTAACAGAGAAGAATAACCAATTATGACTCATCCAGAGTTTCTTCCCCACTTTTGCTTCTTCGATGTTACCTTTCTTACTCTTCCTTCTTCCTTTCTTTTGTCAGTTCTTTCTTCTTTCATTGTAAACACATAATTATTGAATTTATTTAAAATTTGGATATTCAGCAGAAATTTGGAACTATAGGAGTGAGTAAAATAAGTTTTCTTTTATCATGGAACTAACATTCTAGTGGTAGAGACTGGGATGTCTCTGTCACAAGCATAAAATATGTCAGATAATAACAAGTCCTGTAAAGAAAAGGAAAGCAGGGTCAGGGAACAGAGTGACAGGGGTGGGTTTATTTTAGGTCACGTAATGAGAGAGGGCCTTTTGGAGGAAGTGAATCTTCAAACAGACCTGAATGAAGTGAGGGAGCAACCCACATACAGGCATACCTCGATCGATTGCACTTTGCTTAATTACACTTCACAGATAACGTATATTTTACAAATTGAAGGTTTGTGGCAATCCTGTACCCAAGAAGTTTATTGGCACCATTTTTCTGATAGCATGTGCATACTTTGTGTCTGTGTCACATTTTGGTAGTTCTTGCAATATTTTTAACTTTTTCCTTATTATTATATGTGTCATGGTGATCTATGATCAGTGATCTTAGATGTTACTGTTGTAATTGTTTTGGGGTACCACAAACCATGGCTGTAGAAGACCAGTGAACTTACTGATAGATGTCATGTGTGTTCTGACTGCTTCACTGATCCCGATCTCTCTCTCTCTCCTTGGGTCTCCCTAGTCCCTGAGGGTCAACAATATTGAAATTAAGCCAATTAATAACCCTACAATGGCCTCTAAGTGTTCAAGTGTAAGGAAGAGTCGCAGGTTTCTCACTTTAATTCAAAAGCTAGAAATGGTTAAACTTAGTGAGAAAGGCATGTTGAAAGCCGAAACAGGCTGAAAGGTAGGCCTCTTGTGCCAAACAGTTAGCTAAGTTATGAATGTAAAGGAAAAGTTCTGGAAGGAAATTAGAAGTGCTGCTCCAATGAATACGGGAATGATAAGAATGGGAAACAGCTTTATTGCTGTTATAGAGAAAGGTTGCATGGTCTGGATAGAAGATCCAACTAGCCCCATTATCACTTAAGCCAAAGCCTAATCCAGAGCAAGGTTCTAACTGTCTTTAATTCTGCAAAGACTGAGAGAGAAGAGGAAACTGCAGAAGAAAATCTTGAAGCTAGCAGAGGTGGGTTCATGAGGTTCAAGGAAAGCAACTGTCACCATAACACACAAGTACAAAGTGAAGCAGCAAGTACTGATGGAGAAGCTGTAGCAAGTTATCCAGAAGATCTAGCTAAGGTAATTGATGAAGGGGGCTACACTAAATAGATTTTCAATGTGGGTGAAATAGCCTTTTGTTGGAAAAAGATGCCATCTAGGACTCTCATAGCTAGAGAGGAGAAGTCAATGCCTGGCTTCAAAGCTTCAAAGGACAGGCTGACTCTCTTGTTAGGGACTAATGCAACTGGTGACTTTAAGTTGAAGCCAACTGCTCCTTTACCATTCCCAAAATCCTAGTGCCCTTAAGATTTCTTTAAAAATATTACTGCTCATTGACAGTGCACCTGGTCACCCAAGAGCTCTGATGGAGATGTACAAGGAGATTAATATTGTTTTCGTGCCTGCTAAAACACAGTGTTTATTCTTCAGCCCATGGATCAAGGAGTGATTTCAACTTTCAAGTCTTATTACTGAAGAAATACATTTCATAAAGCTATATCTTCCATAGATAGTGATTCCTCTGATGGATCTGAGCAAAGTAAATTAAAAACCTTCTGGAAAAGATTCACCACTCTAGATGCCATTAAGAACATTTGTGATTCATGGGAGGAAGCCAAAATTTCAACATTAACAGGAGTTTGAAAGAAGTGGATTCCAACCCTTATGGATGACTTTGAGGGGTTCAAGACTTCAGTGGAGGAAGGAACTGCAGATGTGGCGGAAATAGCAAGAGAACTAGAATTAGAAGTGGAGCCTGAAGATGTGACTGGATTGCTGCAATCTCATGATCAAACTTGAACAGATGAGGAGATACTTCTTATGGATGAGCAAAGAAAATGGTTTCTTGAGTTGAAATCTACTCCTGTGAAGAAGCTGTGAACATTGTTGCAATGCCAACAAAGAATTCAGAATATTACATAAACTTAGTAAATAAACCAGTGGCAGGATTAGAGAGGATTGACTCCAATTTTGAAAGAAGTTCTACTGTGGGTAAAATGCTATCAAACAGCATCACATGCTACAGATAAATCTTTTGTGAAAGGAAGAGTCAGTTGATGTTGCAGGCTTTATTGTTGTCTTACTTTAAAAAATTGCCACAGCTTTCCCAACCTTCAGCAGCAACCACCCTGATCTATCAGCAGCCCTCAACATGGAGACAAGACCCTCCACCAGCAAAAAGATGAAGACTCGCTGAAGGCTCAGATGATTGTTAGCCTTTTTAAATTAGCAATAAAGTATTATTTAATTATGTATATATATTTTTTAGGCAGCATGGTATTGCATACTTAGTCTACTAAGTAGACTGCAGTCTAATGTAAACATAACTTTTATATGCACTGGGAAACAAAAATGTTTGTGTGAGTGGCTTTATTGGAATATTTGCTTTATTGCAGTAATCTGGAACCCAGCCCACCGCAGTATCTTCAAGGTGTGCCTGTATATCAGGCAGAGGGAACAGCAGGGTAGATGCTCTGAAACTGGAGCAAACTTGGCCTGGTGAATCGTAAGCTTAAGAAATGAATCCCTAAATTGATACAGAAGTAACCCAACTCTGATTTTATGATTCATGCAAGAAATTCTAGTTTATTGTTTTGTAGTCACAGATTGCTTTTTTTTTTTTTTTTTTTTTTTTTTTTGAGACGGAGTTTCACTCTTGCTGTCCAGGCTGGAGAGCAATGGCACCATCTCGGCTCACTGCAACCTCTGCCTCCAGGGTTCAGGCGATTCTCCTGCCTCAGCCTTCCAGAGTAGCTGGGATTACAGGCATACGCCATCACGCCTGGCTAATTTTGTATTTTAAGTAGAGACGGGGTTCCTTCATGTTGGTCAGGGTGGTCTCGAACTCCTGACCTCAGATGATCTGCCTGCCTCAGCCTCCCAAAGTGCTGGGATTACAGTCATGAGCCACTGCGCCCAGCCCCACAGATTGCGTTTTTAAACCTAAAATGATATTCTCCATCTTTATGACATGTCTCATTCACTACACTGAGCTATGAATGACTTGACTATTTTAAAAAAGTGAATCCACTTTCAAATGAAGTTTTGCTACAATTTATTATTTTTTAATACGACAAACACATATTGAGTGTCTCCTCACTATAATGCCAGACATTGTTCTAAGCCTGTTAAGTAAATTGACTGTATTTCTGCTCTATTGGAGGCTATAGCTTGTGATGTACTGTGTGCTTTTTCTTTTCCTTTTCTTTCTTTCTTTTTTTTTTTTTTTTGAGACAGGGTCTTGCTCTGTCACCCCGGCAGGAGCGCAGTGGTGTGATAATGACTCACTGCAGCCTTGAACTACTGGACTCAAGTAATCCTCCTGGCTTAGCCTACCAACTAGCTGGGACTACAGGCACACACCGCCACACCCAGCTGACTTGAAAAAATATTTTTTCGAGACAAGATCTTGCTACCATGTGCTTTTAAGTATGTTTCACAAAAAAGATGTTCTAAAAAAGCTTTAGTCAATGATGGCATCATTATTGTATATCTATAGTAAGAGTACCATTTAAAGCGAACAGTGAATGTTTGGATGTAAAATCTATAGTAAATTTGTTTTAAATCTGTTATTTTTATTTCATTTATCTGCTTTCTATATGAGTACATCCTAGATATACAGATGTCTGTGTTTGTGTTCAAAAAAGAGTAATTGGATTAAGTAAACTTGGCAATACTAACCAATTCCATGTAGGCATTTGAATCTGAAGCTGTATTTTAAAGGAAGAAAGAAAACTGACAGTTTGGAGTTGGGGTGGGAAAAAATAAGAAATTGAGGGGACATTCTTTTTTTTTTTTTTTTTTTTTTGAGATGAAGTTTCACTCTTGTTGCCCAGGCTGGAGTGCAATGGTGCAATCTTGGCTCACCGCAACCTCTGCCTCCCAGGTTCAAGTGGTTCTCCTGCCTCAGCCTCCCCAGTATCTGGGATTACAGGCACATGCCACCATACCCGGCTAATTTTGTATTTTTAGTAGAGACGGGGTTTCTCCATGTTGGTCAGACTAGTCTTGAACTCCCGACCTCAGGTGATCTGCCCGCCTCAGCCTCCCAAAGTGCTGGGATTACAGGCGTTGAGCCACCGCGCCCGGCCACGAGGGGGACATTCTTAATGGGACAGGAGAAGTAGCAAATTAAAACTCAAAGATAGGTAGATTAGTTAGAAGGAGGTGCATCCACAAGTTATGATAGTAGAGGCCACAAAAATGCTAGCAGCTTAAACATACAAATTTATTTCTCTCTTCTGAAATACTCTCTTGTAGGTGTTCTATGACTGATATGGCTCTCTACACTGTTGGCTTCAGGGCTATTTTTGAGTCTCATTGCTCCACCAAACTCAGCGTTTAAGTTCCACTTCATGATCCACTTCCACTTTTTGATTCATTGCTGCTTGAGCTCCAGCCATCACATCTGCCTTCTAGCCAGGAGAAAGGAAGGGAGATTGAAAATATGAATGTCTCTTCCCTTTTTTTTCTTTCTTCTTTTTTTTTTTTTTAACAAGTCACATATTATTGTTTAGTACTTAGTCCCACTGACACTCCTAGCTACAAAGGAGGTTGAGAAATATCATGTGCCCAGATGAAAGTTAAGAGATTCTGTTATTAAGGAAGATGGAGAGAATAAATGCTCGGGACCACAAATCATTTCTACAATAATGGTAAAGAATACAAGCAAGACACAGATTAAGCATGGTAATACAGAGTTGTCTGACTAAATGGAATAAAAATATAAATTTGAATATGTAAAACAGTAGGGGTAGATAGCTGAGAGTACTCAGAGCAATTCATAAATGAGCTAATAAACTCAGTTTGATATGAGTAGCAACTAGGAACCATTGTAGGCCTTGGAGAACAGAAGGAATGTTTAGCTTAGTCACAGAACTGAGCTTCCTTATTACTGAAAACAGCTATTTGTGGAAGATAATTCTTATTGCTTTGTGTAGAAATGAAGGAGATACAAATTGAACGAAGCTTGTAAGAGACAGTTGTTTCAATCCAGGCATCCAGGACCTGCTCCTAGGGTTATAGAAATGAGGAAACAGTAGTGTTTAAAGATAGACTGTAGAGAGGCAATGGGGGTAAGTGGATGATGTACTGGAGAAGAGAGAAATTGAAATTGACTAACATTTGCATTAGAGAAAATGGAGGCAAGTGATGATATCATACAGGTAAATTTTCATTAGAAGGAGTCTAAAGATGTCTCTAAGTTATTTAGTTACAGTGAAATGTAAAATTGAATGCAGGAAATGTGATTTCCAGCCTTTAGGACCTAGAGCTGAAACAGCTGTGCTTCCCTTCTTTATGGTGAATCAGCAAGGGAAAAGAGGCACTTTAAAGAAGGTGTTATATACACATCACCACTTCTACTTCTTTTTTTTTTTCTTTTCTTGGATGTTTTCCCAAGTTTTAATTCTAGTAGATAGCCTGGGTGGTTTTTGTTTCGATGCTTTTGAAGTTTGAAGGAAGAGATGGACTGAAGGATCATTGCTGCTTGATGGCAAGACAGAACAATACAAAAAGGACAATTATAACTCAGCTCTAAGCATCAGGCCATTTTTGTAGAGGCAACAGTTATTACAAAAATGATCTCCAGAGGCACTACTTACAGCCAGACCAGCAAAACTTTACCTGTGTTGGTCATCTGATCTTCCATAAAGAGCTCTTCACTAGCATCATTCTTTGCAACAGAACTTTACCTGTATTAAGGATTACTCTGGTCTGTGTCAAATGTAATAGCATTCCATATCATGGAAAAATTTCCCTGAAAACTATCATTGCTGTTGAACCAAAATTATACAGTAGGTCCTTGAATAACATCCTTTTGTTCAATGTTGTTATAACTGATGAGAAAAACATCAATTCCCGGCTGAGGTCCCTGTCTGTGTGGAGTTTGCACACTCTCCCCCTGTCTGCCTGGGCTTTCTCCATGTTCTCTGCTTTTCTCCCACTTCCCAAGGATGTGCACGGTGGGTGAATCAGCATGTCTGAATGGTCCCAATCCAAGTGAGTGTGGAGTGGGTGTGAGTGCACCCCACAATGAAGCAGCATCCCTGTCCAGGGATGGTTCCCACCTTGTGCCCTGAGCTTCCAGGATGGGCTCCAGCCACCTGTGACCCTGAAGGGAGCACATGAATCATCTTACTTATTTTTACTAATCTTCCTTAAATGTATGTATAGCTCACATTTATTTCAACATTTAATAATAAAAGTGGGCCAGGCACAGTGGCTCATGCCTGCAATCCCAGCACTTTGGGAGGCCAAGGCAGGCAGATAACCTGAGGCCAGGAGTTCAAGACCAGCCCGGCCAACATGGTGAAACCCCTATCTCTAGTAAAAATACAAAAATTAGCCAGGCATGATGGCAGTTGCCTATAGTCCTAGCTACTCAGGAGGCTAAGGCAGGAGAATTGCTTGAACCTGGGAGGCAGACGTTGCAGTGAGCTGAGATCACGCCACTGTACTCCAGACTGGGTGACACAGCAAGACTCTATCTCAAAAAATAATAATAAGAAGAAGAATAAAAGTGTTTTGGTTTTTTTTGTTGTTGTTTGTTTTGAGACAGAGTCTCACTCTGTCGCCCAGGCTAGAGTGCAGTGGCACGATTGCAGCTCACTGCAATGCCCCTCAGGTTCAAGTGATTCTCCTGCCTCAGCCTCCTAAGTAGCTGGGACCACAGGTGCCTGCCACTACACCCGACTCACTTTTGTATTTTTTTTTAGTAGAGACAGGGTTTCACCATATTGGCCAGGCTGGTCTCGAACTCCTGACCTTGTGATCTGCCTGCCTCGGCCTCCCAAATGTTTTGGTCTTTATTTTTAAGTTTGGTGAAATTTTTGTGACTAGAAATACACTGTAGGAACTTAGTTCTTGTTTATATTAATTAGCCTATGGTAAAATTGGTTTCATTATACATTGTTTCCCTTAAAGTAGCAATTTCCAAGAGACTATGGACATCATTAAATGAGGACTTGCTGTACTGCAAAGTAGTTGTCATGCTTTTATAATAAAAAACAGCAACGTTGATGTTGTTACTTCCTACAAAGAGCTTTGTACTAACAGAGTTGATGTGGAGTCATGCTTGGTTGCCTTGCCACATGTAGATGAGATGGCAGGGCTAATGGTACAAACTGTGGTTGTAACTAAAACATTTGCATTGATAAATGTCAAACAGCTGATCTTTTAAATTTAAAAATAAATATATAAAAATAATTTGTATCTGTACCACCCTAAACCGACCACTGTTAACATCTCAGAATAGTCATGTGTCATATAATGATGTTTCAGTCAATGGTGGACTGCGTGTATGATACTGGTCCCATAAGATTATATTTTTACTGTACCTTTTCTATGTTTAGATATGTTTAGACACACAAATTCTTACCATTGTGTTACAATTGTCCTTGTGTTACAATTGCCTACCACATTCAGTACAGTAATATGCTATACAAGTTCATTGCTTAGGAGCAATAGGCTATACCATATAGCCCAGGTGTATAGTAAGCTCTACCATCTCAATGTGTGTAAGTACACTCTATGATGTTTGTACAACAATGAAATTGCCTAGCAATGCATTTCTCAGAAAGCATCCCTGTTGTTAGGGTATGCATAACTGTTTCTTTTTTATTTTTGTTTCGGAAAACCATTATACTCTTGTAAAAACAATATAGGCTTGTTATATAATTACTCAGAAATAACCATCATTAATATCAGATGATTGCAATTCTAGGCATCTTTTTTGTGAGACAGGCTCTCACTCTGTTGTCCAGGCTGAAGTACAGTGGCACCATCACAGTTCACTGCCACCTTGACCTCCCTGGGCTCAGGTGATTCTCCTACCTCAGCCTCCCAAGTAGCTGGGACTGCAGGCATGCGCCACCACACCGGCTAAATTTGGGTTTTTGGGTTTTTTTTTTTTGGTAGAAACAAAGTTTCACCATGTTGCCCAGGAAGGTCTCAAGCTCCTTGGCTTAAGCAATCTGCTCGCCTCAGCCTCCCACAGTGCTAGGATTACAGGAGTGAGCCATCATGCCTGGACAGCATTTTTAAAAAATCTATACATGCATATAGAGAGATGGATAGCTAGAGAGAAATTATTTTTATAAAAATGGAATTATATGCTGTTTTTTAGTAAAAAATATTAAAGGTCTCCTTCAGGCAATGAGACTAGGAACTCCATTTACTGCACAATAACCAAAGACTGGAAGTGACACACTATTTGCGACACTACTGGCCTCACAAGAAGTATGGGAAGTCTCTAAGTTTCTCTTTTTGAAAAATGTAAAATAAAATAAGAACAGTACATGTGAGCTGAAGTCAGAGTGACTTGGCATTCTGCCTGTGGGAAGCTGCAGGTAACTGTAGGGGTTGAGTTGCTTAAGAGCAGTTGTTAGTAGATCAGAGAATGAGTTTGGGGGCTGTCTTGAGCATTGGGAAGGAAAGCCTTGGGTCACTATGCTGAACCCAGACCCTCAAGGGGACTGAATTGAGAAAGTGTACTCATTTCATAAGTTAAGTCCAATAGGATTTTCACCAGTTTAAGACAAGCAATGAGCTCAAAATCCAATATCACCAAAACAGGAGGAGGTAAGCAGCAAAGAACATACTTAATCCCCCAAAGAGTGTAGATATTGGAAAGGTCAGATACAGAACAGCTGTGTATTTACATAAATAAAGGATATAATCGCATGCATCACCAGTTATCAAGAGATTATTAGGACTGAATGGATGAATTTGAAAAAAGGGAACTTGCAGAAATGAGAAATACTACTGAACTAAAAAAATGTATTTAGTGAGCTAGAAGATATGCCTAAAGAAAATGGAAAATATGAAAGTAATATTAATTAAGCCATATGGAGGATACTGCTACAAAGGAATGACAATTAATTACTGTACCAGAAAGCTTCTCATCTTCTACAGTAGAAGCCTGACGACAGTGACATAGTATCTTAGAAATGCTGAAGGAAAATAACAGCCTATAATTGTGTACCAGCAAGACTATGATTTAAGGGTGAGGGTGAAATAGTTATTTATAGATGAATAAAAAAACGAAGAGAGTTTACAACCATGAGACCTGCATTAAAGGGTATACTTCAAAAAGAGGAAAATTATTCCAGAAAGATAGTTGAAAATTCAAGAGAGAATAATGAATAAATGGTAAACACACACATAAATATAGATACGTATGTATAATAAACATTTGATATATAAATCTAATTTTTGAGTTAAGAAAAAGACAACTAGAATAGTGGGTAGCCACGGTATGTAAGTGGGGGTGGGCAGGTCCAGAGTTGTGTTCTAAAGGTCCTTGTGTTTTTAAGAGAAGGTAATGAATATTCTTTGACTGTAAACTTTTAAAGGTAAACGTGCATGATAAACTTTCAAGAATAAACTTTAAAAGAAGAGAAATAGAGTGCATAAATTCCAGACAAGTAGCAAGAAGAAGTAGAATGAGAAAAAAATAAAATTTTATAAAGGGCAAAAAGCATAAAGTGGAACAAATGGAAATTAAAAAGTAAAATAAATAATAGAAATAAGCCCAGATAGATTAATAATCACAGTAAATAGTAATAGATTAAACTCACCTATTAAAAGGCAGAGACTATCAGATTGGGGAAAGAGAAATCCAGATATATGCTGCAAGCATAAATTCACATAAAGATTGAAAGCAATGTATGGAAAAAGGTAAGTCAGGCATATACAAACTAAAAGAAGGCTGGTGTAGCTACTTAATAACAGGCAAAGGAGACTTTAAAGCCAAGAGCATTAAGGATAATAATAAGATGCTCAATTTCCCAGGAAGATGTAGTATTTCTAAATGTGAATATACCCAGTAAAATAACTTCAAAGTATATAAAGCAAAAGTTGGTAGAACTACAGGAATAAATTGAAATATCTACCATCATAGTAGATAATTTCAAAACATCTTTATTGATAGGTGAAGGACATGAAACTTTTTTTAATATGGATTTTATAATTGATGATATGTGTTATAAAGGAAGTCTTTACATTTCCAAAAATCTGTTTCATAGAGGACACGTTTTCTTACCAAAATACCATTAAATTTGAAGTTAACAAAAAATATAAATAAAAAATTTCCATACATTTGAATGTGGGACTATTTCTTTTAGAATAAGGTGGAAGAAAAGGACATCAGTTCTCCTTGCTACGTCAGCTTTGTAGTGGAGGTCCTAGCCATCACAGTAAAACAAGCAAGAGAAATTAAAAATGTCAGTATCAAAATGGAAGAAACGAGCATCATTTGTAAACGATAGGATTTTCATATAGAAAACTTCGAAAGATCTACAGACATACTAAAAATAGTGAGTTTTAGAAAGATGGCTGGCTATAACATCAAAACATAAAATCAAGTTATATTCTATATATCAGTAACAAATATTAAACATAATTTTTAAGATACCATTTATAATAGCCAAAAATCTTGATTTAGGAATAAGTCTTACAAAAGAAGTACAAAATCTGTACACTGTAGGTTATAATGTTTAATTGAAATACATTAAAGACCTATATAAATGGAAAGATATTCCATGTTTATCAAAATAATAATGTAAACATGTCAGTTCTCTCCAAATTGTCTAGATTTAGTGGAGGGTTTCTCAGCCTTGGTACTATTGATATTTTGAAACAGATCATTCTTTGTTGTGGGAGCTATGCATTGTAGGGTAGTTAGCATCATACCTGGCCTGTACCCACTGGATGCTATTAGCAAACATCCCTTTCTGTTGTATTGAATCAAAAAAGTCTGCAGACATTGCCAAATGTCCCCTGGGGGCCAAATTGTTCCCAGTAGAGAACCGCTGATTCAGTGCAGTTACAATCGAAATCCAAAAAGGGTTTTAAGAGTTGAATTTGATGTACTGATTCCAGAATTTACCTGGAAGAATCAAAAGTTCAAGAGTATCCAAAACATTCCTAAAATAGAGTAAGGTGGAGGGTTTGCCTTTCTAAATAACAAGACTAAAATTTTACTGATCATGACACTGTGGTATGGATGCAGGATAGGTGCATGGACCAATGGAACAAACCATAACCCTAGAAAACAGACCTGGGCCACTATGGAATCAGTAAATGACAGAAGTGGCATTTTTGAATAGTGGAGAAAAACTGAACTGCTCAATAAATAATACTCGGATAATTTTTTATCCATATTGTAAAAATGAAATGAGGTCTCTAACCTGGATGAATTAAGGATTTAAAGGTAAAAAGGCAAAACTTTGAAACGTTTAGAAGAAAATTTAGAATATATTTTTTACATTGAAATAGGGAAATATTTCATAAACAGAAAAAGTGCACATTATTTTTTAAAAGTGTTTATGAATTTGACATTTGTGGTAGGCAGAGTTTTGAGGATAAGCCCCATGACCCTTGCCTATATACAGTCCTCTCCCCTTTGAGCGTGGACAGAACCTGTGAATATGATGAATTACCACCCCCATGATTGTTATATTCTAAGGCAAAAAAGGTATTATGCTGGTAGGCCCTATCTAATCAGATGAGTCCTTTAAAAGCAGAGAGTTGGCCGGGCGCTGTGGCTCATGCCTGTAATCCCAGCACTTTGGGAGGCCAAGGTAGGTGGATCATGAGGTCAGGAGATTGAGACCATCCTGGCCAACATGGTGAAACCCTGTCTCTACTAAAAATACAAAAATTAGCTGGGCATGGTGGTGCATGCCTGTAATCCCAGCTACTCTGGAGGCTGAGGCAGGAGAATCACTTGAACCCAGGAGGCGGAGGTTGCAGTGAGCCAAGATTGTGCCACTGCACTCCAGCCTGGTGACAGAGTGAGACTCCGTCTCAAAAAAAAAAAAAATTAATTAATTAAAAAAAAATAAAAGCAGAGAGTTTTCTCTAGCTGGTGGCCGAAGAGGGAGTCAGAAAGATTCCAAGTGTGATAAGGATTTGAAGCACTATTGTTGGCTTGAAGATGGAGTAATAAGGGATGCAAGTGGCCTCGAAGGTGAGAGTGGCCCCTGGTTGCCAGCCAGCAAGGAAATGGGGACTTTAGTCCCACAGTTGCAAGGAGCAGAATTCTGCCAACAGCTGGATTGAACTTGGAAGTGGATTCTTCCCTAGGGTTTCCAGATGACAGTTCAGCTTGGCCAACGCCTTGACTTTGGCTTTGTGAAACCAGAAACAGAGAACCCATTTAACCTGCCTGCACTTCTGACTACAGAACTGCGAGATAATAAATGGTTGTTGTTTTAGGCCACTAAGTTTGTGGTAATTTGTTATAGCATCATTAGAACAAATGATCTTATAGCACCATTAGAAAACTAATAAAACTGTATTACCTTTTATTTTCTGTGCTTTTGGGGTCATATACAAAAGTTCTTTGCCCAGATCAATATCAAGAAGTTTTTCCCCGTTGGGTGTGGTAGCTCATGCCTTTACAGGTGACTCATGCCTCTCAGCACTTTGGGAGATCAAGGCGGAAGGATTTCTTGAGCCCAGGAATTTGAGACCATCCTGAGCAACACAGCAAGACCCTGTCTTTTTTTTTTTAAGTTTGCTAATCAGCTGACTTTATTTTTTTATTTTTATTTATTATTATTATTATACTTTAAGTTTTAGGGTACACGTGCACAATGTGCAGGTTACATATGTATACATGTGCCATGCTGGTGTGCTGCACCCATTAACTCATCATTTAGCATTAGGTGTATCTCCTAATGCTATCCCTCCCCCCTCCCCCCACCCCACAACAGTCCCCAGAGTGTGATGTTCCCCTTCCTGTGTCCATGTGTTCTCATTGTTCAATTCCCATCTATGAGTGAGAACATGCGGTGTTTGGTTTTTTGTCCTTGCGATAGTTTACTGAGAATGATTATTTCCAATTTCATCCATGTCCCTAACAAAGGACATGAACTCATCATTTTTATGGCTGCATAGTATTCCATGGTGTATATGTGCCACATTTTCTTAATCCAGTCTATCATTGTTGGACATTTGGGTTGGTTCCAAGTCTTTGCTATTGTGAATAGTGACGCAATAAACATACGTGTGCATGTGTCCTTTGGGTATATACCCAGTAATGGGATGGCTGGGTCAAATGGTATTTCTAGTTCTAGATCCCTGAGGAATCGCCACACTGACTTCCACCATGGTTGAACTAGTTTACAGTCCCACCAACAGTGTAAAAGTGTTCCTATTTCTCCACATCCTCTCCAGCACCTGTTGTTTCCTGACTTTTTAATGACTGCCATTCTAACTGGTGTGAGATGGTATCTCATTGTGGTTTTGATTTGCATTTCTCTGATGGCCAGTGATGATGAGCATTTTTTCATGTGTCTTTTGGCTGCATAAATGTCTTCTTTTGAGAAGTGTCTGTTCATATCCTTTGCCCATTTTTTTGATGGGGTTGTTTGTTTTTTTCTTGTAAATTTGTTTGAGTTCATTGTAGGTTCTGGATATTAGCCCTTTGTCAGATGAGTAGGACTTAAACGTTAGACCTAAAACCATAAAAAACCTAGAAGAAAACCTAGGCATTACCATTCAGGACATAGGCATGGGCAAGGACTTCACATCTAAAACACCAAAAGCAATGGCAACAAAAGTCAAAATCGACAAATGGGATCTAATTAAACTAAAGAGCTTCTGCACAGCAAAAGAAACTACCATCAGAGTGAACAGGCAATCTACAAAATGGGAGAAAATTTTCGCAACCTACTCATCTGACCCTGTCTCTTAAGAAAAAAAACAAATTAGCTGGACATGGTGGCATGTGCCTGCAGTCCCAGCTATTCAGGAGGCAGAAATGGGAAGATCGCTTGAGCCTGAGCGGTAGAGGCTGCAGTGAGCTGTGATCACGCCACTGCACTCTAATCTGGGTGACAGACCAAGACCCTGTCTCAAAAAGAAACTTTTCCCTATGTTTTCTTCTAGTAGTTTTACAGATTCAGGTCTGGCATTTTAAATCTTTTATCCATTTTTAGTTGATTTTTATATGTGTGGTGGATTATCCAGTGTTCCCAGCACCACTTATCAAAGAAACTGTCCTTTCCCATTGTGTATTCTTGGTACCTTTGTTGATCAGTTGGCCATAAATGCATGGATTTATTTCTGGGCTCTCTGTTCTGTTCCATTGGAACAGATTATATGTCTGGTTTTGTGTCAGAACCACCCTATTTTGATTACTATAGTTTTGTAGTAGATTTTGAGGGGAAAAAAAAACACCATGTAAAAGTGAAAAAAAAAGCCGCAAAATGGGAAAATTTTCCAACGCATATAACTGACAAAGGATTAGTATCCAGAATATATAAAAAATTCTTGCAGATCAATGAGAAAAGAGTAGCTCAACAGAAAAAGAGGAAGCAAATATGAAAATCATTTCTAGAAAAACAGGAAACATGTAAGGCCAAGAAACATTTTTTAAATGCTTAGCTTTGTATTATGTAGTGACAAGAAACAATTACGAATTTTATGAAAGATATAATTTACAATAACTTCAAAAATGAATGCCATATTGTGAGGAATTTTCCTTCTGTTTCTTGAGCTACATTTTCTTCTGCATTTGGGATCTTTCTTTTATGCATGCCATCTCCCTTTCTTTCCCTTTCATGCTTCTCCTTCCCTCCTTCTCTGCTCGTTTTTCTACCGGAATGTGTTTGTTTAGTTGCCAGGCCATTTCTTCACATCTTGCTGATGCTTAGGCAGCTCTCACTAGGCACTGTCTCTTGAAGGTGGTAGAGTATAACGGTTAAGGGCTCAGGTCCTGGAGCCATACTGTCTGCATTTGAATCCTGACTGGTTGTATGACCTTGGACTGGCTACTTAAGCCCTTGTGCTGTAATTTCACCTTCTGTAAAATGGGGTTAACATGGGCCCTGTGATGGAGTTGTTATAAGAAGTAAATGGGCTAATACAGAGTCAGCACAATAAACTTTGGCTGTTGTTTGTTCAGAAACACTTAGTGATTTCTTGACTCTTCCCGCCATATCTGAGATCAGTTTGTTTTCTCCACCAGGCTGCAGTCTGTGGGCTTTTTTTTTTTTTTTAATCCATTTTTCTGTAGCAGATCTCAGCTGAGGCCATGTATGGTCTTCTTTAGAATACCTGAACTCTGTTCTGTTTTTGAGTCTCTTATACGAGGTCCTGCTCATTCTACCTAGTTGAGGTATGTATCCTATTCCTGTGGGGGAGAGATGCCTTCAAGCTTTAGATCCTTCGCCCAATTCAGTGTCAAACTGTAGCTTTCATGCCCATTGAAGTGTAAGCACCTTTATTTACTCTGTTACACCCATTTTTTTCTCTAGCTATTTTCACCTCTCCTCCGTCATAAGTGGGAAGAAAGCATTCTCCATTCAGTTCTCTTTTTTTCCAGACATGTGGATATTGATGAGAACTCTAAGATTTTTGTCATCTTACCAGTATTGCTTTTGGGGGAGAAGGGATGTCCTAGATCTTGTTTCTTTGCTTGGCCACCAGTTATTTTGATTCTTTTTCTTTTAGAAATTTTAGTTATATCTGTTTCTATGTTAGATTACTATTGACTTTTTTAAAAAAACCTCATTGCGTACTGGGTGATGGGAATTCTGTGTTGCAGTTTCATTTTGCTATCTTAACCCAGGAGTCAGCTACTGAATATTAAAACTTGCTTTTGTAGTGACTGTTTATTTTTCCTTGTCCCTGGAGCTGAGCTTCTAACTTGGTTTGTGAATTTCCCTGTTTCTCATTATTCTTAAGTGAGAACTACTGGCAGTGTCTCAAATTTTATATGCTATTGTTAGCAAAATACTGAAATAAAATTGTCTCAACTCCATTTTTAAGATCTCCAGCAGTAAAGTTGGTTCTTTTTCACTTTTCTTATCTACCTATTTCAAATTTAATTTTAAAAATCTACTTAAACATCTCTGCTTTCTTATTCTTCTCTTTTCACCTTAAAAATGCCTTTCCCCTAGTAATCTCAAAATTCATCTACCAAGAAAGATGTACAGTAATTGTACATCTTTAATCTCAAAATTCATCTACCAAGAAAGATGTACAGTAATTGTACATCTTTAATCTCAAAATTCATCTACCAAGAAAGATGTACAGTAATTGTACACTCCATCTCCTGTGTTTTGAAGCATTTCTCAGGTAAATGGAAGCAGAGCAATAAAGCAGAAACATAGAGATTGTGTCTGTAGTGGATACTGTGGTGTGTCTCCCAGATCCTTGCTTCAAGATCAAGGCACTCTTGAGTTGTGGGAGGGTGTTGGCTGTGGGCTCTCAACTGAATCCTCCTCTGGGAATTCCCAACAGCTGAAGACAGCCTCTTCGTTCAAGGTCATGCCCCCTAGCTAAGGAATCCTACATCAAGGCAGGACAACTGTGAAGAGCCATTCCAGCCTCAAAGCTCCTATAAGGATCAGCTGAGTCCTTTATTGCAAGTGTGCTACAGTTATTGCAACTGTGCTTGCTTGACCCGATCCTTCCTGCCTGCCTCCCTCCTCACTGGTAGTTTTTTTTTTTCTTTTATTATTATACTTTAAGTTTTAGGGTACATGTGCACATTGTGCAGGTTAGTTACATATGTATACATGTGCCACGCTGGTGCGCTGCACCCACTAACTCGTCATCTAGCATTAAGTATATCTCCCAATGCTATCCCTACCCCCTCCCCCCACCCCACAACAGTCCCCAGAGTGTGATGTTCCCCTTCCTGTGTCCATGTGATCTCATTGTTCAATTCCCACCTATGAGTGAGAATATGTGGTGTTTGGTTTTTTGTTCTTGCGATAGTTTACTGAGAATGATTATTTCCAGTTTCATCCATGTCCCTACAAAGGACATGAACTCATCATTTTTTATGGCTGCATAGTATTCCATGGTGTATATGTGCCACATTTTCTTAATCCAGTCTATCATTGTTGGACATTTGGGTTGGTTCCAAGTCTTTACTATTGTGAATAGTGCCGCAGTAAACATACATGTGCATGTGTCTTTATAGCAGCATGATTTATAGTCCTTTGGGTATATACCCAGTAATGGGATGGCTGGGTCAAATGGTATTTCTAGTTCTAGATCCCTGAGGAATTGCCACACTGACTTCCACCATGGTTGAACTAGTTTACAGTCCCACCAACAGTGTAAAAGTGTTCCTATTTCTCCACATCCTCTCCAGCACCTGTTGTTTCCTGACTTTTTAATGATTGCCATTCTAACTGGTGTGAGATGGTATCTCATTGTGGTTTTGATTTGCATTTCTCTGATGGCCAGTGATGATGAGCATTTTTTCATGTGTTTTTTGGCTGCATAAATGTCTTCTTTTGAGAAGTGTCTGTTCATGTCCTTTGCCCACTTTTTGATGGGGTTGTTTGTTTTTTTCTTGTAAATTTGTTTGAGTTCATTGTAGATTCTGGATATTAGCCCTTTGTCAGATGAGTAGGTTGCAAAAATTTTCTCCCATTTTGTAGGTTGCCTGTTCACTCTGATGGTCGTTTCTTTTGCTGTACAGAAGCTCTTTAGTTTAATTAGATCCCATTTGTCAATTTTGTCTTTTGTTGCCATTGCTTTTGGTGTTTTAGACATGAAGTCCTTGCCCATGCCTATGTCCTGAATGGTGCGATCAACTGGAAGAAAGGGTATCAGCAATGGAAGATGAAATGAATGAAATGAAGCGAGAAGGGAAGTCTAGAGAAAAAAGAATAAAAAGAAATGAGCAAAGCCTCCAAGAAATATGGGACTATGTGAAAAGACCAAATCTACGTCTGATTGGTGTACCTGAAAGTGACGGGGAGAATGGAACCAAGTTGGAAAACACTCTGCAGGATATTATCCAGGAGAACTTCCCCAATCTAGCAAGGCAGGCCGACGTTCAGATTCAGGAAATACAGAGAACACCACAAAGATACTCCTCGAGAAGAGCAACTCCAAGACACATAATTGTCAGATTCACCAAAGTTGAAATGAAGGAAAAAATGTTAAGGGCAGCCAGAGAGAAAGGTTGGGTTACCCTCAAAGGGAAGCCCATCAGACTAACAGCAGATCTCTCGGCAGAAACCCTACAAGCCAGAAGAGAGTGGGGGCCAATATTCAACATTCTTAAAGAAAAGAATTTTCAACCCAGAAATTCATATCCAGCCAAACTAAGCTTCATAAGTGAAGGAGAAATAAAATACTTTACAGACAAGCAAATGCTGAGAGATTTTGTCACCACCAGGCCTGCCCTAAAAGAGCTCCTGAAGGAAGCACTAAACATGGAAAGGAACAACCAGTACCAGCCGCTGCAAAATCATGCCAAAATGTAAAGATCATCGAGACTAGGAAGAAACTGCATCAACTAACGAGCAAAATAACCAGCTAACAGCATCATGACAGGATCAAATTCACACATAACAATATTAACTTTAAATGTAAATGGACTAAATGCTCCAATTAAAAGACACAGACTGGCAAATTGGATAAAGAGTCAAGACCCATCAGTGTGCTGTATTCAGGAAACCCATCTCACGTGCAGAGACACACATAGGCTCAAAATAAAAGGATGGAGGAAGAGCTACCAAGCAAATGGAAAACAAAAAAAGGCAGGGGTTGCAATCCTAGTCTCTGATAAAACAGACTTTAAACCAACAAAGATCAAAAGAGACAAAGAAGGCCATTACATAATGGTAAAGGGATCAATTCAACAAGAAGAGCTAACTATCCTAAATATATATGCACCCAATACAGGAGCACCCAGATTCATAAAGCAAGTCCTGAGTGACCTACAAAGAGACTTAGACTCACTGGTAGTTTCTAAGAGCGCTCCCTAATGGCTCTCCCACATGCAAATCTGAGTCTGAGAGTCTGTTTCCTAGGGAACCCAACCTACAATGGCTTTTCCTCTAGATTTAAAATATAGGACAGTAATAATATGTGTACATAAATAGATAATGAGAATAGAGAATAAAGCAAATGGGGCAAAATGTTAACAATTGGTGAATCTGGGATGAAGACCATATGGGCATTCTTTGTACTATTCTTGTTACTTTTCTGTAAGCTTAAAATTATTACAAAATCAAAGTTAAAAAAAATATGACAAATACCAACTACTTTAAGATGCTTAAGTTAGCCAGGCGCGGTGGCTCACACCTGTAATCCCAGCACTTTGGGAGGCCGAGGTGGGTGGATCACGAGGACAGCAGATCGAGACCACGGTGAAACCCTGTCTCTACTAAAAATACAAAAAATTAGCCAGGGGCAGTGGTGGGTGCCTGTAGTCCCAGCTACTCGGGAGGCTGAGGCAGGAGAATGGTGAACCTGGGAGGCGGAGCTTGCAGTGAGCTGAGATCACGCCACTGCACTCCAGCCTGGGCGACAGAGCGAGACTCCGTCTCAAAAAAAAAAAAAGATGCTTAACTATGTGCCAAAACAACGAAATTGGAGTCAAGGTTCCAAATTCACAATTCTGTAAAAGTTAGATATAAATTTAAGCACCATGAGACTTGACTTTTAGATCTTACTAGCTCTTCCTTAGCCCACTGAATATTTTCTATAATGCAATATATCTGTCTGTTACTAAAAATTAATTTTTTAAGCAAATTATTTAATTCACTTACATTACACCTAAAAGGACATGGTTATTATATGCTAAATAATAAATGGAACAATTTGGAAATCTGTTCAACTTATGGAGCGTTGCATTTCCAAAATGTATGGTGCATTGCTAATGCCTGATAATTTGAACGTCAGTTTGATATCTCATCTAAGAAATATCGGAGGGTTCACAAGTTCTGCTTTGTGGTATTATCTGAGTGGTGCGGGCTCAGTGGGATGTACAGCTTCTTTCTAGATAGTTTCCACAAAGTACTTACAACCTTGGTATCGAAGCACTCATCTTTGAATGACTCAATGGCTTCATTTCCTGCAGCATCATTACTTTTTCCTCTGAGGTTTCTCATTCACATACTAGTCTTCACTGGCTTGTGACTTCACAGTGTCAATTGATAAGTAGCTTACAAGACCAAAGGGATCTCATTTCCACTAAGGAACTATAAGGAACTAAATGTATGTTCTCTCCTACTTGCTTGTGAAAATCCAGAAATAAATGTTGTGTAATTACCAAATCTAATTAAGCACACCTCACTTCCAGTGTTATGCTATCTGATACTGAAAGAAAAATTTAATGAGTTTCCATAGACCCACTATATTCTAATTGCTTTCTTTCTTGCCTCATAAGATAGGTTTACTACATTTAGGCTATTCTAGGCCAAAATGCATCTCCAACATGCAAGATATTTTTTCTTTCACATTTCTTGCTATTCTTCAGTTTCTCTCAAAATTTACTTCAAAATTGACCATCTGACATTTTTACTAATCTACTTCTGTAATGTCTAAAACCTAAGACCATATGATTTCCAAGATAATTTAGTTGCTGAATGCCGAGCAAGTGATAATGTAGTTGATTAAATCCAGTGAAAGTAGATAGATGATCTAAGCCCCAAGTCACCACTCTTTGCCAATATTAGCTACAAAATCTCCAAGCCCCAAATAAGCTCATTTTAATTATTCACTTTTATGTGAAGTTAAAACAAAATGAAAAGTTACAACCATAAATGAAAGATTCTTATTTCTTCAGTATCTCTGGCATCTACCATACTTTCTCCCTTTGCCCACGTAGGTCCTTCTGCTCGGAGTAATTTATCTTTGCCTCTACCCTTATTGGAATCCTAGCCGTCCTTCAAAGCCTTGTTCAAATTTTACTTCCTCTTTGTGGTTGTTTTTGATTACTCTGGTGCACATTGTTGTTTTCCTCCTTAGAGTATCTGTTCCTAAAATTAATTAATTCAAGAACGTTTAGCATATAATTGTTCTCTGTTTCCTGTAAGTCTGTATGTTAGACTTATATACCTAGTCAGGCTATAAACTTCTAGAAGGTAAAGACTGTGCCTTATATTACCGCTTTTCAGTATTTTTTTTTGTTTTGCATAACCCCTAAAATGATTTTGAAACACTATGTACCTCCTCACACATTTTTGAGTTGATATATGAAGTTTTATAAGTATAAATAACTGCAAAGGATATAATTCTGGCACGTTGTAAATATTGACATTAAGGACAAAAGAAAAGAAAAAACAAGCAAACTGTTAAGTTATATCCATCTTTTAAATGTATCTAAGGGAATCTAAATACCATTGTGATTGATAACTGTAGTCATTCATTTAAAAAAAAATACATGAAGTCCTTAACTGTTAGAAATTTTACATTATTCCCTTTTCTCTCTGAAGTCATATGTTTATTCTACATTTCTTGCAGAATTTTATTCTAATATAAAATATTTTTATGCTTGGAAATCTTCTCTACATCAAATAGATATAAAATTGAAATTATTTTTCTAAATTTTCTCTGACCAAAGGTTTTAATATTTCTTCTAGATTGACTTATTACAATTATTGTTAGTATGCAGTCAATCAAAACCACATAAATGCATTATAAATTTGTATGAATATTTGTTAAATATAATTTTATTAGAAATATATGGTTTTATGAGATAATTGGAACTGCTCGTTTGCCCACATAGGAGTGTGACTGATTGCTAGCTACAAGCAGGGCTCAGCAGAAATCCTGCCTCTATTTTATTTATATTTGTATAAAGATAAATGCTGAGAAAACTTGTTCACCTAAATCATAGATGGGACAAGAAGGTGCTTTATTATAATAGTGTCAGTCAATTCTATGAATTTCTTCCAAGTAATATGCTGGAAATTATATAGTGATTTATTATAAAATATATTTTTATCTCTTGTTGACTGTTAACTTGATGAAGTCATTTTTCAGTGTTGCTAAAAGCAAAGAATTAGAAACACCCTACTTAGAAAAAGACTTGTTAAACAGTCATAAGGAGTAATTTACTTTCTCAATTTCTGGGAAGAATACCAAAAAAATTCATACTAAAATTTATTAAATAACTATTAATTAAACCTGTTATACTTTAATTTAACCGAATATACTCAGAAAGTGTGAGAAAAATTAAAATATTAATTGCAGTATATCTGTCAATACAATTTTTTGAGAAAATAATTTTATTGTATCATATGCTGTAAATATACTTTCATCAACTCTACAGAACCTCAGATTTGGTTCATTCAATTTTTGGAAAATATTTACCATATAATCTAGGTTGGTAAAGCCAACTCTCATTGTTAAGACAACTAGCCAAATCAGATTTAAAGTTTCCTTCAGAAAATGTCTTACTTTATTCAAATAAATGTATAAACAGATGTTGTCCTGATTGTCTTCACACTCCTGAATCCTTTCCTAAGATGGATGGCAAAGGCATGCAGCCTCATCAGGAGTTTGTTGCATTGGTGACATATGGCACCCCTGCCTCTCATGCTTGCCTGGCTTTACTCTCAGGGGACTCTTCCTTAGGAATAATGCATTCTTTGATAATAGGTGAGGAATGAAAAACACAAGGACATTAAACAAAACTTGTCATCTGTCCTGCTGCCTCGTACTGTAATATATCAGAATACCAAACATGCTGGTGTGGACCAAAATACCTTGTTATTTATGCCATGCTTTCCCATTAAAAGAAATGTCTGGACAGACAGACCATTAGTTTTTTTCTGCTTTGATTAAAGGAGGCTTCCTCTATGTTCGTATTTTTAACTATTATTTGGTGCCTTAGAGGTTCTTATGCTTGGGAAGATATCATAATAAGATGGGTGAAGATATGCCTTTCTTTTGTAAAATGGGAGAAAATTGATTATTAGAGGGAAAGGGGAAAGAACTAGCCTGATACCTCTGCATAGTTGCATTCTCAGGCAGATCAGTTTTTGGTAAGAACATAGGTGGAAGTTGCGGATCTGGAAATTGCTTCCTTTAAAACTATCTATGCCCACCTAGCCCTTGGGAAATCTTTACATATCTCCAGTAGTGTGTATATACCAATTTGAAGGTAGTTTTTCTTATACTTTTTATTGTGCCCAATGATATGCTGAGATAGAGTTGGTACTAATACTTTCAGATTAGACTTTTTAGAGTTGGTACTAATATATAGTAATTAACATAGCAAGGGAAAGATTAGGACTATAAAAATATTGTTTAGCAAAAAGATATAAACAGAAATATCAGTTTATTTTCACTGGTTGTATTAGTACATTCTCAAATTGCTATAAAGGACTACCTGAGACTGGGTAATTGATAAAGAAAAGAGGTTTAATTGGTTTATGGTTCTGCAGGCTGTACAGGAAGCATGGCTGAGGAAGCCTCAGGAAACTTACAATCATAGCGGAAGGCAAAGGGGAAGCAAGAATGTCCTACATGGCTGGAGAAGGAGGAAGAGAGCGAAGCGGGAGGTGCTACACACTTTTAAACAACCAGCTCTCATGAGAATCCACTATCACAAGAACAAGGGGGAAATCTGCCCCATGAACCAATCACCTCCCACCAAGCCCCTCCTCTAACATTGGTGATTACAATATGACATGAGACTTGGGTGGGGACACAAATCCAAACCATATCACAGGTGTATTCTTTTATGTTCAAATCAAAATTTAAAAATTGTGTTGAGTTCTTTTATCTAATAATCTATACATTTCTGATTAGTTTCTCTTAGAACACATCAAATTCACACTGCAGTAATAAAGTTCTTTAAAATATTAATTAAAATAATTACAGTTCTCATTCCTGCTTTGCTAAAATTTTATTTGAATACTTTTCACTTTTTCAAACTCTATTTTCTATACTACATTAAACCTTATTTTTTAGAAAAGATGACTAAGTAATGTTATAACAGAGTTGTTGATGTAGGAAAGGGCTAGAATTTAAATTATTTTTCTAAATTTTCTCTGACCAAAGATTTTAATATTTATTCTAGATTGACTTATCATAATTATTGTTAGTATGCAGTCAATCAAAACCACATAAGTGCATTATAAATTTGTATGAATATTTGTCAAATATAAAGAAAATAATTTTATTTTCTTAAGAATTTAAGTTGTATTTTTAAAATCAGTCTGAACTTCTCACTTATTACAAAGAGACATATTAAAGTGATTAACACTCATAGGTTACCACTGGCAGATGGTTTATATTTAGCAGGAAAAAAAGGTATCTTCAGAAGTGATTAACTTACAAATTGGGAACTAATATAAAAACATAACTGTGTTTTGCCAAAGTAAAATCTTAAGCTTTATATTGTTGACAGGAAATGTGTGCAAGGCAGGATTGAAACAAGAGCATTGCCAAGATGTTCATTTGCCTACAGAAACTATGTTGTCCCAGGAAACACTTCCACTCAAGATTCATGGTTGGAAATCAACAGAGGTAAGTCTATAGTTTCCTATAGCTGCTGTAATAAATCACTGCAAGTTTTGTGCCTTAAAACAAACAAATTTATTATCTTCTGTAGGTTAGAAGCCTGACCCAGGGCTCACTGGGCTAAAATCAAGGTGTCCGTAGGGCTGTGTTCTTTCTGGAGGCCCTAGCGGATGATGTGTTTTTATGTTTTGGGTTTTTTTTAAATTTGTCTTTTGCAGCTTCATGTGTTCCAAGAGAAATTGTGCTTGTCTTTTAACTTTGCTTTTGGTGTCTTTTGTTATTCAAGGCTTTAAATATTAATAAGGTCAAATTATCAAAGTTTTATGGTCTGTGCTATTAAAAAAATCTTGAGAAATTATTTCTTACCCTAATATAATAAAATCTCTTATTTTTTCTTCTAAGTGTTGAGGTCCTTATGTCCTCTAGAATTTTTCTGTATAGTAGAAGATAGAGTCCTTCTTTGTACCCTTGTGGATAGGCAATATTTAATTTGTTGAATAGTCTTTTTCTACCCATTAAAAAGAATTCTTACTATGAAATAATTGTATACTCACAGGAAGTTGCAAAAATAGTACAGAGTCCCGTATGCCCTTCTCTCAGCTTGTGCCACTGTTGGCATGTTGTATGGTTGCAGCACAACATCAAAACCAGAAAACGGATATTGGTATATTAATTAGTACCAACTGGATTGCAGCCCTTATTCATTGTTCAACTTTTCAATTCACTGTTCAGATTTTTAAACTTGTATTTGTGTTTTTGTGTGTGTGGTTCTATGTAATTATATCCCATGTATAGATACGTGTAAACAGAGCCACAATGAAGAGATAGAACTGTTCCATCACCACAAAAGAAGTGCCTCGTGCTACCCACCCCACTCCCAACTCATCCTCTGGCAATAATATTTTCTCCATCTCTGCAGTGTTTGTCATGTCTATAACGTTATATAAATGGAATGAGACAGTATGCAGCCTTTTGAGATGGAATTTTTTCGCTCAGTGTAATGCTCCTGGGGGGCCGACAGGTTGTCACATGAATCAGTAATGCATCCCTTTTTGTTGCTGAGTATGTTCCACTGTCAGGATATACCAGATTTTGTTCAACCATTCATTCATTGAAGAATATTCGGATGTTTCCTTCTTTAGCTATGATGAATAAAGTTGCTGTGAATATTTGTGTACATATTTTTGTGTGAAGTTTTCATATCTCGGGGATAAATGTCAGAGAGTTGTAGGGTTGTACGGTAAGTGTGTGCCAAGTTTTGCAAAAATAGTCAAACTATTTTCCAGAGTGGCTATACCATTTTATATTCCCATGAGCAATGCATAAAAGATCCAGTAGCTCTGCATCCTAACCAACTTTTGGTATTACTGCTATTTTAATTTTAGCTCTTCTAATAGGTCTGTAATGATATCTCATTGTGATTTTAATTTGCATTTTCCAAATGGCTAATGATGTTGAATATCTTTTCATGTGCTTATTTGTGGCATTATAACTTATCTTTGACCTTATTCATATGTTCACATCTTTTATCCATTTTCTAATTGAATTGGTTTTCTTTTTACCATTGAGTTTTGAGTTCTTCACATATTCTGGATATAAGTTCTTTGTCAGATATGTGATCTGTGTATATTTTCTCTCCGTTTGTGGCTTGTGTTTTCTTTTTAACAATATCTTTCACAGAGCAAAATTTTAAGATTTCAATGAAGTCAAATTTTTCAGTTTTTGAAAATCATGCATTTGGTGTCATATCTAAGAACTCTTTGCCTAAACAATGTCACACAGGTTTTCTCCTAAAAGTGTCATGTTTTACGTTTAGGTCTGTGATCTATTTTGAATTAATTTTTGTGTAAGGTGTGAAGTGTATAGATAAAGGGCTTTTAATTTTTTTTTTTTTTTTTTTTTTTGCCCAAGTATATCCAGTTGTTTCAACACTATTTGTTGAAAAGACTTAATTTTACTACAGTATGCGTAAGTGTGGTTTTCTTTTCTTTCCTCTTTCTCACCCATGGGACTTTTCAGTTGGAGGATTTTTCATCTCTATTTAGTCCTGTGAAAGTTATCTCGATTTTTCTTCAATCATTTTCTACTGTTGATTTTCACTTTTTTATCTTTCTTGGACTCTTATTATCTGGATATTAGTAATTCTCTATCTTTATATCTCTTCACTTTTCTTTATAGTTTCTATTTGTTTTCTTTTTTCTGTGAGTTCCTCAATTTGATCTTCCAGCTTAGTAATTTATTCTCAGCTATATCCATTCAATTTTAAATATCATCTATATTCTCTATTTCAACTATTCTATTTTTATATGTAATATTCAGTATTTATGTTTCTTCTTTATATCATGTCTTCCTGTTTCATATTACTTATATCCCTTTTTATTTATCTTGGTATGTTTAGTAAATTTATTTTAAATTCTTGGTCTATGTTTTCTAATATCTGGGCTTCTGATGAAATCAGTGATTCAGTTTTTAATTTTTCTTTTGAAATAGTTATGCTCCTCCAATGGCTGGTTATCTTTAGAGGTAATGGCTGCTTTTTTTAAGTATTGCTAAAGGCTAGAGCTTAATCTGTCTGCTCCCTATCAGCTTAAGTGGGAGGTGAAGGAAATGGACTCGAGAGTGAAGAGTATTTCTTCCCCTTCACCCCCATAAGACCTAAGCTGATCATTTCTCACCCTAAGGATCAATGCCTCAAGTTATGAATTAATTCTTAATACCCCAAGAAGAAGTAGCCTTAGGGGGAGACACTTCTTAAATTGCAAACCACATGCCCACCTGGGGGACAGGAAGAGGAAGGGTGAAGAAGCATCTTCCCAAGCCTACCCCAGTCGCCCCCAGATTTTCTCAGCTCCTTGCCCACTCGGCTTCTGCACAGACTGGAAGGTACTCCTGAGTACAGCTGCCTGAGTCCCAGTAGCTGTGGAGGCCAGTTGCAGGGCAGCAAATGGAGTGTCATTATGATACTTTTCTTCCTATGTTATCTTGTCACTGCAGACTCCCTTCCTTCCGTCCCAGGATAAAGCCAGCACCGACACCCCTACTCACTCTCACACACATTTACCAGTTCAAAAGAGCTCTGTGTCTCCCCGGGGGCCTTTCAGTTTTCTTCTCATTTTGATGTCGTTCCTTTATAGTACCTCCTGGGTTGATCTTGTGAGAGGGAGCCACCAGAACCAGAAGCAGGACTTGCTGTTCTTTCTGCAGTGTTCTGCGACCTTCTCAGACATAGTATCTACTTAACTCCTGTTTGCACTTTCACATGACAACTCACATCTTTAATTTTAGCATATAGCTCTTAAAACATTACTTTTCCTCCATCTCCTTGAACACTTTTTCTGCTTAATTTCCGTTAAATATACATTGGATTACTCTGTCATTTTTAATGGCTTTCAGCAGCTTTTTAAAACTTTTTTTTGTTTCATATCTCCATGCTGCATTGTGATTAGATCATCTTTCAGTTCATTTATTCTCCTTTCGTAGGTGCCCACTTAGAATTTTTCTGTCTAGTGAGGTATTTATTTATTTATTTATTTTAGAAACAGAGTTTCCCTCTGTTGCCCATGCTGGAATGCAGTGGAATGATCATAGCTCACTGTAACCTCAAACTCATGGGTGCAAGCGATCTTCCCACCTCAGCCTCCCAAGCAGCTGGGAGTGCATCACTATGCCTGGCTAATTTTAAAAATATTTTGTAGAGACGAGGTCTTACTATATTGCCGAGGCTAGTCTCGAACTCCTGGCCTCAAGTGATCCTCCCGCCTTGGCCTCCCAAAGCACTGGGATTACAGGCATGAGCCACCACATTCTGCCAGGTTTTTATTTCAATAACTCTATTTTTCATTTAGAGAACCTCTCATTGCTTCTTAAGTATATCCATTTGTACTTATTTCATATCTGCCTGTTTTTATTTCTTGATTTATTCCGGTAAATTAAATGTTATCCTTTTCATTATCTTTTAAGACTACGTGTACTCAGTTTTAAATACTTTCTATATATTTTGTTTGTTTGTTTTGTTTTTTGAGACAGAATTTTGCTCTTGTCACCCAGGCTGGAGTGTAGTGGCATGATCTCGGCTCACTGCAACCTCCGCCTCTGGGGTTCAAGCGATTCTCCTGCCTCAGCCTCCCAAGTAGCTGGGTATACAGACGCCCGCCACTACACCTGGCTAATTTTTTACATTTTTAGTAGAGATGGGGTTTCACCATGTTGGCCAGGCTGGTCTTGAACTCCTGACCTCAGGTGATCCGCCCGCCTTGGCTTCCCAAAGTGTTGGGATTACAGTCATGAGCCACCGTACCTGGCCCCTATATTTCTTTATTATATTGACTTTTTCAGGAGTGAATTTGGTTTTCTTTCTGTGTTTTAGAGTATTGGATTATAAGCTCATCTTGAGTAGCTCAAGTTTTTGTTTTTGTTTCTTAATCTTTCTCTCTGTGTCCTTTCTCCTTCCTGCTTAACAGTCTTTCATTTTGCCTCCTCCTGACACCCAGAACTATTCATCCACATTCAGGACTTACTGGCAGCTTGGGATTGCTTTCTTTTGCTGGTATCAGAGATATTGCAGATCTGGTCCCTAGACCAAAGGATGCTGTATTTTAATTGCTAGAGAGGTTTGTGTTCTCTCACCTATCCGAGTCTAATACTTTTAGAAGCCACAACCCCAGGCTGTGACTGATGACAGGTTATTTCAGCTTCCTTTGTAAGTGGGGATCCTAATACCTGAGCATAATCTCAAGCAGGGATCCATATTCAGCACTCCTATCTTGAATTGACACTGTAGCCTTCAGCAGTTGAGCTCCTGATTTTCTCT
The DNA here is from genome assembly GCF_000001405.40 of Homo sapiens. Lineage (NCBI taxonomy): Eukaryota > Metazoa > Chordata > Mammalia > Primates > Hominidae > Homo > Homo sapiens. Next base: position 39,831,035 of record NC_000022.11, on the reverse strand, counting down.
GACATTTTCTGTACCCAGAGCCCCAAAGGTCCACAGCTTCAGCCTCTCCTTACCATTATTTGTTTCTGTTCCATGAAGATGTTAATCTTGGTTTTGAGCATGACTGTATCTTTTTAATTTTCACATTTGCATTTTCTCTCTCATTGCTCTATATTTGGAGAAGGGAGACATCCCCAAAGTATGAACATACAGAACCATCTTGGCTAGAAATCCGTTTCACTCATGACTGTGAAATTATCTCATTAATTCGTTTTTCTGTTTGTTGTCTGTTTCTCCCACTAGAAGGAAATCTTCTTGAGTAGAGACCTGTTTAGTCTTTATTCATTGCTGAATCTTCAATTGACAAATTTTTGTCAACTGAAGAAATGAATGAATAATAGACAGTAAATGAACGTTAGCTTCTCTTTTTTTCCTGTGAAAGATGCTTGTTTAGTCTTGTGCTCAGAGTGCTTTTCTTAGTGTTCCCTGCTGGAATTCCTATAAGGAAGGTTGGAATTATTATTATTATTTTTTACTTTCTGTTCCTGATGCCTTTCCCCAACCCAATTAGGTATCGGATTCAATTGTTTTTCTAACAGCTTAGAAAGGTACATAAAATTAAAATTTCGCTGTTCTTTAATTTCGTAATAGCTCACTGACTGAAAAGACAGATTATTTTAGGGGCCGGGCACAGTGGCTCGCACCTGTAATTCCAGCATTTTGGGAGGCCGAGGTGGACGGATCACTTGAGGTCAGGAGTTCAAGACCAGCCTGGCCAACATGGTGAAACCCCATCTCTACTAAAAATACGAAAATTACCGGGCGTGGTGGTGTGTACCTGTAATCCCAGCTACTTGGGAGGCTGAGGCAGGAGAATTGTTTGAACCTGGGAGGCAGAGGTTGCAGTGAGCTAAGATTACACCACTGCACTCCAGCCTGGGTGACAGAGTGAGACTCCATCTCAGGTGTGTGTTTGTGTGTACACACATAGATTGTTTTAAAAGATAAGACAACAGGGCATAGTGATGTGTGTCTGTAGTTCCAGCTACTTGGGAGCCTAAGGCAGGAGGATCACTTGAGCCCAAGGAGTTTGTAACTGTAGATAGTATGCTATGATTACACCTGTGAATAGCCACTGCATTCCAACCTAGGCAACGTAGTGAGACCCCCATCTGTAAAATAAATAAATAAATAAAATTTAAAGATAAGACATTAAGTCAAAAATTATTTTATTTATTTATTTATTTATTTATTTATTTATTTATTGAGACAGAGTCTCTCTATGCCACCCAGGCTGAAGTGCACTGGCATGATCTCGGCTCACTTCAGCCTCTGCCTCCCATGTTCAAGTGATTGTCCTGCCTCAGCCCTCCAAGTAGCTGGTACTATAGGCGCCTGCCACCATGCCCGGCTAATTTTTGTATTTTTAGTAGAGACAGGGTTTCACCAGGCTGATCTTGGCCAGGCTGATCTTGAACCCCTGACCTCAGGCAATCCACCCGCCTTGGCCTACCAAAGTGCTGAGATAACAGGCGTGAGCTACCGTGCCCAGCCAAAATGATTTTAAAATTTGAGATCAGCCTATTTTCTGCTGATGGCTTTTGAGGTAGAAAATAGACTTGAATAATCCTATGTGCTTTGGAATGAAAGAAATAGTCACCTATTTTTTTTTTTTTTGTATCTGTCTTTAAATCCTGATTACTATTGTTTTTTTCTTACTTCAGAGAAACTCAGTGTTATTGATCTACATTACATCTTATTTCAGTGAGAAAAAATGTTGCATTTCTCTCAAAAGAAGTTTAGAAGTTGGATTTTCCTTTTTCAAAGCATCACTGTATTATAACAATATCCCATTATCCTCTTGACAAGCATCTTTTCTTATTACTATTAGGAGCATTTGTTACATTCCAATATGTCCTCTTCAGTAGTCTGCTCTTGTAGCAGAAGACAAAACCTAGTAAGTTGAACAGTAAATCTAATTGTTGTTGTCAAATGTACTACATCTACAGAATGAGAAATAAATGATTGCTTAGGCAGAATGAGGGGCGCTTAAAATATCTCTTAAAAATGTAAGTAGAAACCTCTTTAACTATTCTCATTTTATAAATGAAAGAAAAATTATCTTAAATGCAGTAAACAAAATTCATAACAGAATAGAGCTTTTAAAAGCAGAACAGGGCTTGCCTAAATGTTACTTTTGAAACTAAGGAAAGACTTTAAATTTATGACTGACATGATCTGTTTTCTCTATATATACTGCCCAGGATTTTTATTATTAGATTTGCTAATGAATAAGGCTATTTGCAGCTTTTCATCACCTCAAAAGACCTTACTCTTTTCCTGTTTGAGGAGATTCAACAATGAGGTTGTGATGTTTTTGGTCTCAGTTGTTTCCATAGAAACAGATAGAGATACTATGAATTGGTTCACACAAAATTAAAGCTGACCGAAACCTTCAGTCTAGTTGTGATTTACTAAATTGATAGTGATACACGATAAATATTTGTTTCCTACTGCCTTCATTTGTTATTTTGCTAAATGAAGAGTATACATTTTTATCTTTTGGTTTATTGGGATGCCATTTATTATATTTCCTAAAATTTGATCTCACCAAAGTTGTTAGAGAAATGGAAATTCTACTTATTCTAATTATGTTAATTCATTTTTCTTGTATCTTTTTGCTACATCATTGTTTTATGCTTAAAAGGTTTTTTTTATTTTCATGCTTGTACTCTTGTTACTTCTTTTTAAATTAGAAAGCACTTATTGAAAAGTGTTCAGACAACATCACAGGGTAAAGAGTACAGAGCAGGGTGGCTCCTTACTCCTCCATGCTTCTCAAGTTCCTTTCCCCAGAGGCAACTCCAGCAGTTTCCAGTGATTTTGGGGGGAAATTTTTGTGTCTACACATTTCTTTTACCTGACTGGTCTCATTCAATATGTATTGCTCTGCAACACACTTTGAACTGAACAATATATCATGGACATCTTTCTGTATAATAAATGTAATCATTCAATGTATATTTCAAGATATGCTTTTTTAGTAAACTACATCTTATAGACATTTTTCTATATCAGTACATATTGCTGTGCTGTATTCTTTATCTATATACGTATACACATACATATATATATATAATCTTAGCCATTTCCTATTGGTAATCACTTGGCTCTTTCATGTTTTTGCCTGTTAAAGCAAAGTTGCAATAATAATCCTTGTACATATATTTTTATTATGCTGTCTCAGAAGGGGAATTGCCAAAAGGTTATGCTTATTTTTAATTTTGAAAAATGCTGCCAAATTATCCTCCTAAAAGTTGTACCAGTTTATTGGTACACAGTACTGGTATACAGTTTATATAGTCTATCATCTTGATTCCCCTCATCTTTGCAAATACTGTTATCAAAAGTTTTCATTTTTGTCAATCTGAGAGGAAGAAAATTTTTATTTTAATTTTTTACTGTAACTTTTTATGTGTTTATTGGGCATGTTTGTTTCTTTTTACTGTTAACTCTATTCATGTCCTTTGCTTATTTTCCTTTTTGGTTTCTCATCTTTGTCTTAGCAATTCCTAAGAGCAATTTGTGTATTAGAGAATTAGCCCACTTCCTGGTTCTTTATCTATTTTCCATTTGATTTAAAATTTTTATTTATGACTTTTTTTGCTTTATAGAAATCTTTATAAAATGTTTATAAAATCTTTATTAAATGTTTAAAAAATCTTTACAAAATGTTACCCTGGGCTGACCATACTGGTTCATGCCTGTAATCCCAGCTCTTTGAGAGGCTGAGGCGGGTGGATCACGAGGTCAGAAGATCGAGACCATCCTGGCTAATACGGTGAAACCCCGTCTCTATTAAAAATACAAAAAATTAGCCAGGCGTGGTGGCAGGCGCCTGTAGTCCCAGCTACTTGGGAGGCTGAGGCAGGAGAATGGCGTGAACCTGGGAGCCAGAGCTTGCAGTGAGCCGAGATCGCGCCACTGCACTCCAGCCTGGGTGACAGAGAGAGACTCTGTCTCAAAAAAAAAAAAAAAAAAATTAGTTGGGCATGGTGGCATGCGCTTATAGTCCCAGCCGCCAGGGAGGCTGAAGTGGCAGGACAGCTTGAGCCAAGATTATACCACTGCATTCCAGTCTGGGCAACAGAGCACGACTCTCCCTCAAAATTTAAAAAAAGTCACTCTGATCTTTTTTTTTTTTTTTAACAGACTATTTTTTAGAGCCATCTTAGGTTCACAGCAAAATTGAGTGGAAGCTACGGAGATTTCTCCTTATGTCCTCTACCCCTCCTACAAGTATACCCTTCCCACCCCTACCAACATCCTACATCAGAGTGTCAAATTTTTACAATCAATCAATCTACATTAACATATTGTAATCACCCAAAGTCCAGTTTACATTAAGGTTCACTCAATATTAGCAATATGTGAAATACAGCTAAAGCGGTGGTGAGCGGGAACTTTTCAGCACTTACATTTATAATGTAAACATTTTTTTAAACGCTTACAGTAGAAAAGAGGAAAGGTTTGAAATCAATAATCTAAGTTCTTTCCTCAGGAAACTCAGAAAAGTGAAATAAATGCACAAGGAATAGAAGAAAGGAAATCATAAAGAACAAATTAATGAAATTGAAAACAGGAAAACAACAGAGAAAAAGGAATGATACAAAAAGCCAGTTCTTTGAAAAAAAAGATAAATAAGTAAAAATAATTAAAAAATTTAAAAAACAATAAAAGTTGATAAACCTCTAACAAGACTGGCAAAGACAAAGAGAGAAGACACAAATCACCAGTATCAGGATGAGACAAGAGATAACCACTACAATTGCTTCAGCTCTAAAAGGATAGTAAGGGATTACTATCAACAACTTTATACTTACGGGCCAGGCATGCTCATAATCCCAGCACTTTGGGAGGCCGAGGCAGGCGGATCACTTGAGGCCAGGAGTTTGAGACCAGCCTGGCCAACATGGTGAAACCATGTGTCTATAAAAAATGCAAAATACAAAAATTAGCCAGGCGTGGTGGTGTGCGCCTATAGTCCCAGCTACTCAAGAGGCTGAGGCATGAGAATCACTCGAACCTGGGAGGCAGAGCTTGCAGTGGGCCCAAGTCATGCCACTGCACTCCAGCCTGGGCTACAGAGTGAGTGAGACTCTGTCTCAAAAACAAAACCAAGAACATCTATTTGGTTTGTTTGGTTAGTGGGAGGGAGGAATGAATAAAGCACAGAGGATTTTTAGGGTAGTGAAACTACTATGTCTGATATAAACCAAACAAACCAAATAGATAATCAAAATAGGCAGGCAGAGTGAGACTCTCTCAAAAAGAAAACAAAAAAAAAAACCACAAAAACTTTATAACTTTGACAAATCAAAAGAAATAGAATACTTTCTCAGAAAATGTAAACTACCCAAACTCAATAGTTCTACAATCATTTTAAAAATGAGAGTCTTGATTGCACCACTGTACTCCAGCCTGGGTGACAGAGTGAGACCCTGTCTCAAAAAATAAAAAAATAAAGAAGAATTAACAGCAGTTTTACACAATGTCTTCCAGAAAATGGAACAGGAGGGAAGACTTCCCAATTCATTTTATGAGGCAAGTATTACCCTGATCCCAAGTTTAAACAAAGAAGGTACAGAAAAAGAAAACTACAGACTAATATCTCTCATGAAACTAGATGCAAAAATTCTCAACAAAATATTAGCCAGTTGAATCCAGCAATATATAAAAGCATACAGAAATCAACTGAATGTCTACATACTAACAATGAACATGTGGAAACTTAAATTAAGACAATACCATTTGAAATACTTAGGTATAAATTTAAATACTTAGGCATTAAAATACTGAAGTATAAATTAAAATACTTATGTATAAATCCAAATTGAAATACTTAGGTATAAATTTAACAAAACATGTACAGAGTCCATATGTTGAGAATTATAAAATACTGATGAAGGAAATTAAAGAGGACCCAAATAGAGACCTATCATGTTACATGGATTGGAAGACTCAACATAGTAAAGGTCATAGTACAGATGACCCTAATTATTCTATAGGTTTAATGTAATTCCTATTAAAATCCCAGAAAGGTTTTCTATAGGGGTAGATAATAACCTTGTTCTAAAATTGATATGGAAAGGCACAGGCCCTAGAATAGCTAAAACAATTTTGAAAAGGAAGAACAAAATGGGAGTAATCCTTCTGCCTGATATTAATGCCTGTGTATAGCTACAGTAATCAAGAGAGTGCGGTATTGGTGGAGAGACAAACACTTGGATCGGTGGAACAGAATAGAGAACCCAGAAATAGACACACACAAACATGGCCAACTGATTTTTGACAAAGGTGCAAAGGAAATTCAATGTAGGAGGATTAGCCTTTTCAAAAAATAGTGCTACAGCATTGGACATTCAGACAACCATGAATCTCAACCTAAACCTTGTATAGAAATTCACTCCAAGTTAATCACAGACTTAAATGTAAACTATAAAACTTTTAGAAAATACAGGAGAAAAATCTTTGAGATTTAGAACTGGGGCCGGGTGCGGTGGCTCACCCCTGTAATCCCCGCACTTTGGGAGGCTGAGACGGGCGGATCACTAGGTCAGGAGTTTGAGACCAGCCTGGCCAACACGGTAAAACCCCGTCTCTACTAAAGATACAAAAAATTACCTGGTCGTGGTGGCATGCGCCTGTAATCCCAGCTACTTGGGAGGCTGAGGCAGGAAAATCGTTTGAACCCTGGAGGCGGAGGTTGCAGTGAGCCGAGATCGTGCCGTTGCACTCCAGCCTGGGTGACAAGGCGAGACTCTGTCTCAAAAAAAAAAAAAAAAAAAAAAAAAAGAACTGGACAAAAGCATGATCCCTAAAAGGAAAAATATGATACATTAAACCTCATCAAAACTGAAAATGTTTGCTCTGCAAAAGACCCTGTTAAGAGGATGGAAAGATAATTTACAGACTGGGAAAAAATATTTGTAAACCCCGTATCTGGCAAAGGACTAATATCTGGAGCATTTAAAGAACTGTTAAAACTCACCAGTTTAAAACCAAACAGTCCAATTAGAAAATGGGCACATGTTATGAACAGTCATTTTAACAAATACAGATGGTAAGTAAGCGCACGAAAAGTTGTTCAACGTTATTAGCCTTCAGGAAAATGTAACTTAAACATGCAATGAATATTAAAATGGCTAAAATTAAAAAATAGTGACAACACTAAATGCTAGTGAGAATATGGAGAAATTAAAACACGAATATATTACTGGTAGGAATGCAAAATGGTACAGCTACTCTGGAAAACAGTTTGGTAGTTTTTAATAAATCTAAACGTGGCTACTATATGAACAGCAATTGCTCTCCTAGGAATTTATACCAGAGATATGAACATCTAGGCTGGTACAGTGGCACATGCCTGTAATCCTAGCACTTTGGAATGCCAAGTTTGGGTGGATCGTTTGAGCTCAGCAGTTTGAGACCAGCCTGGGCAACATGGCTAAACATCATTTCTAAAAAAAAAAAATTAAAAAAAATTTAGTCGGGCATGGTGATGCGTACCTGTAGTCCCAGCTACTTGGGAGGCTGAAGTGGGAGGATCACTTGAGCCTGGGAAGTTGAGGCTGCTGTGAGCCAAGATGGCGCCACTGCACTCCAGCCTGGGCGACAGACTGAGACTCTGTCTCAAAAAGAAAAAGAAAATGTATATCATACAAAAACCTGTACACAAATGTTCACAGCAGCTTTATTTGTAATAGCCAAAATCTAGAAACAATCCAGAGGTCCTTTAACAGGTTAAACTATGTTACATCTATATCAAGGGTACTACTCGCAATGAAAAGGAAGAAACTTGAAATGAAATAATTTGGATGAATCTCTAGGAATTATGCAAGGCTAAAAAAGCCAGTCCCAAAAGGTTACATACTGTATGATTCCATTTATATAGCATTCTTCAAATGTCACAACTATAGAAATGAAGGAGAGATTAGGAACAGATTAGTTCTGTTGAGGGAGTGTATGTCTATGAAAGGGCATCAGAAAGGATTCTTGTGATTGTGATAGAAATGTTCTGTATCTTGACTATTTCAATGTCAATATCCTGAGTATGATATTGTACTATAATTTTGCAAGATGTTACCTTTGGAGGAAACACAGTAAAGGTTACATAGGCTCTATTATTTCTTACATGTGGATCTAAAATGAGCTCAAAGTTGAGTTTTTAAAAGGGGCAAATCACTTTGGAAAATGGTTTGGCAGTTTCTAATGAAGTTGAAAATAGACCTGTCCTATAAGCTAGAAATGCTATACTACTACTATGTAGTATCCAGGAATAATGAATGCATTTGTCCACAAAAAGATTTATACAAGAATGTTCATAGTAGCTTTATTCATAATAGATGAACTTTGGAAATAATCCGTATGCAGGAGAATGGATAAACAATTGTGATACATTCACATCTGTTTTTTGTGCAATCTCTCCCTCCTTTCTTATAGGTAGGAAAGGAGGGAGGAACTACACAGTAAAACATGGATGAATCTCATGTACATTATGTTGAGCAATAGGAACCAGACACAAAAGTATACATAGTGTATGATTACATTCATATGAAACTCAAGAACAGACAAAATTCAATAATGGTGATATGATAGAATAGTGGTCATGATGCAGGCTGGTGGGATGGTATCAGCTGGAAAGGAGCTTGAGGAAACTTTCTGGGTGCAGGAAATGTGGTTACTATATAATTGAATACTCATATGATAAAAGTTATCGAGCTCTACATGTAAGGTCTGTGTATTTTACTGTATGTTAATTACAATGGAGAAAAATTATCCCTAGTTCACAGAAAAAAAAAAAGACATACCAGCTAAACCCACTCTATAGACTTGATTTGGATCCTTTTCAAACAAGCTGTAGAAAAACCTGTTTATGACATTTAGGAGAAGTTGGAAATATGAACAGTTTATGGTAATTGATGACATTAGGAGCTATGAAGTTTATCAGTTTGATGCAGTTATTATCAGTTAGAGATTGCTGTCGTCTGAATACTTGTTTTCCTCCCAAATTCTTAGTTGAAATCCTAACACCCAAAGTGATGGTATTAGGAGGCGGGATCTTCGGGAGGTGACTAGGTCATAAGGGCATAGCCCTCATGAATATGATTAGTGCCCTTATAAAAGAAGCCAAGAGAACTCCTTGGTCACCTTCTGCCATGAGAGGTTATAGTGAAGAAATGACTGTCTAGGAGGTGGGGCCTTGCCAGACATCAGATCTGCCAGCACCTTGACTTGCTAACCTCCCAAACTGTAAGGAATAAATTTCTGTTGTTTATAAGCCACTCAGTTGATGGTATTTTGTTATAGTGACCGGAATGGACTAAGGCAGAGATACATAATGAAATAAGGGATTATTCTAGGATTTGCTTCAAAGTGAAACAGGTTGTCACAGATCACAAATGAGGCATGGTAGGGATATAAATGAAACAAGATTAGCCATCAGTTGATTATTGTTTAACCTGCATGATTGGATTGATTATCTTTTGTGTCTACTTTTTACTTGGTGATAAAAAGTTAAAAGTTTTAAATATGAATAAAAGATATATACAGGTGACTTTATGATTGCCAGTGAGACAAGATAATTGGCCTCTGAGATAGTATGCTGTAAGGATGCTGAAGGGTGGTAGGTAAAGGTAGTGCCCTAAGCAAAATCCTTGCTATCTACCGACGGTGTCTTCAGCAAGGTCTGGGGATTCCCGAGGGCACAAAACCTCCCTACACCCAGTAGACAGCCAAGTGATAGATGTATGTTTGAGTTAATTAAATTAGAATGTGTTTATGATGATGTTAGCACATTTAGATACTTTGTAGCTCAATAAATTGTCCATCCAGGGATATTAATTTTTTTCTTCAATTCTCATGTTCTTGTGTTTTCTGTCAGGACCTGATGACATTTTTGGATGATGATCCAGAGCTGCCTTTACTAGCAACACCTCCTTCCATTGTCTCTCCAATCACTTGCTTGTCAGAAGCAGAAGAAGTTTGTAATCTTTCGGGTGCAGGTAAATTGGTTAAGGAATAGGAAGTTTACTTATCAGATTTTATTTTGTGAAGTACAGCAACCGTTGGCTTCTATTTAACTTTGTTAATGAGGGACAGAACTAGCATGGATAAATTCAACCCACAACATGGTCCTATAATCTTGTTTTACCATTTGTTTCAGTGTTTTCTCTCTTCCTGTTTTACTTTTTCCTTTTTCATTGTTTGTTTCAAAAATTGACTACAAGCTTTAACTCTTTTACAAGTAGTTTTAATAGCAGAAAATTAATTTTAGTTCCTGTTTTTTTTCATAAAGAATTTAAATTATGAACTCTTTCAAAAGCAGGCATCAAGTGAAAATGTGAAGAGCTAAGATGCACAGTAGCCACAAATTGGTTAATCATCTCTTGAGTAATTAACATTAGAGAAAGGCACAGTATAAAATTATACAAAACTAGCCTCCAATAAATTACACGATTGAGTTCCAACTGGGCTCTGCGACTACTCTGGATCCTTGAGGATCTGACTGACTCACTGTTGAGTCACTGCATCCTGTCTCTATTCTCCATGAACTCTCAATTTTCAATGCATTCTTCCTCTTGATTTTCTCAGAAAGTAGAATGGAAGATCTTCTGCCACCATGAGAACGAAACGTTCTCATTAGTATCTTTCATCACCTTATAAATCTTTGCTTTTATATTCATACAGGCATCTTTTCCCTTACCACAGAGGTGGCTTTTTATGTTTTGAGTTATATCTTCCCACTCTTCTTGGACCATGCATCTCACATTTTCTCCTTATATAGATCTATAATATCCAGTGTATAAGTGCTATAGTTTATTAGTATGGGTTTATTTTCTTGTTCAAGTTCATATTTATAGAGTTTTCTTACAAAGCCAGTTGTGAGAATGATGAGGATATTTTAATAAACACAAAAACAAGAAATTGGGGGTTATAGTGATGTTTGTATAAGGATGGCATTAGTCACATGGATAATTAGTTATAAGTGGTTATAATTTTTAGAAAGCTTGCTTTGTATTCTTAAACAGATTTAGATCCAGAAGCTTGAAAGAAGAGCATTAAGGAAAATGTTTTGTATTCTGCACCCCCTGACAGTTTTTTCTCCTAAAATTTTAAAAATAGACTTTGTTTTAGAGCAGTTTTAGGTTCACAGCAAATTTGAGCAGAAAGTAAAGAGTTCCCACGTACCCCTGTTCCACACCAGAGTGGTACATTTGTTACAATCAATGAACTTCCATTGCCATATAATCATCTGAAGTCCATGGTTTATATTGGGCTTCCCTTTTGGTGTTATATATTCTGTGGGTTTGGACAAATGTATAATGATGTGTATCCACCATTATAGTATCAGACATAGTAGTTTCACTACCCTAAAAATCCTCTGTGCTCTATTCATCCCTCCCTCCCACTAACCCCTAACAACCAGTGATCTTTTTACTGTCTCCATAGTTTTTCCTTTTCCAGAACATCATATAGTTGGAATCAGATGGTATGTATGATTTTTAGATTTTTTTTTTTTACTTGGTAATTAACACTCTGGGTTCCTCCATATCTTTTCACGGCTTGATAGCTCTTTTCTGTCTTTTTTTTTTCTTTGTTTCTTTTCTTTTTTTGTTTTTGTTTTTGTTTTGAGACAGAGTCTCGCTCTGTCACCCAGGTTGGAGTACAGTGGCGCGATCTCGGCTCACCGCACCTTCCACCTCCCGGGTTCAAGCGATTCTCCTGCCTCAGTCTCCCAAGTAGCTGGGACTACAGGCACCCGCCACCATGCCTGGCTAATTTTTGTATTTTTAGTAGAGTCGGGGTTTCACCGTGTTAGCCAGGATGGTCTTGATCTCCTGACCTTGTGATCCACCCACCTCAGCCTCCCAAAGTGCGGGGATCACAGGCATGAGCCACCATGCCTAGCCGATAGCTCTTTTCTTTTTAGTGCTGAATAGAATGTACCACAGTTTATTTATCCATTCGCCTACTGTAATGCTGAATAGAATGTACCACAGTTTATTTATCCATTCACCTACTGAAGGATATCTTGGTTGCAGTTTTGGCAGTTATGAATAAGCTGCTTTAAACATCTGTGGCAGGTTTTTGTGTGGAGAAAAGTTTTCCCTCCTAACATTTTAATACAAGTGAAATTGAGTATAAATGAGCATAAGAAGCAATCCTAAGGAGGAAAAAAGTAAAAAATGTAGCCGGAGGGGGGATCCCACCATTTTACTTGGCTTGGACCCATCTTAATCAGAGGGGCTTTTTCTATTTTTAAGTCATTCATTTCTGCAATCTTTCCTTTACAGTAGTCTCAGAGATATCTTGCTAAAATGCAGATCTTAGCATTTCACTTCCCAGCTTAAAAGCTTTCAACAGTTCTCCACTGGCAATAGGATAAGTCTAATTTTTAAAATAGTACCAGACAAGTACTTTTCATAGTCTGGTCCCAGCCAGACTATGGGCTTCATCACCTAAAACTGCCAGTACTCACAATGCCCTGTGACATTCCATTGCTTGTGTACTTTCTTCTCTTTAGAATGTCTTTGTTCCAGTTACTTTGACTGTGTAACACATTGCCCTGAAACTTCGTGGCATAATCATTTTTTCTGCTCAAGGATTCTCTGGGTCAGGAATTAGGATAGAGCACAGTGGCGATGGCTTGTCTCTGTTCCATGATGCATATCTAGCCTTAGCCAGGGAACACAAAGGCTGGGGCAGGAATCATCTGAAGGCTTGCTGACTCACGTGTCTAGCAGTTGATGCTGGCTATCGGCTGGAGGCCTCAGTTCCTCTCCATATGAGCCTCTTCATGTGGTCTTTCCATGTAGGCTAGTTTGGGTTTCCTGACAGCATCGTGGCTGTGTTTCAAGGATGAGTATTTTGTGAAAGAAAGGACCAGACAGAAGTTGAATCATCTCAGAAGTCATGCTGTAATACTTCCACCTCATTCTGTTCAACAAGGCAATCACAAAGTCCTGCCCAAGTTTAAGGGGGTGGGGACATAGACCCCCCTACAACCTCTCCATGGAGGAAGGAGTGTCAGTGTCATATTGAAAGAAAGGCATATTGGATGAGACATATGTTGGTATAGTCATCTTTGGAAAATATAATCTGCAACAATCTTCCATCAAATTATAAATCCTTGACAAAATCCTATTTGAATAGCCAGGTCCAATGAAAATGTCACAACTGCTATAAAATCTTTCTGCATGCTAAACTAGTTTCTCCTTTCACTATGTTCCCAGAAGACTTTGCCCATTTCCCCATTATACAGTTTATAATTTTGTATCATAATTATTTAATAAATATTTATTTTAAAATTATATAAGTGAATATACTCTTAATTTAAAAAAATTCAAATACAGAGAAAGTCAAAAGCTCCCTTGACTGTCCCTTACCCCAACACAGTCCCCTCCGCAGAGTGAACTATTACCAGTTTGGTGATTACCTCCCATACCTTTCTGTGTGTATTACATACATACGTGTACCTTTAGAAATATATAGAATTCACTTTGTTTTAAAACCTTATTCTGCATTTTCCTGAAGCTTTTTTTAACTTAAGAATATCACTTGACTATCCTTCGGTGTATGTCAATGTGTAGAGATTTGCCATATTTTTAAAAACTCCTGCAATCCTGGCTATCATAGTTTATTCCCTTGCTGATGACATTTTGATGTTTTTCACTGTTACAAAGAATGCTTCAGTGAATAACCTTGTGCACATATGTGAGTGTTTCTTTAGGATGTGCTCCTAGAAATGGATTCTCTTGGTCATAATTTGTGCCCATTTTCATCGTAATTCATACAGCCAAACAGCCCTTCAGAATATCAGTATCAATTCACAGCCTGGTTTGCAGCCTATTCACTCACATTCTCACCAACACTTGATGTTTTCAAGCCTTATGTTTTTATCACTTGGGTAAAAAGTTGCATTACATAGTAGGTATAATTTGCATATAGCTACATATTGAGTAGATATTTCTATTTCCTCTTCTATGGATTACCTGTTTTTTAACCTATTTTTTATTTTTTTCATTTAAATTGATTTTATAGCTATATATATAGAGATATATATCAGATATATTTCTATATATCTATAGATATATACATAGATATCTGATTCTTTCTCTGCTATTTATGTTGCAAATATCTTTCAGCTTGTGAATTGTCTTTCAACTTTCTTAATGGTGTCTTTGTAGAAGTTTTATGTTTTATTTAGTCATATTTATTCCTCTTTTTCTTCATGGCTTTTAGTTTTTGTGTTTTTAAGGTGGCTTTTCTTATACCAAGTTAATAGAACATATTTGCCCATATTTTATTTTAATTATTCTGTAATCCATGTGCATTTAAAGTATTTGCGAATGGTTTTAGATAAGGGCAATGGGCAGCCAGTTGTCTCAACATTTATTGACTAGGCCATTTTTCTCGACTGCTTTGAAATGACTCTTTAACCTGCACTAAATAGTATCTGTTTAACAACTCTATTCTATTCCATTGGTTCACTTTTCTTGTTCTGGTCTGTTTAATTTTTTGCAACAACTATAACAGCGTACCATAGTGTTAATGTATACTATTTTATTTAACTAGTATTGTCATAATGGTCATTTAGGTTATTTCTGTATTTTTGCTTTTATAAACAATGATGAAATGGCGTTATTTTCCCCTCCCAAATAAAATAGACTTTATATTTTTCCCTGATTTGACACAGATTCTAAAATACATTATTCTGAATTTCTCTTGGTAAATTCTGTCCAGTTCACTAACTTATCCTGTCAACAGATGGTTCTAATTTCCATGTTATGATTTTGGCAACTTCAGCTCAAGACAAAAATAAAGTAGGAGAGTTATTGTGGTACAGAATCCTCAGTTCTCCTTTTCTCCCTTGCCTTTGCCCTCCATAGGCACGTGACGATCTGCTGTTCACACTCTGGCCTGCAGTAGAGAGGTCTTACTCCCTCACACCCCCACTAGCACTAGGGACTTGTCTCACTGACTTGCCCCTATCCTCACCTCCAGAGGAACCTCTCTTTACTCATTATTCCTTGCTTTTCTTTATAGTTTTACTACATGTTTATACTCTACACAATATATATTTCGTTTCACAGGCTCTTGAACTTTATATAAGTAGAGTCATTATGAATTTATTTTTCTGTGACTTTTATCATTCAATATCATTGCTTAAGATTCACCTATTTATTTTCACCGCTGTACAGTATTTCATTGTATGTATATATTATAATGCATTTGTTTATTCTTCTGTGGAATACTATCCTCATTATGTATCAAGTTATTGTATTGTAAACAATGCTGTTTTTGCATTTGTATATTTGTACAAGATTCCTGGTTCTCAGGGACAGGAGTTTCTCTAGGGCATATATTTGGAAGCGAAATTGCCGTACGGTTAGATATGAACATCTTCAAATTTGCTAGGTAATGCCAGATTGTTTTCCAAAGTTCTAGTTGCAGTTGCTGCATGTCCTCACCAATTTTTCCCCTAGAAAAATCCAGTCTATTGGGTGGGTATCATTTGTTCTAAAATGTTTACCTTTGTTTTTTTTTTTTTGAGACGGAGTTTCACTCTTGTTGCCCAGGCTGGAGTCCAATGGCACGATCTTGGCTCACTGCAACCTCTACCTCCCAGATTCAAGCGATTCTCCTGCCTCAGCCTCCCAAGTAGCTGGGATTATAGGCGCGCACCACCACGCCCTGCTAATTTTTGTGTTTTTAATAGAAACGAGGTTTCACCATGCTGGCCAGGCTGGTCTCAAACTCCTGACCTCAGGTGATCCACCCACCTCAGCTGGGATTACAGGCATGAGCCCCTGCACCAGGCCTTAAAATGTATTTCTTATAATGAAATTCAGCATATTTTCATATGTCGACACATTTCATAGGTGTGACTCATTCATGTTTCCTCATCTGACGTGTCCATGTCTGTTGGTCATTTTTCAGTTGGTTGTTTGTCTTTTTCTTAATTGATTTATAGGAGTTCTTTATTCTGGAGCCTAAGTATCACATCTCTTAAACGTTTTTCCAGTTTGTGACTTGTCTTTACACTTTGTATGGAGTTTTTGAATAACAGAAGTTCTGAATTTTAATGAGGTAGATTTTTTTTTCTCTATGGTTTGTACTTTTCATATGTATCTTGTGTTATTTTAAGAAATTCTTATTCAAGACTATAAAGATAATTCTATATAGACTAACATTTTCTTATAGTTTGCTTCCCACAATTAAATATTTAATGCAGCTGGAATTAATTTTGGTGTAAGATTGAGGTAGAAGTCCAATTTTACTTCTAAATGGATAGCCAGCTGTCCCAGAATCATTTATTGAAAAGTCTGTCCTTTCCCAAGTGAACTGCAATGCCATCTGTAACCTAAAGCAGATTTACACATATGCATGGAACTGTTTATAGCCTCTCTATTCTGCTCCGTCAGTGATATGACCAACCCTGCATTGATAAATAGTTTTAATCACGCCACCTTTGTAATAATTCTTGATGACTTTTCTTTCATCAGGAATGTTTTGGCTTTCTTTTTTTTTCCCTGAGACAAGGTCTCACTCTGTCGCCCATGCTGGAATGCAGTGGCACAATTGCGGTTCACTGCAGCCTCAACTTCCTGGGCTCAGGTGATTCTCCCACCTCAGCCTCCCAAGTAGCTGGGACTACAGGCTCACACCACCACACCTGGTTATTTTTTTTTTTTTTTTGTAGAGATGGGGTTTTGCCATGTTGCCTAGGCTGGTCTCGAACTCCTGGACTCAAAGGATCTGCCTGTCTCAGCCTCCCAAAGTGGTGGGATTAGTTTGGGCTATTTTTGACCCTTTGCTTTCACACATGAAAGTTTGTCAAGTTTCTTGAATAAAACCTATTGGAGTTTTGATTGGCTCTACATTGAATCTTTAAGTCAATTCGGAGAAGTGACATTTTTATGATATCCAATCATTCTATTCATTTAATTCTTCCTTAATGTGTTTTTTTAATAGTTTTTCATATAGGTTCTGTATATCTTTCGTTAGGTTTAGTCCTAGGTACTTATGTATTTTCATTGCTACTCTAAAATGTGTCATTTTATAAATTGCATTTTCTGTTTGTTGATGAAAATGAATAGAATTAAGTTTTGTATATTGATTTTGTATCCAGCAGACCTGCTTAATTCTTACCAGTTTTCCCAGTTTATCTGTAGATTCTTCTGGGTTTCTTAGGTTGAAAATCATTTAATCTATAAATAATAATGAACTTATTTCTTAATTTTCAAGCCATACACTGTGTATTTTGTTTTCTTACCATACCATGCTAGGTGGAATGACTTACACAGTGCTGAATGAAAGTGTGATCGTGGACTTCCTAGACTTAATGAGAATGATTTAAACATTTTGTCATTAAGATAGAGGCTTAATGTGTGTTTTTGCAGCTCTCCGTTCCTTAACAGTTTTATCTTGACTATATGTTGAGTTTCTCCATTTTTAGCATTTATATGGATAGTTACAGGTTTTTCTCCTTTAGGCTGTTAATTTCATAAATTAGTTGATTTCCAGATATTAAAATAACCTTGAATTCCTGGAATAAGCTGAATTTGGCTGTGATATATTATCTTTGATATGTATTACTGGATTTGATTTGCTAATATTTTGTTTAGGAGTTTTGCATCTATGTCTATGAGTAAATTAGCTAGGGCTGTTTTTTCTAAAATTCTCTTTGTCATATTCTGATTCTGAGGTCATGCTACACTCACAAAAGAGTTGGAATATATTTGCTCTTTTTTATACTCTGGACTAGTTTGCATAGGGTTGTTTGTAAGGTGCTGTGAAAATAAATAAGGTGTTCTCTAAGTGTACAAACGGTGGTGCTGGCAGAGGGCTGCAGGAAGGGAAGGCGAAGCTGCACCCACAATGTGTCTCTCCCTGTGAAGACAAAGCACTGGGCCGGGCACAGTGTCTCACACCTATAATCCCAGCACTTTGGGAGGCTGAGGTTGGCGGCTCACTTGAGGTCAGGAGTTCAAGACCAGCCTGGCCAACACGGTGAAACCCCACCTTTACTAAAAATACAAAAATTAGCCAGGCATAGTGGTGCACACCTGTAATCCCAGGTACTCGGGAGACTGAGGTGGGAGGATTGCTTGAGCCTGGGAGGCAGAGGTTGCAGTGAGCCGAGATTGTGCCACTGCACTGCAGCCTGGGCGACAGAGCAAGACTCCCATCTCAAACAAAACAAAAAAAAAGACAAAGGGATCCAATGTAATCAACCTGCCACCTGGTAACTGGCTGTTTTCCCTGCTAGTGATGTAGCATTAGCTACCACTCCGGGCATTCTGGATGCTCCGCATCTGTGGCAGCCAGGTCACCTTGGTGAGGAGCAGTCATGTTGTTGAGCCCCTGCCTGTTGAGGTCATCCTTGCTACATGGCCCACTGAAGAACCACTGGAATGACTAGGAAAGAAGATTATTGACAGCCACTAAGTCGAGCATTTTTCCCACCTGATTTTTGAGACCTCTTCCACAGTGAACGTCCCCTAGCAAGCATTTATAGTGAAATAAATATCTTCACATTGTGTGCACATCCTGAAAAGTCCATCCACATGCCTCCTTGTTACTCTTTCTAAGTCCCCGGCCAATACCCATTAGGTATCTTGTCTTCCAGGATGTCCTGTGTGAAGATATACTGTTTCCAATGCTGTCAACTAGGAGGATTCTCCTGCGGTCTTTCAGGAGCACTTCTGAGTGGGCTGTAGTGTTGCAGTTACCCACTTCTGGGTAGCGCTGGCATACTTGACGTATTAGCAATCCTGGCTAATTTCATGTTTAAACCAATCCTATACATACTCCTTTTGATTGACAATAGAGAATTATCCATGAAGCTCTAGCTCTAGGTGTAGGTTGAGGAAGAGGCAGTGAAAGAGTGGGATCATGCTCCATGGAGTATGAGCCACCTGCTTGCATTGTTTACATGGGCTTCAGGACTGGTTTCATCTATGTCGTTTTTTTTTTGTTTGTTTGTTTGTTTGTTTTTGTTTTTGTTTTTTATGAGATGGGGTCTCACTGTGTCGCCCAGGCTGGAGTGCAGTGACTTGATCTCGGCTCACTGCAAGCTGCGCCTCCCGGGTTCACAGCATCCTCCTGCCTCAGCCTCCCGAGTAGCTGGGACTACAGGCGCCCACCACCACACCCGGCTAATTTTTTGTATTTTTAGTAGAGACGGGGTTGCACTGTGTTAGCCAGGATGGTCTGGATCTCCTGACCTTGTGATCTACCTGCCTCAGCCTCCCAAAGTGCTGGGATTACAGGCGTGAGCCATCACACCCAGCCCTCATCTATGTCATTTTGATTTGACAGTGGAATGCTACTGCGTACATCCAGTTTCATCTCTATGGATCAGGTAACACCCATAATGTGAGCTGACAGAGTCACTTGGTGTCCTGTGGTCAAGCATTCAGTCTTTATCAGGGTGTAGTAGCAAGCCAAGTGTTGTTTTTTAGGTGGCTAATAGTTGTAGGCAGAAGAACGCATGACCTTACTCCAAAGCCCTAGTGGTCCACTCCCAGGGGTCTGCTCTGTGATTTTCCTACTGCTGCCTGTCAGAGGCTCCATTGATCACCTGTCTGCCTCAGGCACTTCCCTTACCCTTGGTTCTGCTAAGTTATATGATCCAGGTGTCGGGGCAGCTTATCCAGTGGCCTGGACCTGCTGCAGGGCCTTTTGTTTGCTTTGGTCCTCACTCAAAACTGGCAGTAAATAGAGACAGCAGCATACCCATGGCCTCCAAAGTTTAGAGAGGCCCATGATTATCATGTTTCTTTCCTTATGTTGGGCATTTCAAGATGCAATAACATGTCTCTGACTTTAGAGGGGATATCCTGACATGCTCCAGACCAGTGGATACTCTAAAAACGTCACAGATGTGGCATTCCCTTGAACTTTCCCAGGACTTATTGGCCACCTTCTACATACATGTAGCATCAAGAGTGCTTGCCACTTCTTGCATAAGTCCACTTAGCACTGTATCATCAATGTGATAGCCAGTGTGTTGCTCTGTGGGACAGACATCAAGAGATTTAAGGTCCCTCTTGCCTCTATTGAAGGACATAGCAGAGTTGACACAGCCATAAGGCAAGACAGTAAAGACAGTATACTGTTGTCCCTGTCACATGAAAGTTAACTGATTCTCATTATCTTTATTAATAGGGATTTTAGGAAAGTGTCTAGGTTGACACCTATATACTATAGATGTCTGGGGCTGTGTTGATTTGCCCTAGTAAAGAGCCCACAACTGGAACTATAGCTATGCATGGTACCATCACCTGATTATATTTGCAATAATCTACCGTCATCCTTGACAGTCCACATGGCTTTTCAGAAAAACAGGCAAGTTATACTGGAATGTGGTAAGAATCACTACCCCTACAACTTTGAAATCTTTGATGGTGGCATTAATTTCTGTAATTTCCCCAGAAAGATTTTTAGAGGGGAAGTGGTATAATTATAGCGGTTCTGCCTGATCTCTCTAATACCCTAATAACCTGAACTCCATGGGTGGTGGAAGCAGAGGGGAGAATTTTGCAGGTTACTAAGCAGGTCTGTTCTCACCATACATTCTGAGACCATGGAAATAACTAGAGGTAGGTCTGTGGTTTAGCTGGATTCGGTGTGAGGTAGCTCCTAGGCCAAGACTTCATGTGTCACCTGGTTTCTTAAGTCCCTCCTCTGGCCAGTAGACTATGGTGGCATTGTTAGATCTCCAGAAATTAGTGTCAGTTCAGAGCCAATATCGGATAAGTACTTATCTAAGTACAGTCATTGTTGTGAATAGCTTCAGGTACCTCTAGGGGAGGCTTAGGGGAAGATTTACTGTACACACCTGTGGCTACATTGCAGGATTCATTCTCAAAGGGCTCAGACCTTCCCCTCAAGAAGTTCTTGCTCTGTGAACTGGCCTAGGCTTAGGAGCTGGATAAGAGGCCATGAATCCCCTATAATGACAGTAGTTAGGTTTTCTGTCTATTTATATTAAGCTCACTTAGTAGGCTGCCTATGTATTTTCCACAGGTCCTGTGATTCATTAACCACCACCACACATCCTGAAAGTAAGAAAACAAAAAACAAAAAACAGAAAATGGATACCACGGCATCCCTGTGGCTTACTATGATTATCATGCCTAGCTTGTCTCCAAGAGTTAAGCACTGCTATTTGCTTTTACTGCTCCAGGACCCCAGTATTCCCAGTGAGATCAGGAAACCCAATTCCATTGCACCATCCCTGTTATCCCTGGTCATCTCAGCCTACAGATGACAACCACTACAGAGCTCTTCAGAGATGCTGGTGCCCCATCAAAGTATGCTTTTTAAATGCCTTAGTGAACAGAGTGTCCTCCAAGGCAATTAAAAGGTGGCTGAGCAAATTGTATGTAATAGATCCATCCCGACAGTCCCATCTCATGGAGCTTTTAAGCTCCCTCTCCAGTGTGCCAGAGAAGTGCCCTTTTTCTGAGTCCTACACACATGGCACATTCTCACGCTCTCATTCTTTTCACATCCTGTTGAGATGTTACAGTCTCAGGGAGGCTTTCCTGGACATTTTATTCAAAATCAACACCTTCCCACTGCCAGTGGTGCTCCTCCCTCTTCTCTGCTCATTCACTCTATAGCACTTATCAGCATCTGACTTACTGTGTAACTATGTGTTTGTCTGATTTAGGAAGGAGTAGTGTGACCCAGGAGTCCCCAGACCACTCTCTGATATCCTAGTGAATCTGCCACTAGCACAGCACTGACTTTGGCCTGTGTTCTTTGGCTGCTTCTAGGTATATAGGCTGCTTTTCAAGCCATTGCATACAGTTTTTGTGTGTTGTTCATAAATTGGATGCATTTACAATGTCCTCCATTTTGGGGAAAGTTGCTGCCTGCCTTCACATTTCCTTAAAAGTGTCTTTATATCAATCATCAGAGCATTGCAAAGTGTGCCTCAAATTATAGAACTGACTGTAGAAATTCGAGAGGGTATCAACATAGTAACTGTGTATTATGTGGTTGACATTAAGACATCCAATTAAAACCTTTTTAAACTTAATTCCCCCCTCTTTTTTACTTTAAAAATATGGGAAAGCATGATTCATGCATGAAAAACAGATAAATGAGACTACTAAAGGCTTTCATTGATAAGAATGAATAAATAAAACAAAGCCACACTTGCAGTAGAAGTCAATTAAAAGACCAGAAGGGTGGTAAGTACATTTAAACATGCCATTCTTTATCTGCAGTGGCCAACTTTTTTCATTATTGTGATAATTAAAAGAATATTAAGAGACACTGACTTTTGAACTATTTATGAATTTTAGGTCAAGAAGCCATCCAACCTAAACTTTTTCCCATTACTAATGAGTGTATGTATTATAACAATGTCATACAACCCCTTTGACAGTTCAAATTAGGAGAACGAAGACTAATCTAAACTGAGAGATTCTTGATTAAAATGACCATGACCTCTCAAGTGTGGAAGTTCCAAGTTGACTTTTTATTAGAATGAAACAGCTGTATGTTTCTTTCAAAGGGTAAGTTATTCATCCCACAGAAATTTACTAAATGCCTACTGTGTACTAAGCACTGTGCTAACTGCTAGGTAGTCAATGGTGAACAAGTTCCTGCCTTTATGCAGCTTCCAGTCTAGTGGCTTAACAGACCTAATCAAACAAATGAGGTATCAGGATAGGGAGAGGACACGAACATGTACAGGAGGGCACCTAACCCTGCCTTAGGACAGCAGGGGGCGCTTTCTGGAGAAAGTGATGTCCAAGCTGGAATGAGAGGGATGGGTGATGATAGTAGCAGTAGCCAACACTCATGTTGTGTGTGCTGGGTGTACTTTTAAATGGTCGAGCTCATTTAATCTTCATAACAATCTTATGAGACAGATGAAGAAAGTCCACAAAGAGATTTTTAAAAATTTGCCCTCAGTCACAGAACTAGGAAGTGGCAAAGTCAGCATTTAGACCAAGCTGCTGGTGTAACCCCAGAGCCTACGCTGATGTGTTTCAAACCTTTTGACTGTGACCCACAGTCAGAAATGCCTTTTATGTCATGACCCAGTATATATATACACACACACACACACACACACACACGTACGTATATATATATACACACACACACCCCTAAAACAAGAGTTTCACAGTTTCACAAAACAATGTTTATTGACAGTGTACTCTGATCTATCTTAGTCATTTTACTTTTTAAAAAAATTTAGATGTGACCCACAAAATTTATTTCACTACCCACTAATTGGTCACAACCCACATTTTGAAAAACAGTTCACTGCACTATTTTGCCTACTACGCAGAATGAGCCAAACCAAGTGAGGAGAGAAGAGAATCTCAGGCAGCATGAACAATGTGAGAGGCTGGGGTGGGAGGAACAGGAGGAGTGGGCAAGAGAGACTTGGCCAGTTGGGAGAATGGAAGGAAGTTTAGCAGAGCCTCAGGATGAGGTGGATGGCAGGAGAGGCCTTGAAGAGGTGAGCAAGGTCTTATATGTAAAGGTGACCATATTGCTTCCCGGCCTTTGGGCTAAGATCAGGTGTAGAAGAGGTGGCCATATGTTTATTGTTCAGTCAGGCCACTTTAGAGAGTGAAAGTGAAAAATTATGCCAGGGTAACAGATGTAAACCTGGAGCTTCCCTGGCAAAGTGGCACGTAGGATAAGCCATGTTGAGGAGTTTTTATTGCGTCTGAAAAACAATGGGGAGCCTTTGATGTGTTTTAAGCAAGGACATGATACAGCCAGATCCTTGCTGTAGGAAGATGACTGTGAATGCATTGTAAAGAAAGGACTGGAGGTGAGCAAGTTAGGGAAGCAATCAGGGGTCAAAACAGAATTAGAGACTTAGGACATTCCTAAAATGAAGCTCTGATCAGTCACAATTCTGAGAAGCTCCCTTAGGATAAAGTTCTAACAACTTAGTGTGGCAGGTAAGCTCCTTCCCACATTGGCCTGTGCTCACCCCTGCAGCCTCACCTTTAACCTCCTTTCTTCCCCCAGCCTCTGATGTTCCAGCTTGGTACACTGAACTGCTTCCCCCAAACACCATATTCTCTCATGCTTTGCATACTTCTCAGCAGGGAAAACCCTCCCCTTGCCTCCGTCCTCCATTCCTATTCATTTGTCTGAATCTTGCTCATTCTTGGGATTTAGCTAAGATGTCACTTTTCCCAGAAAGCCTTCACTGGCATTTGGAAGGCAGGGGCTATTGTTCTCCTCCTCTGGGCTCTGAAGACACCCTGTGCCTGCCTCAGATCTGGTGCCGATTCTGCTGGGTTGTCCTTGCCTGTTATTTCCCTCACCATCAAACCAAAGCCACTGTAGTTTTTTGAGAGCAAGGGCTGTGTCTTGTTCATCATTCTAGTTTCTGCCTCTAATCCAGAGCTTAGTACATAGTAAATGCCCCAGTAAATGTCTGTTAGCTGAATAAGTATCATTGGAAATGCCCCTCAATTGAATACAGCCATCCTCTCAGTGCTTTTTGTATTTTTTGCATATACTTTAGAAGTGTCTTCAAAGAAGATTCATCATGGCTTTTTAAAAGAAGAGCAGCATGGCCAGCACACTGGGAGTCCTCTAAGCTCACCAGCGAGGTTCCCCACCAGCAGGGCTGTCTTTTGAAATTTTGTAGAACTTTCCTCATCCCTAGTTGACACTTGATTGTTAACATTAGCTAAAGAGAGTCTATTGAAAAGGAGGAAGTGCTCAAAACACATAGAATTTTAAATAATGTTTAAGGAAATAGTGAGGGAATGCATGTGGGCATTGGCACTGGCCCCGATATTATTTATTTAGGTTTTCCTTTCATACCACTTCAAGTCTGATCTGAAGCCAGGATCTGTCTGTAGTGTGGCAGGAACCCAGAGATGTAGCATTGATTTCCCCCGAGTTTCTAGATGTTGGGGTATTCACTGAAATTAGTAGGTTGTAGAGGGCTACAAGTGAATGAGGAAAGGCTAGAGGGCAGAGAGCAGACTGAGGAGCTGTCTTAGTAGTAACTTAGAAGAGGTGGTTGGAGAAAGGACAGAGGGCCGTCTGGCAGCTGGAAGAGCCCCCCAAAGGCAAGATGGCATCTTATTCATGCTTAGTTGTGGACACAATATTTTCAAGCCATGACCTCAAGTGTGCCCAAAGGAGTAGCTATATGTCTGTAATTCAAAAAAAAACAAACAAACCAAAATCTTAAATTTCCTGTGGCAGAAAATACAACCTTGGTTATTCTGTTTTCTTAGTTACTTCCATCTTAAACTCAGTCAATTCAGGATTTCCTGTTTTCTCCCTCTTGCTCTTGAGAACGACCTCAAAGTTCTGGGGACCTGCTTGGCATCATAACTTTGGGGATGGGGGAAATATCTGGTCCGTGGGTTGTTGGGCATCTCTTCACACTGACTTCTGCTAAGGGGAAACTGATCCCATTGTTTTTAATTGTGCAGCTGTGTTTCTGCCCACATTAATTGATACGTTAGCAGCACTGCCCTGCTTAGCACAGTTAAGCCATGCACTCTGCATCTTCCATGTCCCCAACCTGAGGCCCTTTCACTTCTGCCACCCTCGCTCAGCTAATTCTCTAATGCGCAAAAACTGCTAGTCTCTCACACATCTCACATAGTAAGGGACTTTGAGTGACTGATGCAGATATTCCCTTCCCACACCCTCCCAACTCCTACTTCCGTTCTATTTCTTCCATCCTTCAGCTGTGAGGTGAAGAGGGTTGAGGGAATTCTGCAGTGTTGCTCACTTTTTCAGGCTCCACCTGGGAAACAAATAGAAATCTTCTTCGCCCTCAGAATGAAAGAAGAATGAGGGGGAATTTTTCTCTATTTCATTCACAGAACACTCAGTACCTAGAACAGTGGCTAGCTAATAGTAGGTGCTCAAGAAATACTTGTTGGATAGATGGATGACCAGCCCCTCCCTGGTCTCCCCAGCTCCCAAGACTTAGCCCTTGACAGACTCGAGATGCAAGGCCTCCCTCGCCAGGGACATCCTTGGTGCCCTTGCCAGGATCTGACTCTTGCTGCAGATCTCTATCCTCAGGATTCTCAGTCTGGGCTAGAAGCTTATATGGAGGGGTGGGCATGAGGGGAGGGGGAAGCTCAGCCAGTATACTTCCCAAATCTTTATCTGTTACATACGAGTCTAGTTTTTGTTTGTTTAAGTCTTTCATCTCCTAGACACATCATGTGCCTTCCCCTTGGGCAATAGTGGCTTCATCTTTAGGAGCCTGTGCTTGGGGAAGGGCCTTGGGGATTCAGTGACATGTGGAGTTGTGGGGAGGGAGACCATGTCTGTTAATCCTCCACTTGTTATCCTTTCACCTTTGTACACCCAGTTCCTAACACGGTACCCAGCACATAGTAGACTTTGAATTAATTTTTGTTGAACTGAATATTGGATGAATCAGAAATTGGTAATGTATTGAAGAGAAAAGAGCAAAAGGTTGGGGATGTCCTGAGGTTAAAGAGGGAAATGGGATATTGAGAAGTGCTCAGGATTATCAATTTTTTTTTTTTTTTTTTTTTTGAGACAGAGTCTTTGTCACCCAGGCTGAGTGCAGTAACTCCTAGGGTCAAGTGATCCTCCCACCTTAGCCTCTCAAGTAACTGGGACTAGAGGCATGTGCCACCTCGCCTAGCTAATTTTTTACTTTTTTGTAGAGACAGGGTCTCGCTATGTTGCCCAGGCTGGTCTTGAACTCCTGGACTCAGACAGTCCTCCCACTTCAACCTCCCAAAGTGCTGGGATGACAGGCATGAGCCACTGCACTCAGCCTTTTCTTTTGTTTTGTTTTTCTTTTTCTTTTCTTTTTTTTGAGACAGAGTTTTGCTTTGTCACTCAGGCTAGAGTGCAGTGGTGTGATCATGGGTCACTGCTGCCTCAACCTCTCAGGCTCAAGGGATCTTCTTGCCTCCATCTTCTGAGTAGCTGGGACAACAGATACATCCTACTATGCCCAGCTGATTTTTTTCTATTTTTTATAGAGACAGGGTCTCACTATGTTGTTTACACTGGTCTCATACTCTTGGGCTCAAGTGACCCTCCTGCTTCAGCCTCCCAAAGTGCTAGGATTACAAGCATGAGCCACCGCACCTGACCAGATCATTGATTCTTTGTTGAAACACTTCCATTCAATAAAGCCATATAATTTGTTAATAAAGCCTTCTGTTAATTTTGATACTGATGAGAAGTATTGCTATTATATTTATTGATTGGCAATATAGTAGGTGATCTCTAGACCCCAACTTAGTAAATTAACACCCTAAATTAGAGTCAAAACCCAGACATTGTTCAACTTGCTATAAGCATCAAGTGAAGCATGGTTATCAGCATCTAGGTGTTAATTGTAAAATAGTAAAATTCTGGAAGGAAAGATTGAGAAATTAGATTTTAATTCAGTAGATACTTAATGAGTTTCTCTCAGGCACTGTAATCAGCATGGATTTATGGCAGTAAACATGGCAGACTCTGCCTTCAAGGAGCTTCTGTTCTGGTGAAGATAGATAATAAACAAAACAATTATAGATTGTAACATGTGCTATGAAGGAAATAAACAAGGAGCTTCATGAAGCAATGATGGGAGCAACAACTTTAGTTAGGGTAGTCAGAGAAAGCCTTTATGCAGAGATGTTATGAGGTGAGACGAGAAGGATGAAGAAACCTGGAAAGGAACATTCCAAGCAGAGGGAAGCGCAAATCGAGAGATTCAGTTATGGAGAAAAGGTTAGTTTGCTTCTAGAATTGCAAGGAGGCCGTTGTGGCTAGAACGTAGCAAACGAGGGGATGGTGGTGTGAGAGATCAGAGAAAGACAGGCAGGGGCAATGGCATGTGGGCAGCGGAAGTCTTGTGGGGAGATTTAGACTGAGTTCCGAAGACAGCAGGAACATAAGAAGCAGAGGAGGGATAGAATCTGATTTGTATTTATTTAAACACAAATTGGGGAGGATAAATTGGAGATAGGGGAGGAAGTGCGAGCAGAAGCAGAAAGATAAGGAAGAAGCTATATTGACTATCCAAGTGACCGTGACCGAGGACAAAGGCACTGGCAATGGAAGAAAGTGGGCAGATTTGAGATAGACTTTGGAGTTTGGCCCTGAGGATTTCCTCATGACTGATTGTCAGAGTGATGGAAAGAAAGATGGCTCTTAGTGTTCTGCCTCTGAGAAGTGAGTGTGTGATGGCACTCTGTTGGGGATCAGAGAACAATACCCCAAAGCATGGCACTTGGGTGTGCCAAGTACTTTGAACTGAGGGACATCGGAAGAGCTTCAGAAGCAAAGGCTCTCCTTGCTCTTCTCTTGCCCTTCTTTCTCCTGTTTCCCTTTCTCTCTCAAGGCAGGCCATAGCAACTAGAATTCCTCTTCCCCAAGGTGGGTCATAGAAACTAGAAATACTACTTGAACCTTCCCCTGCCTTTCTGCGTAGGAGCCAGCTATAAAGAAATTCTCTGACCTACCTTGTGTGATAATAGGTTATAAGACCCTCATTCCAGAGGGGTCCTGCCCTGTACTGGGGAGGAAAGAATGTCACACAAAGAGACCAAAAAGAATCTGAACACACAGGCCTTGCTGGGTTTCCCCACCCAGACTATTAGCATCTGACCATTCCCTTTTGTCCAATCACATTTCTACATGGCTGTTAATTCTTCATCCAACCTAAGCTTAAAAACAGACGGTTTTCTCTGAGTCTTGAGTCTTTATCTCTGGAGACTCCCATGTCATATAAAATTGTGATTAAATAAATCTGTTATACTTTCCTCTTGTTAACATGTTTTTGTTACAGGAGTGCTGGCCATGACCCTCATGATGGGGAAGAAGGGTATCACACCTTTTTCACCCTATAGTTCTATTTACTGAGAAAGGGAGGGTGGAGGAGAGAATAGGTTTGGGGATATATGAAGAGCTACATTTTAGATGTCTTGTTACATTTGAGTTGGCTATGAGACACCCATTTAAAATCCTATATTTACTCTTCTGGGAATATTAAACATCAATGCACTAAAATAATTAAATCAGAACTTAGATGATTGTTTTCCCTATTTCTTTAATATGGCTCTCCTTCCTTGAAAAAACAAATTAAAAAAAAATGTTAACTGTGCTTTCTGGATGATGGTTGTATGTCTGCTGTGCAATTTAGAAATCTGAACCTTTCATTACTATTAAAAAAAAAACCACAACAAACCTTGAATGTAGGTCATTAACAAACATGCCCAGTCCCTTACTAAAATTCTGGGAGAAATCTAGTAGTCTTTGCTCATGTTTCTGATTACAGCTCAACATGTTTAAGTTACAGCTTCATTCTTCCTGAAGTTAGCAGTTTTAACAAAATGTAGGCATCTTCCTCTTTACATTACTACCTCCCATACAACAGAATATGATGCTTTAGAGGACTAGGCAAAGTAGACAGTGAATAAGCTTGTTTCTGATGGGTTGATTACGCTCATGCAAATGTTCTTTTTTCCTTTCTAAATATTTTGTAGTATCTCTTTGTATGAGTGTATGTGTCTGTAAGTGTGTAATATGATAGCACTATTGTACAACACAGCCACTCTAGAAGTGCCTTAGAGAGTTTTGCAGCAGATGTTTCTTTTGTATTGTTGGATCCACATGCAATGTGGCCTTAAGATAAGCAAAGGACTACAGCAATTACAAATCTTGATAAGCAAAGGGTTACAGCAATTACTACAGCAATTACAGAGCTCAGCCATGGCTCTTGCCAAGGTCAAATGTTTAGAATAAATACAGATTTAAAAGGTGTTTTGCTTCCTTGTAAGAATTTGACTCATTTAACTTAGGAGTGCTTAGTGCTTAGTAATGATAATTACCATTGCTTTGCTACCTATAAACTTGGAACAGCTTAATTATTCAGAAATAATCACTCAATTGTGATAAGTCTATGATAATCATATCTTAACTGTCATCTCTCTCCCTACTTTGGACCCTTATCATCCCCTGCCCGGGCTGTTAGAATACCTTTGTTAGTGACCTCCTCATCTGAGCCTCACTCCTATCTATCTGATCATGTCACTTCCTCTTCAAACAGCCTTTAATGGCATTTCATTGTCGCCAGGGTAAAAACTATACTACTGACTCCTTACATTTTCAGCAGTGTGGTGGACTAGACAACCTCAAGGTTCTCATGCCATTAAAAAGCAAACCTAGATTCTGGATGAAAGATATCTTTTAATGCATTGCTGCATCCATGGGAGCTAAAGGAAATCTCTAAGGGCGAAACAGAACAAAAATTGCACAAACCAAATAAACCCAAAGCTGAAACCTGATTGGAGCAGGGAGCTATGAATGTAAATGAATCCAAAGGCAGGTTTGCCTGAAGGCAAATGCTATATCAGTAACAAATCAGAAAACTAAGCCTCAAGCCAGTAGCAAGAGAGGAAGGTGGGCCTCAGACTTTTGCATGAAGTTAGAGCATTCAAGGAGGCTAAACTGACTCTAGGTCCCAGGCTCCTGAGAAAAACAAAGATCCTTTCTGGAAGAAAGCATGTGTAGGTTAGACACGCAGGATTCTTGCAGATTAATCTCATCCTGACATGATTGGAAGTTGCCAAAAGAATAAGAGAATAGAGAGGGGCTTCAAAATGGCTGCCTAAAGGCATCTTGGCAATCATCTCTTCCACAAAGAACCAAAATAGTAAGTAGATAATCACACTTCACATAGAACATCAAAATGAAAACACTGGAATTTAACAGAGAAATGACAGGAAACACCTAAGGCATAGGAGCAGAGGGAAGCAAGGCAGCCAGCTTGGCCAGGATTGGCTGGGAGCTTGGAGAGGCTCCCCAGTGTGGAAGTAAGTGAGAAATCCTCATGGCCAACATTCCTAGTATGGACTCCTATAACCTTAGCTACAGGAGAACTCCTCAACCTTGTGGTCCCCAAGACTAGCATAGGGAGCTGCCTAGAGACTGCAATAGATTGCTCCAGAGAGGGAGCTTGTGCTGGCTCCCACATATTCCCTAAGTCCTAAGCAGCTGTAGCACAGTGCCATTTTCAGAGCCCAGCCCCCACCAGACTACATCCTGACCTGGGACCTAACAGCCCCTGCATCTCCACATCCTGGGAGTCCTCCAACCCCCAACTACCCAGAAGGTTGCAGCAGTGTGCCACTGTTGGACCCAGCAGAAGTGACAGGGTCCCCAGTGATAGAGACAGGAGACAACCGAATGCTGCCCAGGTCATTGTGGACAGGAGGCTTGCCTAAACATGCCCACAGTGAAAAATTCTGTCTCTTAACACATGCGCAGTAAGGGAAGTAAATCAGCGTGGAGTGGCTCAGACTAAGAGCTTGCATGCGCACTGGACGAATGGGCTGGAGCCACCAGGAATTCACACCTTACGCTGCAGGGGAGTCTAGCCTCTTCAGCTCGTGTGTGGTGGCCTGGTATTCAATTTTTTTGAGGTGGAAAACCTGCGTGCAGGACCCGTCTTTTTTTGTTGAGACCTTTCTTTTCACTTAATAAATTCCGCCCTCCTCACCTTTCAATGTGTCTGTGTACCTACTTTTTCCTGGTCATGAGACAAGAACCTGGATTTTAGCTGAACTAAGGAGCAAAAAATCCTGCATCACCACCGCTCTAACACACAGTGTCCTGCAGCCCAGGGGAATGGAGGTGCACTAGGGAGGCTGCCCATGGCACAAAACAAGCCATAGTGCATGCTCCTTAGAGCCTGAGAACTACCTGCCTATGGCTGAAACCACTGTGAGCACACCCTCCCCTCCCCGCA
This sequence comes from Homo sapiens, assembly GCF_000001405.40. NCBI lineage: Eukaryota > Metazoa > Chordata > Mammalia > Primates > Hominidae > Homo > Homo sapiens. Next base: position 39,799,234 of record NC_000022.11, on the reverse strand, counting down.
ATTGCGGTAGGGCCGAGGTATACTTGTGCACATACTAGGGACAGGCTCCCACCATCCACTGCCACCACTGCTGTAGCCACCTGAGCACTCCACTGCAGGGAGCCTGGAGATCACCCCACTACAGCCAGTGCCTGAGTATAAAACCAGAGGGCCTGAGAACAAGCCTGCGTGGCCTAGCACCAGTGACCTCCAGGGCCCAGACACACCACCTAGGGGCCTGGGGATTATCTTGCCCTGTCCATCATAGCTGGCATCTGTGCATTCCCTCTGGGGGCCTGAGGATGAGCCCACCCAGCCTGCCACTATCACCACAGCCAGCACATGCCACCTAGAGTCCTTGGGAGTGGACTGCACACTCCATCACAGCTACTGCTAACATCAATACATACCACTTTGGAGACCAACGGTTGTCCCACCACTGCTACTGCCATCACACACTGCCCAGGGGACGGAGGACTTGCCCACCCATCCAGCTCACCACTGCCACTGCTGGCTCCAGAACAAGCCACGTGGAAGCCCAAGAATAGGCCTGTTTGGACCTGCTTCCGTTAGTGTCTGTTTCTACTGCCCAGGGGCCCAAGGACAGGCACCCTCAGCTTGTTGTTGCCACCACTGGGGCCCAAGGACTGGCTGACTTGACACTCCTGTCCCGAGAAAAAGCTTGCCACAGCCCCCTACTAACAACCACAGCCTAAGCCACTGAGGAAATCACAGACACCACTGATGCTGTTTATAGCCAAAGAAATAATATGGAAGACTACACTACTGCATGCACCCAGAATCAAAGCTAACATGTCCTACCCAACCAACACCATAGATACATCCTCAGAAAGAAGTCTTCACCTACAAAAGCCAATCCAATACTTAACAATACAAAGAAATCAGAAAAACAATTCAGGATATAAATGAGAAATTTACCAGAGATAGATATTATAAAGAACAAAACCAAAATCCTAGAAGTGAAAAATCCAATGAATAAAATAAAAAAGTTATTAAAGAGCTTCAACAATAGACTAGAACAAGCAGAAGAAAGAATTTGGAAGCATGAAGATGTCTTTTGAAATAACCCCATCAGACACACTCAAAAAAAACCTATAATAAAGAATTTTTAAAAAGAACAAACAAAACCTATGTGTCATATGGAACACTATAAAGCAAACAAATATACACATCTGGGATGTTCAAGAAGGTGAAGAGACCAAAGGCATAGAAAACCTATTTAACAAAATAATAGCTGAAAACTTTCTAAGTCTATTAAGAGATTTAGACATCCAGATACAGGATGCTTAGAAATTCACAAATAGATACAACCCCAAAAGGTCTTCTTCATGACACACTATAACCAAACTGTCAAACATCAAAAACAGAGAATTCTAAAAACAAGAGCAAAGCATCTAGTCACATATGAGGGTACTCCTGTCAGACCAACAGCTGATTTATCAGCAGAAACTTTACAGACAAGCAGAGATTGAGTTGATATATTCAGTCCTGAAATAAAAGAAAAAAACTTTCCAGCCAAGAATACTATACCCAGCAAAGTTATCCTTCATAAATGAAGAAGTAGTCTTTCCCAAACAAGCAGAAACTGAGGGAATTCATCACCACTAGACCAACCCTACAAGAAATACTTAAGGGAGTCCTACACCTGGAAGCAAAATGTTGATTTCTACCATCATGAAAACCATGAAAGTATAAAACCCACTGGTAGAAAAGTCACCCAAATGAGGAAGAGAAAGGACTCAAATGCTACCACTACAGAAAACCACCCAACTACAGTGATAAACAATGAGAGAAAGGAACAAAGAATATACAAAGCAACCAGAAAACAATTAACAAAAAGACAAATAAGTCCTCACATTATCAATAATAACCTTGAAGGTAAAAGAATTAAAATTTCTGCTTAAATGATATAGACTGACTGAATGAATGGATGTTTAAAAACCCCAGAACCAACTATATGCTGCCTACGATAAACTCACTTTACCTGTAAAGACATACAGATTTAAGGGGTTGGAAAAAGATATTTCATGCTGATGGAAACCAAAATTGAGCAGGAATACCTATACTAATATCAGATGAAACAGACTTTAAGTCAAAAACAGTAAAAAGAGACAAGGTCATTATGTAACGATAAAGGGATTAATTGAGCAAGAGGATATAACAATTCTAAATATATATGTACCAACACTAGAGTACCCAGATATATAAAGCAAATATTATTAAATCTAAAAGGTGAGATAGGCTCCAATAATAGTTGGAGACTTTAACACCTCCTGCTCTCAGGATTAGACAGATCATCTAGACAGAAAATCAAAAAGAAACGTTGTATTTTAACTACACTTTAGACTAAATGGACCTAACAGCCATCTATAGAACATTTTATCCAACAGCTGCAGAACACAGTCTTCTCATCAGCATGTGGAACATTCTTTAGAACAGATAATAGGCCACAGACATATCTCAACATATTTTTAAAAATCAAAATTGTATGAAATGTCTTTTCAGACCACAATGGAATAAAACTAAAAATCAGTAACAAACTTTGGAAACTAGACAAATACATGGAACTTTAATAACATGCTCCTGAATGATCACTAAATGAATGAAGATATTAGGAAGGAAGTTTAAAACTTTCCTGACACAAATGAAAATAGAAATACAATATACCAGCCAGGCATGGTGGCTCACCTGTAATTCAGCACTTTGGGAAGCCAAAGTAGGAGGATTGCTTGAGCCCAGGAGCTTGAGATCAGTCTGGGCAACAAAGTGAGACCCCACCTCCACCATCTCTACAAAAAAATTTAAAAATTAGCTGGGCATGGTGGTCCCAACTACACGGGAGGCTGAGGCAGGAGGGTTGTTTAAGCCCAGGAGGTTGAGGCTGCAGTGAGCCACGTTCACACCATTGCACTCCAGCCTGGGCCACAGAGCAAGACCCTGTCTCAAAAAAGGAAAAAGAAAAGAAAAGAAAAAGAAAGAAACAGAGCATACCAAAATTAGTGGGACACAGCAAAAGCAGTAGTAAGAGGGGGAAGATTATAGCAGTAAACACCTATATCAATAAAGTAAAAAGACTTCAAACAATCTAACAACATACCTCAAGGAACTAGAAAGGGAAGAACAAACCCAAAAATAGAAGGAAAGAAATAATAAAGATCAGGGCAGAACTAAATGAAATAGAGACTAAAAAATACAGAACGTCAACAAAATGAGAAGTTGGTTGTTTGAAAAGATAAACAAAACCAATAAACTGCTAGCTAGACTAAATAAGAAAATAAAAAAGAAGATCCAAATAACATCAGAAATGAAAAAGGAGACATAACAACTGAGACCACAGAACCATAAAAGATCACCAGAGACTATTACGAACAACTATATGCTGATAAATTGGAAAACCTAGAGGAAATGGATAAATTCCTGATTTACTAAGACTGAATCAGGAAGAAGCCAAAAATATGAACAAACTGATAGTGAGTAACAATATTGAATCAGTAATAAAAAGTCTTCCAGCCAGGCACAGTGTCTCATGCCTGTAATCCCAGCACCTGGGAGGCTGAGTTGGAGGATCACTTGAGCCCAGGAGTTTGAGACCAGCCTGGGCAAGATAACAAGATCTTGTCTCTTAAAAAAAAAAAAAAAATTAGCCAGGCATGGTGGCATGTGCCTGTGGTCCCAACTACTTGGGAGGCTGAAATGGGAGGATTGCTTGAGCCCAGAAGGTCAAGGCTATATAGTGAGCCATGATCACACCACTGTACTCCAGCCTGGGTGACAAAGTGAGACCTTGTCCCAAAAAGAACAAAAAAAGAAAAAAGAAAAAAAAAAGCCTTCTAATAAAGAAAAGCCCAGGACCAGATGGCTTCGCTGCCAAATTCTACCAAACTTATGAAGAACTAACGCCAGTTCTCCTCTCACTATTCCAAAAAACTCAAGAGGAGGAAATTCTCCCTAACTCATTCTAGGAGACAAGCATTACCATGATTCTAAAGCCAGAGAATGACACGACAAAAAGAAAACTACAGGCTAATATACCTGATGAACATAGTTGTAAAAATCCTCAACAAAATACTAGCAAACTGAATCCAACAGCACATCAAAAAGATAATATACCATGATCAAGTAGAATTTATCCCAGGGATGCAAGTGTGATTCAATATACGCAAATCAATAAATATATACCACATCAGTGGAATGAAGGACAAATGCCATATTATTATCTTAATAGATGTCAAAAAAGCGTTTGATAAAATCCAATGACGCTTCATGATAAAAAACTCTGAACAAACTAGGCACAGAAGGAATATACCCCAACATAAGAAAGGCCATATATGACAAACCCACAACCAACATCATACTGAATGGGGAAAAGATAAAAGCCTTTCCTCTAAGAACTGGAACAAGAAAAGGATGCCACTTTTTTTTTTTTTTTTTGAGATGGAGTCTTGCTCTGTTGCCCAGGCTGGAGTGCAGTGGCACGATCTTGGCTCACTGCAAGCTCTGCCTCCCAGGTTCACGCCATTCTCCTGCCTCAGCCTCCTGAGTAGCTGGGACTACAGGCATGTGCCACCACACCTGGCTATTTTTTTTTGTATTTTTAGTAGAGACGGGGTTTCACCATGTTAGCCAGGATGGTCTCGATTTCCTGACCTCGTGATCCATCTGCCTCAGCCTCCCAAAGTGCGGGGATTACAGGCGTGAGCCACTGCGCCCGGCCAAGGATGCCACTTTTACCACTCCTATTCAACATAGTACTGGAAGTCCAAGCCAAAGCAGTCAACCAAAAGAAAGAAAGAAAAGGCATCCAAATTGGAAAAGAAGTAAAATTGTTTGTCTTTGCAGATGACATGATCTTATATTTAGAAAAACCTAAAGACTCTACCAAAAAAACTCTTAGATCTGATAAATTCTATAAAGCTGCAGGATACAAAAATCAACATACAAAAATCAGTAGCATTTCTATACACCAATAATGAAATAGCTTAAAAAGAAATCATGAAGACAATCCCGTTTACCGTAGCTACAAATAAAATAAAATACCTAGGAGTATTTTAACCAAGGCGGTGAAAAACCTCTACAAGGAAAACTACAAAACACTGATGAAAGAAGTTGAAGAGGACACAAACAAATGGAAAGACATCCAACGCTTATAGATTGGAAAAATAAAAATTGTTAAAATGATCATACCACCCATAGCAATTTACAGATTCAATGCAATCTCTCTCAAAATATCAGTGTCATTTTTTACAGAAATGGAAAAGACAATCCTAAAATCACATGAAACCAAACAAGAGTCCAAATAGCCGAAGTGATCCTGAGCAAAGAAAACAAACCAGGAGAGACATTTCACTACCTGACTTCAAAATATATTACAAGGCTGTAGTAACCAAACAGCATGGTATTGGTATAAAAACAGACACATAGACCAATGGAACAGGAGAGAGAACACAGAAATAAATCCATGTATTTACAGCCAACTGATTTTCAACAAAGATGCCAAGAATATACACTGGAGAATGAACACCTTCTTCAATAAATGGTGCTGGGAAAACTGGATATCCATATGCGGAAGGATGAAACTAGACCCCGGATTAAAGAGCTAAATGTAAGACCCAAAATTATAAAACTACTTGAAGAAAACATAGGGGAAACACTTCAAGACATTTGTCTAGGCAAAATTTTTATGGCTAAGACCTCAAAAGCACAGGTAACAAAAACAAAAATAGACAAATGGGATTATGTTAAACTGAAAAGCTTCTACACAGCAAAGGAAACAATGAACAAGGTGAAGAGACAACCTGTTGAATAGGAGAAAATATTTGCAAATTATTAATCTAACAAGGGACTAGGATCTGGAATATTCAAGGAACTCAAACAACAGCAAAAAAAAAAAAAACAACTAATAATCCCATTAAAAAGTGAGCAAGGGACATGATTAGACATTTCTCAAAAGAAGACATACATATAGAGTAATTGGCACCCTTGTAAAAACATTAAAAAGTATAAAAGACATATAAATGGCCAAAAGGTATATGAAAAAAATAGTCAATATCATTGTCATCAGGGAAATGCAAATAAAAACTACAATGAGAAATCATCTCACCCTAGTTTAAATAGCTTTTATCAAAAAGATAGGGAATAATGAATGCTGGCGAGGATGCAGAGAAAGGGGAATCCTCATATACTATTGGTGGAAATGTAAATTAGTACAGCCATTATGGAAAATTATAGGGAGATTTCTCAGAAAACTAAAAATAGGCCTACTATATGATCCAGCAAACCCTCTTCTGGGTATTTATCCAAAAGCAAGAAAATCATTATATCAAAATGATACCTGCACCCCCGTGTTTACTGAAGCATTATTCACAATAGCAAAGCTTTGGAATCAACCTAATTGTCCATCACAGATGACTAGATAAAGAAAACGTGGTATATATACACAATGGGATACTCGGACATTCAAAGAAAAACGATGTAACTACCCAATGGGTTCTTCTTGCCTGCTGCCCAGATAGAGCCAGTTTGTCAAGACAGGGAAATTGCAATAGAGAAAGAGTTTAGTGCACCTCCTGGGCTCAAGCAGTCCTCTCACCTCAGCCTCCCAAAGTGCTGGGATTACAGGCATGAGCCACCGCACCCAGCTGGTAATGGTGCTTTTTTTTTGCCAACTCATTAGCAGGTAAAGGAGATATACCATCAGCACAGATTTGCAATTTTTTTGATCATAAGGCTTAAGATAATTAAAAACAAAAATCACAGATTAAAAAATAACATTATAACATCTAATTTGTGGTATTAGAAAAAGAACTAAAATGCGAGGTAACAATAGCATGTAACTGAGGAGGGAGGAGTAAATTTGTCACAGGAGTCTAAAGTCTCAGAGGTGGGGTGGGAGTGTAAATTAGTCCAATCATTGTGGAAGACAGTGTGGCGATTCCTCAAAGAACTAAAACAGAACTACCATTGGCCCAGCAATCCCACTACTGGATATATACCCAAAGGAATATAAATCATCCTGCCATAAAGACACATGTACACGTATGTTCATTGCAGCACTATTCACAATAGAAAAGACATGGAATCAACCTAAATCCCCATCAGCAGTAGACTGGATAAAGAAAATGTGGTACATATACACCATGGAATACTGTGCAGCCATAAAAAAGAATGAGATCATGTCCTTTGCAGGAACATGGTTGGAGCTGGGGACCATTATCCTTAGCAAACTAATGCAGGAACAGAAAACCAAATACCGCATATTCTCACTTATAAGTGGGAGGTAAATAATGAGAACACATGGACAGAAAGAGAGGAAGAATAGACACTAGGGCCTACTTGAGGGAGGAGGGTGGGAGAAGGGAGAAGTTCAGGAAAAACAAAACAAACAAACAAAAAAACTGAGCATAGTACCCAGGCGACAAAATGATCTGTACACCAAACCCAAGTCACAAGCTTATCTATATAACAAACCTGTGTTCTGAACCAAAAATAAAAGTTAAAATAAAATTACATATATAATTGTGATTTAATTATAATGTTAGGCCAGACATGGTGGCTCATGCCTGTAATCCCAGCACTTTGGGAGGCTGAGGCAGGCAGATTACCTGAGCTCAGGGGTTCAAGAACAGTCTAGGCAACATGGCAAAACCCCGTCTCTAATAAAAATACAAAAAAAATCAGCCAGGCCTGGTGGCACACACCTGTAGTCCCAGCTACTCAGGAGGCTGAGGCATGAGAATTGCTTGAACCCAGGAGGTGGAGGTTGCAGTGAGCTGAGGTCATGCCACTGCACTCCAGTCTAGGTGACAGAGCGAGACTGTTCCCCCCACAAAAAAATTATGATGTTAAAGATATGAAGTCTAATCTTTAATATATCTTCATATATTTTTAATATATCTTTATATATATTTAATATATCTTTATATATAAAATTATGTAGTCTAACTATATAGTCTAAAACTATATATAGTCTAGACTATAGTCTAAATATACTCTAAAACTATATAGTCTAAATATATAGTCTAAAGATATTAGACTTTATATCTTTAAAATTATATATATATATAATATATATAACTTTAGACTCTACCAGGCTATCTATATGTATTAGGATATTAAAATGGGATTCTTTTTCTCTTTTGCTGTGGATACTACTAATAAAATATATATCAGATATCAAATCCACATGTGGAGATTTTTAAAGGAAATGGATGAAAACCTGCCCCATGATTATTGAGCCCTGCCCTCGCCACGTACACACATTCTCACCCACCCACTCACACAGTTTGAAAATATTATAAAGGGACAGTGTGGTGGAAGAGGGAGAATCTAGTGTGAGGAGGTAGGTGATGAGATTTCTTAGGAAGGAGCTATTACCATGTTGTGAGTCTTCACCCAACTCCCTTGTGGGGAAGCAGTGGGAAGACCGCTACTTGCTAATCCCAACCCTAGTGAGAGAGGCTTTGAAATAGGTTCCCTGGAATTGGAGACACCAAGAACTAGTGCCTAACTCATGCCTGGGAGTGTAGTCAGGGTCTGATTCTAACCTGGGAAACAGACGATCTGACCAGTAGCTCTTTGGTGGTGAAGCCACAGAAGCCTGGTGAGTTGGGACTGGCCTGTGCCCCAAGCTGGTCAAAGCAAGGGCTGCACAGATGTGAGTTATGTAGGAGAGAACTGTCATGGTTGTCATAGAGGCTTGTCCAGTAGGGCTGCCTGGAGGGCAGAAAGACCTCAGCAGAAAGATATGAGAGGTCTGAGAAGAAGGTGTCAAAAATAGCCACCTGGAATAGAGGTGCATCCAGCCCAAACCTCAGAGTCATCCCTGACTCAATTCTTTCTCTCCTACCAGCTCTACCTTCGAAACATGTCCAGAATCAGATCACCTCCACTGCAGTTGCAGGATCAAGATATCCTGTCCACCATTGTTGCCTCCATGAATTATTGCAGCAGCCTCCTAACCTGTGACCCTGCTTCTCCCTGTGCTCCATGGAGCCCTCTTCACATAAAAGCCAAAGTGATTTTATGAAAAAGAAGACATACCATGCCATTCCTTTGCTTAAGCACCTCCCAGGGACTTCTCATCTCACACAAGGACATCTTTGATCTGACTGTCAACTGTCTTTCTGACTTCCTCTCCCACCCCTTCTCCTTCTGCACATTCAGCCACAGCCATCTTAGACCTGTTGGTGTTCCTGGAACGTGTCCAGCCCCCTCCTGCCTGTGGGTCTCTGCAGTGACTCTTCCCTCCAACTAGAACACTCTGCCCTCCACTGATCCACATGATTTTCTCTCTCACCTCCTTTGGTTTACTGCTCAAATGACACCTTAACAGTGAGGCCTCCGATCACCCTATATAAAACAGTCACACTGCCCCACCCCTTCCTGCTCATTCCCCACCAGCCTGCTCATTCCCCAGCTTTCCCTATACCCCTTGGCTGCTTTGTTTTCCTCCATAAAACTTGTCACTGCCTAACTGCTTTTATATAAATACTTGTTCAGTTGTTCACATTTGTTCTTCCCCCACTGTAATGTAAGCTTTAAGAGGGCAAAGACTTTGTCTTTTTGTCCACTGTTGTATTTTTAGTACCTAGAGTAATAGTACCTAGAATTAGTACCCAGAATAATTTAGTACCTGAATATGACAAACTGCCTAAGAAATATATTTTGAATGAATGAATGTAAAAAATGAAGGGTGAAGAGGGAAGAGAGGAATCAGTCAATGTTAAATGCCACAGAGATGTCCTGAGGCCTAAGGACTGAACATTTCCCATTGGAGTTACCAATTAAAACATCAGTGATGGCCTAACAGAGGGCAGCTTCAGTTGAAAGGTACGAATGGAAGCCAGATTATGGTGTTTTGAGGAGTTAAGGAAGAAAAAAAATTCAATTGAGAAATTTTTTTCAGTGTATTTGGTGAGGGGAGCAAGAGAAAGATGAAACACAATAATGAAAAGGGCCTATGTATTTAAAATGGAAGAGATAAAAATAGAACTACCGTGTATATATCCAAAGGTATTGAAATCAGTATGTTGAAGAGATACCTGCACTCTTGTGTTCATTGCAACATTATTCACAGTAGTGAAGATATGGAACCAGTCTAGCTGTCCATCAGTAGATGGATAGATAAGAAAATGTGATGCATACATACACAAGCATACCTTGGATGTATTATGGGTTCCATTCCAGACCACCGCAATAAAGCCAACATTGCAATAAAGAGTCACACATATTTTCTGGTCTCCCACTGCATGTAGAAGTTATGTTTACACCATACTACAGTCTACTAATGTGCAGTAGCATTATATGTAAAATACAATGTATACACCTTAATTAAAAAACACTTTGTTGCTAAAAAAGGCTAACAATCATCTGAGCCCTCAGTGAGTTGTAATCTCTTTGCTGGTGGAGGGTCTTTCCTCCATGTTGATGCTGCTGATGGATCAGGATGGTGGCTACTGAAGGTTGGGGGTGGGGGCTGCAGCAATTAAAAAAAATGAGATGATGAAGTTTGCCAGGTCATTTGACTCTTCCTTTCACAAAAGATTTCTCTGTAGCATGCAATGCTGTTTGGTAGCATTTTACATACAGTAGAACTTCTTTCAAAATTGGGGTCAATCCTCTCAAACCCTGACAGTGCTGTATCAACTACATTTATGTAATATTCTGAGTTCCTTGATGACATTGCAACAATGTTCACAGCGTCTTCACTAATAGATTCCATCTCCTAAACCACTTTCTTTGCTCATCCATAAGAAGCAATTCCTCATTCGTTCAAGTTTGATCATGAGATTACAGCAATCCAGTCACATCTTCAGGCTCCACTTTTAATTCTAGTTCTCTTGCTATTTCCACCACATCTGCAGTTTCTTCCTCCACTGAAGTCTTGAGCCCCTCAAAGTCATCCATGAGGGTTGGAATCCACTTCTTCCAAACTCCTGTTAATATTGATAATTTGATCTCCCATAAATCACAAATGTTCTTAATGACATCTAGAATGGTGAATCCTTTTCAGAAGGTTTTTAATTTACTTTGCCCAGATCCATAAGAGGAATCACTGTCTAAGGCAGCTATAACCTTACAAAATATATTTCTTAAATAATAAGACTTGAAAGTCAAAATGACTTTTTGATCCATGGGCTGCAGAATGGACATTGTGTTAGCAGGCATGAAAACAACATTAATCTCCTTGTACATCTCCATCAGAGCTCTTGGGTGACCAGGTGCATTGTCAATGAGCAGTAATATTTTGAAAGGAATCTTAAGGGCCTTAGAATTTTTGGAATGGGAAAGGAGCAATTGGCTTCCACTTAAAGTTACCAGTTGCATCTTTTGCCAACAAAAGCCTGTTTCATCTACATTGAAAATCTGTTGTTTAGTGTAGCCACCATCATCAATTATCTAATCTTCTGGATACCTTGCTATAGTTTCTGTATCAGCACTTGCTGCTTTACCTTGTATTTTTATGTTAGGGAGTTGGTTTCTTTCCTTAAACCTCATGAACCAACTTCTGCTAGCTTCAGACTTTTCTTCTGCAGCTTGCTCATCTCTCTCAACCTTCATAGAATTGAAGAGAGCTAGGGCCTTGCTCTGGATTAGGCTTTGGCTTAAGGGAATGTTGGGGCTGGTTTGATCTATTTGGACCACTCAGACTTTTTCCATATCAACAATAAGGCTGTTTCACTTTCTTATTATTCTTGTGTTTTCTAGAGTAGCACTTTTAATTCCTTCGGGAACTTTTCCATTGCATTCACAGCTTGGCTAAGTGTTGGTACAAGAGGCCTAGCTTTTGGTCTCTCAGCCTTCAATATGCCTTCCTCACTAAGCTTAATTGTTTTTCTCTTTTAATTTAACCTAAGAAACACATGACTCTTCCTTTCACTTGAATACTTAGAGACCACTGTAGGATTATTAATGGCTGAATTTCAATACTGTTGTGTCTCAGGGAATAGGGAGGCTGGAGAAGAGGGAGAGAGAGATGAGGGATGGCTGGTCGGTGGAAACATCAGAACACACACAGCATTTATCGATTAAGTTCACTGTCTTATGTGGGAGAGATTCATGGCACCCCAAAATGATTACTGTAGAAAAATCTAAGGAATCTAAGGTCACTGATCACACATCACCACAACAGATATTATAATAGTGGAAAAGTTTGAAATGTGAGAATTACCAAAATATGACAGAGACATGAAGTGACAAGCTGTTGGAAAAATGGCACTGACAGACTTGCTAGATTCAGGGTTGCCACAGACCTTCAATTTTGTTTTTTGAAAAACCGTAATATCTGAGAAACACAATAAAATGAGGTATGCGTGTGTGTGCACATGCACGTGTGTAATGGAATACTATTCAGTCTTTTTAAAAAAATCCTGTCATTTGTGACAACATGAATAAACCTGGAAGACATTATGCTAAGTGAAATAAGCCAGGCACAGAAAGACAAATAGTGCATGATCTAACTTGTGTGTGGAATCTAAAACAGTCGAGCTCACAGAAGCAGAGAGTAGTGTGGTGGTTGCCAGGGGCTGGGTGGTGAGGGGATTGGAGAGATGTTGGTTAAAGTGTATAAAGTTTCACTTCAGATGAACATGTCCTGGAGATCTATTGTACAGCTGAACTGAAAGATAGGTGCCAAGAAATTATTCAAAAATTTAGCACAGAGATCAAAGAGAGAGAAAATATGGAAGTCAGATTAAGAGAAATGCTGATGGAGTGAGGTCTAACATCATATCTAATCAGAGTTGCAGCCCTCCTTCAAGTCTGAATACCTGCCCCATTCCACGTCAGCCACTCTGCACTTGAAAGTAAAAATGTATTGTAATACTTGAAAATTGCTAAGAGGGTAGATCTTAAATGTTCACCAAAAATGATAAGTATATGAGGTGGTAGATATTCGTTAGTTTGATTTAATCACTTCACGATGTATATACGATCAAAACATCACATTGTACACCGTAAATATATATAATTTGTGTCACATACCTTAAAGATGGGAAGAAATAAAATGGAAGAGACTGAGCATCTCTGTGAGCTAGGGGGAGAAAGCTAATGAGAAAAAGTTGAAGACAGGGAGTAGAATGGACTTGAGTGGGTTTTTTCTGTGACAGATGGCAGGACAGGCCTGGATAGAAAGGAGGTTTCTGAACCTCAGGTCTGAAGGGAAGGAATACTATGGGCGTGGTTCATTTTATAAGCAGTAGGATGAGAAGCTGAAGTGGATCAGTTTAAAAGCCTCTCTTTTCTTGATGAATAGGAAAGAAGGTCATCTACCAAAAGTGAAGAGGGAAAGGTCAAGTTGACAAAAGTACTTGAGACGAGCAGAGAGGGTTTGAAATTGTCTTTGAGAGAAATCAAAGAGCCAAGGCTGAGCCAAAGGATTTATGGGCACTCCTGAGACCCCAGATGACCTAGGCACTATGAAATGACATTGTGAATTTCCTCCAGCACTGGTCAGTCACCCAGTCCCAAGGTGCTAGATGCGAAGATTAAAAATTGGGGAGGGGGTCGGAATAAGTTGAACAAGTTGAACCAGGCTTGGATGTCTCATGTTTGGGGACTGGGAGGTTAGGGGCCTTTCCAAGTTACCCTAAAGAACTCTCATGTTTAACCTATGAGAAAGCCAGCATTTGGACCCGCCATACAGACGGCATGGATGGCCACATTAGCCAAAGAGGCAGCAACAACCAACACAAAGGTGACTACAACCATGGCCAGATGAGAAAGAGAGATAGTTGTCTCTTTTACTCTCCACCCTCTGTTCCAACACCCTAGAGGAGCTGAGCTCAGAGGGTGTGGGGGAAGATCAAAGCAGATCAAAGCCGACTTCCAGATAAGAAAAGGGAAAGAAATAAAAGAGCTGCCCAAGATGAGAGAGCAGCCAGGGTGAAATCACAGAGGTGAGATGGCACCGGATATATCGGGGAACCTTTCAAATACAGAGTGGCTGATGTGGAATGGGGCAGGTACTCAGACTTGAGGAGGGCTGGAACTCTGATTAGATGTGATGTTAGACCTCACTCCATCAGCATTTCTCTTAATTCAGCTTCCATATTTTCTATCTCTTTGAGCTCTGTGCTGTATTTTTTAATCATTTCTTTGCATCTTTCAGTTCACAATTTCCTCTTCAACTGGGGTTAATCTGTTGTCTTAATCCACCATTTTATTTTTTAATTGATATATAATAAATATACACAGTTTCAAGGCACATGTGATAAGTTGATACATTTATATAATTTGTAAAAATCAAATCAGTGTACTTGGGATATCCATCACCTCAAATACTTGTCTTTATGCTAGAACCATTTGAATTCTTCTCTTCTAGCCGTTTTGAAATATACAATAGATTATTGTAAACTATAGTCACTCTACTGATCTATCTAACATGAGGTCTTATTTATTCTATCAAACTGTACATATTTGTGCCCATTAATCAACTTCCCTGCATCCCCACTCCACCCTTCCCAGCCCCTGGTAACTTCCACTCTACTCTCCATCTTCATGAGATCCACTTTTTTAGTTCCCACATATGAGTGAGAACATGAGATATTTGTGTTTCTGTGCCTGGCTTATTTGATGTAAAATGATGACCTACGGTTCCATCCATGTTGCTGCAAATGACAAGATTTCATTCTCTTTTATGGCTGAATATTCTAGTGTGTGTGTGTGTGTGTGTGTGTGTGTGTGTGTGTGTGTATACAGAGAGAGAGAGAGCGCATTTTCTTCATCATTGGTGGGCACTTAGGTTGATTCTATATGTTGGCTGTTGTGAATAGTGCTGCAATAAACATGGGCATGCAAATATCTTTTTGTTGTATTGATTTCCTTTCTTTTGGTTATATACTCAGTAGTAGAATTGCTGGATCATATGGTAGATCTATTTTTAATTTGTTGAGGAACCTCCATACTGTTCTCCATAGTGGCAGTACTGTTTTTACATTCCCACCAACAGTATACGCCAGTTACCCTTTCTCCACATTCTCACCAGCGCTCATTACTGCCCGTCTTTGGATAACAGCCATTTTAACTGGAGTGAGATGATATCTCATTGTAGTTTTGATTTACATTTCTCGAGTGTTTAGTGATGTTGAGCATTTTTTTTCATATACCTGTTGGCCATGTGTCTGTCTTCTTTTGAGAAATGTTTATTAAGATCTTTTGCCCATTTTTAATCATATCTTTTTTTGCTAATGAGTTGTTTGAGCTCCTAATATATTCTGATTATTAATCCCTTGTCAGATGGGTAGTTTGCAAATATTTTGTCCCATTCTGTGGGTTGCCTCTTCACTTTGTTTACTGTTTCCTTTGCTGTGCAGAAGCTTTTTAGCTTGATGTAATTCCATTTGTCTAAATTTGCTTTGGTTGCCTGAGATTTTGTGGTCTTAACACAAAAAATCTTTGCCCAGGCCCATGTCCTAGAGTGTTTCCCCAATGTTTTCTTCAGTAGTTTCATAGTGTCAAGTCTTAGGCTTAAGTCTTTAATCCATTTTCATTTGGTTTTTGTGTATAGCGAGAGATAGGGATCTAATTTCATTCTTTTCCTATAGTTATCCAGTTTTCCCAGCACCACTTATTGGAGAGACTGTCTTTTTTTCATTGTGTGTCTTGGCACCTTTTACAGCCAAAGATGAGTTGGCTGTAAATATGTGGATTTATATCTGGGTTCTCTATTCTGTTCCATTGGTCTGTGCATCTGTTTTTTTATTCACGCTGATTTGGTTACTCTAGTTTTGTAGTAAATTTTAAAGTGAGGTAGTGTGATGCCTTCAGCTTTATTCTTTTTTTCTCAGGACTTCTTTGGCTATTCAGTGTCTCTTGTGATTCCATATAAATTTTAGGATTGTTTTTTCTACTTCTCTGAAGAATGTCATTGATATTTTGATAGGGATTGCATTGAATCCTAAATTGCTTTTGGTACTATCGTCATTGAGCATTGAAAATCTTTCCAATTTTTTAGGTCCTCTTCAATTTCTTTCATCAGTGTTTTGTGGTTTTTCTTGTATAAATCTTCCACTTTTTTGGTTAAATTTATTCCTAGGTATGCTATATTTCTTGTAGCTATTGTAAATGGGATTGCTTTTATGATTTCTTTTTCAGGTTGTGCATTGTTAGCATATATAAGTGCTACTGAATTTTGTATGTTGATTTTACATCCTCCAGCTTTACTAAATTTGTTAATAAGTTCTAACAATTTTTTGTGGAATATTTGGGTTTTTCTAAGTATAAGAGCATGTCATCTGCAAACAAGGCTAATTTCACTTCTTTCTTTCCAATTTGGATGCCCTTTATTTCTTCTGTTACCTAACTGCTCTGGCCAGGACTTCCAATACTATATTGAATATAAGTGGTGAAAGCAGGCATTCTTATCTTGTTCCAGATCTTAGAGGTAAGGCCTTCAATTTTTCCCTGTTCAGTACAATGTTAGCTGTGGGTTTCTTATATATGGCCTTTATTATGTTGAGGTATGTTCCAGGGATGTTAAATGTTATTGAATACTTTTTCTGCATCTATTGATTGAAATAATCATATGGTTTTTGTTCTTCATTCTGTTGATGTGATGCATCATGTTTATTGATTTGTTTATACTGAATCATCCTTACATCATTGAGATGAACCTCACTTATCATGGTGAATGATCTTTTTAATGTGTTGCTGAATTGGGTTTATTAGTATTTTGTTAAGAATTTTTGTATCTATATTCATTAGTGATATTTGCCTGTAGTTTTCTTTTTTGTTGTGTCCTTGTCTGGTTTTGGTATCAGGGTACTGCTGGCCTCATAGAATGAATTTGGAAGTATTCTCTCCTCTTCAGTTTTTTTTTTAAGAGTTTGAGTAGAGTTGCTATTAGTTCTTTTTTACGGTGGAACTCAGCAGTGAAGCCATCAGGTCTTGGGCTTTTCTTTGATGGGAAAATTTTTATTGCGGCTTTGATCTTGTTACTGGTTCTTTTTTTGAGACAGAGTCTCTCTCTGTTGCCCAGGCTGGAGTGCAGTGGCACAATCTCAGCCCATTGCAACTTTTACCTCCCAGGTTTAAGCGATTCTTGTGCCTCAGCCTCCCGGGTAGCTGGGGTTACAGGCATGCACCACCATGCCCAGATAATTTTTGTATTTTTAGTTGAGATGGGGTTTCGCCATGTTGGCCAGACTAGTCTTGAACTCCTGGCCTCAAGTGATCCTCCCACTTCATCCTCTCAAAGTGCTGGGATTACAGGCATCATCCACCATGCCCGGCCAATCTTGTTACTTATTATTGGCTTATTGAGATTTTCTGTTTCTTCATGGTTCAATTTTGGTAGGTTGTATATGTCCAGGAATTTATCCATTTCTTCTGGGTTTTGCAATTTGTTGGCATATTGTTGTTCATAATAGTCTCTAATGATTCTTTGTATTTCTGTAGTCTCTGTTGTTATGTCTATTTTTTGTTTGTTTCTGATGTTATTTGGGTCATCTCTCATTTTCTTTTCTTAGTTTAACCAAAAGTTTGTCAATTTTTTTTTATCTTTTCAAAAAACCAACTTTTTGTTTTATCGATCCTTTGTATTGCTTTTTTAGTCTCTCATTTGTTTAGTTCTCTCTGATCTTTATTATTTTTTCCTCCTACTAATTTTGGGTTTGGGTTTATTCCTGCTTCTCTAGTTCCTTGAGGTGCCTTGTTAGGTTGTTTATTTGAAGTCTTCCTACTTTTTTGATGTAGGCATTTATTGCTATAGACTTCCTTCTTAGCACTGTTTTTGCTGTATCCCATAGATTTTCATATGTTGTATTTCCATTTTCATTTGTTTCAAGAAATTTTTAAATTTCCTTCTTAATTTCTTTCATTGACCCATTGGTTGTTCCGGAGCATGTCGTTTAATTTCCATGTGTTTGTGAACTTTCCAAGGTTCCTTTTGTTATTGATTCCTAGTTGCAGTCCATTGTGGTCCAAAAAGATACTTTATATTAGTTCTACTTTTTTGAATTGGTTAAGACTCATTTTGTGGACTAAGATATGGTTTGTTCTGGACAACGGCCCTTGTGCTGAAGAAAAGAGCTTATGTTCTGGAGCAGTTGGGTAAAATGTTTCATAAATGTCAGTTAGGCCTGTTAGGTCTAGGGTGTAGTTTAACTCTGATGTTTCTTTGTTGATTTTCTGTCTGGATGATCTGTCCATTACTGAGAATAGGGTATTAAAGTCCTCTAATATTATTTGTGTTGCAGTCTGTTGATCCTTTTAGATCTACTGTTTGCTTTTTTTTTTTTGAGATGGAGTCTCGCTCTGTTGCCCAGGCTGGAGTGCAGTGGCGCAATCTCGGCTCACTGCAAGCTCCCCCTCCTGGGTTCACACCATTCTCCTGCCTCAGCCTCCTGAGTAGCTGGGACTACGGGTGCCCACCACCATGCCTGGCTAATTTTTTTGTATTTTTAGTAGAGACGGGGTTTCACTGTGTTAGCCAGCATGGTCTCAATCTCCTGACCTCATGATGTGCCTGCCCTGGCCTCCCAAAGTGCTGGGATTATAGGCGCAAGCCACCGTGCCCGGCCTAATATTTGTTTTTATACTTGGGAGCTTCAGTGTTATAATTGTTATATCCTCTTGCTGAATTGACCCCTTTGATCATTATATAGTGACTGTCTTTGTCTCTTTTTCAGACTTTGGTTTGTAGTCTGTTTTATCTGATATAAGTATAACTACTCCCACTCTTTTTTGGTTTCCAGTTACATGGAGTATCTTTTTCTACCCCTTCACTTTTGGTCTATATGTGTCTTTATAGGTGAAGTAGGTTTCTTATAGGCAACATATAGTTGGGTTTATTTCTTTATCCATTCAGCTATTCTATGCCTTTTAATTGGAGAATTGAGTCCACAGTATTTTTTTTTTTTTTGAGACTAGTCTTGCTCTGTCACCCAGGCTGGAGTGCAGTGGTGTGATCTTGGCTGACTGCAGCCTCTGCCTCCTAGGTTCAAGTGATTCTCCTGGCTCGGCCTCCTGGGTAGCTGGGACTACAGGCGCATGCCATGACACCCAGCTAATTTTTTTTGTATTTTTAGCAGAGACAAGGTTTCACTATGTTGGCCAGGCTGGTCTCGAACTCCTGACCTCAAGTGATCCACCTGCCTTGGCCTCCCAAAGTCCTGGAGTTACAGGCATGAGCCACCACACACAGCCCCCACAGTATTATTATTGTTAAGTAAGGAGTTAGTACTTCTATTTTGTTGCTTGCTTTCTGGTTCTTTTGTAACTTCTATCTTCTTTTGCGGTTAAGTGATTTTCTCTGGTAGTATGTATTAATTCATTGCTTTTCATTTTAAGTGAATCTATTATAGGTTTTTGCCTTGCGGTTACCACAAGGCTTACCAAAAAAAACCCATCTTATAGATATAACAAGTTATTTTAAAGAGATGACAACTTATTTTAGATCACAAAGAAAATAATAGAAACAAAGAAAAAATGAAAAAAACTTTCTACACTTTATCCCCTCCACATTTTGACTTTTGTATGTGTCAATTTACATATTTTATATTACCCATCTCTTAGCAGATGGCAATAGCTATTATTGTCTTTGATAGATTTGTCTTTGGGGATTCATACTAGAGTTAGAAGTGGATTTCACAACACAGTTACAGTATTAGAGTATTCTGGCTTGTCCATGTACTTAATTTTGCCAGTGGGTTTTATACCTTCAAATTTCTTTTTTTTTTTTCTTTCATGTTACTGTCTTTTTTCTTTCAGACTAAATAACTCCCTTTAGCATTTCTTGTAAGACAGGTCTGATGGTAGTGAATTCTCCCAGCTCTTGTTCACCAATTTATTTTAAAATTTCAGTTGTTATTTTTCATTTTTAGAAGTTCTATTTGGATCTTTGTTAAATCTGCTTGGTTTTGTT
The DNA here is from genome assembly GCF_000001405.40 of Homo sapiens. Classification (NCBI taxonomy): domain Eukaryota; kingdom Metazoa; phylum Chordata; class Mammalia; order Primates; family Hominidae; genus Homo; species Homo sapiens. Next base: position 39,779,373 of record NC_000022.11, on the reverse strand, counting down.
TTTTGTTTTTGGTTTTGGTTTTGGTTTATTTTTGAGACAGAGTCTTGCTCTGTCGCCCAGGCTAGAGTGCAGTGGCGTGATCTTGGCTCACTGCAACCTCCGCCTCCTGGTTCACTGCAACCTTTGCCTCCCGGGTTCAAGCAGTTCTCCTGCCTCAGCCTCCCAAGTAGCTGGGATTACAGGCACTCACCACCATGCCCGGCCAATTTTTGTGTTTTTAGTAGAGATGGGGTTTCACCATGTTGGCCAGGCTGGTCTCGAACTCCTGACCTCATGATCCACCTGCCTCAGCCTCCCAAAGTGTTAGGATTACAGGCATAAGCCACCACACCTGGCCTGTTTTTATAATCTCTTATACCTTGCACATCTTTCAGAAATACTTTATTTCTCTAACCACATTAAGTATATCTGTAGTTATTTTATCTTCTGTGCTTAATAATTTTAAGGTTTAAAGGCTTCACTGGCCTAATGATTCTGGCTTTTGTATTCTTGGGCACGTTTGTAGTACATGGTCTGTCCTCAAAAATATTTGTTGCATGAATGAAAATATGTGTAAGGCATGGGAATAAAAAAAGCAAGAGAAACATTAGTAGATAAATTATAGTATAGTCCTGTAAGTCATATTATAAAAATATAAGGAAAGAGCTGTAAGAACAAGGACCATACAACTGCCTCTGTCTGGAAGAAGAGAAATGGTATTTGCCATCTTAGGTATTCAGTAAGGTGTTTCCAAAGGGGCATGTTCTCTGGTATACTGTAATATTTAAAGTTTTAATAGGTGTCTTTTTTGCTTATTTTGAATAATAGAACATTTATGTTTCACAAGAAATAATACTTTATCTGAATTTATGATCGAAATGATATTTAAAGGCTTGTTTCAGTGTTGCAGACTTAGACGTGATTTTTACTCTGTGTCGAAGTTTAAAAGTGTATTAGTGGTCTGTATATCTAATAGGGCATATGTCTGAGAGTTATAGTTCTTCATATCACTGTCATATTTACATAGTATACCAGTTCTCTTGATCTCAAATACCCCCCTTCCTAGAATTGGCAGGTTCAAGAGAATGCATCATGCTTGCAGATCATAAATACAGGAGTATCTACGGGGAAGGGAGAGCACCTGGTTTGTTGACATTCCCATCCACTTCCAGTCAGGGCCATGGCAGGAACTCCCTGTAATCCCACTTCTTCAGACTGTTTCATGATACCAATAACCATGACTAAATAGAGTTTGCTGTGTGCCAGGCACCTTTTCAAGCATTCCATATATTTAATTCACGTCAGAATTAAACCTCTGACCCAATTTAGCTTACATTTTCAGTCTTCTATAATCACCTGTAGGGTTTTATTGTCATTGCCTGATGGCCACATACTCTTGTGCCCTCAGGCACCTGCTCATCTTGTTCAGCCTGGCATGCTTTATAAAGCAGGGAGACCATCCACATACCAGAGACCAGGCTCCGTTGAAACTCTCACTAGCGGAAAGACAGGAAACGTTGCAATAGATAAAGATTGCCAGCTTCACAAAGACATTTTCAGCTTTCATTTTTATAACTATAATCTATTGAGGGAAATTATGGTTTTTATAATTGGTGGAACCTTAACTATGGTATAAAATTTAACAATGAGCACCCTCTACCTGTTTTATAATCCATTCATTATAATCCATTTTAATGGCAGGAAAGTCTTTAGCTGACCCACTTATTTTTTTAAAAAGCACCTTTATAGAAGAAGCAAGTTACATGAAAAAAAGCACCTTTACATGTGTCCAGATCTGTATTTGTCCATGAGAAATTAAGCCATTATTTCAAGTTTATATTGAAGTGGTAGTAAATGGTGCTTGCCATATTTCATCACTGTGTTTTAAAACTATGTTTTCTTATTTTAATACTTGAGTATAATATACACTACAATTATATGTCATGATATATGATAAAACTCTCAGGACCTACAACTGTGTACACACACACACACGCACACAATCATAGGGAGATTATAGCTATTCTAACTTGTTATGATTATTTAGGTTTTATGCATGTACTGTAAGAAAAAATATATTAAAATTTTCATGTCAAGCATGTTATTTAAGTTGCACATTCAATATTCATTTTAACTTGGTTGCTTGTCTTTTAAACCAATACATTTAATAAGCAATTTAAGTCACCCCTCTATATTAATTTATAACTGTGGCCTCTTAGCAAAATGGTCTTATTATTACCTTCAGATTCTATTTCCTCTGATTGACTTAATTACTAAAGTAGAAGCTCCTTCAGTTACACATTTTTAAACTACAGAAAGACATATTTTGGCATCCATCTTTTGTCCTGCTTGCCAGCTCTCTGCTTTGTAGCTGTAATTGGATACTATGTATCAGAACAAGGGCAAGATCATAGCAATAACTCTGTTGGAATATAACCCCACTACTAAGATTCACAATAATGAATACAAAATAATATACAATGATTGTAACACCTGAAACAATGCAATGGTATTATTGCAAAATGAAAAAGAGGTAGCAGGGTGGAATGTTCCTATCTGCAGGCAAAATCTCTTAACTCAGTAGCAAATCTGAAGTTCTCTTTCAACAGATTTCATCGTCATCTGCAAACTGGCAAAAGTATTCTTAGTTACTTTAACAGCTTAGCTATTCTCTTTTGTCCTTAGGCTCAAAGCATGGAGGTGTTTTTGTTGTTTTTCCTACTTCAGTCATTTTCATGATAGTCTGTATTTAAATTTGCAGCCTGATGTCTTACATAGGGAACAAACTAAAGGATACCTAAAAGATAACTGTCAAGAATAATCAAGCCAGCTTTAATGAGACTCATGTGTCAAAGTCCCATTTTGCATCAGTCAATTATATTGGCAGGTATAAAAGCACTGTATGATAAAGAATACTGGGTATAGTCTCATAATTCAATACTGGGCTTCCTGTCTAGGAGTCAGCTGGATAGATCCTCGAGAACAAAGCTCTTTGACATTCAGGTTCAAATGGAAAGAAAATGAGAAGGCAGATAAAGCAAGCCAACTACATTAATTCACCTGTACTCCTCTCTGCCTTTTCAGTGGAATTCAGAGAAATTCTCTCCCAGCAAAGGTTGGAAAGTCCTCATGAAACAATCAGTTTAGTGTTTACAGAGTATACATTTACATGTTTGTGTTCAAACATACAAAGACAGTATTTAGCTGGGTGTGGTGGCTCATGCCAGTAATCCCAGCGCTTTTGAAGGCTGAGGCAGGTAGATCACTTGAACCCAGGAGTTCGAGACTACCTGGGCAACATAGCAAGAGCTCGTCTCTACAACTAATTAAAAAAAAAAAATTAACCAGATGTGGTGGCATGTGCCTATGGTCCTCAGCTACTTGGGAGGCTGAGGTGGGAGCCTGGGCAGGCCAGGCTGCAGTAAGCCATGATCGCACCACTGCAGTCCAGCCTGGGTGACAGAATGAGAACCTGCCCCCAACCCCTTAAAAAGAAAAAAAGACAGTATTCATTGCAGTTCTCCATCAAATCTCCTCAAGTTCTTGTGGACTTCAGAAAAGTTTCCACAAATGCTGCATTATATATATTCAAGAAAGCATCTACCCAAAGCCATCTTCCTGGGAGAAGGCAAGCAGCACAGATACAGAGGCCAGCTGTGTGCTGACTCAACTCCATTCCCATTCCCACGGTCCTGCACCTCCAGGAGTAGCACCAGGGACAAATGGAGTGAGCCCGAGGGGAAATCGAGTCTCTTTACGTTATGAACATGTACACATCAAGCTGTTAGAATTGTTAGTAAAGAAAAACCTGGTGCAGCTGATTCTCCCATACTTTTTTTGTTCCTTCTTTTATTCCCCTAGTAAATAACATTGATTTGGGATTTGGGAATCTGGGATTCTAGTTCTAGTTCTGCTCTTTAATCATTGTGTGATCCCGAGCAAGTCACTTGATCTCTGGGATCAAAGGGACTAAATAAAGACCTCTCCTTTCTCTACAGTTGAGTCTTTTAATGACCAAATCATCCAGCTTATGATTCATTGAACACACACTTATCAAGTGAATACAGGTATACTCTGCTAGTTGCCTATGGGTTAAACAAGTTGAATAGGATCTGTGACCTGAGGGGTTTGCAGTACCCTATAGGTGACAGTTCTATAAACATATAAGAAGTTATAAATAATAAATTTGTTTACCCCTGTATTTCCAGAGCTTATAAAAGTGTCTAAGACATCCTTGTACTTAGTATTTGTCAAATGAATGAATAATATTTGAAATAATGAAATCAATGAAAAATGTGAGTATTCACATTGTACTATGTAATAGCAGAGAAAATGGATTCATTTTAACGTGAAGGATAAAATATTTCACTAAGGAGGTTGTGTTTGAATGAGACCTTGAAGAATGAAACCATTTTTGATGGAGAAGAAGGGTGAGGAAGAGGATATTCTAGGCTGAGGGAACAGCATGAGCAAAAACACAGAGGCATGGAAATGTATGTTTTTTTAAGGGACGTGAATCTGGAAGCTGAAAATCAGTTCGATATAAAGAGACGAGGAACATTTCAGACAAAAATATCAGCACGGGTGAAGGCTTAGTGCTGAGAGGGAGCATAGAATTTGAAGACTGAAAGAAGTATAGCTGGATCATACAGCTTTAGAATAGTAGCACAAGATGAGGCAAGAGAGGTAAATGGGGACTAATTTATGCAGAGCCTTGTAAACCATGTTAAATAATTTGAAGAAGTATTGGGGAGAAATAACATCTAACTTTCATTTTAGAAAGGTCACTCTGGCTGGGCTGTGTAGAGTGGACTGAGGGGGTAAGCTGGAGAGACCTCTTAGAAGTTGTGGTAACAACCATAGTTCCAAAATAACCTGAGTGACTGGGAAGCTGATGGTCATATTAACAGAGGTAAAGCAAACACCCAAGGATGAGGAGGCTGGAGGATGATAAGACCTCCCTGAACACAGAAATAGGTAGATATTTAGGGCTAAAAATCAGCAGAGGTCAGGGTTCAGGATTAATATGTGTGAATTACTTGCCCACAGGTGACCATCTAGATCTAGTGTAAGTATAATAATAGATGACATCATCCTGGGAGATTGTAAAGGCAGAAGAGGAAAGTCAAGGACAGACTGTTTACATTTCACAGGAAACAGGGCCAGGAAGAATGTTGAGAAGATTGCCTAGACAGATAGGAGGAGAGCCAGCAAAGTTCGTTGGAGGCATCTGAAGAGGAATGAGTTTCAAAGAAATGGTCTTAAGATTTCAGTTTCATTCTTTCTCATCAATCCTGTCTGTCAAGACGTCTGCCAGCCCTGGTTCTGTCTATGTCTCTAGATTGAGCTCCTCTGCTCTCTGTGTGCACTGTGCACTCGTAACGCTGAATGCTTTGTACCTGCCCTGCCACTACCACACAGCACATTGTGTACAGCCTTCATTTCTTTGCTGAAATTGTTCCCTTTACTTGGAAATTTTTGTGTCCTTCTTCTCTTGACTTTTTTCTCATGCTTTTAGCTTGGTTCAGACATCATTTGTTTGAATCTCTTACACATCTTTATACCTCTAAACCTAAAGCAATGCCTAAATTTGTAGTTGCTTAGTACTTGTTTTGGTATTAAATTAACCTTACAATCTGAATTATTTCATTGGTCTCCTGGTTTTCTTATTTCTATTATCTCCCAACCCCAGAGAATTGCAATGAATGATACAGCAATAATTTTCCTAAAGCATTATATCTGTCAGAATCTGGTCAGGAAACCAAAAAATACACCAGCTATGAGGTTAGCAGCTTTATTGAGGTATAATTACCATTCAATAAACTGTACATGCTTAAAATGTATAAATTTCTTTTTTGACCCATGGGTATTTGAAGTATGTTTTCTAAATTTCCAAATATTTAGGAGTTTCTTCTAAGTACATTGTTATTTCTACATTCAATTCCATTGTGTCCAGAGAACCTAATAGAAGGCTTTGGGCTTTTAAAGCTTATTGAGACTTGGTTTATGGTCCAGCACATGGACCATCTCAGTGAATAGACCATGTGTACCTGCACGCTTGCAAAGAAAATGTGTTTTCTGCCATAGGAGCTTTATAAATGTCTGTTAGGTCAAGGTGGTTGATGTTAAGTCTTCTAGATCCCCGCTGATATTTTGTCTACTTGTTTTATCAATCACTGAGCAAAGGATGTTAAACTCTCTAAATATGACTTAGTTGGATTTGGCCAGTTCTTTAATTCTTGAGGTTCTTTTTTTTTTTTTTTTTTTTTTTTTTTTTGAGATGAGGTCTCACTATGTTGCCCAGGCTGTTCTCAAATTCCTGGGCTCAAGAGATCCACCTGCTTTGGCCTCCCAAAATGCTGGGATTACAGGCATAAGCCACTGCGCCTAGCTAGTTCTTTAATTCCGTCAGATTTTGCTTCATGTATTTGAAAGCACTGTTCTTAGGCATATATACATTTATGTTTGTGTCTTCCAGATGATTGGCCCTTTTGTCATTATGAAATATCCCTTTTTATCTCTACTAATACCATGGTCTCAAAGTGTATTTTATCTGATATTATTATAGCCACTCAGCTTTCTTATACTTATCGTTCCATGGTATATCTTTATAAAGCATTTACTTTCAACCCATTTGCAATTTTGTTTTTATAGGGTGTCTCTTGTATACAGCATATAATTAGATCTTTTTTATCCAGTCTGAAAATTTGTGCCTGTTAATTGCATTTACTGTGGTTATTGAAATGGTTGGCTTTACAACTGCTATTTTTCTATTACTTTCTCCTTGTTTTGTCGGTGTTTGGTTCCTCTGTTCCTACCTACCTTTCTTCTTTTGAGCTAAGTCAATAATTTTTAGAATTCCACTTTACCTATTAGACTTGGTAGTTATACCAAGGGATTAAATTATACACCTTTAGGTATTCACGGTCTATTTAGAGTTAATATTGTGTCACCATTGCAACCATATAGGCCTATTTACCATCTCATCATTTATGCTATAGTCCAGGGGTCCCCAACCCCTGGGCCACGGACTGGTACCAGTCTGTGACCTGTTAGGAACTGGGCCGCACAGCAGGAGGTGAGAAGCAAGTGGGCTAGCATTGCCACCTGAGCTTCGCCTCCTGTCAGATCAGCAGCGGCATTAGATTCTCATAGGAGCACCCTATTATGAACTGCAATGCGAGGGATCTAGGTTGCACACTCCTTATGAGAATCTAATGCCACATGATCTGAGGTAAAACAGTTTCATCCCCAAACCATCCCCACCACACCCTGTTCTGTGGAAAAATTGTCTTCCACAAAACCAGTCCCTGGTGCCAAAAAGCTTGGGGACTGCTGCTATAGTCGTTTAAACTATATTTACATTTGTTATAACACTCCACACATATTGTTACATTTTCTAAACAGTTACATATATTTTATTTTTAAAAAATTAAGAGTAAAAACAATCTTTTACATTCTCCTATATATTTTCCATTTCTAGAACTCTTTATTTCTTCCCAAAGATCCAACTTTCCATCTGGTGTACTTTGTCTTCAACCCGAAGTACTTCCATTAACAATTCTTGTTATAAAGTTTTACGGGCAATTCATTCTCTTAGTTTCTGTTTATCTTACAATGTTTTGATTTTGCCTTCAATTTTGAAGAATATTGTTGCTGGATATAGAATTCTGCATTGACAGTTTTTTTTCAGCATTAAAAAAAATGGTGTCATTCTGCTATCCTCTAGCCTCTGTTGTTTCTGATGAGAAGTCAGTCATCATTCATCTCATTCTTCCCTTATATAGAATGGGTCATCTTTCTCTGGGTACTTTCAAGATTTTCATTTTTATGTTTGATTATCAGCAATTTGACTATGATGATAACAGGTATGGTTTTCTCTGAGTTTTTTTGTTTGTTTGTTTTGTTTTGTTTTGTTTTTTAACCAGATTTCTCCCCTTTCCAGTGCTGTGGTAGCTCTGAATCTTGTTTTCTGGTTCTTCAGGCCAGTTAAGACTGTGGTTTCAGCCCACTTTTAGCCAATTACTGTAGAGCTGGCTGGATTCAGGGTAGCAAGTTGGAAAAACAGCAAACTTCCCCAGCGTTCTCCGCCTTCTAACTCTTCTCCCTCTCCAGTTTCTGCCTATTTTTGGTCCCCCTCCTATGCCTTCAGGTTATTGGTTTCTTTACATTTTTTAATTTTCTGGCTGTTATCTACAGAGGAGTTGGTCCACTTGAAACTACTCTGCCATTATCACAAAAATATGATACAATACACAGAATTTAATACAAAAACATTAAGTATTAAAAACTGAAAGGGCAAAAAAAAAGAGTACAGCTTAAGCACACCTAATCTGAAAATCCAAAATGCTCCAAAATCCAAAAATTGTTTAGCACTACGTGATGCTCAAACATCATGCTCAAAGAAGTGCTAGTTGGAGCATTTCAGATTTGGGATTTTCAGATTAGGGATGATCAGCTGGTAGTATAATGCAAATATTCCAAAGTCTGAAAAAGTCCAAAATCTAAAACAATTCTGGTCCCAAGCAATTCAGATATGGGACACTCAGCCTGTACCAGGATATCATGGGTACAGGCTGATTTACTTGCATCCAAGGATATCATGGGTACAGGCAAATTACTTGCATCCAAGTCTGCCTTTTGGGGTATCCAAACTAAAACATGTTCAAATTGTTGCTGAGCAAATATATTCATGTTCATTCACTTATTGGGAAGCTACAATTTTCTAGACACTGTGAAATCAAACTGGTAACTTATATTATTAGTTATTTTTATGTGTTTATCATACACATACCCATGGTATGATCAAGGTAGCAACTGCAGGGATAAGTCACCAGCCCTAACGCTGGAGGAGTTATTCAAATTTAGAAGCTTGAAGAAGGGGCTCTGTGGGGTGGTGACCCAGGCCTCTTAGGATGGGGTGCTTGTTGGCGGGTGCTAATGTTAAGAGAGTATGATAAGGTTGCTTCTACAAGTGTTGGAAAAATGCAAACTGGCAAGAACGCATTCTTTCTATCTTCTCCACCGATGGAGTGGAGAAGCGTTGCAAGGGTGTTGCAGTCAGGAGCAGAGGACAAACAGGAAGGAGCAAGTCCTCTCTTCCTACTCTAACCTTCCCATCTCCCTCTAGCACCTCTTGTTGGCAGCACCTAACAAAAAGCTAACTGGCAAAGTATGAACACGGTATGTGGTGTCACAGCTCCAGTATCACAAAGCAAGAGTATAGAAGGGTGTGAGTATGAAGCTGACACAGCAGCTCAGTAGCTGCCACAGCCCATCCATTGCCTACTCAGCATCATACACATTCTACACATATTTAACTTTCCGAGCAACAACAACAACCCTCTTTGTCTACCTAACAAGATACAACTATCTTTGAATGAAGATGCTGTCCCCAAAACAAAGCCACAAAGTTCTCAGACCTCTAAGATACCCAGTCCCCAATTCCTAAAACTTTCTGGAGTTATGTTGTGAGAATCAGTTTCCATCACATTGGCTTTCCCCTCTACAGGCATTTAGGTTTTGCTGCTTCTACTCCTCCACAAACTTTTCCTTTTCACAAAATTTGTTGACATTTCTTATCTTTTGTTGTCTCTTCTGTTCTATTTCCCCTCTGGTTGGTGCCTTTTTATTCCACTTCTGTCATTTCAATGGGTTTTGAGAAAGGAGGGGGAGTGATTATATCTTGTAGATGGTACTGTTGATGCTCCACCCCATACTCTCTTGGCCTTCCTCTGAGTACTACTGCAGCCTTGGTGACCAGTTCCATTTACACTGAAAGTACCTGTATCTCTCTTCTTCTCCACCCCGGAGCTTTCTCCAGAGCCCTTAGACTTGTTCATCCTAAGTGCAGGGTAGCCTGGAAGTTGCAGGGATTTAATGCCCAGAGTCAACCCTCAACCAGTGATAGTTAAGAGTTATTGAAAAAATATTCCACCTTCTCATCCCTGGGAGGACAGTTCTGAGGCAACCCAACAGGAGTGGCTCTCATTTTCCCACAACAGTAAATTGCTTGTTCATATACTCTTTATTGACTTTTGTCCCTTCTTTGTTTTAAATTTCCCGGTCCCTCGTTTGTGCTTCTTTAAATCACTGGCCAAATTACTTGCATCCAAGTCTGCCTTTTGGGGTATCCAAACTAAAACATGTTCAAATTGTTGCTGAGCAAATATATTCATGTTCATTCATTTATTGGGAGGCTACAATTTTCTAGACACTGTGAAATCGAACTGGTAACTTACATTATTAATTTTTATGTGTTTATTGTACATACACCGGTGTGTATATGTGTACATATACACAAGTTTGTGTGTGTATATATGTACATATACACAAGTTAGTGTGTGTATATATGTACATATACACAAGTTAGTGTGTATATATGTACATATACACAAGTTAGTGTGTGTATATGTATCTATCTATATATACATAATCCATACTTTGTTTATTGACAATAGGAATTCATCGTTCATTGGCATTAGTTCATCGACAGTAGGAATTGTGACTTCTGCTTGTGCATATCTCCTGCATTTAATACAGTTCAGTACAAACAGTGGGTACTAACAATGATTTCTTGATGGACCATTCCTATTTTTAGGCGTCAAATACAATATACATTGTTATACAGAAAATCAACATATAAAGTTGATATTAAATAATTTATAAATTAAGATATAGTTAAATTTAACAAACATTTGACACCTCCTATATGCAAAAGCATGATGCAGTTATAAAGTCAGAATGCAGGAACTTAATATGATATGTGATAGGCACTAAATAGCATATAATTAAGTGAAAAATGAGTTTATAGAAATATTACCTCAGAGAAGGGAGAGATTAAGATAGAGTGGTAGACATGATTGGAAATAGCTTCTAGAAGTAGTAGTTATTTGAGGAATAGTAGGGTTTAATAGGATTTAAACAGGTGGAGAAGAAGAGGGTATTCCAGGATGGGGAATCAGTGGTGATGGTCAAGAGCCCTGTGTTAACATGGAGAATGAAGCTAAATGGACCTAAATGCTCATGGCGTGTGGAGTGACAGGGAGAATGGCCTGACTGAGGGTTTGTTTCCTGTTGAATAGCAACAGAAAGTAAGCAATGAAGGGCCTTTGAAACCCAAGGAATTTGGACTTTCTCACTGACACAAGAGGCAATTTTTGAAGGATTTTCAAATATAAACTATAAAGTAGTAATTGAATTGGAGAGGAATAATTTGACGCATTGCATAGACAGCAGGGGTGGATGAAGGCTGATGGAAGAGAAACCTGGTACAACTTGCTTTCTAGAATCTTCAAGACTCTTTAGCTTTCTGTATAAGTAAACATTTTTCTCTTTGAAATAATGTACTATCCATTTCAAATCATTATTTTTCATTTGGCTTCTTCTAGGTCATAGTATTTGATTCATTTAAAAAGTTAGCAACTTTAGCAAAAGTCCAAGCAACCAAAAGATTGCAGCCTATTCTTCCCGGGCTATTGGGAAAGGGGGTGGGTAGAAATGGAATGACTTCTGTCTGGTTTGCTTCATTGAATTTTAAGGATTTGTTCATTTGTTTCATTTTAAACTTTTTTACTAAACCTTAAAATGGCAGCCATACAGACAACTTTATGCATCTGAATTTTGAGATTTAGATTAAGTATTGTGAATATTTTCATCAGAAAGTTCTGGTCATTCTGAAATGTCCTAGTTTAATATTGCTAAATTTTAAGATGATCTTATTACATATAGAGCAAAACATTTTTGTCTTGTTTTTCTCACATGTAAAATGAAAGTCAATGGAAAAATATTTAACTAAAATTCACTTTTAATGAATGATTTGATGTAAATGTGGTGATATGCAAAGTCACTTTGAAATACCATAAATCTAGTAATCTAGTACTCAACTAGGAATATATTCGTTTGGGTGTTTTGTTTTGTTTTGTTTTGTTTTTCATAGAAATGGGGTCTCACAATGTTGCCCAGGCTGGTCTCAAACTCCTGGGCTCAAGTGATTTTCCCACCTCAGCCTCCCAGTAGCTGGGACTACAGGCACTGCGCCTGGCTTATATTTGGTATTTTTAACAGACTTTCAATCATCTAAATATAATTCAGTCATATGCAAATTAGGAATATTTTAGGAGAGGTTCTTTTCATCTACCTATTTCCTTTAATCATTATTAAGCAGTTAAACTATATTCAGTTTAGAAAAATGAAGGCGTTACTTTTTCTTTCATCTTTGTGCTTCAGTTTCCCTTGCACCCAATGAGCATTCATTGAACCTGTCCTCTGGGAATGGCACTGTTAGGTGCTGAGACACGAAGATGACTCCTTGCAAGGTCTCCTCAAGGAGACTTTTGTCAGGTAGGGGACAAGATAAATGAGATATGAAGTGTTATAATTACTCACAGAGCTTCAAACAGGACATGTGAAGATAGACAATAATAGGATAGGGTGAGGAAAGAAAAGGGTCAGGGCAAGCTTTAAAGAGAAAGTGATACTTGAATTGAGTTTTAAAAGATGAGAGGATGGAAGAAAAATGGAATTTCTGGTGAAGATAGCAATGTAAGTTTCTTGAACTGTCTTAATTCTGTGGTACATACCAGCAGTATTTTTGCTAAGGCTAACCTCCAACTGCAGATGAAAATGAAAAGGAAGCTTTATAGAGACAAAGAAAAGTTTCTTTTCTTTAATAACTCAGAGCCCAAAAGTGATGAGGATAGCATGTAAATGTGCATTCTGAAGTATTTTATGACATACATTGTGATGTATAATCACTCAATAGTGAATCACACAATTTCTGCGTCCTCTTTTGGGAGCTTCGAAAGATAGCCTCTTCCTTTGGCCCTCTTCTACCTCATCATGCTTCTCGTTTCATGAACACAACCTCATAAAAATAACGGTCTTTCTTTTCGTATCCCGGTTCAGATGGAGCTGTTACAGAGCAAGCCCTGGCGCTGAGGGTGTTCCTAAGAATTTGCATCTAGAAACTCGGACCAGGTCTATAATGCGTAGATTCAATAGACATTCCTGGATCAGGCCCACCTTCAGTTTCAGTTTCTTACAATTCCTTCAGTGTTTTCTATTTGTAATAAATATTGTTTGTTATATTCTAGGGACTATTTTATGTACTTTGGTGATATTAACCACTAGAATGGACAAAGATCTCCAGCCCAGTGGAACTTATATTTTACTAATTGTCAGAACAGCTCTGAAAGATTGTTTCCTTTCTTCCGTATAGACAAAGCATTTATTAAAATTAAGCTTCTACCTAAAGTACTGAGTTTCTTTAATGTGCCTTGCATATAGAAACTGTGTGGAAGAAGACATTCTTTATTTTTGGGGAGAAAGCTTTTCTTTTTCTTTCTTTTTTTTTTTTTTTTTTTTTTTTTTTTTTGTAGCTGAGGGTTCTGTAAGGATAGACCAGTATGATGTGGCATATTTTCCCTAGTTTATCTTGTAAAAAAGATGAAAGTTGGAAAGTACTAAAAATATGGTGGTTTCAGCGACAGATAAGTGGGTGAAGGGAGAAATATTTAAAGACAAGTTATTTGAAGCTTTCCTTGCTTTGTGCTTCAGTGAGGAGAGAGGGAGAAGGCAGCTACCAAAATGACTAAGGCGTCAATTATAGCTTGGGTGTACTTTAAATAGGCAGAATATAGAAGCATAGTAAGAAAGCAGAGGGCTAAATAGGAAAGAATTCTGTTATGACATTAAAAAATCCTATTTATTAAAATTATAACAGATTTGAAATAGAGTATTTTCAGTTTTATTTTTTGATTATAGCTCTTATTTGTTCTTTTATAGATGCTGTGCCTACTCTCTCAGAAAATAGTCCTTCTGGGCAGAGAGATGTGAGTTTGGACAAGAGATCAGATGGTATCTTTACAAATACTGTCACAGAAAACCTCTTGGAAACACCTTTAGAAAAGCAATCAGCTGCAGAAGGTCTTAAAACATTGACAATTTTACCAGCATGTTGGTCAAGTAAAGAGGAGTTTATCAGCCCCGACTTAAGGGTATCAAAGTCAGATTCTACTTTCCATAACCAGGCCTCTGTAGAAACACTCTGTCTCTCTCCCTCATTCAAAATATTTGACCGAGTGAAGGAGATTGTAATCAACAAGGCCTACCAGAAACCAGCACAATCCAGCATTCAGATGGATGATAAAATCCTCAAGACAACCACACGGGGTGAGTCTGCCAAACACACACACACACACACACACACACACACACAACAAAAAACCTCTTTTGAAGCATTATTTTACTTTTCTCTGCTTTCTGTCTCCTTTTTTTGTTCCCTCCTTTCACTCTTCATCATTGATATTAAAATGTACATGCCATACACATACTTCTTAGTTGGGAAAGTCCCCCTTTTATTAAAGGGCTAATAGATAATTCATCACCGTGGGTTCTGAGTCCTTGGTTGAATATAAGATCTGAGCAATTTTGGTGCAGACCAAATTAGAAGGAACTAGTGTGAAGTAAGTGCTTTCTGTTAGACATGTAGGTTACTTATTAAGAGATTATATGAAAAAGAATTGGTTATTATGTGTATTGGTGTATACACACACCCCCACATACACACGGGTGTATGTGTGCCCCTTTAAAAAGGGCTGTGTACTGATTGCACAAAAGGGGCAGGGGATCTTGTCTTTTTTATATTATATATATTTTATATTATAAAGATATAAAAAACCTTAAGAAGATTGCAGTATTGTTTAGACTGGGTAATAAAGGATAAAGCCAGTTGAGATTTCAGGTTATTGGCTCTCAGTTACTAAATCCTCTATTATATAATTATGCTTTCTACTTTAAAGTTTACTAGTAAAATAATAATTTTTATGAATTTTTCAAAGACTAAGTAGTAGTTTTATTGGTTCTTACATATAATAGTGCTAACCAACTCATATAAATATAAAGCTTTTTAAATGTATTTATTTTTATTAGAGACAGGGTCTTGTTCTGTTGCAATCAGTGCAATCATAGCTCACTGCAGCTTCAAACTCCTGGGCTCAAGCAATCCTTCCACCCCTCAGCCTTCCAAATAGCTACGACTACAGGTGCATGCCACCACTCCTGGCTAATTTTATTTTTGTGTGTGTGGAGGTGGGGTCTTGCTATGTTGCCCAGGTTGGTCTTGAACTCCTGGCCTCAAGTGATCCTCCTGCCTCAGCCTCCCAAAGCTCTGGGATCACAGGCATGATCCACTGTGTCTGGCCAATAAAGATTTTAACGTGAATCTTTTAAACAGACTCAAACCCAGATCAAAAGTACATATAAATATAAACAATGGAAGCCACCATGTTGAAGTTAAAGAAATTTATATTGGTATTAGTAAGGTCAATGAGTAACAAAAGATTTTCCTTGGTGCTCTTTCAAGACTTTTTTGATACTGAATAGCCTAAAGGTAGTAAAACTGATTCTCAGTTTTGTCAACCAATTAACTTTTCTTCTGAGACTGCTGATGTGGAAACCTGTTAGTACTGGTTATGATGGCTCTGATGGATTATGTGCCTGGCTGTCGCTGGGAAGTTGATACGTTTGGTTTTTTTATTTCATGAATACCACAAAAAGATCATTGAAAATACTTTTTGGTCGCTGTGAGTGTACCAAGTACACTTAAAATTTAGCGAGAAGTTCCTCTAAAACTGGTTAACAAGGAGAACTTTTTTGTCTGCTTATAATAGATAGTATTGATCTAATTCTACTACCAAAAATAATTATTAAATCTAGGAAATTATTAAAAGCTGGTTTGAAGTCATCATCAAACAACCAAGTAGAAAATACATAATAGGTTAAGATCCCAGGGGGAAGGAAATTGAGATGAGTCCCTCAGTCACCTTAGTTTCCCCACCTTGAGTCATTTGCCAATTCTCAGAGCAAGATAATAGAAGCTGAAGAAAAATCAGAGGCGTAGGCTTTCCGCAGTCTCACTGAGCTTGGGAGACACGGTAGGAGTTTGAGCTTTCAAGGTGTCAGGGACTTGAAGGGCCTGTATTCCAGAGGGAGGGAATCACAGAGAAGAAATCCTAAAACCTTTTTGTCATTTCAAAACATTTGCCTACTGCTAAGCTACATGCGTTCAGGATGAGATGCCAAGAAACTAAATGGGAAGCAGCTTCTAAGAGGCCAGTGAGCTATGCAGAGATTCTGATGATTCTGATGATACAAGGAAACAAATGTTGGAGTTCAGGATATAGCAAATGGGAGGAGCCATGGGAAACACTCCAGGCTTTCCACTGGGACCCCTGATAGCCTACACCCTAGGCCTCAGGACTATACTCTAGGAGTAAGGACAAATGAGAAGTTGAGCAGCCCTCACAAATACTATTAATAAAACCTATTTCACCTAGAGCAAAGTGATTGACTTGTATTCCATCTGCCTTCCAGAAGACAATTCAATCCTTTCCAGAGAGCTCTTAAAATTTTTCATTGAAAATTTTGACTTTCAACAAAAAGTTACCAAGCATACTAGGATATGAAAAAACGGCCAGAAATATAGGAGAAAAGTAGACAACAGAAACAGATCCACAGTAATCTAGATTCTGAATGTATAAGATAGGTAATTTAAAACTATGATTAATATTAATATGATCAAGAAGACAGGAAAGATGAAGAATTTCATCAGAATACTAGTATCTATTTTAAAAATCAAATGGACCTGGTACAGTGACTTGTGCCTGTAATCCCAGCACTTTGGGAGGCTAAGGCAGGGAGAATGCTTTGAGGCTAGGAGTTCAAGATAAGCCTGGGCAACATAGGGAGACCCCATCTCTACAAAAAATATACATATTAGCCAGATGTGGTAGCATGTGCCTGTAGTCCTAGCTACCCTGGAAGCTGAGGCAGGAGGATCACTTGAGCCCAAGAGGTTGAGGCTACAGGGAGCCATTATCATGCCACTGCGCTTTAGCCTGGGTGACACAGTGAGAGCCTGGGTGACACAGTGAGAGCCTGGGTGACACAGTGAGATCCTGTGTCAAAAAAAAAAAAATCAAATGAAAATTGTAGAGCTGAAAAATACAGTAGCTGAAATTAAGATTCTGAGGGTACTCTTCAGTCCTCATAGCCTGGAGTGTCAAAAGAGAGTTCAGTTCTGGCAGGGAAGCTGGAAAGTTATCAATGAAAACCTAAAAGAGGAGACTGAGAAGGGGCAAACCTCATTATTTGTGTATAAACTCTTCCCAAATTCTTGACCGACCACTAAACTATACGTATAGGGGGACCCCAGCGAGTCTGACCAGAAAAGAAAATCCTACTGGAAGCCAAAAGAACTGAGATGAGACCAGCTTTTGCTTACTGGAGTTTGAAAAGGCCAGGCAAGTTATCTTCCAACCAGAACAAAAATCAGTGCTCTTTAGAGGAGTATCACAGAATCCAGACACTTTACAATGTATCATCCAAATGTCCAGTATAAAATTTTAAAAATCACTAGGCATTTGAAGAAATAGGAAAATATGGGTCATAATGAAGATATTAAGAGTCAGTAGAAACTGACCCTTAGATGACCCAGGTGTTGCAATTAGCAGACAAATTCTAAAAGCAGCTATTACAAATCCATTTAAGAACTTAAAGTACTCACAACTAATGAATAGAAAGGAGCATCTCGGCAGGCAAAAAACTGTAAAAAGGAATTAAATGGAAGTTCTGGAGCTGAAAGATAAATAATTGAAATGAAAATTTTACTGGAAGGGCTTAGCAGAAGATTAAAAATGAAAGAAAGAGCAAGTGAATTTGAAAATAGATCAATAGAAATCATCTAATCTGAAAAATGGAAAGAAAAAGATTAAAGAAAAAGAAACAGAGAGACTCAGTCTTGTGAAACAGTGTCAAGCAGTCTGACACTGATGTAATTGGAGTTCTAAAAGGTGAGGAAAAGACATAGGGGTCAGAAAAAATCATTTGAAGAGACAATGCTCAAACCTCTCCAAATGTGTGAAAGAAATAAACTTTCAGATCCAAAATGCCCAATGAATTTCAAACAGAATTAAAGAAAAAAACACTATGTCTAGACACATCATAGTTGGACAGCTGAATTCCAGAGACAAAATCTTGAAAGCAGCAAGCAAAATTATCATATTACATGCAGAGGACCAAGAATATGAATGACACCTGATTTTTCATCATAAGCAGTGTATACCAGGAGACAATGAAAAGTCATCTTTTAAGTGTTAAATGACAAAACCTATTAACCCAGAATTCTATATCTAGCAGAACCAAAAAAATGAAGATGAAAACAGGACTTAATTCAAGTGAATAAAAACTGATCATCGGGGAATCCATACTACAAGAAACACTGAAGGATTATTTTCAGCCTAATGAGAAATTATGCTAGTTACCTGAATCTACAGAAACAAATGATGAGCACTGGAAATTATAAATATGTGGATAAATATAAAATACTATGCATATTTTTCTTCTAATTAAAAAGTACATGTAACTAAAGCAAAACTTATAATACTGTATTTTGGGGTTTAAAACATATGTAGATATATATTGCAACATAGCACCAAGAATGGAAAGTTCATGGAATTATACCATTGAAAGATTTCTATATTTTACATGAAATAGTACAGTATTAACTATGATTAACTCACGATAAGTTAAGCATGCATATTTAATTACGCTTGTAGAAAGAATAGTGGTATAGCCAAAGTCCTACTGAGGAATTAATATGGAATAGTAAAAATATATTCGATCAACACAAAAGAAGAAAGGAGGGACAAAAACAGACAAATAGAAGGCAGATAGCAAAATAGAAGACCTAAATCCAAGCATTTCAATAATTACATTAAATGGAAGTGGAATAAACTTTCCAATTAAGAGGAAGAGACTTTAGATTGGATAGAAAAGCAAGAGTCAACTATATGCTATCTATGAGGGAAGTGCTTTAAATACAAAGACATAAATTGATTGAAAGTAAAACAATTAAAAATATGTACTGTGCAAGCAGCATAATAAAGTGGGAGTAGCTATATTAATACCAGACAAAACTGACTTCAAGACAAGGATTATTACTAAAAAAGAACATTTCATATTGATACATAGGCCAAAACATGAGGGATATACAGCAACTAAATGTGTGTATGTAACTAATAAAAGAACTTCAAAAATACATGAAGCAAAAACTGACAGAATTATAGGGAGAAATTACACAAATCTGCAGTTTTAATTTGAGATTTTATTATTCTCAGCAATTGATAGAACTAGGCATAAAAATCCATGAGTATGTAGAAAGTATGAATAACTATTCAAAAACATTACCCTACTTCAAATCTCTAAATCACAACATCCAATCACTGCAGAATACATTATTTTTCTTTTTTTTAACATTCTTTTTCAAGTGCAAAATGAACATTCACCAAGAAAGAACACATACTGCATCATTAAAAACAAAAACTATTTTGAAATAAAGTGCGGTATGAAAACAAACAAAAAGTAACAATAAATTTCAAAAGATTGAAATCTTAAAAAAGTATGGTCTCTGGCCACAGCAGAATTAAATTAGAAATTGGTAACAATGAAATACATAGAAGAACTCCAAATATTTGGAAATTTAGCAATATGCTTCTAAATAATCTATGAGTCAAAGAAGAAATCTGAAGAGAAATGAGAAAATATTTCAAACAATGATAATGAAAATCAAAAAATGTGAGATGCATTAAAACTAGTAGGAAATTGCTAGAGGGAAAATTACAGCTTTAAATGCTTATATGAGAAAGGAAGAATGCCTTAAAAATCAGTAATAGAAGGTTCTAACTTAAGATGCTTGGAAAAAAGGAACAAATTAAACCTAAAGTCAGTAAAAGGAAGTAAACAACAAAAATAAGAATAAATGAAATAAAAACAGATTAAAGGTGGCTCTTTAAAAAGGTTAAAATTTATAAATCCCTATTAAGACTGATCAAAAAAATAATTACAAATTACCAATTCTAAGAATTAAAGATAGTATATAACTAAAAAACCTATAGATTACCAAAAGATTATGAGAGAGTATTATGAACAACATTATGGCAATAGATTTGATGCCTTAGTTGAAATGGATAAGACAACTGGCTAAAATTGACCTGCGAAGACCTTTGTGTTCGTCAAATAAGCTGGGGAAAAAAGACATATAGATACACACATATACACAAACACACATATACATATATTATCAAAAACACATCACAGAGAAAACCTCAGTCCCCTATAGTCTTACTAGTGAATTCTAAGAAAGAAGTAATGATAATCATGTGCCAATTTTTTCAGAAAGTAGAAAAGGAAGGACTACCCAACTCATTTTATGAAGCTAGCAGAATCTAATGCCAAAATCTGACAAAGACATTTCAAGAAAAGTAAATTATAGACCAATATTCCTCAAAAATTTACACAAATGTAGAAATCCTCAGTAAAATATTAGCAAATCAAATCCAGCAACATAGAAAAATAATAATACATCATGACCAAGTGGGATTTTTCCCCGAATTATAAGGTTGGTTTGACATTTGAAAATCTGTAACTGTAATCTACCATATTAACAGAATCAGATGGAAATGATAAAATTATCTTGATTCATGCAGAAAAGCATTTGGCAAAATTCTACACTCATTTACAATCTTTAAAAAATTTAAGCAAACTATGAATAAGAGGGAACTTCGCTCAAGCTGATAAAGGGTATATATTTTTAAAGGGTATACTTTTTAGGCCAGATATGGTGGCTCACACCTGTAATCCCAGCACTTTGGGAAGCCAAGGCAGGAGGATCAGTTGAGGCCAGGAGTTCAAGATCAGAGTGGTCAACATAGTGAGACCCTGTCTCTACAAAAAATTTAAAACATTAGCCAGGCATGGTGGCATGCGCCTGTAATCCCAGCTGTTCAGGAGGCTGAGGTGGGAAGGTCACTTGAGCCCAAGAGTTTGAGGCTGCAGCGAGCTATGATTGCCCCACTGCACCCCAGCCTGGGCAACAGAGCAAGACACCCATCTCCAAAATAAATAAATAAATAAAATGTTTTTTAAAAAGCCCTAATATGTACTGCTGACATAATTAATGATAAAAGACTGAATGCATTACCACTCAGATCAGCAACAAAGAAAGGATGGCTGCTGTCACCGCTTTTATTCAACATTGTATTAGAGGTCTTAGGCAGTGCAGTTAGGCCAGAAAAATAAATAAAAGGCATATGTATTGGAAAGGAAGAAATAAAATGTTTTTATTCGAAGATGATAGGATTATCTGTGTGGAAGATCTCAAAGAGTCTGTCAAACAGGCTACTAGACCTAGTAGGTGAGTTTAGCAAGATTTCAGGATACATAGTTAGCATAAAAAATGTATTGTCCCAACCTGGACAACTGTATTAGTCTGTTTTCACACTGCTATCAATGACTAAGACTAGGTAATTTATAAAGGAAAGAAGTTTAGTTGACTCACAGTTCCTCATGGCTGGGGAGGCCTCAGGAAACTTAGAATCATGGTGGAAGGAGAAACAGGCACCTTTTTCACAAGGTGGTAGGAGAGAGAGTGCATGAAGGAGGAACTGTCAAACACTTATAAAACCATCAGATCTCGTGAGAATTCACTCACTATCATGAGAACAGCATGGGGGAAACCACCCCATGATCCA
The DNA here is from genome assembly GCF_000001405.40 of Homo sapiens. NCBI lineage: Eukaryota > Metazoa > Chordata > Mammalia > Primates > Hominidae > Homo > Homo sapiens. Next base: position 39,757,804 of record NC_000022.11, on the reverse strand, counting down.
GTCACTTCCCTCCCTTGACACGTGGGGAATACAATTCGAGATGAGATTTGAGTGGGAACACAGTCAAACCATATCAACAACATAGGGAGACCCTGTCCCTATTTTAAAATTTTTAAATTTTTTTTTTTGAGATGGAGTTTCACTTTGTCACCCAAGCTGGAGTGCAGTGGGGTGATCTTGGCTCACTGCAACCTCTACCTCCTGGATTCAAGTGATTCTCCTGCCTCAGCCTCCTGAGTAGCTGGGATTACAGGCACGTGCCACCATGCCCAGCTAATTTTTGCATTTTTAGTAGAGATGGGGTTTCGCCATGTTGACCAGGCTGGTCGAACTGCACCTGGCCGAAAATTTTTAATTTTTTTTAAATTTAGCCTGGCATGGTGGTGCACACCTTGTGGTCCCAGCTCCTTGGGAGGCTGAGGTGGGAGGATTTCTTGAGCCCAGGAGTTCAAAGCTGCAGTGAGCTATGATTGCACCACTGGACTCCAGCTTGAGCAACAGAGTGAGACCCTATCTCAAAAAACAAACAACAATAATAAATAATTAGAAATTGAAATTAAAACAGTACCATTTACAGTAGCATTTTTCAAAAACAAAATACTTAACAAAAGACATGTAAGACCTCTGCAGTGAAAACTATGAAACATTTCTGAGAGCAATTAAAGACCTAAATAAGTTGAGAAGATACACAGTGTTCATGGATTGGAAGACTCAGTATTGTTAAGATGTAATTTTTCTCCAAATAGCTCTGCAGATTCAATGCAGTCCCAGAAGGCTTTTTTTTTTTTTTGGTAGAAATTGACAAGCTGAGTCTTACATTTAAATAGAAATACAAAGTGTCTAGAATAGCCAAAACAATCCTGAAAGCAAAAGAACAAAGTTGGAGGACTCCTACTACCTAATTTCAAGTCTTACGGTAAAGCTATAGTAATCAAAATAGTGTGATATTGTCTCTATTGTACATATATTTTTGTATCATTTTTATACTTAGAAGCTTTTATAAATGTTGAAATATTGACCCTCTGATTGAAATTTCTTGAACATCAGGTAAGGTGATTGGTTGAATAATAGAATAATATTTTCCTCCAGTCATTGCTGTGGTACTTAACTTGCTTATGTAATTGCTTAACTATAATATTTTAACATTGATTTGTAAAAATATATGTGTGTGTGACCGGGCACTGTGGCTCATGCCTGTAATCTCAGCACTTTGGGAGGCCAAGGCAGGAGGATCACTTGAGGTCAGGAGTTCAAGACCAGCCTGGTCAACATAGTGAAAGCTTGTGTCTACTAAAAATACAAAAATTAGCCAGGTGTGGTGACATGCCTGTAATCCCAGCTACTCAGGAGGCTGAGGCAGGAGAATCACTTGAACCTGGGAGGCGGAGGTTGCAGTGAGCCCAGATCACGCCACTACACTCCATCCTGGGTGACAGAGTGAGACTCTCTCTGAAAAAGTGTGTGCGTGTGTGTGTGTGTGTGTGTGTGAGAGAGAGAGAGAGAGAGAGAGAGAGAGACAGAGACATTGATAGGTTTAACAACATTTAACAAATTCTTAATAGGGTGAAATACAGTATTTCTCTGTTGATAAATTAAGGCCAAATTATTTCAGAATTGGTCAGAGCATGGCTTGGCTCCATGACGGAGGGCCACAATTTGAAAGTTGCCTAGTTCCACAGAAGAGGCAGCATGAGCCTGATAGGAGAGGATGGCAAAGCTCCCAGTCCTAGAGGGAGATCGGAGAATAAATCGAATGTCCCTTTAAACCTCACCATAAATTCAAGCTAGGCTCCTACTTGGATGAATAGCATAGTTGCTGATAGCACAGGCTCTGGAGTGAGATTGCCTGGGATCATAATCCCAGCCCACCCACTAAATGTGCAACCTTAGGCAAGACACCTGACCTCTTGCAGGTCAGTATCTTCATCTATAGAACAAAGATAATGATGGAACTACCACATTGAGATATTGTGGGGATTTAATAAATTTACAAATGCGAAGTGTGTAGAGTGGAACCTGGTGATAGGATAAGTGTAATGTAAAATTTGCTATTATTATTCAAGTGTACATATTTTTAATTCCGCCTTTAGAACTGCAGAACCTCAGTCCCATCCTAACCCTCAAAATCCTCTCTAGTTGTTTCCAAAAGTACCCAGGAGTTTCTCATTTTATGCTCAGGAACAAGTAAATGCCTATCCTTCCAGAAAGGGCATTCCAAGCAAAGGAATGATGCAGAATTGTAACCAAGCAAAGAGATTCTGGGGAGCTCCAGTTCTCCATCAAGCAGCTGGAGTAGTTTGATCACTAGTATTCCCCAACTTAAACAGTGGACTGATCACCATGTTCTTAAAGCCCTGGGAAGCCTAGCTTCTGCCTCTCTAACCAGCCTGATATTTTCTCAATTTGTCAGATAAACCATCTTGCTTCACCACGGTTGTTCCCTCTGACCAGAACACTCCCGGCCCACCCCTTCCCCTGGTTCACTCCTACTCATCCTTCAGAGGTCAGCTCGAATATCACTTCTTTAAGATTTCCTGACCTCCTAGGGTATTTCAAATCCCCCTAACCATATGCTATCTTAGTACCCTATAATTATCCTCATCACACTGTCATTCTAGTTGACTGCATATGTGCTAAGTTATTTAATATATTAATATTTCTTCCCAACTGAAATGTCATCTTCATGAGAGAAGAGACCGTGTCTGCTGTTTCTTATTGCATCCCCAGCAGCAAACACAGTAGCTTGCACATAGTCAGTATTCAATATTTAATAAGTGAACCAAAGGCAGCTTAGTAAAGCAGAAGTGGAAAATGTGCATGAAGAAGCGGTAGAAGAAAACACTGGAAAATTAAGCCAGACAGATGATAGAAGCTATGTGTGCCAGGTTAAGAAATTTGAACTTTAATTTGAAGACAGTGCTGGTCAGTAAAGGTCTTAAGCTAGGCTAATGACCTTGTTTTAGGAATGTGAAATGCTGATCTGGCCGGTGAAATTGGAGGTGAGGAACACTTCAAAGGCTGTTGTAAAAAACCAGGTGAGAGGTGTTAGACAACAGAGGGTGAGGTAGAGGGAGATAGCCAGGAGCCTTAGGTGGATCACGATCTGAGAGAGGTGAACTAGAGTCAAGAATCCAGAAAGAAAGAGACTCACCCCATCTGGAGGGCCTGTAAGGAAGGAGGAAAAAGGATGTGTCAGATGTGAGGGAAGGGTTTGTTGTTACTGCTTGTTATTTGTAATAAATAAGATGTATTGAGCCTTTGTGTGCCACACACTGTGAGTAATGGCCTCAGTTTCTTCTCATCAGAGGTCACCTGCCAAGCCTGAGGGATGTGGAGTGGTATAGGGACCATGAAGAGAACGCTTAGGTTTAGAACAGACACTGTAGAGAATGGAAGAAGGAGCTGGCAAGATGCTGGGAGAGCGTGATTGGTGCCACCCTAGTGTGCAGAGGCCTGTGGTTTTCTCCAGTGGGACTGAGCAGCCTGGGCACAGGAATGAAAAGGGTGGATATTTAAATCAAAATAGAATTAGGGCAGTGGGTGGCAAACTACAGCCTCTGGGCCAAATCTGGCTCACTGCCTGTTTGGTAAATAAAGTTTTATTAGAATACAACCATGCTAATTTGCTGTTTTTGTGCTGCAACAGGCAGAGTTGAATAATTGCCACAGAGACTATATGTCCCACAAAGCCCAAAATATTTGCTATCTGGTCCTTTACAAAAATGGTTTGCTGACCCCCGGATTACAAGTTAGCAGGTAAGGCAGAATACATGGCAGCAAGGGAGTGGTAAGAAAGTGGTTGAAGGGGTGGAGAATGGGGATCTAGACTGGTTAAGAAAGGAAGCAAAGCCAGGCAGGCGTTGATAGAGTGGGAGAAAATAAGAGGATTTTCGTTGCATCTGTTCTCTCAGTGAGGCCAAAGTATCAATATGTTAAAAAGAATGGGAGAGCTGGAAGTAAGCGAGAAGAAAAGTAATTTTGGAAAACAGGTTTCAGAGGAGGGCAGTACTGAGTGATGACATGTTCTAGGGACTACTCAGAGGAATGGCTGAAGGTCATTGCGGTGAGGAATTCAAGAAACAGTGAGGCCAGGATGGATGGCTAGTCTCCATGGACATTGGCGTCACTCAGGGTGATGGAGAATAGATAAGATAGTGTCTGTGTTCCAGTTTTGTTTTAAGAAGTATTTGTTTATATGAAGGGTCCAGGTCTGGCATTATAACCTTTTCGGAGATAACAAGTTAGGAAAATTAAAAAATTCTTGTATGCTCATATTTTAGTGGATCTCAACTATCAGGAAAGTGAAGGCAGCCACCTAATACACCTTAATATTTGTACCAAACGAGAGGGATGTATTTGCTGCTGCAACCTCATTTGATCTTGATTCTAAATAACTCTGTTCTTGGAACAGCTCATTTCTTCCCCTCAGTTTAAATTTTAAGTTATTTATCTGTAGCTCAAACTATTCTTTCAAGTTATTAGATACTTGATCATGTACACAAGAAAAGGAGGAGGAAGCTAGTAGATTCTTGGAAGCTAGAAATGGTGGCAGTCAGCCTTCAGTATATTCTCATAAGCCACATTTATAGTAAGTATGTTCAGCTACACTGTTCTTGGCTTTCTAATTCTTTTGGAGGAAAAAATTCAGTATTCTACACTTTCTCATATTGGATAGTGGTAGGCATTGTCACTGCCTTCATCCTTTTTTCCTATCCAATTGGCTTTGTTTTTTTACCATGGTCTTCACTAGTACTTGTTCTAGATACCTGTTTTTCAGTCCACCTTTGAAAGTGAAAGAAATCAAACTTGACACACACACACAAGACCCATTAACCATGCACTTTTCCTTTTTGTCTGTAAAAGGCTTCAGAGCCAGAAACTGAGGAAAATGGTAGAAAACAGTTCTGCAAAGTGTCTTGGCAAAGCCTGAGTTACTGGTCAGGCTGGCTTAGAAGCACCGTGCAGAGTAGAGTTGAAGGCAGCCTTCATCATCCCTCCAGGGAGGAAGCCCCAGCAACTCTTGTAGTATACATCTCCTGCCTGCTGTTTCACAGGCAAAAAACCACACCTATTTAATTTTCAAAGCTTATACTTTATAGGTAAGTGAGAAAACTCATCTTTAATCCAATTTTCCCAATTAAAATTTAGCATAAGTGATTAAGAGTTTTCCTAAATCTATTATTTTATGTAGCATATTTATAATGACATTAAATTTCCAAATGTTACACTTTTTAAAAATTGAAATCTAATTAATGTACCATAAAATGCATCCTTTTAAAATGTATGATTTAGTAGCTTTTAGTGTATTCTCAGTTGTGAAATCATCACCACTAATTCAGAAACACTTTCATCACTGGCTAGAAGTCCTACACTCATTAGCAGTCACTCCCCATTCTTCTTTCCCTCTAATTCCCATCAACCACAGATCTTGTTGTCTCTATGTATTTGCCTATTCTAAACATTTCATATAAATGGAATCATGCAATATGTGGCCTTTTGTGTCTGACTTATTTCACTTAGCCTAGTATTTTCAAGATTCATCCATGTTGTAACATATATCAGTACTTCATTGCTTTTTATGGCTAATTCCATTGTAACAAGATATATATAGATACAGATAGATAGAAAAATAGAATATAGTATATAGTATACCAAAAAGTATATAGTATATAGTATACCAAAAAGTATATCTATTTCTCTCTCTCTTCTATAGAGATCTGTCTATCTTCTATAGAGAGAGAGAGAGAGAGAAATAAAGCTTTCTCTCTTCTATAGAGATAGAGAAATAGATATGCTTTTGGCTATTACAAATAATTCTGCCACAAACATTTGTGTAAAATGTTAAATTTTTCTTTTTTAAGGCTCATGTATTATACACTCTACAAAAGAACAGAGTATAAATGTAGTAAAGGACAAAGGAAACAAAAATGACAGACATACACATTTACATAGCAAGTATGGACAAAACTTGTCAAGATTCTTTAAATACTTCTACTTTTAACATTTAACAGTCAAAATCAGTTTCTACAAATAATTTATTGTCTCAGCAAGAAGTTTTAGAAGACTCAACCTATGTGATTCAAACTATGACTGTCTTAATGAAAAAAATTTAATTTTATCCTCTTTGAAAATCTCCAAATTGCTGGAAGCCAAGTAAACCAGATCAATACCAATTTTTAAAAGATTCAAAGGCTTTTAAGCCTATGACTTCTCAGGAAGTCATAATTGCTTAGAAAAATTATTCAAAGTATGTGTTCAGCTTTTAATTATATTAACATGCAAGAAAAAAACATCTGTACATCTAATTATCATCAGTAGCCAGTTGATTGCTGGATCTTCCAAAACCAGAGACAAGTCTTCTTAAGAATCAAGGCTTTTCAGACCTCTCCACTAATACATTGCAGTATGCAGACTTTGTTTAACTTCGTTTAACAGAAGAGAAGATCCTTTGAAGTGTAGTGGAAGACAGGCTGACATATTTCTGTGGTCTCTCCTTCTAAGTGTAGACACAGCTTTTGTTGCTGATACCTTGGTCAACAGCCTTTGTGCTTATCAGTTCTTCCTTAGTTCACTGTCCTTCTGACTGAGAAATGTGATGTCCAAATGTTGAAGTTTCTGGACAAGAAAATGGAGAAGGCTCCTAAGATCTATTTTCTTTCTCAAATGAATCATCTTTTTGAAATGCAAATTTCTGCTTAAGTGCATGAGACGTTAAAGACATCGGATCCCAATATGAATTTTTTATTTTCCTCTTATGAATGGATCTGCCACCAGGTGACTGTTCAATTGCACAGAGCTTCACTTTATTTATGTCCTCTAGAACATCCAACATGTTTAGAACATCTTTATTTCTGTGGCTTTTTGGATGATGACTATACTAGCACCTGGGTGCTGTTTGTTCATTTCAGTAGCTGGATTATCTGAGTCACAAATATTATTAGATCCTAGTTGTATGGGAAGAAAACATGGAAGCTAGAGAGAAGAAAACTGAGGAGGAAGTGGTAGTGGAGGAGGAGAAGAAAGCATTGAACTTGGAAACTGATTTTTATTATGTTAAGGCTTATTATACACTCTACAAAGGAACAGAGTATAAATGTAGTAAAGAACAAATATATATGTGTGACTCCCCACTCAGCTGAACAGCCCGTGATGATGGCATTTGTCCCAAACTAATGGGCCCATCATTCAAGCCAAAGGAACTAGAATTTGTACTGTTTTTCAGTTCCTGCATTTCCAAAATTGCAGGAATCTGAGAGTGAAGAAAAGTTAGCTCATCTTCAAGGGCACCTATTTTTTTTTTAATTGCAGCTTCATTTACAAGCAGATCATTTTTCACTGGTTTGTTGTGTTTTAGAGCAGATGACACTGGATCCCAAACTAGTTGCAAAGGATGGACACATTGCATTTTCTCTTCATTTTTCCATATACTATTTTGAAATCTGAGAAAACTGGCTTCCTCGACATTTGCCACACACAAAATATCAGCAAAAGACAAAACAACAGATTCAGAATTATCAGAGTCTACAGAGTTCAAGAACTGGATCAACTCAAAATTGTGCCTTCAACAAGGTTCTAACAGAAGCATTTTCTCATTAATATGAACAGTATTCCTAGTTGATCCATAGTCTTTATTTTCCCAAATCAGCAAAACCTGATCTATAGGAACACCAGAATATTCACTATGAGAGACACTGATGAAGCAAATACAGAAGCCAATTCAAGGAAGCATTGTCAGTTTCCTGGTACCTTTCTCTAAAAGCTGGCCTTCCGGCAACTACCAGAATGGCAAATGGAGGACATTATGAATCCTGTCTCGGAATCCTCCATTGAAGAGGCACTGATCCTGGTCCAGGAGTACGCAGACATCAACCTGGTGTCTGCTCGCACACCTTAGCTTGCAGGCCACAGGCAGTAACGATGACCTCACTGAGGGGTGTGAGATCAACCCAGTGCCCAGCCCTGGAACCCTTCGCTCAGCCAGGGTAACTCCCTAGGCGGCATGGTTGCCTCCTCCTGTTCCCAGCTAACCTATCACCGGTCCCGAGGACAGGACCCCTCAGTGTTACATTTTAAACCATGGGACAAAATCAGAATATTTTAATTTGTATATAGTTAACTTGACAGACATTGTATATCAGCTAGGAAAACTGAAAGAGGTGAATTGGAGAATGACAAAAACTTCTCTGTTTTACAGTGAACTATTTAAAGTGTTTAGTTGACCAAAGACCTTCTGCCTACAGAAAGATTTATATCTCTAGCTCATAAGAGTTTTTAATTATTTCTAGAAATTTCTCAGTTTATTTTTGCAGCACAGTTCTAAATGCTTTTAAAATGGAAAGTTTTAATATCACGATTAACTGGTCCAATATTATTTATGAGTATAATAAGTTAAAGTTAACACATCAGCATTTGGAATAATTTCATCAGGGCTATCTTCAAGCAAGCCCAACATTAATTGGTGTGCAAATATCACACAATGAGATTTTAAAATACAGCGATTTATTGTAGCTTATTTCGGTTCTGCTGAGTAGACTGTGTGAATGTTAACAAGAGACCCAAATAACTTCTGTAGTGAGCCTGGGCAGGAGAACTAAATGGGCAGTGAGGATGCACCCTGGAGAGCAGCTTGAAGTATGTGTACAGCTGTGGAGTGTTTGGAAACAAAAGTAAATTGGTATGCGGCAATTATAGATGAAGTGGCTTTTTATAAGCAAAAGCATCATGTAGCCTATGACTCAAAGCTGCAAAACTGTAAACAATGATAAGCGATTTCGTCAGCAGTTGTAGTCATAAGGCAAAAGAAAGGTGGCTAAATAGTAGAAAGCAGTGGGTCCCAGACTTTAGCATACCTCAGAAACACCTGGCAGCTTGTTACAACTTAGTTTTCTGGGCCCAACCCCCAAGTTTCTGATTTAGTAGATCTGGGACCCAAGAAATTCATTACTGACAAATTCCCAGGTGATGCTACTGCAGTCACATTTTGAGAACCACTGGCATCAATTTAAATACCAGGTTTTTTAGTCACAGCATATATATGTGACTAACCTAACTGCGTATCTTTAAATATATATGATAACATGGGGGCCAGGCTCAGTGGCTCACACCTGTAATCCCAGCACTTTGGGAGGCCTAGGCAGGCAGATCACGAGGTCAGGAGATTGAGACCATCCTGGTTAACACAGTGAAACCCCGTCTCTACTAAAAACACAAAAAAAAAATAGCCGGGCGTGGTGACGGGCACCTGCAATTCCAGCTACTCGTCAGGTGGAGGCAGAAGAATGGTGTGAACCTGGAGGCAGAGCTTGCAGTGAGCCAAGATCGCGCCACTGCACTCCAGCCTGGGCAACAGAGCGAGACTCCGTCTCAAAAAAAAAAAAGAAAAGAAAATGATATTAATATTTGACTCAAATATTATTTCCGTCTTGGCCTACTTAAAATGTTTCTTATTAAGTTATTCTTTCTGACTAGAAGGAACCCAAATTCTATTTCTAGAGTCTTTTCTTAGTACTTTAACAGATATGTTTTGAGTCCTAGAATCTTTTTTTTTTTTTTTTTGGAGACAGGGTCTCACCCTTTTGCCCAGGTTGGAGCGCCCTGGCATGACCACGGCTCACTGCAGCCTCAAACTCCCAGGCTCAGGTGGTCCTCCCACTTTAGTCTCCCAAGTAGGTGGGACCACAGGTACACACCACCATGCCCAACTAATTTTTGTACTTCTTGTAGAGAAGGGGTTTCGCCATGTTGCTCAGGCTGTTCTCAAATTCCTGGGCCCAAGCTATCCTCCCACCTCGACCTCCCAAAGGGCTGGGATTACAGGTGTGAGCCACCATGCCCAGCCGGGTCCTAGAATCTCATCAAGAATAGATAAGTTCTGTAAAGTGATGCACCGATCTTGCCTCAAATATCCCTACCAAATGGTTATTCAGGCTGTGCATGAGCTCTGAGCATCACTCACCATTATTATTTTCGTGTGTGAAGAACCATGACAATGAGAAAGTTTTTTTTTTAATGAAGTGGGCTAAAATCTGTTTTCTGTAAGTTCTACCTGTTGATCCCAGTTCTAGCTCCTGCAAACTAAGAGTAATGGAAGGTATTATTATTAAGGTTTTCTGATTGTCTTCAAATAATTAGATATAGCCTCTCATCCTTCTACCATCTCTTTTCGGGTAAAGATTAGCATATCCATCAACCATTTATTATAGATAAGATGTCAAGTCCCCTCACTGTCCTGGTTACCTGCCTTCTAAATTTTATACTCAAAATTTAACATAATTCTATAATACAGTAAAAATAATTCTAATGTAATAGAATTGTGTAGAAGTATAGAATTGTGATTAAGATCATATTCTATGACATCAGAGAAACTTGAATTTGAATCCCATCTTTCCCCTTTTCTAGCCTTGTGGTCTTGGGAAAGATTTTTAGCCTCTTTCAGATTCCCTTGCCTCATATTTGAAACGGGGTTATAAAACCTACTCCATCTGGTGCTAAACAAAGAGAATTTAAAAACAACTATTTGAGGGGGCACAGTGGCTCACAGAGGTAATCCCAGCTTCGGGAGGCTGAGGAGTGAGGATCACTTGAGGCCAGGAGTTTGAGACCAGCCTTGCCAATGTAGCAAGAGCCCTTCTCTACAAAAAATTCAAGAAAAGAGCCAGGCATTGGTGGCCCACACCTGTAGTCTCAGCTACTAGGAAGGCTGAGGCGGGAGGATCGCTTGAGCCCAGGTTGAGGCTGCAGTGAGTCATGACTGCACCACTGCACTCCAGTCTGGGTGACAGAGCAAGGTCCTGTTTCTAAAAAAAAGAAAAAACAAAACAAAACAGGCATTTGAAAAGTGGTTAAGTCCTTAGACAGGTGAACAATTAACCATGAATACCCACCTACCTCTGCAACCCATGGCAGAGTCTGAAGATTTGTTTTCTGGAGAGGGCAGATGAAAGGTCTCTGAAATGAGGGATGCTAGGTAGAGTTACAAGTGTGGGCACTGTCACCAAAACCACAGGATTATGTGATGATATGTAAACCACATGCTGAATGCTGCAGCCCCCTCCCCCTGCTGGCCTCCCAGCACCCTGGTAGCTAGACCTTTACCCTCTAGGTAGGAGATAGGATAACTTTTCTCCTAGAACCTAACTGGCCTAGAGGAAAGAACTAAAGATACTGATATTAGTGGTTCCCCAACAAATGACTATTCACTGAAGCTCAAAGTTGACAAGTGCCATACACACACTCAACGTTCCTTTCAACTTTTAATCCTCCACACTTAAACATAAGCGGGCAGCAAGGGGTACCAACATCTGAAAAAAGAAAACTTCTAATATAAAACATTGAAACAAAAACAAAGAAAAATAATTTTGAGGAAACATACACTATGAAGGGAAAGGAAAAGTTTTTCAAAGAAGCTTATTATCCTCAAAGAAATAAGAGAATACAGTATGTGAAACAAGAACAAGACATTACAAAAAGAATTTCTGAAAACCAAAAAAAAGAGCTCTTGGAAATTTAAAAATATAATAGCAGAAATATAAGCAATCAATGAGAGGATTGGAAGCTAAAGTTGATAAAATCTACATTGAAGTAAAGCAGAAAGATGGAGGCGGGGAAAATGGGAAAGAAAAGTAAGAAAATTAGAAGACTAGTCCAAGAGATCTAACATCTGACAAGAGGAGGTTTTGAAAGAGACAACAGAGAAAACACAGAGGAGAAAATAAGTGATTAAATCATTTAGAATAATTTTCTGGGGCTGAAGGAAATAGGTCACATGATTGAGTTGACCTCAGTGAGTGAAAATAGTCTCACTTCAGGGTACATCACTGAGAAGTTTCCAAACCCTCTGAAACAAAGAGGAAATTCTGTAATGCTTCAGAGATAAAACAGGTTACATGCAATGAATAAGAATTCGAATGGCTCCAACCCCTGCACAGCAATACTAGAAACAAGAAGACAGTGAAATGTGGCCTTCAAAATTCTGAAAGAAGGATTTCTGACCTAGAATTCTTTAACCAAACGATCATTAAGCCTAAAAGCAGAGTACAGACATTTTCAGACATGCAGGTTCTCAAAACTTTTACTTCTCATGGCTATCGTCATTAACATGCCCACTACCATCTTTCCACCTTTTTAATCCAAAGATAGTCTGTCTCGATTAGCCTGACCTAGATTCCTAACTGTTCTTGGCTTTTCTTGACCATGTGCTGATGAAGTTCCTGCTTTCCTTTTCATGTCCCTGCTGCTGCATCGGCTGAGAATATATTTCATCCCCAAAAAAGTTTTGTGATTGGAATTTTTCCTGAGAAGTGGAGATAGGCCATGGAAAGCTTTGAAGCAAAAAATAGAAGCTGCCTGCCCTGGCCATAGTTTTTACAGGAGGTCCAATTTAGTTTAGAAGGGACATGAATATGTAAAGCAAAATAAAATAATGTAGAAAAATAAGCCATGTGTTCTCATTAGTAAGCATCAATTTCCCTCTTCTGTGACTTACAATGGAATTTTTTTTTAAGTAGTAAGTTCAGAGTTCGTTGCAAAGAGTTTAGAACTGGATTCCACCAATTTGTATCACATATCATAAGTGAATGTAAATAGATATTCCAGGAAGAAGAGAAAAAAGTTCCATGTTTAAGAAAGCTTGGAAGACACTTGAATAAATTACCGAAGATTTCTCAGAACTTTAAATGCACTGATGGACACTGTTAATCTCCTTTTGGGAGGCACAGTATGCAACTGCCCAGGTGTATTGACTATGAAGCCTGTTTTTACAAAACATCTTCTAACATCTGAAGGAACACAGTGTTTCTCAGAAAAGTTTGGGAAATGATTTAGAATAAAGTGTGGGAGATTTAATATGATTTTGCCAGAAAGGAAGTAAAAACTTTCCCAAATATGTAATTTTATGGAAAAAAAGGCTTAGAATGCTTTTTACTTCACTTAGTTTCTTGGTGAGAAAAAAAATGATTATATACGTGTGCTAAAGTATTCTAGATTTCAGATGTGTTGGACTTCAGTCTTGATTATATTTCACTATAGACAGAAAAATATTTATTTCACTAACTTTTGGGTACTTGTAGTTGGTAGTTCATTTTGCCATAATAATCTCTACAGGAAAAAAAATTAAAAAGTTGAAGGAATCTGTTACAGGTTTCTCACTTTCTACTTTAAATACCAACTTAAAATGCTGGCAGTCAGTAGAATGGGGTTTAATACTTTTCTACTCTCTCTGATTAAGTTTAGTGTAAAAATATGTTGGGCAGGGTTTGAGTCAAGATGAGTCAAGATGAATATTGATAATTCTATTTTAGTTTCATTTCCATGGTATTATTGATATATAATACATCTGTAGATTTTCTTAGTTTCCTGCTTTGGGTTTTTTTAAGCTTATTATGAATAGTTAACATTTAAAATTCTAAGCAGTTTATTTATGTTGAGCCCTTCCAGATAGGCTTTTACATTATAAAATTATTTTAGCTATTACTCTCATTTGTATGTTGCATAAATCTTTTTTCTCTCATTTACACATTTTAGTTTCAACTGCTTCTGAGGGAGCATCTTCCTTTTCTCCTTTATCCATGTCATCTCCTGATTTAGCCTCTCCAGAGAAGTCAGCTCATCTCTTATCACCAATTCTGGCCGGACCTTCCTTCTGGACTCTGTCCCATCAACAGTTGTCTTCTACCTCCTTTAAAGATGAAGATAAGACAGCCAAGCTGCATCACTCCTTTGCTTCTAGGGGCCCAGTGTCTTCTGATGTAGAGGAAAATGATAGCCTCAATCTACTGGGAATTCTTCCAAATAACTCTGATTCTGCTAAAAAGAATATAAGTCACATTTCTAGTAGTCACTGGGGGGAGTTTTCCACCCAAAATGTAGACCAGTTCATCCCTCTGTCCTGTTCTGGTTTTCAGTCAACCAAAGACTTCCCCCAGGAACCTGAAGCAAAGAATTCCATTAGTGTTCTTTTAAGGGAGGTAAAACGTGCGATCGCTAGATTACATGAAGATCTGAGCACAGTGATCCAAGAACTTAATGTCATCAATAACATCTTGATGAGCATGAGTCTGAATAGTTCACAAATAAGCCAGTCTTCCCAGGTCCCCCAGTCTTCTGAGGGGAGCTCAGATCAGATCTAATCATCACAATATCTATTTTTGATAGAACTCGTGTGGTTCCACTTCCCCAAGACTTACGTTAGCATTGTATAAATTCATATTATTATGGCAAAAAAGGGGATGGTTTAATTTTTCCTTGTCAGGTTTATTAGCAAGTATCTTTCAAACTAATACTTTCATTTGGGTGGTTTATTTTTTAAAAGGGAAAGATGTCACCTTTGATAATTTCAGATTTAGATATTAGTTCATTTGAAACAGAAGAGAATTTCATTCTTTCATGCTCTGTACCTCAAATGGGTTAAGCATTAGTGAAAATTGTGGTAAGACCTCAAACTGCAAATGACTATTCAAGAGCTTTTGGATAAGGAGGCAGGAAGAAGCTCTTTATCTTTCAACTGTATGGAGCTTGTTAACAAGCCTCTGAGGTGACCTAGGAGGATTGAGTTTGGGGGTATACATTTCACACATTCTTTTGCAAGTTTTAGGTTCTGCAACCAAGGGCCAGAAATCTTTTCTTTCTTCCAGATGCTAGTGTTAGGAGTTAAATGGAAACAAGAAGGACATGGGGCAAATGTTTTTACTGTCAATGTATATTGCAAGGTGAATTCAAATGCATCCTTTTATTCTACTTCAGAAAATAAATTTGATATTTTTCATCTTCTGTGTATCTTTTTAATTCATTAAGACAGCCTTTCAAATAGAAATGTCTGTTATTTATGGGCAAAACAGTCCGGTTTGGGGATTACAGGCCAGTGATTCCCAACCCTGCTGCACACTGGAATCACCACAGAAGCTTTTCTTTTGTTTTATATTTGTCTGAGAGAATCGTGTAATGGGCTCCATGTGCCCATCACTCAGTTTCAACAATTACCAACTCGAGGCTAAAATAATCCTGATTATTTTGAAGACATACGAAACATTTTAAAAATATACTAATGCCAGGGTCCTGCTCCCAGACAAATTGAAACTGGTTTTCATCATGCAGACTGGATTAAGTGATAAAGGAATTGTCAGTGAAAAGACCTTAAAGCTGGAGGAATTTGGCGTGGTTGAAGAATGGCAAGAAAGCTGGTGTGGCTGGAGTGAAGTGAGCAAAGGGGAGAGTAGACGGAGTTCAAGGTCATGGAGCAAAGATGACAGATGACATAGGTTCTTAAAAACCACTGTTAGAGAGACCTGGTGTGGCAGCTTACATCTGTAATCCCAGCACTTTGGGAGGCCGAGGCAGGTGGATCACGAGGTCAGGAGTTCAAGACCAGCCTGGGCAAGATGGTGAAATCCCGTCTCTACTAAAAATACAAAAAAAAATTAGCCGGGCATGGTGGCGGGCACCTGTAATCCCAGCTACTCGGGAGGCTGAGGCAGAGAATCGCTTGAACTCTGGAGGTGGAGCTTGCAGTGAGCCAAGATTGTGCCACTGCACTCCAGCCACTGGGCAACAGAGTGAGAATCCATCTCAAAAAAAAAAAAAAAATTGTTAGAGATTTTGGCTTCTACTCTGTGAAAATAAAAATTAGGATAGGGGTTTAGGATATAAAATGATATGTGACCTTTGATTCTTTTTTTTTTTTTTTTTTTTTTTTTTTTTTTTGAGATGGAGTCTTGCTTTGTCGCCCAGGCTGGAGTGCAATGGTGCGATCTTGGCTTGCTGCAACCTCTGCCTCCCGGGTTGAAGCAATTCTCCTGCCTCAGCCTCCCGGGTTGAAGCAATTCTCCTGCCTCAGCCTCCCAAGTAGCTGCATTACAGGTGCCCGCCACCACGCCCGGCTAATTTTTGTATTTTTAGTAGTTTCACCATGTTGGGCAGGATGGTCTTGATCCCTTGGCCTCATGATCCACCCGCCTCTGCCTCCCAAAGTGGTAGGATTACAGGTGTGAGCCACTGCGCCCGGCAACTTTGATTCTAAATGATTGCTCTTGCTTTGGCAGGGGAACTGGTACAAGAACATGGGGTGAGGCAGGGAAGCCAATTAGCAGGCTGTGGCAGATATCCAGATGAGAGCTTATGATGGCTCAAAGCAGGGTGGGCATAGTGAGGGTGAGTGAGAAGTTATTAGTTCAGGGATTCACTAATGGATTGGACAAAATATTTATAAGAGAAAGAAGAGTCAATGACAAACTCAAAGTATTGGACCAAGCAACAGAAATTCAAGATGACCTTGCCATCAACTGAGATGAGGAAGGCTATAGGTAAAGAAAATTTAGAGACATTCAATTTTTGATATGTTAATTTCAATTATCTGTTAGATAGCCAAGTAGGCACCTGGATGTGAAAGCCAAGTCTGTGAGGGAGTCTAGATTGGAATGGAGGCAGGCAGTTAGGATTTGGTGGTTATTTAAAACTATGAGATGAAATGAAATGACCAACAGGCTAAGCATGATCATGGAGAGAAGTTGAAGGCCTGAGTCCTAGGCGATTATAACAAAGAGATTAAGGAAAAGTTGAAGAGCCAATGAAGGAAACTGAGAACAAGCCATCACCCAGGTAGAATTAAACAATAGCGCGTTGTGTTTGGAAACCAAGAGTATACAGTTGTACATTGAATATATGCCCTTTACATAGATTCACCAGTTGTTAACATTTTGCCATGTTCACCTTATCTCCCTCTGTTGCTAAACATGTTTATATATGCATTATATCAATAGAGAGACATGTTTTACTGAACTTTGTGAAGGTAAGTTGCAGACATTTTGACACTTCACAACACTTATGGTGAACATACTAATTACATGATCAAGGGTAATTATTATCCAACTTACCTTCCAGTTAATCATTTCTCTCTTCAGCTATGTCTAGTCCATTGTCAAATCATCCCTCAGATTTTAATTAGGTTATTAGATTTTTTATTTCTAGAATTCTACTTGGTTCTTTTAAAATTTGCTACAGTTTTATAAGTCAATGTTTATTGCAGATATTTTCAAGTATATCTTTACTATTAAGAATAGTAACCAAACTAGTATAGAATTCTTACTGGTAAGAATATTAGGCCGGGCACGGTGGTTCATGCCTGTAATCCCAGCACTTTGAAAGGCCGAGGTGGGAGGGTCACTTGAGCCTAGGAGTTCGAGACCAGCCTGGGCAACATAGCTAGACTGTGTCTCTACAAAAAATAGAAAATTTAGCCGGGCATGGTGGCATGTGCCTGTGGTCCCAGCTACTCAGGAGGCTGAGATGGGAGGATTGTTTGGGCCTGAGAGATGGAGGTGGCAGTGAGCTGTGATCGCACCACTGCACTCCAGCCTGGGAGACAGAGTAAAACCCTGTCCAAAAAAAGAAAAATAAAGAATATTAAGTAAACTAGAGAGTATTCTTACCAGCAAACTAGTAATAATCATTTAATATATGTATTTAAGATTAAATAGCTTAAATGTATAGCTGCATCCCACAAAGCCTTTAAAGTTGAAATATAATTCACATACCATAAAATTTACCTTTTTAAGGTATATAATTCAGTGATTTCTACTGTATTCACAAGGTTGCACAGCCATCACCATTATCTAATTCCAGAACATTTAGGTCATCACAAAAAGGTACCTCATCCCCATTAGCAGCTGCTCCCCACACCCCCCTCCTCCAAGCCCCAGCAACCACTCATTTACTGTCTGTTTCCATGAACCTGCTTATTTTGGCTATTTCATACAAATGGAATTATATAATATAGCTTTTTGTGTTTGACTTCGTAGCATACTTTTTTGAGGTTCATTCATGTTTTAGCATGTAGCTTACATTCTTTTTGTGGCTGAGTAATATCCATTGTATGGATATACCACGTTTTGTTTATCCATTCATCAGTTGGTGGACATTTGGGTTGTTTACACTATTTGGCTATTGTGAATAATGGTGCTGTGAACATCTGTGTGAATGTGTTTCACTTCTGTTGGGCATATACCTAGAAGTAGAATTGCTGAGTCATATGGTAATTATGTTTACCTTGCTGAAGAACTGCCAAACTATTTTCCAGAGTGGCTGTACCATTTTACCATGAGTTTTGGTATACAGTATTTTCACTGTCTTTTGGCTCCAAATATATTCTAATTCCTATTATGAAGAAGTAGAGAGGTACATTTCCTAATTTTCATGCATATGGATAAACTAATAACAGCAAAAGTTAGTTTAGATCTTAGTTTTTGTTAATTTGATATCTCTGCTGGTTTGTGCTCATGGTGTTGCATTTCCTTGTGTGCCTGATTATCTTTGACTATGAGCTGGTCATGATACTTGGAAAATTATTTGTATGAATAATACGAGAACCTGCTTTTTATTTCTGCCAAGTGCCTAGTGTACTCCCACATAGGTTAAGTCAATTTAGGTCACGGCTTAAAGTTCTCTAGAATACCTAGGTTAATCCCAGACTTAAATTCCTCATAAGAGTTGGTTTATCTCCAATTCATTCTCACTGCATAGCTATTAGATTTCCCTTTATTGTAAGGAGCATCTCGTGTTAGACTTCCCACCTTTTATGAAGGTGATTTCTGTTCTTTCACCATCAAAATGGAAGTTGGAATTTGTTGGACTCAGCAAATGCCTTTAGGGAAAGGTGGCTTCTGCGATCATTTACCTATCAGGTGCCTGTCTGAGTACCTACTATTGTAAGGCTCGTACCAGGCCCTGAGAATACAAAAGGGAATGCAAATAAACTTCTTTATAAAATAAAATAAGAATTAAATATGAAGACATCTTCCATGGGCTTTCTTCATACATCTGGGAAATCTGCCAGTGGATTCCTAGGGAGTTACTACTGGGATACAGCATCCCCTTTTTGTACTGGCTGTAAAATTTCTTAGCTGTACATTGCTAAGAATGGAGAAGGGAAAAAGCCTCCAGAGATAAGCATTCCTCCCTCCCCATCCCCCTAACCAAAAGTTGCAGCATTGGGTGTCTTGAATACTCAGAGAAACCCCACAAATAACTGAGGCAGCAACAACTATCCCTTTAAGAAACTACCTTACTTACTCTGAGCTCACTACATGCACATGGTAACCTCAGATTTTAACTAGGTTTTAGAGAGCTCATATATTTTAATGCAACCATGCAAACATTTGTTAATTAGTATAATTAACAAGCACTTATTTGAGCCTCTATTTAGCCAATTCCATTAAATGAAGAGAACAAAGTTGGCTTAAATTAAGAGTGGCTGTATTCTGATTGACTTGGTAATTATCTTAGGTTAAAAATACTTCATTAGATGTTATTCTCTTAAGTACTTTGGCACTTGAGGATCCTACTTTATAAGGCGGTTATAAAAATATTTTACAGTTTGCTTACTGTCAAATTACTGGTGTGTTCATTCTTTAAATATGTATTAAGCACCTATGATGAGTAGGCAGTTTGCTAGACACTGAGGACACCATAGTGAGCAGGATGGATGGGTGTGCTTACTGCCTTCGGAGCTAGTTCAGTGGAGACACAGACAGCTAAGTGGGTAGTTACTGTCAATATTTAGGTCCTATAAATTTGAGCACAGCGTGGTGTGGCAGAGCCTGATAAAGCGGGACAACCAGCTCCGATTAGGGCCTCAGGGGATGCTGCGTGGAGGAAATGAAGTCCAAATAGAATCCTGAAGGATAACTAGGAGTCAGTCCAGCAAAATGAGTTAGGGGAGAGAGGGCTTTCTAGGCAGAGAGGACAGCATGTTCAAAAGCTGGGGGCAAGAGAGAACTTGATGAGCTTGAATACAGGATGTACAAAACTAGTGGTGGGTCAGAAATTTGAATCACTGCAGTTTCAGATTTTATGCAGTGACACAGTAGGTGATGGTTAGGTGACCAGTGCAGACTGAATAAAAGAAAAAGACTGAGTGACAAGTAAATGGATCGTATTGAAAAATAGAGTGTCATAGAAATCTGGAGACTGAAGAGCTTCCAAAATCCATTCCAAATGAGTTCATTGTGACAATGGTTTGCCCTGAATATACAAGGAGTCCCTCCTTTTGTGTGCTTTCATTTTAAAGAGAAAGGGAATACTGAGAACAACTGGGTGAATCAGTTACATATTCAATATACTGGGGACTGGTTTTCTAGGTTTTACTTTATTTTTAATAGAGTAGATTCTGAGATGTGATAAAAGGGTTTAGTGTGTAGATTTGAGAGATTTTTATTTCTTGCAGAACACCAAGTAATTTAAGGAGGCCAAGCATATTATTGTTAAGCCAGAAGATATGTGCCACCTTTTATCAGCAGGCAGGCTTAGAAAAGAGAAAATTGGCTCAGAAGAAACTAGGTTTTCAAGATGATTTTGTTTGGTAATTTTGAATTCTGTTTTCTCACTGATGGTGCAGAAAGTTCTCAAAGATATGGTAATTATTGCAGAATTATGGCTTCAGGCATTTGCAGCTATTCAAACAGTAAAATTCCATTATAACATACCACCGTCTACGTGTTCACTAGGGCTGCAGTTGAGAACTTGTCCCCTATACTGTATACTACATCTTTCTTGTAAACACAGAACTCCTATAGCATGGAGGAGGAGACATCCTAGAACTTGAATCACAGAGGGCAAAGATAAAGGAGTATTATTGCATTATGTATGGCAGATGCCACATGGTCAAGCTAAATCATTAAAATACTGCCTGTACGTTTTTTGGTCCAATATCCTGTTGGGTCTGCATAGAGTTCTTAAACAGTTGCACAGTCAGAAATCGGATAAATTATATTTCCTTCACATTTCTGTTCTTATATCATGGTTCATTTATTTAACTGAAAAGCTTTCAGCACATCATAAAGGTGGTAAAAGCAATGTTGAGCAGTATATATCAGCTTGTCTGTTGATAAGATGAGCATTTTTTATTATTCACTATCACTGATTAAATCAACCGTCAATTAAAATTAGCAAATCATCAGTCTATATTGCTGCTGAGGTGACAATATATGAAAAGTCTACTTCGTTTTTACATTTTGGGTCATCTCACAGGTTATTATTCATAAAGATTGTTCTAGTTCTGAATCTAGTAAGATGAGTCCCCCTATAGAATATTTGGGATTTAGAAAGCATTCTAATTGATTTAGCAAAAGCCTCTTGGACAGACTTAGAAGTCTAAGCTATTGGTAGCCTGGAAAATCTACCCCTTCAAAATAAAAGACATGGACTTACAAAGATGAACAGAAAGGCCATTCCAGGAGGAGGGACCGGCAGGTCTAGCAAAGGTGAGACCTGAGCACATCCATCCACGCCTGCCGCAGGCAGGCCAGACTGCCATCCAGGGATGGTGTCTGTGGGAGATGCTTTCTGAGTTCCCAAGGATGGATGAACAGCTTGGAGATATTCTTACTATTAGAAACAGCTTGGAGATATTCTTACTATTAGAAACAAACATCTCTTCAATTTCACTAATATTACTGAATGCAGCCTCTGCTCTAGGTGCTTAAGAGGCATTCGTTAATAAGATACTTTTTTAAAGCCCTGCCCTTGTGGAGCTTGCATTCTCACGGACCGGAGAGAGAAAATCCACAGTAAACACAATAAATAAGTGAGTTATGTAGCATATTATTAGCAACAAACATGTGCCATGAAGATACCAGAGCCGGGAAGGGATAGAAGGGGCTGGGCGACTGGAAGAGGCTTACGGTTTGGTAACACTTGGGCGAAGACCGAAGAAGGTAAAGAGTTTGCCATAAGGATCTCTGGGATGTGTCTTCCAGGTCGGGGGTACAGCTAGCTGGCTTATGGCTGAGAGATTCACAGACTGGCAGGCGGCCAGCATGTGTGGAATGGGATGTGGCAGGAGAGGATGGCAGAGGGGTAAGGGGATGAGGCTTCTAGGCCACCATAAGGCCTATGGTCCCACCCTGCGGGAAAGGGCATATTGGAGCTTTTGAGCAGAAGCGTGATGTGCTCTGTGGAGTGTTTCAAAGGCTCCTACTGGCTCTTGTGTTGAGAACGGACTGCAGAGGCCAAGGCAGGACAGGGAGGACGATTAGGAGACTCCTGGGTGCATGCTATGTGCCATGAGTTATTTTAAAAGTACTTTACATGTATTAACTCACTCAGTCCCCACCACAATCCTTTGAGGTAGGGACTATTATTATACCTATTTTATTTTATTATACGTACTTTATAGGTATAATGCGCCTTTAAAGGAAATTCAGGCACAGAGAGTCTAAGCAACTTGCCTAAGGTCACCCAGCTACTAAGTGGCAAAGCTGGGATTCAGATTCAGATAGCCCACCCTCTTAGCCAAAACAGGGCATGAGAGAGCACACACTGGAAGAATTTTTCACATATAGGTTCAAAGGGATTGAACAAATGGATGGCAGGGTTGGATGAGAATCTTGGATTCTATTTCTGGATTATACGTGTACTACTTTGGACAGATGAATTATTTTGTTCAATTCCTAACAGAATGTGCCTAATAGCTATATCAGTCCCTAAAGCATGTATCGTTGCCAGGATTATCATTAATAAGATTATCATGTTATCTAAATGTCATGAAATAATCACTTGCATTTGTGTAGCAATTTGTAGATATCAAAGCACTTTTGCACACATTTTCTGTTTTGAACCCCACAACAAATCATGAGCTCATCATCTTCCCAGCCTCTCCTCTGCTTTTCTCTTTCTGGTAATGGCACCAGTAGCTCCAGACGCCACTTGGGTCTTTCCTCTTCCTCTCTCCCCAACATCCAGTTCCTGGGCCCTGTTGGTCTGTTCTGTCTTCTCTGGGTCTCATTCCTGCCCGCTCTGTACCACTCACCCGGCTGTCACCCTAGTTTAGGCAAATAATGACCTCACTCCTTTCTACTTCTAGTCCTTTGCCACCATGCTGCATATTACTGCTGGCAATGCTCTTGACGTCTCACCACCAAACAGACCTCCCTCGAGCAACCAGCAAGCCAAGGCCGTGGCTTGACGTAAGCTAGAGGCAGAAGGGTGAGAAAGGAGAGATGGGAAAAAGTTGACAGACATAAGAGAAGTGGAAAAAGTTCCAGGACTCAGAGATTAGTTAAAAATGGGGGTTGGCCCATCAAAAAGTAGGCGAAGGATATGAACAGACACGTCTCAAAAGAAGACATTTATGCAGCCAACAAACATATGAAAAAAGCCTATCATCACTGGTCATTAGAGAAATGCAAATCAAAACCACGATGAGATACCATCTCATGCCAGCCAGAATGGCGATTATTAAAAAGTCAGGATACAACAGATGCTGGCGAGGCTGTGGAGAAATAGAAATGCTTTTACACTGTTGCTGGGAGTGTAAATTACTTCAACCATTGGGGAAGACAGTGTGGCGATTCCTCAAGGATCTAGAACCAGAAATACCATTTGACCCAGCAATCCCATTACTGGGTATATACCCAAAGGATTATAAATTATTCTACTATAAAGACACATGCACACGTATGTTTATTGCAGCACTATTTACAGTAGCAAAGACTTGGAACCAACCCAAATGCCTGTCAATTATACACTGGATAAAGAAACTGTGGCACATGTACACCATGGAATATTATGCAGCCATAAAAAAGAATGAGATCATGTCCTTTGCAAGGACATGGATGAAGCTGGAAGCCATCATTCTCAGCAAACTAACACAGGAACAGAAAACCAAACACCACATGCTCTCACTCATAAGTGGGAGTTGAACAATGAGAACACATGGACACAGGGAGGGGAACATCACACACTGGGGCCTGTTGGGGGGTGGGGAGGGGACAAGGGGAGGGAGAGCATTAGAACAAACACCTAATGCATGCGGGGCTTAAAACCTAAAATACAGGTTGATAGGTGCAGCAAAGCATCATGGCACATGTATACCTACGTAACAAGCCTGCACATTCTGCACATGTATCTCAGAACTTAAGGTAAAAGAAAAAAAAAAGAAAACCTTAAAAATAAAATAAATGTTAAAAATGGGGTTGAAGCCAGGTGCAGTGGGGCCTGTAGTTTTAGCTACTCATGAGACTGAAGCAGGAGGATTGCTTGAGCCCAGGAGTTCAAGGCCACCCTGGACAACATAGTGAGACTCTATCTCTAAATAGGGATGAGCTCCAGAATTCCGGTTTAATAATAATAATAGTAGTTGACACTTAACAAACACTAACAATGTCACGAGCATGTTTTAATCCTCTTAACAACCCTACCGGGAAGGTTAGATCGTCACATTGTATATGAGAAAACAGAGACTAAAATGAGCTAAGGAACTTGTCCAGGGCCACACAGGCAGTAGTCAGGGTCAAAGCCAGACCTTGAACCATGGTCTTGCTTAGAGCTACACACTGCCTCACAGTTGGTGCCATTGGCTGGGCCAGGCAGATGGGAAGAAGGGGAACAGGTCCAGCCGGGCCATCCCTTGCTTCTGCCTTTCCACCCCTGCCCCTCAGTCTCATCCTGCTCTCAGGCTGCCCCAGTCCCACTGCCAGGAGCTGCTGGGCTGCAGCCGCACCCCAGACCCTCTGGATCTTCTTTTGGTGCCTCCCATTTCTGAAGAGTTGTCTGCCTCCACCCACACTTCCCAATCCCTTCCCTGCCCCTTTCATTTCAAGACCCAAATTAGCAGAGGCTGGGACAGGAGTAGAACATTTTTAGAGCTGGTTTGGAGATGAAGAGCCTGTCCCAATTTCTCTTTCTCACCTAATCAAACCTTGAGAATGTCATGGAGCCCCCACACACTTTGATTTTAATTGGGGACTGTTGTCACTGTTTCACCCTGGGGGAGAATTTTCGTTTACTACAATGGGGTCTCTGTCTCTGGAGTATGTAATATGCTCCTGAAAATCACACAGAGCAACCCAGAAATAGCCAACAGAGACTAAAGAAAAAAATATGAATTCAGGGACATAAAGCAATAATATGTCCATACTTTTGAAAAATAAAGTGGGGGCACTTAGTAGTGTCTCTTTAGCGGTTAGTTTCATCATCCCTGTGCTGCCGATGGGCGTCTGCTTTCCCTCCACACGCATTGTGTAGGGGAGTGGCCGGGAGGGCCACCAACCCCAAAGGAGCAGCTTCTGTTCACATAAAACCTGTTCTGTTCCACCTGTGCACGCCCTCGCCACCTCCCCAAAGCCAAAAGTCGGGGGGGAAAATGAGAAACAGCACCTCACTGGATTAAGCCAAATGTGAGGGTAAACACAATGTGAAAAGCACCAATTCCAAGGATAAAGAGAACCAGCAAAAGAGGAAAACAAGCCCGTCACCCCGCGCCAGTAAGAAGGCCAGGTTTAGCCGATCTCACAGGAGAACAGATCTAACTCCTGGGGACCAGCAGCGCCGAGAGCTTCTCTCCATTTCACAAGGTCAGAATGGTAAGTCAGTAGCAGACCCACTGCAGACAGCATCGGCTGGCAGCCGGAAAGCCTTTGGAGAAGGGACCGATGGGACCTCACTGAGAAGCTGATTGGAGGATGACAGAAGCAGGCAGGGGCAGGAGGTTGGTCTTCCTGGCAGGCAGGGAGGCATGGTCTCCAGGGGGCAGGCCCAGCAGGCTCACTGCTTCATTGTCCCCCCTGGGGCTGTCAAGGATCCATTTAGCCACAACTCTCGTGTGTTCATATGTACACGAGGGAGGGACCCTTACAGAGAGGCACAGGAGCTGCACCTCCAGCCCTGTCCATCAGATCCTCGTGTGTGCCCCAAAGTAAATAGGAGCCACCAGAAGCTGTGAGACCTGCAGGGGGATGGGCTTTCCGAACCCTCTCCACAAAGGCTGCCCAGCAGAGGGGGTGGCCTTTCCACTGAGCTCTGCTCCTGACCACGTCTTGTCCTTCCCAGGGGAATTTGTCTGCAGCTCAACAGATGGGTGCCGGTGTACTCACTTGTCTGTGGGGACCACTACTGAGTGTGTTTCTGCCACCTCTGCCTCTAAATTGTCATTGCTGTATTGATAAGGATGGCTGCAATTATCGCCTTAACTAGCCATGGTCCCCGTCAAGGACAGGAATAGTGTGTGGCTTAGGAACAAGGGGTCCCACAGCTCTTACCTGCTGCTTGGCGGGGGTGGGGGTGGCTGCCAAGTGTCATCCAGGGGCCTGTGGCTCTCTGCTTTGTTTTACTGTAGGAAGCTCTGGGAGGAAAAAGTGAACCCACAAGTTAGCGGGATACACTGGTTGTTTGCCTCAGAAGGTGTCCACTGCTCAGTCTGGCCAAGTCCCCTGGGCCTTGTGCTTCCTGACACTTGTGGAGCACTCTACAGTCGGCAAAGCACTTACCACATCTCTGTTTGGCCTCATTGCCCCCTGGAGAGCTAGGCAGAGGAGGAATGGAGGACTCAGAGAGGCTGGGTCACTAGCTTGAGGTCACACAGCTCTGAGCAGTGGGCTGGTGCCTCCCTCAAGATTTCTGATGCGAGCCATGTCTTAGTCATTTGCGCTGCTGTAACAAAAGGCCATTGGCTGGGTGACTTGCAGACAAGAGAAACGTAGCCCTCACAGTTCTAGAAAACTTCTCATTATAGCGTCATGAGGCAGGAAAGAGGGTGAGAGAGCTTTCTGGGGTCTCCTTTATAAAGGCACTAATCCCACATGAGGGCCCCACCCTCGTGACCTAATTACCCCCCAAAGGCCCCACCTCCTAATGTCATCACATTATAGGTTAGAGTTTTGACATCTGAATTTGGGAGGGACACATTCAGTCCATAACAGGAGGCATCCTCTCCCGCTGGTTATACGGCCCCCAGCCCCCTCCCCTAGCACAGGGAAGCATCAGGATTCAGTCAGCTGCCAACAACTCAACATGGAGTCCCTGCCCTTAAAATTGTCACATATATATATATATATATATATATATATATATATATATATACACATATATATTTTTTTTTTTTTTGAGACGGAGTCTCGCTCTGTTACCCAGCATGGAGTGCAGTGGCGTGATCTCGGCTCACTGCAAGCTCCGCCTTCTGGGTTCAGGCCATTCTCCTGCCTCAGCCTCCCGAGTAGCTGGGACTACAGGTGCCTGCCACCACGCCTGGCTAATTTTTTTGTATTTTTTGGTAGAGACGGGGTTTCACCATGTTAGCCAGTATGGTCTCGATCTCCTGACCTTGTGGTCTGCCCGCCTCAGCCTCCCAAAGTGCTAAGATTACAGGCGTGAGCCACCGCGCCCAGCCTCTATATTCTTAATCTCATAGATTAGCTTTGTTTAAGCCATCGACATATTTCATCATCTCTAATATATAGAAATTAGTGTTTTCATGTGGCTCATTAATCTTGGCTTCTTCCTCTAAGAAGGTCAAAGTTATTGGAAATGATGTTACACAAAACCAGGACCCCTCAGAGTCTGCAGATGAGCTGAAGCAGGAGGGTGGTTATCACTGATTTCGTCTAGATGCCTAAATGACAGTCGGTAAGAGGGTGAATTTCAGCGACCAATCTGCTGCGGTCTGTGGTGATGCTGTTCCGCTGTTTACCATTAGAGCATAGCGGTGTTTGCCACGTTCTTAGCATGTGATCATTACCACATGGAAAAATAAACACAGATGCTTCAATATTAATAGACAATCAATTAATTCCTTAAAATTGCAAATGTTAAAGAGTTTGTAAATAACCCTGGGAGTGGGACAGGGTTGGGAGTGAGCACGTGTCTTTCCCGTGATTTCTCTGCGGGAGGAATGCCCAGGTCTCCAGGCCTTGCGGAGTGTTCATCTATACCCTGGGCAACACAGCGGCACTTACAATGTGATACGATAAGAACACGATCTTTACCACAGCTCTTTGGGGGCAGAGGCGGGGGACGGGGGGCGACTTCCGGTGCGAATACTGGTGTTACCAGAAACATCACCAAAGCCCTCGGCCAGAAGCTGAGCTGTTCTGTTTGCTACAGGGCCCTGATTTTGCAGAGGAAGAGGGCTGTCGTCACTGGGAACCAAGATGAGGGGTTCCAACAGCAGAGGGGAACCAAGTGCACCACGATGTCCCCTGTACTAGTTCCCTGGGGCTGCCCTAACAGGGAGCCACAGACTGGGTGACTTAAAATACCAGAAGCTGATGGTCTCCCAGTTCTGGGAGCCTGGGATACAGGCATCAGAAGGCTCAGTTCCCTCTGAGGGCGTCAGGGAGAATGCAGCACAGGCCCCCTTTCTGTTGCCACTCTCCTGGTGGCGGCAGTCCGTGGCGTGCCTTGGCCTGTCCTCTGCCTGGCCGCAGCCTTCTCCCGGTGCCTCTCCACATCATTCCCTAAGCACGTGGCAGTCTCTGCCTCCAAATTTCCCTTTGATAACAGCACGAGGAGATTGACTTAGGGCTCACCCCATGGCCACATCTTCATTTTATTACCCTTATAAAGACCCTGTTTCCAAATAAGGTCACATGCAGAGGCACCTGGGGTTGGGACTCCAGCATATCTTTTCTGAGGAACACAGTTTGACCTGTAACCCTTTTCCCACAGGCAGCCTCTCCTCTACTCAGATGTGAACACACACTTCAACAAAAGCAGGCACCTCCCCCGGGAACTCACTGGGCTTGGCCCAGTTCTGATCCCAGCAGAACTCGGTGTAACCCAAGGCCAGCCCTTCTGTGTGGCCTTGTCACCATGAGGAAACTACACACAGGTGTGGGAGGCACCTGCTTCTGGAAGGCACAGTTCCTGGGATCAGATCGTCCTGGTTTGAGCCCAGGCCCTGACCCTTCCTGGCTCTGCGGCCCTAGACCGTACTCAGCCTTTCCAGGCCTCTGTTCCTTCGACTGCCTCGGAAAGTCATCATACCCACCTTGCCTGGTTATTGTGAGAATTAAAGGAAATCATGCTTACAAGATGCCCTGGACATAGAAGATGCTCAAAAATTATTAGTCTCCTTCTCTCATCTCCATGATTCCCACGTCTTGCATAGTCCTGGGATTTTAGGTTGACCTGACACTGTTCGATGATTCCGCAGCACGTGTATGCTCCTCCAGCTGAATTCGCGGTTCCGTTAATTGACAAGGAGGAGCATCTTTCGGTGCCTGGCTTTTTGGCATACACCAAGGGTACCAAGTCGCTGATGTGCTGCCTTCTTTGAAAAGGATATAGGCCAAACCCCAGCCTGGAACTGACTGACTGTCGCAGCATCTCTCCAGGTCCCACCTTGCGTGGGCCTTTGTGTCTGCCATACAGAAATCAATTGCCCTGCTCCAGGAGCCTGCCTCCCAAGGAGTAGCACTCAGAAGAGAACAGCTGTGCCAGGGCGGCGTCCCTCTGGTCGGGGGCTCTAACAGACTCTCACCTCCCAACCCCCACCTCAGGGCAGATGAGGCTGTCACCTGCTTCAAAATGATGCTTGTTGGGAGGGCTGCCCTTTGCTGGGGTCACCGCCACCTCACTTTTGTAGGTTCAGAAACGCTCACTTTATCAGCCTTTCTGGAGGGGCTCAAGCCCAAAGAGTGTGGATTGGAATAGCCCAGACCCAAAGACCGCTTCATGGGCCAGGGAAGCTTCTAGCTCCAGACTCTCCAGGATCTATTCATTTGTTTATTTAGTCATCCATTCAGTGCACACCGTGGAGGGCTAAGCACTTCCCCATGTTAACTCACTTAATCCTAAATATAATCCAGACAGGTATTGTCAGCCTCCCTCTTACAGATGGGGAAACTGAGGTTTGAAGGTCAAGTGATTTTCCCACATGCCTGCTCTAGTGGTGAGCACAGGATAAAGTCAGGAAGAGCACGGGAGACCAGCGAGAAAAGCCAAAAGCCATGGGAAGAGGAGACTGGGGCGGCGGGGGGTGGTGGCGGGGGGTGGCGGCGGGGGCCGGGCAGACTGAAAACCTGGGGGGCACCAGTTCAGCAGGACAATACGTGAGTGTTTTAGGGACTATGAACTGCTGCCTGGCATCTTCCCACCTCTTTAAGGCATCTCTAGCTAACCACAGATGTGCCCCCCAGAAAGCATGCCCTTCTTAAAATCCTTAAGCCAATGCGTTCCATCAGCTTTTGCGAAGTTATGGTGTGGGAGCAAGCCCGGTCCCCAGCGGCTTAGAGCACTCACGGTTTGTTTCTCACTCGGGGTAAACATCAGCTGCTGTCGGATGAGGCTCTGACTCACACATCTCCATCTTTCCGGGATCCGGGCTGAAGGAGTGGCCACGTTCTCATGGCAGAGGAGAAAGAACACCGGCGGGACCGCACGACAACTTTTACAACTTCTTGCAAGTGTTGCTTCTCTCCTATTTTCTTGGCCAAAGTGAGCCATGTGGCCGAGCCTGCTGTCACTGGGGCAGAAAATAATTGGCAATATAAACTACAGTCACAGGTTATTGATACTGCTGGTCTCCATTTTCTAGTTCACAAAATGGAAAGAATATCAGTTCCCTCTTAATGAGGCACTTACAAAGATTAAATGAAATATGGCCGGCAGCACAGTACATTGTAAATTGACTTACAATTTCCTAGTGCCCAGCACAGGGGCTGGCATAGAGTGGGTGCTCAATAGACATTTGTGGAACTTTATTCATCAACAAATATTTACTGCACACCTGCTCTGTGCCAGGAACTATTCTAGGCTATTCTAGGCTAGCTTTTAGGATCTAATAGAGAACAAGACAAGCAAGATCTCTATTCTCATGGACCTCACGTTCCAGTTAGTGGGAAACAGACAACAGACAGCTAAGAACTTCAGAGAGTGGTAAGAGCTGTCAAGAAAATGAAACAGAATTAATAAGAAACAGGGTAGGGAGTAAAACTAATCTAGCCAGGCACAGTGGCTCATGCCTGTAATCCCAGCACTTTGGGAGCCAAGGCAGACGGATTGCTTGAGCTCAGGGGTTTGAGCCCAGCCTGGGCAACATGGAGAAACCCTATCTTTACAAAAAAAAAATACAAAAATTATCCAGGCCTGGTGGTACATGCCTATAGTCCCAGATACTCAGGAGGCTGAGGCAGGAGGATCACCTGAGGACGGGAGGTCAAGGCTGCAGTGAATCGTGATCATGCCACTGCACTGCAGCCTGGGCAACAGAGTGAGACCCTGTCTCAAAAAAATAAAGACTAATCAAGAAAGACTCCCCCAGATAGGTAACTTTGAGCTGAGATCTGCATGATGAGGAGCCAGTCTTGAAAAGATAAAAGGTAACAACATCCTGGGCAGAAAGGGGATCCTGCGTGCAAAGGCCCTGAGGCCAGGACGAGTTTAGGAAGGCCACTCAGGCAGGGGTGTCCCGAGCACATGGCAGAGCCACAAAGAAGGACGTCGGAGACCAGGAGGAGTTTAAGAAAGTCACTTAGGCAGGGGAGTCCCGAGCACATGGCAGAGCCACACAGAAGGACGTCAGAGAAGCAGGCAGGGAACTTCATCCCTTTTCTAGTCTCTTGCTGTCCTTTCTAGCACATAAATCCTTTAAGGACAAGGTCACCAGAACCTAGCGCAGTGCCTGGAGCATCCCAAAGATCTGGGAAACACCTGCTGGGGAAAGAATTCCATCAGGGTGGGACAATGGCCACACCAGAGACAGAGCTGCCCATCCCCTAGAGGGGGCTTCTGAAGCTCTGACCCATTCTCTCCTTCTCATTCTCCTTCTGAATTCCCTGTCTCCTAGAAACTTCTCTCACTCCATGACATCAGCATCACTTGGTGACATGTTACAATTTCCAAAATTACAGCTGTTTTTATATTACATTGCACAGTGGCTGCTTTCTAACAACCTAGAGAAAAAGCCTCTTTTACAAATAAGCTCTCTCCAAATCACAGTGTGGAATGGGCTACAACTAATTCCATCCATTATACACTGATTGCCTTCAGCTCTGCCTCCAAACCATGGCAGGTGCTGACCTTGGCTGGGTTTCAGGGTGACCTTCACTTTGAGGACATGGATCTTGCTACCCACACACAGTTGAGTCACGTCATAAGCACACCTAACTCCATATGCATACTTCAGTGATACCTGCCTGCAGAAGAGAAGGAGAGAGTGATTTAAATACACCAGTGAACGCATGCCACAGAAAGCCAAACCTGGAGGTGTGACTCAGGGTCCTGCAGGGCCCTGCTGCCTCTCCTGGTGTGAGCATCCCTCCTTCCTCAGTCTGCAAGATCCTTGTGTTTAAAGCTCTGGGAGGTTTGAAGACACCTGTTCTGCAAGGAGACGCATTCAGTGCCCACTTGAAGGACAAGTGGATCTGGCTGGACTGTTGAGAGCCAGGATGGCAGTCTCAGCGTGAGGCTTAAGGGGGCTGGCGGGAAGGGCAGGGAGCCGTCACTATAGCTTACAGCTGAGTCATGTCTGCTATTCGGGCTCACTTCAGAGCAAGTCCCTGAGCCACTTGTGCAGAGACAGGTGGTGGGGAGACAGGAGGAAGCCTCTGTCTTTTAGCTGGGAGTCCAAAGACCTAGACGCTGGCCCTGGCTTGGCATGAGCGAAGGGACCCTGCTGTACATGAGGGCCTGTGAGGGGTGGGCTCAGACCCTCTGTGGGCCCTTCCAACTCTGCCATTTCTGTGATTCTGCAGGGAGGTGTTGGGAAATAGGCAGGAAGATGTAGGCCTGCTGTAGGAAGGTGGAGACCTACAGGTGATCTTTCCCCTGACTGGCTAGTGGGTGGAGAACAGCTCTGGGTCAAAGGAGGCATGGAAGTTTGCCTGCCAGGCCCTCCCCAGCAAAACTGGGAGGAATTAGCATCCACCCCAAAAGGAATCGGCCTATTCCAAACATGCCTTCAAGAGGGTCCGCTTCTGAGGTCTGTTCCGCAGAGGACCAGGCCGGTGACGGTGAAGCCAGCCACCTTCCTGGCTCAGGAGCTCCTCCTCACCCACGGCCTCTGTTAGCATCCCATGTCCTGGAGACGGCGAAAGCAGAGCTGAGGGGACAAGGAGTTGGGGCCAAGCAGGGCCAGGGCCCAGCAGGAACATTAGGAAGTGTCTCAAGCCTCAGGTGGGGTGGGGCACAGTCCTTCCTGCCCGAGTTCTCTTGTTACCAGATGGAAGGTCTTGGCTGTGAGTTGTCCAGGTTCTTGGCATGTTGAACAAAGAATTGAACAAAACACACAAACAATGCAACAAAAGAACAGAGTAAGGAAGGCACAGATGTATCAAAGCCCAAAAGTACAACCCACAGAGCAGGAGCAGGCTGGAGCAAGCGGCTCAAGAGCCACTATTAGGGTTTTATTAAGTCGCAAATGTTTGGTAACACCCCTAGGTGCCCTTTAGAGTCCTCCAATTGGTTACACCCTATGAAGGATTGGCCTGCAACCAATCAGAGGGTGAAGTGGAGACTTCGCTTGCAGCCAATCAGAGGCTGAGGTGGAAACTTCTGCCTTGTTATGACAGGAGGGAGGGTGTGGCCTGTGTGCTGCCCAATCTTGCCTAGAACTGGCTGCACCTGTTGTTCTTTTGCTTCTGCCTTAACCGTTGGTTACCCTAATTCCCTTGTTCTCCTGCCTCTTCTGGGAAAGGGAGTGATGGGAGCAGGCTGGGTGAGGTGAGGGAGAGACAGGCCTACGGTGGCCAGAAATGGCTCCCTGCAGAGGCTGCAA
This sequence comes from Homo sapiens, assembly GCF_000001405.40. Taxonomy (NCBI): domain Eukaryota; kingdom Metazoa; phylum Chordata; class Mammalia; order Primates; family Hominidae; genus Homo; species Homo sapiens. The sequence goes on along the minus strand of NC_000022.11, from coordinate 39,724,326 downwards.
GGCTGGCCCAAGCACCAGGTCAAGAATGCCAAATGATTCCACCAGGGCTGGAAGGGGGCCAGAGACTGCAGAGCCGCATGGCTGGAGGGTGAGCCTGGAGTGAGGGTACACCTGGAGTGAGGGTGCACCCAGCCCAGAGCCCTCCCGAGGGGCTGCTCTTATGGCCATGTGGAGGTGGGTCCAAGCCATGAAAGCAACAGAGAATCCAAGCAGGCAGGGGACTTGGGACAGAACTAGGGTTTCCCAAGCACCTACACTGTGGGAGGCACCATACAGAGGAGATTCAGTTCCATGAGTCATGGACCCACGTGGTCCAGCCTCTGAATAGAGTCACAGATAAGAAGTCCAGTCCAAATTGTCAGAAGTGATAATAAAGGAATTCTCATTCTTACCCTGACTTCTCTTTAGGCAGATGCAGCTGTTCTTTCTGGGCTTTGGAGATCCCTTTGTCCCACCCACACTGCTCCTGGGCTGCCCATTTGCCAAAGCCCCACCACCTCCCAAGTCTCCACCTCGACCTTTAGGCTTCAGCCGCAGCCGTCTTCCTCCTGCTCAGCTGGATTCGGAAGGGCAGGCCTGGAGCCCTGAAGACTGGAGACTGGAGTGAGGCCTCCCAACGCCGGGCCCAGGTGGGCTCCATCATCACATGGGGGCTGGGAGAGTCCAGGGCAGGCAGGTGCAGGCCCTGAGCCAGGGTTACCAGCGGGAGAGGAGAGGGAGGGCAGGAGGCAGAAGGCGGGCACGGTCACCCCTGGCCCATTTGTGAACCTGTAAAGTGCTGCCTTCCCCAGCTATGGTGAGGAAACTAGGTGCAGGGAGGTTAGGAGTGGCCCAAGATCACCCAGCCAGCGAGAGTGAGCATCAGGAATTGAACTCGGGTCTGTCTGAAGCCAAGGGTGTCTTCCTGAAACTTCATTATCTACACGTCCTATCAGAGAAGAGATGCAGAGAGAAGGAAGCTAGAGCTTAAGGGGTGTGTGTGTGTGTGTGTGTGTGTGTGTGTGTCAGGTGGGTGGGGTGGAGGGGAGCATGAGGAAGATGAGACAAGGTCATCAGAAAGGAGAAGGATGCCAGGCACGGTGGCTCACACCTGTAATCCCAGCACTTTGGGAGGCCGAAGCAGGTGGGTCATTTGAGGTCAGGCATTTGAGACCAGCCTGGCCAACATGATGAAACCCTGTCTCTACTGAAAATACAAAAATTAGCTGGGCATGGTGATGCGTGCCTGTGGTCCCAGCTACTCGGGAGGCTAAGGCAAGAGAATCACTTGAACCTGGGAGGCAGAGGTTGCAGAGAGCCGAGATCGTGCCACTGCACTCCAGCCTGGGCCACAGAGTGAGACTCCATCTCAAAAGAAAGATGGAGTTGCTGAGGGAAGGGGAATGAGGTTGAGGGAAAGAGAAAAGAAAGACTTTTGGAAGCATAAACCTCAATGCCAGACATTTAGACCCTGTTAGAGATTGTCAGGATCTTTCTCAGAGATGTTTTTTTAAGCCATGGTAGCCAACCTATGGTATAGCTTTGGCACAGGGCCAGGGACAGCAAAACAGAAACAATCAAATGGGCACCCCACCCTTGAATGTGTTCCCAGAAACCTCCCAACCACCCTGCAGGGCGATGAGGCCCGTGGAATGGTATAAAAACCACAGTGTTCATGTCACAGTTTAAAGACCCAGCACGTTCCATCTGTAGCTGTGCACCATGATGGCTTGCTATCAGGCTCTAGGGCCCAAGTCTACTAAAATTCTGGTGCTTCTGTGGCTTTGGGATTGGATAATGATAGAAACCTTGGCAGAGGAAGGAAAAATGGAAAGACAATCAGCGCACCAGGAACCCAGTGCAGCCCGCACAGCCACAGTGCGGGTCTGCTCCGGGTCTTTTGTCCTGACAGGAAGGGGATGCGTCCGACGGCCACGGCTGATTCTTGGAATGGTGTTGAAGATGGGAGTGACAACAACAATGATGAGACATTCATGGTTTATGTTTGTAATTTACATTTGTGTTTCGTGTGTGTAATTTACATCTGCAGAGGGCTTGATATCTCACAAGGCACATCATACACAATTCCCTCTCCATCCTAACAACCCAGTGAAGCAAGCTGGGAAACTCCCATCGTAGGCACGAGTGCCTGGTTCTCTTTCTCCCAGGGACAAGGCGAAATGGTGCTCCCCACCCCCTGGAAGTTAGGCATGGCCATGTCACTTAAAGGATACGGCTGAAGCCTTTCCGCTACAAGTCACTTGTTGCCTGCCCTGGTGTGGCCCAGGTCCCAGAAGGAGGACCCCCAGAGCAGGGTCCCCAGTTAGCCAGCAGTGGGTATAGCATGAATGTGTGTTACTGCAGCAAAACCCAGCCATACTCATGGGTACAGAAATTATCACCACTTTCAAAATGAGTCAGTGCTTAACCCAAGGCCTCCTAGACACAAGCTTGGAACAGAATCTAGGTCTTTTGCTCCTTAGACTAAAGGCTGGCACTATAATAAGTTGGAAAGGACTTTACCATAGGCAGAGCAAGGATTGAAGCCACATAGGCTCTAACTGTTAAGGCTGATGACCTTGACCTAGGGCAAGCTATCTTAGCCTTTGGGAGTATTGCATTGCTCATCTGAAAAACAGAGGGGCTGGTAACCACGCACAGGGCGGTGGGGGAACTTCAGTCAGAGGACAAGTGCAAAGCCTTCTCTATGGCAGGCATTCCCTAAGTGCTCCGCCCCCGGGGTCCGGGGCTGGCTACTCTCCTGTGCCACGGAGTCTCAGAGGTTAGCATACAGCTCAGGAAGTTTGAAGATGATTTAGGGTTCCCTGAGCATCCTGGCTGAATTGTTCTTCCTTCTGCCCTCTAAGTAGTCTTTATTCCCGTCTGGGCTTGGAATCTGGAAAGTGTCTCCTTTGTATCCAATTAGAACATTTTTCATTTCAAAACGTATTGTTGCCCAGGGACAATGGCATAAAGCAGAGCTTAGCTGGCTCCCGAGAATAGAAGCAGACAGTGAAAGGGCTTCCTGAGAACAGTGGCATCTTTGAGAGTGACTGTCCCTCTTGGCTCTGCACCAACAGAGCTGGCACCCAGGTGTCAGCAGGAGAGCCCTTGTAATTAATTTTTAAATTTGCTATTTTCATGCATTTAGGCATGGGGCTGAAGTTCCAGTTGGTTTTGACCTTTAAAAATGTTACAGGCAATATCAGCCTTTCTCCAATGTGAAGGACACTGACTCGGAGGCTATAAAAACCCCAGCCTTGCAGGCTGGCACCTTCCCTTCTGTTTCCTCTCTTTTCCCTGCATTTCACTTGTCATCTATATAAAGGAAATCCACATACACACAGACTTATTTTTTTTTTTTTGGAATGAGGTGTATGTTTCCATCCCTGCATTTTCCATTCCCAAAGTGGCTGTCACACATTTTTTTATTGTGGTAAAATATACCTCACATAGAATTTACCGTCGTGACCAGTTGTGAGCATGCAGTTCTGTGGTAGTAAGTCCATTCCCATTGATATGCAGCCATCATCACTACCCCTCTGCAGAACCTTCTCATCCTCCCCCACTGAAAGTCTGCACCCGTGAAACACTAACTCTCTGTTCCCCCTGGCCCAGCCCCTGGTAACCCCATCTACTTCTTGTCTGTATGACTTTGACACTCTAGACCCCCTCATCTAAGTGAGTATTTGTATTCCGTGTATTTGTCTTTATTTGTCTGTATTTCCCAGTATTTGTCTTTCCGTGACAGGCATTACATCCTCAAGGTCCATCCAAGGTCGTGGGATGTGTCAGAATGTCCCTCCTTTTTAATGCTGAATGCTATTCTGTCATATGGATATCTCACATATATTTTAAATGGGGAAAGATCCTCAATGGCTATTAGTGAAACACTGGTTTTCCCCTTTAGAAGGTGTTTTCTCCACACATTATTTCATTTGATCCCCAACAAGGTTTGGAGGTAAACGCAATTACCCCAGTTCATATGGGAGGGACCAAGTCTCTGAGAAGCTAAGGGGCTGTCCTGGGCCACATGCCGGGTAAAACAGCAGGGCTCAGACCCATGGCCTCTCACTAGAGCCCTGGTCCTTCCAGCCCCCGTCCCATGACACCCCCGTCTCAAATGTTAAAAACAGAACTTAGCCTTTGTTCAGGCTAATGTTTGCTTGTCCATTTTCTTTCACTCCCCACTTACATCCATTAGTCAGAGGCTTCCAGCAGGGGCTCAGATAAGGTCAGGGTGGAGAGAGAATCTGGTTTCAAAAGAACCCATAGAAAGAGACAGGAAAAAACTCCACCCCAATCCCAGTCCCCTCCAACCACAGTGAACCACTAAGGCTATGCCTTTCGGTCTTTTCTATAAGATAAAATCAAAATGATTGAAAAGGTAAAGAAGGAAATCTCGTATTTGCATTTAAGGCCACTGGTGATGCAAACCGACCCAGATTAGACTATGTCTACGCTGGAACGGAACCAAACCTGCCGGGGGCAGAGCAAACCAGGGAAGTGACAGAGCCATTGGTGGCCGGGCACCGACTGGGGGATGGGGCCACCTGCCAGTCAGTAGGTGGAGCGCCCTGCCAGGAGCCCCATCCAGCATCTCCACTCTTCACAGCAACCCACAAGGGAGGGGAGCTGCCCCCACCCTCCCCATCACACCATCCCCATCACACACTTCACCGCCACATGGCTAGAGGATGTGGCACGAGGAGGTGGGATGGAAGAAGAAAAGTGAAACCAATCTAGAAGTCCAGCTTCAGGGCAGGGGGCTCACAAGGCCCAGATTTGGGCTCCTTCTACTGCTGCCACCATGGTGGTCTTGAGGACCCCTCCTCAGGGACCAAGGCCCCAGAATGTGGCCCACCCTGTGCTCTGTCCTTGGCCACTTTTGGGTAGGAAGTTAGTGACTGCAGGGGCTGTTCTGGGAAGCAGGCAGGTGCCACCTTCTACAAGGCCCAGGAGGACCACCAACAAGCCTGGGCATTTGAACTTTCTCCTATAGGTAAGGGGGCTCCAGGAAATGTCTGTACTGAGGAGAGGCAAGGGGTGTGTCAGTGCCTGCTGGGCAGACCCAGGGGAATAGGGAAGAGAGATGGAGTTGGGGCAGCGGCCCAGGCAGCCCTAGGAATGCTGAATCCATCCCGCCCTGGGCAGGGAGTGTGAGCAGAGATGAAGATCAACACGGAGCGCTTCTTGGGAACAGCCATGCCCTTGGTGGCTGCAGGCCCTCAGAGTGGCAGATTCGTTACAGCCGCAGTGTGCCTGGACTGGAGAGGCTCCACGCACTCTGGTGATAGAAGGCTGACTTCTCACTGCCTGTAAAATACCACAGTGAGGAACTGACGGGCCCTTTTTTTGAGACAGAGTCTCTGTCACCCAGGCTGGAGAGCAGTGGCACAATCACAGTCCACTACAGTCTAGACCTCCCAGGCTCGGGTGATCCTCCCACCCCAGCGTCTCAAGTAGCTGGGACCACAGGCATGCCCCATCAGGCCCAGCTAATTTTTGTATTTTTAGTAGAGACAGGGTTTCACCATGCTGCTGCCCAGGCTGGTCTCAAACTCCTGGTCTCAACTATCCTCCCACCTCGGCCTCCCAAAGTGCTGGGATTACAGGCTGAGCCATGGTGCCCGGCTGGAACTGGGGGCTCTTGAATGAAGCAGAAAGACCTGTCTGGCCTGGTCTCGGTCTTCCAAACGAGCTTCAAGGTATCGTTTACACCATCACTAAAGGCTTACACTTCTGATGCTAGAGATTTCCTTTCCAAGCACCAATCTTCAGAGGTAGCATCCAGCTTGGCTCCCTCTTGCTGGCTGTGTGACCTTAAGCTCTCTGAGCCTTGGTTTTGATACAGAAATTACAAGTTTCCTTAATAAGACCGTCCAAGTTGGCAGCAAAGAGACACTGCTGGCAGGGGTGGGGCACCTCTCCTCCACAGTTCACCTTGGGAGTGGCTGGCTGATCCCAGCCACCATGGGCACGCTGCCCTCAAAGATACACGGTCCCCCATTTTTGGTTTCGTTTTTGTTTTTTGAGACAGAGTTTTGCTCTTGTCGCCCAGCTGGAGTACAATGGTGCAATCTCGGCTCACTGCAACCTCCTTAGCCTCCCAACTAGCTGGGATGACAGGCACCCGCCACTGCGCCCAGCTAATTTTTGTTTTTTTAGTAGAGACAGGGTTTCACCATGTTGGCTAGGCTGGTCTCAAACTGCTGACCTCAGGTGATCCACCCGCCTCAGCCTCCCAAAGTGCTGGGATTACAGGCGTAAGCCACTGTGCCCAGCCCACGGTCCCCTTTTACTGCTGGTGAGAGGTGGACACTTGCCCTTTAGCCCAGAGAGTATGCTGGGATGACACCGTTGTCAAGTAAATATAAGCATCAAGGGTGCCCTCAAGAATGGACCCATGTTTCGCCACACAGCCCAATCTCTGCGGTTGACCAAGGCTGTCCCGCCAAGATGCCGCCCCTGCCTGATTCTGAATCCTAAAGTCATTCCAGAGGCCCCCAAGAGGTCCACAGCATGGCTGATAGCCAGGCCGGCCCCTGTGATCCCATTCACTCACTCACATTCATTTATTGGAGGAATAATCCTGTTCCCAGGCCCTGTTCTATTTGAACACGCTCCTAAGGAAAAGCTGCCCAGAGGTGTTCTTGAGCCAGCTCATGTGGACTCCAGGGTCCGATGGAATTTACCTGGGTGCAGTGACTTCGCCTCGGCAGCTCGAGACTGGCCATGGTAGGATTCTTTACTCCAGGGAAGCTGGTCAACACCACATTCTCCTCAAAGAGCCGGTGGTTAAACCAGTGCACCAATGGTTAATCTGACCGGCCTATCCTATAACTTAGCAATTGCACCACTGGGTGTCTACCTAAGAGAAAAGAGTCCACATATCCAACCAAAGACAAGTGCAAGAATGCTCAGAGCAGCTGTATTCAAAGTCGACAAAGAATGGAAACAAGCCAGATGCCCACCGACAGGAGGAAGGGTGAGCAGTGTTACACCCGCACAATGAAGAGCTCCTCAGAGATAGAGAAATGAGCTATTGATCCACATGACGGCACGGCTGACTCTCGCAGACACTGCACTGAGTGAAAGAAGCCAGGCACAAAAGGCTGCATTGTGTGATTTGCTGCATACAAAGTTCAAGAATAGGCAAAACTAGTATACGGTGAGAGAGACCAAAACGTGGCTACCTCTGGGGAAGGGGCTGGGATTGACTGGGAGGGGCAAGAGGAGGCCTTCTTTCTGGGAGGCTATTCCGTATCTTGAACAAGGGTGTGCGCATATGGAAAAGTTAATCAGGCTGTGTATTTGAGATTTGTTCGCTTTGCACTTCACACTGCTTGCTGCACATATTATATACCTCTATTAAACAGAAAAGACAGTGTGTGCATGTGTGTGCGTGTATTTGTCTGTCTGTCTTCCAGGAAGTCCCTTCCTTCTTCCTAGCTCACTGCCCAGCTCAGTCCCCAGCTCCTAGCAGCTCACATCTTCCTTAAAGTGAAGACCCAGGAAATACCAGCTCCTGAGTTCCAATTCCTGAGTTCCGGCTGTCCGAGGCCTCCCCCGCCCTCCAGCCCTAGACAACGGCCTTTAGAAAGACCCTGCGCGAAAACTGAGTTGACTGTTGAACAAGGCTGTCCCACCAAGACGCTGCCCCTGCCTGATTCTGAATCCTGAAGTCAGTCCAGAGACCCACGAAGAGTCCCCAACATGGCTGATAGCCAGGCCAGCCTCTATGATCACATTCATTCACTCACATCCATTTATTCAAAAGCGCAGGTGAGGCCCCGGGCCAGGGGTGGCATGATGGACGGGCCCAGAGTGAGGTGGGATGTGGCAGCAGCGGTGCGGATGTGGTACCTTCAGGGCTTGGCATCTGGTAGGATCAGGCAGGGGAAGGACTTGGTGACAACTGAGGACCGGAAGGGTGGTCACGCATCTGCCAGAAGTCAGGTGAGGCACAGGCCGTTGTCGGCCTTGGCTGCCTCCGTGGCTGCCCAGCTCTAATTTCCAGCCAAGAGGGGGGAACTGCAGGAGTCAGAACAGTAACAAGGAGAGTTACCCACATTCGACAAGTGAGGAAACCGAGGCTCGGAGTGGGGAAGAAACTTTCCCAGGTTCACCCAGCTAGAAGTTTCAGGCCTGGAATCTGAACCTGCTTATTTTGTCTAGGAGTTGGGAGGCTCTCGGGAGGGCAGGCTGGGGTCTGCAGTAGAGGTCTGCACGGGCCCTGGCGGGGGGGCAGGAAGCGCCAGGACATGGGTCGGGAGCATGGAGAGGCTGGTGTGCCAGGGTCTGACGTGAAAGACTCCACCAGGTCCATCACTGTCTGTATCAGCCCCGGGGACTCCCAAGACTTGGGACAAGCTCAAGACAAGGCAGAGCGAGGAGAGAGCCAGCTGTGTCCCCAGCATCCGGGCCCCTCGCGAGCTGCCGCTGAGACTGCTCCAGGGCCAGGAAGTGGCAGGTCTGGGGCAGCGTCCCAGCTGGGCCCCTGCCTGCTGTGAGACCGTGGGCAAGCCACCTCTTCTTCCTCGTCTGTAAAATGGAGACAGTGACCCCCGTTTGGGTTTGGATTAAGAGATTGGGTTTATAAAACACCAGGCAGTTTTAGGGTGTACGAAAACACAGTAGCAACTCCAGAACTCTTCACTGAATACATTCAATCCAACCAAGCCCCCCCAGCAAAGGAGTATGAAGGTTGACCGCTCCTGCTCAAGCACGTGGCAGCGTCACTGGGGCAGGGATGGGGGGTGGGGGGACAGCCGAAGGAAGGGGACAGCCCCGCAGCGCTTGGACAGAAACTCGCAAAGGCCCTGAAGAATAAGCTGCACTCAGGTTTATACTGCTTTGCAGCTACTTTTATTTTATTTTATTTTGAGACGGAGTCTTGCTCTGTCACCCAGGCTAGAGTGCAGTGGCGCGATCGCGGCTCATGCTTCGCAGCTACTTTTATTAAAAATCATGAATTCTGGTCAGGGACATGGTCGGCCTCAAATCCTAAAAAGCTGCCAGGCACAGTGGCTCACTCCTATTATCCTCGCACTTTGGGAGGCCGAGGCAAGAATATCACATGAGACCAGGAGTGTGAGACAAGCCTGGGCAACAGAGTGAGAACCCCATCTCTATAGAAAATTTTAAAAATAAAAATAAGAGATTTAGCCAGTCGTGACAGTGCTCACCTGTAGTCCCAGCTATTTGGGAGGCTGGGGCGGTAGAACTGCTGGAGTCCAGGAGTTCAAAGCTGCAGTGAGCCATGATCGCACCACTGCAGTCCAGCCTGGGCAGCAGAGCAAGACCCTGCCTCAAAATTAAATAAACGTCACGAATTTACGAAGTTCTTTGAAATGAATCCAGTCCTGCCAGTGTACGCACTGCTCCTCTTCCACAGCAGGGAAGGGGTGGTCTCTGAACAGCTGAGCCCACCCCTAAATGCCCAGCTGAGGAGTGCAGCCCCCAGCCTCTCGGCTACACCCTTTCTAAGCCCACTTCTGTGACCTCATCTACCGGACAGGTGGGGAAATGTCCATGCTTCCCGCGGGCCCAGCTCAGGTCGGGGTCAGTATTTCACAGAAATACAGAGAGAACAGCCAGACCCAGTGCCACCCCTCCATCCTTGTTTCCTCTGGACACCTCCCTTCTCAAGGGCGTGCAGTAATCGAATGCACAATGCCCCATGCCTCTCCCTGGCAAAGACACCTTTAGAGGAAACAATACATCTTTCTACAGCGCCACCACCTCCCAGGTGTACAGGGCATTCCCTTAGGCTCAGGCTGAGCAGGACACAGACCCCACTAAGCAGGCCTGAGTGGGCATCAGGGACGGCCTGCTCTGCGCTGCTCAGTCACAGAGGTGCCGGTGAGGGCTTGTGGCCCCAGAAGCCTCACTGGTATCCACAGTGAGTCTGGGGCTCTCAGCCACCCTGAAGAATAGCGCAGACAGGGACTGTCTACTACTGTACCCTCTGCTACTACCGGCTGGATCACCTGGACTTGCTTGAACCTGAGCTTCCTTGTCTGTAAGATGGGATCATCACCGTGCTCATGGCGCATGATCTTTAGAGGTGTCGGTGAGAGTCAGTGGAAAGGGTCTCGCACCAAGCCAGGTAAGCCAGGGCTATGCCACACACTGCAGCACTCACAGCCTTTATGCTGCTATATTCTGGCTGCCGCGTGAACCTGCAATGATTTCTGTTGCAGTGCCCTGGACTGGGGAACCCAGGCCTCAGCTGAACCCCTGTGGCCATGACCCTGTCTGGCTCTCCCAGGCCCAGACTCAGCCTGGTCCGTCTGTTGCCCTCCCTCAGCCCCTGCCCCAAGTCTCTTCCGGTGGCATCAGCCAGGACCGCCCTCCCACCTGTGGATCCAGCCCCTCACCTCCCCCAGAGCCAGCCTCGGCCCTGCTCTAAACCAGGGTCCTCCTTCCTCTATGTTTGGGGAACACTTTTGAAAGATTGATCACATTTTTAGCAAGCAGCTTGCTCCTTCCGCTGGAAAGGTGCTAAATAAGTTTCGTGTTATTATTTTCTATTTTTAGTCATACTTTTAAAACTGAGACAGAAATAAAAAGGGCAAAAGCAGGAGGCTCGATGATAAGTTGGTCTCCATCTCCAGCCCCACCTCTTCCCCTCAGACAGCCATGGCTGTCCCTTCTGCACGCAGGGAAGGACCCAGCCCACCCGCCCCGCCCCATCCCATTCCCGATTTGTGTTTTACACAGCTGATCCTGTACCTGCTGTTTAGCCAAGCAGCTTGCAGACCTTCTTTTATCAGATGGACTTGATTCTCTCTAAAGGCTTCCTGGAATTCCACTGTGTGAATGCTCCCCGGTGCAGAGTGTCTGGATCCCTTTTTGATGGAACGTCAGTCTGCTTCCGCGCCGTAGTAAATAGTCATTCCGCGGAATACCCTCCTAAAGGTGGAATTGCTGGGTCGAAGGTCACAAGGCCTCCCTGGGTGCCGCATACTAGCTCAGCCCGACACTCTGCGGGGTGTCCTGCACTGGTCCTGCCTGTCCCTGCCCACCTCCAATGCCGGCCTCACAGCCAAGCCCATTCATGTTTTGACTGTCATTCATTCACTCACTCATTCATTCATTCATCATCTCCCCTGGGCCAGGCCCCAGGTGCTGGGGATTCACACAAGACCTAGCCCAGCCTTCAGAAGCCTGCAGCCTGGGGCTGAATCTTCCTCTTCTGTGAAATCTCCTGGGATCACCCCAAGCAGGGCCTCTCCCCCCTCCTCTGGGCTCCCGCTGCAGTGGGTGAATAGCTTATACAGCTTTTCATCTGTGATAGAGACGCACATGGGCACCTTCCAAAGAGACTTTGTTCTACAGCCAGTGACAAGGGTGTGCTCCCTCCCTCCAGGAGACCGCCCCCTGTCCACCACTGATCAGACCAGGACTAATTGGACTCCTGTCCTGGGAAATCGGAGCAGCTGAGTGTCAGGCAGGCAGTGCTGGGCTTGGGAGTTGCAGAGGCGGAGGTAAGAGAAGCTGTAGGGCCCCACACACGACAAAGCTATGGGACAGCCAAAAGGGCCTTGTCAGGGAAGCCTGCCTGTAGTGTGGAGGATGGAGCTGGCAGACAGAAAGGGACCAGGAGAGACCCTCCCTAACTGCAATTAAGTGTTGGGAGATCCCCCTAGAGCCTGATTCAAACTCACCTTATTTAAACGGGCTCGAGAGGGATTTGCTCCTTCCCATCCAACAAACCCTGAGAGCTTCCATCCTCAGCTGGGGAGAGTCTTCAGGGAAGGAAGCCAGGTTCATCCCCTTCTGCATCCTCTGCACCCAGCATGTGGCTGGAAAAAGGGAGGCTCAGAGCAGCAGCCAGTGGGCACTGACCGGGCACTTGCCTGTGCCAGGTGCTAGGCTGGGCATGTCATCCCCGTGAATCCCATCTCAGACCCATGAGGAGGCACCACCATGTGCCCTCTTTGCACTGCAGCTGCTTCTAACATCATATGCTTGACTTCAACACCTCCACTTCCATCACCTCCACTTTCTTCACAACCACTACTCTCACCTCCACTTCCATCACCTCCACCACTGTCACCTCCACTTCCATCACCTCCACCACTGTCACCTCCACTTCCATCATCCCCACTGCTGTCCCCTCCACTTCCATCACCCCCACCACTGTCACCTCCACTTCCATCACCCCCACCACTGTCACCTCCACTTCCATCACCCCCACCACTGTCACCTCCACTGCTATCACCCCCACCCTGTCACCTCCACTTCCAACCCCTCCACTGCTGTGACCTCCACCACTGTCACCTCCACCTCCGTCACCTCCACTGCTGTCACCACCACTGTCCCCTCCATTTCCATCACCTCCACTGCTGTCACCTCCACTTCCATCATCCCCACTGCTGTCATCTCCACCTCCATCACCTCCACTTCCAGCCCCTCCACTGCTATCAAAGCTATGCTCAGCCTGCCTGACCTAGGCTTGAATCCTAAATCCCTCTGTTTCTTGCTTCACAGAAAGGTTTGATTCGCACCAGTAGCATTTCTGAGGAATGGAAGGAATGTAAAAACATATAAGCAAGGCCAATACCAGGGTCTGGAAAGAAGCAGGCTGGGCAGCCCGATGCCACCCATAACACCTGAGCCTGGATGCCCCCTGAGCCTGTAAGGCGGGGGCTGTAAGCACCTTTTCTGCTGCACACAGAGCCTTGCTGGGCCCTTGAGGCTATGGGGTAATGAGGAAGACACGATGGAAACCAGCCTGTTCCAGAATGAGCAGGAAGTTTATTGTCCTTCTGAGGCTCCTGCAGTATGGGCACAGGGAACACTGCGTCTCGAAGGAGCGCACTGTGGCCACAGCTTATATAAGTTAAAGAATAAAAAACTCTCTCCTAGCAAGACATTTCCCACCCTCGCCCCGCTCCCCCCACCCCCTGACGAGCAGGGACACTTCTTGCCAGGCAGGTTTCAAGGCACAGGCGGCCCCGTCCTCATCTTGACGAGGACCATCTGGGTCCTTGCCAGGTCCTCTTCTTAGGCTCCTAGAATCGGGGACCCACTTGTCCAAGCACCTGAGGGATTTCCAGATGGATCCAATCCTGACGCCACTGGGGTCCACCCCAGGTCCTCCCAGTGAGAACATGCAATGAAAAGTAAAATGTTGCGAGTCTGCAGTGAGTGAGCTGAGAGCACGGGGACCCTAAGAGCTGCATGGCTCCCTGCCGTGGATGTGACGTGTCAACCTAACAAACTGGAAGAGGCTTTCTACAAAAAATGAGGTTCATTTGGGAACGGGCGCTACGTGGAAATATGTGTGCCGTGGTAAACTGCATGTGCGTCCAGGGAGGTCAAGGAAGGCAAAGGTTTTTAAAGGAAAATGAAGAGGATTAGGTCATCATTTTAAGATAAGTATCCTTGGCTGCTAGAATCAGGAACAAGGGTGGCACCAATCCAAGGCTGGACAGGCAGCTGCTGGGCCGATGTCCTCCAGGAGCGGTTTTCTGTGTAAGGTTGCAATGGCCTTTGTGCAAAGTGGTGGTTTTTAAAGAGACTTTTATGATAGTTCTTGGTATCAGGCATTCATGCACGAGAACCCTCCCTTTGTAGCCTTCTCTGGCTCTGTTTGTCAGGGTTTTAAACACAAGTGACTCCATTTTTACCCTGACAACTTTCACCAAAGACACGGTGAGGGCAGCTGTGCCTGAGCAGAATCTGGGAGAAAAGGCAGCTGGCTGAGCAGCTTTGGCCTCAGAGCTCTTTGCCCCGGAGCAGAAATCCCAGGTGGCACCTCCATGCCCTCAGGGCAGGGCACCTGTTCTCCAAGGAGAGAGAGAGCAGAGCGGGTGCTGGCAGCTGAGGGGCATGTAACCTGGGTGCCCGGAGGCTGGCCGCCTTCCTTCAGGATCCAGCTTCAGGACCCTGCTGGTTCTGGGCAAGCTTCTCCTCTGTTTTGGGGGCTCCATCTGAGTGGAAGTTTCTGATCTACAGCAGGGTTCCCGGGAGCGGCAGATTCGGGCAATCTCATGGGCTGCAATTTGGGACAGAGCTAGTGTTCTGGAGGAGATGGGACACTGGGGACAGACAAGTCCCAGACAGGCGGTGGCATTACCTAGTGCAGTGAGAGCGGAGAGGGTTTTGCAGCTCGGGGAGGGCTTCCTGCAGAAGGCAATGCCACTGGAGCATCTTAAAAATTAGAAGTCCTTCTAAGACTCATAGGAATTATTTGGCAAAACACAGGAGGTTGGGAGGGGAAGGACATTCGGGCCGCCGGGGTGTGGGGTGGAGGACAGCATGAGACCCAGAGCTGTAGCCAGCATGGCATTTAGAGGGGAGCCAGTTATCATCCCAAAAGACTTAATTCTGGACACCTTCATCCTGAATGTTGAAATCCCAAAGCTATCACTTCTGGAAAAAATAATTTAAAAGTCTTTAAAAGATGTTTATTTACAATTTTAAAAGATTTATTTAAGAAACATATAAAAGCACAACAGAACACTTCACAGGCCAGTTTACACCATAAAACAGGCAATAACACCATACATATTTTTGCAAGCAGAAACACCCAGGTATGCTAATGATGGTCACCGAGGTGCAAAAATTATGAGCAGGCAAAGCTTATTCATAAAGAAATAGGGAAAGTATACATGCACATCACCGAGTATAACAATTATAAGCAGACAAACCGTATTCATAAAGTGAGTCAAAAAGGGACAAGGTACACGCACATCACCAAGGGAGTGTGTGCACTCAGCTTCATAACTGTGGTCATCTGAAATATTACATGACGGACAACCTAAGCCTTTTGATGAAATTGACCAAAAGCCACAATGGGTCGTCACGGCGTGTGCAGGCACCCAAATAGCTGAGATCTCGAAAGATTTTATTTCACAAATGCAGATGTACATAAAGGACATTTCTTCATCTATTGAGGAGGATTCAATGTTTCTGTGTTGAAAACCAGGAAAGCCGATGATCTATATCTCAGGCTGAGGCCAAAAGCCTCAAGGCCCCGGGGCGGGGGGATGCTGGTTAAGTCCTGGAGTCTAAAGGTTAAGAGCCTGGCATTCTGATGTCGAAGGCAGCAGAAGGAAAGGCTGTCCCGGCTCTCGGAGATTCGCCTTCGGCATTTGTTCTCTCCCACCCGCTGGCTGCTTGGATGGTGCCCGCCAACACTGAGGACAGAGCATTCCACCCAGCCTACTCAGACCCACACACGGGTCTCCCCTGGAGACCCCTCACAAACACACCCAACACAGTCCTTCACCCGGTCCTTCCTCCGGGCAAGAGGACGCCTAAAATTCATCCACAAATCTACCCTTGTCAACCTGGCACCCGTACGCATGTCCTGAAGCCACACTTAATTTCCAAATAAAGACAATAGCAAGGTCATAGTTCTGCCTAACACGATGCAATAGCCTGTGACTGTGATTTTCGGGATTTTAGAATTTAAGGATTTTAGACAATCGGGATTTAGACTTTAGGGATTTTGATCTTCAGGGATTTTGACCTTTTGGGATTTTGACATTCAGGATTATGGCATTTGGAATTGTGTCTTTCAGGATTAGGATCCAAATCCCCTTTTGAGAGAAGCTGGAAAGAGCGGGTGGGGGCGGCCGGTGTGAAGGAGCAGGAGCCTCCTTCGGAAAGCTCTGGGGCCACCAAAGGTGAGTGGCTGGGGCTGGACTCATTCACACTGAACATGGATCCGGGGTGTGGGGCGGAGGGTAGGGTGAGGGGGGACCCGTGGGGGCGAGGGCCGACTCAGGACAGTGATCTTGTCAGCAGAGACATTTAGGAGGCAAAGTTCTCTGGATTTGAACTTTGAGCCTCAGCCTACAAGTGGCAATGAGTGGTAATAAAACAGTCAAGGGCGGTCAGGCGCAGTGGCTCATGCCTGTAATCCCAGCACTTTGGGAGGCCTAGGCCGGCAGATTACTTGAGTTTAGGAGTTCAAGACCAGCCTGGCCATCATGATGAAACCCCATCTCTACTAAAAGTACAAAAATTAGCCAGGCGTGGTGGTGCTCGCCTCTAATCCTAGCTACTAGGGAGGGTGAGGGAGGAGAATTGCTTGAATCTGGGAGGTGGAGGTTATAGTGAACCGAGATCTTGCCACTGCACTCCAGCCTGGGCCACAGAGCGAGACTCCATCTTCAAAAAAAAAAAAAAAAAAAAAAAAGAAAAGAAACAGTCAAGGCAAGAGGCCTCAGGAGGCGACCAGGGCCACCATCACACCATCACACTCAGAGCCCAGGGGAGGAAGAGGCCCCACAGCTGTTAAAGCTGGCCATTAATCTAAGAGCATGTGGAATCTTCTTTAATGAGAGCTACAGGCTGTCCCCGGAGGCCTTGCTTCTGGAAGGCAGGGTGCTGTTGCCAGCTCCCGAACAGAAATTCCATTAACATATTATAGCTGCAGTCCTAAGAACCTGCTTTTATGTTCCAAAGACAGAGGATAAATGGCCTTTATCATTTTTATGTGGCTGGTGTCACCGCAGAAGCTGTGCGTGGAAGGATCTGAGCTGTATTTCCTGTGTTTGGACCTTGTTTATTAGGTGTTTCAAGGTCTTTCTCCAGGAAGAAGTTGCATCTGGGCTGAGAAATGGCTCGGCCCATCCCAGAGCTGGATTACACAGGCCTCATTCAACATGGTCCAACTCTATGGGGCCCATGTAGAGACACTCATCACCTCCAGTTAAAACTGCAGGTGAAGCCTGAGCAGGGGGTGCCTGGGCCCATCTGCAGTGACTGCATCCACCCCTGGCCTGAAGCCTCGCTGAGTGTGGAAAGCCAGGCCCCTGGGCTCAGTCAGTGACTCCGCTGAGCAGACAGCCTCTCTCACCAGATGACCAGGTGAGGTGTCGCCAGGGCAGGAAGGCAAGATGCTGCAGGGGGAGCTTGCCCGGCTCTCACTGAGCATCCTGGAGCTGCTCTGCAGTGGGAAGGCAATCACCAGCCAACAGTGACACTGAGGCCTGGAGAAACAGAGTCACAGCCCAATGCCGCAGCCCTAGAGCAGACACGGCCCCTCCAACCAGCATCCTCTCCTCCTCTCAGGCTTTGGTGAGCCTGGGAGGGCCAGGGGCTTGGCCTGATGAGAATTTTTCTTTTTCGTTTTTCTTTATTTTTGAGACAAGGTCTCACTCTGTTGCCCAGGCTGGAGTGCAGTAGCGCAATCATGGCTCACTACAGCCTCAACCTCCTGGGCTCAAGCGATCCTCCCGCCTCAGCTCCCTGAGTAGCTGGGATTACAGGCACATGCCACGACACTGGGCTGACTTTGGTATTTTTTTGTAGAGACAGAGTTTCGCCATGTTGCCTGGGCTGGTCTCGAACCGTTAGGCTCAAGAGACCCGCCCCCCTCGGCCTTCCCAAGTGCTGGCATTACAGGCACGAACCACCGCGCCCTGCCAGATGAGAATCTTAAAGTCACCCCAAACTGGGCAGGTCCTCGCTGGGTTTGAAGCTGGGTGTATTCTGAGACGTCTGTGAAGGTCAGAACCAGAGCCGCAGCGCCGTCTCCAAGTTCCAGACTACTTAGTCAGGGCACAATCCATTTTCTTCATTAAAGAGCAGGTTCCTTGTCCATCTTTCAAACTAATGAGAAATCTTACTTGGGCGTGTTGAGCTGCTCCCTCCCCCGATTTTTTATTACTTTTCCCCAAAGCCTTCCCTGAATACAAATCTACACGGAGTGTGACTGCTCATGAGCTGTGAAGCCGAATTTAAGCCCCGGTCTGCTGAGCGTCACCCCAGGAGTCCAGGGCGGGGTCTGCTGTGTGGGGGCGGGGAGGACGCTCTCACTTTTGTCTATGGCTGCACAGAGATGCCACTCCTGTCTGTCAAGCACCGAGTTTCATGGGGAAATAAGAACCCTACAGATGAATCCTTTGTGTGCCCGAAACACTGCTGTCTGCCAGCGGGAAGGGAGAGACACCACAGCAAGGCTGCTGCAAAGCAGAGTGCCCCAAGGCGGGGTGGGGAGGGACAGGCTCCGGCTGCAGGACCTGGTGGACCACCAGGTCCAAGATGGCCACACTGAGCTGTCCCAGAAGACGCAGATCAGAGCAGGATGTGGCCAGTGTGCGTGGCCCATCAGGGCCTACCCTGGGAGAGCTGTTTTGCATGAGGAGGGGACATCATCCCCGTTGACAGTGCAGGGGCCTCCGCAGGGCCCAGGGAAGCAGCACGCACTGGCCCTCAGAAGGCAGGGGACGGACACCGGCACCTGCACAGGGCTGAGCTGACTCAGTTTTATAGGCTTGGCTCCCTACTCACCTGCCTCCCACCACCACCAAAGTGGGTAACAGCTCCTGCCCCTTTTTCTGGGAGAGGCTGGGGGTGGTGACACCGTTCATTCAAGGTCACGTAACTAAGGACAGAGCCTGTCTGAGCCAGGCAGGGTCTGCACACACAGCACGGCCATCTCAACCCTCTTCCTAGAGAGGTTCACCCGCCCTGCAGACGTCTGGGGAGCGGCAGGATGGACTGGGTCAGAGCAAGGGCCCTGGAGTCAGATAAACCTCGTTCAAACCCACCTGGCAACCGTGTGGCCTTGAGCAAGGCATGGACTTTTCCAGCATCCACCTTCTCACCTGCAAAACAGGGAGAAACGCTTCCTGCCTCCCAGGCCACAAGAGTCCAAGTAGGTGCCCAGGAAAGCCATGCTGCCCAGAGCTGCCCCCTGGGGCCATGCCCACACTCCCGGGGCACCCACACCTCCAGGAAGAGTACCCTGGCCAGCATGGCCTATGCCCACCTAGCTGGCGCTGAGTCAGAACCTGAGTCACGGGGCAGCTTCATCCAGCACAGGAGCTTGCGTGGGCACAGATGGATGGGCCCTGCCTGGGGGTGGCCTCTGCAGGCTGTGGCGGACTTGAGCGGCGTGAAGCCTGGTCATCAGTTTAGGAAATTTCAAACGTCCCACTCACGCTCCTGTGGACAAGGCCCAAGACGCAGCACACTTCCCCAGGGGGGCTTCGGATCCCGGAACATGTCTCAGGGAGCTCACAAAATGCTTTCATGAGCATGGGGAAGTGGTGAGGCCAGCCTTCCTGGTCTTCCAGAACTTTCCCCATAGGTCCTTTGCCAGGCAGGAAGCGGAGCTCCTCTCGAAATTTACTTTGCGGCTCCTGAACAGAAATGGGATTTGCTTCAAGAATCCTAAACAGGCCAAGCGCAGTGGCTCATGCCTGTAATCCCAGCACTTTGGGAGGCCGAGGCGGGCGGATCATGAGGTCAGGAGATCGAGACCATCCTGGCCAACATGCTGAAACCCTGTCTCTACTAAAAATACAAAAATTAGCCGGGTGTGGTGGCACATGCCTATAGTCCCAGCTACTCAGGAGGCTGAGGCAGGAGAATTGCTTGAACCTGGGAGGTGGAGGTTGCAGTGCACCGAGATCGCGCTGCACTCCAGCCTGGGCCACAGAGCGAGACTTTGTCTCAAAAAAAAAAAAAAAAAAAAAAAGAAGATCCTAAACAGAAAGCTGGGCTCTGGAACTGGCCCTTGTGGCGTTGGCATCCCTGCCCTGCACACTGTGGCCTCAGGTGCCCCACTGTGCAATGGGGTCTCAGCCTGCCTGGAGCCCAGGGCCCAGGCCACACCTGCAGCTTTCCTCCTCCAGCCAGTCACTCTTTGGGGCCCCAACCCCTCCTGGCCACTCCGGACCCACAGGCAGCCTGCAGGTGCCCCACTAGAGTGGGAACATAGGCCAACTTCTGACCCACCTGAGTTAGGCAGTCCAGGGACAGCAGGGTGACCGCATAGCCCAAGGTGGCTGCAGACGAATAGTCTTGGGCCAAATCCCATTCTGCCTCCCACGCCTGGTCCAGTCAGGTTCCCCATGATTCAAGATCACGGCCCTATCCCTCGCTGCCAGCGCTGGCTTCCAGCTCATGCAGACTTCACAGCCAAGCCAGCTTTCCTGCTATCCGGCTCTGTTTCAGCCCATTATTCCTCATTACTCCCAAACCACTGTCTACAAAGCCTCTCCCTCCTCCACCTTTGTGCCCTTCAACGGTTTGCAACAGGACTCATTTCTTGGCTAAGGGACAGGCCATCAGTCTTCTTAATCTGGCCTCATAAATCAGCCACCTGAGTACCCCCGGGCGCCTCCACTGCCCGCCCCCACCGAATTCCTGAATCCTCTGGCACCTCTTGGGGCAGCCCCAGGACCCCCAGCTCCCTCCTGGCGGGGGCAGCCATGACCCCAATACACCCAGCACTGTCCTTCTCCCCTCCCCTCCCAGGGCCTGTCCCCCAGGACAGGCTGAGGGCTCACAGCTGCTCTTGCAGGATCCCTGCCAGCAGCCTCAGCAGCTGCCTCCCCTGTCAGCAGGGCCTTCTCCTGGAACGGGACATCTTAAGCTTGTTGGGATCAATTGCCCGTGGCGTTCCAGTTAATCCCCCTGGCAGGCGACTGTCAGCTTTAGCAAGAGGAGGCGCGAGGACTTGTCAGGACATAGCCTTCCCTTAGGGTATGGAGAGCAGAAAGGGGCCAGTGGGGTCTGAAGGGCTTGGGGGGTAGCGGAAGCACCCCAGGGCCCGTGATCCCATCTTTACAAAACGCTCCTGGGCTTTAGCCCCCACTTATCCAGAGCAATGGGCAGGAGGATGAACCAGAGTCCAGCACCTGGCCTGGTGCAGTGGGCACTCAGGAAGGCTGGTAAAAGGCTGTGTGGACCTAGGTGGAAGCTCCAGTGAAGAGAAAAGAGTGTGTGTGTCGGGGGTGGGGCTGTGGGTGTGGGTGTGGGGGGTGTGGGTGTGGGGGGTGTGTGTGTGGGTATGTGGGGGGGTGTGTGTGTTTCCTGGTGGGGGAGAGGGCCTAGAGGTATCCTTAGCCTCTAACGCCGCCCGAAGATCCCCAGCCAGACGTGCCCTTTAAGAATCGTTTGAATCCAGGAGGCGGAGGTTGCAGTGAACTGAGATCGCACCATTGCACTCCAGCCTGGGCAACAAGAGTGAAACTCCATCTCAAAAAAAAAAAAAAAAAAAGATTCACACAGCCAGTCATTCAGCTGCAACTGATTCTGCATCTGCTGCGTTCTTAGCAGACCATGATAGAGACGCAGAGCTTGCCTGCTGAGGTGTTTCTGCCAGAAGGCTTCCTGGAGGAGGGGTGTTAACCCTGCAACAGGCTGAGGAGACGAGGGGGTCATCAGCTACAGCAGCGCTTCTCAGACTGGTCTGGGACCAGCACCTGGGAGCTTGTAGAAACGCTGATTCTCAGCAGGGATCAGCCACTCCTGGGCAGGGCCCAGCACCCAAGTCTTAAGTGACCAGGTGTTTCTGGGGAGACCCACTAGGCTGGGGCATGGGAGACTGGGTCCCAAGGGAACCAGCATCCAGGGAATTCTCTCCTTCGGCCAAGAGTTTGCGGCCTGACAGTGTTCTCTGCACTGTGGTCAAGGGGCTCATAGGTGGACAAAGTGTGTACTCGGAGCACTGGCAAAGCAGAAAACAGTTCTAGAAGAATCTGGTATTTAGTATTTTTCCGGAAAGCATCAACATCAGCATCATGGGAAACGCTAGTATCCTGATGGACGCTCAGTCTCTTTTATCCCCCAAATTAGGCATTAGGACAATTGTTCTAGGAAGTGAATGTGTGTTCAGCTTCTCCCGCACAGTTGACCATTTCTTTGCCCTCTCACTCTTGCCTCTTGGGACCTTCCTTCTGGAAATATTTTCCTTTAGAAATGGCTCAAGGGAGGCTCCAAGCTCACTTGGGATTGTCCGAAGATGCCGACATCTTGTTCTTGAAAGATATTTTTACTCAGTACAAATGCGAGGTGGGCAGTTATTTAACCTGTTCATACTAGTGTTTGGTGACGTTGTTTTCCAGGCCTGTGGTCTCTATTAGTGCGGTCAGGAAGTTGGTCTGCCACCTAGTTGCCATGCATTTGTAGGTAATTAGTCTCCTCAGCAGCTTCTTTTGAAACCGTCTCTTTGCTATTGTATATCACTGTGTTGGGTCCAAGCATGGAGTTTTTGTTTAATCCCTTGCTCATGCTTTATCATGTTCTCTGAACTGAAATTCGTGTCTTTTAACAATTCTGGAAAATCCTCAGCCATTATCTCTTTGAACAGCAAGTCTCGCCCCTCTCCCTCTTAGCGCTTTCTGGAGCTGCGAGCGGATGAGCATTCTCACTTCTCGCTCTGACCTTCCCTCTGAGCTTCCACCTCGCAAGTTCTGTCCTGCGTTGTACCTTCTGGCGGTTGCCTCAGCTCCATCTTCTAGTCCGCTGATTCCTTCCTGCACTGGGTCTATTTGCTGTTCAGCCAATGCACTGAGTTTCTCATTTCACTTATTACATTTTGCATTTCAAGAAGTTCTGTTTGACTCTTTTTTTCATATCTCCCTGAACACTTTTGTAGTCTGTTTTTCCTTGTCTATGCTCTCCATATTTTAAATGTCTTTAGAGATGGAGTCTCACTCTGTTGCCCAGGTTGGAGTGCAATGGCACGATCTTAGCTCACCACAACCTCTGCTTCCTGGATTCAAGTGACTCTCCTGCCTCAGCCTCCCAAGTAGCTGGTATTATAGGCAGGCGCCACCATGTCCAGCTAATTTTTTGTATTATTAGTGGAGATGGGGTTTTGCCATGTTGGCCAGGCTGGTCTTGAACTCCTGACCTCAGGTGATCTGCCCGCCTCAGCCTCCCAAAGTGCTGGGATTACAGGCATGAGCCACTGTTCCCGGCCTAGGATTTTTAAACTTATTTTTATTCTATTTCTGATCATTCAAACGTCAAATCTTTTGATCTAGTTTTACATGTATGGCTTCTTTCAACTGCGACTCACTGTGGAATGTTCTCTCCTAGGTTTTGCAGTTTGAGGCTGTGGGCCTGGCAGTGTTCTGTAGGGACCCGGTAGGACCCTGATGAGGGCTTGCTCTGGCCGTGTGCCCAGGTCCACCAACCCAACACCTCTTTAGGTTAATTTCTTGGCTTGGGGTTTCTGGACCACTCCAAAAATTTGAACCCGATCCCGAGCGATCCGCAGCCTAAACTGACACATTCTTAGGAAGGAATCCTTTTATCCACATTGATTGCAGAGGCCAGGACAAATGAATATCATTGTCATTTTTATTTGCTAGAAGTTTGTTGTTTTAGAGCCCTTACACTGAAGGTACAGCCTTTGAGGACTCCAGCTTGAGATAAGAGTCTTACGTGCCACTCCCAACCTTTTCTCAGCTCAAGATGTAGTGTCTTCTGTTCCCTGCACAAGGTCCCAGGCCCCAGATGTGGGCAAAACGCCTCAGGGCATCCAGAAGTCAGCGTTTGCTTCCTGTCTGGCATCAGTTTCCTCTTCATTTCTGGCTCTCAGAAATTTTCCTTACTCCCTTGCAAACTTAGCTGTGCGTTGAATAAAGAAGTTTGTGGCAACTTGTCCTGGATTTTTAGGGGTTTTGTAGCAGAAGCCCTCCTACCCCACCCCCGCCCCAGAAAGTCTGACTGTAGCAGAACAGGTCTCACTGCTTTACCAAACCATTTCTTCTTCCTCTGGGCTCACAGCTGGACCGCAGAGCCAGACTCCCCTGCACTGAGCACGGCCACGTGTCTGCGTTCTGTCCAGTGGGATGTGGGTGGGAGTGGTGGGCACCATTCCTGAGCCTGGCCCATAAAACCCTCCCACACAATGCTCCATGCCCTTCCCCTTCTTCAGTGGCCTTAGAAGCCTTAGGGTGACGATGGCAGAGCCATGAGATGGGTGTGCTTGTGTCCCTCATCACTGTTCACAGGAGAGCTGCCTGCCATGTCAGGGGTTAACAAGCAGGACGAAAACCCCTGGGACCAAGGGTGTGTCAGCTGGTGGGACAGCACAGTCCACGGGCCCACCATTTGCCAGAATCAAAGCCTCTCTTTGTGATCCCACAGCTTAGTGTCACATGCAGAATCGCTGTCTGGCGTAGGGACGTCAGGATGTTTATCTGGCCTGGCTCTCAGAAGGTGGGACGGCGGGTTACAGAGCCCAAGTGGCCCCTGGCACTGCAAATGGGACACTGGTGCTGAGAAAGATTCCGCCGCTTCTTCCCACCAAGGCAAAGCTCTAGGCAAGGCCCCACACTGGCCACCGAGCTCCAGACAACGCAGCTGTGGTCCTGCTCTCCAGGAATTCCTAGGTAGTCGGGGACACAGGCACACACAAAGGCGGCCCAGGGACAAGAGGACAATGGCCACAGCGCGTCTGAGGACAGGGGCCGTGTTACTCAGGCAACAGCACATTCAGGCCAAGGCTCCAGGGCCTGGGGGAGGACTATGCCTGTGCGGGGACCACATGGTCAATAGCACTGGAGTCAGAGCAGCAGGCGGCCTCCCCTGGGCTGGAACAGGTGGGACTCTAGGAGCAGCCCAGCCTTACCTGGCAGGAGACAGTGCACACTCCAGAGATGGGACGGACCCAGGGCTAGCAGGACTAGAAATTTCATCTCCAAAGCCATCGATGACACCTTGCCTGCAGTCACTGGAGTCCTCAGGCCACCCACTGTGCAAACATGTCATCAAGAAGCCATCAGAGCTCTAATGACTACAAAGAAGCTCTTCTCCCAGGGATGAGGACTGGCTTCCTGCGGCTGGCAACATTCCCACAACAGGCTCTGCAGTGACACAGCAGGCCAGAGGACGGGTGTCAGGACTCCCAGCTGGGAACCCAATGCACGCAGCCTTCTCTGCTCCTCTCAGCAGCCCGCCAGGAGAAGTGCCACCAGCCTGCCGGCTGCCAAGGCTCAGGTGCGGCAGATGGGCCACCACTCACACGGGCTGGAGCCAGGGTTTGAACCCAGCCGTACCCTCTGATTTATGTGTCAGGCTGGCTGGGCTACGGTGCCCGGTTGCTCAGCCAAATGCAAATCTAGATGTTTCTGTGGAGGTATTTTGTGGCTATGACTAACACCTACAATCAGTTAACTGTGAGTAAAAGCAATTACCCCTCGTCACCTGGGTGGGCCTCATCCAATCTGCTGAAGGCCTTCAGAGGAAAAACAGAGGCTTTCCAAAGAACATAGAATCCCACCCAGAGACTGTGACATAGAAATCCTGCCTTAGAGGCCGGGCGCGGTGGCTCACACCTGTAATCCCAGCACTTTGGGAGGCTAAGGCGGGCGGATGTGATGGGCGAGGTGATGGGGAGTGATGGGGAGGTGATGGGGGAGGTGATGGGGAGTGATGGGGAGGTCGTGACGGTGAGTGAAGAAGGAAGAGGTGATGGGGAGGTGAAGGAGGAGGTGATGGGGAATGATGGGGAGGTGAAGGAGGAGGTGATGAGGAGTGATGGGCAGGTGATCGGGGAGGTGATAGAGAGTGATGGGGAAGGTGATGGGGAGTGATGAGGAGGTGACAGCAAGTGAAGGAGGAGGAGGTGATGGGGAGGTGAAGGAGGAGGTGATGGGGAGGTGAAGGAGGAGGTGATGGGGAGGTGAAGGGGAGGTGAAGGAGGAGGTGATGGGGAGGTGAAGGAGGCAGTGATGGGGAGGTGAAGGAGGAGGTGATGGGGAGGTGAAGGAGGAGGTGATGGGGAGGTGAAGGGAAGGTGAAGGGGAGGTGATGGGGAGGTGAAGGGAAGTGAAGGAGGAGGTGATGGGGAGGTGAAGGAGGAGGTGATGGGGAGGTGATGAGGAGTGATGGGAGAGGTGATGAAGGGGAGGCAAAGGAGGCGGTGATGGGGAGGTGATGGGGAGGTGAAGGGGAGGTGAAGGGGAGATGATGGGGAGTGATGGGGGGGTGATGAAGGGGAGGTAAAGGAGGAGGTGATGGGGAGGTGAAGGGGAGGTGATGGGGAGTGATGGGACAGGTGATGAAGGGGAGGTGATGGGGAGTGATGGAGGAGGTGATGGGGGAGGTTTCCCCTACCTTCCATGCTGCCTTGGGAAACGGAGAGCTCCTGGACTGCACCTGTTCAGTGTTTATCCACAGTGACCGGGAGGTTCTTGAGAAAGAAAGTGCCACTCAGAAGCCCATCTGCTCCTCCTCCCCTCCACCCCATGCACCACAGGACATAAATCCCAGATGAAAAAGGAGGCCGGAGCTGGGGTCACACCCAGAGCCACCCATTGCCCCCATCACTGCAGGAGGAGGCCCCAGGGCCTGGGTGCAACCCACAGCCTCCCTGTCCACCTCCCGCGCTTCCTGCAGCCTGGGCCAGCCCTGTGACCTGATGAGGATCTATTTTAGTCGCTACACTGCAGGGCAGAGAAAAATTGCTCCTCTGCACCGTCCCCTTCGGTCACCCCATTTCAGAGCAGAGCCCCTGGGTTTTAGGATCAAAGAGCAGTGGGAAGCTGAGAGCACGGCCTGTCCATTAATCAGCTGTTAAGGACTCCCAGAAGCCCACAGAGGTCTGCAAAGAGTGGTTTATTTTCCCTTACATCCTTAAAACCTGTGGCTCTAGCCAGAAAGAGCGTGGGCGTCAGAGTCCACCGGTCAGGGCTAGTCCTGGTGATGCCCTGTGGGTGGGGTCCCTGGAGAGGTTGCTTCACCTCCCCCAGCCTCCATTCCTCATTCGCAGAAGCAGGAAGGAGAACACCGCTTCAGCAGGCTGGCATGCGGGTGAAGGGCGGTGAAGCCCAGGCACCCACCCCTGCACCCTGTGTCTCTCCCCAGGCCCTGCTTCGGGCTCCTTCCTCCATCTTCACTGTGCCAGGCCCCCAGCCAGAGAGGGGATTTAAAGGAGAATCTGGCTTTGTCCCCGCCTGGAGAAGCTCATGTGGATATAGAACCTGTGACACCTAACACCATTCGGGGGTGCAAGGAGAGCGGGAGTGGTGGTCACAGAGGTGACCCCAGTACCAGGAGCAGCATGGGCCAAGGCCCAGGGGCAAGACAGCCCTGTGCTATTCTCTGAGTCCTTTCCTCCATCTCTCCACTGTGCAAAGCGTGGGATTACAATGCACATTACAAGGGCTGGGAGACTTAGGGAGGCAGTTTCCTGAGCCCCGTGGATACTCCCAGAGATGGGCTCTGAGGCTTTCCTCGCAGGCCAGGGCTGTGGGGGCCTGAACCACCTCCTTCTTTGCAAAGGGACAGCCTGGAGCCACAGCCCAGGGCTGCTGTGAAGTGGTGCATCTTTTCACCAAGTCACTTCTGGATGTGACACAGACTGGACCTCATGAGTGAGGCCCCCAGGGAAACCTCCCAGCCAGGTGGCTGAGCCCCACACCCAGAGGAGGCCAGCCTCAAAGGGAAGACACAGCCAGGAGGGGACAGCGCCTGCCCTTCCTCCGGCCACTGCACCTGCTGTGCACCGGCGCTATAGCACAGCTGGGCAGAGTGAACCGCTGTCACCTGACTTCACCCACATAGCAATTTGTATCTCTGAGACACTGGGAAATTGAGGCACAGGTGGAAATGGCAATCCGTAGGTTAACACAGCTCAATCATTCAGAGCACCTGGACCTGGAGACATCTCAGCTCTGCCACGTCCTTCTTGCATGACCTCTATGCAGTGAATGCCCTGTGCCTCAGTTTCCCCATCTGTAAATTAAGAACCATCACTGCTTCCTTGTGGGTCGTGATCAGGATGGAAGAACACATTAAGAAGCCTCCTCAGATGCCTAGCATGTAAGAAACCTTGATTAGAATTACTACTCAGACCACAGAGCCATTTCATTATTCTTATTTTTGCCATTAAGCATGCTGTGAACATTTGTGAAATAAATGATTTTTCCTGGTGTTTTATGAAATGTTTAGACACACAACAAAATTGAGAAAAAGTGTTTAGTGGGCCGGGCATGCTGGCTCATGCCTGTAATCCCAACACTTTGGGAGGCCAAGGCGGGCGGATCACAAGGTCAGGAGATCGAGACCATCCTGGCTAACATGGTGAAACCCCATTTCTACTAAAAATCCAAAAGATAAAAATAAAAATTAGCCAGGTGTGGTGGCAGGCGCCTGTAGTCCCAGCTACTCAGGAGGCTGAGGAAGGAGAATGATGTGAACCCGGGGTCGGAGCTTGCAGTGAGCCGAGATAGCGCCACTGCACTCCATCCTGGGTGACAGAGTAAGACTCCAACTCAAAAAAAAAAAAATGTTTAGTGATCATTCTTATGCCCATCACTTAGAATTCTACCATTTATGTAGAATAATACTTGCTTTATCATATATCCATCCAGCCATCCCGCTCTCCACTCAGCAATACATCTTATTTTTCAATGCATTTCAAAGAAAATGGAAGACATCAGCACACTTCCTCCAAATGCTGCAGTGTTTATTATTTCTCATGTAACATTTACATACAAGGAAATCTGCAAATCTTGAAAGACACTTTCTGGATGTTGACAAATGCATACCCCTGTGTAACCCAAACCCCATCAAGATGGACATCACTCACCATCATCCCAGCATGAAGCTTCTTCGTGCCTCTCCTCAGTCAACCCTGCCCCTACTCCCAGGAGGCAACCACCGTTCTGAGGGCTTTTTCCCACCATAGATTGATTTTTTCTGTTCTAGAATTCCATATAATATAGGGCATGATTTCATAGCACAGTACGGCGTGTACTTGTATTAGTTTATGCCTGTGAAACAAATTACCCCAAATTAGCAGCTTAAAACAACAACATTTATTATTTCACAGTTTCTGTGGCTGGGAACCAGGACGCAGCTTGACGGGGCCTCTCTGGTGTGGAGTCTCTCCAATGCTGCCATCCACACATGGGCCGGGGCTGGCTGGATGGAGGCTCTGTCCCTTGAGGGCTGTAGACTGAGGGTCTCCGCTCCTTGCTGGGTGTTGGCCAGAGGGTGGCATCTTCGGTTCCTCGGCTCGTGGGCTTCCACAGGGCAGCTCCCACATGGAGCAAGACAGGAGCCAGCATCTTTCTGTCATCCACTCTTGGAGGCAGCATCCCACCACTTATGCCATATTCTACTCATTAGCAGGAAGTGGGTGACCAGGTCCTGCTCACACGCCCAGGAGGGGTCATACCCAGAGCAGGGACAGAGCAGCCACCATTGAGACCCGTCTGAGCAGCTGTCCCTTGCAGTGCTCTGGCTTGGGTGGAGCGCCTCTCACTTGGCGTGTTCCTGAGACGCCCATGGCCTGCCCGTCACAGCTGCGAACAGCACTCCTGGGGCTCCCTCCAAATGCCCACCTGGCTGCAGGAGGGGGCCGCAGTGACAGACCTGTGCCCATGTCCCTCTGCGTGGCTGCCTGGAAACACGCCCCCTCCCTGTGGTTGCAGGCGGCCTGCACCCTGACCTGCAGCCAACCGAAGCCCAGAGGTCCTGACTTTTGCCTCTCCAAGCCTCCCAGGAACATGTGCTTTGTGGGGACACCCCATGTTGATGGGGACACCCCATGTTGAGAACATGTAGAGGGGGTGCCCTGGGGAGCGGAGAGAAGCCCCTGAGCCCTGAGTTCAGCATCAGACCCGGTGCCGCACATAGTCCCTATCTGCCCATTGAGGGTGACCCTGGGCCACAATCACTCAGGGGCTGACAGTGGGACTGCAGCCCTGTCCTGAGTGCGCCCACCTTCGCAGGGGATGCAGGAGGTGAGGATAGGACCAGGAATCTGGCTCTCCTCCTGAGATGGGCAAGCCCCTCCCTCTCAGAGAGGAAATGGACAGGAGGCATGCAAAGTCTGCGCAGAGAGGCAGAGAGGGAGAGACAGAGAGAGGGAGGGAGACACAGAGACAGAGGAAGGGATGAACATAGAGAGATAGATGAGAGACAGACAGAAAAAAGGAGGAAGAGACAGAGAGAGAGGATGGGAGCGGGAGGAAGAGACAGAAAGATTGAGGGAGGGAAAGAGAGAGGGGGAGGAATAAAGGGAGGGAGAGAGTGAGACAGACAAAGAGACAAACAAAGCGAGAGGCAGAGACAGAAAGACAGGAAGAGGCAGAGAATGAGACAGGGAGAGAGAGGTAGGGATGGGTGCGGACAGAGGCAGGGAAGGCTAAGGGCTGGGGACAGTGAAGGAAGAAGTCAGTGCCTGCAGGAGCCCGTCCCTCCCCACGGCCTCCAGGCATGTCCGAGGAGGCACAGAAGCCTCTTCCTGGAGTTCAGGGCCAGCCCTGGAGATGAGGAAGGCCGGGCCCCAGCCCGTGAGCTGCAGGCAGGGTGGTGGGAGCTGCGTATGGCCTGGCAGGTCCCTGCTCAGGAGGGGCCTGGGCCCCGTCCAGCTGGGGAGTGGGTGCAGCAGACCCTTCAGCAGGGCAGGGCGCCTCCCAGCCCAGGAGCTCAGAGAGGCCCGGCCACCTCTCTGCCCCCATCCATCAGCCCGGCTCTTCCTCAGTCTGCCCCTCCAGGCTGTGCCTCCTTGCACTGTGCCAGGGCACTGTACAGGGCCCTGTAGCCGAGCCCTGTGGCCTAAGATGTGCACCCCTCGTGCCAGTGGCCCTGGCTTCTTCCAGACCACAAGTGGCCCTGGGGACCGCTCTGCCCAGGCAGAGCCCCCACAGCCACTCCTCTTGGGCCCCAGACCCTCTCTCCTCCTCCTCGCTGCAAACTCCCTCCTCTCTTTTCCGCACTCTCCAAGTTCTCCTTTGGGCTTCTGGAAACAAAGATCAGGGTGGCTCGAGGACCACACAGCAAGAGTGCGCCAGAAAGAGAGGAGGGGAGATGGAAAGAGGAAGAAACAGGAGGCAAAAACCCCACTGCACATCACCCATCCAAGGGTGAATCCAGCCTCACAAAGAAATGAATCACCGAGGTGGGAATGGGGAGCCTGCCGCCCTGGAGACAGCACGGCAGCTCCTCAGACACTTTAACCTCCTGACCCAGCAACACCACCGCTGGGGACGCACCCAACAGAGGTGAACGCAGGGACTCGGGAGCCATTGGCACGCCCAGGGTCACAGCAGCACTCCTCACAGTAGCCAAAATGTGGAAGCAACCAAGGGCCTCTCAACGGGTGGATCCAAACCCAGTGCGGTGTAGACACGTGACGGGAATCCCACTGCACCTGAAGAAGGGAGAAAAGTCCGACACGCGCCACAGCATGCGTGAACCTCGAGAACCTCAAGAACCTCGAGAACCTCGTGCTAAGTGAAATAAGCAGTCATAAAAGGACAAATACCGTGTGACTCCACTCACACTCGTGGTTCCTGGCATGGTCACACTCATGGAGACAGTGGCACGGTGGCTGCCGGGGACTGGAGAATGGGAGTTCGTGTTTAATGCGTACCAAGGGTTTTGGTTTTGCAAGATGGAGAGTTCTGGGGATGGGCGGTGGTGATGATCACAGAACATTAGGAACATTCTCTTTTTTTAACTTCTGGGATACATGTGCAGAACGTGCAGGCTTGTTACATAGGTATACACGTGCCGTGATGGTTTGCTGCACCCATCAACCCGTTATCTAAATTTTAAGCCCCGCATACATTAGGTATCTGTCCTAATGCTCTCCCTCCCCTTGGACCCCACCCCCTTGACAGGCCCCAGTATGTGATGTCCCACTCCCTGTGTCCATGTGTTCTCACTGCTCAACTCCCACTTATGAGTGAGAACATGCAGTGTTTGGTTTTCTGTTCCTGTGTTTGTTTGCTGAGAATGATGGTTTCCAGCTTCATCCATGTCCCTGCAAAGGACATGAACTTATTCTTTTTTATGGCTTCATCCACGTCCCTGCAAAGGACATGAACTTATTCTTTTATATGGCTTCATAGTATTCCATGGTGTATATGTGCCACATTTTCTTTATCCAGTCTATCACTGATGGGCATTTGGGTTGGTTCCAAGTCTTTGCTATTGTAAATAGTGCTGCAGTAAACATATAAGTGCACGTGTCTTTACAGTAGAATGATTTATAATCCTCTGGGTATATACCCAGTAATGGGATTGCTGGGTCAAATGGTATTTCTGGTTCTAGATCCTTGAGGCATCGCCACACTGGATTCCACAATGGTTGAACTAATTTGTACTCCCACCATCAGTGTAAAAGTGTTCCTATTTCTCCACAGCCTCACCAGCATCTGTTGTTTCCTGACTTTTTAATGATCGCCATTCTGACTGGCATGAGATGGTATCTCATTGTGGTTTTGATTTGCATTTCTTTAATGACCACTGATGATGAGGTTTTTTTCATAAGTTTTCTTTTGAGAAGTGTCTAGGAACATTCCTAATGCCACTGAACTCTACACTTAATAAGAATTAAAATGGTAAATTTTACGTCATTTGTGTATACTTCACCACAGTTTCTTAAAAGGCTAATTTTTTTCAGGGAGGAGCTGAGAGTCAGAGGGTGGGAACAGCCTGGAGTGACAGGGAAGTTTCTCGAGACAGTGACGCCTAAGTGGGGGCTTGAAGGGTGAAGAGCCCAGCAGAGGTGGGAGAAGGGCAGAGCAGGGCAGGTCAGCATGGCTGGTCCATGAAGCCACGCTGGGCAGTGGGTGAGGACTGGAACGCCCAGAGCCCTGCAGGCATCGGGCAGGTCCCGGGAGCCATGGAACCACTGAACTGAGCTGCAGAGGTGGGGTCAGCTGGTGTTTCTCCTTCACCAGGCTCCCAGTGAGAAGGGATTGAAGGGGCAAAGTGGGCGGGCAACCCAAAAGCAGCATCCCAGGAGGACAGGGCAGGGGTGCCAGGCAGGCCATCGGGCAGGGGTGCCGGGCAGGCGATCAGGCAGGGCACGGCCCCTCATGGCCCAGGGAAGTCACCCCCCACTCTCTGACAGGCTTGCCAACTTCACAAAGAAGAATAAGGACAGTCAGTTAAATCTGAATTTCAGATAAGCAACAAATAACTTTTTAGTGTGACTATGTCCCAAATACCGCATGGGACCTGTTCACACTGTAAACGTGTTCCTGGCGTGTTCAATGTTCTCATGTAGCCAGGTGCCCTGGGTCTCATCTGGACGCTGCCCTCTGAGACTCCTGCCTCTCATCTGGAAAGCCGGTGGTCACTGCCTCAGCAAGGCTCTCCCCTCTGGTTCTTCAGGAATCCCCAGCCAGTCCTCCCGGACCACCCAGCCAGGAAGACCCCCACCCCCAGCCCCGGTCACGGTCACTCCACCGGCTCTGCTGCCTTCTTGGCACTTGCAGGCTCTGAAACGGCCCAGCTGTGTGCCTGTCTGTCTGGAATCTTTCTCCCACTCTGAGGTGCGGGCTCCGTGAGCACAGGGACCCATCACCACTGTGTCCCCAGCACCTAGCAGAGGCTGGGCGCGCGTGGGTGTGCAGCCATGATTTACTGAAGATGACACAGATGCCTCCCTGGAGGGGCAGCCTGAGGGGAACAGGAAGATGAGGGTGAGTGGGGCGGGGCCCCGTGCAACTGCTGTTTCTGCCCCACCATTCCCCTCCTGCTGATGACCGGCCCCCTCTCCTCTGAGGCTCAGGCTGGCCTCTGCCCAGGGGACGAAACGCCCCTAGCTCTGTGCAGATGTGGGCCGGCAGATCCGCACCAGCCCGGCCTGGCCCTACCCCCACCCCTCCCGACAGGACCAGCCTCCTCCTCCACAGATTCCCACGGCAGCCTGTTACCATGGTGACAGCAATCGGAGGTCACTGCGCTAGAAACCGGAGGATGCCTCCCTCCTGGAGCACAACAAGAGTCAGAATCTAATTTTCATTATAGCCATAATAGTGGTTTTGCATAATCTTACATATATTAATACCTAACATGCCTGTGTTTATTTGGTTAAAATTCATGAATTCGGGTCTAAATAAAAAGTGCTGATGGCTGAAGTTTTTCATTCTCTTAAAATGTTCTTGTGTTATTTTTTTTTTTTAAAGCCAGTCTCTCTCCTTGGCAGCAACTTGCTTTTAATCCCATTATTAACGGGGAAGAGAGAGGATGACAAATCAGGGTTCTCCTCCCCAGGGGCCGAGCCTCTGGCTGTGGAGGTGGCATGCAGGTGCCCGTCACCCCTAGCCTCTGCCTCGCTGTGTGGCCCAGACCACACCCTGCTGCCATTCCAGGCCTGTTTCCTCAAGTGGAAAAATAAGATAAGGTGTTAGTTGGTCTTTGAAATCCCTTCTGCTTCCAAAACACAGCCACGGAGCTGACATTTGCTGAATCTCAACCTGCACCAGGCTCCGGGTGGGAGGAGTAAACACAGTCCCTGTCCTTGGGTCAGCGCAATCTGATGGGGACTTACTCAAGAAACAGTGCAGGCTGGGCATGGTGGTTCATGCCTGTAATCCCAGCACCCGAGGCGGGTGGATCACCTGAGGTCAAGAGTTCGAGACCAGCTGGCCAATGTGGCAAAACCCTGTCTCTACTAAAAATACAAAACTTAGCCAGGCATGATAGCAGGCGCCTGTAATCCCAGCTACTCAGGAGGCTGAAGCGGGAGAATCGCTTGATCCTTGCAGTGAGCTGAGATCTTGCCACTGCACTCGAGCCTGGGCAACAGAGCGAGACTCCGTCTCAAAAAAAAAAAAAAGAAAGAAAAAGAAATAGACAGTGCCAAACGGTGAACAGATTATTCTTCCCACGTGACCCTCTCGCCCGGGTCCAGCAACTCAGCCACAGCAGCAGAGTATGGGAACCAGGCCTGCCTCCTCCCCAGCTCCACAGGCCCCCAGCCACCCAGCGGCCATGAGAGCACCCTGCCATGAGCATTGTTCTAGGTCCCCGACGCCCCAGGCCCCATGCCTGAAAATGGGGGAGGAGACACTGCCACCCCTCCCTTGAGAGAAGCCTCAGCTTGACACCCACCCCGCTGGGGAAAGAACAGCAGAGACACACGGAGAAATTCTTAAATAGGCTTCTGGGCTTTTATTCAAAACAACACTGGTGGTGGCTGCCGCTTGGTTTCTCTACACCCGGGCCATGGGCCAGCAGGTACCAGCGCCATCAGCAACTAGGAGGGAAGTTCATTCACACCATAGAAACTGTACAGCGACTGAGAGTGCTAGAGTCACGGCGGCGGCCCAGGCCGAGGGCTTTCTGGAGGAGGTGGCCTCTGCCTCCTCAGTAGGCTGCAGCTTGGCCCAGGCTCTGCCAGGAACACTGATTATTGCACAAAGACAAAAAAGAGTATGTGTATCTGGGCTAAAGAGCAGCTTCTAAGACCCCAAGCCCTTACACAACGCAGCAAACGGGGCTGGGGTTGGCCCTGGAAGCGGAAGGCTCTGAGCTGAGGATTTGGGGGAAGACAGCAGACGGGCTTTACACACTTTGTCCTCCTTTAAGGGGCTGCCTGGTGCCGGAGAAGGTAGAGCAGGGGAGAGGAAGAGGATTTGGCCAGACTGGGCCGTCTCTGCACAGATGCCAAGGTGCCTGCCCACCACCGCTCTACGGAGCCCAGCAGACAGCTCAGGGACCTGGGTCCCCACTTTCCCCACAGCCAGGCCCATGTGGGTTAGGGCAAGTTTGTGCTTTTGTGATAGACACAAGCCTGAGGCCATGGCCCCAGACCACAGGGTTGGGGAGGAAGGAAGGGCCCTTTGCCCAACCCTCACCCATGTTGACTTGTCCTGGCCAGTGGATCACAGCTTCCCTGGTTCTCATCTCTGTCACCCACAGGAACAAGGTCAAGTGCCTGGGATCGGCAGGTGGGGCCTCCAGGAGCCTGGGACGGGCCAGGCCATCTCCCAGTGCTCCCTGCAAGGAGCTTCTCTGCCTCTGAGCTCAGCTCTTCCACCTTCTCCACACTCCCTGCTCTGTGGACCCTGGAGCCTTCGCTCATGCCCATCCCTTTGCCTAGAACACCTGCCTCGAGGTGTCTGCTTGCAGAGTCACACGGTTCAGGGTAAGGGGAGGTTTCACGTCAGACCTGCCTAGGACGTGTTCCCTGCTCAGCTGCTCTGAACCCATGTGACAACAGGAAAGGCTGCTCAGTGGAGTCGCAAGATGACCTGAGGCTGCTTGACTGGTGTCTGATCCTGTTAACTTGAAGCCCAACCTTCCACATGGTATTCCCAGGCCACACAGCCCCTCTTCTGGGCTCCAATACACGTGTCCCTCCAGCAACACGCGGACTTGCAAAAAGTCAAGTCTGTCTGCTTCCCTCCAACTGCGAGAGCTCAGGGTCAGCCAGGAGCAGTCAAGCCTGCCCAGCTCCACTTCTTCCCCAGACAAGGTACCTCGTTCCACATAAAACCACCTCTGTGGAAAGGGAGGCAGGGCTGAGGCTCTCTGGAGCGGGCAGTGTTGGGCTTGGACCGAGCCATCCCCACAGGTCTACCTGCCCCCAGGGAGGACTGGGCAGTTCCTTCCGCCACAGGCACCTTGCTCAGCATCACAGCTCTAGGGTGTGGAGTAGGGCCCTCCACACCACCCCAGCTTCTTTGCTGCCAGGGCCCTGAAGCATCCTGGGCTGGCTGCTTCCCCTCTCCAGGGCTCAGTTTCCCGGGTGGGCTTGACAACCCCTCCCGGCCCCCTCTCCCTCAGCCCAAAAGGGAAGGGCGCACCCCACACCCTCACCAGCCCGGCCACAAGCTGAGTTCTTCCAAGTCAGAGTTTGGGAACAAGAACAAGGCCCCCCCTTGGCAGGCCCCCCTGAAGCCCTCGGAGGGGGTCTTAGCAAAGGCAAGGTTATTGCTGAAGTACAGCATCTGCAAACTCGTGGCCCCTGCAGCCTCTCCAGATCACTGCCACCAACATGCTCCCAACCTCCTTCTTCAAACTGACTTCATGAAAGTCACTCCCTTTTTAAAAAGTAGCCTTGACCTAAGCAAAATGTCTGTGAAATCACGGGTTCAATGCATTTTTTTCCCAATAAATAGTGAAATAAATGCGTAACTCTTCAAATCAAACACCCAAGTCTAGAACCCGTTTGGGAAGCACTGCTATAGTGAAAGCTGAGCTGCAGTTAGGGGCAGCGGGGAGGAGAGACAGGGGCTGGCAGGTGGGGTGGGAAGATGTGGCCTCCAGGTGACGCGAAAGGCTGGGCATGGGGATGCGGCTGGACCCAGGGCCCAGGCAGGTGCCCCCACCCCTGCCTAGAATTCGGTCAGAGCTGCTTTGCCTTGAACCTACTGGGGCGGGGGCATAGTTGCTCAGGACGGGGACAGCACAGTGTCCAGGAACAGCCACAGCTCAGCGCCCATATGGGGGATAAAAGGCATTAGTGGCTGAACAACTAACTACCTGAGCCCAGGGGCACCTGCAGGGCAGCTGGAGCCAGCCGAGACCAGGCGGGTACCCTAGCCCCTCCAAGCAAGCCACTGCCGGCTCAGTCTCCCGCACCCTTCCTCTGCAGGCTGCCTCCACTCCTGCTCCACCCACCCCCGCCCTCCTGGGGGTGGAACCCACCCCCTCAGAAGTGCTCAGGAGCTGGGGACCTCACCTGGGGCCAGAGCCCCAGCTCAGCCTTGGAGCTGCTCTCCATCCCCTACCCCAGGCCTAAGGAAACACAGCTACTCACCCCTGATTTTTCTAAAGAGAGACATCTAACCGGTGGACTAAGGGGATGTGTGTGCTCTGGGGTGTCTACGAAAGACTTCACAATAACGAGACAGTCAGGATGACAGGACAGACACCCCGACACGTGGGAGCCACGTGGGATCTTAGCAGCGTTTCTTCTTTAAAGGAAAAAAAACACACACACACCCTGAATTGCACCTCTTCTCCAGGGCCTGGTGCCCTCAGAGGCCTGAGGGTCCTCTCCAAGCTACTCTTAACCAGGGAGGAGACATCAAAAAACACAGCTGGGACGCCCCCGCAGGACATGTGCCCTGGGGTGGGTCTGGCCAGAATCCCAGAGCATCAGACAAAAGCCCCGTCCAGGCCCTGGCCCACCTCCCACCTTTAGCACTTTCTGGAAGTCATAAGCTCTCAGTAAAAAAAATAAATATATATATATATGTCTGTCTATGTGTGTGTGTATACACATATATATATATATATATATATATATGCATATATATATATATATGTATGTATATGCACTGGAAGGGCCACCATGGGCCACGCAGGCCTGGCTAACCCAGACTCCGCTCAGCCCGGCTGTCGGGCGCCTGTGCCCTGCGGGCCCTGCGCGATCCCAGGTGTGGACGAAGTATTGCTGTCTGCTCCTGGCTCCTGAGGTAAAGAAGGTGAGACGGGGCGGGCGGTGGGCGGCCGGGGGCCCCTGCGACCCTCATCTCTTCCTCTTGCTGGCGGCGTCTCCCGGCTCCAGCTCTCCGGGGAGCGGTTGCGGCGGGGGCGCCAAGGGGCCCAGGCCCATGGGCAGCGGTGCCCGGCCGGGGGGGTCCTTGCTGCGGTCCGCGGCCCACGAGGGGCTCCGGGCCAGGCCGTGGGCCAGGGCGGCGGCGTGGGGGCGGCCGGGGGCGGCCAGGCTGCTGGTGCTGCTGAACTTCCTGGCGGGCGTGAGGCCGGGGGCTGGCGGCGGGGGCGGCGGGCAGAAGAGGGAGGTGAGCGAGAGGCTGCTGAGGGTCTCCGAGTGCTCGCTGCCCGCGCCCCCGCCGCCCGCGCCACCGCGGCCCTCCTCGTCCGAGGGGTCCATGGAGTCGTGGTGGGTGCAGCCCGGGCTGGTGGAGCCCCCGCTGCTGTGGCTGCGCTGATGCGCCCGCAGCCCCCGCAGGCTGAAGAGGCCCCGGCCGCGCAGGCTCAGGCGGCGGCGAGCGGCGGGGGACAGGCCGGCCCGGGGTCCTGGAGCAGGCGCGGGCGGCCCCAGGGCACGCCGGGGGCTGTCGCTCAGGGTCAGGCTGTCCTCGAGCGTGGTCTGCAGGCTGCCCGCGGAGCTGCTGGGGCTGGCGTCCAGCGACGTGTCGCTCCCGGTGGCCTGGGGGGAGGTGGGAGCCGTGGAGGCCGCCTGTGTCGGCCCCCACCCCAGCAACCTGGACGCCGCCCTCCCCCGCACAGCAGGCAGCAGGCAGACCCCATCCAAGGAGCTCCCTTCGGAGCAGGGCTTCTCCCCTCCGCACGTCCAGCTTAGGCGGCGTCACCGCAGGGCCTTCACCTGCCCCGAGAGGTCCCCCGAGAGGAGCTAGCATCCGCCTCAAACCCAGGTCAGACCCGGCCCTGCCCGTCACAGAAGGCTCCAGGCTCACTCCAAGGGGAAGCCCTGGGCCCACCGCCCTCCCCCAGGGCACGTGGCACCCCCACCGCACCCCCCATGGTCTGACGCGGCCCCAGCCTTGGCTGCTCCCACTGGTTCCGGTCCCTCCCACTTGCTCCGGCCCCTGGCCCCCACCTCCCGGCCCCGTGGGCCCCCCACCTCCCAGCCCCAGAGCCCCCCACCTCCCAACCCCGGGGCCCCCCACCTGCAGCCCCTCCCCAGGAGCTGTTCTCCCTGCCTGTCCACCATGGAGTAGACTTTACTCTGCAGACATTTATTTTGGTTATCATCCCTCCTGCACCCAGGCAGCTCACTCTCAGCACTAAACAGTGAGCCCGGCAGGCAGGGAGTTTGTGTCCTGCCCGCCAGAGCACACAGCCTGGTGTGACGGGTCAGACAGTCACCCAGTGAATCAACTGCACTCACTGTGGGAGCCGGCCCGGCCCCATTTCCCCACCCCCACAGCGGAGCCCTCAGTGCTTCAGACCTCTGTGTGCCCGTGGGTAGGAGGGCTGTGGCCCTGGCCAATCCAGTACGGGGGACCCTGCAGCCCGAGGCTTCTCATCCACCAGACCCGCCCTCCCACCTCCATTCCTAGTAATCAAGCCCCCACTCACACCCACCCAGAGCACCCAGGGTGTCCTCCCCACTGCCAGCACCCCGCCACCCTGCAAAACCTCCAGTACTCCTCCTCCTCTCCTCCCCTCCCCTCAAGCTAGGGATCACAGGCCTCTTCCAGACCCGCCTTGGGGTCCTCCCCACACTCTGCTGTCCCCAGGACCCAGCCCCGCCCACTCCATCCGCCCCAGTGCCACCTCCCCCTCCAGTCTCAGCGTCACCCCAGCGTTCCCAAACCCCCTTGCACGGTGGTGCCCTCGGCCTTTGGTTGGGTCCTTCCCCTCCCAGTCCCTTGGACTTCCAGGCCTGGCTTAGATCCTGCCCCTTGCCCACAGACCAGTGCTCTAGGGCCTGGGAGGTGTCGGTACCTGCCGGAGGAGGGTACAGTTGACCCTTGGTGACCGCAGAGATGCCCAGGAGCCCTGCAGCGCAATCTTGGGGAGGGTTCCAGTGCCAGTGCCCTTTTCTGGGCCTTTCTGGCTGGCAGACACTGCAGGGTGGAAGAACTCGGCTGGCATGGGCAGGAGAGGGCTGGAGGCATCCGGGGAGAAGGGACTTGGGGGTGCTGCTGGGAAAGGAGAAGACAGAGCTGAGGGAGCACGCTCAGGCCAGGGGGCAGCCCCTGGAAGGTGGCATTGAGCACCAATCTCACTGGGCCAGCAGTGAGGGGCCACCTAATAAACTGACTGTGAGACTGTGGACAAGTCCCCCCTCTCTAAGCCTTCGTTTCCCCATTGTGAGAGCAAGAGAGAAATCCTGAAGCAGCCCTTTTGATTCCAGGGGGCGGGGGCCCTGGGCAAAGACACAGCTTTTGGAGGCAAGCAGACGCGGGCTCAAGCCTAGCTCTCTTCCTCTGTAAAAGGGAACAAGATGCCATCTTGAGGGGCATAAGGAGAAGAAACAGCTGGAAGCTCCCAGCTCAGTACCAAGTACATAGTAGGTGCTCACTAGGATCAGTCACCTCCAGGTCCTGACCCCACCATGGGGCCTGGCCAGGCCTGGGGGCTACTGTGGGACAGCAGGTGGGTTGGGGCGTCCCAGCCCCGGGTCAGGCGCTACACTGGATGGCAGGTCAGTCTGGCCTGGTTGGCTGCACATGGTGAGGGGCAAGGATGGGGGTGGGGGGTCTGAAGGCTGGGGCAGGTCTGGGTGTGGGGGGCGTGGGGGGTAGCAGCAGCCTCTGCCCACAGTCCCCTCCACACCTTGCAGGTTGAGGGTGAGATAATGGAAAAATGTACCCAAGACGGCTGGACAGTCTGAATGTCCTGGCTGGGGTTCCTATGCCATACCATCTTACCATTTAAGGAAAACGTAAATAAATGGTTGGCTAAAGGGAATGAGATTGCATTCCACCGGAATGGCTCTCGGGTCAGCCCTGTGCCCTGAATTCTGGTTTGGGAAGTCTGGGATCTTGGCACCTCAGCCACCCTGGCCAGCTGAGAGCCCATCAGCTCTCAGGAGGGTGCCCAGGAAAGTCACCCCACCCCTGGCTCCTGGGAGGCGTCCCTGAAGGGTACTTGGGGTGGGCTCAGAGTCTTGGGCATCCCTCTTCTGCTGGGCTCCTCATCTCTCTGCCTCCCTCCACAGCCAGTGATGCGAAACCAGGTTCCTGCCACCCTCCATGAGGACCACAACAAAGATGAGCCCATGATGGCAGGCCAGCTTAGTCCCCTGGCCCTGTGCCCAGAGCCCAGCCACAGGCCCAAAGCATAAACAGAACACTGCAGGTAGGGCTGAAGGATAAGTATCAGGAATTCACAAAACGGCTATTGAAGACACCAGGCTTTCCTATGTTTAACATCCCCGTGTATATGAAGATCTGTGGGCTACACACCTCTCAAATTCAGCTCTAGAAAAACACCACAATAATCTGGCAGCTTTCCTTCTGCTTGATGAGAGCCGTGTGTACCCACCTCTTTCCCTTTTCACCATGGCTCCTAGGAAGCTCAGCATGAAGCTTCCTTTAGATGCTTAGGTTTTTGTTATAATTACCTCATCTTTTTGTACTATTTGGCTCTTGATCTTTTATCATTGTTATATCAGGCCTGAGAGTCTATCTCTCATTGTCAGATATCCATCTGGTTCTTTCTGGACTAAATATAATAATCTGGGTAAAAATACTAAGGAAAAAACTCAGCCATCTCCCTCTGAAGCAGATGCCCAAGATGAGGGCTGTGGGGAGCTGGCAGGGCTCCCACCCCTCACCTTGACTGCTGTCATGTTTCAGCCAGGACCGGACAGGGTTGAATGGGATCTCCTCCATCTCACACAGGAAGTTCTCTGGATCCGGCGAGACGGCCGTAGAGGACAAGGGGAAGAAGCATTCGCCCAGGTCTCCCACACGCATGGGCTCAGGTGGGTCCAGCTCACCCTGCAAGGAAAGGGAGGTAGGATGGGGCAGGACTGGGAAGGGGGACAGCTCATGAAGGGTACCTCATGACCTGCTCCACGGCCCCTTGCTTAACTAGGCTACCCTCATGTCTAGTCTGACCTTCCTCTCACCTCCTCTACCTGACCATCTTCCAAAATCCCGTGAAAGGAATCCACCTCCGAATGCCCACTGGATGCCCCAGGCAGTTAGTGACTTCCCCTGGTACAGACCCTGGCCCAGCGAAGAAGCCAGGTCAAGGCTGGCGAAGGCATCAGAAGACAGGCTGAGTGGCCACACGAGTGTCCCATGAGCATGACCTTGGGTGGGTCCCTTCCCTTTGCTGAGCCTGTTTCTGCATCCAAGGAGAGTAACGCCTACCTTCCTAGGCATTCCCTGGCCCCCACATTCCTCAGCCCTGCAGCCCAGAGTGACCCCTTCCCAGAAGAGCCGCCTTAATGCCCCCTCCAAGGCAGATGAACTCGTGCCACCCCGACCTCCAATGACTTGCTGAGTCTGGCACAAAAGACTGCACCCTGCCCAAGTCCAGCTGAGTCCCAGAAACTGTGCATCCTGATATCCTTTGTAGGAGAGCAGTGTAGGGGTGCGGGGAGCTGCAGCAACTGTTACCAATCAGGGAGGGGACCAAAATGACATGGAAGGGACAGGAGGAACTGGCCCCACAGCCTACTCTGAGCTGATGGAGGGCCAGCCTAGGGGGCAGAGGTACCAAGCCCAGGGTATCCCCCAGCTGTCCCTTACACCCCCCACCCCCAGCAGGGCAGGACCACCTTGACCTTGAGATCAGGAGCCCAGGTCTTGAGATCTCACCCCCTAAGACTGCAGGATCAGCAAGAGCCCCCTCCTGGCCTGCAGGCCTCCTCAGACTGACCCCCTGGGGTGGCTTCCTGCTCTGTCATTCCTGGCTGTGTGATGTGAGCATCGCCCCACTTCTTGGAACCATTTCCTCACATGTGAAGTGGGAACAAATCATCCCTGCTGCACAGAGCCGTGCGGCAGACAAACAGGTGGCA
Source organism: Homo sapiens (assembly GCF_000001405.40). NCBI lineage: Eukaryota > Metazoa > Chordata > Mammalia > Primates > Hominidae > Homo > Homo sapiens. The sequence continues at coordinate 39,681,464 of NC_000022.11, read as the reverse complement.
CGGGCAGAGCGCCTGCACATAGTAGGTGCTTGTGCCTGACGCGACCGCCCCCGCACATAGCAGGTGCTTGTGCCTGACATGACTCCCCCGTTCGCTTCAGCCTCACAGCCCCGCCGGCCAGGGATGACCCCCCGTGGAATGGACCAGAAAATACTCAAAGCAACAAGAAGCAGCCAGTACTGCTGGGTGCCGGGTTGGAGTGCTGGCTGGGCTTGTGGCTGTGTGACCTCAGGCAAATCACTCCACCTCTCTGAGCCCTACTGCCCTCATCTGTCCAACAGGAGATGAAGGCCTAGCACAGTGGGTGCCGTTTACATGGTAGACTGGAAAGACAGGGGGGTCCTGCCTGGGTGGGCAGGGGCCAGGTTTCAAGGACAGACCCGCCTGCTCAGGAGTCCCCAGGGGAGCTGACCTTGCTGTCTTTGCGGCCAGGTGGGCAGGCTGTGGGGTCCTCGAGACTCAGGTCGTCACCCAGCAGGATGGACGAGGACCTGTCTGAGTTCAGGGAGAAGGCCTCCGTCTCAGCCAGCTGCACCTGCAGGAAGAGGGGGTGGCCTCGGGTCACCCAGGTTTGGGATGGGCAGACCTGGGTCCTGGGGCGTGCAGCCACAGGCCTGAGGCTCTGAAGAGAGGCCGAGCAGTGGTCAGAAAGGTCCAGACACCTGCTGGACACGGATGATGTGTCCATCCTGTGCAGGGGCCCAGCCTGGGTGACATGCGATGGTGACACAGTGGCCACCTCCAGTGGAAGCCAGCTCTGAGTGGCCCATCTTGCTACCTGGACCTGAGGGCAGGTGAGTTGCCGTGGGCTGTGAACTCCACAGCTGTCTGCTTGCCCCCAGACCAAGTGCCCGTCAAGACTGGGCTGGACTTGACTCATCTATGGCCCCATGTGGATGACCTGCACAGCGTGTCACAGGCAGGGGACACTGCGGGGCCCAGAGACACCGGAGAATCTGCAGCCACCACAGGGCAGGGATGTGGGGCAGCCCAGTCCTCCAGCTCCTGCTGATGGTTCCTGGGGACCTGCCCTGCAGCCACCTGAGGCTGGGGCCACTCTGGGGGCTGGAACACCCCAGGGAGAGCTCAGGGGCCCACACTGCTGGGGAGAGGGGAGGGGGCTAACTGCGCCTGCTCTGGAGGCAGGCCCATGGGAACCCCTGAGCTGGGTGGGCCTAAGCCCTGAGGTGGAGGCCAGGACAGGGCACCTGGAGGAGGTTGAGTGCCAGGATGATGCCTTGGGGGAAGAGCGGGCAGATGACCCCTCATGTCACAGAAAGGGCAAGCTGTCCTGCAAGTGACACACAGGCTCCCTGCCTGGCACCTGCAGCACACAAGGTGGGGCAGCTGCCCTACCCAAGCACCTACTGTGTGCGGCATGGTGCTGGGGTCGGCAGCTGTGGCCACCACACCACAGGCCCACACCTGGCCCTGACTCAGGGAGCCAATCTGCCCCAGCCATGGAAGCTACGTGTGCCCACGTTGACCCAGCCTGGTCTCTACAGCCCAGAGCCAGGCTCTGCCCTCGGACAGGCCCCCCACCAGGTTTCGTGCTGCCCCTGCCACAAGGGGCCAGGCCTCCCGGGCTGCCATTACCTCTTGCTTGTCGTGGTGACACTTCTTGCAGCCGGCAGGCGAGGAGTAGTGGTGGAAGATGGAGCCCGACAGGTTGTCGATGATGGTCAGCTCCCCCTCCAAGGAGTCCTTGATGATTAAAGAGACGCTGTCCAGCCACAGGTTCTCCTAGGCGGACGGGGACGGGGTGGGGACAGGCGGGATTATCAGCCGGGTCCCGGGGCTGTGGGGTGGGCAGGACACAGCTGCCCTCCCGGTTGGTTCTCTGCGCCCATGGCCTGGGACCGACCCCCTCATCACAGGGTCACCCCTTCTATGGAGCTGAGCAGGGTGGGGCCCAGAAAGACAGAGGTCTCTGTGCAAGGCCTCCCTGGCCCTGCTGCCCATCTGGCCCTGCGGTGCCCCCCCTCTGGCGACCCTCACACCTCTCCAGCCCCTGCCCACCTGGGCAGGCGAGTAGCAGCGCCGGCACAAGCCGCCCTCGGTGTCGCCCCCGCCGCCCGCCCCTCCCGGCCCTCGGCCAGGGGCGCCCGGGGAGCCGGTAGGCAGCCTCGGGCCAGGGCCCAGGCCATGGGCCATCTCCAGCTCGAGCTCGGCATCCATCTCGGCGTCCTCCTGCGCCTCCTTGTTGCTGTCGTCCAGGTGCTTCATGAGCACAGCCACCACCACGTTGATGAGCACGAACTGCGCGGTGAGCACGAAGCTCACGAAGTACAGCGGCGACACAAACTGCAGGCTGCTCAGGCAGCTGCGCTCGTCGTGGGTGCAGTCCCGCAGCGTGTCCTGCGTGGCAGGGAGGGCGGTGAGGATGAGGACGGAGACATCCCAGAGGCTGCTGGAGGCAGAGGCCAGCCCAGGGCCACGCTCGGAGGCAGCAAGACCGAGATTCAACCCCCGAGATGGCCCCGGGCTGCCCTGCCCCACTCTGCCTTGTTGCGGCATCTGCCTGCCTCAGCTTCAGCTAAGTCCCCGCATGGACAGACGGATGGCCCAGCGCCCTCTCCTCCTCTCTTGCTCCTGCCCATGTCACCCTCCCCACAGCTGGCCTGCTTCCCCGGGACAGTCAGGCCTGAGAAGGGGCATCTGGGGCTTCCTTCAGGGGCCCCTGGGGAGTAGGGTGCATTCGTGACCAGGGCCTCCCTGTCCTTCCTTTCTGGTTTTTCAGCTCAACCCCCAACCACAAAGCCCAAGAAGACTCCATCACCTTCCCGCCCTGGGCTGAGGAGATTGGCCGCCTCTCCCAGCACCCTGGCTTCCTGCCCCCTTGCTGGGGGCACTGGGGGCTCTGCAGGGTGGGGGTGGGAGGCAGAACAGGCCTACCTCTGCCCTCTCCACCCTAGGGCCCCGGAACCGAGGCCTTACCCCTGTCCTCTGGGAGCCCCTCCCTGCCCTTCCCAGCCCAGCCCGGGTTGCAGCCCAGGCCAGGGAGCCTCTGCCGGGTGACCTGGTCAGCGTGGAAATCACTAGGGGGCCTGGCCCTGGCCTTCAGGCCTGCCTGGGCCCCAGGTCCCCTCCGGAACTGGGTGGAGTTGTCTACCCTAGAATCTGAGCCCTGATCCCAGGCAACACTGGGGGATGAGGCAGTGTAGACAGGGGGCCTGTTCTGGCTCAGCTCTCCCCACTGTGCTGGTCCTGGGCAGGCCCCTCCACTCCTCCGTGCCCTGCATGCCCCTCCCATGTGTGGTGGGGCCCTGGGTGGGCAGAGCCCTGAGCAGCAGGACCAGCATCCTCACTGTCCCAGCACCTGGCTGATTTCTCCACCCCAGCCCGCCCAGGAGTACCTTCATGATCCCGTTCCAGTTGTCACCCGTGGAGACCTGGAAGAGTGTGAGGAAGGCCATGCCGAAGTTCTCGAAGGTGGCATGCCGGCTCATGCCCTCGCACGGGTTCTCGTCGTTGCAGACTGGAAGCGGGGAGGAGGTCAGCCCTGCCCGATGGCGGAGTGCCTGCGGGGCTCACCCTGACCTGGTGCCTCCCGCCTCGCCTCAGAACCCTCATCACACCCTAGGAGGGGCCTGCAGACTGTGCCCAGCCCACAGATAAACTGAGGCTCGGGGAGATGGCACATGAGCTGGGGCTCAGGTTTGGGTGAGTCTGGCTCTGCTCCCCGCCGAAGAATGGGTTTCTGAGAAAGAGGGTGAAATGGGGTGAGGGCCAGCCCCTCGGGGAACCCTGCTTTCTGGAGCCATCCCGGTGCAGGGCGGAGCTCAGCGAGCGCTCTGTTGCTCTTTCCCCTGCCCTGGCCTCTCCACTTGCTGGGGTGGCGCTGGCTCAGGACAGGCACCAACACCGGGGTAGGGAGGGCAGTTTTCCTGGGAGACCAGACAGCTGAGGGCCCTGCTGTAGGCATCTCCCCAATACAAAGACCCTGATGTGACGGGCTCAGGGGTCTCAGGCCTCCCCCGCCCCCCCAGTTCCTCCTGCAGCCCTGCTGCACCCCCACCACGGGCCTGCTCTGGGAGTCACTCACCCAGCTTCCCAAAGAGCTCCACCCCGAGAGCAGCATAGATGAAGAAGAGCAGCATGAAGAGGAGGCCCAGGTTGCCCACCTGCGGGAGGACAGGTGAGGCCGGGTGGGGCTGGGGAGCGGGTGGGGGCGCACCAGGCCTGGGAAGGGTGGAGGCTGGGGCAGTGGGGTTGGGCAGCCTGTGGGTCAGAGCAGCTGTAACATTCCCCCAGGCTGTGTGTCCACGTCTGCCACCCCTACAGGACCTGGAGGGCAGGCTGGGTCCAGCACAGGGCTCAGAATAACAAGAAAACACTTGTGCCACCTTTACCACAAGCTGTCCCATTTCCAGCACTTAAGGTTCATGAGCTCACTTCCTCCTCACAATAATCCACGAACTATCTTTTATCCCCATTCTTCAGAAGAAGAAGGAGACAGACTGAGAGGTGACATCACTTGTCCAGAGTCGCACAGCTAGTAACTGGTAGGACAAGGGTCCAAACCCAGCAGGCTGGCCCCAGGGTCCATGCACACAATCTATGCTACACGCCTTGAGTGGCTACCAAGGTTGAATGGATGGATGAACGAAGGGAAGGGAGAAGGCAGGAGGTCTCAGCTCTAACACTAGCTCCTCTACGAAACCACCGAAATGCACTTATCCCTGTCACTGTCATCTGCTGGTCTGGGAAATCTTCAAGAGCAGGAACACAGCTGCATGAGGTCAGATTTGCCTCCTTGGGCCAGCATGAGGCCTGGCCATAGAGAGGAGGGAAGGCAGGAATCACGCAGGCCCGTGGGCCCCAGAAGCCTCTGCAAACCCAGCCACCCCCATCCCACAGCTCCTGTGGGAGAAAGCGTCCCAGATTCCAAACCTAGTTCAAATCTATCCATGCATTGGAGACCACCTTTAACTCATGCTATGGATAAGATAAGGCTAAAACACATTCTTGCCCTAGAAATGAAATATCTCTTAGAACCCTCAGAAGGCCTTAGAACCCTCAGAAAACGTTCACGTTAACTGCTGAAAAGTAAACCCCATTAATCACCACTCCTCGAGTTTCTCCGCTCCACTCCAGAGCAGGGTTTCCTGGCCAGCCGTTCTACACTGCTAGTGTCTGACTAATTAAATGATGTTCCCTTCATTAATAAAACAAGCACTTACTGAGCACCCGTGAGGCCAACTGTAAGGCCCTGACCGCTGAGAAGGATCTGGCGTGGTCGCGGCTCTAGGAATTCAGCTTTGTGCCCTGCACAGGCCGGCGGGGGCAGCATCTCTTAACCAGGATTGCCGTCAGCTTTTCTATCTGTCCCCTCCCTGCTGTCAGCATCTCAGAGCCGGCAGGGTTGCAGCAGCCTCCTCACCAGCTTCCCTGCCTCCAGCCTCTCCCTCCAATCCATTCTCCTCCCAGCCAGCAGAGCCACCTTCTCAAAGGCAGCTCGGCTGCAGCCTTCCTTGTCTAGAACCCTCCTGTGGCACCTGCTGCCTGCAAGATAAAGCCCAATTCTGCTGCCCTAGCACTGAAGGTGTGCTGTGACCTGGCCCCCAGGGACCCCCCTCCCAGCCTGATCTTCCAATCCCACACACTCCAGCCACACAGAAAACAGCCCCACAGTGCCTTGGCATATTATTTTCCCTCTGCAGGGAGGACCCTCTATCTTTGCCTGTAAAATGCCTCCTCCCCACCCCTCAAAGCCCAGTCCATGGGTCACCTCCCCTGAGAAGCCTTCTCTGATGCCTCCTCCCTCTTCTTGGGGCAGAGACTGGTGGGAAGAGGCTGAAGTTTCATTTTCCTAGCACTTTACGTAGAATCGAGGAAATGGCCAATGTCCATACAACAACATGAGCAACAGCAAATGGATTTTGAGGGGTAAGCACCATTTCACGGCCAGTGGCACTTGGCACGTGCTTCTTCTCAAGTGCTAATGCACTTGTAATGACTACCTTGGGTCTCCTGCTGGAGGCTGGGATGTCCTGAACATCTCCATGTGCCGTGCCCCATGCCAGCTCCACACTGGATTTGGGAGTCATGATAGAACCGCCCAGGGGTCAGAGCATGGGGAAGGGGAGAGGGAGCAAGGAGGCCAGGGAGGCCGAGCCACACACTCACCATCCCCACCCCTAGCAGCCTCTTAAATGGCACTTCTCATGAACCAGACCTCTTAAGTGCTTCATAAGCTTTAACCATCTGACACCTCACCGCCGCCCTTTGAAATAAGCGCTTGAGGGAGCGATGCTTCACCACCATCCTCATTTCACAGGCAAGGAAACTGAGGCACGAAAAGCTAAGTCGCATGCCCAGGGCCCAGGCTTTGCTCTCAAGCATTATGGCCCAAGCCGGGGCTCCAATCTACTTCCTGTCGGCACAGCCTGCAGCCCAGCATCACCCCCATCTCCCATGGGACAAAGTCCCCTGAAGGGGTTTAGTGTTAGGAAAAACCACGTCTCTGAATGAATGCCCTTGCTTTCCATCCAGACCATGCCACTTTCCCTTTATACCAAGGCTGCTGGGAAGCTCACACCAAATTCAGGAACAGAACTCACCCATGTCCTTAGCCCCGGTCCCCGAAAGAATTAGCTCTGCTTCCACCTTCCCTGGGCCATTAATCTTGTATCCTCATTTTTAATGTGCAGTATCTGTGCCTTGTATTTTAAGGCACCTAAACTTCCTGATGACTCGTTGAGTCATAATGAATAAATGTGCCTGAGGCTCAGCTGAGAGCAGAGGCCACCCTGAGGGGAGGGGGAAGGGGAGCCTCAAGCAGTCAAGACAGCGGGGGAGGGAAGGACTGGGATTGCAGAATTCTCGGGAGGATGAAAAAGATGCCCTCTGTGGCCCTGATCACATCTCCCCTTTCACTAACCGCAGGGTGCGGGTAGAGCAACTTCCCTAACTTCTCAGATCCCCACCTGGGTCAGGGTCTCATGCTGCCCCTCCTGGAATGCCATCTCGGAACTTCTCCATCCACACTGCCACCTCCTTCTGCCAAGCCACCCTTGGAAGTCAAGCTCAAAGGTCCCCTTTCCTAGGCTGCCTTCCCTGATCTCCCCAGGGAGTGTCTGGCACTCTTCTCTCTCTCTGGAGCATGCTGGAGGTCCCTCCCCACATCTCCCTGAAGTATCCATCTCCCTCCACCAGCCTGGGGGCAACCAAGGGCACAATGTGGACCCTCAGTGCGTGCACAGGGCTGGACACAGAGTGGCACTGGCAACCACATGGTGAAACTGGAAGAAAGAGGCATAAAGGGACCCTTCCTGCCTCTCAGCCCCTGGCTCAAAATGCATCCCCAGAGACAGCATCTGCCCTGGCTCTGGCAGATGTGAGGAGAAGGGAAATCAGGGCCTTCATGCCCCAGGGCCCAGCCTGACACCAATGACCCCTAGGAGGGCTGCCAGAAAGAGTGGCTCTTACCTGGGGCAAAGCTTGCACCACCGTGTCCAGCAGGGCCCGCATTCCTGTGGCCATCTTCAACAGCTTCAGCACTGCGGGCGAGACCCAGCCCTGCCCACTCAGCCCCAGGCCGGTGGGGACGTGTGTGTGCACGCATGTGTGCACGTGTGTAAACTTGGGAGAAGAGAACATGAAGGCACGTGCAAGCAGAGTCTGGCTCTCAGATACCACATTACAAGAATGTGGGTGCAGCCACAGGGTGAGTGGGGCATGCACAAAAACATGTGGACACAAGGCGTGGGTGTCACTGTAGAAAAGCCCCCGAGGACGGGGCATACTCATGGAAACTGAGGTCTATGAAGTGTGTGAATGGGTGGGCCATGAACTGTCACGGGCACAAAGGACCAGCGTGAGTGGCCACATCTCTTCTCTTCCCCTCTCGATAAAGAGGACTCTGGCATCACTCGCTGAGTTTCTGGCAGGCAGAAGAGCAAGAGGCACCTGGGCTCGCCCTGAGGCAGGAGGCTTTTAAAAGAAGTGTACGAACTACCTTGAGGGGAGGGAGAAGGATCTCTGAAGACCGTGCGTCCCAGTCACTGTGTTTGAGAAATGCCAGCGAGGAACTGGAGGTGTTTCACATCTTCCCAGTTGGACTGGGTTCCTTGCATCACACTCTGAGACTGGACCCCATGGGTCATGGCGTCATAAGGAAGTGGGAGTGTGTGTCCATGTGTGCTATGCAAAGTTGCCTGTGTGTTGGGGGAGGTGTGTGCACACAGAGGGTGCATGCGTGTGTGTTGGCTGTGTGCCTCCCAGCTCCTTCTCACCCCTGTTCAGCAAGGAGCCCACCATGCCTGCAAACTCCTGCCCCCACCCCTCCCCACCCCACTCCTGTGTGTTCTCATCAGGCAATGAGGAGTCTCATCCCGCCCCTGCTTGTCCCCGTTCCCTGTCCCACCCCTTGCCCCTCACCTCGGGCAATGCGCAGAACCCTCATGATGCGGATGATGGTGGGATTGATGGGCAGGGCCGCATTGATCTCGATCTCCTCCAGGGTGATGCCCATGACTGACAGTAGCACAATGGCCAGGTCCAGCTGGTTCCATCTGCTCAGCCGTGCATGGGAGGGCAGGAGTGGGCATGAGGAGGATCCCTCTGGTTCAGACACACCTTAGTGGGGGGAGCCTCCCAGGTCCTGACCCTTCTATTGTGGCCCATTAGGCTGTGTGGCTGCCCTCCCTTACTAGCCCCTCCTAACGCCACTGGGTCCAGGCCCCTCTCTGCTCCCCATAGCCATCACTCCGTCAAGCAAGGGGCTGATCAGGCTAAATAAATATCTCTGGCCTCCTGCAGGAGAGGAGGCATGGACTATGACTTCCAAGTCTAATCTTGAGCTGGCTGCTCTCTCTGTCTGGCCTTAGGCTAGTCCATCAACTTCTTTGAGCCTCACTATTCCCTTCAAAAAGGAGTATTAGCATGAGGCAGACCCTGCTCTGCCCATAGGGTAGAGACAACGTACCAAAGATGAGCCAAGAAGGGCCAGGTAGAATGCCCTACGCCCATCAGATGATACCATAATTATTTCCTGTTCAGAGCTATAAGCAGCAGCTGGGGTGCCTGTCCATCCGTGCCTAGATGCTTACTGGTTCCCCTCTTCAGGCTGCTCCAGACTTCCCTAAGGGTCAGGACTGCTTCTTCATCCTGCAGTCTACCCTATTACTGCCCTAATCCAGCCTGGCCACTCACCGGTCCTTGAAGAAGCGCCTCAGACCAAATGCCACCAGCTTCAGCACAGCCTCCAGCACAAAGACAGTGGTGAACATATAGTTGCAGTACTTGAGGGCTGTCTCCAGGGACTATGGAGGAACAAAGAGAAGCATGATCCAGGGCACATGACCTGCTCCACAACCTTCCTCCACTCAGAAAGTCTCTGCCTTTTAAGGAGAGAATTTAGTCCATTTACTTTTAGTGTAATTATTTATATGCTGCTTTTATTCTTTCCATCTTAGTGTGTACTATTTATTTTATGCTGCTATTCCTTCTGTTCCCTTTTTCTTATTTATGTGTATCTGGTCGAGTTGGTACCTTTGGAGGCAATATAGGGTATTAATGAAGAGCTACTGAGCCAGACTGCCTACATTTGAATCCTGGCTTAGTGCTCACTCCATATTCACCTTATGATCTTGAGTAAGTCATTTCATCTTAGAAAGCTGGTATGCAAATTAAATGAGCTGATAGTTCGGTGCTGGAAACAGAATAATACTTGGTAAATGTAAGCTATTAATATTCCATTTTTCCTGTTAATTTGGAAGTTGTATAATTATTGTTTCATTCTGCCAATGGTTATCTTTCTTTTTTCTGCATTCATAATATTCCTCTCCCATCATTTGAAATAAGGTATTAATTTCACACCTGGCGGCTCTGCTTCCCTCTTCTTCCCCTCCAACTCCATCAGGGTTTTTAGAATGCACTTGCTCCTCACATGCCCCTCACATACCTGGTCTGCAACAAGCTGGGAAATGGTCATCCTCACCCACCCCCAGTGTTTGCCTGAAATGGTCCTTCCACCCTTTTGCCTCGTCTCCATATACCCAGGTAGTAAAGGAGGCTACATGGTAGGCTTTGAATGCAAATCTAAGTTCCAGACCTGGTTCCACTACCTATGGCTGAGTAATTTGGGCAGCATATTTAACCTCTCTAAGCCTCAGGCTCTTCACCTATAAAATCCAGACAAAGGATTCCCCCTGCCAGCCTTAGGATTGCTGCGAGGATTAAAGAGTTCATATATGTAGCGTGCCTTGCAAAGAGTCAATATTTAACACATCACAGTCATTGCCACCCATGTGCAAGCCACGGTCCAAATCCTGCCTCCCTGACCCACCTTCCCTCTGACCGTTCCCTTCCAGACTCTGAGCTTCCTGAGGGCAAGCTTGTCCGGCACCTCCTCCCACTGCAGTGCCCAGCATAGAGCCCAGCATGGAGGGGCTGCTCACATCCTGCTATCAGCTAACCCCTTCCCCACCCTATCCCTGGGGTGGGGTCCTGCTGAGACCCCACCCTCACCTTGTAACCTTGGGCTGGGAGGCAGACCAGGGCTCACCGTGGGCTGATTGTAGTGCTCCAGGGACATGGTGACCACGTTGAGGCAGATGATGAAGGTGATGAAGATGTCCAGGTAGTGGCTGGTGCACATGGAGTGGATGAGCAGCCGGGTGTGACAATAGGTGGCATAGTAGGGCAGCCGCTGGGCCTCTGCAGGTGGTGCAGGGGGAGTGGCAAAGACCACAGAGGGTTGGGGTCAAGGGAAAGGGCACAGAGCACAAAGGACAGAAAGGTGGAGGAAAGGGAGGGGGCAAAGAGGAAGATGTTGATCCACCCCAGGCCCTGGGATCAGTGTTAGATCTCCTCCACCCAGCCAAAGCACCATGAGAGAAACTGTGGAGAAGGGTGACAAAGAAGGCAGGACATTCATTCTCTCCATCTACCCCAAATGAGCTTGTGGCAGGAGCTCTGGGCCTGCCTGCTGGGAGGGCAGGTTTCCCATGGCCCAGGGCACCCAGGGTCTGCCTTTGCCCTATGCCTGGGCTGAACCCCCAACAGCCTCACTCAGGTTGGCAGTGGTGTCAGCCATTGGACTCTGGATGGACACTGATGGGGCTCAGATCCCCTGGACAGGAAGATGCTGGGAGAAGTGGCTGAGCCCTGGGCACAGGGGCTGTATCTTTTGTTCCCTTCCAGCTCCAAAGGCTCAGGAGGCTGGGGTCAGGCCCAGGCAGAAGGGCTTAGAGCTGGGTGGCCCACGCCCTCCACAGGCACCCACTCACTCCGGCGCTTCTTCTCCAGGCGCCGCAGCCGCTTCTCCTCACGCCGCCGTGCCTCTTCAGCCTCCTGGTGCTGCCGGCACTTGTGGAAGTTCTCCACCACGACACCCACAAACATGTTGAGCACAAAGAAGCTGACGATGAGCAGGAAGGAGATGAAGTACAGCAGCATCCAGGGGTTGTGGTTGGTCACAGGCTGCAGGGGAGTCAGAAAGGGCTGAGGAGGCTGATTGGGCCCTACAGGGCCATGGGGAGGTGCCCATCCTGGCTGAGCCTCCATGGAGTGGGCATGTGTTGAGCCTGCCTCCAGGAAGGTGGCTGTGAGGTCTAAATGAGGCAGCAGGTAAGAAGTAAATACCCTGGGCATGGCACAATATCGTCCTCAGCCAAGAAAGCCACCTCTCCTTCCCTGCTCAGTGGCTGCCTCCTGGAAACATCTGTCTTCTTCCTCTCATTGACCTATCCATTCATTCACCTATGCATGCATCCATCCATCCATCCACCTATCCTCCCACTCACCCACCCATCCATCCACCACCCATCCATCCATCCATCCACCCACCCATCCATCCACTCATCCACCCATCTATCCATTCACCCATCTATGCATCCACCCATCCATCTACCCACCAGCCAGCCAGCCAGCCACCCATTCATTTATCTACCCACCCATCCATCCACCCACCCATCCATTCATCCATCCACCCATCCATCCATTCACCCATCCATGCATCCACCCATCCATCCACCCACCAGCCACTTATTCGCCCATCCAGAAATAAGGCAGAAAACAAGGCGGCCAGCAGAGGGGAGAACTTGGATGCACAGATTCCTTGGTGGAATCCATGTACGCATGTGCATGCATGCACTGGTGGGGGTGAGGAGACAGAGCAGACAAGGAAATAGAGAAAGATGCGTCCAAGTGTTCGCATTCCTCCCACACAATACTGCCACCCCCACGTCCAGCTCCAGAGCCTTACTGGGTGGGACCCATGAAGCCAAGAGCCAGAGGTCCATTACCAGCCTGGGAGTTGCACACAGCCCTGCTTCCACCACTGAGTGGGCCCTGTCTTGAGCTAGAGAATCTTTCTGTTTCTTCTCCCAGTGACCCCCTCAGTCTGGACACAGCCAACCTTGGTCAGCCACACGTCTTGCCTAAAGTCCCCGCCTAGCCCCAGAGGGACCCCTGCTACTCAGGGGTCTCAGAAGCCAAGGCTGAGTCTCCTCCCTGACTTCCTCCACCCAATCCCCCTCCCCAAATCCATCTTCACCCAGCAGCCCTCAGGAAGCTGCACTGACAAGCAGACCTGACAAGCAGGGACACCACTCTTGCTGTAAGTCCCTCACCGGCTCTCTCTGCCCTCAGAATAAACTTTTGCCCCTTGTCATGGCACACCCGGGGGCTTGCAGACCACCTAACACTACCTGCCTCCTCTCCCCACCTCATGCCTCTCTCACTTTCTACTCCTGGCTCCCAACTCCCAATTCCCTAAACACATCACTCTCTCACACTCTGTTCCTCTACCAGCTGGCTCAGCCCCTCTTCTCTGCCTGCACTTGGTTCTCTACCCACCAGGCTCTGCACCCTTCCAGGCAGGGTGCAGCTCAGATGCCTCTTCACACAAAGTGGGGGGGTTTGCCAAAGCAAATGGAACGACGACTTACGCTACCCGAGGAGGGACTGTAATGGTGAAGATTCAGGCCAGGATGTGAGGAGTGGGCTGTGCTGACAGTGGGGAGACACTGGGGCTGTGGAACTCATTGGCACCAGTTTCAAATTCAAACCACTGGGCCCCAAGGACACCATGTTCCTCCCTGCATCAAGGCTTGGCCTGGTCCCAGCTACACCCACCTGCTGGTCCACAGCAACAGCATCCAGTCCATTGTACATGATGTTCACCCAACCATCCTTGGATGCCAGGACAAAGAGGGACATCAGAGCCTGGGAGACATGGGGAGGCGGAATGCAGGGGTGAGGACTGTGAGTGACTCCAGCTGCAGCCACCCCTCCTCAGCTCTCTATTCTTCTGCCCTTGGGAGGCAGAGGGACAAAGAGGTCTTCTCTGTGTGGCAGAGCTGTGCCCTCGTCCAACAAACTTTCCTAAGGACCTACTATGTGCCTGCCACATACTCTTGTAGTTACTGTTATAGAAGAAAAAGTGCTGGACCCACGGTCCTGGGTTTTGGTCTCAGCTCTGAAATTATCCAGCTGTGTGATCTTGGGCAAAAAAAAATTCATGAACTCCTGTCCCCTCACCCACAGAATGGAGCTAACAAATACTTTTCTGGCAGGTGTGCTGGGAGGGCCAGCTGAGGCTCAACCAGACGGTCCCTGCCATCCTTACTCCAGTGGGTAAGACACGCTTGCCCCAGCATCTGAAAACAGGAGCTCGTGAGAGGAGTCAGGAGCCCTGGGTCAGAGCCCAGGCTGTGCCACTCACTGGCTATGTGATTTGGGGCAAGTTCCTTGATGTCTATGGGCCCATTTCCTCATCTGTAAAATGGTAATAACTCCTCTCCCTGGTTTTGAAAAGGAGGTGGTTCCCAGAACACAGCCACCCAAGGCTCCCACAGAGATGGCAGATCAGCATCCTCATGTCCCTTAAGTGAGTTCACATCTGGTTCTGCAGCACCCAGCACAGAACCTTGCACACAGCAGGTGCTCAGTAAAGGTTTTCTGAACTGAACTTGAGCACAGCCTCCTGTGCCATCTTTGCACCAGTAGTTAGTAGGTTCACAAAGGGTCCCATTTCATCTGAAACTGCCCGGAGGTTACATGTCCTACTCAGGAAGCCCTCTCCCCAGGGCAGAGGTGGTCTCACCCCCCTCTGCGCTCCTGCCACTGTGGGCCAGGGCATGGGGTTCTGGAATGAGTCTCTGGCCCTGCACTGGCCCCTCCTTCCCACCATCCAGAGCACAGACCCCTTCCTCTTCCCTTCCCAGGTGGGAATGGTGCCAAAGGTATCCAGAAAGTGTTCAGACCCAGGAGCAGGGAAAGCAGAGGAAGACCCCCTGCCAAGGGCACAGGAGGCTCCTACATTCCAAGGACCTGCCATCACTGTCCCTGTTGACAAATGAGGACACTGGAACAGAGGGTCTGGCACGTGTCTGAGGGCACACGGCTGGTAAGGGCCACTGAGGAGTCAGAGGCTGCAGGCCAGGTTGGAACCCTCCAGGTGGCTCCGAGTACAGAGAACACCCCACGCAGGGTTCCAGGAGAGCCAGGCAGACCCAGAAATGCTCCAAAGGGGCGGAGCTGGCACTGGGGCGGGGCCCATAGGTGAAGGGGGTCAGGAGCACGGGCACAAAAGGCCGCTGGCTGGTTCCCCCTCAACTTCCTAAGACATCTTTTCCCCAGGAGGGCAGGGGTAGTGACTGTCCTGGTTCCTGACACCCTTTCCCTGGGCACTCACTACCCCTCCAAGGCCCTGTGGCTCCCCTCCCAGGTGCCATTGTGGGGCAAGCCCTCCAGTGGGATCTAGCTGGAGGCTGCCCATCAGCCAGTGGGGGACGAGGGCCTGGAGCCTGCTCCTCCCTGTGTGCCCTGGGGCAAGGCACGCCTACGTCTGGACATACCTGGCCTCCTGGGCAGGCCCTCGAGAAATGAGAGCAGGGAAGGGGAGGCAGCCAGCCAAGGGCCCTCACCTGGGGCACTGCCCAGATGGGTCACACCTGGCAGGCCCTCAGGAGAGGAGACCAAGGGGAAAGCAGACACCAGGCAGGGGTCTGCCTGCCGACAGAGCAGAGAGCAGCGGTGGGTGAGGGGAGAGAGTACCACCCCGGGCCAAGGGCTTGATATCCTTTCATCTCGACCGCAGCCTGCCTGGCAGGCTATAACATTCCCATTTCATAGATGAGGAAACTGAGGCTCAGGGAGGCCACACCTACAGAAGGTGGCAGAGCTGGATTCACCTCCAGGACTGCTTGATTCTAAAACTCCTGTCAGGGGTCCCTGGGTCGGGGGTGGGAGCCAAGAACCAATGTTCACAAAGCACCTACTAAGTGCAGGCATTTGCTGGGCACTCTGCACACAGACTCTCTAAGCCTCATCCCACCTGAGAGGTGAGTGCTACCCTTACCCATTTTGCAGAAGAGGAAACTGAGGCTTGGAGAGGAGAAGTCAGTGTCAGTCCTGGCAGTGCAAGACAAGCCAGGTCTGTGATTCCCAGAGCCACTGGCATCCAAGAGAGGGGAGGGTCTGATCAGGGCTAGGACGGTGGTGCTCACCTGGCCCAGGTTGTCGAAGTTGTATTTGTGATGGACCCAGCGGTAGTTGGCGGCCATGCAGTCCGAGCGGTTGGTGATGTTGCGGGTGTCCACGCCCAGACAGTGGTAGAACTTGCCCTTGAAGAGCTGGGGAAAGGGGGTGAGGTTGGTGCTCTCACAGGTGAGGGTTGCAAGTCAGAGAGGAACTCGCCTCTCGATCGCGTTTACTCAGACTGTCTTGTGCTCAGTCATCTGGGCCCATGTCTGTCTCCCTCCCTGGAGGAGAAGCCCACAGCTGGCAAGGCGCATGAGGTTGGAATGTGGAGTCTCTCCCCTGGCTGTCTGAGACTTCCTTTTCCCCAGTCACAGAGCCCAGTCCCTGCCCAGACTGGGCACCCCTCACCTGCACTCCCAGGATGCCAAAGATGATGAAGAAGGCACAGCAGATGAGCACGATGTTGCCGATGGGCTTGAGGGAGGAGATGAGTGTCTCCACCACCAGCTTCAGGCCCGGCGCCCGGCTGATGACACTGACGGCAGGGAGAGGCCAGGCACACATAATCCCTTGGCCAGGCCAGGAGGCAGCCCCTACTCAGCCCAGAGTCACCAGGGCTGAGTATCCCAGGGCATGAGTCCCCAGGGCTCACCAGGGCTGAACACCCTGGGGCATGAGGACAGTCTCCAGGAATGCAGAGAAAGTGGCCAGGCAGCCCAGACACGGGCAGAGCAGGAGGCAAGCTGCACCCAGGCCTCAGATCTACAGCAGCAGCAGGGTACGTGCCCTCACCCCTCACTGTGCCCAGCTCCTCGGGGTCCACACCACACCCTGGTCTAGGGACTGATACCCAGAGATGGCAACGAGCCACTCAGGGACACGCAGAGTGGGCAGCAATACTGGGGTCCAGCTTCAGCCCTGCTCTTCCAGCATACCCCACCCCCAGGGTCTGCAGACCCCTCCCCCGGGAACAGCTCAGGGTGTTTGGCACTCACTATTGGAGGACCGAGTGGGCGGGCGGGGAGGGCGGAGTGAGGGCCCAATTCGACCCGTGGCTTCTCGGTACAGTGCATGACACTTTCCCCCATCCGCCCAGGAGGGGTCCTCACCGCAGGGGGCGTAGGGTGCGCAGGAGCCGCAAGACTCGGAGGACCCCCAAGATCTTGGCTCCCCCGGCTGAGGCCAGGGACACCACGATGTCGATGATGGACACGAAGACAAGAAAGCCATCCAGCACGTTCCAGCTGCTGCGTAGGTACGCCTGCTCGCCGAAGTACAGGCCCAGCGAGACTACCTGGGGCGGGGGTGGGGCCGGGGTCAGGCTGCCGCGGGAGGGGCGGGCAGGTGGGCGGGGCCAACCGGGCTCTATGCAAGGGGGCGGGGCGAGGCCTGATCGGCTTCGGGGAGGGGGCGGGGTCCTGCAAGTGGCGGGGCCGAAGGGAAGGGGAGGGTTCAGGCCGCCCTCTGAGGGCGGTTGATGGGAGGGGACAGGGCAGGGTCAGGGCCCAGCAGGCCGCCCTGTTAGGTTCCCGGTGCCTCTGGCAAATCCAATTGAAAACTGCCCGCCCTGGGAAGCGCCCCAGACGGGATGCTTCCCCTGCGCCCCACACCTCTAGCAGGTGCCTCCATCACACTCAGTGTTCCCTGCACCCATCTGTCTGGTGGGTTTGTGACTCCTGTGAATGGGGACGGGGCTGACCCCCTCTGGGTCGCGGGAGCCCAGCCCCGGGGCTGGCACCCAGAGGGGTGGGCCATGGGGCTACGAGTGAAATGAAGCCGATGGCAGGCGAGTGACAAGCTGAGGCAGGGGCTGACCCAGGGCCAGGGGCCCGAGCTGGGGCTAGCAGGGGTCCCGGGTGAAACCGGGAGCTACCTTCAATGTCATCTCGCCCACGAAGATGGCCGTGAAGATGTAGTTGGACACGGTGAGAAAGATGCGTTCCTGAAAGCATCGGGAGATACCATAGGCTCAGGGGCTCCCAGAGCTGCCCGGCCACTGGCCAGCCGCTGCTTTGGCCAAGGTTCGTAGAGGAGAGGCTGCCACCTCTCAGTTCACGGAGGCTTTCCCCGCCCCAAAGGCAAACTTCCTGTCCTGCCTCCCCACCTCGGTGAGGTCTCCCTGCCCTGCTCAGCCCTGGCGAGCTGTCCCTTGGCCTGGCGCCTGCCCTGCCCAAAGGCTACAGCCACTCACGGTGCTGCCGGCCTCGATCTGAGGCCGCTCCAGGGCGATGGTGATGCAGTTGAGAAAGATGAAGGCCAGGACGACGTAGTCGAAGAGTTTGTGGGCAATAATGGTCTGACACAGGACCCGGAACCTGGGCAGGGTGGGCGGGGGCTGCCTGAGCGTCAGCTGCCTCCCACCCTGGCCAGAAGGAAGGCAGAGGGCCCAGGCAGCAGTGCAGACCACGCTGGCCTCGAGGAAGCAACCCCTATCCTCTCCTCTGGCCAGGTGCCGACTCTACACCTGCTCAGGGTGCCCACCTGGCGCTGCCTCCTCTGACCATACACCCACACCACGAGGTCACCCACCTTTCCCTGGCACTCGAGGCTTACCCAGCCCAGATCCCTGAGCCTGTCAGGAGGATACCACGCTGCCTAGTACCCTCTGCTTCTGCCCCAGGCCTTCCCTCAGGCTGCTCCCTGCCCCTGCACCAGGCTCCTCCTCTTCACAGCCCCTGATGTGCCTACTGGAATGCCACCTGCCTCCAGAGCCCAGCACAAAGGCCTCCTCCTCCAGGAAGCCTTCTGATGTCCCCTCAGATGCAAGCCATACAGGCTACTTGAGAATGGTTCAACCTGGTGCCCAGCACAGGGATGGCCTAGACTAGAGGAGAGCCCAGGAGA
Source organism: Homo sapiens (assembly GCF_000001405.40). NCBI lineage: Eukaryota > Metazoa > Chordata > Mammalia > Primates > Hominidae > Homo > Homo sapiens. Next base: position 39,663,188 of record NC_000022.11, on the reverse strand, counting down.
GCCTGGCCACCAACATCCGTCTTGCCTAAAGTCCTCGCCTAGCCCCAGAGGGAACCCTGATCCCCAGGGATCTTGGAAGCCAAGGCTGAGACTCTTCCCTGACCTCCTCCAGCCAATCCCACTCCCCAAATCCATCTTCACCCAGCAGCCCTCAGGAGGCTGCACTCTCCCCTGGAGACCCCCACCTCTGGGCCGGGAGGGTCCGCTGTGGTCTGGGAGAGCGCCACCAATGGCCTTGCCTGGCTTGGCAGAGATCCGTCCCTCCCACGTTACCCCTACTCTAACCCTCACCCCAGGCCTGGCCCTGCCCACCTGTTCTCGGGAGAGAAGAGGTAGACAGACCAGTCTTCGCGGACCTCGCACCAGTCGGGCTTATAGACGTCGATCATCTTGCGGACGCGGAAGCACAGGGTCTAGCAAGAGGAGGACGGAGCGCCGGGGGTCAGCGATGCGCAGGGTTGCCGGTCTCCGCCCATGCGGCCATCGCGCCAACTGGGGTCGCAGGGTCACCTCCGAACTCTCTGCCCCCCGGGGGCAGCCAGGGAGGGCTTCTCTCCCAGGAGCCGGCCCAGCTCAGGTGTGGGCAGTTCTGGCCCCACCCCTCCTGCCTCACACCTGAAGCCCTAGCCGCTCCGGCCACGCCCCGGCCACGCCCCCCGTGGGCCCGCCCGCTCGGGCCCCGCCTCCTGGGGCCGCACCCACTTCTGTCCTATCCCACCGCACCAGGTCCCCTTCGGCCCCGCCCCCACTCACGTAGTCGATTTCCTCCTCATCCTCCCCGCGATCCCCGCGGTCGCCCATCTTGGTGAAGACGTCTTTGGCGATGCTGGGCATCCTGCCATTGCAGTCCTCATGCCCGGGGGCCGGGCCTGCCGCCCTCCAGGCGGCCCGGGGGTGGGCGCCCACCGCGGGCACCAGCTCGGCCAGGTCCACCGAGTCCCTGTTGTCGAGGGACAGCGTCCGGCGGTGGTGGCGGTGGCGGTGCGCCAGATGGGGCCCGTGATGAATGTGGTGGGCGTGTGGGGTGTGCAGGGGTGCGGCCCGCGGCGGCCCCTCGTCCGCGGCAACCTCGCAGACCCGGGCGCCGCCGCCGCGCTCCGCAGAGAGCAGGGACTCATGCTCCGCCGACGGCGGCTTGTGCTTGAGGCTGTTCCAGCTGGAGCGACGGCTGGCCCAGGCCGCGCTGCGGCCCCATGGCCCGTAGTAGGAGCTCCGGGAGCTGGACTGGAAGGAGTTCCCGTTCGGGTCAGCGCCCCACAGGCACACCCACGGCTGGGGCACCAGGTGCCCAAAGGCAGCCTGCACCCCCGCTGTGGCTCTAAGACCACCCACCTGGCCAGCGGGTGATGGAATGGGCTTGACCCTAGAGCTCCTCTCCCTGTCCCACCTCACTCCATCCACATCCACAGGGACATGGGGGCACATCCACCCGGAGGTTACATCCCCTCCTGCCACCTCACTTCCCTTGAGGAAGGTACAGCAAGTTAGGGCCATCTTCCCATTTTGCAGGTAAGGAAACTGAGGCTCAGAGAAGGGCAGTAATTTGCTCCTGGTCACACAGCTTGGAAGTGGCAGAAGGTGGATTCAAGCTGCAGTCTGCCTGACTCCAAAGCCCAGCTCTTTTTACCCTACACATTGTTGCTGAGATGAAAATCCAATTCTCTGCACCAGACCCCACTGGCACTAGGCCTTCATTCGTTCCTTATTGCCAGGTCCCACTCTGGCACTGGGCACCCAGGAATGCAACAGACATGGCCCCTGCCTGACTTTGGCTGGGCACCAGAGTCTGAGGCTAGACTGGCAGGTACCTCTCTTCAGGGCCCCTCCACACACACCCCAGCAGGAAGCGCCCGTCCAGAGCTCCCCACAAGGACTCACCAGGGAGCGCTGGTCATAGCTCATCCTCCCTAGAGACATGACACTGCTCTTTCGGGAGCCCAGGGCCACCAGCATGGGGTCCGGCTGCAGTGAGAGTCGGGGGGCAGGTCCCGCAGCCCCAGCAGGACCTAGGTGCCCACCCAGTGGGAGACTGGGGTCCAGGTGCCCATTGGGGGTCATGGGGATTGGGCAGAGCTTGGGATCTGGAGGAGTGAGATGGAGACAGAGGGAGGGACAGATGGCAGACAGGACAGAACAACAGCAAGGGAGCCACGAGACAGACAAACAAGGAAGGAGCAGAAATGGAGAGCTTTTCTAAGGAGGCTTCCTCTACCAGGAAGTCTTCCTGGTTGCACCCCATCACAGTGCCTCCCCTTCGCCCCACCTGCAGGGCTCTTAGCTTTATTTAGGTATGTGTGGACCCCTTGCCTTCTGTGCTCAGAACCAGCCTGACACCTCACTCCCATGCCCACTATGGGAAACAAGGCAGGGACTGTCCGCCCCAGTTACCGAGAAAGACACTGGGCTAGGGTTGGAGGATGCTTGTTCCAAGATGCCCAGTAGTGCCAGGCAGGACCAGAACCTACACCTTGACCTAAGGCCCCAAGGCTCTAACCAAGGGGCCCTGGTATGTGGAGGGATGTGGTGGGCTGCGGCTACCCCTGTGCCTAGAATCCCAGGGGTCCATGGATGTCACTGACCTCTTTTTGAGATTTCACATTTTTTCCAATTATGAACGTAAACAACAAACCATAGATAAGTAGCAGTCCCTGAGCCTGGGCTTGAGGTGGAGTCAGACGCTGTACCCTCTGCCCACCTGGATCTGTGGAGAAGGCTCTGGGCTCTCTAGGTGACAAGCGAGGGCCTGTTTACCTCCGCTGCTGTCCAGGCCTTCCTGGAGCTTATCAAACTCTTCTATGTTGGATGAGCTCTGGTCCTCGTCCGAGTAGGAGCGATTGGCGTCACCCTGGGAGAGCATCCGTCACGTTAGAATGCAGGTCAGTCCAGCTCCTCCCTTCCCAGCTCCCTCTAGAATTTTTCTATGGGTGTTTCCACCGCCATTTTGCAAATGGGAAAACTGAGGTTTGGAAAAGGGAAATGAGATGCTAACAAGAACCTAGGTCACAACCCTACATCTGCCTGACTGCAAGTATCCCCAGAGCCTCAGAGAACGGAGGGAGCAGGGCCCAGAGTCCCTAATCTTGGGGGATTTCGAATCTCAGAGATGGAGAAGCCTAGTCCTACATCCCTGGGGGGGAGCAGGGATGGCAGACGCAGTCTCCATTTGCATGCTTCCTATGATGAAGAGCTCACCACCTCATCAGCAACCCCCTCCTTTAGGGATAGGTTGCCTGCTAGAAGTTTGAATTGCAGCCCTCCCCCATCCAGGCCACCTCTCCCTCGCCCAGTCTTTCGCAGACCCTGTGGGGGTGCTTCCTCTGCCAAGACCACAGTCACCTCCGCCTGGAAGCCCTCCACCAGGATGGCCACCAGCAGGTTGAAGAGCACATAGTTGCCGAAGGTCATGAGGGCGACAAAGTAGAGGGAGGCCCAGGGAGAAGTGGAGGCCATGCCATTGTAGAGAACGACGTTCCAGTCCTCCTGGGTGAGGATCTGTTGGGGAGACACAGTTAGCCCTGGGGTACCCCTAGTCCAGGGCTAGGCTCTACAAGGAGGCATGGGAGTTGTCAGCCCCGCCCCTCCCAGGCCTACTGTCCCATCGCTTCCCCAGCAAACATGAACACGCAGCGGCCACTCACCTGGAACACAGTGACGATGGCCCACAGCAGGGAGTCGAAGTTCTTCCTGTCGGGCACCGTGTCTCCAGTGTCCGTGCGGAGGCTGAACTTGCAGCCAAAAATATGCATCCCAAGGATGCTGGGGAAAGGATGGAAGAGGCTCATCGGACTCACATGCACCAAACTGCCTACTCACCTTGTTTCATTCTCAGTCAACTCAGTAAAATGCAGGGCAGGGGGAGGCGGGGCAGCGTTGGTCCCATTTTACAGAGATGAACACTGAGGCTTAGGGGTTCATGCTTGCTGAAAGCCACAGGGGACTGAGGAACAGTGTCAGGCTTCACACCCAGGTCCAGGTGGCTTTGTCCAGAGAAGCACAGTGGACCACATCCCCCAGGCTCCCGCCCACAGCCCCAGCAGGTGCTGAGGTATGGCCCCCAGCAGGGCAGGCTCACCTGAAGATGAAGATGAAGAGCATGAGCAGCATGCAGAAGGTGGCCACGTTGTCCATGGTCTTCATGAGCACCACGAGCTGGCGCCGCAGGGCAGGCATGAAGCGCACCAGTTTCAGCACGCGCAGCAGCCGGAAGGTCCGCAGCACCGACAGCCCACCGTCCGCCTGCCCCACAATCTCCCAGATGCTGCGGTCCCGCAGGGCAGGCCCAGGGTACAGGTAGGAGGCAGCAGTAGGAGGCCAGGGGGAGAGGAAGACAGAGGGAGAAGGGAAAACAGAGAGACAGAGCTTCCATTCATCCATCCATCTGACAAATATGTTGGATGCTGCTCCACGCCACAAGCTAATCAGGGGCTCTTCACTTGGAGTCCATGGACCACCACCACCCCCACAAGAAGTCTCTGGCTAGAATCCGGAGGTCCATGGATATCACTGTCCTCTTTTTGAGATTTAACGTGTCTTTTGGTTATGAATGTAAACAGGAAGCCACAGAGAATTAGCAGTACCTATGGCTTTGTGGCAATCAAAGTAACTGGTGTCTTCACGTCACGTGACAGCCGATGCAGTTGTTTCCCAATATGATTTATGCCCATCCCTTCCTCGGAATGATAGCAGTCACAGACGCGCTGCTAGATCATGCTGTTTAACTTGACAGAAATATGTTGCTAAATCACAAATGTTTGACTATTTCGATAATTGTTTCAGTGCAACGGGTTTCCACAGCCATCTTATGTCCTTTATATGCTGGCTGGGGTCTTTGCAGTAAATGTCCCCCCGAGGCACTCTGCTGCCGGGTGGGTTGGGGGAGGGGTACCTGATGATGACAATGATGCTGTCGAAGATGTTGTAGGGGTTACGCAGGTAGTCGAAGAGCCCAAATGCAGCCAGCTTCAGGATCATCTCCAGGGCAAACATGCTGGTGAAGACCACATTGCAGATCTCCAGGATGTTGGTCAGCTCCTCCGGCTGTGGGGCATTGGGGTGGGGAATGGAGACCCGGTCAGGCCAGAGGGCAGCTGTGGATCCCCTCTGGACACCCACCCTGGCTGTGTGACCCTGGCAGGTCGGTGTCCTCACCATACCTCCGTCTCCCCACTGCCCCATGCACAAGGCCCCGAGGGCCCCTCTCAACTCTGCTACCTTGGGGTCGTGAGAGGTCTGCTGAGATGGTGAGGGTTGGGGGACCCCACAGCGCTGACCTTCCACAAATTTGGAAATGAGGCTTGTAGCACACTACCAGGGAAGTGTTCTGATACGCATTTTACGGATGAGGAAAAAGAGGCTTGGAGGCCAGCCTGAGGTCACACGGCTAAGATGCAGAGCAAGACAGGAAAGCAGGACAGGCGTCGCTAGACGTCACTAACCCATTTAGTGAGCACTTACCACGTGCCGGGAACCGTTCTATGCATTTTACAGCCATCACTTCACTTAGCCCCTCACAAGAACCCGTCTGCAGACAGGCAAGGACACGGGTTCACAGGACGCCAGTCCCTTGCCTGAGGCCACAGAGCTAACAAGTGGTGTGGCCAGGATTTGAACCCAGGCAGCCTGGCTCCAAGACTCCTGCCCTTAACCCCCGCCCATGCAGAACTTTTCTCTCCCCTTCCCAGCAATGGCCGTCTCAGGACCAAGGGTGGCTGGGGACATCGTGCCCCATGAAAGGACGGTGGACACAATGTACCTGCTGCATGCCAGGCACAGTCCTGCACACAGAGCACCCGTGGTGGCTCTTAGCACTCCCAGCAGCTCTCGGAGGAGGACATTCAGACCCAGGGAGGTTAGAGGACCTGCCCAAAGCCACTAGTTGGTCAGAGGGAGACTAGCTCCCTCCCCCAACAGCTGTGGAGCCTCCCTCTGCTCCCAGAGCTGTTTACCCCTGGTTTTTAACTGATATCCTGCAAATGGCATTGTTCAAAGAACCCCAGTGTTCAAAGCAGGCCACACTAGAGGCCACGACTGGGGGCAGTGGGGGAAGTTGGAGGGGTCCGGGTTTGGTTTGGACATTAAGTGGCTGTGTGGTCCTGGGAAAGTTGCTTCCCCCCTCCTCTGGAGTTTAGTTTCCTTATCCATAAAACCACGGGGTCGAGTGAGGAACCAATTCATCCAAGCCTCTCCTCTAAGGCTCCTACGAGGCCCAGCCCCTTCTCTCCCTGCCACGGCTCCCCTGGGACTGATGAAGTGTCTGGTGTGTGCTCACTGTGGTGCCAGGTCATCCCTGCCTGAATCACAGAGAAAGGAAGCACTGTCGTTGAGACCTGATTTGACGCCCAACACAAGTTAGCCTCTCCGTTTTACAGATGAGGAGACTGAGGCTAGGGAAACTGGGAGGGGGAATGACTTGTTCAGAGCCACCTAGCAAGGATGTGGCAGGGCAAAGGCAGGGCACTGAACCAAGCTGGACTCCAAACTGCTCTCCCGTTACACCACATGGGGACTGCAGCCAAATTCATTCATTCATTCATTCATTCATTCATTCCTGCATGGCTACCACAAATTTGAATGACATGATGTGCTGGGCTCGAGCTACCAGGGTGGGCAGTGGTGAGGGAGTCAGGGCACCGTCCCTGCCTTTGAGAAGCTCGTGCTCTGGGGCCAAAGCCCAGTAAACCAAGTTAACAAACCAAGCCAGTGTGTGCTGACGCCAGGAAAGTGGGGGGTGGCTAGGGGAGCGGTGCTAGTGGGGTCAGGAGGCAGCGACATCTCAGCAGAGACCTAAAAGCTAAGAGAGAGCTGGCGCCAGGGAGCAGAGAAGGGTGTGCAGGTGGAGGACCCAGCTGGCTGGGAGGTGGGAGAGCAGAGGACCGAGAGCAGGAGCCCCTCCATCAGCAACGGGGAGCCGCAAGGACCTGACTCCGACTCCATGTGGGTTAAAAGGAGGATGGAAAAAAAAAATAACAACCCAAGCGCCAGCTTCCAGCCTGATGCCTGGGAAAGCTAATAAAACTGCCAGCTCCTCTCAAGCCCAGATGAAAGGAGAAGGCCCATTTCCATCTGTAATTACATCTGACTCAAGAAGTCGTCCCAAAAGAGGAGTAGGACCCTGAGAGGGACCCTCGGTGGGGAGGACTGAGCCAGGGTCCAGATGCTGCTCAGAGCCAGCAATTTGCCAGCCCAGTAAGCGATGTCCGCGGAGATGAAAGCTGTAGGCGCTGACACTCCGTGATGATGATCAGCTGGCTCCAGCCGCGCGCGCCACGCACACACTCCTACCAGGGATGCAGGGAGCCACTGCCATCCAAAAGGTCACCCCGCGCCTCCTCCTCCCTCACAACAGATGTTCCTCCATTCAGCACACCTGTTAATCTTTTTCTAATGGACCATCCATCACTCATGAAAGCATTTCTCCGGGACAGAGACACACAGACGAATATAGACACAGCAAGTGGGAGCCCAAGGAGGAGGGGACATGGAGAGGGAGGGGCGGAGATGGGCAGAGACAGACAGACAGACAGATAGAGACAAGGGAGTGAGGGGCAAAGGTGGGGCATGGAGAGATGGAGACATGGAGACAGGAAAGCAGGGACACGGATGTGAAGAAGGACCAGGACAACGAAGCAGTGACACCATGGGAACCATAGGTACGGCCAGAAAGAGACACAAAAAGAGCAGGCAGACAGACAGCAGGACAGACAGACAGATGGCAGAAAGCTCGCTGGAGGTGGCAAAGACCACCCAGTGAAGGCAGACATGCTGAAGGGCTGAAAACACCAAGTTCAGCCAGAGGCAGGAGGTAGGGGGCAGCAGTGGGAGCCTGCAAGTCCCTGCCTGATGCGGGTTTGGGTGACACCAGGCTGCCCAGCCTCTGCCATTTCTGTAGGGGTAGATAAGGGTGTGCAGAGGTCAGCTGCCCCCCGGGAAGCCCTCCAGCCCAGCACCATCCCCATCATAATAATGGCAGCTAGCGTTGATTAGGCCCCTCCCATGGGCCGGGTGTGCTGAGCACGCCCCATGCATTATCTCCTCTCAATCTCAAGCCCTGTATTATCACCATTTTACAGACAGGGAGCCTGAGACTCAAAGGGAACTGACTGCCCAGGGTCATGGCCAGGCTGTGTTGAAGTCAGATCTCAACCCTAGGTCTTCTCCCTCTGGCCACATCCCCACCTCCATGGCCCAGGTGCCTTCACCTGCCCCCCTTTTCTGATGAGGCCCCAGTTCAGCACAAATGTGTCATTTGCTTGCAAGCCTTTCCGGGCTCCCCATTGCCCTAAGGATAAAACCAGCTCCAAGGTCCTCCTGAATGAACAGCCCTCCTGGCCTCCTGCACTGTCTGCCCTGCCCCTTGTACACATCCTTCTTGAGGACTCAGGGTCCTTTTGGGGGATACCTATGCTCCTGGTCCCTGTCCCTCTGTCTCGCTGATGAACTCCTAGTCATCCTTCGGGATCCGTCCCCAGTGCCATCACCTCCAGGAAGCCTTCCATGACTGCTGTCCATGTTGGTGTTTCTCTCCCTTGGGCCCCTATAGAGCTGGAATGTCAGCCACTAAGCCACCCCATTCTTCACTTCCCAGAGTCACCCCAGACCTGGATTGGCAGTGACTTGACACGTAAGGGGCTGCTGAAGGAAGAATAAAGCCAGCTTTGATCCAGCCACTGATTCAGAGGCCTTGAATGCAGTCCTCTGGGAGCTGGGGCCAGTAACTATGCCCTGGCCTGGGGTCAGCCCTACCCAGGAGGCTCCCCGCACCCTGCCCTGCTGCCCATGCGCCCCAACCCTCTGTTTTTTGTTCTCCAACTTGGTGGTTAGCCTCCAGCTCCAGGACATGATAAAGCTGCAGGGCAGCCCTGCCCAGCTCAGGGGGAGTCAGGGCCTGCATGGGTGTGTGCAGGAGAGAGAAGCTGAACAGACACTGCTCCTAGGAGCAATGCCTTCCTCCAGTTCAACTGTCCACAGCTGACCTCAATCTCCGGGAGCCCGGCTCTGTCGCTGCTCACCCTGGCACCTTGGGCAAGCCATCTACTTCACTGAGCCTCAGTTTCCCCATCTGCCTGGTGGTGATTAGATGCTCCCCCAGCCTGCCCCACAAGACTGCCAGAGGATCACACCAGGAAGAGCTGTGATGCAGTGATGGCGGTGATGATGAAGGAATCAGGCCTCCCTGGAGAAGCCTGGCCACCCCAGCTGACCTGTCCCACCTGCCCGTCACACAGCCTGGGCTACCCAGGGGGTGGGAATTTCAGCCCCATTTCACCACTTCGTGAGTCACACACAGGCCCCTGCCTGGCCTACACCCTACCTCACCCATCCCCTCCTTCTAGGCCAGGCCCTGCAAGAAACAGCATCTGCTGCCATGAGGAACCTGGATGAGCAAGCTGTTCTCTGGGTAATGCCCCCAAGATTTCAGCAGCAGTGGTCACCCTAAAGGCTTGAGCAACTGCAATCTAACCTGTCATTCAAGCACCCTGTGACCAGGCCTGAGGTCACTCTGCCCCACTTCACAGATGTCACACCCTCGCCTCCTGCCCCTCAGTGTCACAGAGCTCCCTGCCAGCCAGGATGGGGTATGGGGCAAGGCCCCCCATGCTGCCTCCCCTGCAGGAGAAGGGCTGAGGGAGTTCACCCACCCTCTCCTCCTCTCCTTCTCTCCCTGCACCCCCCTTGGAAGCCCTGGGCCACCTCTCTCTGCGAGCGCCACCTCAGACAGGGCTGCTCAAAATAAACATGGGGGCGGATCATTTCCCGCAGAGCAGTGTCTGGGAGCCGAGCGAGCGGAGCAAAAATACCAGCGGGCCCATAGTCAGGCCCTGCGCAGAGCCCAGGAGACCATGGCTGCCCCTGGAGCTGCTTTATAAGGGACATTTCAGAGACTCATCCTCCCCCTCTTACTTTAATTTTTTGAGGCTCCAGACAGAGGATGGTAAATGCACCCAGGGGTGGTGGTGTGAGCTCAGACAAGACTCTGAAGCAGTGACTCATCAGTGAGCACCTACTAAGCGCCAGGTTCTCAATGCAGTCAGCCCTCTTAGCCACTGTGTGGGGGGCTCCGTGCACCCACAATGCAGTCAGCCCTCTTAGCCACCGTGTGGGGGGCTCCGTGCACCCACAATGCAGTCAGCCCTCTTAGCCACCGTGTGGGGGGATCCGTGTACCCATTTACAGATGGGGGGTGCCAGGTGAGGAAGCCAAGTGATGCACTCCCGGCCACCCTGCCAGTCAATAGCAGAACCAGGATTGGTTTGTTTGGCTGATTTGGAATTTTTTGTTTGTTTTGACACATGATCTTGCTCTGTTGTCCAGGCTGGAATACAGTGGCACAATCACCAATCACTGCAGCCTCAAATTCCTGGGTTCAAGCAAACCTCCCACCTCAGCCTCCTGAGAAGCTGGGACTACAGACATGCACCACCACACTTGGTTAATTTGTTTATTTTTTGCAGAGACGGGGTCCCACTCTGTTGCCCAGGCTGGTCTTGAACTGCTGGGCTCAAGTGATCCTCTCGCCACAGCCTCCCAAAGTGCTGGGATTACAGGCATGAGCCACCAAGCCAGGCCAGAACCAGGATTGAAACCCAAACGTTATGTGATCTATTTGCTCTCTGAGCAGTGGCCTTCCAAGGGTACAAGAGGGGCGAGGTAATAATACCTGCCTTGAGGGTGGCTGGACTCACTGGCACCATGCTGGCACAGGGCCTGGCCTGCAGTAGGTGCTCAGTAAATGGTGGCCTGTCCCTGTGAGGGAAAGACATCTGCTTAGTAGATGAGGAAATCAGGTGGGCCCTGTGACCAGGCAGGAGACGCACAGTGGGAACAGCCTCTCTCATCTCTTAGCCTGGTCAGGAAGCCACGTGAAGCCTGCTGCTCCCAGAAGAGGCTCCACCTGGCTGGGCACGGTGGCTCATGCCTGTAATCCCAGCACTTTGGGAGGGTGAGACAGGCAGATCACCTGAGGTCAGGAGTTCAAGACCAGCCTGGCCAACATGGCGAAACCCCGTCTCTACTAAAAATTAGCTGGGAGTGGTGGCACACGCCTGGAGAATTGCTTGAACCTGGGAGGGGGAGGTTGCAGTGAGCCCAGATCACACCAATGCACTCCAGCCTGGACAACAGAGTGAGACTCCATCTCAAAAAAAAAAAAGGCTCCACCAGATCCGAGGTTGGAAAGCTTGATCAGACAGATGTGACAGAAGGAGGGAGAGGCAGATCCTGAGGAGGCTTGGGCAGGGACCGTGGCCTGGCCTGAGGCTGGACCTGCCCTGGCCGTGGTGTTGACATGGATGGGGTGGGTGAAAAGGCAGGGACCAGCTGGACCCTGGCAAAGAGCCCTCTGCAAACAGCCCTGATGTGGAACATCTGCCAATTTCCATGGTGTAAATACTCCCTCCACGGCCAATTTCAAGCTCCCAACTCTTTCATCACTGGCTTGCAAAATTCCTGAGTGTTTGGAAATTGGCCCTCACCAGCTGGCTCCAGCAAGCCCCTGGCAAGGACAGTGCCGGGGCTCGAGGGTAGCAGGGCTGTGCAGGCCCCCTCGATGCTGCCCCACTTGGAGACTGGAGCGAGCCCCACAGCACTCATTCCCTGTGGGGCTTTCTGCAGGAATGCTGCTCCCCTGCAGGCCTGGGTCAGGCACTGACCAGAGGCTGAACTCTAAGCAAGGGGGTCCTGGGGGCCCTGTCTCACCAGCTCTCCCCCTGCAGAGAGCCCTCTCGCTAGCCCTCCCCAGAGACCTTTTTAATTAAGCTGGAATGGCTGGCAAATGAGCAGCTCTGAACAGAGTGTCATGGCAGCCCCGGGAGCCCCATTTAAGTAAATTGAATGGAGCCTGTGCTTGGTGAGCTAACGAAGAGGGAGGTGCGTGTGCGGCCCCATGGGGTGCGGCATGCAGGGCCTCCACAGAAGGAGGGCCGCAGGGCAGCAAACAGAATGTCGAAATCCCAAGCCCTCCCGGGGCGTCAGTCTTGCCACAGAAAGAAGTTGGTTCGAACCTGGCCCCCAGCTGGCGGCGGGACCTCGGGCCAGTGACTTCCCCGCCGTTGGACCTCAGGGTCACCAGCTGCTAGGTGGGAACCTTCGCAGAGCTGGGGAGTGGGTTCAGGGAGTCACCCCATCCAGGGGCTGGTGGATGGCAGGAGCCAGAAAATGGTGTTTTTCCAAATGGGGCAGGACCAGACCTGCCACCCAGGCTGTCAACCCCAGGTGGGGCCTGTGGACTGAGGCATCCTTGCTAACCCCACTGCCCCTCCCTCCCGTGTCCCCACAGAGGCCCTGCTCTCCTCACACACACATCCTCCCCCAGCTCCCACCATCTCCCAGAAGCTGTCCCCTCCCCTATGTACTGTCCCCCTGGGGCCCACCAGCCCTGTGATGGCCCAGGGGCCTGGAGCACACTGTTCAGCTCAGCGCCCACTCCTCCTGTCCTCCCTGCTCCCAGCCCACAGGAGGGACATGCAGAGAGGACACACAGGACAACCACAGGGCCACTCGCCCTCAGCGCCATGGGGCTGTATGGGGTGGAGTCACTGGATGGGACAGGACACCCTGGCCTGGTGAAGGGACGTTGTGACAGAGACAAGGGGCCTTGAGGGTCATGCAAAGGTCTGGATTTTGTCCTGAGGGCAATGAGGAGCAACAGAAGTTTTGAGGCAGGGAAGAGCCCAACAAGACTGGCCCTCTGGAAGAATCACCCCAGCTGTTTGGGGGGGAATGGACAGAAGGGCCCAGGTGGCCAGGCTTGGTGGCACCTCCCTGTAGTCCCAGCTACTTGGGAGGCTGAAGAGGGAGGATCGCTTGATCGTGCCACTGCACTCCAGCCTGGGCAGCAGAGCAAAACTCTGACTCTATCTGTTTTTTAAATTTTTTTTTTTTTTTTAAAGAAGAAAACAGAAGGGCTCAGGTGGAGAGGTGAATAGAAGTCAGATTTGCAGGGACTGGCAGGGGATGCGCTGTGGTTGCCTTGGTATCCAGGCTGAGCAGCTTAGGAGGAAAAGAGCCCCGGAGAGGCCCAGTCCTAGCCAGCTTCACTCGTTCACTCATCATTCATTCGGCAGACACCCAAGCCCTTCCTTCCTCTGAGCTCGGCCCTGGCTGGGCAGTAAGGTCACATGGATGAACTGGACCCAGCTCAGCCCGGCACTTCTAGGTGGACAGACACACAAACCCAGGCAGATGGATGGGGCTGCCCAGGCCTGGGCAGGGTCCTGGGGCCCTCACACCTCTCCCGCAGGCCCGGCCCGGCTGCGCTGCACTGGCCTGCTCGTGGTGCTCGATGCCCATGCTGACGGTGTTGACCAGGATGGCCATCATGATGCCCCGGTTGAAGTACTTGCTGTCCACGATGCCGCGCAGCTTGGCTCGCGTCTCCCGCCACACATCCCCGCACAGCCAGACCGCCCCATCCGCCTGCTCCTCCTCCTCCTCCTCCTTCCCCAGTTCTGAGGAGGCTCCGTCCTCGCTGCTCCGGGCCCCGTCCCCATCCGCCTCGTCCTCGCCACCAGCGGAGCTCCCGGAGCCCGAGCCCTCCTGGCCCGAGTCGGTGCTGCCCAGGCCCGAGGGCCGCCGGCCGTCCTCATGCTGGCAGCAAGGGCAGCTGGCGGGATCGGAAGCCAGCGTGGCGGGGATGGGCTGCACCAGGGTGTGGGGCGTCGCATCCAGGGGGCTATGTTGCGGGCACAGCTCTGAAAAGCAAATGAGAGGGGCATAGAGTCGTTGCCCACACCAGGCCCAATCCACCCTGGGACACATCCCTGAGTGCGCTTGGCTCCCAGGCCCACAGGTCTGCCTGGAACCAGCCGACCCAGCCTGGAAAGGCGGTCAGGGGTGCCTGGGGAAGCGGCTGCAGCTCTCTGAGCTTTGTCTGCCCCTGTTGTAGAAGTTGGGGCAGGAACGCCCACCATGCAGGCTGTAGGAGGATTCTCTCCCTTAAGGCACATGATGGGCCCAGCACGGTGCAGGGCGCGCATCCGTGCTGACCGGCCATCCCTCCTGGCCTAGGCCCTGGGTCAGCATGGAACAGACCCAGAGCCCCAGTCGTGCAGCTTGGGAACTAGATGTGATTCTGAAAGAGTCAGGCCAATGTGGGGGCAGCCCCCGTCAGAGAAGGCCATGGTGGACTTGGTGTTCTCAAGTCTCCTGCCTATACAGCAGGTGGGGAGCGGGGAAGGGGTGAGGTTTGCTTCCCAGGGAGGGGAGGAGGCATGGAGCCCTGGGGCAAGGGCAGACCCTCACTCCAGAAGCCCCTGGGACTTCCCTCCACGCAAGGGGTGGAGGTGGGGGCAGCGGGCAGGAAGGGCCCCTGGGAAGAGGGAACTTCATCCCTTTGCTGCCCCGGAATCACAGGAGACGCCTGGGCTGGCCCTGGACTGAGTTCTGTGATCTGTGAACCATCTCAAAGAGGTGTCAGAGAGGCCTCTCTCTGCTTGGTTTAATGCCTTCTTTGTGTTTTCCTATATATTCCTAGAATAAACACATTTTGCTTGTGTAAGCCAAAAAAGTAACATGAAAGGGAAAGAAAAGCATGTCACGCCTACCCTTCATTTCCACACTTGCCTCCAGATGCCTCCCAAGCCCTGAATAAGCACCCCTGGCTCATTCACACCTCTGGAGTCAGGGCGGGCAGCCAGGAACCCAGGGGTCAGTCCCATCTCACCCCGGAGGACAGGCCCAAAGCCCTTCCCAGCGCCGGCTCACTGCTCCCACCTGGACGTGGGGCGACAGCCAACTCTCGTTTTCCAGGGCAGAGGGGAGGCCCAGGGGCAAGGGGGCAAGAGTGCCAGGAGAGGGGGCTGGGCGGCCGCAGGAAGCCCGTTGGAGTGAACACTTCTCCCCCACGTCCTCCAGCAACACCAGTGCCAGCCTTGCCCGGCCCCAGCTCCTGTGTCCGCATGCCGGGCCTGCCCACGGGCCACCTGGGGCCTCCTCCGAGCCCACGCCTGGATGGCTGGCACCCGAGGACGGGTGGGCGGCAGCTCTGAGCGTGCATTCTTCTGCTTGCCTCCCAAGAATCGATTCCCAGACTGTGAGAGCTGGAAGGACAGGGCTTTCCAGAGCAGGGCCTGGGGTGGCTGACTCCCGCCGTGGACGGCCACGTGCTGGGGGCCCCTGTCCTCACTTTATAGAGGGAGACAGGCCTGCAGAGGGTCGCGGCTGCTCAAGCGCCGTCCCCATGCCTGCCGACTTCCTTCTCAGCACCAACTGGGAGAAGTGGTATTGGGGCTGGGGGCAGGGCCCACCTCCCGTGGCCCTGGCTTGCCTCTTCCCGAGTGATCATTTCCAGGGGAGGCAGGCCCATGCAAAGTCTGGCAATGCCGGCTTCCGAGATGTCTCCCTTCATCTCCCTGACCCTTAGTCTTCCCATCTGAAAAGTGGAGATAATATTACTATCTTCTCCCTTCTCAGGACCGTTTCCTGGAACAGATGAGGCAACCAACAGGGCAGCCCCTTCCAAGCCTAAAAGCATAAACTTGGCCAGGGGCGGTGGCTCATGCCTATAATCCTAGCACTTTGGGAGGCCAAGGCGGGAGGATCACGTGAGCCCAGGAGTTTGAGACCAGCCTGGGCAACATAGGGAGACCCGTCTTTACAAAAAAAAATTAAAAAATTAGCCGGGCATGGTGGTGCATGCCTGTAGTCCCAGCTACTCCGAAGGCTGAGGCAGGAGGATGGCTTAAGCCTAGGAGTTTGAGGTTGCAGTAAGCTGTGTTTGTGTCACTGTACTCCCTGGGTGACCCTGTCTTAACAACAACAACAAAAAACAAAAGTGTAACTCTCACAGCCCCACGACAAGCACAGAGCACAGGGTGGCATGAGTCCCCAACATGCCACAGCTTTGAGGGGCAGGCCCACAGCCCCTTTGTGTCAGGTACCCAGGGTCATTGCTCAGGTGTGCTGGAAAGCAGGGGACAGCAGCAGGAACCCAGAGAAGGGAGTGATGTGGCTGCAGTGGGGGGGAAGAATTTTAGCTTTCCGAGACTGAGGAGAGACACTTGTTCTTTCCTCTCAAGTGTGGCTTCCTCCGAGGCCGATCTGCTATCTCCACACATACACAGGGATCGAGTTCCTCCAGGGCAAAGGCTGAGTTCCCTCAGCCCCAGGCCCGGCCCAGCGCAGGCTCTGACAGGTGCCAGGAGAGGGCAGGCAGAGGTGGGGACAGAGGTCCCTGGGGGCTGTGAAGGAAACACTTGAGCATGAAGTGAAGACCTGGAATTTGGAGGCTGCTGGGCCTGCTGGACGTGCTGGAAAGGAGTGACACTTGGCACGAAGTGCCTGAGTGCCGCGTCGGATGCAGGGCCACTTACGGTAGTGCCGGGGCTCCTTGGCGTGGGGCCCAGGTTTGGCGGGGGCCGGGGCCTCCGGGCCCAGGGCCTGGCGCCGGCTCTGCAGGGCCTGGTAGAGGCCCAGGGCGCGGCGCTTGGCCTTGCGCAGGATGTGGCAGACATACTGGAAGATCTCCTCGTAGCAGTCGCCAGGCTCGGCGTAGCTGGCCACCGTGCTGGAGGACAGGTAGCGCTGCCGCTGCTCCAGCATCAGCCGGTGCTCCCGTTGCTTGGTCTCCGAGAACTGGGTCGCTATGACAACGAGGCACAGGTTGATCATGAAGAAGGAGCCCACCTGTGACCAACGGGAGGAGAGGACAGGGACAGGGACAGGGATGGAGGGGACAGAAGGGTGAGAGAGGCAGAGTCATGGAGTGGGGACAGCAGGGAGACATGGGGAGAGGGAGGCAGAGGGAGATGGGGAGATGGAGATGGAGATGGCGGTACAGAGGCAGAAATGAAGCAAGGAGGAGGGGCAGGGACCAACCGGAGACACAGAGGCCAGAGCAAGGGCAGGTAGAAAGAGACAGTGAGGTACAGAGACGCGATGACAAAGAGAGTAAGACGGGCTCAGAAAAGACAGATGCAAGGGAGGGGAGATGCAGGGGACGAGTGGAAACAGGGAAAGAAAAGGGCAGGGGAGGTGGAGGGGCCCAGAGAGACACAGGCACAGACACAGATGGGGACAGGAAAAGATCGCTGAGGCCTCGCTCCAGGAGAAAGCGACGGCCCAGGCAGCTCCCTGGGCCCGACCGGAATCTGCTTCAAAGCCCAGCTCCCCTCAGACCCCTAGGCCCTGGCCTAGCCCCCATCCGCCTGGGACATCTGCACTGAGCCCAGAGAGGGAGGCCACAGCCCGTCGTGGGCTTCCCAGGCCCTGAGTCCTTGCCCAGCCCTGCCTTCTCTCTGACCAGAATCTGGCCTCAGCTGGGACCCCAGATGAGAAAAGAGAAGCTGCCTTGGGGTTTTCATGTGGCTTTATCTGTGCTTGCATGAAATGAAGGGGGAGAGGCTGCCCTGGTTGGCATTGGGGATCCCATCTCCTTGTGGCCCGAGGGCTCCACGAGTGGGGCTCCTCTCCAGTTTCCAGGCTTTCAGGGCGCAGCCCCCTCCCCAGCATTTGCTGAGCCTGGGAGTGAACTTGGCTGCCGGCCAGCCTGAGCAGATAGCTTTCATCCCCCTTGGAGGTGCCCGCCAGGAGGTTCTCCATGGCTGCAGCCTCATCAGTGATGACTGAGGAGCTAGAGTCTGGGAGGGTTGCTGGCCCAGAGGACTCTGGGAAAATCCCCTGCCTCTCGGGTAAGAAGATGGCATCCCATCCTTGTCTCAGTCACCTTGTCCACAAGCATTTCCTGGGGAGCCTCCCTGCACCAGGCCTGTGTGAGAGTCACAGGAAGAGACAGCTGGGCCCTGCCCTCTGGGACCACACGCTTGTCAGGCTCCTACCCGCCCCTGCCTCTGCAGCTGCTGCCCTGGGCGACCCGGGTGGGCCTCCATCCCCTCCTGGCCTCCACTTCCCCATCTGTAAAATAGGAGGCTCAAACCTGATGAGCCAAGAACTTTTTTAGTCAGAAGGAAGCCAGGTGCGGTGGCTCATGCCTGTAATCCCAGCACTTTGGGAGGCTGAAGTGGGTGGATCACTTGAAGTCAGGAGTTCGAGACCAGCCTGGCCAACATCATGAAATCCTGTCTCTACTAAAAATACAAAAATTAGCCGGGCATGGTGGTGCATGCCTGTAATCCCAGCTACTCAGGAAGCTGAGGTAGGAGAATCACTTGAACCCGGAAGGCAGAGGTTGCAGTGAGCCAAGATCAGGCCATTGCACTCCAGGCTGGGCAACAAGAGCAAGACTCCGTCTTAAAAAAAAGCACTGGGGGCCGGGGGCTGCGGCTCATGCCTGTAATCCCAGTGCTTTGGGAAGCCAAGGCAGGAGGATCACTTGAGTCCAGGAGTTTGAGACCAGCCTGGCAAATATAGCAAGACACTGTCTCAAAAAAAAATTTAAACATTAGCCAGGCATGGTGGTGCATGCCTATAGTCCCAGCTACTCAGGAAGCTGAGGGGGGATGATCGCTTGAGCCCAGGAGATCAAGGCTGCAGCGAGCTATGATTGCACCACAGCACTCCAGCCTGGGCAACAGAGCCAGACCTTGTCTCTAAAATTAAAAAAAAAAAAAAGAAAGAAAATTTAAAGAAGGAGCACTAGGGCCTGGGCTTGAAGGCCAAGGACCCCTCACCTTTCTGGGGTTCAGGGTCCTCACAGGAGGTGACCCTGCAGGTGACATAGCAGTGCATTTGTCCTGACTTTGCTCTCTGGACCCTTCCCAGTGTCTGAAAAAACTCAGCCCTTTCAGCCTCTCGCCAGCACTCATCGTCCTGTGACAGGGCCACCTGAGACCCAATAATAGCAGCAATAATAGTAGCAGGGCACATGTACTGAGTACTCACTGTGTGCCAAGGACATGCAGGCTTCAGGCTCTGTCTCACCTAACCCTCCTGAGAGCCCAGGAGCAAGGTGCTGTCACTGTCCCCCATTTCACAATGAGCTCGGGGAGCATCGTGCTTTACCCCAACTGTACCCTTAGCCACCCTTAACCCCACAGCGAGAGCAGATGGAGCATCCTCCAGCCCCTCCCGGGAACTGGAGACTCCTCTTGCAACCCCAGGGGCTTGTGGCTCCCACACTGCAGGATCCTGGCCAGCTTCAGGGGCTCTGTGAGCCACCCCTGCCCAAGAGGCTCTTTCCCTGCTCACCTCCCTGAGTCTTTAAGGCTCAATTCTGGCATCACCTCCTCCAGGAAGCCTCCCACCTCCCCATCCCTCCTCCAGGCTGGATCGGGAGCCTTCTCTGGGCTCCCTTCTATCATGGCACCTAAGGTGCTGTATGGTCAGACTGCTGTCAGCCCATCTTCCCCACGAGCCTGTGAGCTCCTCGAGGACAGGGGCTGGGCCTTACTCACTGCTCTGTTCCTAGCACTTGGCTCAGGGCCTGGTGCAGTGTGGGTTTCCTGAATGTTCTGGTGAGTGAATATGCAAGGCCATGGATGGCAATGCTGAATAAAATCTGGCCCCTCTCCTTTTACCTGGGGCATCTTCTATAGGTCCAAGGCCCCAGCCTCCCCAAGAAAGCACTGGAGCTTAGACAACAGCAGGTGTCTCAGGTCACCTGCTGGTCTGTTCTGGGGCCCCAGGTCAAGGTCCTGCCAGCCCAGGATGGGGCACTGCCCTGGAGGGCCAAGCGTGCCCTCTCCCACCACCAGGAAGCCAGAGAACCCAACCTCGCAGCAGCAGGGATTCAGCAGCGACTCCTGGGAATGAATCACCTTGACATTTTGGGGACTGTGCTGTGCTGAAGCTGCAGTCAGGCATGACGAGGTGGATGAGCTCACTCTGGGAAGACCATATGGGGGTGCAGGCAAGAGGGGCTGGCCAGGAAGAGGAGGGTGAGCCCACCTCCATCTCCAGGTTACCCCAACAAGGCAGGGCTGCCCAAGAGATGGGAGTCCCTCTGAGAATTCCAGGGAGCTCCACCGGGTCACTATCAGGCGACCTCCCTCCAAACCCTGCTCAGTCTCCGGGCATCTTGTCTTCTCCGTCCAGGAAAACAGGAATGAGCTGGAGCCCTTCTGAAGCTTCCAGTCTGAGGCTGCTCCTTGGACTCAGGTCATGCAAAGAATGTAGCCCAGAGACACGAGGCAGAGAAACAGGAGCAGAGCATCGGTGGGGAAGTAAGTGCCCACACATGAGAAATGACAGCAATCGAAGGTGTTGGATGCTCCCGACAGCCGCCCCTGATGAGCCCCTTCAATCATCTGCTGCCCGGTGGTGCTGAGAAACAGCCCTTCCTGCTCCCTCATCCCGGCTGTCCTGGCTCTGAGGGGCTCCCTAGGGACTCCCAAAGACCCTCCCTCCTCAGGTCCCCTGGTCCATGGGTTCTGAGCACACCTAGGAGCCCAGGCTCCCTGACACTTACTATGATAAGCAGGATGAAGTAGATGAAGTTGTAGAAGGAGTGAGCATCCATCACGTAGTACATGATCTCCACCCAGCCTTCCAGAGTGATCACCTGCAGCGCGCAGAGGAGAGAGAGCCGAGAGGACTGGCCCATCAGAAAGCCCGTAGCCCAGGCAGTGCCCCAGACAGAGGCCCCACTGTGTGCCAGAACGCATCACACATGCTGCCTCGAGTCTGTCTCACAGGGGCTGGACAAGGCACATCACATTATACAGGTGAGGAAACTGAGGCTCAGTGAGGGGAAAGCACTTGCCCACTGTCACACAGCCAGGAAGGGGACGTGCCAGGACTTGAACCTTGGTCCCTCCAGTCTACCACACCAGCGGGAGGGCTGGAAAAGCAGGGAGCCTGCCCCTGCTCCAGCTTATCAGCTGGGCCACCCACCCTCTTTGAGTCTCAGCCGCTTCTTCTGTATGTGGGGAGCCCACCTGGCAGAGCTGGGGTGCAGCTCGGTGGAGCCTGGGAGTGCACACCGCAATGAGGCTGGTGTGACTTTGTCACCCCCCACCCCACCCCAACTCCTTCCCAGACTGGGGGATGGAGCAGCCTTGAGAAAGACAAACCCTGGGTCCTTGTTGGCTTCTGGCAAATGCACAGAGTGGGACCCCCTGAGCGGCCACCCACCCTCCTGGGCAGAGGGTTCCAAAACACAGCTGTTGCCGTCACCTCACACCCTGCATCTCTGAACAAATGACCCTGATGCTCCCCAGGGCAAAGTGCCCAGGGCAGCAGAGGGCAGCACAGGGCAGCAGAGGCAGCGCAGGGCAGCGGAGGCAGCAGAGTTCAGCCCTCCCGCTGCCCCCTCAGGGACTTCTCAGCTCCCCCTCTGTCTGCTCCTGCCCCTTCTTTCTGAGGACAGCAGAAAGGTAACCTCTACCCAGCACTCTGTACACAGGGCTGGCTGCCCTGAGCGTGCCATCTGCTTTATTCTTAACAATGACCCAAGGTGAGGGGGGCTGTTATTACCCCATTTTAAAGATGGGAAAACTGAGGCACAGAGAGGCCAAGCAATACTGGCCAAGGTCCACTGCCCTAGTTCTTTCCCTACACATATCCCAGCCCATCCTCTGCAGAGTATAGGCTGACAGTCAGTGCAGTGGGGCCACGCAACAAGCCCTTTGCACGCCATGAGGCTAGTGCTGCTTTGTGAACCTGTGTGCATTATGTGCACTGGGTGACAAGGCGAGACACATTTCTTTCTGACTCCAGATGAGCTACTTGGCACTCCCTGTACCAGAATTTTGCTCAGGCTGTCCCCACCAGGAATGTCCTCCTACCCCATGATCCTGGCCTTGGTCAGCCAATCCCTCCAACAGAGCTTGAATCCTGCCTCTCCTCTCTGAACAGCCCTCCCTGCTGGGATCCATAGGGCCCAAGGCAGCCTGAGGCTCTGCAAAGAGCTCAGGCTTTGGGGACACCCAGAGCTGGGTTAAGAGCCTATTTTTGCCATTTAATAGTCACATCATCTGTGGTCAATTAGCTTGCTTCCTTTCTTTGAACCTTGGGTTCTCTGTCTATAAAATGGGCATGATAATGCCTATTCTGCCAGCAAGCTGGGCAGGTTTCAGTGAGATGAGGGCTGGCAAATGCCTAGCACAGAGCCCTGCCCACCAGGCAGAGCTGCCCACTCTAGGACCAGGCTGGCCCCAGGCCTGAATGGCCTCACCTGGAAGATGACAATCCAAGCATAACCGATGTTGTCAAAGTTGATGGCACCCTTGTGGGGGTTGGCGCTGCCCGTGCGGCACACATTGTAGTAACGGTTCCAGTTGACACAGAGGCCGCTGGCATTGAGGTCCTGGCGCCCCGCCCCAAAGTCGTAGACGTCGTCCTTGGACAGGCAGCACTCACGGCCCTGCTCCTTGAGCGGGGGGATCTCATGGCAGCCCATTATCCCATTGTCGCCCGACAGGGAGCAGATGAAGGGCATCTCATCATCCTCCTCCGGCTGGTAGTATGGGGGCAAGGCCACATCCCCTTGTCTGTCCACAGGCGAGGGTGGGTAAAAGAGGGAAAGGGGAGGGGTCACTGTCAGGAGGATCAGGAAGGGAGAGGCCATGCAGCATAGCAGGATGGCCTTGTCACTGCCTCCAGGCCTTGGCACATGCTGTTCCCCTGCCTTGGTCACCCTTCCCCACCTCTGTTATGGCCATGAAAACCCCCACTGGCCCACTGTGGTCCCCTTCTCTGGGGAGCCTCACTGTGCCTTGCACACACCTTCATTATGGCTCCTGGGGGAGATGCCCTCAACTCCCTCGGGAGTCTGGACATCTCAGCATCCCCAGGCCACACACACTGTTGGGTTCGCACAGACAGAGCAGGTGGTCAGTAAACAAGCACTGGCTTTTACCGATCTAGCAGATGACAGGTAGATCCTCCATCTGCTCCACCCACTTCCATGTAAGTGATCCTGGGCTGATCACTTCCTCTCTCTAGACTTCGTTTCTTTTTTTTCTTTTTTAGACCGAGTCTCACTCTGTCACCCAGGCTGGAGTGCAGTGGTGAGATCTTGGCTCACTGCAACCTCCACCTCCTGGGTTCAAGCAATTCTCCTGTCTCAGCCTCCTGAGTAGATAGGACTATAGGTGCACACCACCATACCTAGCTAATTTTTGTTTTTTTAGTAGAGATGGGGTTTCACCATATTGGTCAGCCTGTTCTCAAACTCCTGACCTCAGGTGATCCACCCACCTCAGCCTCCCAAAGTGCTGGGATTACAGGTGTGAGCCACCGAGCCGGGCTGCCCTTCTCTGGACTTTGATTTCCTCATCTATAAAACAGACAACAATCCCTACTATGACCATCCAGAAGGGTTAATCTATGCTTCATTGCAATCCTAATCAAAAATCCCAACATTTTGGCCGTGGAGCCTGCCCAGATGGTTCTAGGATTTATTTGGATGGGAAAATAGTCAAGACAAGCTTTAAAAAGGAGAGAGATAAACAGAAACCAGATCTATAAGAGAGCAAAATACTGTACAACTATGATTGTTAATACAGTGTAGCACTGTGACAGGAACAGAAAGGTTAATGGAATGCCATAGAGCACAAAGACAAACCCATGTACAAAGGAGAACTTAGTATATCACAGAGATGGCTTTTCAGACCTGCAGAGAAAGGAGGGACCCATCAGTAAGTGGTGTTAGGATAGTTGCTATCTATTTGGGAAATAATAGTTGGATCCCAACCTCACACCATACACAAAAATAAACTTTTTGAAGACCTGGTATCCAAAAATAGACATATAAATCATCTCATTTTTAATTGTTATATTGATTGCACACTAAAAATAATATTTGAATATATTAGATTAAGTAAGATATATTATAAAACTAAAAACAGTAAACTTCCAGTGGATTAAAAAGCATAAATGCAATGAACATCACCACAAAAACGTTATAAGAAAATATGGAATATTTTTTGTTAACTCAGGATAGGTATAACCATCCTGGCTAAGACAAAAAATCCAAGTTTTGTAAAGGAAAAGTTCGACCAGATTGACTACATACTAATGTAAAATTTCACTGAGACAAAATATACAAAGTAAAAAGACAAGCAACAAATTGGGATAAAGCAGAGGTAGGCAAACTTTTTGTGTAATGGCCTGTATTAGCAAATATTTTTCTGCAGAGCACATGGCCTCTGTCCCAATGACTCAACTTTGCCATTGTAATCTGCAAACAGTTATAGGAAATAGATAAACAAGTGGGGATAGCTGTTTCAATAAAACTTTATTTACCAAAACAGGCCATAGTTTGCTGTTGAATGGGATTAAGTATTCGCAACATACAAAGGAGATAAGAGGTAACTATCTAAAGCAGGGGTCCCCAAACCCCGGGGCCACACAGCAGGAGGTGAGTGTCCAGCAAGGGAGCATTACTGCCTGAGCTCCACCTTCTGTCAGATCAGTGGTAGCATTAGATTCTCATAGGAGCACGAACCCTATTGTGAACTTCACACTCAAGAGATCTAGGTTGTGCACTCCTTATGAGAATCTATTGCCTGATGATCTGAGGTGGAACAGTTTCATCCCAAAACCATCCCCTTGCTCTGGTCCATGGAAAAATTATCTTCCACGAAACTGGTCCCTGGTGCCAAAAAGGTTGGGGACTGCTGATCTAAAGCATATGAAAATCTCCCATAACTTAATAAGGAAAAGGAAAAATAACCCACTAGGGGGAAAAAAAAGACAAAAGATAAGAACAGAAAAATTCACAGAAGAAATAAAAAATGGCCAATATATAGGAAGAAACACTCACCAATGGAACAAAATAACCAAATGCAAACAAAAAATAATGAGATCATTTTACACCTACCCAAATGGCAAACATTTCATGGTTGGTAATATTCAGCATGGGAAAGAATAAGTGTAAACAGACACTCACATACACTGTTGTGGGAGTATACATTGGTACAACCTTCTTAGAGGGCAATTTGGCACATCCATCAATAATCAAAATGTACACATCCAACCCAAATACATATGGTCACCTGAGTCTCATACAGGCACCCCTGCAATTCAGTGGAGAAAGGACAGACTTTTCCACCACTGGTCCTGGGACAGTTGACTATCCACTAAAAATAAATCAATAAATCTTGACCCCAACTGGGGCCAGGCGCAGTGGCTCACGCCTGTAATCCCAGCACTTTGGGAGGCCGAGGTGGGTGGATCGCTTGAGGTCAGGAGTTCGAGACCAGCTTGGCCAACATGGCAAAACCCCATCTCTACTAACAATACAAAAATTAGCCATTTAATAGCGTGGTGGCATGCGTCTGTAATCCCAGCTACTCAGGAGGCTGAGGCAGGAGAATCACTTGAACCTGGGAGGCGGAGGTGGCAGTGAGCTGAGATCATGCCACTGCACTCCAGCCTAGGCGATAGAGTGAGATTTCACCTAAAAAAAAAAAATCTTGACTCCATCTACAAACCATACACAAAGCTAGATTTGGACGTCAGACCTACATGTAAAGGATTTTTCTTTTTAAAAAAGTAAGTTCCTAAAAGAAAGCACTGGAAGATATTTTCACAACCTTTAGAAAAGATTTCTTAAACAGGACACAAAAAACAATGCTAAAAAAATGATTGATAAACTGGACTTCATTACAACTAAGAGATTCATTCATCAAAAGACACCGTTAAGAGAGCAAAATGTAATTCCTTCTTTTTCATGTCTGTGAGTATTCCGCTGAGTGAGTACACTGCCACTTATTTATTCATTCTGCCAATGGTTTGGGGTTGTTTCTGGTTTTTTGGCTCTTATGACTCATAAATATTCTTGTACACATCTTTGGGTATATATAAGCCATCCCTTTTTTGGGTAAATACACAGGAGTGCTGCCAAGTGACAGAGGCAGGATTTGACCCTGAACGCCAGGCTGGGGCTCCGATTTCTAACCCACACGCCACACCGCAGCAGTGGGGTTGCCTCGATCAAGAGTACCCTCCCCACCTACTCCCTGTCCCCCCATCTGCCTGGAGACATTTTTCTTGAATCTTTTAGGTTCAGCTCAAGTTCACATCCTCTGAGAAGCAAGAAGTCCCACTGGTCCTCTGTGAAGCGAGAAGCCCCATTGGTCCCCACCCTGGCTGGTCTTGTACCCGCTCTGGGCTTCCAGGCCCCACTCTGCCAAGCCCAGAGCATCCTGAGGCCTAATTTTCAACACATGCAGTTCCCCAGTGAGACAGTACAGAGGGCAGTG
Organism: Homo sapiens; assembly: GCF_000001405.40. NCBI lineage: Eukaryota > Metazoa > Chordata > Mammalia > Primates > Hominidae > Homo > Homo sapiens. The sequence goes on along the minus strand of NC_000022.11, from coordinate 39,637,149 downwards.
GCCAAGATAAAGGGTCTCTGCATCCCCAGGGCCCAGCATAGGCCCTGGCCCCTGGAAGGGGTCGGTGAGTGTTTGTGGAATGACAGTGTCCTGACACCCACACAGCCAGGGAGAGGCTGGATGCTTGCTGGAAGCCTTGCTGTTGGCCCTGGGTGAGTCCCTTCCCATCTAGGCCTCAGTCCCCATCTGCATAGTGACAGGTTGGGCTGAGGCTTTCAGTGGCCCCATCTCCCACCTGTGCGTGTTACGCCCCAGGAAGGGCCCTTCTCCGCCCTGACGACGGAGCTCTGTCCATCTCACAGGGCCCACTGTGCCAGGAGCTAGAGGCTTCCAGGCAACAGCCCGGCTGGGGAGAGCCCGAAAAGAGGACTTTGAGGAATTCCCCTGCCCAACTGCCTGGTTCCCCAAGATCCTAGCTAGGATCTTCTCAAATTCCAGCTTTCTGATCACCCAGAAGAGATCTTGCTGCCTCTTTGTGAACCCTGGTTACCAACTTCTCTGCTCCCTGCCCTAAACAAGCCTTGTGAGTTAAGGTCTAAGCCTCCCTTATTTCTACAGGAGTCACAGGCCTGGGATGACCCTGGCCTTGCTCTCCACCAGACGTGCGTGAACTTTACTCATCTCCTTTTTCACGCAACACCGACCATCCCCCAGCCCAATAGGGCATGTGAGTTAATAACACCCACCCTAAGAGAATGAAGCCAGGAGCTCAGAGGGAGGCGTGGCAATCACCCAGCATCTTCCCTTAGGGCGTTCTTTCTCCAGGGACATTTCCTTGTATTTATTATTCCCTTCCTGGGGCGGGGATGGGGGTGGACCAGATAAGGTTCCTCTTTAACACAGCCCAAGCACATCCTCAGCATCCTCCCTCCAACTCTCCTTTTGCAGCCGAGACAGGGCTGGGGCCATCTCATGGGGCCTGGGGAAGACCACAGAGGAGGAGACATCAGGGAACGGGACGCAGAGTCTCCAACACGCCAGGCCTAGGAAGAACTGGTTCTCGCTCCCAGCCTGCCTCTGGGTGGTAAATGCACTCACACATCCACTTACTCACTTATTCCTTCAACAATTAGTTGGGAGCACCTGTGCCAAGCCCTGCTCTAGGCCTGGGAGGAGTTAAGCCCCAGGTGCCCCTGCTGTGGTAGAGAACTCACATTTCAGGGGCCTCCAGAGACCTCGGATGAACCGACAGGAGATGATTTCAGAGAGATGAGTCAAGAAGAAAACCCAGCAGGGCTGTGTGATGGCGAGCTTGGGGCTGGGGTGGTGAGGGAGGGCGAGGGAAGGCCTCTAGGAGGAGGTGTCAGGTGGGCTGAGCCCACATAATAAGAAGGGGCTGGCCACAGAAGGATCCAGGGAAAGAGCCCTGTGGGACAGAGGGGCGGAGCTCACACTACCCTGACTTCGAAGCAGCTGCCTCTCCCCAGCCCCACTGCCCCAGGCCCTGCCTCAGGACCTGCCTCTTCTGGGGATGGGCACAAGTGTAGACCCCCTTCCTGAATCCCCACTTGGGGCCTTTACCCACCAAGGTGCCCCTGCTGTGGTCTACCCAGGTACCCTACTGTTCCCCCACAGCGATGGGTGGATGGGCCAGTTCCTACCCAACTTTCACCCTCCAGCTCTGCTACCCTCTCCCCAACCAGGCCGGGAGGGAGAAACTAGCCCTCACCTGTACAGTGTCCCCACGTCCCCACGCTTCCTACAGTCACCTCGGTCCATGATTAACAGACTGAGAGGCACTCACTAGAGGTGTTTGGGATCGGCTCCCAGCCCTGCGCTTCTCAAGGGCAGGGGGCAGGGACCCCCCCCCTTCTGCCGCATCCTGAGCCCCGAGCACAGGCTCAACAAAGGGAAGTGAGAACATGGATGAAGATGCTCTCCTATTTCTGACTCCCTGGGGCCTGGCACTTAGTCGGTGCACGCCATGCATATCTGAAATGAATGCATATTCACATCCAAACACATACACGCAGGTACATGTGTGTGCACACTTATCCCCCACCACTACGGAAGCACGGGTTCTATAGGTGTCCAATTTTTCAGACAACTAAGCCCAGCTCCTCCAAGATCCAGAGCTTGATTTGTGTGTCAATAATCCTCTCTCGGAGGAATGTCTCGCCCCCTGCTTTCATACACAAGCGGCCAAATGGGAGCTCACCCTTCCTGGATGACTCAGCCACCAAGGGGAATGAATGTGCTGTGGGCGGAGAGCCAAGTTCTGTGCCTGCTCTTCAGGTTTTCTGTCTTCTTTTTCCTCCTGGGCATCACTTCTGCTTGTGTCTTAACTTCCCTTTCCCCTCCTACCTGACCTCTCTTTTTTTGCTGCTTCTACCCCATTGGTCCTGATTCCCAATGACCCAGAAGGTTAAAACTGTGTCTTAGTAAGAGTCCCCGGAGCTGCATGGGTGGCAGGGGATGAACTCACATGGTGAAGTTCTCCTCCAGGAAGCAGCGGTTACGCAGCAGGCCCGCCCAGAGCTGCACACCTATGATGCCAAAGATGAAGAAGACAAAGAAGCAGAGCAGCAGGACATTCCCCAGCATGGGCAGTGTGTCCAGGAGCAGGTTCACCAGGATCCGCATACCTGGGAGGGGAAAAGGTGGAGGGATGGTCAGACAGGGAGCAGAGGTCCCAGAGACGAAAGAGTGAGAGCAAGGTTAGAGAAACAGGGAGGGGGAGGGGGATGCATTATCAGGGGCTCCTTGCTGTTCCCATCCTGTTCAGTGGCTGCCAGATACACCCTCTCCTTTTTATCTGCCCCTCCACCGAAAAAGCCATGGAAATGGCTCTGGGCCCTGCTCCACTTACACTAGATTGTGAATGAACAAGCAAGCATTTATGCAGCACCTTTTATGTACCAAGTGTTCTTCTGCGTACTTGCACAAATGTGATCTTCAGTCTTCACAACAACTCTGTGAGGTTGGTACTCTTATTTCTATTTTATAGAGAAGGCAACTGGAGACTCAAAGAACTGAAACTGCTTGCCGTAGGTCACACAGCTCAGAAGCAGCAGGGTCTAGATTTAAACCAGGTGTCTTGACACAAAGTCTAGCTGTCTTTTCACAACCCCCTTGTCCCAGAGGCCTTGGGACTGAGGCTGGTTCACCTTAGTATGCCCAGCACCTGCAGAGTGGTTGTAGTACGTGCCCAATGAATGTGTCCTGAATACCCTTTGTCTCTGAGACAGTCACTGTTCCCCTTGACCATGTCAGGACACAGCAGTACCAGCCAGAACTACCACTCCCACTGCATGATGGAACCAGGCAGAGCCCCCAGAGCCAACTTCAGAAGAGCCAAGCGCCTGCTAACGGGCTCTACAGAGAAGGCCCACACAGGAGTCCATGGCCCCAAAGAAGGTGAAGAGCTGGTGGGGCACCTTTGAGTACACACCCTCCCCCTAAGATCCTGTAGAGTCCATACTGCCCACCTCTCTAGTTTCATACCTCTCTCAATTTGCAGTCTACTGCCTTGCAGTGCCAAATTATTTGAAGTTCCCTAAACATACTGTGAGATTTCACACCTCCATGCTTTTATCCCTGCTGTTCCCTCTTCCTAGAACACCCTTGCTCCTCTCTTCTGCCTGGCAAATCCCTATTCAGCCACCGCAGCCCTGTGAAAGCTCTTTCTGTGAAGGCTTCCAGACTCTTACATCATCCCAGGTAGAGTTCATCCTTCTCTCTTCTGCTCTGGGCAATCTCAGCACCTCTGACCTAGCCTAGGCTGCCACGTACAGTTGTGCAGGTTGTATACTGCACAACCTAGGAGGTTCCATCCATATCAATATCTCGTCTTATTCTAGCCCTAATGTATAGTTGTCTGTTTACTTTCCTATCTCTTCCACTAGGCTATAAGGTTCTGGGGGCAGGGCCCTTGTCTAAGTCACCTCAGTATTCCCAGAACCCAGCAGGTCCTGGCCCAGAAGACAGGCTCACCTAACATTTGTTCAATGACTACTCATGAATGAATGATGTGATAAGTCATGGGGAGGGAGTGGAAGATTGGAGAGAGGAAGATGGAAGGATGGTGACAAGTAGAACAGTGGCCCTGTCCAGATGGTTGTGTATGCTAGGGGTGAGCCTGAGGTGCTTATTAATGAGGATAATTATTTGGAATTTGCGTCACAAACTCTGTGTGCAGTGATTTCCAATCAATAATTAAGGCCCACCCCATCTTCCCTCTCCACAAAACTAGGTCAGCCTCCTCTCAGGAAAGACAGTGGAGCTTGCCTGCAGGCTGCTTCACCCCACCGAGAGCAGGCCAGGGTGAGGCTCAGCTCCCCACCACCCTACACCCCCAAGCAGGGAAGCGAGGCGTGTACAGCAGAGGGAAGGGAGAAATAGAATGGGTGCCCTCATAATCCATCCAAATGGATTCCCTGACTCAAGTAGGCCAACTGCAGGCCTTTCTGGTGCCCCATCGTTCATTCATTCATTCATTCATTCACTCACTCATTCATTCATGAAACACATAGTAAATGCCAGCTGCATGCCAGGCATGGCGTTGGGCACATGGGGAATCCAAAGACAAACAAGACCCATTTTTTACCCCCCCAACCCTCCCCCCACACACACACAGAGCTCACAGCCTGGCAGCAAGGGGACAGGGGACCAAGTGTTGAGCCAAAGGACTGTGTCTGGGGAGTGGGGCCGCTCCGGGCACATTTGCTGAGCTGGACTCCAGGATGCGAAGCCTTGGCCAGCAGAGGGACTGGCATGGGCAAAGGCACTATTCCTGAAGGCGGTTGCAGGGGGCTCTGAGGAGTGTGGGGCTCTGTGCTGGGTGGCTGGGCAAGGAGGTCTGCTGGCATATTTCTAAGCAAGCAGAACCCTCGATCAGCTCTGAGCTTCAAAAAAGAATGGGCGAGCCCCGAGGCCAGGACAGGGGCAGGAGGCAAGCACAGAGGGCCGGTAGCAGCTGGAGAAGAGGCTGGATGAGAAGGGCCTGGAGAAGGCAGCTCCACACGGTCCCAGCCTGGCTGCTTCATTCCCGCTCCTGCTTCTCCCTCGGGCCGGCCTTTGTCGCTCAATTAATTACATCTCCCTTGTTCTCTGGGATATTGAAATTCCAAAAGGCTCCTGCAAACCTATCCGGCTGGCTTCCCTGAATGGCAGCCCCGTCCCTCCTCCCCGACCCGCCTCACTCTGCCCAGCTGGGCCCCAGCGCACTTCACAGCCCTCCCTGGGGCCCAGGGAGTCCCAGGGCCACAGAGCCCTGGCATAATTAGCTAATTAAGGACTTAGAACTACTTTATCCCTTCCTTGCCAGGGAAGAGGGGCCACAGGATTAGGGATTCAGGGAGGACCCCAAGAGACTATGGCTAATCTTCCTTTCATGCCCACAGTCAAGTAATTAGCCAAGACAGGTTGGCCAGTTACACTCTGCCCTCAGTGCCTCTGGAGACTGGCACAGGAGGTGGAGGCAAGGAGAGAAGAGAGAAAAGCAGACAGAGGAGAAAGTGAAACCAGGAGTGACAGAAAGAGAGACAGAAGACAGAGAGAAAGAGCGGAGAGGCTGCCTGCAAGTCACCATCTGCCTCAAACCATCCTTTCTACTTCATCTCCCACCACACCTTCCCCCGGCCAAACCCTCCTCCTCCAGGCAGTCCTCCCTGATTCTCACCCCCAGTTAGTCACGAAGCCCTCCTGCCTCTCATTGCCCCAAGGCGCTCAGTCACTGTCAGGATGGGCTTACCTGGTTCTGTGTTCTTAGTGCACCTTTTCAGGCCTTCTGCCTGGAGCAAGAGCCAGATGGGCCATGATGGGGACAGGCTACAGGCAGCCCCATGAGTGTGATTGAGGGCCCTGGCTCCCCAGCTAAAAAGGGGAAGAGGACCCTGGAGTCCTCAGGACACCTGATGCAGCCCCCAGCCCGGTGAGCGCCCAGAGCACAGACCCAGGACATGAGATCTGGTCCCAGTCCCAGTAGGGTGGCCTTGAGGCAAAGCTTGCCTTCTCTGGGCCCCAGTGGCCTCATCTACAGAGGGGACAGTGGCTCCTGTCCAGCCAGCCCTTCAGGAATACCACGGGGCCAGGACACCTCTGACGGAAGATTCCCTGAAGTCAGAAGCCTCCAACAGCCCATACGCCCCATGGGAAAGTGCAAATCCTTATCCCCCACCTTCCTGGCCCCTGCTCACAGACTCCTCCCGAGTCTGGCCCCACCTCCCTCCATCCTCCCTGCCACACCTGAACCTGCGGCACCAGCCTGACTGGCAGCTCCCAGCATCCCCACTCCCCAGCCCTGCACACACTCTGCCCCCACCCACGACACCTCCTCCACCCTGCCATAGGATCCCGGAACTGCTGTGCTGCACCCAGCCAGAAAGATCCACTTCCAGTGCTGGAAAGCCCACTTTCGGGGCTGCCTCCGTGCCCTTGCACATGCTTGGAGGGCCATCCCTCACCTCCTTTTTGGGGATCTCAGCTGAGCGGTCGCCTTGTCTGGTGTCTCTGCCATGAGTTACTGCTGCCCACCCGCCCTCCATCATAGCCTGTGCCAGTTCCCGGCTCTGCCTCCTCCTCCCCGCTGGAAACCAGGCATGCTCTGCGCCCAAGGCCAAGGCGGCTGCTCTGTGTTCTCCCATCCAGACCAGGACCGGGCACAAAGCAGTCCCTTGAAGGCCGACAGCTTGAATGAGTAAAGGAGCGGTGGGCGAGTGAATGGAGCCACTCAGCAAGTACTGAATGAGGGCTGGCTCCGTGCCGGGCACTGTGCTAGGCTCTAGGGATACATGAGTTGTGAAAAACCAAAACAGAGTTCCCTGTCCTCGTGAGGCTCACATCCCAGGTACGGTAGGGAAAAGCAGGCAATAAATAAATAATAAATAAACCACATGGGTGATACACAAGGTCACGTCCTCGTTCGTTGGGTGAAAAGTGCTATGAAAACAAAACAGAGAAGGGAGAAAGGGTTGGGGGTTTGGCCTGGGGTCGGGTGAACATTAAATAGGGGGCCAGGAAAGGCAGGATGATGCTGAGCAGAGACAGGGAAGGGGTGGCAGAGTCAGCTGAGGGGCTGTCGCTGTCTGGGGGACAGCCCTCAAGTCGGAGGCAGCCTGGACAAAGGCCTAGAGGCGGGAGGGAGTCAAGCACAGCCACAGCCACAGCAAGGAGACCATGCGGCTGGGGGGAAGCTGAGCAGGGATGAGGCTGGGGAGGAGACAGGGCCAGGGGGCTGGAAGACTTGAGCTTCTCCAAAGGGTCATGGAGCAGAAGGGAGACGTGATCTGGGGAAGGGGTGAGAGGATTGCTGGGCTGCTGGGTGGAGAATGGATCGCGGGGGGCCAGGGCAGAGGAGAGAGAGCATCAGCCGCACAGTCTGCAGGATCCTGTGCAGACGCCCCTGTGGACAGCGCCCCGAACGGCATACACATCTCTGAAAGGGGGTCAGGCCTGTGGGCTCCACAGCTGTGTGGTCGCTGCCTCCCGGGGGTCTCACGTGGGACAGAAACCGGAGCGCTGAGTGTGGGGCCCAGGAGAGCTGTGGTTCCCTGCTCTGTGCCCTCACTGTTGAGATGGCCCAGGCCAGACACTGGGCCCTCTCCACCACCCTCACGGCCTGATGATTGGGCCTTCCGTCCCCCTGCTCCTCTCCGTCCTGCCTGGCCCTGCCTGGCCGTCATACATTCATCATTGTGATAAACCGGAAGATGGTGGGGCTGGGCCCAGATAATGATGGCAGTGGAGTGGGGAACATGGTGGATTCTGGAGGTATTTTGGAGGCCAAGCAGAGGGATGGGATATGGATGTAGGAGGAAGAGGGCAGTTGGGGACGACTCCAAGGTTTGGGGCCTGGAGCCACAGAGCGGCCTTCAGCGGGGGTGGGGCTCCATCTGGAGATGTGGAGCTTGGGATGGCCGGGGTACATCCCCATGGAGTCGCTTTGCCAGATCTTGGGGTCTGGAGTTCAGGGGAGAACAGTCTGGCCCGGGAGCGTCATGTGGAGCACCAGGGTGAGGACGGTCTCTAGACAGCACTGAAAGCTAGGGGCTTGGTGGTGGCAGATGGCAGCGGGCAAGTGGATGGAGCTGCTCACCCTTTTTGGGGACCCCTAGGCTAGAGCCTCTGCTTGAGAGAACCTGGGCAGCAGCCAGGCAGAGGCAGCCCCTCAGTGGCAGTGGGGACACCTGAGAGGAGGTGGCAGGAAGAACAGGAAGCACTTCCTGACAGGCATCACCCCTGGAGGTTTGGGGTGTTCTTGGCAGAGGGGAGCTGTCAGCCCAGATCAGTCCAGCCAGGCCAGCTCAAGTAGAAATTGCCAGACGCGTGCCAGCCTCTGCCAGGGCACAGCCCGTGGCCCAGAAGAGTGGAGTCGGGGCGAGGGGAGCCGAGGCTGTGGCCTGGCCACTGGGGGCCACTCTCCCTGGACTGGCCAGGTCAGTAAAGGGGCTGGGCGGCTGGGAGAGGCCGTCTGCTGCTCCTGCCATTGCCGGCGCCAACTAATCAGGAGCACAGTGGGCACCAAGAGGCCTGGCCAGGCAGCAGACAGCCAGCTTGCCGGGGTCACAGCTGCCGGCCCAAGGCCCAGCCAGGGAGGGGCCTGTGGGCTGGTGGAGGGCCTTGGTGCCCACTGCTGAGAAAGGAAGCCAACCTCAGCCAGCCAGCAGCTCACTTCCCCCATCCCAGGAGAGGCCTCAGGTCCCTCCCAGAGCTGGCTGCGCTCACACCCTCGGGGGCTGGCCCGGCTGTCTCACTGAAGGTCCCCCCACCTGCTGTGCCCCAAACCACTCCTAGGCATCCTTCAAGTGTCCTACCACCCCCTCCTCTGGGAAGCCTCCTCCTAGACCAGGTAGGCACCCTTTCCCATCAGCCCCTGCCCCGATCAGATCAGGCGTCCCACTGGCCTGCAGCTGTCAGCCTTTGGGGAAGGGGCTGTGCCTGATCTTGGCCCCACATCTGGCCAGGGTCTCGCCCAGAGAACCCCCGGTGGATTTTACTTTGGATGAATGATGGAATCGATCCATGAGTCAGTTAATCCACACAGTGGCCCAGTCCTTTGATCTGGTGGCCTGTCCAGGACACTCCCTCCCTCCGGATTTGTAGAACAGAATGCAGAACTCGACCTGAGGGAGGGGGAGAGGGAGGCACTGCCTTTGCCCTGCCCCACCCCCAAGCACTTCTCCCTGCAGGGTCCAGGCTGCTCTTTCCTGTTCCCAAATCCAGCGCTCGCCAGATGCTCTGGCCAGATGTTCTCCCACCCACCCAGCCCCACCTCTTCCAGGAAGGGAGCAGCCCTGGGGAAACTGGCCCCCCTCATTTCATCTCCCCATTTCTCTCCCTCCTTCCCTCTCTTCCTTCCCCATGGGGGCTGTCAGGCCTTTCTCCCTCAGGATGAAGTGGGAGCCCCTTGTGGGTGCCTAAAACAGACAGCCCTGAAGTCCAAGGTGTGGCCTGGTGGGGGCTGACAGCCCAGTAGCTTTCCTTCTGCTCTCCCCAAGCCGAGAGTAAACACATGCTTCAGGCGAAAATGCCGACACTTCCACGCCAACTATTTCAAGGTGCATCTCTCAGAACTGTCCAACAAATGCCCCCCAAGGCCCTTCCAAGAAGGAATCCTGAGGCCTTCCTCGCCCCTCTTCAGCAGGGCTGGCCTGACCATGACCCTGGTTGGGCAGGCACCTGGGCAGGAAAGGGCTTGGCCTGGGGCGTGAGGGTTGGCACCCGCTGTGCACTAACCACAGTGCCATCCTGCCCGGCCCCCTTTCAGAGATGTGTGTGCCGTTCGGGGCGCTGTCCACAGGGGCGTCTGCACAGGATCCTGCAGACTGTGCGGCTGATGCTCTCCCTCCTCTGCCCTGGCCCCCCGCCTGCCTCGTGGCTTCAGCCCGAAAGGGGATCAGCACCACGAGACCTGTGCACCCCAACAGTGAAAGGCACTCAGAGGTCTGGAGCAGACCAGGCTGAGGGGGGAGATGGAAGGAGAGAGGGCCTCGAGGTGTCACTGCAGCCCACGGGACCTCTCTCCTTTGACCCTGGAAGTGGGCAGGGGTGTTTCCTGATGTCCTGCAGACACTGGGGACGGGAGTGGGTGTCTGGCGCCTACACGCTAAAAGAACGGAAAGGAGATACTGACACAGAGTGAAAAGCTGTAGGGTCAGGTGAACACGGGTTCAAACCCTAGCTCTGTCCCCAGCCAGCTGTGTGGTCTTGGGCAGACTAGTCAACCCCTCTGCCTGCTTCCCCATCTAGAAAGTAGGTGTCACAATGCCACTAACTTCCTAAAGCTGTAGTGAAGATGAAATGACACTGCCCATGTAAAGCACTGTGATGAGCTTGTCACAAGCACTTGATAAACTTTAGCCACTTATCAGGCGGATCTCAAGGTCCAGAGATCAAGACCATCCTGGCCAACATGGTGAAACCCCGTCTCTACTAAAAATACAAAAATTAGCTGGGTGTGGTGGCACACGCCTGTAGTCCCAGCTACTCAGGAGGCTGAGGCAGGAGAATCGCTTGAACCCAGGAGGCGGAGGTTGCAGTGAGCCGAGATCACGCCACTGCACTCCAGCCTGGCAACAGAGCAAGACTCCGTCTCAAAGAAAAAAAAAAACTTTAGCCACTTATGATTATAATTAACTCCCTAGAAGATGTGAACAACCCTCTCCTTTTCCCGCCACGCAGTCCCCTGCCCACCCACACGATGCCCAGCCCAGGATGACACCTCCACTCCACCTTTGCACATGCCAATCTATCTGCCAGGCACACCCTCTCCAACCCTCAGCTGATGAGTGTCTTCCAAAACCAGCCCCTGAGAAGACGTCCCTGACACTCTACGTCCACCCTCACTACTCCCAGCACCTTATCTAGCAGCAGCACCTGCGGATCGCGTAGGCACACGAGGCTGTGCACGCAGCTCTCTACACCCACGGTGGCATTTCAGCCTTCCTAACCAGATGGACATGGGTATTATTAACTTCTCTTGAGAGCTGGGGAAATAGAGGCACGGAGAGGCACGTGGCTTACTCAGGGTCCCACAGCCAGTGGGTGGAGGCCCTGGGACCAGAACCTGGCCTGACAGCACAGAGCAAACCTCCAGCTGGTTGTGCAGCCGAGGGGATGGCAGCCTTCCCCACAGCATTGTCAGGGACTGTGAGCTCGGGCTCAGGGCTGCCCCTGAGCTCCCCAGGGTCTGCCTCGCCCCTGCGCCACAGCCTGGGTCGGGGGAACTATCACCTCTCTGGCCAGGCCTTGGCAGTGACTGCCCTCGTTTCTTACTGGAGAAAACAGCACTTTTCATATGTAAATGACTCAGGCAGTATGCTTAAGGAAGCAAGGCAGTGCCTTGAGAGATGTACAGGCTGGGGGTGGGGTGGGGCGGGGGCACATTTAGAGATAATTCAGCCCCATCTTGCCAAGGCCCAGAGAGAGGCGGTGACTTAGGAAAGGTCACACAGAGAGGAACCAGAACCCAGACTCCCAACTCCTAATTTGGCGCTTCCTTCCTCCCTCCCCAACCACCTCTCTGCTGTCTTCCTCTCTTTATCCATCAGAGGCTGAGTGGCCTGAACAAGGACCTGCAGGGGTGGGGTGGAGAGACATGTATTTTATACGATTCTGTAAGCAGCACCATGATGTCCATGTCCCCCGCTCATCCTGGACAAAGTTGAGAGCCACGTATTTAATCCAGTTTATCCTCCTGCTTTGTTTGTACGAGTAGGGAAACCGAGGCCCAGAGATGCCAAGGGACTTCTCAGGTCACACAGCAGGCATATGGCAGAGCTAAGACCAGAACTTTTATTCTCTGACCCACACTTGCATCTTCCTGGTTGTTCATGCTGGAGCTTTGCAGCCTTTGCTGTATTTTTAAACCGCAGGCAACCAGCCCACTCCTCATGGCTTTGCAATTAATAACCCGTCATTTGACTGCGCCCATCACCAGCTCTCTAGCTTGCCCTCTAGAAATGAGACTAAAAGCTACGGGCTACTGTTGAAAAGACTGTGTCCCGGCTGGGCACGGTGGCTCACGCTTGTAATCCCAGCACTTTGGGAGACCGAGACGGGTGGATCACAAGGTCAGGAGTTGGAGACCAGCCTGGCCAACACAGTGAAACCCCGTCTCTACTAAAAATACAAAAATTAGCTGGACGTGGTGGTGGGCACCTGTAATCCCAGCTACTCGGGAGACTGAGGCAGGAGAATCTCTTGAACCGGGAGGTGGAGGTTGCAGTGAGCCAAGATCATGCCACTGCACTCCAGCCTGGGTGACAGGGCTAGATGCTGTCTCAAAAAAAAAAAAAAAAAAGACTGTGTCCCAGGGCAGAAGCAGCTCAAACCATAAGTAGGAGAAATGTCTGCAGGAAAATCATATTTTAAAAAAAAGAAAATAAAAAAACCAGGCAACTATGAAATCTCTCTAGGAAGCACTTCTGAGAGCCTGAGCCACCCCTTCCCCACCTCAAGTCACTAATCCCCTGGTGGCTCTGGGCAGGGGACCTGGCACCTGAGGACAAAACTGTCTGTCCCGCGAAATGAGGGTTAGACCAATGGACTTTAAGCCCCACGTGCTCCAACAGCCTGCGGCTCCCGCAGAATCGCCTGTGAGTATCTGCAGGGCCCTTCCAGGGGAACACCAGCTGCTGGAGGGCCAGTGCTCCCAGTAACTCCCCAGTGCTGGTTCTGAGAGAACCAGGCTGTCCTCTGAGAAGCGGAATCAGGCTCAGGGGCGGGAAGCCGACACTCCCCCAACTGCCCAGCGGTGGCCACTAGCAGGAGGAGACCCTGAGGAAAGGCTCGGAGCCCGCTCGGAGCTCCTCTGTAATTGGAGCGCAGGGGGATGTTGGGCACAGGGTCAATCCCTGCCTTCCCAGAGGCCAGGGCAGGCTGGTGCTGGGGACCGGGAGTGTCCTCCACCTCCGGGGAGCAGCTTAATGAACTCCCCACACAGCAGGAGAGGAACCAGGAGGAGCAAAGAGGACCTGGAGGGAGAGGCACAGGCGCCCACACACACGTGCAAGGCGCACGCACGCTCTTCACACACACACACCCTCACAGGCACACACATGCTCGCTACACACACACTCTTCATACACACACCCTCACAGAGACATACACACTCTTCACACACGCGCTCTCACAAACACACCCTCACAGGCACACACATGCACTTCACACACATACCCTCACAGGCACACCCCTTCATGGACACACGCACGTTCAGAGGCGCACACACACCCTTGACACATACACACCCTTTCACACACACCCTCACAGGCACACACACAAACACGTCACACATACACCCTCACAGGCGCACACACACACTTCACACACACACACCCTCACAGGCACACCCCTTTATGGACGCACACACGCTCAGAGGCACACACACACTCTTGACACGTACACACCCTTTCACAGACATACACACCCCCACAGGCACACATAGGCTCATAGACACACGCATGTTCACAGGCACGCATACTTTCATAACACACCTCCTCACAGCACACACACCCTCACAGCCACACACCCCTCACAGGCATACCCCCTCGCAGCACACATACACACACAGGCACACACACACACAGGCACACACACCCTCACAGGCACACACACATCACAGCAAACACTCTCACAGGCACACACACCCTCACAGGCACACACACACAAGCACACATATGCTCAGGCATGAACATATTCATAGGCATACACAGACACCCTCCCAGGCAGACACAGCACACACCCTCACAACACACACACTTTCATAGGCACGCACTCTCACATGTACACACCCTTACATGTGCCCATTCACGTGTGCAGGCTTTCACATTTGCTCACTTGTGCACACACATCCTCAGATGCACACATTGTCACATGCACACACACTCTCCCATGTACTTACATGTGCACACGCACCTCACAGGCACATACTCACCTGTGCACACCCTTCATTGCACACACACTCGTGCACACACGTCCTCACACGTGTTCTCTGGTGGACACACACCCTCACACCCACACACACCCTCACACCCACACACACCCTCACACAGATGTAGAGAAGCCCGCCTGGCAAGAGCGAGGCCTCCGCCCGTGTCCCGTCCCATGCCCCTAAGCCCGCCTGCAGCCTCAGCGGTCCCATCACAGTGCTGCCCCCTGCTGGGCAGACCCTAGACCGGACAAGAGGTTCAGATCAAGATCACGTACAAACATCCCTTGTGTGCGACCCTCTGCAACGTGCACACACCTCTGGAAGGTGGCGGTGCCTGTGGGCTCCGTGGCCTGGAGTGTGACCATGGTCCCATGGCAGCTGCCTGCTGAGGGCAGCCCCCGCCGTCCCCCAGGACAGAAACAAGCAGCACTGTGGGTGGGAGCCAGGAGCGACGTGGCCCTCTGTGCTGGCCCCTGAGAGCTGAGGTCCCTCCCGCCCACCCAGGTGCCCACACCAGACACTCAAGGAGGACCTGGACTGGGCCCAGCAGTCCCTCTCCCACCCACTTGCTGCTCTGCATCCCACCCCCACCCCTGCCCAGTACCGGCCATTCGCTCACACCTGTTCCAGGAGCAGTCCCATGTCCAGCTCACCCCCACTGCCCCCCCCACCGCCCCCCCCACACCGCACTCTGGCCAGGGGTGTTTCTAAAGCAACCACTTGCTAACCTCTTCCTATGCTCCCACTGCCCTCAGGCACATGGTCCATGCCCAGGCCCTGTCCTCTCCAGCCTCATGCCCCACCCCTTGGTCCACCCAGCCTGTAACCCCCAGCTCCTGCAGCTCCCTCCCCAAGCCCTTTACACTCCCTGAACCCCCGCTACTGCCGCCCAGCCCTCCCCCTCCACCTACTCAATCCCCATCCTCCCCTGGGTCTCAACTCAGACATCCCCTTCTCCCGGAGGCCTCCCGACCCCCAGCCCCATTCTCCCTGCCTCCTCATGCCCGGCACAGGAGCATGTATAGCTCTGTGGTCCTGGCACAGTACACAGCTCAGTACACCTGCTGTGTCCATTTCACACGTGTCTTTGGCGCGCCTTCTGTCCGCCAGGCAGAGTTCTGGGTGCTGAGTGTACGGAGGCCACCTTTTGGCTCATTTCCCAGTAAAGTCAGGTGGGGCACATGGGAGAAAATCACACACTGTTGGGGAAGGTGTGCTGGTTTGGCTTGGTCCTTCCTGAACTGCTGTTTGGTCACACTGAATTGCTGTGTGACCCTGGACTAGCCACGACCCTCTCTGGACCTTAGTTTCCTCATTTGTTAAATGTGGGAAAGATGGTTTTGAACTAGGTGATCTTCAAGGAGCCCTCTGGGATTGGAGGGGATGAGGACAGAGAGAAGCTGGCCCTAAAATGGCCTCTCCGCATGTCCCCTCCCTGTGCCCAAGGGGGTCTCCCTAGGGCAGTGGGAAGGGGCCAGGCTGGTAGAGCTGAACTCCCCCTCCCCCTCCCGCACAGCTTTGGTTCCCACTACTCACTTGCCCTACCTCGCCTCCCAAACCCTTCCCCAAGACCCTCACAGTAGCACTGAGGACCCCCAGCGTTTTCTATCGTATTGTGACCTTGAGACCCCAGCCCCCAGGCCCCCTCTGTGCCCTACCCAAGCCAAGCCAGTCCCTCTCAGAACAAAGCAGGATTGGGCCACCCTCCAGGCTCAGAAAGCTCTGCCACCCTCCTGGTCACCTTGCTCCACAGATATTCTGAAGCATGGCCTCTCCTGCCCCGCCAGGCCTGCCCAGACTGACTGATGCATTCTGCAAGCCCGGGGTCAGGCCAGCCCCACAGGGCGCTCAGGATGGATGGACCACAGAGGTTGGCTGGGTGGGGTGGGTGACAGAGCCCCAAGGCCCCAGGGCTAGGAATAAAGGAATGGGGACAGCACTACCTGTGGAGGGGGAGCAGGTGCCAGGAGACCTGTACTCTTTGGCAGATGGGGAAACAGAAGCTCAGGCAGGGAAGAGAAGCAAGGGGTCAGACACAGCCAGGAAATAAACTGGGCTGAGGACAGACAGAACTCTGTTCAGATTCCAGCTCTGCCGCTGAATTGCTGTGTGACTTTGTGTGAGTCACTTAACTTCTCTGAGCCTCCCACAGGTTGTTGAGCCATCAGATGTCAAGTTCCTGGACCATAGGAAGTGGGTAAATGCGTATAAAAGCCCCAGGCAGCCAGGTGCAGTGGCTCATGCCTGTAATCCTAGCACTTTGGGAAGCCAAGGTGGGTGGATCACCTGAGGTCAGGAGTTCGAGACCAGCCTGACCAATATGGTGAAACCTCATCCCTACTAAAAATACAAAAATTAGCCAGGCATGGTGGCACATGCCTGTAGTCCCAGCTACTCATGAGGGTGAGACAGGAGGAGAATTGCTTGAACCTGGGAGGCAGAAGTTGCAGTGAGCCAAGTTCACACCACTGGACTCCAGTCTGGGCAACAGAGCTACGGGCTGTGTCTCAAAAAAAACAAACAAACAAACAAACAAACAACAACAACAAAAAAAAACCAGGAAGGCAGGCAGGGCCCTCATCCTCTCTTTCCCCAGTCTTCACCCCATTCCTAGAAGAGAGCAGTGAGGAGTCAGAAGACCTAACTGACTCCAGCCTTTGCTACTCACTGGCAGTGCGTCCCTGGGCAGGTAACCTCGTGTCTCCAAGTCTTAGTTTTTTCATCTGTAAAATGGCAACAGCTCACCTCCCTCAGAATGACTGTAAGGCTCAAAACAGGTCATGGACATGAAAACTCTACAGGGCTTATGGTTGCAAGATAACCTCTCTTAATACTAGGTGGGTGGGCAGGTGGATGGATGTGTGGGTGGACAGATGGATGGATGGACAGGTGGATGGGTGGATGAGTGGATGGACAGGTGGATGTCTGGCTGACTATACAGATGAATGAATGGACAAATGGAAAGATGGCTAGAAAGATGAGCAGATGTATGTATGTACGTATGGATGGATGGATGGATGGATGGATGGATGGATGGATGGACAGGTGGATGGGTGGACAGGTAGATGGATGGACGGGTGGGTGAATGGATGGATGAGTGGATGGATGGATGGATGGGTGGGTGGATGGATGGGTGGGTGGATGGATGGACAGGTGGATGGGTGGACAGGTAGATGGATGGACAGGTGGGTGGGTGGACAGGTGGGTGGGTGGATGGGTGGGTGGGTGGATGGATGGATGGATGGATGGATGGATGGATGGATGGATAGACAGGTGGATGGGTGGACAGGTAGATGGATGGATGGATGGATGGATGGACGGACGGACGGATGGATGGATGGATGGACAGGTGGATAGGTGGACGGGTGGATGGATGAACCGGTGGCTAGGCATATGGGTGAGTAGGTACATCGATCTGTGGTGGGTGAATGACAGAGCTCGACTTCTAAGTCAGTCAGCACAAGTGAGGGAGTCAGGTTTCATTGCCCCAGTGAAATGCTCTACGACGTCCTCCTTCAAACTAAGCAACTTCTTTTCCTATGGGTGCTTGCCTTGACATCCTATGAAGACCACTCTCCCATAAACTCTTCGTCCCTGAAAAGCCAGACTCCCCAGCATGCTCTCCAGACTCTCCTGGGACTCAGAAGCATTGGGACCACCTGCCAGTGTCTTCAGGCCCATGAGCTCTATGGGAGCAGGGCACATCTGTCTAGATAGACACCGCAGGATCCCTGAGCACACCCGGGCCCTAATCAGTCTTCTCCAAGTGAACGAAGCAGGGTGGGGGGGTGGGCATTGGCTAGGTAGGCCAGGGATGGGTTGGCCAGGGATGGATCAGCCAGGAATGTGTGGACAGGGCGGGGCTGACTCACTGGGCACGCGGTTGATGGCTTTGAGGGGCCTCAGGACGCGCACGGTGCGGATGGCTGACAGGTTGATGTTCTGAAGGTCCAGGGAGTACTCGACCATCCTGCAGAGAAAGGAGAGAGAGTGAGGGATGGTGCTGGAGGCCAGCTGGGGCCAGGGCCCGGGCCACAGCATTCTCCAGCCACCTGCGCACTACTGCCTGGACAGGGCAAGTAAAGACAGCAGTCGGATCTCCAGCTACACCTGGCCAACATGTGGCCTGGGGTTGGTGGCCCTTGTCTCCTCCTCTGTAAATGGCGCCGGTGACAGATGTGGGCAAGGGCTTAGAGCATGAAGGGAGCACAGATGTTGGGCTCCCACTGTGTGCCCAGCGCTGTGCCAGGTGGCTCCTGCCCCAGCGCATCCTCCTGGCCCGTGGCCCATGTCAGCCCCAGCTTCCACAGCAGCCTCTGAAAGTGGGAGGAACATCTCCTGCACCAAACGGCTCCACACCCCACATCCCTTCCATGCTCAACTAGCCCTGCAGCTCTTTGGAGGCAGTTTGCCTCCTTCAGGAAGTCTTCCCAGATCTCCCTCAAGAGGCAGACCTCTGAGGTCCCTTCACGGTGGAAGCACAGCAAACCTCATTTGAGGGCGACTGGGAGATGGGCCCGGCCTGCATTTCCAGGATGACCCCCCCTGCCCCCCATCACCAGACCCTTCCCCTGGCACCTCCCACCCCAGGACTTCAGCACTGCTGCCAGCTCCACCTGTCACCACCCATGTCACCACTGTCAGTAGGAAATGAAGGCTTTTCCTACATGCTGCACAAACCTGTCCGACTGTTGTGAAGCTGCCACCCCCTCCCGCTGCTTGAAGAGTCATTGAGTGAAAGCTCCATTCGTTCCCTGAAATGCCACCACCATCCATCCCCCACCCGCTGGAGCGCATGCACACACACTTCCATACCTGTGTGCACACACGCACAGTCACACACCTGCATACACAGAGTCACGTACATGCACACAACCACACACCCACAGTCACACCCATGCACACAGTCACACACGCACACAACCACACACCCACAAACACACACCTGCACAATCACACACACGCACATAATCACACACCTGCACACACAGTCACACACACAGTCACACACTTGCACACACACACACAGGCACACAACCACACACCTGCACACAGTCACACACCATCACAGTCACACACACGTACACAACCACATACCCACACACACAGTCACACACCTCCAAAAAAAGTCACACATACACACAACCACATACCCACACACCCAGTCACACACCTGCACACAGAGTCACACACATGCAAACAACCACACACCCGCATACACAAGCACAAATACACACACAACTGCACACCTGCACACACACACTCACTCCCTTCTTGGACATCCTCATACATGCACACTCCTACTCAAGCATAAATTCAGATGAGGGGGAGTGACCCAAAAAAGTGACAGAGACCTAGAGCTAGAGACAGAGACCTTGGGGACCTGAGGGGGAGGGAGGAAAGAGGGAGGGGGGAGCTGGCAGAGAGCAGGGAGGGAGGAGGGGGCCAAGGGAAGGAGCAGGAGGAGGGAAGAGGGGGTTGGGGGAGGGGCCGGGAAAGGAGGGGTGCGGTGGGCGGGGGGCAGCAGCTAGGCAGAGAGGGTGAGGGCCGATGGTGACCTGGAAGGGGCAGCGAGGGAGCGGGACTGCATGAGGATTCTGCGCGTGGGTGAGCCCAACTGTCATTTTCACATTTTGTAGAAAGAGCTCTCCAGGCAGCCGGGAGACACGTGTGATGGAGGGGCTGCGGGGGTGGCACACACAGGCACACAAACAGGCGCTGGCACCCGCGGGGCCCAGGACTGCCGAGTCCCATCGCAGGCAGCCAGGCCCAGCTCCAGCCAGCCCTCCCCACCATGCCCCACCCCCACAGACGCAGCCTCTCTTTCTCCTGCCTTGGTTCTCCAGATCCTGTGGGGGGCGGGGTGGGGGGAGTCAGTCCCTAGGGAGAGCTGGGAACCCCCTCAGGCTCAGTTCATGCTTTGCTGGGTGAGCTGGAGATGGGGGCTCCCAGCCCACACCAGACTGAACCCACCCACGTGCTGCCTTCCCAGAGCCCAGAGGGCACACCTGCCCAGCTCTGGCAGGCGCTCATCAAGGACTTGTTCCCGTCCCCATGAAGCCTCGCCATGAAAATAAACAGATGCCTGAAAGATGGATGGGTAGACAGAAAAGCAAGGCTGTTTGAGACCCTACTGGGTGCCGGGCACTGTTCTCTTTACCTGTGGGAACCCATTTCAATCTCCACTCATTTGAGCGCGGGCCCATTATTCTCTCCTGCCACAGCCTCCCTCCATTCCACCCCGGACCAGAGCAAGCCACATCCATGACTGGCTCATTGAGGGAGCCCTTGGGACAACCCCCTGCTGGTCCCTAACTCCCCTCCCCTACACGGCCACCAGGCTCCACCTTCCCCACCCAGTCTAGGACTATTGGCTCTCAGTTAAGTGAGGACACCAACCATGGCCCCTGCCCCAGGATAGGCTGGGGGACAAGACTGCCCTCGTGCACAACTCAGCCCCTTGATGACAAAGAGTGTTTTCTTTTTCTTTTCTTTTTTTTTTTTTTTTTTTTTTTGAGACAGAGTTTCACTCTTGTTGCCCAGGCTGGAGTGCAATGGCACTATCTTAGCTCACCACAACCTACGCCTCCCGGGTTCAAGCGATTCTCCTGCCTCAGCCTCCTGAGTAGCTGGGATTACAGGCATGCACCACCATGCCCAGCTAATTTTGTATTTTTAGTAGAGATGGAGTTTCTCCATGTTGGTCAGGCTGGTCTCGAACTCCCAACCTCAGATGATCCACCCACTTTGGCCTCCCAAAGTGCTGGGATTACAGGCGTGAGCCACCGTGCCCAGCCGACAAAGAGTGTTTTCTTACACTTTGTGTTTCTCTACAACAAGGGGTGGCAGGAAGAGACTGATCCCAGGGTCCTCAATGAGATACAAGTTGTGACTGGATGTCAAAGGGGGGGCCCACGATGACCCAGTTAGTAACTTTAGGATCTGAACACCTCCCAGACCCCAGCCTTGCCACAGGAGGCTGATCAGACACGTGTGCTCTCGGCTACAGACTTGGGCAACCTCCCCGCCATCCGCCCCCATCTTGGAGGGGAACAGAAACAGCCGCTGCCTGGCAGTGCATTTGAAGCTCCCAAACACTCTGAGCTGGTCCAAATAGGGCAGGCCTGGAGCAACACATTGGCCCAGCCCCTTTCCTTCACGCCATACATGACCCTCTGGGTCTTCAGCACGGGAACACACCTGCAGTCTATGTCTGCGGCAAACATTCCCCAAATTCCCCTGAGAATCCACCAGGTGCAGCCCTCAGACCCCGGTGAAAAGCTCCCCCAAGAAAACGTTCCTGTAGAATCTGGTGTCAAGATCTTAGCTCTGAGCTTCCTGGCAACCAAGTCAAAAAAGGAAATGTGATATTACTGAGTTCTTAGCAGCATGAAAGATCTTGACACTGTAGATCCTTCCAGGGAATCCATTTGCTTAAATGTTTCTCCTGGGTCCTAACTCTCACTTCTCCACTTCATGAACCATTTGCGGGTATTCTGCGGTGGCCGCATCTCCTGCCTGGGGGAATAAGAGCATATAAATGCATTCAGTGAAGAAGAAACATAGTAGCTGCACAGTGAAGAATCGTGTAGTTCTCATTCTTCTCTGAGCAGAAGAGGATAGAAAGGAGGACACAGGACAAGGATGGGGAGAGAGGAGGGAAGAGGGAAGAGCACTTAGTTGGGAGGGAGGAATTGTGGGTTTAAGTCTGTGTCCTGGGAACCTCACTGTCTTGACAATGACTCAATGCACCAATTGGCCCAACCTGGGATAGCTTGCTGACAGTTCCACTCTCCCTGTCCTAGCCCGGATCACCCTCCCTCTGTCCCGACAGTGGCACAAGCCTCCCAATTGCCCTCCTGCCCCTTGCTTCCTCCCCTACAGCCCTTCCTCAGTCAGCAGAAATCTCCTAAACTCAGACCTAGCTGTGTCACTCCCACTTAAAACCCTCAGTGACTCCCCATTGCCTTCAGAACAAAGAGACCTTCAAGGGTCTCCATAATGTGGCCTCCGTCCATCTCCCCCGAGTGTCTGCTCACCCTAGGTGCCATGTCAGGCATAAGCACCACGTCTCAATTTTTGCTGAGGGCCACCTGGGATGGAGGAAGCTATCTCCCTCCCCTTCTCCTCTTTCCACCCCAGTGACAGCCAAGACAGCTGGGACTTCCTGCCCACATTCCAAAAAGAGAAGGTAAGGAAGGGCCGCCTTGTGGGCTGACTCCCCTCAGGCCCCAAATAAGACATCGCTTACAGGAGTGAGAAATTAATTCCTAATTACACAGTTACTTTCTCACGCAACTTCAGTGCTAAAAGTCTAAAAAAGAAATCAACAAAACCTCCCCACTACCTCCTGCCAGCTCCTAAGCGCTTAATTAGGTAAGTAATGTTGCTTTAAAGAGAGCACTTCCATCCTGAAGTCGCCCCAGGAGGAGGTGGCTGTCTTCTGGGGAGAGGGGCTCCCGTGTGGTCAGACTGGTAGAGGGGCCATGCAAAGGAGGGCAGGGAGGGTGGACACCATTTCTTCCCAGCACCCTCTACTCCGACCTTATTCCTTGAAGAGCCTCCCTCCCTGGCTCCTGGCTCCTAGCAGAGGTCCAGAGACCCAGGCCTGGTCCACCAGAGGATCCCATGCCCCCAGCTGGGCCACCATGGTTGGTTCAGGATAGGCACGTGATCCCAGGTGAGCCACAAAGGCAGCCCAGCCCTTAAGCCAGGACTGCAGGGAAGAGCCCTTCTCCCTGGCTAAGCAGCAGCCTGCAAACCCGGAGGCCACCTTGGCTCTGTGGTGGCCTGAGAATTTTGCCAACACAAAGGAAGGCTGAAGCAAGAGCTGGAGAGAGGCGGGCTCCTGACCACATGCTTGGAGGACCTCCCTCCAGCTGAGCCCAGATCCCTGACCTACCCTCTGCTCTCCCCGGTTACTTGAGCCAGTGCCTTCCTTTTGGGTTCTAGGTCCTGCTTGTACTGTGTTTCTGTCAACTGGAACTCAGGGTCCCGGTTGGTTTAGAAAGGTTATCTGAGCACTCGCTACCTGCCGCAAGCTTCATACCCCTTCCCTCAAGTACTCCTCTCTCAGCTGGATTACAGCACCCACTGCAGATGAAGAAACTGAGACAGAAGGGGCCCATGTCAGGCCCAGCATGGTGGCTCATGCCTGTAAGCCCAGTACTTTGGGAGGCCAAGGCAGGTGGATCACCTGAAGTCACGAGTTCAAGACCAGCCTGGCTAACATGGCAAAACCCTGTCTCTACTAAAAATACAAAAATAAAAAAAAATTAGCTGGGCATGGTGGCGCACGCCTGTAATCCCAGCTACTCAAGAGGCTGAGGGAAGAGAATCGCTTGAACCCAGGAGGCGGAGGTTGCAGTGAGCTGAGATTGCGCCACTGCACTCCAGCCTGGGTGACAAGAACAAAACTCTGTCTCAAAAAAAAAAAAAGAAGGGATCCATGTCCCACAGACAGGTACCAAGGGACCCAGGAGCTCTGTGTGACCTGCCCCCTCTCCCACTGCATCAGTCACCGGCAAGGCCGGAGCAGGCCAGCGCCTCCGGCTCGGGAGCGTTACCCTCTGCTGACCAGGTAGGTGGAAGGCACAGCGCCCACCACAGCACTAGGACCAGGGCCAGCATCCTCCAAGGCAGTGCTACCCGATGGTCAGAGTACAGAGCTGGGTTCCAATCCCAGCTCGCTGCTTGTGTCCCATGTGACTTTGGGCAAGTCACTGACCTGAAACATGTTCATATACAGATCCAGTACTCAGAACAGGGCCTCACACAAGGAACAGCCAAGAAATGTGAGCTATTATTGTATCGCAGCCTCAACTGTTACCTCAGCTCACACGCGCCCACGAATCACATGAGGCCCTCTCCAGACCCCACCCCCAGGCAGAGATGAGCTCTTCTGCCTGGTGTCCCACTGATCCTCTATGAGGGCACCTCTGGGCACCTGTCCCTGTTCCTCAGAGCAGGGGTTGGCTCAGAGCCCCTGCTGGGTCCCCAGTGCCCAGCCCAGGTTCTGACTTAGAGGTGGATTCCCTGTGTGAGTTTGTCAAACAAATAATTTGAGGGACAAGATCAGAAAAAAAGAAGAAAGAAAAAAAAAGCTTGGAGCTGACAAGAAGCCACAAGAAATGACTGAGATTTAACATCTTTCCAGGAAATACCCCGCCCAGGAGATGATTTCTGTGTGTGGCTGATAAAAATAGGGTGTTTCCTCAATCTTCACAAGGGGCCCACGGGGGCTTTCTTAAAATGTGATTTAAGATGTAGCTAATGGAAGGGAAGCTGAGATGCTGGAAATCACAGATCATCTGTCAGGAGGCAGCTCTGTGATGACTCAGGCTTGTGTTGGTTGGTAACTAGACCACCAGCCATTGCCAATATCCGGGGACCTAGCACACAGTAGGTGTTCTGTGGAGGGATGGAGGGAAGGAGGGAGAGAAGGAGGAAGGAAATAATAGAGAGGATTTGGGAGTAATGACATTAACCCTTGACTGTGGCCAGCACCTCATGATTTATGGGTCATTTCACCCATTGCTATGGTCTGAATATTTATATCCACTTAAAATTCATACATTGAAATTCTATCCCCCAAGGTGATGGTATTAGGGCCTTTGGGGAGGTGATTAGATCATGAAGGCAGGGCCCTCAAGAATGAGATTAGCACCTTTTTAAAACAGGCAAAGGGAAACTCATCTGCCCCTTCACGTGAGGACTCAAGTGAGGACTCAATGAGAAGACTCATCTATGAGGAAGTGGCCCCCACCAGACATTGAATCTGCCAGCACCTTGATCTTGGACTTCCCAACCTCCAGAACTGTGAGAACTAGATTTCTGTTGTTTATGAGGCACCCGGTTTATGGTATTTTGTTAGAGCACCCCAAACAGACTAAGATACCTGTCTTAGTCCATTTTCTGCTGCTATAACAGAAGCAGAAAGACTGGATGATTTATTTTTAAAAAAGAAATTAATTTGGTTTACGATTCTGGAGGCTGGGAAGTCCAACATCAAGGAGCTGCATCTGGCGAGGACTTTCTTGCTGTGTCATCACGTGGCAGAAGGGCAAGAAAGTGTGTGTGAGACAGGGAAGGGGCCAAACTCATCCCTCTCATCAGGAACCCACTCCCACGATAACCATCCCACTCCCACAATAATGGCATTAATCCATCCACGAGGGCTGAGTCCTCATGACCTGGTCACTTCTTAAAGGTCCCACCTCTCAACTCTGTTGCACTTGGCATTAGGTTGCCAACACATGAACTATGGGAGACACATTCAAACAACAGCAACACTCGCAGTTCCTCACACAAACCTATGAGGCCAAAGAACAGAGGTTATTAAGCCCAGTTGACTGACGCTCTGAAACCAACTCAGGCCAAGCTCAGAGTACAGGGGGGATTTGGGGGAAGAATGCTGGGTTGGCCACAAAGCTGAGGGATGGGCTGCAAAGACAGAACCCAGGCAGGTGGGAACCAGGGCAGCTCTGGGAACCTCAGTGGCAGAAGACCTGGACCTTCTCTCTCCAAGCCTCCATTTGGGTTACTTTACTCCAGTGGTTTATTTCTGGGTAGAGTTGCCAGATAAATAGAAGCTTCCCAGTTAAATCTGAGCTTCAGATAAACAATGAATAATTTTAGTGTATGCCTCATGATGTCTGCCTCCCGTGAAACTTAGCTCCATTACTCCAGAGTAGTCTTGGCAGCACGGCAGGTGAGAATGGCTGCTGGGAACCAGAGAGTGGGCTCTGTGTGGTGCAGAGATGCTTTTGGCTCTAACCAGAGCCTGGGGGAAATGTTCCTCTCAGGGGACTCACCTCACTGCTTTCTGAGGGCTAGTGAGGCAAATCAACGGCTTATATTTCAGCCTCTGGAAATGTACAACCCCTTCATGTCATGGGTGAGCACGAGCCCTGGGGGCAGCCAGACCTGAGCAATCCCAGATCTGATCCATAAAGGCTGAGTGTGTCCTGAGGCAGGCTACCAATCTCTCTGACACTCCATTTTCTCATCTGCAAAATGGTGTTAACAATACTAATTTCTGGGGATTGTCAGGATGTAACACCATCATGGGTGTAAAAAAGCCCAACTCAGTCAGTTAATGATAGTTCATGGTAGGCCACCTAAACGGCTTGGTTTCCACCAGCCAGGGCGCCCTTGTGAACTCCAGGAGTAACAAGGCCTGGCCTGGGATCCTCCCTGTCCAGCATCCCTTTCCAGCCTCCCTGACCAGCCTCCCCACCCTCAGCCACGTGATAGGGGCACAGCTGACACATCCTGCCAGGGGTGAGCCTTCACCTCCGTCTGGCCTATAGGAGCTCTGCCCACCCTACCCTCAGTGATTGGCTTAGGGATGAGCACATGCCCCACACCAGCCAATCCAGGCCAAAGAGGCTCAGTTCCCAGGACTGATTGGAACTGCTAGGAAAGGAAAGGTGTGTCTGAACTGGAGGGAGTCGGCACTGAGCCCCGAGCTGCCTGCCACCACCCTGCCACCGTGAAAGCTCCAGGGAGGGAAGTCAGCACAGACTAGCAGAGCTGTGGGATAGGAGCACACACCATCTAGAGACATCTTTCAGGATTCTAGAGCAAGCGGGCCCTGAAGCTGGAGACCTCTTGGCTTTTCAGTAGAGGAAACAGTTGACTCCCTTAAACCAGATTCAGGGTTTCTGTCCCACGTAACAGAGATAGTCCTTCCCGATTCATGATTGACCCGTGTCAGGCACCTCAGCCTGTGGCCAGAGAATCTCTGGTGACTTCCCCCAACATCACACATGGCAGCTACCATCCTGTTTCCATGGAAACGAGCCTCCACAGTGACCATCACCCTCTCTCCCATCCCATCCCATATGCAAATGAGAAAAACACACTAAGGTTCCTATTGGAACCTTCCCCAGTCCACGCCCACCCAACGGCAGCTCAGCTTAAAGAAAATGGCTCCAGATATCCTCTCCCCAGCTCTTTCGTGCCTGGGTGCAACAGACAGGAAACAAACATGTAATGATGCCTCCACGGCTCTGGGGACTTCAGGATGATGACTAGCCTTGGTCCTGCCCTCAGAGCACCCAGTGCATCTGAGCATCCACAGCCGCAGGGCAGACAGACCTGTAAGTCCAGGATAGATCAGAGTGTAAAGTCAATGACAAAACCAGAAGGGTCCCCTGGGCTTCAAGACATTCGGAGGGCTTCCCTTACCCACCAATAGTGCACACAGAGTTGTGCAGGAAGGCCAGCTCCAAAGGCTTCTGGGCATCCAAGTGATTGCCTTCTGATTCCCATGACCACAGCAGGATCTGCTGACAGGCACTGGGCTCTGTGGAGCTTGCCTAGGTTGGTATTGACGTTAGAGATCTCAACAGAGCCCTGCCCCTGCCCAGTCAGCACAGGCAGAGCTCCAGAAGCTCTAACCAGGGCTTGGAGACATGGTAGAGCCACGGCTTTGGCAGAGGGTGGGTGAAGAAACTGAGGCTCAAGGAGAGGAATGTGGCTGACTCGGAGTGCCCCCATGATGGGCGTTCTCTCTCTTGTGATCTTGCCTGAACCCAAGGAACAACTCTTGTTTGATTTAGCCAAGTTCAATGATGCTTTCTGCTTTCCTAGCCTTGCTGCCACTCAGGTGTCCATCAGACCCAGTTCTGGCCAAATGCACTAGGGAAGGGAAGGATCCCGGAAAGAAAATCTCATTTTCCTGATCCAAGTGGACATGCCCTGTCACTCTTCACCCTTCTTTCCTGTCTTTAATTCAGACATGACACCCACGGCTTCACCGGCTGCCTTGTGACCATGAAAGAAAGGCCTGGAAAATCACAAGGATGTCAGCCCCCACACTGCAGAACTATCACCAGTAACCAGAACTTTGTGTTATGTCAGAAAAACACGGATTCAGGATTTGCCTGAGCCACAGTTGGTTGGGTTTTCTATTACTTGCAGCCAAATGCATCCCTGACAAATACACCCAGCAGTCACACTGAACCAGGACCCAATCCTGGTGGAGCTGGTGGAGCTAAGCTCCCTGGGTTCAACTCCTGACTCTGCCCCTTACCAGCCTGTGACCTCAGGCAAGTTACTCCTGTCACTGCCTCATCTGTGAGGTGGAACTGACCACAGCCCTCACAGGGCTTGTCTGACCATTCAACAGGATGATGCACGGTGTGAGCACTCAGCAGTCAGCGTCCTTATTCTTATCACACTCCTGGAGGCATCAGAGAATTAAATTACCTTTGCCTTTTGAAGTCCCACTGATGGGGCACTTTGGAAAAAAGGAACTCTCAGCCAGCAACCTCAGCAGGGACATACCTGCCTGATCTTTCTAGAAAGCCCTAGCCCAGAGCTGAGGAACAATTCTTAGTGGCTTTTTGTTTCCCAAGAGTCTGTAAGAGTCAGGGTGGAGAAGCTGTTCCCAGCATTCCAGAGACCATGTTTCCAGGGTACAATAAATTTTTTTTTTCTCTTTTCTTTTTTTTTGAGACAGGATCTCACTCTGTCACCCAGGCTGCAGTGTAGTGGCGCAATCTTGGCTCACTGCAACCTCCGCCTCCCAGCCTCAAGCAATCCTCCCACCTCAGCCTCCTGAGTAGCTGGGACTACAGACACACACATTTTTTTTTTTTTTAGCTGTGGTTTCACCATGTTGCCCAGGCTGGTCTCAACCTTCTGAGCTCAAGCGATCCATCCACCTCGGCCTGCCAAAGTGCTGGGATTACAGGCAAGAGCCACTGCACTCAGCCCAGGATACAAGTCCTAACCCAGCCTCTCCTTCTCACCCTCTAGCCAAGGTGCTAAGTTACTAATATTACTTTATTAATACTATTAATGATCATAGAAATTCTTTTTTAAAAAATGTTTTAAAGAAATGGGCTCTCGCTATGTTGCCCAGACCGATCTCTAACTCCTGGGCTCAAGATATCCTCCCACCTCAGCCTCCTGAGTAGCTGGAACAATTGACACACACCACTGGACTGGGTGATCACAGAAGTTCTTTTTTAGAGACTGAGACTCTGTCTCCCAGGCTGGAGTGTAGGAGTGCAATCTTGGCTCACTGCAACCTCTCTACCACCCGGTTCAAGCTATTCTCCTGCCGCCCAAACAGCTGGGACTACAGGTGTGCGCCACTGCGCCTGGCTAATTTTTGAATTTGTATTTGTATTTTTTTTTTTTTTTTTTTTTTGGAGATGGAGTTTCACTCTCATTGCCCAGGCTGGAGTGCAGTGGCACGATCTGGGCTCATGGCAACCTCCGCCTCCTGGGTTCAAGCAGTTCTCCTGCCTCAGCCTCCCGCTGGGATTACAGGTGTCTGCCACCACGCCCAGCTAATTTTTTTGTATTTTTAGTAGAGACAGGGTTTCACCATGTTGGTCTCGAACTCCTGACCTCAGGTGACCCCCCCCCGCCTTGGCACCCCAAAGTGCTGGGATTACAGGTGTGAGCCACCGCACCCGGACTAATTTTTGTATTTTTAGTAGACATGGGGTTTCATCATGTTTGCCAGGCTGGTCTCAAACTCCTGACCTCAGGTGATCTGCCTGCCTCAGCCTCCCAAAGTGCTGGGATTATAGGCATGAGCCACAGTGCCTGGCCAATCACAGAACTTCTTACATAGAGTTCCCACTGTTCTGTTCACAAAGTACTTCTACCTGTCATGAAAATTATTCAAATCCTGGACACAGATGCAGAGATGGAGCCCTCCCTATCTCTCTTCCCCTTCCTGCGGTTCCCAGACTGGGAATCATGACCTGTACCTTTCAGTCCTCCTGATTAGAGGCTGCTGTGACAGTCGAATGAGCTGTAATTTCTCCACCAGTGGCCCACAGACCACATCAGGGCCACCTGGGCGTTTGGTTACAATGCAGATTTCTAAGCTCTGCCTGCCTGCTGGCAGTGGATCCCTGAGCTAAGGCCAGAAATCTGCTTTTAAACACATGCCCCAGTGATCCTGCTGCTCCCTGACGTTGGAGGAACATTGAGAAGGGGTGAAAGGATGTGCATGTGTTTGGGGAGTGGGGCAGTTCGCATTCCTGATCTATGCACACCCTGCCCTCAGCTGTTCCATTCTCCACACAGTCAGAAGCTTGCGAAGTCTTTCAGATGTAAGGCGCCTCCTGTTCTCTGTACTCATCCAAGACAGGGCCCACATCAGCCATGTCCTTGGCAAACCTCATTCTGGAGAGATCCCAGTAGCCTCACCCTCCACCCCTGGCTCACCCCCAGAGACCAGACATCAGAATTCTTGGGGAACTTTTAACAGAAGTGCCCAGGCCCCTCCCCACAGGTGGCAATGGCCATTTTGTTTCTGGTTGGGGGAGGAGATAGAATTACCAGCATGATGCACCAAGGGAGATACACAGATAAAGAACGTCTCAAGTTCAGCAAGAATGTGATTGAATAGTTCATGACCTCCTAATGGACAGAGGCAGAAAAGTGTAGCTTAAATGATAAGACAAAGAGTTGGGATTGGCCAGACATAGTGACTCATGCCTGTAATCCCAGCACTTCGGGAGGCCGAGGAGGGTGGATCACTTGAGGTCAGGAGTTCAAGACCAATCTGGCCAACATGGTGAAACCCCGTCTCTACTAAAAATACAAAACTTAGCCGGCATGGCGGCGCATGCCTGTAATCCCAGCTACTCGGGAGGCTGAGGCATGAGAATTGCTTGAACCTAGGAAGCTGAGGTTGTAGTGAGCCGAGATGGCGCCACTGCACTCCAGCCTGGGCAACAGAAAGAGACCCTGTCTCAAAAAAGAATAATAAATAAAAGAGTTGGGTTCAACCAAACACAAATAGAGATGATGACGGGGTCTTTGTCACACACTGGAAGAGTCTAGTGCGGTGCCACAGGACTCACTATCCTGAGCTGTGCGAGTGCAGGAAGTGCATGGAATGAGCGGCTGCCTCAGGACTCCAAGAGGCCACGGTGAGATGAACTCAACAGCAGTAAGTGCAAAGTTTTTCACGTGGGTTTTAAAAATCACCAACTTTTAGTTCCAGGGTGGGAGAGACCTGGTTTGGAGAGTGAACATGACCTGACGGCAAAAGGGAGCATGGCCACTCCCCAGGCCACCGCAATCCCACACTTCACTGAGGCGAGGGCAGCCCATTCTCTCTACCCCATAAGCCATCATTGGGAGGGTGGGATCCCGTTCTCCTGCCAGGGACAGAGACAGCCTGAAGCGAGTCCAGCAGATAAGGGATGAACGCTGTCCTTTGACAAATGGTGGGAAGGCTGGGGACATTTCATCTGGAAGGGGAGACTTGAGGAGGACAGGAACCACCCCCCAACTTCTGAAGGACGGCTATGAGTTTGTCAGTGATACCATCCCTGCAGCCTCTGGACCTTGCCTGTGCAATGAAGCCCTTGCCCTTCTCTGGCCTCATGTCTTAGCACCCACCCCCCAGAAACCCTGGGCTCCAGCATCCCCTGTCACTCACCTTTCCCTTCCTCATGCACCCCCTCAGGCCTCCTGCATGCTTCCCCGCTGCCTGAAACTCCCTTTCCCCCAGCTCTCTGCCTGGCCAGCTCTTACCTACCCCAGGTCTGTCCCTCAGTGTGACATACAGTGACACCCCCCAATCAAAAGCAGGACCCCATTCCATGACCTGATGGCTCTCTATGCTTCCTGACAACAGCATGGATCCCAATTTAGACTTTAGTTGTGGTGATGTGTTTTATTTCTGTTTTCCAAACTGAAAGTTACGTGAAATCACAAAGGGCCTGTCTTGTTCATCTTCATGCCCCCACTGCTCTGCACAAGGCCTGGCATGTAGTAGATGCTCAATAAAGGTCGATTTAGTGAATGAATGAATGAATGAATGAATGGTACCATCCGGTGGGAGCCACAGGAAGATCAGTTTCAGCTCCGTGAAAGAAAGAGCTTTCTAGTGCATTTGGATGTCCTAGTTTGAGACCAGCCGCCTGGTGAGGCACTGTGCTCCCTGCAGGGGCAGCCTGGGAACAGAGGCAGGCCCCAGTCTCAGACACACCTGCCATGAGGGTTACACCAGATGTGGAGATGAAGGCCGTGACCTCTAAGGAACCTTCTAACTCGGAGGTGCTATGTCTGCCTCCACAGCTTGAAGAAAGAGCTAGTAATTAATTTGGGGAAGGGGAGGTAGAGGAAGGGAGCAAATAGGCCGGTTACTCGGGGAACAGAACATTTATAGCACCAGGCCTGGGTGGGATTTGGGGGGTGGGTGGGCAGCTCTGGGGATGGGTCTTGGGTGGGAGGGGGACCGGAGGGCTGGGCTCTGGAGCCAGGGTTGTGACTCCCCATCCTGTCCTCTCCACCCACGCCACCCCTGGGCACAAAGGATGGGAACGACCTTGAGCACGGGGTGGTCCTGTTCACCTGAGTTCCCAAATCCAGCACATAGCTGGGCAGTGAGAGTGCTCATGACTCCAGCAAAAAAGTCAGCTGAGCGTGGTGGCTCACACCTGTATCCCAGCGCTTCAAGAGGCCAAGGTGGGAGGATCACTTGAACCCAGGAGGTCACATAGTGAGAGCTTGTCTCTACAAAAAAATTAAAAAGTAAAAAAAAAAAAAATTAGCCGGGCATGGGGCATGTGCCTGTAGTCCCAGCTACTTGGGAGGCTGAAGTGGGAGGATCACCTGAGTCCAGGGAGGGCGAGGCTGCAGTAAGCTGTGATCGCACCACTGCACTCCAGCCTGGGTGACAGAATGAAACTGCCTCAAAAAAAAGTCTCCTTTGCATCTATCCCTCAGCCAGGACCACCTACATCATTGTGGGACTTGGTGCAAACTGAAGATGCAGGGCCCCTTGTTCATAAATGATTAAGAATTTCAAAATAGTGACAGCAGAGTATGGACCCAAGCGTGGGGCCCTGTGTGACCGCACACATCGCATGTCAGCCCCATGCCCAGCCCTCCCTGATCTCCCAAGGATGCTGGCCTGCAGACCTCGCCTCATCCAGCCCCCATCTCGAGGACCAAGAGAAAATGTCAAACTGAGAGCTCACCACAATGCTGAAGCTAGGCAGCTCTTCACCCTGCTCAGCTTAGAGCCTCATCGTCTTTATTTATAAATATGAGCAGACAGGAAAGAATCGCTAAGCAATACAGAATGCTTCAAGTCAAAAGGGCAGCGTGGGGGTGCCCATGGGAGTCAGTCTGTGGAGCCAGCAGAACAAATGACTTCCCTGAAACAAGAGTTAGGAAAAATTACCCTAGAACTTGGAAATACGGCAAAAGGAGGGCACTATTTCTCGCAATGTCATTTTGAAGCATAATTTAACAGGCCATTTAAAGATTATTTCATTATCCAGGGAGAAAATACCTTTGTTTGCTTCACAATTTCCTGTTCACTAAAGGTCTGGATGCTATGAAATTACATTTTAACTTGTAGATTTTTATCTGGCAGAGATGTATGTGATTTCTGCCCAAAAGATAACTCCAAAGGTTATGGTTTATTACCCTGTAGGTTATTAACCAGTTTTGACTCTAATCTCACTTTCTTCCTACATTCTTTCTCCGATGTCTGTTTTCCTAATTCTGCTGATTACCATCTGCTGAGTCCCTACTCCTTAACGAGCTGGATAAATCTGCCGTATACATTCATTCTAAGATTTGTGTAAGGGTCACTTTTTTTACCTTTTCAGAAATTATACTTTGGTACAGGGTTACTTCCAGAATCGTGAAAAGACTTTTAAGAAGCCTAATTAGTATATAAGGAGATTCAGGTGAATATTGTATTTATAAAACAAGAGCAGGCATCCATAAAACAAGAGCAGGCATCCATAAAACAAGAGCAGGCATCCATAAAACAAGAACAGGCACAAGGTACTCTGAAAAACAAGAAATCCAAAAACAAGAAGTGTTCTTGTGAATTAAAAAGACACTGAGGAAATGAATTATTCCATAGGGGCAGTAAATAGGGGAAAGGACATTGCTGAAAAGCCCACTTGTGATTCAGAAGCCCAAGTCAAAGATTTCTCTCATATTACAAGCAAAATCTGTGAAAGAAAAGGGGAAAGGCATGGACAAAAGATAGAGGACAGAAACATCTATATAACATGAATTCCAGAAGGAGACAGCAGAGAATAATGGGCCATAGTCAAAGAAGAGATGGAAGAACTTTCTTCTGAGATGATGGAAAGCATGAATCTTTTTTTTTTTTTTTGACAGGGTCTTGCTTTGTTGAAGACTAGAGTGCAATGGCACGATCACTGCTCACTGCAGCCTCAACCTCCTGGGCTCAAGGAGCCCAGCCTCCAGCCTCAGCCTCCTGAGTAGCTGGGACTACAGGAGTGCACCACAAACACCTGGCTAATTTTTTATTTTTTGTAGAGATGGGGTCTCACTATGTTGCCCAGGCTGGTCTCAAACTCCTAGGCTCAAGGAATCCTCTTGCCTCGGCCTCCCACAATGCTGGGATTACAGGGGTGAGCCACTGCACCTGGCCAAAAGCACCAGTCTTGAGTTCTCTAAGGTCCCCCTTAGACCTGCCCTAGAGAAAGGTCTGATTGTGAAGGTAAAGAGAAAAGCCCACAAGCTTCTAGTCAGGAAAAAGAAGGTCATCTTCCGAGAAAGAGGAACCAGATCTGTACTGGACTCACCTGCAATACTATAGTGTAGGTTTGAATGGCAGGATGTGTGCAGTGTTCTGACTCTACAATAGCACAAATAACGGTCCACACTCAAAGATCAAAGGAATATATGTTTGGACAGGCAAGATTGAAAAATGACACTATCCAAACACCTTTTCTTTTAAAAAAAAACTACTTAAAGATGTTCTCCAGCCAAACCAGAATAAGAATGAAAACGAAGAACGTGACTAAGAGGAGGATACAGTGCTCAGGAAACCACAGGAAACCAGAGTAGCTTCCGTACAGGTCTCAGTGACTGTTGACAATGTGTTTGTAAAACTGAATACAGTGATTGAGAGAAGATGCTTAGAGGCCAGGTGCGGTGGCTCACACCTGTAATCCCAGCACTTTGGGAGGCTGAGGTGGGAGGAAAGCTTGAACCCAGGAGTTCAAGACCAGCCTGGGCAACATAGTGAGACCCTGTCTCTATAGAAAAGAAAAGAAAAATTAGCCAGGGTTGGTAGCACATGCCTGCAGTCCCAGCTACTCAGGAGGCTGAGGTGGGAGGATCCTTTGAGCCTAGGAAGTCAAGGCTGCAGTGTGTGGTGACTGCATCACCACACTCCAACCTAGGTACAGAGTGAGACCCCATCTCAAAAAAAGAAGGAAGGAAGGAAGGGAGGGAGGGAGGGAGGGCGAAAGAAAGAGAGAGAGAAGGAAGGAAGGAGGGAAGGAAGGAAGGAGGGAAGGAAGGAAGGAAGGAAGGGAGGGAGGGTGAAAGAAAGAGAGAGAGAAGGAAGGAAGGAAGGAAGGCAGGAAGGAAGGAAGGAGGGAGGGAGGGAGGGAGGGAGGGTGAAAGAAAGAGAGAGAAGGAAGGAAGGAAGGAAGGAGGGAGGGAGGGAGGGAGGGAAGGAAGGAAGGAGAGAAAGCGAGAGAGCAAGCAAGCTTAGAAGAGGTGTAACTTTTTTAAAACCCTAGTGAAACGAATCACCTCACTTCAGAACACATCTGTGGAATTTAGCAGATACCTGATGGGATTCTCACACCCTGACTGTCCGTCTCAGCCATGCGTCTACTGAATCAAAAAGGTCACACCTCCTCAATAGCATTCTACACACGAGGTCACACACATACACACATACACTGACACACACACTCACACACCCTCTCTCACACACACACGTACAGCCTCCAGCCTTTTTCTCTCTCCTCTGCCCTAATAATGACCCACTCTTGGGCATGGTTAATGTCTCCTCATCCTTCAGCTCTCCCGTGTCACCTCCTCAGGAAGCCCTCAAGCCCCCAAGTCCCCAGCTTGGCTCAGTCGGGCTGCTGTGTTAAATGCTCTCAGCAAACCACATGCTTTGCCCAGCGCCCTGGTCCCCGTGTGTGAAGGCACGCCCACTGGCGTAGCAGGTGGGTGCCTCCCCGAGACAGGAGTAGGAAGGACAAGGCCTGTGTCTGGCTTGCTCTCCTCCTTGCCCCCAGCAGCTAGGGCGGCGCCAACACTGGGGAGCAAGTTGTTCAGTCCCTGGTTGATGGATGAATGCATGGATGGGTTTGACCCAGGAAAGCAGGCACAAGACCCAGAGCAGGGTCACAGACGCTCCAGATGGGCTCAGCTGTAACCAGGCCTGTCCCTGACGGCAGCTTGTGTCTCGGTAGAAATAACCACAGTCTGGAGTCAGACAGTGCTTGAGTCTGTGCTCGGTCTCTGGCGTGATGAGAGATCCAGGATAGCAATCCTAACAGCTAGCATTTATTGGGTGCTCATTTTGACGCAGCTACTATTATTATTCCCCTTTTCAGATGAGGAAATGAAAGCTTAGAGAGCGTCAGTGGCTCTCTCAAGGTCGTATCATTAATTAGCATAAACTCACCCAGTATCCGCTGGCAGTGCTGGAGGACGCACAACTTAGGAAGGGAGGAAAGAATGTCTGTCTGTCCATCATTCCTCCCAGCCCAGGGGTCCAGGAGGGTCCCACGCATCACCGTGATTCCCCTTCATCGCCATCAGCAAGAAGCCCTGGATTCTCTCAATTATGCCTGGTGTGCACCAGAGGCTAGGACCTGCCTGGCGGGCGCTACCTACCCTGCCATGACGATGAAGAAATCCAGGCGGTTCCATGTGTCCCCGAGGTAGCACTTCTTGCCAAAAATCCCCAGGGCCACCATCTTGAGCACCATCTCCATGGCAAAGAAGATAAAGATGAAGTCATCAAAGACCTGCAGGGGCAGGAGGAGGGAAGCAAGGGACAGGGTGAGGTTGCAGAGCAGGGCCCAGGGGTTGCAGCCACAGTGTGAGGTGGGGACACCACATGGATGCAAGGGGCCTGGGAAACACCCGGAAACTCCTCCTGGGCAGGAGGAGAACCTCAGTGATCCCAGTCCAATGCAGTCATTTCATAGATGAGGAGACTGTGGCCCAGAGACGGGAATGAGTTTGCCCAAGGTCATACAGCCCGTTCTATCTGTTCCCTAAGCCTGGGAACAGATAGAAGAGCCCCAGGTGGGGGTGGGGTGAGGGGCCGTCCCATATTCTCCCTAATAATTACCAAGCACTGGCTACACACTTGACCCCCATTCTCTCTCCTAATTCTCCCAAGGACCCCATGGGTAGTCCCATTTTACAGATGAGGAAACAGAGACTCAGAGAGGTTAAGCAACTTGCCCCACAGGTCACACAGCAGATAAGTGGCAGAACCAGGATTGAAACTCCGGTGGGTCTCACCCCAAAGCCCCCATGGAAGCAGCTGTCTCAAAGTAGCCCCCAGGCACAGGCCTCAGTGTTGCCTTTCTCTGCCCACAAAGGAGGCTATGAGATTATGCTTCCTGAGGGCGGGGACTGGGTGGAATTCCTGTTTCCAGGATTAGTGAGGGCTGCAGCCAACTCAATTCAACAAACAGGTGCCACATACCTACTGTGTGCCAGGGCTAGGCCAGTGGTGAGGACACAGAGGTGCTTGTTCGGTGAACTCACCATGAGGCTAACCAGGCCTGGGGCCCGGGGCTGCTGAGGAGCTTGTTACCCACTCGGACCCCAGACCCACCCAGAAATTCTGCTTCAGCAGGTCTGAGATGGGGTCAGGGGTCTGGATTTTTTTTTTTTTTTTTTTTTTTTTTTTTTGAGACGGAGTCTCGCTCTGTCGCCCAGGCTGGAGTGCAGTGGCGGGATCTCGGCTCACTGCAAGCTCCGCCTCCCGGGTTCACGCCATTCTCCTGCCTCAGCCTCCCAAGTAGCTGGGACTACAGGCGCCCGCCACTACGCCCGGCTAATTTTTTGTATTTTTAGTAGAGACGGGGTTTCACCATTTTAGCCGGGATGGTCTCGATCTCCTGACCTCGTGATCCGCCCGCCTCGGCCTCCCAAAGTGCTGGGATTACAGGCATGAGCCACCGCGCCCGGCCAGGGGTCTGGATTTTTACCAAGTGCCCGGGGAGACTCTGGCCCAGTGCTGCCTGGGAGCTACTGAGTCCTATAGAAACCCAAGAGGCAGAGGCTGGGCACAGTGGCTCACGCCTGTAATCCCAGCACTTTGGGAGGCCGAGGCAGGCAGATCACGAGGTCAGGAGATTGAGACCATCCTGGCTAACATGGTGAAACCCCGTCTCTACTAAAAATACAAAAAATTAGCCAGGCGTGGTGGCGGGCGCCTGTAGTCCCAGCTGCTCAGGAGGCTGAGGTGGGAGAATGGCATGAACCCGGGAGGTGGAGCTTGCAGTGAACCGAGATCGCGCCACTGCACTCCAGCCTGGGGCGACACAGTGAGACTCTGTCTCAAAAAAAAAAAAAAAAAAAAAAAACCCAAGAGGCAGAAAGCAATGCCTCCCGGGAGGAATCTGGCTTTCCCAGGGAGTTGCACCGAGTGTTTCCACATCTGTAAAATGGGTACAACCCTAACATCTGTGCTACCCGTATACATGCTCTGCACAGGGTTATGTCAGGTACCAAAGGTCAAGCCCCACCCCAGGACCTCAGGAGATAACAGAATGTAAAACCAGAGGCCCGCTCCTAAAGGGCATCTAGGGCAGGGTGTGAACTTGGCCTCTAGTCCAAGAGCACGGGGGACGAAGTGCAGGTTGTAGGCAGAGGAGAGTCGGGGTCACTGTTCTTTGCAGGTGTGCATGTGGCGGGTGCAGGAGAAGGCTGGTGGGGGCACCCGGGTAGGAGAAGATTGAGGCCTGGACTAAGGTAGAGGCTTCAAGGTGGAGAGGAGAGATAAAGGGAAGAGAGGATCCGAAGGGTAATAGGTAAGACCAGGTGGGAGTGAGGAAGGGTCAGCCAAGTGAGTGCGGCTGGTGGTGGCTGAGTGCGGCAGCGCTTGGTAGTGCAGCGCAGGATGGGGAAGGGCACGGAGCGGGGCGGGGCATGGAGTGGGCGGGGCAAGGCCAGGACATGGGGCGGGGGTGTGGAGTGGGCGGGGCATAGGCCGGGTCCTGGAGGATGAGGGCAGGGCGGGGCGGGGCGGGGCGGCCGGCTCACCTGCAGGATCTTGCAGCGGTCGGACAGGCAGTCCATGTCGTCGCACGGCTGGTACATGCCAAGTGTCACGCAGTTCAGCAGGATCACCAGCATGCTGACACATTCAAACCACGTGCACACCAAGTCAAGGACAAAGCAGCAGGTGGGATCGCCCGTGGGGGCTGGGGTGCACCCTAGAGTGTAATACCCGCAACCCACCACACACACAGGCATACACCCCATTCCTCATTCTTCTCCCTCTGGGTGCCATCCCTGAAACAGCTCAAAGCCCGTGGTGCCAGTCTGCCCCCATCACAACAGACATGGCCATATGCGCCAAACCCACCAGGCCCCCAGCTGCAGGACCCCACTCCTTGCCCCAGCCTGAGAGCTCCCCTCAGGCCCAGGGAAGGGAGAGGTTCCCGGAAGCCTGGCTGTCAGGGAACTCTGGGCTGTCCCAGCCTCTCCACCCCAACTACCACCCTCTGACTGTCACTGCCTCCCTTCTCTGACCACCTTTCCCTCCCCTGACCCATGTTCCCTCCGTCTCTGCCAAGGTCTGGGTCTGGAGCCCGCAGAGGGCCCTCCAGTGGGGCTGAGATTGGCTGGATGGCCCCGTCCTTCTCTCCTTGCCCACTGCCAGGGTTAGGGCTCAGGTAGGGCTCATCACCTAACTCCAAAACACCCGCACCAAGCCCAGCCCTGGCCTGCACCACATGGGGTGGGGCTGGGCCCCTCAGTCCTGGACAGGCAGAAAGTCTCCTGCTGCGGAGGGAATCCAGAGCTGGCCATGAACCTGGCCTTGGGCAGGGCCTCTGGGCACAGCTTGCAGCTGGGGTGAATGGGCTCCCCTCCTGCACCTGGCCAGGCTGCTCTCCTCACCACTGCTGAGAGCCCCTCCATGAATGCCCTCCTCCCTCCCTCCCAGGCCAACTCCTACCCATCCTTAGAACACAGCCCGCAGTGTCCAGTCCCGCCACTGTCTATCCTCCCAGTCACAGGACCAGGGAGGTCAGGCCTCAAGGAGCTCAGGGCTGTGTCACTTCCAGCCCCCGCCTGTCATACCAGTAAGAAATCCGAAGCCTGCTCAGATCTCCCCAACGGGATCTCCAGTTGACTGAGTCCTGGGGCCTTCGAAAATCTGTGCCTACTTGAAAAGAGGCAGTCCAGGATGAAATGGACTTGAGCCACACATAGTATGATGAAGTCAGACACCCAGGTGAACTTCCAGACCATGCAGCCTGACTGAACTTAACAGGCAATGACTGGAGTCGGGAGTAGGTTCTCCTTCTGTAAGAGGAGAGATGCTGATGGAACTCACCACACCCCACCTATGCAACCCCCTTTCCTCCCCCAGAAACTGAGTGTCAGGAGACAGAAAGGGGCTCTCATGCAGTAAAAGCAGCAAACAAGACCACGAAGCCAGGAGACCTGCATTTGAACTCGTCCCAGCACTGACTGGCTCTGCGGTCTTCGGCAAGCCCCTCCTTGTCTCTGAACCTAGAGGTCCTCCACCGGATGACCAGGAGCCTCCCCATCGGCCCCCTGGGTCTGCCCTGGCCCCTCCAAACCACCCTTCCTGCAGCAGCAGTGGGCAGTTAAAAACATCAGCAAGACCACCTCCCTCCCCAGCACAAAACCCTGCCCCTGCTCCTGGGCTCTCTCAGCACAAACTTTGAAGCCCTTGCCTGGCCTGCAGGGCCCCACTCTGACACCCCA
This sequence comes from Homo sapiens, assembly GCF_000001405.40. Lineage (NCBI taxonomy): Eukaryota > Metazoa > Chordata > Mammalia > Primates > Hominidae > Homo > Homo sapiens. The sequence goes on along the minus strand of NC_000022.11, from coordinate 39,596,564 downwards.
TCTCCCTGGGCCCTAATACCCCATCTCCCTCTGCCCTGCCCCCCCATCTCTCTCCACCCTGCCCCCCATCTCTCTCCATCCTGCTCCCCCATCTCTCTCCGCCCTGCCCCCCGATCTCCCTCCGCCCTGCCCCCCCATCTCCCTCCGCCCTGCCCCCCCATCTCTCTCCGCCCTGCTCCCCCATCTCTCTCCGCCCTGCTCCCCCATCTCTCTCCGCCCTGCTCCCCCATCTCCCTCCGCCCTGCCCCCCATCTCCCTCCGTCCTGCTCCCCCATCTCCCTCCGCCCTGCCCATCTCCCTCCGCCCTGCCCCCCATCTCCCTCCACCCTGCTCCCCCATCTCTCTCCGCCATCTCTCTCCGCCCTGCCCCCCCATCTCCCTCCGCCCTGCCCCCCCATCTCTCTCCACCCTGCTCCCCCATCTCTCTCCGCCCTGCCCTGGCTCACTCTGCTCTGACCTCACTGGCTCCTGCCGCTCCTCAGACACACAGTGAGTGACATCAGGACACTCCACCTCAGGGCCTTTGCATGTGCTGTTCCCACTTCAAGGGCTGAGCTTCTAGCATCATGTTCACCTCCTCTGAGAAGTCTCCACCCAACCTCATCACCCCCAGCTGCCGCACGCCCTCTTCACGCCCTGCCACTGTCTTGCTGACATGCTCATTGTCTCTGCCACTGCTCTAATCTACATTCCAAAGGGGACAGGGACTTTACACTCACGGCCTAACATCTAGTAGGTGTTCAATGAACATCTGTCGGATGAATAAATACAGTTGTCCCTCATTATCTGCCGTGTCAGTTACCCATGGTCCACTGTGGCCCAAAATTAGGTATGAGTGCGGTACAATAAGAGATTCTGAGAGAGAGAAAGAGGGAGACCGCATGACCACATTCATATAACTTTGATTATCGTACGTGATTCTAATTTTTTTTTTTTTTTGAGATGGAGTTTCACTTTTATTGCCCAGGCTGGAGTGCAATGGCAAGATCCCAGCTCACTGCAACCTCTGCCTCCTGGGTTCAAGTGTTTCTCCTGCCTCAGCCTCCCAAGTAGCTGGGATTACAGGCGCCTGCCACTATGCCCGGCTAATTTTTTGTATTTTTAGTAGAGACGGGTTTTCACCGTGTTGGCCAGGCTGGTCTTGAACTCCTGACCTCAGGTGATCCACCCGCCTCGGCCTCCCAAAGTGCTGGGATTACAGGCATGAGCCATTGTGCCTGGCCTAATTGTTTTATTTTATTTTATTTTTTATTTTTGTTTATTTATTTATTTATTTTGAGACGGAGTCTTGCTCTGTCGCCAGGCTGAAGTGCAGTGGCGTGATCTCGGCTCACTGCAACCTCCGTCTCCCAGGTTCAGGCAATTCCCTTGCCTCAACCTCCTGAGCAGCTGGGACTACAGGCGCCCGCCACCACGCCCGGCTAATTTTTTTGTATTTTAGTAGAGATAGGGTTTCACCATGTTGGCCAAGATGGTCTCGATCTCCTGACTTTGTGATCCGCCTGCCTCGGCCTCCCAAAGTGCTGGGATTATAGGCATGAGCCACCGCGCCTGGCGTGATTGTTCTATTTTATTATTGGTTGCTACTCATCTCTTACAATGCCTGATTTATAAATTAAACTTTATCCAGGTATGCAGGTATAGGAAAAAAACATAGTAAATATAGGGTTCAGTGCTATTTGTGGCTTCAGGCATCCACTGGGGGTCTTGGAATGTGTCCCTTGTGGGTAAGGGGGGGTGCTACTGTAAATCTCTAGGGGCCCTGCCCACTCCAACATCCGGGGACTCAGGAGTGTCTCCAAGCAAACCCCTCACCCCTCCATTTCAAAGCCCTTGCCCTTAGCTGGGATGTAGCCACACCAGCCAAACCCTCAGCAGGACCCCACCCAGAGAGGAGTGGGAGAGGTGACCTGGTTTCCATGGCAACAGCCTCCCTCCCATCCCCAGCCCTGCCCACTTTGGGATGCTGCCTACTCGTGGCCTCTTCTCAGCTCCTCCTGGCCCCAGCCCTGCTCCTTCCCGTCCCCTCACCCCACTGCCACTCTCCCGCCATAGCCTGTAATTAATTTCAGTCGCTGCCAGGGCCCCCTTCGAGCCTGAGCCTGGCTCCAGCAGCAGCTTCATCATTAATTAACTTTTTTGAAGTTCGAACATTCTAATTACCAAAGAACATCCCCCATCCCCCTCGCCTTTCCCCTCTTCCTGTCGTGCGCTCTCTCCTTCCAGCCCCATCCTCTGCTCCCTCTGCCCCTCCTGCCAGTTTCAGGCTCAAAGTGCACTTAGTGGCGTCTCCCAGGAGCCCGGTGCCCCTGCTGCCTCCTCAACAAGGCCCTGAGCAGTGGAGGTCAGCAGGCCCATTTTACAGATAAGGAAGGCTGAGACATGGGGAAATCAGGGGCCTCTCCTGGGTTTCACAGCTAGGAATTACTGGCACAGAGATTCACACCAGGCCTGCTGGACTCCAAGGCCAGCGCTCTCCTCTGTGAAGTACGGCCTGTCTCTGCCCATGGCTCTCCTCCCTCCCCTGAGGCCTCTCAGCCCATCTTCAGTGTGTCTCCCCAGGACCCTGACCCAGCATCCTCGGTATCCCCCAGCTCTGGTCTCTGCCCCTCCAATCTGCCCCACACGATAACCAGGCACTTGCTGTGTGCCCAACACAACTTGAACATTTTCCAAATGTTATCTCATTTAATCCTCACAGCTCTTTTATAAGCCCCATTTACAAATAAGGAAACCAAGACACAAAAGGGAAACAGATTGGCCCAAGGTCACCAGCTGGAAAAGAGCAGAGCTGAGACACAAAACCTCAGGCTGGAGGCTTTTCCTGCCTCCAAGCTGTTTTGCCACTGCCAGGCTAATCTGCCTGAAACACACTCTCCAGATGCCTCTCTCCTGCTCAAGAACCTCCCATGGCTCCCCATCACCCTCCCAAGCCTGGTACGCAAGGTAGACTCTCGCCTCAGTGAATCCTTGCAGTCTTATCACTCACTGGCCTCAGCACTCGCTTTCTCCAAACACGCCTTCTGCCTACACTTTCCCTTTCCTCCACCTCTCCAGCAGGCAGACTGTTTCAGAGCCCAGTTCGCAGGTCACCTCTTCTTGAAGCTTCCCCGGATGTGCCTCTTGCCCCTCACAAGGTGGTGGCTCAGCCTCCTCTCCAGAAGCACTCCCACCTGCCCTGGCTAGCACGTACCACAGTGATGAATTTGGCAGTACCTCTGACGACTGTGTACCAGACACCCTAGGGACATGACCTCAGCTCTCACAATCCCCTGGGGATGGAAAAGGAACAAGCCTGGAGAGCTGACACCACTCACACAAGGTCACCCAGTCCCCGAGCAGCCCAGATTGTCTGATTCACAGCAGTGCTGGTGGCCGCTGCACAGCACTGCCTCTGTGGCCCATCTAACTCGCCCACTGCACTGGGTCCCCGCAGGAGGCAGATGGAGTGGCTTTCATCCCTGGGCTGCTCAGCTTCAGAAATTCAGCAATGGATGGTCTCAGCCCTTGCCCAGAGGTGCCCGGGGAAATCCCAGATGGCAAAGCTTGGGCCCCTTCCAAGAGCCCAGGAGGCTTAGAAGTCAGGCCAGAACTGGCATCACTGCCCGCGGTTCCTGACACACTCCCCACTGGCTCAGGGATCAAAAGCACCAGCCCTCCTTGAAGTTAAACCAGACAGTGCAGTGTGGGGTAGGAGGGTGGCGGGGGGAGTCAAGGTCTCCGGCTTGAGCCACTCTGCAGCCTGGCCTGACGCCTCATGCTTCCACCATGAGTCACAAGTGTTGAGGAACTCTCTGAGAACACAGGCAAGCGAAGCCGTGAGGTTCGGGGACAACCTGAGGGAAGCTGGAGACCCAAGGGGGAGCACAGGATTTCTGGGTGACAGAGGGGGCAGGGCTGGAGTGCTAGTGCCACGACGGCAGGACGTCTTCAATGGCTCCCAACTGCCTCTCACAGCGAGGCTTGAAGCCCTGCGACGGGCATCCAAGGCCCAGCTGCCTCGCCTACTTCACCCCTCAGGCCCTCACTGCAGTCGGGGTGACCTTTGCCACAGAGCAGCCCTGCCAGCGTCGTTAGAGAGCAACGGCTCCAATCCCTCATTGCACTGATGGAAAACAGGGGCAGAAATCTGTCCCAGCTCCACAGCAAGCCCAGAGCTGAAGTGACACTTAGACAACAGACTCACCACCCACGGGGGTCCCCAAGCCACAGTCGATTTTTCAAACTCACACGGAAACCCTCCGCGTTTCCCCACACACTCGGCACAGCCACAGTACCATCACTTTAAGCTGGTTAGATCCCTGACGGGCAGCCCTGAGCGCCTTTGAGGAACACAGATGGAGAAACAGATCAATGGTGATGCAATCAATCGAGTTTCCTTGGCAGGCAAAGCCGTCCCAAGCACACAGGCCTCGGGGAGAAAATCACTCAGGGTCTTTGGGTGCTGCTGCAGAGCCCCCCAGCGCCTCAGCACAGCCTGGGCCCTCAGCCCCACTTCCTACCCACGTCCCCGCACCACACCTCTCAAAGTCTTCAGAACTGGGGTCTCAGAGCTGAGCAGGGGGAATGAATGTGCTTATATTGTGTGCCTGTTGTGTGCCAGGCGCCAGCCTGCCGGTGGTAATAATGGTGACAATCGCGAACACTTCTTCAGTGCCCCTGAGTGTCTGTTTGCCAAGGAGCCTCCAAATCAAACAGCATGCATGGCCAAGCGCGGTGGCTTATGCCTGTGATCCCAGCACTTTGGGGGGCCAAGGCGGGCAGATCACCTGAGGTCAGGAGTTCAAGACCAGCCCGGCCAACACAGTGAAACCCTGTCTCTACTAAAAATACAAAAAATTAGCTGGGCATGGTGGCAGGCGCCTGTAATCCCAGCTACTTGGGAGGTTGAGGTGGAAGAATCGCTTGAACCCGGGAGGTGGAGGTTTCAGTGAGCTGAGATTGCACCACTGCACTCCAGCGTGGGTGACAGAGTGAAACTCCATCTCAAAAACAAAAAAAAAGAAAAGAAAAGAAGAGATGCTAGTACAGCCCCTGTGATAGATATCTGTCCTGCAGCATACTGAATCTTCGCCCACAGCCTTTTGTAAAGAATCCAGGCCAGGCCGGGTGCCGTGGCTCACATCTGTAATCCCAGCACTTTGGGAGGCCGGGGTGAGCAGATCACTTGAGGTCAGGAGTTCAAGACCAGCCTGGCCAACATGGTGAAACCCCGTCTCTACTAAAAATACAAAAATTAACTGGGCGTGGTGGCGGGCATCTGTAATCCCAGCTACTCAGGAGGCTGAGGCAGGAGGATCGCTTGAACCCGGGAGGTGAGGAGGTTGCAGTGAGCTGAGATCGCGCCATTGCACTCCAGCCTGGGCAACGAGAGTGAAACTCCGTCTCAGAAAAAAAAAAAAAAAAGAATCCAGGCCAGATGCAGTGGCTCACATCTGTAATCCCAGCACTTTGGGAGGGCAAGGCAGGAGGATCACTTGACCCAGGAGTTTGAGACCAGCCTGGGCAACATAGTGAGACCTCATATCTGCAAAAAAAAAAAAAAATTTTTTAATTAGCCAGCTGTGGTGGTGCGCGCCTGTAGTCTGCTACTTAGAAGGTTGAGATGGGAGGATCACTTAAGCCCAGGAGCTGAAGGTCGCTGTGAGCCAAGATCAAGCCACTTCACTCCAGCCTGAGCGACAGAGCGAGATCCTATCTCAAAAAATAAAAATCAAAAAGAATCTGTCAACCAATTCAGGCCTAGCAATGAGCAGGGTCACCCTGCAACATCAGCAGAGTTCTCCCAAACTGGCTGATACTACCGTTATCCCCACTTCACAGGAAAGGAAACTAAGGCCACAGGAGGTGGTTCCAGGGTCACTCCCATGGTATGTGGCAGGGGCAGGATCTGCACTGCCTCTCACTGGCTGCAAATCCCATGTTCTCATCCACACATCCTGCCATCACCTGGTTCAGTGTCTGCGATGTGAGGGACCCCCAACTGAGATGGGTTTAATGGAATATTTGCTCTTTCCTCCCCACCCACATCGTCTCTCTCTGAGGCTCCCAGCCAGGCAGAGGGAAGCGGAGGCTGGGTCAGTGGTGAGCCCAGCCGGCAGCCCGTCTGGCTGTGTCCCTGCTGGGGACCCAGGCCTGTGTTGTATGCAGTGGGGTCAGGAAGAGAGATGCTCCAGCCCCTGCTGTGGTTCAGAAGGAAAGCTCTACCTGCAGGAAGAAGGGGAGGGGAAGCCAGCAAGGGCATGTTTGCCTCAAGGTCCCCCAGCCAGGAGGATCAAAACCCAGCTAAGCCAGATCATAACCACACCACACCCTAGCCACCAAGGCCTGAGAAGGTCAGGATGTGGACTAAGGGGACAGGGTCACCAGGGAAGCCACTATGCTGGGGCTCCCTCAAACCTGCCAGTTCCCAGCTAGAAGAGCAACCGTGTGGAGGGGCAGTGCCCGGCGCCCGGGCAGGCCCTGCAGGGCAGCCTCCTCTCCAGGAGCCGAGCCAGAGGCCTGCATGGTTACCATGGCGACCACCACCCTCCTTCTGCAGGCCCAGGCGACACTCAGTTTCTGTGATTCGGGGGGCTCTGGGAGGCTGGTGGGGGCGGGAGTGCTGGGTTTGGCGGGGGTGGCCAAGTTTGTTTTTATTTTTGTCAAATCTAAAATCTGATCCACTTCCCAGGGTGCGTTTCAGTTGTCTAAATAAATCAGGTGGAGAAAAGGGGCTGGGGGCTCCATCCTCCTGGATCGGGGAGGTAGGGAAGGTGGACCAGCACCTACACCGAGTGTCCCTCCCCTGCTGGTCCCCAGTGAACCCAAAGGAGGGGGAGCTCAGGCCTCAGGCCCTCCAGGCCTGAGGTTCCAGATCCCAGTTCTTGGGCCAGCTCCATGCTCCTCTGAGGCCAGGCCTACAAGCATCCAAGGACCACCTGCTGTATACGTGGCCTGTGCCTCAGGGTGCTGAGATGAACCAGGCTCAGCTCCTTCCTGGAAGGTGCCCGTGTGCATCCCTGTTCCAGGACCACCCGTGATGTGTGACGGTGTAGCATGTGTTCGAGCAACAGTGGCCACCAATTTGAACATCAGCTGTTTCAGAGCCTGGGGTTTTGGGAGGACACTCATTCACACATTCATTCGTTCATTCGTTTATTCAATGAATAATAAACAGGCAGCAACCACTCTGGAAGGCTGCTCAGCAGCTTCTACTAAAACCAAACATATGCCCACGCTAGGACCCAGCGGGGCCACTCCTGGGTGCATACCCAGGAGAAATGCTCACACACCCCACAAAAAGCCACGTCCCAGAACAGGCACGTCTGTGTTATCGGTAACAGCCCCAACCTGGGACAACCTAGGTGTTCATCAACAGAAGAATGGGGTAGGGTGGTGGTTTTCAACCAGGGATGATTTTGTCCCCCAAGGGACATTTGGCCGTGTCTGGAGACATTTTTGGTTGTCACACTTGAGGGGATAGGACACCGGCATCTAGTGGGTAGAGACCAGGAATGCAGCTAAAACACCCTACAACGTACAGGACAGCCCCACAACAAAGAATCATCCAGCTCAAAATGTCACCAGTGCCATGCATGAGAAGCCCGCATGGAGTACTACTTAGCCATGAAAAGGACAGGCAACTGAAACACACAACAGCATGGAGGGATCTCTGCTGGGAAACAGAAGCCAGACGCAGCAGAGCAAACAACGCGTAACTCCAATTACATGAAGTTAAGAGCCAGGAGAAGCCAATCTACAGTGAAGAAGGTCAGAAGAGCAGTAACGTTGGGGAGTACCCAAGGCAGGTGGGGGACAGGGAAGCTTCCAGGACTGGAGATGTTCTTCTTGACCTGAGTGGTGGCCCCAGGAGAGGACTTATATGAAAATGCCTTGAAGGCCGGGCGCAGTGGCTCACGCCTGTAATCCCAGCACTTTGGGAGGCTGAGGCAGGCGGATCACGAGGTCAGGAGATCGAGACCATCTTGGCTAACGCGGTGAAACCCCATCTCTACTAAAAATACAAAAAATAAGCCGGGCGTGGTGGTGGGCGCCTGTAGTCCCAGCTACTCGGGAGGCTGAGGCAGGAGAATGGCGTGAACTCAGAAGGTGGAGCTTGCAGTGAGCCGAGATCACGCCACTGCACTCCAGCCTGGGCGACAGAGTGAGACTCTGCCTCAAAAAAAAAAAAAAAAAAGAAAGAAAGAAAGAAAGAAAACGCCTTGAACTGCACATTAGGATTTGTGAGCTCAACTTGTACATTTAACCTCAATAAAAAATGGAACAGCTGAGTTTGCCGGCATGTACCTGTGGTCCCAGTTACTTAGAAGGCTGAGGCAGGAGGATCACTTAAGCCCAGAAGTTCAAGGCTGCAGTGAGTTATGACGGTGCCACTGCACTCCAGCCTGGGTGACAGAGCAAGACTTTGTCTCAAAAAAAAAAAAAAAAAAAAAATGAAGAGCAACTGCTTTAAGGAAAAACAAAAATGCAACTATTAAAAATCCACAATCAGCCAGCACAGTGTCTTACCTGTAATCCCAGCACTTTGGGAGGCCAAGGCAGGCAGATCACATGAGGCCAGGAATTCAAGACCAGCCTGGCCAATATGGTGAAACCCTGTCTCTACTAAAAATAGAAAAATTATCCAGGCATGGTGGCACATGCCTGTAGTCCCAGCTACTCCAGAAGCTGAGGCAGGAGAACTGCTTGAACCCAGGAGGCAGAGGTTGCAGTGAGCCGAGATCACACCATTGCACTCCAGCCTGGGTGACAGAGCAAGACTCTGTCTCAAAAAATAATAATAATTATAAATCAAATAAAATAAAATAAACCACAGGCACCTGCTAGGGCACCTGCTATTGCCAAACCCCACAGGAACCTTTACAACAACCTGCAGGAATGGGCATCATCTCTGTTCCTTAGCCTTGCCCAAGGACACAGTCAGTGAGGGACAGAGCCAGGATTTGAACCTCATACCCTCCTGTCTTCTAATTCTCCTTTAAACCTCATTCCACCTGTGGCCACAGCTGCCTCGGGAGACAGGCATGGCAGACATTATTACACCCCACTTTATGGCCATGAAAATGAAGGCCCAGAGAAGACAGCACTTGCCCGAGATGACACAGTGATTGAGCTGAGACAGAAAGCTGCTCCATAAAATGAAGAGACCTGCCAGGCAGATGGTCCCAGGCCTCCCTCCGCTTACATGCCTCCAGCGACAAGGAACTCCCCACATGACAAATGGCATGATTGGTTCTGCTTATAAGCTATGCCATCTCAGTGCATTGAGATCCTTTTCAGGAGGGGGCAAGGGAGTGAGCCCTTCCTTGTTCCTACGCCAGCCCCACTTCTTGGAATCCCCGTTGTATAAGAACTCATTGTATTTGGCCAAAGTCTCTGATTCCCAAATACCTAGCAAGCTTCAGTACCCAGTGCAGACAGCAGAGTAGGGGAGGCAATGGCAGGAAACAGAGGCTGCCAGCTGGGATGAGAAGCCAAGGTGGAAGGTCCACAGGAAGGATGCTCCAGCCGAAGAGATTTGCCAGACACAGCTGCTTCCATCACAGCTGAAGAGAAGGGCCAGGCAGGTCCCTGGGGGCCAGGGTCCCACTGTCTGTGGGCTGATCCAGCCTCGGGAGCCCAACCACACAGAAAGTATGCAGGCAGGAAGGCTTCCTTGACTCCTGGGCAGGGGCTGCAGATGCCTCCTCTGGGACCTCACCGTGCCTCTGATGCCTCCCTTCTCCCAAGCAGCCATTGAACTGAGAGGGTGAGGGCTCGACCAGTGTGGATTACATTCTTCTCCAGCCTCCCTGGGGACCTGTCCTCTGCCGCGTGTCTCCCCTGCCTGCCCCTGAACACACGTCTGTGTTCATGTGTGCATTCCCAAGGAGAGCTGCTGCCTCTCATGCACCTGCACCCCTTATACACGTGTGCACACAGATGCAGCAGGCATTCTCACTCGCATGTGCCAGCAGCACTGGGCATGACTGACTCCTCTTCTAGAACAGGGGTTCTTAACCTTTTCTGTGCCACAAGCCCCTTTTCAGAATAAAGTTTTTATTTATTTATTTATTTATTTATTTATTTTAGAGACGGAGTCTAATTCTGTCACCCAGGCTGGATTGCAGTAGCACTATCTTGGCTCACTGCAACCTCCACCTCCCAGGTTCAAGTGATTCTCCTGCCTCCACTTCCCAAGTGTCTGGGACTACAGGCATGTGCCACCATGTCCAGCTAATTTTTGTATTTTTAGTAGAGAAGGGGTTTCATTATATGTTGGCCAGGCTGGTCTGGAACTCCTGACCTCAAGTGATTCACCCACCTTGGCCTCCCCAAGTGCTGGAATTACAAGCATAAGCCACAACACCCAGCCAGAATAAAGTTTTTAAATGCTATTTTTTTTTGAGATGGAGTCTTGCTCTGTCGCCAGACTAGAGTACAATGGCACGATCTCGGCTCACTGCAACTTCTGACTCCCTGGTTCAAGCGATTCTCCTGCCTCAGCCCCCTGAGTAGCTGGGATTACAGGCACATGCCACCATGCCTGGCTAATTTTTGTATTTTTAGTAGAGACGGGGTTTCACCATGTTGGCCAGGAGAGTCTCAATCTCCTGACCTCGTGATCCACCCACCTCGGCCTCCAAAGTGCTGGGATTACAGGCGTGAGCCACCGCGCCAGGTCAAATGCATTTTTTTAAATATTGAAGTGTAGGATTAGTAAACCAGGTGCAGTGGTGCACTATAGCCCCAGCTACTGGGGAGGCTGAGGCTGGTGGATCACTTGAGCCCAGAAGTTCAAAGCCAGCCTGGGCAGCATAGTGAGACCGCATTGCAAAAAAAAAAAAAAAAAAAACTTTAAAAGTTTTTTTTTTTTTTTTTTTAAGTTTACAGCTGGGCATGGTAGCTCACGCCTATAATCTCACCCAGCACTTTGGGAGGCCGAGGTGGGCAGATCACTCGAGGCTAGCAGTTCAAGACCAGCCTGGTCAACGTGGTGAAACTCCATCTCTACTAAATACAAAATTTATCTGGGCGTGGTGGCTCAGACCTGTAATCCCAGCTACTTGGAAGGCTGAGGCAGGAGAATCGCTTAAAATCGGGAGGAAGAGGCTGCAGTGAGCCAAGATCGCGCCACTGCACTCCAGCCTGGGTGACAGAGGGAGACTCAGTCTCAAAAAAAAAAAAAAAAAAAAAGAAAGAAAGAAAGAAAGAAAAAAAGCCCGGGCCCAGTGGCTCACACTTGTAATCCCAGCACTTTGGGAGGCCAAGGCGGGTGGATCACCTGAGGTCAGGAGTTCAAGACCAGCCTGACCAACATGGTGAAACCCTGTCTCTACTAAAATGCAAAAAAAAATTATCCGGGCACAGTGGCACATGCCTGTAATCCCAGCTACTTGTGAGGCTGAGGCAGGAGAATCGCTTGAACCCAGGAGGCAGAGGTTGCGGTGAGCCGAGATTGCACCACTGCGCTCCAGCCTGAGCAACAAAAGCGAAACTCTATCTCAAAAAGAAATAAAAATAAAAAGCATAGAACTAGAAAGGAAGGTAGTTATGTTAAAGTAGTTATCAAAATATTTTTAAAACAAATTTTTGATAAAGAAACATATATTATTTGTTATCAACACAGTAAGTAGCAAGCTCCAGTGCTGGGCTGGACGCTAAGTGACACTGCCTCAAAGTGATGGCCGTGATGATATTCTCAGAGCTCTACAAGGACCATGATGTGACATGGAAATATTGGTGATTGCTATGGGTGACAGCCACAGAAGTTGCTAATAATACCAGTGTGGTTTGTTTCCTCCATCCATAACAGAAAGAAATGCTAAACTTCAGTCAGGGGTCAGTCAAAACAAATATGCAACTTGTGCCCATGCAAGCTCATGAACCCCAGGTTCAGACCCCTGCTCTAGAAACTCTCTTCCCCTTGGGCTCCAGGAGATGCCACAAGCCCCTAGACTTGTCTTCCTCCCACTTTGTGGTTCTGTCACTTAAATGCTGGGCTCCTCCAGCCCCCAGCCCTCTGGTCTCCCATCTCCTCTCCTGGACTCCATATCCACTTCCACAGCCTAAATGACTATGGCTGAGCAGGTCCCAAGTCTGTCCCAGCCCCAGGAACCCTGACTGCTGAGCACCAGGCCTCCCAGATATAGTGCTGGGAAGTCTCTGGGAACCTCAGATTCATCACGTCCAGAAGAGATGTATCATATTCTTCCCAGACCACTAAATTCTCCCCCAGCATGTCCCACCTCCATGAAGGATGCACCCCCATCACCAGTCCTGGAAGTTTTCCAGACTAGAACTCTCTGGAACCTCCCTTCCCCTCGCCCCACATCTATCTCGGAGATCTGTCCATTTCACCACCTAAACCCTTCCTTTCTGCCCACTCCTCAATGCCCCATTGCCCCAGGCAGGCTGCATTCTCTCCTTCCTGAACAGCCTTCTCCTGTAGCCTCATATCCTCTGATACATCCCCCACCTCCATGGCAGCCAGAGAGCCCTTTCAAAACCAAAAGCCTTCTGTGGCTCCCCACTGCCTTCTTTCCAAAGTCCTTGGCTTGGCATACAAGGCCCTCTGTGACAGCACTCTTGGTCTCCCTCCAGCCTCATCTCAGGCCATACAACCTCTACCTCCAACCTTGCCTGCCAGGATGCACTTCATCAAAAGCTGTGCTGCACACCTACTATGTGCAGGGCCAGTGGCCAAGGTCTAGGGAAGAAACAGGCACTCTTGGAACATGGAACCCATCTTCAAGGAGCTCATAGTCCAGCAGAAGGTGAGGAGAATAAGCCAGATACAAAAGGCCTTGTGAGTGGTTCAAAGGATGAGTGATCGTGCCCAATATGGGTTTTTTCTGGGCATTCAGCAGACAGTAGAATGGATGAGAAATGTGGAAGGATAATCAACAAGCATCTGCCAAACAAATGAATGGATAGATGAGTGGATGGATTGATGGTTGTGTAAATAGGGTTTTGGGTAGTGGGGTCAATGTTGATTAAATAAGTAATTGTTAGGAAGATGTGTGGATAAATGCATGAATGTAAAGGTTGAGTGGAGGGATGGGTGGATAAGCAGACGAATGCATGAAGAGATGGAAAGATAGGTAAATGGATGAATGGCTGGATGGATGGGTGGGCGGGTGGATGGATGGATAGATGGATGGATGGCTAAATGGGTGGATGAATGGATGGATGGATGGATGGATGGATGGATGGATAGATGGTTGGATGGTTGGCTGGATGGATGGATGGTTGGATAGATGAATGTATGGTTGGTTGAATGGATGAGTGGTTGGAGGGTTGGAAGGGTGAATGGATGGACAGTTGGATTGATGAATGAATGGATGGATGGATGGATGGATTGTTGGATGGATGGATGGATGGATTGTTGGATAGATGGATGGATGGAGAGATGGATGCATGCATGGATGGCTGGATGGATGGATGGAGAGATGGATGCATGCATGGATGGACAGTTGGATGGATGAATGGACGGATTGTTGGATGGATGGATGGATGGATGGATGGATGGATGGATGGATGGATGGATGGTTGGGTGCTTGGATGGAAAGACAGATGGATGGATGGGTGGGTGGATGGATGGAGGGATGGATGGATTGTTGGATGGATGGATAGTTGGATGCTTGGATGGATGGATGGTTAGATGGATGAATGGATGGTTAGATAGATTAATGGATGGATGGATGGATAGATGGATGGTTGGATGAACGGATGGAGTGATGAAGCAAAGAAGGGTGGGTGGGGAGTAAAGATGGGTGAGTGAGTGTATGGGGGAAAGATGGGTGGGTGGGTGTATGGGGGAAAGATGGGTGGGGGGGTGTATGGGGGAAGATGGGTGAGTGGGAGTATGGGAAGGTAGTTGGGAATGTGACATTTCAGTAAATGTTAGCTCCAGGGTTCTAATCCAAGTCTATGTGACTGTACCATCTCCTCCTCCTCCTTCAGGGATCCCCACTCTCAGTCTTGGTGCCCTCCCTCCAAGGCCCTCGACTCCATACTGTTCTACACTTTCAGAGCTTCAAGAGATCTCAGAGACTGCCTGGGCTGGGTTTTTCAGACTGAGTGCCACTGAATAATTCTTTGTCACTGGGGCTGGATAATTCTTTGCTGTGGGACTCTATCCTCTATCCTGTGCACTGTAGTGTACTTGGCCTTTACCCACTAGAAACCAGTAGCACATCCTCCCCACGTTGGAGCAACCAAAACCATCTCCAGACATTATGAAGTGTCCCCTGGCAGGCAAAGTCACCCCGATTGAAAACCACTGATATAGCCCACCCCACCCCAATTTTATGGATAAGGAAACTGAGACCCAGAGAGGAGGGGTTACTTGCCTGAGGTCAAGCTTGTACTTGGTGAAGCCCAAACTGTACCTTGGGGAGAGTCAATCCATAATCATCCTTTCACTGTGACATGTGTGTGGGGCTGGGAGCCTCCCCCACTGCTCCACTGGGAAAAGCCAGGTATAGTCCTCAGCACCCCCTGCTCTGTCCACCTCCACCTCGGCCCTCTTCCCACGGCTCTGCACAACAAGCCTTCACATTCGCACAGCACATCTCAGCCAACCAAGCCTTCTCCTCCTGCTTGGAAGTGCACTCAGAGAGGCCAGATAGCTTGCTCAGCATCACACAGGATAAGCACCGGTGTCAGGATTTGAACTTGGGGAAGAAGAGGAAGACTAGAGAGCAAAGCATGGCTCCACTCGGCAGATGAGGATAGAAATGTGAAAGGTGGTCCTACAGGAGAGCTGGAGACAGATTAGCAGAAGACATCCTGGCTGATTAAAAAGACTTATTGATTTCTCTCCAAGGAAAATAAATGAGGCTATTTGTCTCTCAATGGGACCATGAGGCAGTTTGAGGGAGGCAGCAGGGCAGAAGCCCAGGTAGGATGGACCAGTAAAAATCCAATCATGTCTTAAATTCCCTGGCAGGGGCTGGCCCTTCAACAGCCGGCCAGCTTGCTTTCTAGTTCTCCTTCAATTATGAGACTTCCCATCCCATCAGGTCTCCCATCCAAGCCCCCACCAGGCTGGGTGGCCCAGGACAGGCACTTCGCCTCTCTGTCAAACGGGTGACTCAGGGCCGGCTCAGCTGCTGGGAGCAGGAACGGCACCCAGCATACAAAAGGCCCCTCATCCACACCGGTGCCTCCCCTCGCAGTCTTCCGTTCTGCCCTCCAGAATCTGGACCCCAAATGTCCTTCCATCCTCATGCACATCCTCTCCCAGCCCACACACCAGGCTATTAGCAACCTGGTGACCCTAAACTCAGCTCTGAGCCCTTGATCAGGCTGCTTCCTCAGCCAGGAGGCCATGCCCCATCCCACTTCTCTGCCTCCCCACTTCTCCCCTCCCGCTCTCTCCTGCCCTAGCTCTGAGGCTTCCTTCTTCATGGGAGGAGGCTCCTGTGGCATCCCCACTCAGAACAAGCTGGCTGCCCTGTTCTCCTGTCACTCATGCCCCCCAGAGGTTCCCTCTACCCAGCCTAGGCTCCACTTTCCTTCACAAGAGTGTGATTCGGGTGTGGCTCTGCCTCCTCCATCAGGCTGGGGACTCCTTAGGGTCACCACCGGGTGCCCAGGCCTGGTGTACTGCGGTCCCACATGACATGGCTGAACAGGCCTGGGGGCGCCTCCACTCAAGCCCAGACCAGTGTCCAACACATAGCTGGGCTCCAACACTTGTCGAATGAATGGGTGATCAATCCATCCATCGGTATCCATTGTAGGGGCCTCTTACCTGGTTTCTATGCCTCAGTCTTTCCCTCAAGCATCCTCCAGTCTGCTTTGGGAGTCACCATTCTAATAAGTGAATTTGCCCAAGTCCCACCCCTGCTAGACACCCACCCGTGGCCCACAAGACCAAGTGTAAGCTCTAACCTGGCATTTGACACCCTGCCATCCAGCCCCTGCCCCACATGGTTCCAGCCTCACTAAACCCCTCCCTGTGCCCTACCGTGTTCCCTCTGCCTGGAAAACCCTCCCTGAACTGTTCTGGAAAATTCCTATTTATACAGCAAGACCCAGGCTGAATAGCCCCTCCCCTAGGCAGGCTTCACCAGTGCCCCCAGGTTGGATCAGGGACAGCCTTGCAGTTCTCTTTACACGAAAACCTCCATGCCAGGGTACCTGAGGTTGCCCTGGGGGTCAGGCTCCTCCAATGCCTGCTGGGCCCACCCTGCTGGTCAGTGAAAGTGCAGCCTCCGCTCTGGCCCGGCTGAGCATCCCTGGGAATGGTGCCTGAGGCTGACTTTTATTTCTGAGAAAAACAACTTTCTCCACAGCAGTTGGAGGGAAACGGACAATTTCCCAGACATGTGTTGCTGCTTCCAGTAATGCTGGCCTCCCGTCTGGACAGCCCATTAGGCCAGGACTGAAGGCGGAAGGGACACCTCCCCCTCTAAAGAGCCCCTTCCCCAGAGATATGGCTTTGATGTGTGTCTCCTCCAAATCTCCTGTGAAACATGATCCCCAATGCTGGAGGTGGAGCCTAGAGGGAGGTGTTTGGGTCATGGGGTGGATCTCTCCTGAGGGGCTCAGTGTCCTCCCCTGGATAACAAGTGAGTTCTCTATTAGTTCATGTAAGAGCTGGTTGTTTAAAAGAGCTTAAAAGAGGCTGGGCATGGTGGCTCAGACCTGTAATCCCAGCACTTTGGGAGGCCGAGGCTGGTGGATCGCTTGAGGTCAGAAGTTCCAGACCAGCTTGCCCAACATGGCAAAACCCCATCTCTACTAAAAATACAAAAAACTTAGCCAGGCATGGTGGTGGGCGCCTGTAATCCCAGCTACTCAGGAGGCTGAGGCAGGAGAATCGCTTGAATCTGGAAGGCAGAGGTTGCAGTGAGCAGAGATCGCGCCATGGCACTCCAGCCTGGGTGACAAGAGCGAAACTCTGTCTCAAAAAAAAAAAAAAAGAGCTTGAAAGAGCCTTGCACCACTCCCTCTCTCTCCATGCAACACACCTTCTCCCCTTTGCCCTTCCACCATGAGTAAAAGCTTCCTGAGGTCCTGACCAGAAACAGATGCTGGCATCACACTTCTTGTACAGCCTGCAGAACCATGAGCCAAATAAACCTCTCTTCTTTATAAACTACCCACCCTCGGGTATTCTTACACAGCAATGCAAACAGACAGATACAGCCAGCCATAAGCGGGCTAGGGTAGGGATGGCTCTTACCTGACAGTCTGGGTCCTGAGCTTGCCTTCTCTGGCTTTGCTGATGACTCAGTGTGTGGCCCTAGGCATGGCATGCTCCCTTCCCGGGCCTCAGTCTCCCCAGCCATGGTTGGAGAGTTGGCACTCGCTGCCCTGTACCCTCTTAGGAGTGCTCAGAGAGTCTGATGGGTCATGGTAGGTGGGGAAGAGCTCTGTGAACTGGAGAGTGCCTGAAGCTTGGCAGCGCCAGGCCTGTGCTGGGCATTGGAGACATGGTAACGTCAGAGGCGTAAGCCCTGTCTTCCAGGGTGTCATAGCCCAGTGCAGGGGACAAAGCTAGCAGCAAACAACTACTGGGAGGACAGAAGGGCAGGGCCCACGTAGGGCTGAGGAGGCTAGTGAGGAAAAGGGAAGACTTCCTGCCGATGGTGCCTGGAAGTTGGGCTTGTGGGGCTGGTGGGGTTGAGAACCACGGCGATGGGGAAGGGCATCACAGGTGGTGCCCAGCAGGAGCAAAGGCAGAGGAGGGGAAAGGCTGGGAAGCCTCAGCAGCTGGCTGGGGCTTCAAAACAGAGCACTGGACCCCAAGGGAAAGAACGGGAAGAATAGGGCTGGAGGATAATAGGCAGATGGTGGAGACCTCGAGTCCAGGCTCAGTTAGCCGATTCCCAGGAGCTACGGGGAGTGAGGAAAGAATCAGCACACAAATGAAGGGAGGCAGGGAGCAGTGGAGCAGGGCTGGGACAGCAGCCCCTCCGGGTACACAGCACTTGACAGCAGACAAACCCCCAAGGAGGAAGGCGAACTGGGGAGGAGAGGGGGAGCCCAGGGGAGAGGTGACTGCCAAGGTCACACGGTTTTGGGTACCTGGCCCAGTGCTCTCTCTGCAGAGCAGGGGAGGAGGAGGGAGGGTGGTACCAGTCGTCACGTGGGGCAAGGTCCCAGGAGCTGCCTGTGTAGACAAGAAGAGATGGAAGAACCCAACCCCAGACACTCCCAGTAGCCCCACCAGAAAGGACTGGGGGCAGGGAGGATGGAGATTAGATTAAGGGAGGACTTCCTAATAGTTCAGAGCTCCCAGAGAGTCCCAGAGGCCTTTATCCAGAGGCCTGAGGCCCTGTCTGGAGCAGAACTGAGAGGTGGCCTGCTCAGAGGCAGGGGCAGGG
Organism: Homo sapiens; assembly: GCF_000001405.40. Taxonomy (NCBI): domain Eukaryota; kingdom Metazoa; phylum Chordata; class Mammalia; order Primates; family Hominidae; genus Homo; species Homo sapiens. The sequence continues at coordinate 39,578,241 of NC_000022.11, read as the reverse complement.
GCTAAGTGACCAGGGCAGGGACAGCAGGCGATGGGAGGAGGTCTTCTGCAGAGATGGCGCCATTCCTCTCCCAACACACTTACAGCTCTCCAGGCCCCACTCCCCACCTTCCCGCCCTCCCACCTCCAGGAGCCAACAATTTCCCACCCTGGCCAAGCCCTAGGCGTCTCCGCCCATTGCAGGCTCAGGACCCTGTCAGCGACTCCGTCAGCTCCAGTGTACACACAGCTGCCACTCAGCACTTAGTTTGTCCATGCTTGCCCCAGAATTCTCATTGGATCCCCCTTAATATCCCCAACTGGGGGTCACTGTGGCCCCCATTTCACAGATGAGCAAACAGACGCTCAGCAAGGGCAAGGAACTTGGCCAAGGCCACTGGTCTAAGAAGCCAGGAGCAGATCTTCCTTCACCTGGCAACCAAGCCACCGACCCTGGGGTCACCTCTGAGTCTCCATCTCCTAACGCCAACCCTAAAGGAGCCAGGGCTGCACCAAGCCCCCTCTCCAGGCCCTCAGCCGGCACGCTGGTCCACCGTCGTTTCTCGCCATCGTCCCACAGGCGCCTCTCGACGGGTCTCCTGGCTGCACAGCCAGAGCAGTTTTCCTCCTGTACAAAAAGACCAGAGCTGTGCTCCGCGCAGTCCAGGTTCACAGCTCACACTCAGGAAATGCTCGGTGGATGTACTAATGACTGGGAGAACAATGGATGAACACGAGCCATCCCCTCCTTCGACAGCCTCAACCCTCGTCACGCGCAGCACAAGACTGGGCTTCGAGGGGCCATGAGGAGACCGGGCGCCCTGGCCTCTTCTTGCCCAGTGCCAGATGAAACCAGTGGATGCGAGAGGCAGGGGTCTCCACCAGGTGCATGGGCAGAACCAGATGGCCGCTTAGAAGCACAGACATTGGCTGGACGCAGTGGCTCCCGCCTGTAATCCCAGCACTTTGGGAGGCCGAGCTGCGCAGATTACCTGAAGTCAGGAGTTCAAGACCAGCCTGGCTAAAATGGTGAAACCCCGTCTCTTATTAAAAATTCAAAAATTAGCCCGGCATGGTGGTGCGCTTCTGTAATTCCAGCTACTCAGGAGGCTGGTGAAACCACGTCTCTACTAAAAACACAAAAATTAGCTGGGTGTGGTGGTGAGTGCCTGTAATCCCAGCTACTCAGGAGGCTGAGGCAGGAGAATAACTTGAAACTGGGAGGCGAAGGTTGCAGTGAGCCGAGATCGCACCACTGCACTCCAGCCTGGGCGACAGTGCGAGACTTGGTCTCAAAAAAAAAGAAGAAGAAGAAGAAGCACAGACATCCAGACCCCAGCACTGGCAGGCAGAGAGCTGGAGCCAGACAGGGGAGCAGAAGCAGACAGAAGTCGGCAGAGGGGCAAGGCGCGGTCAGGAGAGAACCAGGAACACGAAGGCACAGAGGCGGGGGCCCACCCACGAGGAGGGCGGCCGGGAAATGGGTGCCCTGGACAGCCCCTTCCAGACCTGGTGCCCAACTTTCCCCATCCCACAGACAGGGAGACGAGGGCGCAAAGGGTTATTGGGCAGCTGGCCTCTCCTGCCTCCCCGCAGGCTGGCGCCCTCCCCTTTCCCGAGCAGAGAGGCGGCCTTCACAGCCGACTGGCTTCCGCACTATGCATCACTGCTTCCCACCACAGCAGAAGCGCCACTGCCCCACTGCCTGGAAACGGGAAGCTCCTCTCTGCCCTGGTGGAGTGTGGAGAACCTGGTGTTTCTCCAGACTCTGCAGGTGGCAATGTTGTCCTGAATAAAAGCCAGGACTGGGGAGGCACAGAAATCGGGGTTTTGATGCCAGCTCCGCCACAGCCTGGCTGTGCAACCCTGGATAAAAGTGACTCAACCTCTTTGAGCTTCACTTTCCTCATCTGTAAAATGGGGCTATGAGAGCCCCTATCCCCACGGGTGGTTATGAGGGTTAAAGCTGACAAAATGCTTTCAGCAATCAGCATCAGCTCTCATCCTGCACATTTTTGTGCTGGACACACCGCTGGGTGCTTTACAGGAACCATCGCTAATCATCTTTAATCAACCCATTAAAGAGATAAGAAAACTGAGGCTCAGAGAGGGGGAAAAGGAAGTGAGTGCAACCCACTCTGGCCCTTCACTCATATGCAGCCAGCTATGCTCCTAAGAAAGGCTCTGAAGGCCAGGCACATTGGCTCACCCCTGTAATCCCAGCACTTTGGGAGGCCGAGGCGGGCAGATCACTTGAGGTCAGGAGTTCAAGACCAGCCTGGCTGAAATGGTGAAACCCCATCTCTTATTAAAAATTCAAAATTAGCCCGGCATGGTGGTGCGCTTCTGTAATTCCAGCTACTCAGGAGGCTGAGGTGGGAGAATCACTTGAACCCAGGAGGCAGAGGTTGCAGTGAGCCAAGATCATGCCATTGCACTCCATCCTGGGTGACAGAGAGAGACTCTGTCTCAAAAAAAAAAAATGAAAGAAAAGAAAGAAAGGCTCTGAAAGTCTAATCTAGGGTGGAAAATAATAATAGGTTTCAGGCTGATGGCTCCCCATAGCTGCCAGAGGTGCCCTGCTGGAGAATGCCGGCAGGCTCGATTAGCAATGTCTGCACTGATGGGGGGCATGGCCACTAGCAGCAGAACAAGCTCAAATCCACCTAAGTTAACAGAGATTGGGTCTGATGTTCCTTGGAAACAATGTCCTCTGAAGGTGTTATGTTCTATCTAAAGACCTGTCCCCAATGTCTAATTGAATCTACAGCAAGCAGAGTGTTGACTCAGCAGTACGTGAGGGCCCTGTTCAGGGTTCAGGCACAGGTAATCAGAGTGATAACCACACATATGGTGGCTTTTCCAGTTCCCAAACTCCACTGTCACACTGTCCTGCTCTGTCCTCAGTGCAATCAACCCTGTGGAGTGGGTATTACCACCCGTGTTTGACAGGTGGGGAAACTGGGGCTCGGAAATGTTAAGAAACTGACCCATGGTCACACAGCAAGAGACAGAACCAGCCTCTGGGTCTGTGTGATTCAGGTGCCCAGCGCTTTCCACGGTGCCACACGCCACCTCCCCGTGATTCAAGTAGCACAATGTATCCCCTGACATTTCGAATCCAGAGGCCTTGCAGCTGCATCTGCAGCTGACAGCCCATGCCCACGGCCCAGGCCAGGCAGGGAGCGGTGCTGACATATGGGCGAGTGGCCCTTTCCCACCCCACCTTGCAGGCTCCACAAGGGTCCCAGCAGCCTGCTGGCTCTCCAGTGAGTCAGGCGGTGACTCAGGGCCTAGCTCCGGGCTGGAAGAGGAGCTGAGTCAGGGAGCACCAGGCTTCAAAGAGCAGCTGGCTCTGGGCCAGGGCCCCTCAGCACCAGGACATGAGCTCAGGACAGGCTGTCTGGGGGACCCTCCCATGCTGCCCTCCCCTTCCCGGGCCTGGCCATCATGACAGCAGCTCCCACCAGCCTGACTCTGATGCTACGCACCCACCACCCCTTTGGGTTCTCAGTGGGGGAAAGAGTCGCCCTTTGCAGGGTCTAGACATGTGAAAGGTCATTTATGGTAGTCACAATGATTGAAGGACACTACTACTATTGAATATGCAAGACAGACAAGACTACAAAGCACCGTCAACCCCCAAATGCCAATGGTGTCCCATTGAGGAGTACAAGCTTAAGCACTGCCCCAGGCCCCCTCCCACAGAGCACAAGAGGGAGTGAAGTTTCCAGCCAGGAAAGAATCCTAGAGGCTTCAGCCCCTGCCCCACCCACACACGCACCCCATCCCAAGCCCCTAAAGCCCACCCTGAGCTCCCCACGACTGAGTCTCTGCTCCAGGGGACAGCCCTATGGACAGCCACGTCTCCTGGGTCTCTGTTTGTGGAACCCTCCTTGGCCCCTCTCCCACCTGACCCAATTCAGCTATGAACTCTCAGGCCAGCAGCGGCTGCAGCCACCGGGTCCAGAATCCTCCAACTCGTAGGCACACAGCATCACAGCCACCAAGTCTTAGGCTCACACACTCTTTGAAACACAGAATTTTGCAGCCTTTGAATGACAGAAGCTTAGAATTTCAGTGTCGCTGAGCCTTAAATCTTAACTTTGAACCCTTAGACTGTCGCAGAAGTTTTCAGTCTGAGTGTCCCAGAGCTGACACCTTTAAAGTTGCTGTGCTTTTGAGTCGCCACATCTCTGGCCTGAAGAGAGTCCGTATCCCACCAGTTAAGGCCGAGACCTGAACCACCTCTATCCCAGTCCAGCCTCAGCAGCCCTGGCCATGGGGATGCCGGGGGAACCCTCGCTCTGCGCAGCTCCCGGGACTGAAAAGTCCCTCCTGATGGAGGGGGGCTGCTTTCTGCCCCACCCCTTGGACCCAGGGCTCTCTCCAAGACAGACAAGAGGCAGGCCCAGCTCCTCCCGAAACCAGTACTCCTCTCCCTCCTGGGCCAGCCCCACTGTTGTCTCCAACCCCAGGCCACAACCCACATGACCTGAGGATGGAGGTGAGAGGGGTGGTGAAAACCAAGGAGACAGTGGCCCCAAGGACTCTGTTTGCCCAACAGGCCAGAAATATGGAAAACTGGGTGGGTTCCCAGGGGCTGGCTCACTCAGTGGTCAGGCGTCAGGGTGCCTGAGATCAAGGCAGCCCCCATGGCGTGTGTGGCTAACACCCTGGGCTCCCAGGGCTGGAAGGGGTGATTCGTCTGCCGTCTCCTTTTTAGGTGGAGGTGCTGAGGCTCAGAGAGAGGAGACTGCCCAGGGTCACACACATGGCAGACAGGACTTGACCACCCCCATCTAGGGGCCTCTCCGTGACACGTGGGCAGCACCCCAGCCAGCCCAGCCAGAGCCCATCAGAGACGCAGCTGGGTCAGACTCCCAGGCCAAGTCCTCTGAGCCATGCCCCTGCCTCCAGCCCAGAGCAGTATTGCCCATCCAGACCCCCTAAGGTTCAAAGAAGCAAAGTGACTTACTCATGGTCACACAGCACCCAAGTGACAGAGCCAGAATCAACTCTTGTCATCTCACCCAGGAAAGGCCCCTGAGACATTGTGAAATTGTCCCCCTGGTCCTCCTACCAGCCTTTCTCTTCCTAAAGGCCCAAAATTCCTGCGGCCGCCCCCTTCTCAGGCCTGGCACTCCTCTGTTCACATGCCACAAGCCCCTGAGGTTTCCCCAGTGCTTTGTATTAAAACTAGCCACGTAGGCTGGGCACAGTGGCTCACACCTGTAATCCCAGCACTTTGGGAGGCCGAGGCAGGCGGTTCACGAGTCAGGAGTTCGAGACCAGCCTGACCAACATGGTGAAACCCCATCTCTACTAAAAATACAAAAATTAGTAGGGCATGGCGGTGGGTGCCTGTAGTCCCAGCTACTCGGGAGGCTGAGGCAGGAGAATTGCTTGAACCTGGGAGGCGGAGGTTGCAGTGAGCCGAGATCGCGCCACTGCACTCCAGCCTGGGTGACAGAGCGAGACTCCATCTAAAAAAAAAAACTAGCCAAATGGGTGGTCCCTGCTTCCCTCTTCCCCGGGCACTCCCTGGGACAGACACCAGCTCTGCCTCTTTGTCCTCAGTGTCCCAGGGCAGATGTCAGTGAGTGCTGGGTGAACTAATTACCGAGCAGACCCTCTCACCAAGCCTGAGACGCTGTGAGCCGTCCCCCAGAAGGAGCAGGGAGGCTCTTAGCCCCCACCCAGCAAGGAACACCCAGTTCTGCATCCCACTCCAGCAGAGACCCGCTGGTTTCCAAAAGTTAGGGGGATCCAGGGCCCACGATCACCTCAGCCCCCTACAGAAGGGAAGCCTGGCAGTCCTGCAGCCAGTCTCAACATCCCAGCCTGCATCTGGCATCCCTGGATTCCAGGGCAGGACTCAGGCCTGCACCTGACCCACCAGCTCCCCGCACCCTGCCCTGTGTGGCCACAAGCACCAGAACCTCGAGCCACATATGGGCATTTTTTGGTGGGACCCTCAAACCACAAGGCCACCATGGCTTGGGTCCCCAAGCCTCCTCCTCAGTGGTCCCCAGCCCCCACTTCACCCTGCAAGCCAGTGCCACACAGTCCTTCCAGAGCACAGATCTCTCCAGACCCTGCTTCAAATCCTGCCCTTGGAGCACAGTCCCATCCCTCATGCAGCCTCCAAGGCCCTGCAGGGCTCCCGCCACACCTGCAGCCTCACCTCACTCCTCTCTGCCCCTCAGGGCTCCAACACTGCCTGCAACTCCTCCCTTCTCCAGGCTTCGCTCCTGCCATGCCCTCCTCCTGCCTCCCACTACCCTCTCTACCCAACCAACGCTCTTCCTTATTGAGGAGTCAGCTCTGGCATTGCCCATGTACACCCAGCAAACACTGCCAGAGCACCCACGATGTGCCAAGCACTGTGCCAGGTGCTAGGGTCCCCATCCCAGTCATCTGACAGTACCCCAGGGGAGGCAAATGTTAGATTCAGAATTCCACAGTTAGATGTGACAGTTAGATATGAAGCAGAGGAGGAATCCCAGAGGGCTTCCCTGAGGAGGTGATGCTTAAGCTGGGATTTTAAGGATGTAGCAAAGGATTTGGCCAGGTCCAGGGGGAAGGGAAAAGCTTTTCAGACAGGGGGAAGAGCCAGTGAGAGGACCCTGAGGCTCAGAAGAGCACAGGGGGGAAGCCAAGTGGTGGGAAGTGAGGCTGGGTGGAACACACAGGCCCTGATGGGTTGGATTAGGACTTTGCTCTGCACCTCCAGGACCATAGCAAATCATGACAGTCTTAAGCAGGGGGAACATGAGCCCACTGGAGGCAGCAAGTGGAGGCAGGAGGCCTGGGAAGAGGCTGCTCGGAGGCACAGTAAGGAGAATGAGTCCTGCCCTGTGTGTTGGGATCGGCTGCCCCGCTGCCCACGCCCACAGTTCCTGATCACGGCTCCCATCCTCTGTATGGTCACGGCCCATCAGGTGGCTCCAGAGTCTGACTGATCTGCATTCCCAGCCCAGCACAGGTCTGGGGCCCACACTCAAGGACTTTCTGAGCCAGCCAGCCACTGGACTGACCCCACAGCCACCAGCAACTTCCAGAACCTTCACATCAGCAGAACACCAGGTCCTCATCCATTTGAGGTCTCCCCAGACCCACCCTCTGAGCTCGCTCACCACCACCAAGGCCCAGTGGCCTCACCGCAGACCTCAGGTCTCCCAGCCGGAGCAAGGTGTGAGCAGCAGGACTCAATCCAGCCCCCCACCCTTCAGCCCCTGCAGGGCCCCGATCAGCCGAGGCTGCGGAGGATATGGGTTGCACACCATCTTGATGCACCAGTTCCGGGGGCTGGTGGTCTGTCGCAGGCAGAAGAAGGCAATAGGCGCCAGGTCTGGGTGTGGGACATGAGGATCAGCTCCATCCAGAGGCTCCTCCAGGCCTGGCGGGGAGGATGGGGGGCTCCGGGGTCCGGGCTGCTCCGTGGTGACTCCTGGCTCAGCGGCTGGGGCTGCTGCAGATGAGGAGGGCGGGGAGGCGCTCTCAGCCATGTCCACACTGAGCTGGGAGCCCTGGGGAAGACAGAGAGGGTGGCACGTGGTGGGGACAGGCCTGGTACATGCTCCCCAACCTGCCTCTCCACCAATAAGTGGACGGATGCAGCTCTGACAGCCCCACCTGAGCCCCACAGGCCCCTCACCCTCACTCTTGCATGAGGATTACGAAACAGCTGAGGGCCCAGCTGCACCCAACTTGGAATCTGCTTCCAAGCTGGGTGATCATGGGGCAAGTCTGCTCACCCTGGCTGAGCCTCAGTTTTGGCAAACGAAGATAGTGGGGAGAATAAAGCCTTCTTAGAATATAATTGTGATATTAACTCTTTTTTTTTTGTCTATTGGCAATTTTCTGTATTTGAAATCTTTCATTATTTAAGAGAAAAAATGTTTAAGTAATTATAGACAGAAAAGAAAGACGGAAGGGAGGGAGAGAGGGAGAGAGGGAGGGAGGGAGGGAAGAAAGGAAGGAAGGAAGGAAGGAAGGAAGGAAGGAAGGAAGGGATCTTAACTTTTTTACAAGACTAGAGCTATGTATTTATTGCACCATCAAAGGTAAAGAAAACTTGCAAGAAAAAAGAGGTGATTGTAAAGACAGACATTATTGCCAGGACAATGCAGGTTACAAAGGCAATGTTGGGGTGCTGCAGAATCAGAGACTGGGGGAACGCTGGCAAGCCAGGAGGGAATCACAGTTGGCTTCCCTGAGGAAGTAACCCCTGAGCTGAGACCTACAGCTGAGCCCTTGACCCAGGGACCTCCCAGCCACTGCCTTACAAGGCTGAGAACCCAGGAATCTTAGAGTCTAACCTCCTTGCCTTACAGATGAAGAAACCGAGGCCCAGAGAAGGGACAGGACAGACATGTAGCAGAGTAACAGCAGAAATAGAATTCCAGTCAAAGGCCAGGCACGTGACTCACACCTGTAATCCCAGCACTTTGGGAGGCCAAGGTGGGTGGATCACCTGAGGTCAGGAGTTTGAGGCCAACCTGGCCAACATAGTGAGACCTCATCTGTACTAAAAATACAAAAATTAGCTGGGTGTGGTGGCACACGCTGTAATCTCAGCTACTCGGGAAGCTGAGGCATGAGAATCACTTGAACCCGGGAGGTGGAGGTTGCAGTGAGCCAAGATCACACCACTGCATTCCAGCCTGGGCAACAGAGCAAGACTCTGTCACCAAAAAAAAAAAAAAAAAAGAATTCCGGTCAGAGCCCGCTTCCTGGGTCTGTGGCTCAGGCAGCTGCACAGGGCCCCGTGCTCAGAAGGGCCCTGAACTTGCTTTAGAATTCTTCTGTCACCAACATGAAATTCTTAATTGCTTATCAAGAGGTCCCACATTTTCATTTTGTTCTAGGTGATGCAAATCATCTTGCTGGCTCCGACTCCAACTCAAAGCACTTCTACTCCCTGGCCTTGTCTGATGCTCACAACAACCTCAGGAGGACTATTATGCCCATTTGGCAGGTGAAGAAACTGAGGCCAAGAGAACAAAGCGGGTTGTCAAGGCTATGCACCCAGCCAAGTGAAGCACTAGGTGGTGTTGAGAGGCCAGAATCCCAGCACCAGACCCCCAGGCGGGCTTCATGACAACTGATGGTGCCCTCGCTGGCCGAGAGCCTCCGCAACCAGTCAATGGCAAGATGGGACGGACAGCCACTCCCAGGGCCTGCCCCTCACCACCTCACCCCAAAGGGTACTAGTCCCTAAAACTTTGTCCACTGGGGTCCCTGGGATCCTAGAACCCCTACAGGGCCAGTCTGAGCCGTGGGATTGAGAGATGGGGTCCACGTCCCTGGTGCCCACCCAGCTGCTGCTGGGCTGTCGACCAAGCCACCCGGAGCTGATGCATTTGGACATTTCTCTGGCTCCCGGGGGCAACGGGCAGGGGTTGGCACCTCCTGCCACTTCCCCTGGCTGGTCAGGGAGGCGGAGTTTTCTCCTGAGCTCAGGGCTTTGCTCTTGATTCCAGAAAAACAGCCACGGGCCTTACATAAGCTCCCAGGCACCTTGGCCTGCCACGTGTCAACCTCCTGGGCTGAAACGCACCCTCCCTAGGGTGGTTCCAGCTCTGCCCACCACCGTGCCAGCCTCGGAGCCCACCACTCCCTCCCCTGGCCATTTGCTCTGGCCAGATTGGACCTCCTCAGGTCCTAGGCCCTGCTCCCGCTCTTCCCTCTCACTGGGGCACCTTCTCCTTCCGCCCAGGCCCTGTTCTCCCAGGCCCTACTGATTCATTCATTTGCCCAATGAGCACCTACTATGTGTGGGCACTGTGTGGGCTTCGGGCTATGCTGGGGCACGAGCCAGACTCAGCACCAGCCCCCATTCAGCCCACACTTCCGCAGAGGAGAGAGACACACCGATCAATTAATTTCTCTCTTTCTGCTTTTCCACAACTCTTATCACCATCAAACACGGTGCATAATTTATGTCTTTATATCTCCATGATTTGGTGTCTGTCTCCCCAGCCTAAGAGAAGCCTGTAAGGGAGGTGTATCCCCTCACTGCTGTATCCCCAGCACCTGGAATGGTGCCTGGAGCATACTAGGTGCTCAATCGATATTTGTTGACTCAGTGAATAAAAAGTGCTGGGAAGTAAATAAACAAGGGGAAAGGTGGGAGTGGAGACAATCATCTTGCCCTCTCTAAAGGAAGAGATGTTTAAGTGAAAACCAAGACGCGGGAGGCCGCAGCCCTGACTGATCTGCTGGAAGAGCACAGGAGGAAGAGCACGTGCGAAGGCCAGGAGAATGGGGCCCGCTCGGTGCATTTAAGGAACACAAGCGAGGCCGAGCCTCGGGCAGGGAGGCGGATGAAACCAAAGAGTTCAGCAGGGCCCTGGGGGAGAACACAGAGGAGCGTGGGTTTTATCCCAAGTTCAGTAGAAGCCACAGGTGGGTTTTAGGCAGGGGAGTGGTGTGCTCTGGTCTGTTTCTAAGCCATCTCTCCAGGGGCTGAAGGGAGAGTGGATGAAGGGGAAGGGGTGGAGCAGGAAGGGCTGGGAGGAGCTGGGCTGGCCTGCCCTTGGCTGCTGGTGAAGACAGGGAGAAGGCGGTGGATTGAGATTTATTCTCGAGGTAAAGCACCTGGTCTCGCAGCAACTGCAGTGGCCCACCTGCAACCCTCGCCCCAGCATTACCGAAGTCCTTCCTGAAACCACACAGGTGGAAAGAGCTCCCCCGGCCTCCGGGACTGCACAAAACTACCCACTTCCTGCCTCTGGGCTACGTCGCTTGCACTGACTTGCTTGTTGCCTCTCTTGGCTTGTTTAATGCCGCCACACTGTGCTGCCCTCTGTGCTCACACCTCTCCCCTCACTGTGGTGCTCCCAGAAACCACACCCCTAAGGCCACCACCCTCAACTCTCTCCCCAGTGTCCACCCAGCCTCCACCCTCTGACCTGCTCCCAGCGGCCACCCAGCCTCCACCCTCTGACCTGTTCCAGTGACCACCCAGCCTCCACCCTCGGACATGCTTCCAGTGACCACCCAGCCTCCACCCTCTGACCTGTTCCCAGTGACCACCCAGACCATCTCCCTCTGACCTGTTCCTTAGCAGCTTCCCAGGCCACTACTCCCTGACCCACTCCCCACTCCCAAAGCCCCCAAGTCCAGTCCAGATATCTCTCTTTCCTGTGTCTGTGGCCTAGCTCCTATCGCAGGTGCCTGTGTGCCCATGGCTGGAAGCCCTGAGGGGACTGGCAGCTGGGCCTCCCTGGGCTCCAATCTGTCCGCAGTCACAGAGACTAAAGGACTTGCTTTAGGTGACAGCATTGGTGGATTCAAACTCAGGTCCATCAGGTGCCAGAGTCTGAGCTGCCTCCACATCCCTGAGTCCCCTTCTTCTAGGTGCTCCCAGGACCTAACCCTGATGCTCCTTCCCCTGAGTAGCCCACCAAGCAGCAGTGTGGCAATTAGGCTGGCCTCCAAGAGCAGGGATAGGAGCAGAAGCCTGCTGTGTCTGGAACACAGACCCCCATTCCTGACTCCGTCAGCTTCTTAGAGCCTCAGTTTTTCTCTGTAAAGCTCAGCCCTCCTCCAGCCTGCTTCAGCAGGCTCTTGTTAAGAAGCAACATGATGGGCTGCCAGGTGTGGTATCTCACGCCTGTAATCCCAGCATTTTGGGAGGCCGATGCGAGTAGATCATCTGAGGTCAGGAGTTGGAGACCAGCCTGGCCAACATGGTGAAACCCCATCTCTACTAAAAACACAAAAATAAGCCAGGCATGATGGCGCACACCTGTAGTCACAGCTACTCAGGAGGCTGAGACAGAAGAATCCCTTGAACCCAGGAGGCAGAGGTTGCCGTGAGCCACGATTGCACCACTGCACTCCAGCCTGGGTGACAGAGCAAGACTCCATCTCAAAAAAAAAATAGAAGCAAAATGATGTAAATGGGGAGGCACTCTGGTGGATGGCTGAGCATGCACTGGTCCAGCTGTGTCATCCCCAGGGGCTGCTACCCCAGCCCATTCTCTGCCATCACCACCACCACCATCACCAACACCAGCACCATCATTATCATTATCACCACCCCCACCATCACCACCACCATCACCAATACCAACACCATCATCACCACCACCACCACCATCACCACCACCATCACCACCATCACCACCACCACCATCACCACCACCAACACCATCATCACCATCAACACCATCATCACCATCACCACCACCATCACCATCGCCATCACCATCACCACCACCACCATCACCAACACCATCATCACCACCATCATCACCATCACCATCATCAATATCACCATCATTGTCCTCACCACCATGATCATCATCACCACCACCACCATCACCATCACCATCTCCACCATTACCACCACCGCCACCATCACCATAACCAAAACCATCATCACCGTCATCACCATCACCACCATCATCACTATCACCATTACCCTTACCACCACAATGACCATCAACACCATCACCACCACCATCACTAACGCCAACATCATCACCACCACCACCAACAGCATCATCATCACCATCACCATCACCAACACCAACATCATCACCACCACCACCAACACCATCATCATCACCACCATCGCCATCACTAACACCAACATCATCACCACCACCACCAACACCATCATCATCACCACCATCGCCATCACTAACACCATCACTTCCATCATCACCAGCACCATCACCATCATCACCACTATCACCACCATGACCCCATCAAGCAATGGCCAACAGGTTCCCTATGCATCATCTGTGTCCATTTTTACCACAACTCCATGGCATACAGACCATTCTCATTCTTACTTCATGGAGAGGGAGACAGGGGAACAGCCATGACCATAGTCAGCCAGCTGGTACCGGGCAGTTAGTGTCCCAGTTCTGGTCTGCTTACTCCCGAGCCCAAGCACTGAACCATTCCAGGCACCAACCTGGGATGGGAATGGTGCCCTGGAACCAGGCCTCCCCAAGCTGAGGCATCAGACAGTGGCAATACAGCTGCTGGTCCAGCCAAGATGCCCAAGCAAGTTGCCCAAGTCTTCCCAAGGCAGTGGGGAAATCTGCCTCCCAGAATCTTCCAGCCAGCACTCTAGAGCCCTGGGAGTGCAGTGTCAGGATGTCCTGTATCTTCAGAGCTCAGAGCCCTGGTGGAGGAAGACCTGAGGCCTGCCCTGGTCGCCTCATGTGTGTGTGTGCATGTGTATGTGTGTGTGTGCACATGTGTGTTTTCATACAGGGAGGCAACTTTGTTTATCCTTTTGTCAATAACCACACACTGCTAGAAGAACAAGCAACAAATTCGTTCAGGAAATACTAGAATCCAGGAATTTCAGACTATCTTAGAATCACCCAGAACTTTAGAGGCCCAAAATATTAACTACAGTCACCCTGAATCCATAGTGTGGGTTTCAAATCACGGGCAGTGGAAGCTGAGACCTGTATTCAGGTCCCGACACCAATCCACCTTGGCACACAACTCAGCCTGGCAGGTGCCCACAGCTACCCTGTCTATAAAATGAGGAGACGACCGCACCATGGCAGGGCTGCTGTGCCGACAAGCTAGGGTAGCACCACTGAGCACTAGGCAGGTGCACAGTGAGACCCTCGCCAGTTTCCCATCCTTGTTAGTATCCTCAGCCATGGAGTTCCAGACTCCCGAACCCCAGGGGTCCCAGAAACAGTGTCTGGTTTTAAACTCTCATTGTTTCCAGGTCTTCAAACAGGGGATCTCTGAAAAGAATGAGACCCGGAAGGTGACCTAATCCGTCACCATACACACTCACAAGCACAAAAATCACACAGTCACACTCACACACCCACACTCACATGCTCCATACCACACTCACACACAATCACACACAGACATACACAGATAACACACACTTGCAGACACAACCTCACACACACACAGACATATGCACACACATAACACACACATAGACACACACTCACACACAATCACACACATGGCACATGGGTACACCAGCATGCACTCATACAGACACACAGACACATAATCACATACACAGACACACGATTACACACACATACATAACACACAGAAACACAATCACACACATGCAGACATATGCACATAACACAAACTCACACAGACACACACACAATCACACACGTGGCACATGGGTACGCCAGCATGCACTCACACAGACACACACACTCACAGACACACAATCACACACACAGACATACACAGAAACACAATCACACAGTTACACACATAACACACATCAACACACACACAGACACACAATCACACATGGCACATGGGTACACCAGCGTGCACTCACACAGACACACAGACACACAATCACACACAGGCATACACAGACACACAATTACACACACAGACATAGACACATAACACACAGACACACACAGACACACAATCACACACACATTAGCACACAACACACATTCACATAGACACACAACCACACATGGCACATAGATACACCAGTACCCATTCACACAGAAACACACACAGACACACAATCACACACAGACATACACACATAACACGCACACAGACACACAACCACACACGGTACATAGATACACCAGCACCCACTCATGCAGACGCACACACTCCCATACACACACTCACACAGACATACACACATACACACTCACACACTCACAGACACATACATACACAATCACAGACACATACATATGTAATCACACAAATACACTCACATAACATACACTCACACTGACACACACAGACATGCATGCACACAAAGAATACACAGACACACACAATCACACACACATAACATACAATCACAAAGACATATACTCACAGGCATACATACACGCAATTACACACACACATAAACACACAAAACACCCATTTACAGGCACACACATAACTCACACAGACACACATACACACAATCACACACTTACCCAGACACATAGATATGCACACAATCACACAGATCACATACACTCACACTGACACATATGCACACACAGAATACACAGACGCATACACATAGTCGCACACACATAGACACAACAGCCACTCACACATACAAACCAATGCAGAGCCTGCATCTGGTGATCTACAGAAAAGCCTTTGTGAGACTGCAGGAAGCCTGCCTTCCAGAATCTTCCAGCCGGCGTCCCAGAGCCCCTGGAACCCTCTATCTGCTCCCTCTTCCGCATGACAGCCCTGCAGATGCATGACGACAGCCCGCCCACCCCTGAGCCTCATCTGCCCCAGGCCTCTTGTCACCAGCTCCCTCAACCATTCCTTGGGTGACAATTTCCACATCATATGCCTCCCTGGGACCCCCTCCGCAGTCACACTCAAGTCTGTGCCCTTTCCTCTGCATGGGCAGGACTGGATATGCACCAAGCCACCCAGAGCACAACAGACAGGTTACCTGCCTGATTCTGGCCTTTCTTGATGCGGACTGGGAGCATCAGGGCCCAGCTGGCAACCCAGTCCTACTGCAGCACCTGTGGGGCATGTGGTCCACTGATCCCCTCAGATCTTCTTCAGAGAAGCTGAGCCAAGCCAGAGATCCTCAGCCTAAAGAGGAAAGGCTGAAGTGCGGTGCCCCCAATTGCATGACCCGTCACAAAACTTGCTCTGGTCTGGTCAGCTGGGCCTGCCCACATCTTGTAGTCATTCACCTCAGACCTGTCACAAAAATGAACAGCTAGCCCTCCCAGCTCCGCAGCCTATTGAGTGGGTTCTCGGTCAGCAACCCCTCCCGTGATGGCCAACAAGAATCAAAGCCAACATTATCTGTGAATACTTACTATATGCCAGGCACAGAGTAAGCTTTTGAGAAGTGCTTTTGCTCTGTCCACCTTATAGGTGAGGAAACCGAGGCACTGGAAGGTTAAAGGATCTTCCCAAGGTCAAAAGCTACTTAGTAAAAGAGCTGGGGTTTGGATCTGAGCAGTCCAGCTCCAGGTCACCAGATAAGGGTTGTCCAGGCCAGACTGTGGACAAGAGGTTGCAGCCTACCAGCCCCCCCACCCCTGCACCTGCCCACGTGTCTGTCACCAGGCATTGCCATTTGTTTGTTTTCAGCCGGCTCTCGGTCTTATGACAAGTGCAGCAAGCGAGGCTGTGTCGGAACCACCATCAGTGTGTTTGAACATCTCCCAGCAGGCGCTTCTGCTGATCAGTTTTTACTCACTCTGCAGTAATTAGGGCCTTGGGTCTTACTTCAGCGAGCAAATCAGGGTGAACATGGCCCCTGATGGGAGGGAGGGGTGGCCAGCAGGAAGAGCACTGGATCAGGAGTCCCAGGACTCAAGGACCAGCTCTGCCCTCCCCACATCACATGGTCTCCCCAAGCTTCATTTCCTTTTGTATAAAATGCAGAAGACGATGCCTTTTCTGCCTTGAAAACCAGATAGAAAATGGGGAAAAACATTTGGAAAGCAACTTCATGAAAGAAAAGACAGCTTCATTGTACGAGGCCCCATGCTAGGTGCTGCAGAAACATGTCTGAGCCGCACAAAAATCCTTTCAGGTGAAAGGTATTATCCCAGTTTTATAAGAAGCGGATGCTTCTGTTGATGCTAGGTCACCTGATCCTCTTGCCATGGTTGTGGACTTGCTCACCTCTACCCCAGCTGGGACAGAGCTTAGGCCCCTCCCAAAAGGGGCCTAAGACCCTAGAACAACAGAGGGCTGGATGCAGCCCCCGCTGCTCAACAGGGTAGGGCAGGCAGCAAGACCCTAATGCTCCTCTCTACATGCACCATTAGCCAGACCTCTCTGGCCAGAGTCCAGGAGAAGGGGGCAGTGGGCAGAGGCAGACCTCAGAGATGAAGGGAAAAGTTCTGGGAGGCAGGGCCAGGTCTGCATTGAACCTGGCCCTGAAGAGCCCACAGCCTCCACAGAACCTCCACCCTCAAGATACCACGTCCTTCTCGTCCTCTCCTGCTCAAGGAGCCCCAAAAGCACCCAGCTGTTTTGCAAAGGTGTCCAAATATGCCATGCTAAATCCTCTGTGATCTGCACCCCTCATCTATCAATACGGTCTGGGTTCTCCAATCTGAGAGCACGAGTGGAAACCAGGACTCGTGGCCATGTCCCCACAAAGCACCTGGCAGGGGAGGCCAGATCCTCTCACAGGCACAGCAGCTCCAAAAGGGCAGGTTTTGTCTGTTCCCTTCCGTTCACTGCTGTGTCCCCCAGTGACCAGAACAGGCCTTAGAACACAGTACATGAAGAATAAATATTAGAGAGAAAGAGAGAAAAGGAAATCGGAAAATCCAATTTGTTTTCTTCCCTCTGTAGACTGGCAGCCATGGTGGGGGACAGACTCAACCCACATCTTCCTGGATATCAGGATCCACAGATCCACGGACCCATGGATCCACCATCCACAGATTCACAGACACACCCACAGATCCACAGATGCCTGGACCCACAGACCCACAGACCTGCACACTCACACTCCCAGAGATCCACAGACCATACACCCACAGTGTGCAGGGCACACAGCACCCTGGGCTCTTTGAGCCCCCAGGCCAGACCTGGGATGCCAGGGGCACAAGAGTAGACTGAGGGCATTAAGGCTGGGGCATGTCCTAGGAACATATGGGAAGAAAACATTCTGCGGCAAAGAACAGGAGGTAGGGAAGGGGTTGGAAAGGAGAAGTGGGGACAGGAGGACAGGCGAGGAAGAGGAGCAGCAGCAGGGGAAGAGCTGGCTGCAGAGGAGAAGGGATGGAGGGGAGAGCGCCCTGCTCTCCCTGCAGCCCAGAGGGGTCTCTCTAGACCCCCATGCCCAGCCCAGCATCCCCTCTTTCCAGACAGTTTTTGACACCAGGAGCTGGGGGGCTGAGGAATCAAGAGAAGAAGGCAGCTGCCAAAGTGGAGACAGCCACGGATCAAGGAGCCACATAGGAGCCTGTTTGGCTACCTTGGAAAGCGCTAGGAACTGCGGGGTGGCGGGAGCCCTGCCAGCGTGGGGGAGGGACAGAGTGGTGCCCAGAAACTGACTGGCCTGAGAGCCCCTTCCTTGGGGCTGAGGCCCAGAGCAGCCACACTTGGGGTGTGGGGTGAAGGTGGCAGAGAGGGCCACAAAGGGGGCCATGATGAAGGAGACTGGGGGAGGGGAGTTGGAGGTGGTGACCCCTGTGGGCTCAGGGCGGGGAACTGGGTCCAGAACCACAGAGAGGCTGCAGTCCCCAAAACTGCTCCCAGCTTGGCTATGGACTCAGGAAGATGTCTGGAGCAGAGAGAGGGTGAGAGAGGATGGGGTTCTCACGGCACCCTCCACCCCTACCTGACCACTCAAGGTCAAGGGGAGGCCGCAGGGACCTGCGGACAGCCTGGCGCCCCCTGGTGGGCCTGGAAGATGCCCTCTCAGCCCCAGCTTTCTCAGGAGGTCTTGGAATGGGGGCAAGGGGAGGGGAGGGGCATGCAGGGTGAGGAGGAAGGAATGCGGAAGAAGCGGGCAGAGAACTTTGGTCAAAGGAAGGGGAAGGGGCCTCCAGCCAGGCCAGCAGCCCCTTCCCCAAGCCTCCCATTGTGGGGCAGGCACAGCAGCTCTGCACAGCTAGGAAGAGAGCGTGGAGGGCACGGTGTGGTGACCAGGCCCTCTGGGGTTGTGGGCAGATTCATGGGTTTGGTGCCAGGCCAGCTCAACAGCCTCCAGGCACATTCTTTCTTTTCCTCTTCCTCCCCCTGCTGAGGCCCCAGACCTGGTCTCTGCTCAGTGTCACCCTGTCCTGTCCTGACCTATCACCCACTGGTGTCCCCTCCCTCTGTCTCTGCGTTGACGGCGGAGGTGGGAAGGTAACAGGGAGGTCTCTAGACCCCAGCTCAGTCCCCAGCCCAGCCCTGGATCCTGAAGCCTGAACAGAAAGTTTGTCCTGAAGAGTGGACAAGAGTTCCGGAAGCGAGTCCTTAGGGCTAAGAGGAGCCACAGATTCAAGAGGTGACCAGGTGCCAGCAGGGTCTGAGGACGGGGTGCAGGGAGGTAGGCCCACACCATGGGCCAAACCCTTCCCCTGGGGCTGGGCCACAGATCCACACCCCTGTTCACACAGCGTCCTAGCCCCGAGGTGGTGCCAGCGTCTGCGGGGCGAATCCTCCAGGCAGTGAGAGACAGAGGACGAACTGGCCACTGCCTGGGCCAATCTGAGTGCTCCAGCGAGGACTCTCCTCGCATGGTGATCAGACCCCGGCACACCACACACGCCAGACACGCAGGCCCACTCCAGCGCTCGCTCATTCTCTCTCTCTGTCTCTCTCACACACACACACACACACACACACACACACACCTGGACCCAGGATACAGACCCTCAGGACAAGAATATAGCTCAGAGGTCTTCTCAGACCCCAATCTCATCCTCAGGTCAGGAGCCCCCAGGGCCCTGACAAGGCAGAAAGACACTAGCAGAGGGGCTGACTGAGGCCTCAGCCTGGGCCCCACCACAGCCCCCTCCCCCAGGCACCATGACTTCCCCCAAAAGAGGCCTCCCCACCACTGCCAAGCCCCGTAGTCCCCCACAGCTCCCCCACAACACCACCCAGTAGGCAATTAGCACCCAATCATCATAAGCACTCATTACATAACACCTCCAGCCGGCCGAGGGTCCCTTTCACCCCTACAGCCCCGGCTCCGACCCTGGCCTGGCTTCATGCAGCGAGGCCTCCGCCCCGCTGGGGTGCCAGCCAAAGGGGGGGTCTCCGCCACCCCCGCCTCCGGGAAAGTTAAACCCTGCCCGGGATTCCCCCATCCAGTGGCCCCCGCTGCCGCGCTCCCAGGCCAGCGCTCCCAGCTCAGCCCGCCGGACACGGGCACCAGCTCTGGCCCAGCTGCCCGCAGAGCCGCAGCCGCGGAGGGGCGGCCGGACGCGCGGACAACCCGGGCCCCGGCCGGCAGCCTGACTTGTTGAATAAATTTCTGCAGCGCTGGCTCAGCTGGCTTCAGTATTGGCACCGAGAGAACTTTCGTGGCCTTGGAGAGAGGACCGGTCAAAGTTTCCTGTCCTTCCTCCCAAGGCATGGCCCCGAAGGCGCGGGATGGGGGGCTCACCTGACGGGTACGCGCGGGTGGGGAGGATCGATCCCCAGAAATAAATAAATAAATGCCCCAGTGAAGAGAGAAGCCAACGCGCCAAGAAACTGGCATCGAAGCGAAGCCCTCCCTTCCTTCCCCCCACCCACCCAGCCCCCACCTACCTTGGCATGGACGTGGCCCGGCCGCGGGGGGTCGTCCAGGTTAGAGACGCGGGGACAACGCGTCCCCACCCGAAGCCGGCGATCGAGAGGGACCCCCAGCCCCGCCAGCCGACCCCCCGCCAATTCAGGATCAGCTGAGCCCCCGGGGCGCGGGGGGCGGCGGGCGGGGGGCGGCGGGCCCGGGGGCCCGGGCCATGGCGGGAGGAGGAGGAGGCGGCGGGCTGGAGGGACGGCGAGGCTCTGGGCGGGCGGCGGGCGGGAGCGCGGCGCTCCGGGCCGGGGCGGGGGCGCGGGTGCTGCGGGGACCGAGCAGCGGGGCAAGTGCCCGGGAGAGACCAGCGCGGCGGGGAGCGCGGGGCTGAGGCCGGTCTCTCGCCTGCCTCGGCTCTGCTCGCGCCTCCGGCTCAGGGCTCGAAGCGCGGGGTCTGCGCGCGGCGGGGGCTGCGGAGGAGCCCGAGCGCCTGGCGGTGCGGGGACGTGCGGCGGCGGCGAGACCGAGCCGCGCTGCGTGCGAGGAAAAGCCGTCCTTATACTGACACCAAATGTCTTCGGGGAAAGCTGCAGGCGCGGGACGCTGGAGGGGGGAGGCGTGGAGGCGACAGACAGACTGACGGCGGCGGCTGGTGAGCTCCCACCCCTTCCCAGAGGGTAGGAAGCCCCCAGCCCGCGGCCAGCTCCTTAAAATCCAGGTTCTTGCCTGGGGTGGGGTCCTGACCCCTCAGCATGGGGGCTGCGTCATGAGTAAAAAGAGGTGGGTGGGGGGCATTACTGACCACCCCCGGGTCCCAGGTGCCTGCTCTGCCACGTTCCACCCTGTCTCCTCTCTGAGATCCAGATCGGGGGTGTTCACCCCACTGCCCCGGTGAGGGGTCACCCACCTAAGACCCCAGCTCTTAAACGGTAGAGCTGAGCTAGAACCCAGCTCTAAAGGTCGCTCAACCGCCCAGGCTGCCTCCACACTTCTCATTCACAACCCTGCTTCTTCCCACCCTCTAGGCTTGGCTGAAAGGCCACCTCCTCCAGGAAGGCTTCTCAGAGGGCCCCCAGGTGAAACAGATGCCTCTATCCGGCTGCAAAGGCTTCATTCTCACCACTTTCCAGGACCCTGTCACACCAGTTCCCCCAATCCCACGCTCCTGAGGCCTGTCTCCCTTCCTCTCTCACCCAAGGGCTGTGGATTGGGGAGAGGGAGTGTTCAAGGTTATAACCCCCTTTTATTTGTTCATTTGCATCCAGCCAAACAAATTAAAAGCACCAAGACTCTCCCCAATGCAGGCCAAATGGTCTACTCACTGCCTCACAACTCAGGAAGCATTTAGTGAACACCTGCTGTGTGCTAGGCACTTCTTTAAACTGCCTGGAGTTCCACCCTTTTGCCCCCATTTTACCGATGAAGAAACTGAGGCCAGAGATGAGCTGCCTGGTCAAGGTTACTCCGCTGGGAAGCAGCAGCCCCCAGTACGAGTCCAGTGCTCCCAACCCCTGCCCAGATGTTGTCACACTGGGCTGCCCAGCGTAACCCTCTCCACCTCTTTGGAGAATGTGTGGTGAGGGGCACCAGGGGGTTGCTGAGGGCTGCCCTGAGCCCCCCCACCCCTCCGATGCTGGCAGATAGTCACAGCTTTAGAGAAAGGTACACTCAGGTTTGATCCCAGCTCTGCTGCTTCCTGACTGAGGATGGGAAGCAAAGCCCGTTAACATCTCTGAGTCTCAGGTGCCTCATCTGTGAAATGGCGATAAGGTTTCACACTTTGCAGGATGCAAACCATCTTTAAAGGGCTTAGCACAGTGTCTAACACATAATAGGTGTCCAACAAATATTCATCCCTTTCTAGCTTTTAGTCTAAGGAGACAAAACAAGCCTTTGTCTCCAGACTCCAAGGCAAGGTCGTCTAAGCACACACGGGCTGAGAGGTGTCTTACAGGTGTGAATTCAGCAAGCCAGACAGCCCTGCAGGTGGGACGGATTTACATCAGATCAGAGTGGGCTTCAGATCAGGAGTCTTCAGGGAAGCCTCATCAAAGGCGAGAGACTTGAACTGAGCCTTGAAAGCTTGTACAGGATCGAGATAAGAAGAGAGAAGGTGGGTAGAGAAATGGCATCAAGGAGGGAGAAGGCATGGAGGCAGGAACAAGGTAGCATGGCAGGCACTCCATGCCCCGAGCAGCTGAATGCACAGCTAGAAAGCCGCAGGCCTGGAGGGTGAAAGAAATCAGGCGGCATGATGGGGAGAAGATACCAACCACCACCAACTTCTTCCCATTCTCCTCCAGGGACATTTTCATAAAGCAAAGTTCAGAAGACTGGACAGGACCTCGAGAAGCCACCAGACGGTGAATTCTCAGGTCTGGGTCCCTTCAGCTATAGTCTTCCGAAGTGGCCACCCTGTCCCTGCTTGTACACCTGAGGTGATGTAGATCTCACCACCTCCTGGGGCAGCTCCTCTGCTCTCTGGGTATTTCTGATCATTCAAAGCTCTTTTACAGATTTGAGCAGAAATCTGCTACCCTTCGTGATCTGGGTCCCTTCCTTGTCTTGACAGGACTAACACTCCCACCTCAGCCTCCTTCAAGCATCTATACTAGCAGAAAGTCCTGTTTTATATCTAACCTTATGTTTCTTTTTTTTTTTTTTTTTTTTTTTTGAGACAAGATCTCACTCTGTTGCCCAGGCTGGAGTGTAGTGGCTCAATATCAGCTCATTGCAGCCTCAACTTCCCAGGCTCCAGTGATCCTCCCACCTCAGCCTCTGAGTAGCTGGGAACACAGGCACACACCACCACACCTAGCTAATTTTTTGTACTTTTTGTAGAGACGGGGTTTCACCATGTTGCCCAGGCTGGTCTCGAACTCCTGGGCTCGAGCGATCTGCCCACCTCAGCCTCCCGAAATGTTGGGATTACAGGTGTGAGCCACCGTGCCTGGCCCATGCTTTATGTTTCAACTAAAACCCTAGGCCAGGCATGGTGGCTCACACTTGTAATCCCAGCACTTTGGGAGGCTGAGGTGGGTGGATCATCTGAGGTCAGGAGTTCAAGACCAGCCTGGCCAACATGGTGAAGCCCTGTCTCTACTAAAACTACAAAAATTAGCTGGGTGTGGTGGCAAACGCCTGTAGTGCCAGCTACTCGGGAGGCTGAGGCAGGAGAATCGCTTGAACCCAGGAGGCGGAGGTTGCAGTGAGCTGAGATCATGCCACTGCACTCCAGCCTTGGTGACAGAGCAAGACTCCATCTCAAAAAAAAAAAAAACAACAAAAAAAACGTAGTTGTCCACTCTATCTCTGTCACTATTCTGCCCATCCCACGATCCACCCAGGATAGGGAGTGAGTTATGTGGATTTGAGGGATGACCCTGAAACCTACTGGGGCTGAAAGTACCACTCCATGTCTTAGCAAGAAGCAAGACTGGGGAGGTCCCTCCTGAGGGCCCTGGCTGACTGCAGGAGCTTCATCCATTCATTACTGCTATTTATGTTGTGCCTGGTAATTGCAGAAGGCTGCATCAGCCACACATATTTGTTGGTCCTACCATGTCCTGGGAGTAGGGCTGCCAGGCCACTACCAGAGGGTGGACGAGGTAGACCCCAGCCTGGAGCCCCCTAATGCACCCCCCTGACAAATGAACCAGGCTCCCTACCACCTCCCTAGACCCGGAATCCCCTGCCCTCTTCCAGGGACAAAGCCCAACCAGGCTCTTCCTTGCTGCTGCAGCAGCTGCTGGGCCCAGGCTCACCTCCGCCCCCCAGAACTTTCTTGCAATTGTAGTGGCTGGATAGAAAGGGATCATCTGTCCATGGGGACAAATAAACAAGCTGGGCTGAAGGAAACTGGGGCAGAATTCCTGCCCTATGACATGAAATGAGGTCCCTTCCAGGCCTAAAGATCTTAATAGCACAGGGACAAAGATTCCAGTATGCTCAGAATTCACACTGATTTATTTCTCAGATGCTCACAGATCCTTTATCTGTGCCAGGCCCTGGTCTAAGCACTTGACAAAAATTAACCCCCTTAATTCTTACCATAATCTTGTAAAATCGGGCCAGGCGCAGTGGCTCACGCCTGTAACCCCAGCACTTTGGGAGGCCCAGGTGGGTGGATCACTTGAGGTCAGGAGTTCAAAACCAGCCTGGCCAACATAGCAAAACCCCATCTCTACTAAAAAATACAAAAACTAGCCAGGCATTGTGGCATGCACCTGTAGTCCCAGCTACTCAGGAGGCTGAGGCAGGAGAATCACTTGAACCCAGGAGGCAGAGGTTGCGGTGAGCCGAGATCATGCCACTGCACTCCAGCACTCTGGGTGACAGAGCGAGACTCTATCTCAAAAAAAAAAAAAAAAAAAAAGAAAGAAAGAAAGAGAAAAGAAAAAAATCTTGTAAAATCATTGCTACCATTTTACAGGTGAGAAAACATTGGCACAGAGAGGTTAGGTAACTTGCTCAAAGTCACACAGCTAATAAATGGCAGAGCTGGGATTCCAATTCAGGGGGTCTGTGCTCTTAACTAGGATCCTATGTTCTAAGACTCAAAAGCTCTAAGATTCCAGGTTTCCAGGATTCCAAACTGACAGAGTGGCTCCACCTACTAAAGGAGGAAGGGAACTGGCCTGAGTTACCCTCCCTCCATAGGCCACCCCCCGGTGGAGCACATTCCTCTGGGACATGGAGAGGGGCCTCTCTCACCAGCCCTGCTCAGGCCCCAGAATCCCAATCACGCTGCAAGCAGTGATGTGGCCTGAACACCTAAGAACCAGGCCGAAACAGGAGCACTGGGCCCCAAATGTCCCTGGCCTGGGAGCAGTCCACCATGATAGGAGAAAACCAATGGCAGAATGCAAGCTTCAACAGTCCAAAAGCATCTGTTAATCACCTCTGCGTACCAGGCCTGTGCCATGGCTGGAGGACATTACGAGATGGAAAATTCTGGAAGTGCTGACTGTGGGTAAAACAGGGAGGAGATTTGGAATGAGACCCTAGGGAGGATGGGCCAGACGCTGGGCTTCCCATATGTGATGGGGCAGGCTGAACCCCAGCACCTGTGGGCACCTTGATGGGTTTGAAGAGGCCAAGATGGACCCAGAGCCCAGTCTGGAAGGTAGTGGCTGGATTGTTCTGCAACATAAAGAGAGAAGAATCAGAAGGTCCAGAGAGAAAAGAGTGGAGAGGGAAGGGAGAGGAGAGAAGAGATTGCAAGATGGAGGAGACCAGGGACACGCAGAGGGGGACGCACCTGGGGGGATCCCCCAGAAGCGGGGGGACTTCGATTTGAAGTGGTTTGCATGGCTGCAGTGTCAGTGTCCCTCCCCTGCCAAGTCCCCAGGAACATCTGCTGGACCCACAGGGGTACTCAGTGTGTGGATATCAAGAAAGGAGCCGAGCTCCCCCTCAGTGCTGACATGAACAAGAACAGCCCTGGGCATGTCACCCAGTCCATCCCCAACTGCACTAAGCCAGCAGAAGCAAAAGGTCAAAGCCAGAGGGGTCCAGGAGAACACTGGCAGCCCCCCAAGATTGCTGCATCCCTAGGAATCTGGGCAGGAAGTGTGGGGGTGGAGCTGGCTTATGTAGCTGAGAAGCAGGGAGCCCCTGGGCCCGGCTGCAGGTGTCCACTTCTTCTATCAGCCCACTTAACCCCCAGCAGTCCTAGGTGACAGGGATCATGCAGCTCCACTTACACTCGGGAGAACCAGAATCCGGAGAAATTAAGTAAATTGCCCAGAGTCACACAGCTAATAAGTAGCATAAACAGGATTCTATGCCAGAGTGCATGTGTGTGCGCATGTGTGTGTGTGTGAGAGAGAGAGAGAGAGAATCTATCTCTGCCCAGGACAAAAGCCTATCTATCTGCCCAGGACAAAAGCCTGGAGTGGGGGCAGAGCATAGCTGGGGACAGACCCCAGGAACCTCAAGTTCCTGCCAGGTCGGAGGTCCCTGACTCTCAACCAAAACAGGTAGCTGATGCCTGAGGAGCTTCCTGGACAGGGCTCAGAGAATCCAGTCTCTACTAACAATACAGAAATTAGCCGGGCGTGGCAGCATGCGCCTGTAATCCTAGCTACTCGGGAGGCTGAGGCAGGAGAATTGCTTGAGCCCAGGAGGCAGAGTTTGCAGTGAGCCAAGATCGCGCCACTATACTCCAGCCTGGGCAATAGAGCGAGACTCCATGTCAAAAAAGGAAAAAAGAAAGAAATTGAGTTCAAGAGAGCTGGTGTGACAACAGTTACACGCCAGGCCATCACTCAGTGATGTTTATTGACCACCTACTAAGTGCCACGTGTCAGGTATACAGAAACAGATGAACCCCAGCCCTGTGGGGAGAAGCCACATCTGGACAACCTGGATTTAAGCTCGGAAGAAAGGAGCTGGGAGCCCCCAGGAGGAAACGATATTTTCTGGGGTCAGACCAGGAGGGCCAAAGAAGGCTCCACAAAGGGAGAGACAGTGAAGGCCTAGAAGGGACAACAGGCAGTGGGCAGATCTGAGTTTTCCTAGCCAAGTATTGGAGGAAGGGCATCTCAAGCCAAGGGACAGCAGGAGCAAAGGCCCGGAGAGCATCAGGTTAAAAAAGACATGGGGGTCTGGGCGCAGTGGCTCACCCCTGTAATCCCAGCACTTTGGGAGGCTGAGGCAGGTGGATCATCTGAGGTCAGGAGTTCGAGACCAGCCTGGCCAGCTTGGTGAAACCCCGCCTCTACTAAAAATACAAAAATTAGTCAGGCAGGGTGGCAGGCGCCTGTAATCCCAGCTACTCGGGAGGCTGAGGCAGGAGAATCTCTTGAACCCAGGAGGCGGCAACCTAGGTTGCAGTAAGCTGAGATCATGCCATTGCACTCTAGCCTGGGCGACAGAGCAAGACTATCTCAAAAAAAAAAAAAAAAGAAAGAAAGAAAGAAAAGAAAATGACACTGGGGAAGAGGTGGAAGAGGGACCGGAAAGCCCAGCTTAGGAGCGACGGAGCCAGAGAGGAGAGTGGACGATGAAAAGAGGAAAAATCACCTTGAGGTGCAGGGGGTGGGGACCCTCTGCCCCTGCTGGCTTCTGTCCACCTCTGTCTCTGTCTCTTTGGGCGTCTCTCTCCTGCTTCCTGTTTCCCTTGCCTGGCTCCCTTCCTCCTTGGCGTTTCTCTGTCTTACCCTTTCTCTGGCTCTCTCCATGCCCCTCTGTCTCTCTGTCTCCCTAACTCTTCCTGTCTGTCTCTTGCTCTCCCGTCTCCCCGCTGTGTGTGTGTATGTACATCTCTCACGCACGTGTGCCCTCACACTCTTCCTTTCTGCCACTCCTGCTGCTTGGAGATAGAATAATAGAGCAGGCAACTATCCCTTTTATCCTCAGCTGGACAAAGTCCCGGCACCCGGGCAGTCAGGCTTCCAGGCAAACACCCTCAATGTCGCCATCAAGGAGAGACCATGAGGCCTGTGTGGTGGGAGTGGGTCTCAGGCTGGAGGCGCTGTAGTTGGCCAGGTCATTACTGTAAGCCTGGGCCCTGCCCTGTGGTCTTTCAAGCCCTGATGGCTTAGGATGGGCATTTGAGGGAGCAGGCAAGCTTTGCCCAGAGGCAGAAGAGGCAGCCTCAGCCTCCCGTGGCACTTGAATTCCACCGTCAGGGCTACAGTGCTTTCTTGCAAGGTTTTGATCATTGTTAAAACCAGAACCTCCTGGAAAGGATTATTCAGTCCAGTTTGCCAGCTGAGGCCAGTTCTGTGCCTTCGCCATATGTGGGTTTTGGAGAATATTCACCAGCCCTGCCCTCAGTTCGGCTGTGGTCTTATGGGGTTAGAAAAAGCTATCATGAGATGTTGCCACATAGAGAGTGCCTTTGCCTCCCTCAGGCCTGACTCCTCCAGGGCAACCCCAGGCAGAATCAGTGGTCCTTCCCTCCAAACTCCTGCCCTGTCTCCATGGCCCCCCTCTGTGCCACCCCAGCCAGACTGGGAGCCCTACAAAGCAGGACCCGTTTGTAGAGACCAGAGCTGGGCATAGAGGGAGTGCCAGCAGGTTTGCTGAAGGAATGAATGGGCAGTGATCCTCACACACAGGAGGCTGTGATGGGGCAGCTTTGCCTCTTCAGCAGCTACCCCCAAGCTCCCACCATGTGCCAGGCCCAGTTTGGGCCCTGGAGGTACAGCAGTGAGCAAAACAAAGTCCTGGTCCTCTTGGAGCTTATATTTTAGTGGGGAAGTCAGAAGATAAATAAGTAAAATATATAGTACCTCAGATTCTGATCTGCCTGTAGAGCAAATTAAAGCAGATGTGGTGGGTGGGGAGTAAGGATGGGGTAGGGGGAGTCTTGTCATTTTAAATGAGGTGGTCAGGGACATGGTGTGACTCAAATCCTAAAAAGCAGCCAGGCACAGTGGCTCATGCCTGTAGTCCCAGAACTTTGGGAGGCCAAAACAGGAGCATCACTTGTGCCCAGGTGTTCAAGATCAGCCTGGGCAAGATGGTGAGACCCTATCTCTACAAAATCATTTTTAAAATTAGCCAGGCATGGCCGGGCAAGGTGGCTCACGCCTGTAATCCCAACACTTTGGGAGGCTGAGGCAGGCAGATCACAAGATCAGGAAATCGAGACCATCCTGGCCAAGATGGTGAAACCCTGTTTCTACTAAAAATACAAAAATCAGCTGGGCATGGTGATGTGTGCCTGTAATCCCAGCTACTTGGGAGGCTGAGACAGGAGAATCTCTTGAACCAGGGAGTCAGAGGTTGCAGTAAGCCAAGATTGCACCACTGCACTCCAGCCTGGCAACAGAGCGAGGTTCTGTCTTAAAAAAAAAAAAAAAATTAGCCAGGCGGTCGGAAGCGGTGGCTCACGCCTGTAATCCCAGCACTTTGGGAGGCTAACGCGGGTGGATAACCTGAGGTCAGGAGTTCAAGACCAGCCTGGCCAACATGGCAAAACCCCGTCTCACTAAAAAGTACAAAAATTAGCCAGGTATGGCGGCGGGCGCCTGTAATCCCAGCTACTCAGGAGGCTGAGGTAGGAGAATTGCTTCAACCCAGGAGGCAGAGGTTGCAGTGAGCCAAGATCATGCCACTGCACTCCAGCCTGGACAACAAGACCGAGACTCTATCTCAAAATTAGCTGGGCATGGTGGCATGTGCCTGTACTAAGTGCCATGTGTCAGATATATACTCAGGAGGCTGAAACAAGAGGATAGCTTGATCCCAGGAGTTCGAGGCTGCAGTGAGCTATGATCACGACACTGCACTCCATCCTGGCAACAGAGTGAGACCCCATCTCTAAAAAAAGAAAAAAAATCCTAAAAAGCTTGCCCTCATTGCTATATAGAATAGACTGGGAGAAAGGTGTCACTCTGGAGCAAAAAGGCTGTGCAGGTTCCTTGGTTCCTGAAACAAAGGGCCCTGACATCTGCACCCACCTACCCAGCTGAGGACCCAGATATTTCTCCAGGCTGGCTGAGCAGAGCCTGGGGCTCCAGCTGTCCTGCCCGCCACCAGGCGCCTCTCTCAGCTCCTCCCGTCCATCTCTCATCTCTCACACACTCTCACACACTCTCTCCCTTTCATAAAACCTTTCCAGGAATCCCTTCATGGAGGGCAGAGGCAGGCCATGGTGGGGGATGTTAGGGAGGGATGGAGGAGGCAGATGCACACTCTCCGAGGGGGAGCTCCCTGCAGGGAGTGTCTTTGAAGATGTACCCTGAATGTGGGCATGGCCATCCACGGATTCAGATGAGGGGGGCCCTTCCAGTGGGGGGCCCAGCCTCCAATTCCATTTGAAAGTCGGCATAAATTATAAATAGACATTTGGGAAGCAGATGAGCCAACCCCTATGAGGCACAGACTTGAACAAGAGTCCTCAGGATATCCGGTGACTAGCGTGTCCTCACTACTCCCCCATGCCTGTGAATTCCCTGACTGCCCCCACCAGGCCCCAGCCTGCAGAGGGGAGCAGGTTCATCACACACCTCTGGCACATGCAGAGCAGGAATCAGAGAAACCAAGAAACTGGACCAAGGTCACACAGCAGAAAGTTACAGGGCAGGGCCTGAAAGCCAAGCCCATGCCCACCCCACTCCCCTTGCCCAGCTAGGTCCAGATAAGCCCAGAGCCTGCAACCACCTCAATCTCAGCCTGCAGAGGTCTGGGGGTCCCCTTGCACCCTGACCCCCCAGAGCAAACTTGGGGGTGGTCTCTGATGTTTAACTCAGAGTATTCACTTCCCAGGCATGCAGCTGCCCTCCCCCCAAGGGAGAATAAACACATGGAGACATTGACACACAATCTCACACTCCCACGTGTGCACACACAGATACACACACTGACACATTCACACAGACCCACAAACACCCTCACGTGTACACCCAAACAGATACCACTTTTGTTAAATACACTCTCACACCAAGATACAAAATCACACAAATACATTCACACTCCCTCTCAAGTACACACAGACACATCATGTTATTATTATTAAGTTCACCCTCACACAAACACAAGCACAAATAGATCCTTTCCCAAATGCACTCGAGAAGAGGGAAAGACATTGGTACTAGAGACAGAGGGAAAAGAGAGAGAGAGGAGGAAGATAGAAAAAAATCAAAGGAGAGGGAAGAGGAGGGAACTGACTGATGGGGAGGGGATGAGTTTAGAGCATCAAAGAGGTGAAAAATTGGGGGAGAAAGACAGGAGAGGAGAGGGGAGAGATGAGGAGAATGAGATAAAGAGATAAGGAGGCAATAAGGGAACCAAGAAGGATGAAGAGGAGTGAGAGGAGAAGGGAGCCTGTGATTGGAGCCTAACTTTAGCTGCAGCAGCAGTGATGACTCACACTTCGGGGGGAGCATTGAGCCAGCTCCAGGTTTCTGTTTATATTCCTCGATGAGCTAAATATACAGGCAAGGGGTTCTTCTGTTCTGGTCCAGCAGCTCCTGTGTTCTTCCTCCCACCCTCGCCTCCCCTCCCCTCTACACACACTCAGAGCCCCTGCCTCCTCTCCCTCTCCATGCCCACAGGGTGCTGCCTGTGCTCTCCTGCAGCCATTGGCACACATCCTAACCTGGCCCACAGTTCTTCCCACTAGGGAGTCAGTGCTAGGAGCTGACCATGGGGTTGGGCTCTGAGCTTAGAAATAACATGGTCCAAAGAGCCCCTTTCTGAAGCCAGGAAATCAAGTGGAAGGGGGCGATGATTGCCCAAGGTCACACAGCAGGCAAGTATAAGATGAACCACGCCAGTCTCCTGTGGCTGCCAGGCCAGACACTCCCCCAGAAGAAGGGAATGAAGGCCTGGGGTAGTGGGGCTGAGGACCCATGACAAGGGGCTGGAGAGGGGAGAGTGGGGTGTGAAGGGAGAAAAAACAAGAGCCAAGGCTTGCAGACCACAGAAAAAGTGGAAGTGTGTATGTGTGTGTATGTGTGCACATGCATGCACTCAAACTTGTTGGGGTAGGTGGAGGGGTGGTCAAGGGTCTTGGAAACAAAGGAGGGAGTGAATACCATTGGCAAATAATCTCTCGATCCCTGAGTCTAGGGATCCCCCTGCATCCTGACCCTCCAGAGAAAACTGGTGGGGAGGGTGGTCTTCGATGCTTAACCCACAGCGTTCACTTCCCAGGCACAGAGCTGCCCTCCCCTAAAGGAGAAGAAATCCACGGAGACACTCGCAGCCCCACATGTGCACACACACACAGACACAGAGACTGACACGTTCACACAGACCCACAAATCCCACAAACATCCTCACACGTACACCCAGATACTACTTGTATTAAATACACTATTACACCAAGGTACAGATTCACGCAAATACGTTCGCATTCCCTGTCGAGTACACACAGACACATGTATGTTATTATTAACTGTGGAGGGAGAGGTGGTAGGGGAAGGTGCAAGTGTGGTCAAGGGTCTTGGAAACAAAGGAGAGAGGGAATTTTATAGGAAAATTATCTCCAGATCCACAAGGAGCTCCTCCGACATCATCAGCACCCCCGATCCAGCTCCCTGCACCCCGACCTCCTGAGTCAGCGTTCAAGGCCTTTTGCTACCCAACAGCGGGTCATAAACCTACAAAACCTACAGAATAACTTCCTGAGCCAACCGCACGCCAACTGCGCGCCGGGCTGCTGTCCGTGGTGCTGAATTCCGCTTCGCCTCTCCGTGCCCTGGAAGGTGGCGATTCCCGCCCTAACCTCTCCCAGGAAGGAGTTCAGTAGGATTGAGGGAAGAGGCTGCGGCAGGAAGGAAGGGACAGGAGGAGACGAAGGACAGGGACGGTGAGAAAGGCAGCTCCTGCCAGGGGTTTTCAGGGAGAGAGAGCAGTGTTTGCTTTGACATCGCTTTCAAATAACCACAGTGACCAAGGAAAACACCACCAGCGAAGATGGCCGACAAGTCGGGGAACCACTGCAGAGGGAGACGCCCGTGTGCCCGGCTGTGCAAGGCTGGGCGAGTGTTGACACAGAAACGAATCCAGGCCGGAGGGGAGAGCCTGGGCGGGCTTGGAGTAATGTCCTCAGCTGAGCCAAACCAAAGCACTTCCAGTTTTCTCATGTTTTCGTTACCCATCTCGATGAAAAGGTTGTGAGTTTTCACACTGTCACAGAACAAACAGAGCTGTGACTTCCGTTTCCCAGGGTACGTGGCTGTTTCATGTTCTCCTGACAGCTCCATCACATTTCTGACAGTCTCTAAAATTTTGTTTTCCTCTGGGGAGGGAGAGGAGCACTAACCTTCCCTTCCCCTGGTCAGACAAAGGGGCCTCGTTGGCTGGCACACACCTGCTCCTCAGAGGTCAGTTACACTTTCCCTATCCCTCACTGACTCATGCCTCCAGGCCTCTGCACATGCTGCTCCCCCCAACCTGGAGTGCCCTCCTTTCTCCTTCGAGGCCCAGCTCCCCAGTGTCCCCCACTGGAGAGGGAGCTTCTGGAAGGCAGGAAATACCATAACTCATTGCAGCACCCCCAGCAGCTAGCACAGAGCCTGCCATACCGATTCACTTAGTTATCTGTCCTTCTATATGAGAAAAATACTTGGCTGAATATCCTAGGGTTAGGGTGGGGGTACAAATTGGTTCCTCGAACAAAAACAGTATCGCAGGTATTACAGAAGAAGAGATGTCCAAGTTTATGGATATAAACGTATTGCCTATAGCTGAGCATAGTGGCAAACGCCTGTGGTCCCAGCTACTCAGGAGGCTGAGGTGGGAAGATCACTTGAGCCTGGAAGGACGTGGGCACAATAGCTCACGCCTGTAATCTCAACACTTTGAGAGGCTATGGTGGGGAGATCATCTGAGGTCAGGAGTTCAAGACCAGCCTGGCCAACATGGCAAAACCTTATCTGTACTAAAAATATAAAAATTAGCTGGGCAGGCCGGACGCGGTGGCTCACGTCTGTAATCCCAAAACTTTGGGAGGCAGAGGCGGGTGGATCACGAGGTCAGGAGTTTGAGATCAGCCTGACCAATATGGTGAAACCCCATCTCTACTAACAATACAAAAATTAGCTGGGCGTGGTGGTGCGCACCTGTAATCCCAGCTACTCAGAAGGCTGAGGCAGGAGAATTGCTTGAACCTGGGAGGCGGAGGTTGCAGTGAGCTGAGATCGCGCCACTGCACTCCAGCCTGGGCGAGTGAGACTCCATCTCAAAAAAAAAAAAAAAAAAAAAAAAAAAAAATCTGGGCATGGTGGTGTGCGTCTGTAGTCCCAGCTACTTGGGTGGCTGAGGCTGGAGAATCGCTTGAACCCAGGAGGCAGAGGTTGCAGTGAGCCGAGATCACATCATTGCACTCCAGCCTGGACAACAGAGCGAGACTCTGTCTCAAGAAAAAAAAAAAAAGAAAAAAAGAAAAGAAAAGAAAAGAAGGCCGAGCACGGTGGCTCATGCCTATAATCCCAGCACTTT
The DNA here is from genome assembly GCF_000001405.40 of Homo sapiens. NCBI lineage: Eukaryota > Metazoa > Chordata > Mammalia > Primates > Hominidae > Homo > Homo sapiens. The sequence goes on along the minus strand of NC_000022.11, from coordinate 39,544,191 downwards.
GGGAGGCCAAGGCGGGTGGATCACCGGAGGTCGGGAGTTCAAGACCAGTCTGACCAACCCCGTCTCTACTAAACATACAAAATTAGCTGAGGTGGTGGCTCATTCCTGTAATCTCAGCTACTCAGGAGGCTGAGGCAGGAGAATCCCTTAAACCTGGGAGGCGGAGGTTGCAATGAGCCGAGATTGCGCCATTGCACTCTAGCCTGGGCAACAAGAGCGAAACTCCATCTCAAAAAAAAAAAAAGGAAAGAAAAGAAAAAGAAACTTACTGCCTAAATCAACCTTAAAGACAATTGAATAGAATCTTCCCCCCCACCCTTGGTACCATTTTGCAGATGAGAAAACTAAGGCTGAGAGAGAAAAGGCCTCTTGCAAGATTGTCCAGGAAGACAGTGGTATCTGAGACTGTGGGAAGGATCTTTCTGAGCAGGAGGAGTGGGGGCCGGCTCTCTCTCTTAGGCCCCTGGGCTGGCCTGGGCCAAACACACCTCTCCGGAGAGAATCTTTGAGCCCAGCAGGAAGATGGCCCCACCTCCCCTCCTCCACCACTCCACCTGCCAAAGGATCCCAGCCATCAAATAATGAACGATTCCTAATTTACTTACAACTTTAATTCATCTGGGTCTCTGAGGAACTAGGGACTGGAGACTCAGCTGGAGTCTGAGAAACACTCAGTAATTCCCAAGAGGGAGGGAGGATTTCCTCTCCTGTTTCACAGAAGGGAGAAGGAGAGACTAGAAGCTCTCATTTTCCTGCAGAACTCTGTATACCACTGCTTCCCTGCAAGAAATCCCCCTTCAGACTTGAGCTTTGGGTCGGGGAGGCAGGGGGTAGAGAAAGTAAGGGACAGAGGAGAACGCCCCCACGTGGTACTGGAAAGCACACAGGGCTCGCGCACGCAGCCGGGGAATTGGTTGCAGATGGCCGTATGATCATAATCCTGGTGAGCGTTTCTTGAGGTCTTCTCTTGGCAGGCACTTTATCTGACTTAACTTTTGTTTTGGGGTTTTTTGTTTTTTTGTGTTTTTTGGTTTTTGTTTTTAGATGGAGTCTCGCCCTATCACCCAAGTTGGAGTTCAATGGCACGATCTTGGCTCACTGCAGGCTCTGCCTCCTGGGTTCAAGCGATTCTCGTGCCTCAGCCCCCTGAGTAGCTGGGATTACAGACGCATGCCACCATGCCTGGCTAATTTTTGTGTTTTTAATAGAGATGCGGTTTCACCATGTTGGCCGGGCTGGTCTTGAACTCCTGACCTCGTGATCTGCCCACCTCAGCTTCCCAAAGTGCCGGGATTACAGGCGTGAGCCACTGCCTGTGTGAGCCTGGCGGGATTGTTTTTTTTTTTTAAGATAGAGTCTTTCTCTGTTGCCCAGGCTGGAGTGCAGTGGCGTGATCATGGCTCACTGCAACCTCGAACTCCCAAGTTCAAGCAATCCTCCCACCTCGGCCTCTCAAAGTGATGTATTGGGTGGCTCACACCTGCAGTCTCAGCAGTTTAGGAGGCCAAGGTGGGAGGATTGCTTGAAGCCAGGAGTTTGAGACCAGCCTAGAGAACATGATGAGACCCTGTTTCTACAAAAAAAAAAGTTTTAATTAGCCGGGCATGGTGGCATGCACCTGTGGCCCCAGCTACTAGGGATGCTGAGGTGAGAGGATCATTTGAGCCCAGGAAATCAAGGCTGCAGTGAGTTGTGTTTGCACCACTGCACTCCAGTCTGGGCAACAGAATGACACCCCACCTCCTCCACATTCCAAACGGCCCCTGGCACATAGTAGCACTCAACAGATTTTTTTTAACCTAAACAAATGGTTTGACACTTATTCATTCATTCAACAATGGCATCTGGCACATAGTAGGTGTCATGCATCTACCAGGCACCACTGGGGGCTCCAGCCACAGCAGAGGAACAAGACAGACCGAAGCCCCAGGTGCTTACGTTCTGTGGGGAAAGACAGACAAGAAGCAAGATGAAGAAGTAAGCTGTGAGTTTGGGTGGGGGCTGGGGGGCGTCAAGGGCTGTGTCAATGGCTGCCACCTGTGGAGTAATTACTGCCCTGCCTGGCTGGCGGTTTCTCACCCCACCCTCCTGGCCACATTTTGAGGTGGGTGTGATTATTCTTTTCATTTCATAGATGAGGAAACTGAGGCAGAGGCAGGGTAAGTCTCTGGCCTCTGGTCATAGACAGAATCTGAACCAGGCCATCTGCCTCCAGAGTCCCTGCTAGAAGCCACCATGCTAACTGGGGGCGGAGGGTGGGATGTCTTAGACAATGCCCAAGCTGCCAAGCGCAGTGGCTCACTTGCATAATCCCAACATTTTGGGAGGCCAAGGCAGAGGATCACTTGAAGGCAGGAGTTCGAGACCAGCCTGAGCAACACAGTAAGATCTCATCTCTACAAAAAATCAAGGCCAGGCACAGTGTCTCATGCCTATAATCCCAGCACTCTGGGAAGCCTAGGCGAGTGGACCACCTGAGGTCAGGAGTTGCAGACCAGCCTGGCCAAGATGGCGAAACCCCGTCTCTACTGAAAAAAAATACAAAAATTAGCCAGGTGTGGAGACAGGCGCCTGTAATTCCAGCTATTCGGAAGGCTGAGGCAGGAGAATCGCTTGAGCCCGGGGCATAGAGGTTGCAGTGAGCCGAGATCGTGCCGCTTCACTCCAGTCTGGGCGAAAGAGCAAGACTCCGTCTCAAAAAAAAAAAAAAATCAAAAGATTAGCCAGGCGTGGTGGTGTGCACCTGTAGTCCCAGCTACTAGTGAGACTCTGTCTCAAAAAAAGAAAAAAAAAAAAAAAAAACAGAAAAAGAAAATGCCGAAGCCAAAACTCTTCCAAAGCTCTGTGTGCCTGTGAGCAGGGTTCCTTCACAGAGAGAGCCACACACAGTGTCACACAAGGCCCCACCCTCAGAAGGGCCTCATGCTTGGCTAATGCTCTGCTGTGGCCACCTCGAAATGTTTAACAATTTTCTAACAAGGGGCCCCGCCCTTCTTTTTTAGATGGAGTCTCACTCTGTCACCCAGGCTGGAGTGCAATGGCGTGATCTCAGTTCGCTGCAAGGTCTGCCTCCCAGGTTCAAGCAATTCTCCTGCCTCAGCCTCCCGAGTAGCTGGAATCACAGGTGCCTGCCACCACACCTGGCTAATTTTTGTATATTTTAGTACAGACAGGGTTTCACCATGTTCGCCAGGCTGGTCTCAAACTCCTGACTTCAAGTGATCTGCCTGCCTCGGCCTCCCAAAGGGCTGGGATTACAGGCATGAGCCACTCTCCCGGCCAAGCCCTGCCTTTTTATTTTGCTGTGGGCTCCACATATTACATAGCCAGTGCTGCCCTCAGGGTAACAATGCTTTGCCTGGTGTTCAGGCCCCCAGCTGGTTTCCTTCCCTGCCTCCCCTCCTTTCCAACTCTGGCACCACCAGCCCTTATCACACCAAGGCAGGGTCTCTCTGCAGGGACAGCACCACTCTTTTCTGTGTCTCCAAAGCCCAGCCCTGAGGGACAGAAAATGGAGACTCAGGGAGCATCTCCTGGGTTGGATACCACGGGCTGGAATGGACTGAACTGGCCCCCTGTTGGGGGTCTTCGTGGAGTTTGTTGGTCCAGTGTTCAACTCTTTTCTCTTTTCTCCTCTGAGCTCCTACAGTTCCCTTCTGGCCACATCCTGCCTCCTGGTCCAGGGCACCTCACACAGATGCAGCCCTCCGAACACACCTACCCAAGAGCTCTGGGGTTCAGGGAAGTCCCCCTGACCTCCTCAGGCCCTGTTCCCTGCACGCTCAGCTCTACCATGCAGGGTGAACAGGAGCACACTTTTGCACCTTCTCTCTGCTGGCCAAGGGGGCCCAGAGGGGCGGACTGTCCTAGGCTGGCACCTAGTACACGGTAGGGAGCCCAAGCCCCAACACTCATTCTTCTCTAAGTCCACCTCCCAGCGACCTCATGATCCCCAGGTGTGGATTCCTCTGTGGCTGAGGAAACCCCAGGGCCTGGAAGAAGGCTCAGCTCCTGGCCAGGGAAGTGGAGAGGCTGAGGCGCAGGCTTCTTAGTCCTTTGTGTTCTCGAAGGCTGAGCCCACAGGGGGAATGGTTTGGAAGACTGAGTGAGCATGTGACTTTGAAACTGTGGCAAAGCCTGTTGCTCCTCATTGTGCCTCTGTACCCCTCCTGTGATACAGACCATGCCAGAGCCCCAGCCTGGCTTCCCAGAGGGATCAAGGGGGACTGTCACGAGGGGAACTGGAAGATGTATTAGTCAGTACATGTTAGGCTATGCTATCAAAATTCTAAAATCTCAGAACTTTAATACAACAATAGTTGGGGTTTTTTTTTAATTTTTTTAGAGGCAGGGGCTCACCTTTGTTCTTGATGGGATGCATTCTCACCAGCTCAATGTTAAGAATGCAAAATTGGGCTGGGTGTGATGGCTCACAGCTGTAATCCCAGCACTTTGGGAGGCCAAGGCAGTGGATCACTTGAGGCCAAGAGTTCAAGACCAGCCTGGATGACACAGTGAAACCCCACCTCTACAAAAAATACAAAAATGAGCCGTGTGTGGGTCAGACAAGGTGGCTCACATCTGTAATCCCAGCACTTTGGGAGGCCAAGGCAGGCAGATCACGAGGTCAGGAGTTCAAGACCAGCCTGGCCAATATGGTGAAACCCCATCTCTACTAAAAATACAAAAATTAGCCAGGCGTGGTGGCGCGCACCTGTAGTCCCAGCTACTCTGGAGGCTGAGGCAGAAGAATCACTTGAACCCAGGAGGCAGAGGTTGCAGTGAGCCAAGATCATGCCACTGCACTCCAGCCTGGGCAACAGAGCAAGACTCCAACTAAAAAAAAAAAAAAATTATTCAGGTGTGGTGGTGCATACCTGTAGTCCCAGCTGCTCCAGAGGCTGAGGCAGGAGGATTGCTTGAGCCCAGGAGGCAGAAGGTGCAGTGAGCCTAGATCGCACCACTGTACTCCAGCCTGGGCAACAGAACAAGACCGCGTATATCCTTCCCCTCCTGGCACTTAGTATAAGGCCACAATCATGGAAGCCTAGGGGCTGAAAGGTCTGCACAGAACAGCTGTGCATGCTCTCTCTTTCTCTCTCTCTCTGTCATAATTGCTAATTTATAATTTATACTCTCAGCTATTTCTAAAGAGGATTTTTTAAGTGAAATAAAAGATCAGAAACCACTAGGGAATAGGCATGAGCTAGATGTACTAGAAAGTTGACATGAACGTTTATTAGAGCTGAATAATATAGGGATATAATACAGTCATGTAATAAATTACACTTAGGACAATTGAATAATAATTTCCAACCTGAGCTTCCTACCAGCAGAGGCAAAAAGGCCTCACATATTCACCTCTTGCTGCTTCTTTTGCCAGCTGTCTTTTCCCTTCTTAAAATTTCTTCTCTTTATCCTCCCTTGTTTTCAGATCCGCTGGGAGAAGAAAGACCCCCTCCCCATTTTCTAGGTATCCATATCCAACTTGCAAGGAAAGAACAGCATAAAGTTAAATGGTTACATGATTAGCAGGATGGAAGCTTCAGCCTGAAGAAATGAGTCTACATAGGCCTTAAAGGTACGTCCTACACCATCTTTTTGGCTCCTTGTCCACAGATGGAGCAGGGAGTAGGACTTGAAGGCAGGAGACAGCCTTGACCCCACACAGGGAGCGGTCCAGGCCTCCAGGCCTTGGCTTCAGGGAGTTCCCGGGAACCTCATTGGAAGGCAGACTCCCTTCCCTGATGGCTCATACATTAATTCACTGAATCCCCAGGACGGGCGTGCAAGAGAGGACTTGTTATCTCCAATTCACAGATAGGGATACTGAGGCCAAGAAGGAGAAATGATTTGTGCATGGTTACCCAGCTCCCTTTCCCTGAAGACATGGCCTCAGGGCAGGAGCCCCCCAAGCTGTGGATGAGATGCTCAGAGTTCTGAGCTGGGGAGGAAAGGGGCTTCTGGGCAGGCCCCAGCTTGGTCTGGAAGGATCAGAAGATGGAGACTTGCTCCTCTCCCCAACCACCCCACAGACGCCAGTTGCTATGACAACAGGGCCTCCCTTCCAAGGGTATTGGTTGGAAATTTGCATTTTAATGGAGACATAATTAGAATTAAAGGACGGAGATTAGAAGGGACAGAACTCTCCCCAACCCCATTCTAGCCCCTTGGGAGCCAGAACCCCCACCACAGAGATCTTGAGGCCCCAGAACCACCCACTCCCCACGCCCTCCTCTCCCAAAGCCCTATAGGGATATTTTCTCTGCGACAAAGTGCTATGTCTGTCCCTACTGCCCAGATGGGGATAGCAAAGCCCAGAATAGAGGAGGGACTTATTCTAGATCTTACAGCGAGGTCAAGTTCCCAGAGCCAGGTGACATCCGCTCTGCCTAAGGACCTCCCATCTGACCCCAACCTACTGGTAAGGTCTTTGGGTACAAGTTGGCTTGAGGAAGGGGTGCTTGCTTGCTAAGGGGCCCCCAAGTTCTCCCCTCAGTCTTCCAAGCTCACCCTTTCCTCTTCCTGTAACCTCTTAACATCTCAGTGGCCCTGGGGACCTGGCAGGACTGGGGACTCCGCCCCATCTTTCTCCAGGGACTGGGAGGAATGTACCCAAGATCACACAGCAGGCCAGGCACTGGTGGCTCATGCCTGCAATCCCAACACTTTGGGAGGCCAAGGCAGGCAGATCACCTAAGGTCAGGAGTTCGAGACCAGCCTGGCCAACATGGTGAAACCCTGTCTCGACTGAAAATACAAAAATTAGCCAGGCACACCGGCGGGCCTCTGTAATCCTAGCTACTCGGGAGGCTGAGACAGAAGAATCGCTTGAACCCAGGAGAAGGAGGTTGTAGTGAGCCAAGATCGCGCCACTGCCCTGCAGCCTGGGGGACAGAGCAAGACTTGCTCTCCAAAAAAAAAAAAATAAAAACAAAAAAAAACAAAAAAAAAAAACTTCACACAGTAGCTTAATGGCAGAGCCGCATCTTTGGCTGGTCAGGGTGGAGACATTAAAAAGACCCCACCTTTGACCCCCACCCGGGGGTTACTGGCTGACCCCATATCTCCATGGATAATTTCCAGTAGCTTCTTCTGTGTCTTCATTATACCCTTAAAATCAGGCATGCCACTATTTCACCATTCACATGATTGGAAAGAAGCCACTTGGCCTCTGCCTGGATGCCCTGAGGGGGCTGCTGTCCCTGGGACTGGTGGGTGCCACCCTGAACCCTGCAGACCCTGGACGACAGAGACTCACACTTGCTGAGAGTGTAACACGAGCATGTGGGCACCGCCAGGCCCAACGGAGCCCTTCATTCACCCCAATGCCCGCCTCCTGCACGTGGAGCAGCTCCTGGTTCACGCTCAGCAAATGCTGGCTGGTTTTTCTCCTATTGGCTGCTCCGTCAGTGGTATCAGCAGGTATTTATTGACTGCACAGATGAATAAATGCCAGGCCTGGTGCTGAGCACATTTCATGCCACCTCACTGCACCTCCAACAGACCCCAAGCGCCCCCTCGAAGCTCAGAAAGGTGAGGTAGGTGCCCAGGTCACACATCTGCTAAGCGGCAAAGGCGGCGTCTGAACGGGAATCAGCGACTCCAGGCTGTCAGGTGTTACTCCCTGTGGCCTCCAACCTAACCGTGTGTGAGCACAAGAGTGTGGAAATCCAGAGGCGACATACAAGTGCAGGTCACACCCACAGATGGGGGCCCAGGTCCCACCGGCACACTGCTGTCCACAGAGCAATCACTGATTCACAAACTAGAGTGCTTATTCTGCGTCCAACGGAATTCCAAATGCTCAACCCTCGATCCTCACAGCAGCCTTATGAGGTAGGGATTATTATCATAGTCAACTCATAAACGAAGAAACCGAGGCACAGAGAGGTTGTGGGACTTGCCCAAAGTCACACAGCTAGTAAGTGGAAAAGCCAGGATGTACAGCCTGGCTCTGGAGCAAGTGCTCCCTTCATACCACAGGAGCCAGGAGCTCCGGGCGCCTCCCGCCTCGGCCCTGTATGGAGGACTGGACAATACTCTCTAAAGCCCCCAAAACCTCGGAAGAGGAAATGGGCTAGGGGAGGGAGGGCGGCTTGCCTGTGGACACACAGCTGTGTGAGCCGAGGCCTTGTGGAAACCGGGGCATCTGTGCCAGCCCCAGACCACCAGGACACCCTCTCCAGAACTGCTCACCTCCCAGAGACCCTACGGTCCCCTCTCCAGGGGGCCACTGGTCCCTGGGGGCCACACACATACTCTTGCTTAGGACCCGGAGACCTGGGCTTGAGTCCTGACTCTGTTCTTGAAGGGCTGCACAGCCCTGCAGAAAGCCACCTGCCTCTCAGCCTCCCAGGCCCAGGGTAGTTAAGCTGTTTCACGGAGCCTGGGAGGAGACATAGGGCATGGGGGCCGAAGGGCCCTTTATGGCGATGGTTCCTCTGTGTGGCCAAAAGCCTCAGTGCGGGGATCAGGGGCAGGCAGGGACCCAGTGTGGAAACAGGCTCAGAGCAGTGAAGCCGCTCATCCAGGGTCATGCCAGGTGGGGAACTAGCCTGGGAGACCTCATGACCCGCCCTCCCACAGGGAGACAGGAAGCAGCTGCCCAACCCCCCTCCCCCTCCCCCAGCTTGACCCATCAGGGCCAACGTCAAGACTGGCAGGTCGCAGGTGCCCAAATGCGGGCTGTGGGGTGATCTGCTTGGGCCCAACAGTGGCTGCCCCTGCCCATCCCGTCTTGCCCAGAGGGAGCAGGTAGCATGGCAGCGCTGTAGCACCCTCTACACGCAGTCCCTGGGCGCAGACCCACCCAGGCCCGGCCCACACGGCACGGTATTGATCCACCGGTTCTCACACCTCTCCTAGAAGGGGGATGCTGCCCTGCCAAGCCCCATCCAACCAATGAGGAAACTGAGGCACTCTTTGTTAAGGGATTGCTGGGGTCACACAGCTCCCAGCTGTCATTTGCACACTTTTCAGGAAGGGACCTCGCCCCCCGCCCTGGGCAGCCCAGCCTGGTGGCTCTGCCTCAGCTTCCCCAGCCACTCCTCCAGGCCAGGGTGAGAGTGGGAGGGGGTGCGGGACAGCAGGAAGCCGGGGCCACACGGTGCTGGCTGCAAGGAGCCAGCCGAGGCAGAAGGACGTCCGGACCCCCACCCCCACCTAGCCCGGGTGGGCGCAGCTGAGGCCTTGGAGTCTCGCCGCGTGAGAAAGCTGTCCTGCGGCGCCACCTATTGGCAGAAATGCGCCCGGCCCCGCGGATGTGCTGATAACTCCGCGGGAGGCTGGGGCAGCGCCTGGCCTGCCGTCCCGCCCGTGCCCGGCTGGGCTGCGGACGCTGCAGGGGTCCACCTGGCACGTTGGCAGAAAACTCCTCCACCCGGGGGACCGTGGGCTGATTCAGCCTAGATCGGGAGGAGGACAGAGCTTGGTCCTTTGCCCTCCTGAGAGGCTGACTCGCTGCACATCCCACGACCTCCTGGGCCTCAACCCAGCGGCTCACTGGCGTCCCAAACTCAGCTCTCATCCACTCATTTCGTGCGTTTCTGAACTCTTACCGTATGCCAAGCACTGTTCCAGGCGCTAGGGATATAACAATGAACAAAACAAAGATCCCTGCCTTGCGGAGCTTACAGTGGGGTATGGGCGGGGAAACAGACAATACGCAATACACATAATAAGTAAGACAACAATCCGGCTATGTTAGAAGCAGGAAGGAGGCATATGTCTGAACAGTCACTGGGTTCCAGGCCCCACACTCCCCTTAGGACAAAATCATGGAGTCTGAGGCCTTTGCGACCCTCCAGCCCAGCATGGCATCCTGAAGGGCCACTCGTGTGTCACAGGGGATAGGTCCTCGCTACAGCGGTCTCCGCCTAGAACAATCCCCGCTGCCCATACATGGTCAGCTCCTCCTCACCCTCCAGGGGCCTACCTGACCCCATGGCTTGACAGGCCCCACCCAGCACCACAGCACTGCTCTCCCTGGTGGCTGGGACAGGAGCGCCCCCACAAATCCTGCGGCCAGGCTGCCAGTCTTAACTCCCACCCCTGACTCCACCCGTGTGACCTTCGCCTCTCTGTGTTTGTTTCCTCGTCTGTAAAATGCAAAAGACAATTCCTACCTGGAAGGGTAGGGGGGATAAACAAGTTAACAAATGTAAAGCACGTAGAACAGCACAAATGCTTGAGTTTGTGTTGGTTGTTATTATTACTCTCTAGCCGATGGAGCTTAAACGGTGTGGTCTATCCCGGAGGACGAACTCCAGGTCCCACACTCTGTGGTGTCAAGTACACAGAAGGCCCTCAGAACCCGGCTGAGTGAACCCAGTGGTCCCTTCTGATTCACCGTTCACTTATTGCGTGTCTTCTCCATGCCAGGTGCTGGGCTGCCAGCTGCAGATGGAGCAGCGAACAAGCCCAGGGCTCCTCCCCCAGGTAAGCAGTGTCACTTCTAGGCCAGAGGGGCTCAAATGTTTTGGTCTAAGAAGCTTCTTACATTTAAAACTTCAGAATCCCCTCACTCCTGTAATCCCAGCACTTTGGGAGGCTGAGGTGGGCGGATCACTTGAGGTCCGGAGTTCAAGACCAGCCTGGCCAACATGGCAAAACCCCGTCTCTACTAAAAATTTTTTAAAAAGAAAATTAGCCGGCCGTGGTGGCGGGCGTCTGTAATCTCAGTTACTCGGGAGGCTAAGGCAAAAGAATCGCTTGAACCCGGGAGGCGGAAGTTGCAGTGAGCCGAGATCGCTGCACTCCAGCCTGGGCGACAGAGCGAGATTCCGTCTCAAAAAAAAAATTAATTTAATTAAATAAAATAAATTTTAAAAAATTCAGGATCCCAAAGAACTTTTGTATGTAGGCAACTGATATTTGCCATACTAGAAACTAAAACAAAAATTTTACATATTCATTAATTCACTTAAAATGACAATAAACCCATTGCTTGGTAACATAAACAACGTATTTTATGAGAAATAATTGTAGTTTTCAAAACAAAGATATGTCTTTAATGTCTGGCTTAAGGGAAGACAACTGGATTCTCATGCTGCACTCAACCTGTGCGATACCTAGTGCTGGTTGAAGTATATGAAAAACACTCCGCCCTGTCCCCATCCTAGCCCGCCACGGAGCCACGAGACCCGAGAGGATTGGCCAACCCGGCGGAGCAGGTTGCGGACGGCTTCCGGGGAAGGAGGGGACTGAGCGCCAGGAGCCAGGTAGATTGGGATTGAGTAACACATGTGTCTTTCTGCGCCTTGGACCCGCCTCCAGTTTCCGCCCCTTCTTCCGCTCAAGTGTAAACCCCTAACGCATGCGTCCTAAGAAAGATGGGCACTTCCGCCCATCCCCCTCCGGATCCCTCTGTTCGGGCTCGGGTTTCCGCCGAGACGACAGGGACTGCCAGGTCGGAAGTAGTGTGAGGCTCGTGGGCGGAGCCAAGCGCCGCCATGTCCGCCGCCCTGCTGCGGCGGGGCCTGGAGCTGCTGGCGGCGTCCGAGGGTGAGGAGGGCTGGCCAGGGGACGTCCGGCGCGGGCAGGAGGATGGTAGTGGCTGCGGGCGGGAGCCCTGGATGGAAAACAATCCAGGCCGGGCTTAGCCCCAGTGGCATGGGAACGCTGCGCGCCCTCTGACCTGGGTCTCTTCCTCTCTCTTCCCCTACAGCCCCCCGGGACCCTCCAGGTCAGGCCAAGCCGAGAGGGGCTCCGGTGAAACGGCCCCGGAAGACGAAGGCAATTCAGGCCCAGAAACTGCGGAACTCGGCCAAGGGAAAGGTGCCCAAGTCGGCACTGGGTAAGTTCGGGAAGGGGCTGAAAGTGCTGCCTCCGGTGCTGGGACCTGCGCCCCAGAGGAGGTGGCGCTTGAGGCAGGGCTTGAAGCGTTCGCCCGGTATTGCTAGACCTACTGTGTGCCAGGCGCGGAGCGGGGCCCTGGACATACGAAGGTGACAGAACACGCCACCGTCCTGGTCCTCGTGGACTACGGCCCTAGTGGGGAGAGAAGCATCAAAGAATATCAAACCCAGTGTGTCATTGCTAAGTGCATTGAAGCCTATGAATTAAAAGACTACGGTACTCTGATGGGGACTTAGGCCAAGTCAGCCTTCTCTGAGGAAGCGACATTTCAGCCGAGAGCTGAAGGATGTATAAGAGTGAGCTAGGTGAAAAGTAGGAGAATATTCTAGGAAGAATAGTATGTGCAAAGGTCCTGAGTCAGAAAGGAGGTTGTTGCCTTTGAGAATTTGAAAAAATAAAGGCTGGTAAAGGTGACCTAGTGAATGAGGATCAAAGATGGAGCATTTAAACACATTCACTAACACTCTGTACCAGGTGCTGATTCTAAGTGCTGTACAAATGTAAGCTCGTTTGATCCTTACAGCAGCCCTTTGAGGTCGATACTACTATCACCCCCGTTTTACAGATTCAGAAAAAGGCACCTGCCCAGGTGGTACAGGCATTGTGGCTGCCCGGGCATTGTGTCTCCAGAGTGCTGCTATTACCTACTCCATTGAAATAGGACATGCTGTGGCCTGGGCAGTGGCTATAGCAGCAGAGATAACAAGAGAATTGTGCAGGTGGAAAATATGTTAAAGAGGGGGCAGCAGAGAATTTCAGCCTTTAGAGGGGTTTTAGTGGTGAATTGGCTGTGAAGGTGGAGCCTAGTTTCTTGGGGGACGTAGTGTCACTTAATAGACATAAAGACTTTCGGAGGGGCTGGTGTAGGCAAGATGGTGATATTTTGACATGTGTCAGGACGTGGCAAGCTCTTACTGTGTCTGAATCCCTAGAGTCTAATGCATAAAAGATGTTAAAGTATTTGTTAAAAGAATTATGAATTCCAAGGAGGAAATACAACTTAAGCCAAAGTCTGGAGGCAGGAAAGTGAGACAGGTTTGAGCCCCAGCGATACTTGCCATGAAGCAGGAGTGTGGAGTGCCAGAGGTCATTCCCATCTGTCCCAGCCCTTGTCTCACTGTCGTGTCCTGGGTGCTCACCCACCTCCCCTGTTGGATGGAAGCTCCTAAAGGCACACACCTCCTTGGGCTTGTCCGCAGCCTTGGTGTCCACCACAGGTTTTGGCACATAGATGCTGAGTGAGAGGAATGGCAAGCCTCGCAGCCAATGGAAAGAACACCTCTGCAGCTGCCACTTTGCTCCAAGCTGCATCGTCTCTTGCCTGAATTATTGCAGAAGCCTAGCCGGTCTCCTGCCTTCCACATGCCCCTCCCCCCGTAATCTTGTTCTCAACAGCAACCAAAGTGATCGTGTAAAATCAGAAGTCATTCCTTGTTTTTCCTCTGGGTGGCTCTCATTGTAGTCACTAAAAGGTGGCGGTCTTAGGGTGCCTGACAAGGGCTATATGACCTACCCCCACCCCCAGCCAAACTTGGTCTCTTCCTGCTACCCACTCCCCCTACTCCAGCTGTTTTTGTTGTTGTTTTTGGTTTGTTTTTTTTTTTTTTGAGATGGAGTCTTGCTTTGTCACCCAGGCTGGAGTACAGTGGTGCAGTCTCATCTCACTCCAACCTCTAGCCTCCCGAGTTCAAACGATGCTCCTGCCTCAGCCTCCCGAGTAGCTGGGATTACAGGTGCCCACCACCACACCCAGCTAATTTTCGTTATTTTTAATACAGACGGGGTTTCACCATGTTGGCCACGCTGATCTCGAACTCCTGACCTCAGGTGACCTGCCTGCCTCGGCCTCCCAAAGTGCTGAGATTACAGGTGTGAGCCACCGCACCCAGCCATTCCAGCTGTTTTGTGTTTTTCAAACACATTTGACACATTTCTGCTTCAGGGCCTTTGCACTGGGTGTTCCCTCTACCTAGACAAATGCTCTTTCCCCGGATATCCACAGCTCTCTTCGAGTCATTTCAGTGAGACCTTCTCATTCCCTCCTATTTGAAATTGCACCCTCCACCCCTGGAATTCCCCTTTTCTGTTTCCTCTTTTGTTTTTCTCCATGAAATGTTTGCGCTTCTAAAATACTGGGTCCTTTGTCCTTCATCTCTCACTGAAGCGAAAGCTCCAGAGTAGCTCCCTTGGTGAGTAGTATTCAGGACATAATTGTTGGAAAATGGGGGTGGGGGCCAAGAGCCTGGGGCTTTCAGCAGGACCTGTGTGGAGAATGCATTTGATGGAGAAGAGCCCAGCCGCTGTAATAACCTGGGAAGGGAACGATGAGGTCTTTGGCAGGGCCATGGGCCAGGGACTGAGAATGGTTCCAGGGGGAGTGAATCTGAAATGGTGCTCCCTGCCTGCTACCCACAGACGAGTACCGGAAGCGAGAGTGTCGAGACCACCTCAGAGTAAACCTGAAGTTTCTGACCAGGACGAGAAGCACCGTGGCTGAGTCTGTGAGCCAGCAGGTTGGTCGAGGGTACTATAGGAAGGGACCTGGGAGGTGAGAGCCGAGGCTGTTCCCCTAGGGACCCATGGCGGTCTCAGCCCTGAGCATAGGGTGGGAGGCTGGGCCAGCCCTGCCCTGCGCCGAACTCCCCTGTGACCTTTGCGGGCCTCCTCTGCTCTTGAAATGATGGGCCCTCGGTCCCGCACCCTCGCCAGATTTTGCGCCAGAACCGGGGCCGCAAGGCCTGTGACCGGCCTGTGGCCAAGACCAAGAAGAAGAAGGCTGAGGGCACCGTGTTCACCGAGGAAGACTTCCAGAAGTTCCAGCAGGAATACTTCGGCAGCTAGGCTCCCTGGAGGGCACGGTGAAGAGGCCTTCAAGCCCTGCAGCCTCCGACTCCTGCTGGCTCCAGGAACCGGCCGTGCCGCGCGGCCAGCAGATGGCGATGCAGGACCAGCCTGGCTCGAGGAAGCCGCGGAGCTGAGCCGAGTGGAGGCTGGAATGGAGCTGGTGGGCCGGAAGTCCTGGGGAGGATTTACACACAGACCGGAGCTGGCTTCCGCAGGCCTGGGCAGAGCATCTGCACCTGCCGGAAAGGAACGTATCTGTTTTGTTTGCTTTTGCCCAGGTGGGGCCTCTGGGCTGTTTGCTGTGGAGCAAGGCTAATTCCTGAGCCCTTGGGGACGACAGCTCCAGGAGTAGGAAGAAGGGTGGGCTTCCAAGTTACAATAAATGTGAACCCAAGAGCTGTGTTTGCTGCTGGTCTGCCCCACAGGGTGTCTCCCATCTCCTGTGGCACCAAAGCGCCACGCTGCCTTCCCCATCTCCCAGCGTGCTTCTGAGCTCCGGGTCACAAGTCCTCCAGTCCAGCCCCGGCAGGCAGCCATCAGAACACCCACCTCTGCTGCCAGGGGCGCCTCCCTCCTCTGGGGATGGCCACCACAGCTGAAAAGGTGACTCTTGAGGCAAAAATAGCTGCTGGGAGCAGTTCCAGTGCAGGTGGCTGGGTCCGGCAGTGGGAGTGTTGCTACTTCCGCCTGCGCCCGGGGAGCGTGGAGTCCGCCATGAGCGGAGCATTTCACCCGGTGTGTTCCTTTTCTGGCTCATGCTCTGGTGAGCAGCCAGGTGGGGTCAAATGCCTGTCATAGTGGGGAGGGGACAGTAGAGAGGACTCAGGAGGTAACCTGAAGAAACGGTTTCACACTCAGGTGTGCCTGAGCTGAAGGATGGAGGCGAGGGGAGGCAGGCGGGACCCTTCCAGCAGGCATGGGGTGGGATCAGGAGGTGAAGGACAGGCAGGCACTGAATGACTGTGTGAGTGAAGACAGGAGGCGGAAGCGGAGGCAGGGCCAGCGGAGGAGAGGTGAGAAGTGAGAGCCCAGGAGTCTTTCATCAGGGGGCCTGAGGGGAAGGGACCTGGGAAGCCTTCAGGCAGCTGCTTTTGTCTCCTAAACTCTCTCCTCCCCACCATAGCCTAAGGGCTCCTTTGCTGTGGTGACTCCCATTGCTGCTGGTCGAGAGCCTGGCAGTCCCCTGAGGCTGGGTTTGATGGGAGTGACATCTGGCTCCCTGGGTTCCCTGACGACATTGCCTTCGGGCCTGTTATTTGTAACAGCACTTGCTCCCCCACTGCCCTGGGTGGTCTGTTCCTGGTCTTTAACCGTGTTCCATCCTAAATGAGGACATGAGGGGGCCACACATCTTCCGGGGGCAGAGCTGGAGTCAGGTCCTGTCTCCAGGCGACCTCCATCAGCAGGGGGATGGGGAGGGAGTGTGCTGTGACCCCAAACCTTAGAGACCAGGGCCTCTTCCTGCCTGCTGGGCTGTAATGACCCCACTGGGCAGAGAAACTTGGATATCCGTGGAGACTAGTGGCCTTAATATTTTAAGCGGCTTAACAAAAAGCCAACTCAGCCTCTAGCGCCTGGAAGAACAGGCTGACCATAGGCCCAGGGCCCCTTTCTAACAAGAACACGCCCACTGTTACATAATCGCCCAGGTGTTCTTCCTGCTCCCTCCCTGTGTAGAGTGCAGAGTGACAGGCACTGTCCCACGAGGAGGATGGGAGCCAGGGTCCTGCTGCTTCCCCACTTGTGAGCTTCCCCATAAATCTTACACTTAATGCCAAATAACACTATTGGGTGCCTGTCCATGCCCCTCTGGGTGACAGTCATTTGTGTTTACTGCTGGCACTCTGGTCCAGTGGGTCAAGGACAGGACACTGAGGAGTCTGCCTTTTAACTGTCACCCTGAGCAGTTCTGGTGCAGCTGTCTGGAAGGCAGCAGGGAGCTGGGGTGACTGGGGTAGCACTGGAGGAGAGAGGGTTTGTCCCCATGGGGGGCCGAAGAGGTGCTGTGATGGCCAGGACCTGGTGACCAACAGGGCCCAAATAAGAGGACACTGAGGCCAGACATAGTGGTTCACACATGTAATCCCAGCACTGTGGGAGGCTGAGGCAGGTGGATCACCTGAGGTCAGGAATTCAAGACCAGCCTGGCCAACATGGCAAAATTCCATCTCTACAAAAAAAATACAATAATTAGCTGGGCATGGTGGTGTGCACTCATGGTCCCAGCTGCTTGTGGGGAAAAGGGCTGGGGTGGGAAGATCACTGGGACCCGAGAGGCAGAGGCTGCAGTGAGCCAAGAT
Source organism: Homo sapiens (assembly GCF_000001405.40). Taxonomy (NCBI): domain Eukaryota; kingdom Metazoa; phylum Chordata; class Mammalia; order Primates; family Hominidae; genus Homo; species Homo sapiens. Next base: position 39,527,188 of record NC_000022.11, on the reverse strand, counting down.
GGCGTTACTGCACCTCAGCCTGGGTGACAGCAAGACCCTGTCTCAAAAAAAGAGGACACTGAGTTGTCACTTCAACCCAGGGCCGACAGGACAAAGCAGGAGGCCTCCCTCAGTCTAGACATCATGGATGGGTATGAAAGCACCGGAAGCGTCACAGGTGGTTTGGGGAAGCAGGGTTTGAGGAAGCCACCCCATGACCCAGAGGAGGGCCCCAGCCATGGCTTCCTGTGTCTTCCACAGTGGGATGGGCTGCTCAAGCCCCCACACTCTCTGGCCCTCTTTGCTACTAGAGGAGTTGGCCAAGGGGGCCAGGCAGGAGTGGGCCAGGACTGCAACATGGGACTCTGCTGAGGCCCAGCTGCAGGCTCAGAGCTTAGCCTGGGCAAAGGCCTCCGCCACAGGCAGTGGGACTGTGGCACTTGGTGTGTGCCCCATTCTTTCCTGCCAGGCTGACTTTTTTTTTTTTTTTTTTTTTTTTGAGACGGAGTTTCGCTCTGTCCCCCAGGCTGGAGTGCAGTGGCGCCATCTCAGCTCACTGCAAGCTCCGCCTCCTGGGTTCAAGCCATTCTCCTGCCTCAGCCTCCTGAGTAGCTGGGACCACAGGCACCCACCACCACACCTAATTTTTTTTGTATTTTTAGTAGAGACGGGGTTTCACCATGTTAGCCAGGATGGTCTCGATCTCCTGACCTCGTGATCCGCCCACCTCGGCCTCCAAAAGTGCTGGGATTACAGGCGTGAGCCACCGCGCCCAGCCTGCCCGGCTGACTTTCATGGGGTGTTCTCATTCTCTGTCCACAACTCTCCCCACCCCTCAAAGCCCAGCTGGGAGGCCCTGCTCTCTCTTCTGAAGCTGCCACTTTCTACTTGGTCTAAGCATCCACCTTCCGTTTCCCAACTAGGCTGAGAGCCCCCACCCCACCTCATGGGGCACCTGGGCAAGGGTGGTTGGCACTTGAGTGTCACTGCAAGGGCTTTTTCTTTTTTCTTTTTTTTTTTTGAGATGGGAGTCTTACTCTGTCACTCAGGTTGGAGTGCAGTGGCGTGATCTTGGCTCACTGCAACCTCTGCCTCCTGGGTTCAAACGATTCTCCTGCCTCAGCCTCCCGAGTAGCTGGGATTACAGGCACGTGCCGCCATGCCCAGCTAATTTTTTAGTAGAGATAGGGGTTTCACCATATTGGGCAGGCTGTTCTTGAACTCCTGACCTTGTGATCCACCTGCCTTGGCCTCCCAAAGCCAGGGACTTTTTATTTCTCCCTGGCCTCTTTGAAATAAAATCATGCTCTTCCCATGGTTTTCCCCATCTCAGGAAATGGGCCCTCCATCCTTTCTCTTGTTTGGCAGCGGGGGGGTTCCCTCTCTTCACACCCATATCCTGGCCGCCTCTCCTTGCCAATCCCAGCCCAGTCCCCTGCCGGGCTGACCCCTGCAACTCCCTAAGCACCAGTCTTAAGGAGCATGCCCAGCATGTCCAAGCCCTACCCAGCTGCTGTGTCACATCTGAATGTGACACGTCACCTCTTTCTTCTTTTTAGGGTCCACCTGTCTCCTTTACCAGAAGCAAAGCTCCATGAGGGCAGGGATGTTTATCTATTTGGCTCACTGCTGTAGCCAGCACCCAGACAGTGTAGTGCAGAGCAGGCACCCACTCAGGACTAGTTGTAGAAAAGATGAAGGTCGTTCTCTGCTCTCCACAACCTACAGCCTTGTCCCAGACACAAAGCAGGAGAAAATGCTGAGTGCTGTCTGCTCCCGCCTGTGAGGTCCCTTCCTATCCCCCAGCCCCGGGCCCCTGGTCACTGGGTAAAGCCCAGCTCCACCTCTGACCTGGTCAGCCTAGGCTGGGCTGGCCAAGGCCTGGCAGGGGCCACAAGTTGCCACATGCAGGGTGGTGGCCAGACATCAACTTCATCTCTGCCCCCTCTTCCCGTACCCCTTATTGTGCTGGGCTCTCCGGAACAGATATCTGCCTAGCCAAATCCAGCCGGTCTGTCCAGGCCACTATCACTGCCTATACCACCTGCCCATGGGCCAGTGTCCACCCATAGGCCAGACTTCCCAAGGGGGTGCCTAAGTCTGGGTCTTAGCTGCATCAGTAAGAGGGTTACAGTCATAAGACCCTCCTCACAGCCTCTCAGGAGGACTCTGAGCTCATCACTGGAAGGCGCCTAGAACCTCAGAGCTCTTTGAACATTTTCGCTGCAGTCATTTTTGCTATTTCCCAGGCACTGCTGTAAGTCCTGGAAATACGGGAATGAACAAGACAGCAAAATACCTGCTGCCATAGAGTGAGCTTATATTGTAGTTAGGGAATGGAGAACAGAAAGTTCATCTGTATACAGATAAACTCAATGGAGAAAAAAGTTACAAAAAAACAGCAAGTGCAAGGCTCTGAGGCAGGACCAAGCTTGGCAGACAGATGGAGAGAGGCCGGGAGCACAGTGAGGGGAGGAGGTGAGGTCAGGGAGAAGGGCAAATCCACTGTGACCTGAGCTGGTGCCTTCTGGGTGTGGGAGGACTTAGCTGCAGGGGCCTGGGAAGGGCACAGCCCCAGCATCCTGGCTCCACACCACTGGCCTGCACTGCCCTTCTTGGTGCCTCAGTTTCTCGTCTGCCAAATGAGGGCCGACCCCCACTGGCACTGGATGACTCTGATGCTCCTGGCCACACCCTAACACCTATTTAGTACCTGGATGTGGATGGAGGCCCATGGCCTTTGGAGAATTCTAGAATCTCAACAGGAAAGACCTCAAAGAGCACCAGGTCCAAGACCCATGTGTGATGCCCACTCCCAGTGGTGCCTCGGGCCACTTCTCCACAACCAGCTGCATGCATTCCATCAACAGTTGGCTCTCAGGTGACAGTCTATGCTGGGCACCAGAAAGGTCACGTGGGCCCCACCATGCAGGTCGTTACGGGCCATTTGTTTCCAGCTCAAGAGGCAAAATGAAGAGCCCAGACTGGAGCCGTCCTGGGTTCAAATCCCAGCTCTACCTCTTTGCTCAAAATCCTCCTAGGTGAGCTGGGCGTGGTGGCGGGCGTCTGTAATCCCAGCTACTCAGGAGGCGGAGGCAGGAGAATCGTTGGAATCCGGGAGGTGGAGGTTGTGGTGACCCGAGAATGCACCATTGCACTCTAGCCTGGACAACGGAGAGACCCTGTCTCAAAAAAAAAAAAAAAAAAAAAAAAAAAGGCCGGGCGCGGTGGCGGTGGCTCACGCCTGTAATCCCAGCACTTTGGGAGGCCGAGGCGGGCGGATCACGAAGTCAGGAGATGGAGATCAAGACCATCCTGGCTAACACGGTGAAACCCCCTCTCTACTAAAAATACAAAAATAATTAGCTGGGCGTGGTGGCAGGCGCCTGTAGTCCCAGCTACCCGGCAGGCTGAGGCAGGAGAATGGCGTGAACCCGGGAAGCGGAGCTTGCAGTGAGCCGCGATCGCGCCACTGCACTCCAGCCTGGGCGACAGAGCCAGACTCCATCTCAAAAAAAAAAAATTCCTCCTGGGTGTGGCGTCTGCCTCACGGGTGTGCTGCGGGGACTGGGTGAAAGAACACATGTGCTGTGCTCAGTTACAGCAGTGCCTGGGCTGCACTCACTCTCACTCTCCTCCCAGCCATTCCCCAGGCACACCCGGTCTACACCACCTTCCACAGACGGAAAACGAGGCTAATCCCGAAGGACACAAGAGGAAGGGCAGACCTACCCGGGCTGCGCTGATCTTTGCATTCAAGCATTCATCCGCAACACAGGACAAAAGACATCGCCTGCCTGGAAAGGCGAAGTCGCCCCGCCAGAAGTCCGAAGCTGCAGTGAGGTGTGGCTTCTAAGCACTGATCCATCCTAACATGTCCCGAGGCCGTCAGGCCTCCTAGTTTAGATAGCAGCAGGCACAACAGCCTTCACAGGAACTGTTGCCTGCCTTTGTGCCCAGCTCTAGCCAGAACCTGCGCAGGCTGTCATCCTTCCACCCCGTAAGGAGAAACGGAGGCCAACCCTCAGCTCCTGTCCTGTTTCAGCATCAATTCCCAAAAGGAGCCATTTCTTTCTTCAGGATGAGGCTTCTGCAGAACTGTTCAGGTAACAAGTGAAACCTAATCTTGTGTGCTATCTCAAAGACCGTGCAACCTTATTCAGGGTTTTATGCGACAGCTGTTGGCATGAAGCCCTCTTGAATAAACAGGTGGAGGCCCAGGCTGTCCCTCCCTCTGAATCTCCCAGAGATCTCCAGCCTCCTCCCCCTACACAACCAGCACTCAGCTCTGGGCAAAGGACCCAGCTTACTATAAATGGCCAACTATACGGCTCCAGGGCCCCATGAATCAGCCATCGTGGCCTACACCGAGCAGGGATGAGCAAATCCCACTCTGGGAACCGATCTTCAGCCTTGGACTGCCTCCTCCCCCAGATCTCACAGGAAATGTTAAGACCAGCTTGGGGTGGGTGGGTGGCGCTTCACTCGGTTACTTTGCCAGGAAAGGAATTCAAACGCACAAGTACTTTCCCTACAAAATAATTTATTGGAACACACAGCTACAGCACTCTATGTACAAGCACATTGACGCTCCTGACTATCCTCAACTAGGGGACCCTTTTCTTCCCCCTTGCCTTGCGGACCTCTTCTATCAAATCTTTCAGGTACTGGATCTCCTTGGCCAGGGAATCCGCCCTCTCTTTTAGAGCCTCGTTCTTCTTTTCCAGCTCTTTGCACTCACCAGTAAGAGCCTCCTGCTCCGCCCTCTTCTTCTGGCGGTACCTAGTGGCTGCTGTCTTGTTTTGCTCCATTTTTTTCAGCTTCTTATCCAGTTTCTCACCCTTTACTTTTGCTGCTACCATCTTCTCTCCAGGAGGATCGTAAGGTTTGGGACGGGCAGACCCACAGAGAACACCTGGAGATGGGAGGCTCCTATTTGGAGAGCCCCTGGTAGAGGGGCTGTGCTGAGGAGACCCCAGATAGGACTCTGGGCTCATACAGATGCCACTATCATTATCTGAAGGGGTGTCTTCCTCCTTTATGCACTGAGGGATCATGGCAACGTAAGCAGTGTAGTCTGGCTTCCTATCTCCTTCAGTGATATCCACTTCACTGCCCAGCTCTAAACTAAAGGAATGATCTGGAGTGGAGGACAGGACCCCTGGGGAAAGGGGAAGAGGTTGTAAGAAGGTGAAGGGGGCAACCTGGTCGGGTTTTGTTAAACTTTCTGGGAGATGGCCAATTGGGTTCACCGTCTGGGGGGGCTGCTTATTAGTCTCCTGGACTAGGGGGGCAAAGAGATCACAAGTGTCATCCAACGTGGTCAGAAGGTCATCTGGCATGGTTTCCAGGTCATCTATACCCAACAGGGCATCCAAGTCGAACTCCTTCAAATCCATTTTCTCCAACATCCAATCTGTCCCGGAGAAGGCATCCTCTGCAAAACATTTGAGTGATGGGGCCAAGTGAGTCAGATACAAAGGTAGGAGGCCCCTAACCCTAGATCCCACCAGGACGATGTGGTGGTGGCCCACTCACCCTTGCTGTTGTTGGAGGGACTGACCAACCCATCCACAGCCAGCCATTCGGAGGAGCCCGCCTTAGCCTTGTCGCTGGAGAACCCATGAGGTTTGAAGTGCTTGGCCACCTCCAGGTAATCATCTAAGAGACCTAGGCTTTCTTCAGCCCCCAAACCCGACTGGTCGAAGGGGGACATCAAGTCCCCCACCAACACCTCGCTGCTCAGGAAGCTCATTTCGGTCATGTTGCGGTGCTTTGCTGGAATCGAGGAATGTGCTTAATTCGAAGGTGTCTTTGTCGGTTACAGCAACGCTGCTGCTGAATGCCGTGAGAAGCCTGAATGAGAATCAGAAGCCAACTCCCATTAGAGGTTAGCTGTTCTGAGAATTTCATCCTTCCACTTATGAGGCGGGACTTCTCTAGATCGGCCATCTAGAGAATCGGGAACAGGGCAGTTGTATTTGCCCCTCCCTGCTTGCAACTCAGGTTCCACAAAATGGACGCTCACGGAGACCAGGGGATTCTTCCACCGGCCGCCAAGAGGAAAGCGCTCCGTCCCCACGTCCAAATACGGCCAGGGCGGCCGCGCCCCGCCCACCGCCCGCCCTTGACTCACGCCCGCGCCGCCGCCCTGCCGCCGCCATCTTGGTTCCTGCCACGTTTCGTGGGGCAACAGCCAAGACCCCTGGGACCCTTGCGGGGCTCGGGGTCCGAGGGCTGTAGGGCTCCTGGGGAAGCAGTCCGGGCACCCGACTACGCTTTCCCGATCCCAGGCACGCGAGCGTCTCGGGGACACCCAAGCAAAGACCACGCGTCCCGGGCGCTCGTTAAATCGCTTCCCCCTTGGCGGCACCGCCCTGGCCCCAGGCCGCACCCCACCAATCCAAAACCCGCGCCGGCCCCAGGAGCACAGCTGGACGACCCGCCCCGGTACTCACGCCATGGCTTAAGCCGCTGGGGGTTGCCGCTGCAGAGCCTGGTGCTGCTGCCGCCGCTGCAAAGGCCAATGCTGCCGCAGGCACTGCTGCCCCTAATACGCCATGGTGGCCGTGGACCCTGAGGGCGGGGAGGAGGGAAAACGCACACGCGCAGAGAAAACTACATCTGTGGGCGGGCAAAGTAGAAATGGCTGCCGTGGCCGCCCGCCGGCCCTTTATAGACTTCGTCTCTATGGGGACGCAGCACAGACGCATCCTTCCGCCGCGACCACGTGACCGTCTCCTCCCGCCCGCTCCCTTCCCTCCCTCCCTTTGACGCCCCAACCGTTTATGCCCAGGGCGTAGCTGTGACGAGAAAAGGAGTTTGTTCTTATGGCCTCACGAAAGGAGAGAGGTGTACTACTTTACTAGGCTTCTATGATCAGAGTCCGTTCTTTCCTTCGCCGCCGGAGCGCGGAGTGATCTCCCAGACACGCCTCGCTTCCGGTGTCAGCGCAGTGGGCGGGGAAAGGTCGTTTTCCGGCGAAGAGTTTTTATTGTGAAGGCCGAGGACGCCAGGTTATCGCGCGAGGTGCTGGCGAAGAGCGCGCGTCAAGGTGATTGGCCCAGGCCCGGTGAATCATATATATCTCGAGCTCTTATTGGCTCAGGGCCCTAGATGGGCGGCTGCTGGGAGAGGGATCCCGGGGTCCGCGTGGGAAGGGTTGGGGTCTCGGGTCGCTGCTAGTCCTCAGCCAGCCCCGCCTGCTGGCCCGCCACGATCGCGCTGGCTCCTGCCCCCAGGCGGCCTTAGCCCAGCGCACCCCTTAGTGGCCTCAGGGACCAGCCCTTGCGGTCGGATCCCGCCGCCCTCAGTGGAGGTCCGCACTGGTGGCCCCGCCGCCGCTCCCAGCCTGCGCGTCCTTCGGTTGCGGGTGGTGATTTGTGGCCTGCGGAAACCGGGGGGTTACCTGTTCCAAGCCTGAGTTTTCCAGAGGCCCCATTCATAGCCGACACGGCGCTGCTGCCCCCGGGAGGTTGAAGGGGCCTCGAGAGGGCGCGCCGGGCCTGTCCACCTACCCCCAAAGGCCGGCTGAGTCTGCATGGCTCCTCCTAAACTCTGGAAAGGAGCCGGGAAGACGCGCCGTCCTGTCGCCCAACCTGGGTTTTTACAATTTTCATCCGGCTCAAGTGCAAGGCTGCCACAGAATAGCATCATAGAGGAACTTCTGGTGTCCGAAGATTGCGTTCTCCTAAGAACAAGATTTTCTTCGCTGCCGTCTCCCTGGGGTAGTTCGGATTCACTCCGGATTCTGAACTCCCCGGCCTAACCCGCTTTTCAGCAGTCACGCCCATGGCCCAGGGAGGAGAGGCGCTTGGGAACCCACGGCCACTTACTGGGGGTTGTGCGTTGGGAAGGGGTAGTCTGTTTTAAGAATACAAGAAACCTCCCCATCATCCTTCAGCCCCTTCCAGTCAGGCCCTGTGAAGGTGGAAACTTTGAGTTTCCGCCTCCATTTCACTGGGCCACACAAGTATGAGCGCTGTGATATCAAACAACCAGGGAAGCACTGCTCTAAATAACCACAGGCCATCTGCTGCGCTCATTCAACCTCGCCCACAAATCCTTTCCAATGGTAAACCGAGGCCCAATGGGATGAAGCTTCTTGCTCAAAGTCACAAGGCTCCCAGTGGAGGGAGTATGGGGTAGGAGTTAGAAGACAGATTTTGGGGAGCGCATCCAAAAGAATCCTGGCTGGGACATTTTGGCTAAATGACTTATACTCTCTGAGCCTCAGTTTCCTCATTTGTAAAATGAGACTACTGATGAGTATCCTTGCCTCATGAAGTGAGATCATACATGTAAAGCACTTAGCACAGTGCCTGCCTGGTACATGTAAGCGCCCAATAATGGTTGCTGTTGCTGCCACTGTTCATAGAACTCAGGTCTCCTGACCCTGACTTCTGCCACTCTCCATCACATCCTCCTGCTGCCTCAGAGGACTCTTCATTATTATTTAATGAGATGAAACCAACAACTTTAAAACTGGTATACACAAGGCATACTGGATGCTGGAATAAAAGTATGTTTTTTCTTTCTCCTTGGGGAATCGTGAGTGTTGAGATATACAGAAGTTGGCGCCAGGAGCAGTGGCTCCAGCCTGTAGCCCCACCTACTCAAGCCGAGGTGGGAGGATTGCTTGAGCCCAGGAATTCCAAGCTGCAGTGAGCTGTGATCACAACACTGCAACTCAGCCTGGGCAACAGAGCAAGACCCTGTCTTTAAAAAAAAAAAAAATACAGGAGTTTTCTAGCCTTTCCATGCAAAGGCAGTAAGAATACCTGAGCCATTAGCCATGTCTTCCAAAGGCAGAACTAGGGACCCACAGGACGTGTTCTCCTTTTGCTATAGACAGTACCTCCTGACAGATGACTGTGCAAATGGTTGAGTATTAAAGTAACACTGCCCCAATTTTGACACTGAAAAGGTCATAAAAGAATGACTCCCATGGCAGCCTGTCCCATCCATTCTTTTATAGAGACCTAGCTCAAACACTTCAAAGGTTCCCCTAGCTGAAAATGGAGACCCAGTACCACTCCCACAGGAAAATGTTCTATACGACACACACAAGTCACAGCTGTTGGAAAGGAGATGTTTATTTTCTTCTTCCCATGCTATGGAAGGACATTGTATTCCGCAGTTTTATTTCCTCCCTCAAGGAGAAAAAGGACAGCAGGTCTCTGGGCCTCAGGGCTAAGCTGCCCCTACTTATATAGAGCTAACCAAGACAGTACAGAAAGACTGGTGACTGATTCCAAATCTACCAGCTAACACATCCACCACCACTGCGGGCAGGCAAGTGACTAGAAGGCAAGTTGTGGACTTGGCCTCAGGGACCAAGAATTTAAAGACTACAAGGTGATCCAAATGTAAAGGTAAACACCTACTGTGCATTTGACCATGGAACCCACCTCTCTGGTATTCTGGCCACTTACAGTAAGTGGCATCTAAAAGGGCTGCAGCCTCCCAGCCTGGTGCAAGGGTCAGCTCTGTCCTAAGTCTCCTATCATTCTCCTTGGCCTTGAGTTTCAGACAAAAGGGCAGAGTTCTAACAAATCCTCTGACAGAACACGTTCTCAGCCAAGTCAGTCCCAAGGAAGTATCATGGCAGAGAGCTCTGGACACTCGCAGTAGTCTGTATTTACAGAACCCTCCCACCTCGGGGCCTCTCCTGGGTCCTTCCATCCTGAAGCTGATTCCCCTTCAAGACTATTTGAACTCTCAACTTGAGTGGAGTGCAGGGAGCACAGTCAGCAAATGTGGAATATGGACAGGTGGCCGGGACCCAGGAGACCGTGGGCCTCTGCAACGCTTCTTTAAACTTGAGCTTCAACATTTATTTAAATAAAACTTTAAAAGTCATAACCAAGCATGTAAAGAAAAATACTGTCATCTTCAGCTCATTTTTTAGGAAGGGCAACAGAGGAGAACCAAAATAAACTCTGGAATTTATTAGGTTTAAGATAATGAGTGCATTTTTTAAGTGTTAGGCTACGTATAAAGTTTGCTAACCTTGATGGCACACACACAAAAATCTCTAGATGGAGAAGTAGAAGATGCTGTTACTTCAGGCAAAAGTAAGAGTTACTGAACAGGAAGGCAGAGTAGTGGGGAAAGTTACTCATCTTTCCCCAAAGATTTAAAAAAGGGGGCAGGTGCAGAATGTTGTCCTCTTCTATCCAAGAATCTCAAAGCAATTGCCTATGTTCCACACTTTATGATGAGGAAGATGGCAGCAAAAAGAACGGCTTGCCCAGTCATGGTCAGCAAACCCACCAGGACCAGCGCTGAGAGTTCACATTGCTTCTGGTTCTGAGGACTTCTTAAGAGGTTCTTCCTTGTAAAATGACAAAGTTATGGTTTTGTCCAACAGTTAAAAGAGATGCTCTTTAAGAAGGATGATAAACTCATTTGCCTTCCTTAAATGACAATTACACTCAACTTAAATAACTTGGGACTCTTTAAAATCTTATCTTTTTTAAGCTCTTCTTCCAATTTTTATTTTTTTGAAATAGGGTCTCACTCTGTCACCCAGGCTGGAGTGCAGTGGCACGATCTCAGCTCACTGTAACCTCCGCCTCCCGGGTTTAAGTTATTCTCCTGCCTCAGCCTCCCGAGTAGCTGGGATTATAGGCGCCTGCCACCACGCCCAGCTTATTTTTATCTTTTTCGTGGAGACGGGGTTTCACCATGTTGGCCAGGCTGGTCTCGAACTCCTGACCTCAAGTGATCCACCCGCCTTAGCTTCCCAGTGCTGGGATTACAAGCATGAGCCACCGCACCCAGCCTCCTTCCAATGTTTTATGTGAAATTTGGTCAGAGATGCAAGCTTGGGAAAACTTAAATTTTTTTAATACTCATGGCAGGGAAACCAAATCCTTTATCTCAATGAATAATCTATACTTTTGCAACACTCTATCAATCCTCTCCTCTCCCTTACCTCTAACGGATACCCAGTGGGTACACAGGAACCCTGTCAAGCTCTACCCCATACCTTCTAGATTCATCCAGGATGGTACTCAGGCATACAGATTTTTTTTTTTTTTTTTAACTCTCATTTGAGTCTGACCAACAGACAGGGTAGATGAGCTCTCTCAAGATTCTCAGCTTTATGTTTTTTGTTCCCTCTCAATACCTTTATGCAAATGAAACTGAAACCACCATAAGAAATCCTTGTTAAGGGGAAAAGAGGCAAAAAGACCTCTAAATATAGTCAAGGTTAACCCTAGTTCTCAATTTCCTAATCTGTGACAAAAGAGGGGCAGGAATCTCTACCCTAAATTGATGTTGAGGTATCGATGCTAAAGAGTCATTTCCTGTTACTATCGTTGGGAAGGAATGAGACAGCTGCAGAGAGCTTCACCAGAACCTCAATGATGGAGAGGTAGTCATTGAAAAAATAAGACAACTTGACGGAAGGAAAACAAAATACTGAATGGGCAGATGAGAAACAGAATTATCATCAGAGTCTTGCTACAAACAGGGAAAAACACAAACCAAGATGACACACGGACATGGTAGATTAAACATTCCTCCCCACCTTCAGGATACATTTACATTGCAATAAATACTGCAATCTCAGCAGCGGCAAACAAGGAGGAATGTAGGAAATGCCCACCTCCTCCCCTCTGTCTTATCTGTGTGCTCTCTTCCTTGGTAGCACCGATCTCCCCAGGTGCTGGGTGAGAAACAGGACAGGGGGAAGAGGTCCGTGCATGCTCACTTGCCCTCTGGCCGTGCCCGGAGCGCTCAGCAAACACCCCTCTCACATTCCTATGGCAGACGCTGGAGGATGAAGGGCTGGCTGTTGGGTCTGTTCTTGCTCTAAGGCCACATCCTAGAAAAGCAGGGCCTGTCTGGGTAGAAAACATGGCCACCAAACCCCAACTAGTGACTGGATTTTCCAGCTGACATTCAGTCGACTGTCTACCTCCATCATCCTCACCTGATGTCTAAGGCTGCGTTCCTTCAAGGCCTTGTCCTGATTGGCAATAAAATAAGGAAAAGGTGTGAAAACCAGCATTCATGATGAAGTGGTGCCCTGGCAGTCCCCATCCTTGTCTGTCTGACCCCTGCAGCCACAGATGACGAGCAGACACTGGGCACACAAACCCTTCACTAGGCCCTTAACCAGCTCTGGTTCCCTACTCTGCACTTCTGCTAATAGCCACCAAGAAATTCAACCTGCAAATAACTTTGCATTCAGCTTATCCTGTGTGGGTCATTAACAGTGTTCCCATGAGAGACATTCTCAGCATTTATGAATGGGTCAGGAGGTTGGGGGGAGGATGGACTTCTACTCCAGGAACCGTGGTCAAAGGCCAACTCTTCTACCAGCCTCACTCCCAGAAACCCTAAATACTGTCTCAGCACTCGCTCTGTAGAGTTCAGCTTTGAAACATGCTATCACAGCTCTTCAGTGGCATTCAACTAAAAGGCAACATCTTAATTAGGCAGATATGCTCCAGGGACAAGAGCAAAACAGAAGGCATGAACGAGAGAGGAAAAAATAGAAAAGACACTGAATAGGAACAGGCAAACGGGCAAGGCAGACCAGATAGAGGCAGCAAACATGGGCCAAAACGCAAAACACCAAGTGGTCCATCAGCTCAGGCCAGCACGCCACCTTCTCAATTCATTCCAGAAAAATTAGCCTGGAGCCAGGGGGCGGCAGAGAGCACAGTGATTGGTAACAAAAATAGGAAGAGTTGGGTAACAAAATAGGAGACGAAAGAGATGTCATTCTAATCAGCATGAAGTGACCAGGGTGATGATCAGCAAGACACCAGGCAGCAGGAACCCTGTGAGGCACCAACTAGGTAGCCAAGTGTATCTAACGGAGAATCCAGGGCCTGACCACCAACACCCGCTTTGGCCTTCACCTGCCCTACGTCTGCAGCAGCACCTCTGGCTCAGACAATGAGCAATACAGAGTGTATCCTAATTCGTCTATTTCTTCAGGGGTGAGCTCTGCAAATAAGTTCACCTTGGGGTTTAGGGCACTGGGCAGGACTCCAGCCTCTAAGTAGCTGATAAGTCCCCTCAAGGCCTGCAGGAAACGGTCGGCCAGCATATCCGGAGACCAGTCAGCCTCCTCCTGGGCCAAGTGGAGGATGACATTGGTTAGCTGGCTGGCAGTGAGGTGGCCCAGAGCCGGGGTGGACTTGCATATGGCCTTGAGGATCTTGAGGCACAGAGATCGGCAGCCCGAGTCAGCCTGGTCCAGAGCCCGCAGGCGTGCCGTCTCCGCGGGACGCAGGCTCAGCCGCCACAGGTTGTCATACTGGGCTAGCCGGTGTGGTTTGGCCACCAAGACTGTGTCACCGAGGGTCACTGATGGCAGGAAGTCAATGAAGAGATGTTTGTCACGCTCATACTGCACCTCCAGTGTGAGGGCTTCTGGGGGTGGGGCCGGGCGGATCACATAGTCCAAGAGGGACCCTATGGCTGGCCAATTGATGGAGCCAGCCACTACCTTCTCAAATGTATCTGCGACTGTCTTTGGAGAGAGGTAGCCCCCTACTACACAGCGGTCCCAGTAACTGCTCCCACGAGGAAAGTACTCTGGATTCTCACGACGCACCAGGAAGAAGCCAGGGACATTCATGATGGTGTCTTCACCAGGAATACATGACCACAGGTTCTGCTCCAGCACAAGGGGCACAATGAGTTGGATGTGGTCAGCTGTCACCACCTGTCAGGGCAGAATTTAAAGGGTTTTGAGGGTTTACTCTGTTCAAAAGACATGCTTCCTCTAAGACGGTTCCCACCATCTTACATTCCCCCCCAGCAAGAATGGGAACTCTAGGCCGGGCGCAGTGGCCCATGCCTGTAATCTCAGCACTGTGGGAAGCTGAGGCGGCTGGCTCACTTGAGGTCAGGAGTTCAAGACCAGCCTGGCCAACATGGTGAAACCCCATCCCCTACTAAAAATACAAAAAAATTAGCCAGGCATTGTGGCGTGTGCCTGTAATCCCAGCTACTCAGGAGGCTGAGACAGGAGAATTGCTTGAACCCAGGAGGCGGAGGTTGCAGTGAGCCAAGATCGTGCCACTGCACTCCAGCCTGGGCAACAGAACAAGACTCCATCTCAAAAAAAAAAAAAAAAAATTCTTTCATGTCACCATGCAATCTACACAGAGTGAGAAAACTAGAAAGGAGAGATGGGCACAAGAATATAGGAAGGAGGAGGCCTCTTATAGCTTCCTAGAAGTTGTAAGTAGGACTAAAACATGAGAAACGATTAAAGACACAAGAATAAAGAATAACAGGCCAGGCTCACGCCTGTAATCCCAGCATTTTGGGAGGCCGAGGTGGGTGGATCACCTGAGGTCAGGAATTCGAGACCAGCCTGACCGGCATGGCAAAACCCCGTCTCTACTAAAAATACAAAAAAATTAGCCAGGAGTGGTGGCACACACCTGTAATCCCAGCTACTCGGAAGGCTGAGGCAGGAGAATCGCTTGAACCCAGGAGGCAGAGCTTGCAGTGAGTCGAGATCGCACCACTGCACTCCAGCCTGGGCGACAGAGTGAGACTCCGTCTCAAAAAAAAAAAAGAATAACAAGCATGGATCTCCAAATGCTGCTGAGGTACACAGGATTCGGAAGCTGTAAGACCTCAGTCTTTCTGGCAAGCCTGGGACACTGATCTGTGCCAACAACACTATGGTGCTCAGCACTCAAACCCCACCCACCATGAGAACCACCTTGTTACCTGCAGGTCATCGTAGAGGCTGCCACTCAAGTACATGTCCCGAAGCGGCATGTCAGGCAACTTGGCCCGCAGGAAGCTCCGGAGCTCGGCACATATGTCCACAGCAGCTTGCTTGGCCCGAGCCTGCTCTCCAGCAGGGATGGCTGCCCGGTTCCGGTAGTAAGTAAGAAGTTTCTCCTGCAGGGACATGCGGAGTCGTGACTTCTTCAAGTCTACCTGGCCCTTCCTGGCCACTGGCTTGGGCCGGGGCGGGCAGAATGTATCTGCCAAGGCAAGAGAGAGAGGCACGTGAGCTCTGCCCATGCCTGCTCAGTCCACAGCTGCCTCAGCCCCAGAAAGAAGGGCCTGGCATGGAGGGCAAGTGCTGGCACAGTGCCTGGCACAGATGTGCTCAGGAAACATCTGCTGAGTGCAGGAGTGGTACTGAAAGTCCAGAGAGGTCCCAGGAGGGGCAGCAGCCCTTCTCACCTGTGTCGAAGGTGGAGGAGTCTGTGGGAAGGGTCTGCAAGGACCGGCTCAGGCCCGTCTTCATGTCCCTGTTCAGCAGTCGTGGGGAGCCCATCCAGTTGGGTTCTTCCCAGCTCCTTTTCCCCGAATGGCTCAGGCGGGTGGGGCTGGTAGGGGCACTGATCGCCCGATCGTACATCTGAAATAGCAGAGAGGACACAGGACATAAACCTGCCCTCTTTCCCTATTTCCTTCCAATTTACTTCCTCCCCAGAAGCTCTGTCCTAGTAAGTTCTTTTAGTAATTTTGTTTTTATTTTAGATTATAGAATACTTTGCTCCACGCAGAAAATCTCAGGGAAGACTACATGATATAAGACATAGATAATCCACGTCATGACCCAGAGAAAACTGTTTGTAATATCTGGTATGTTTCTTTCTAGATGCATGTAATGACGATCACTCTATACATACTTTTGAAACCTGTTTTTTTCACTTATCATTGCGATCATTTCCTCCTAGAACGCTTCGACATTTTCTTTCTATAAAACATTACATCTTATGACCATACCACTACATTCCACCCCCAGCCCTGGCTGCATGCACTTACCCGCTTAACTGCCAGCGTGGCGATGCCCAGCATGGCCGCTCCACCCACCCCCAGCACCAGCCGGGCATTGGAGAGCACAAAGTCAATGGCCGTGCCAATGCCATTGTCATCCTTCTTGCCTTTGCGCTCACCAGCGCCTGCCATTGCTCATCTGAGAATGAAGACAGAACACGGCCATAAGTACTGGGACCCCAAGAACCTCCCTCCCCTAACAAGCCAAACCCCAACAAGTACAGGGTACTCTGTGAGTTCCAGCAACCCAAATCTTCTTGCCTCCAGCACTGCATGCTTTAGGGTCTGGAGGGAGCTACAATGTCCCATGATAGATCAGGATGCAAGGAGGAGGGGCTGATCTTGGGTATTGTAGGAAAACTTTCCCCAAGCTAGTGAGATTAAGAAAGCATTAAGCTCAGTGTCAGTCCTTTTTTGTATTACAATGAAGTACCCCACCATGCAAAACAGCCCTCTCTCTGCCCCTTTACAATGTTAAAATGCAGGTCTCTACCCCTTCACAATGTTATAATGCAGGTCTCTACCCCTTCACAGGGGTTATAATGCAGGTCTCTACCCCTTCACAGGGGTTATAAAGCAGGTCTCTACCCCTTCACAGGGGTTATAATGCAGGTCTCTACCCCTTCACAGGGGTTATAATGCAGGTCTCTCTACCCCTTCACAGAGGTTATAAAGCAGGTCTCTCTACCCCATCACAGGGGTTATAATGCAGGTCATTTCTTCGTCCTTTGGCCACTACTTTGTGGAAGGTTAGATCTGAGCGGGACCTTGGAGCTCATCTAATGCCATCACATCACCTCACACAGAGGTTCTCAACATAGGGAGGTGATGTGTCAGGTCTCAGAGAAAAGAAATGGTACAGGCGCAGTGGCTCATGCCTATAATCCTAGCTACCCGGGAGGCTGAGGTGGGAAGATCGCTTGTGGCCAGAAGTTCAAGACCAACCTGAGCAACATGGCAAGACCCCCATCTCCAAAAGTAAAAGATAAAAATAAATTGAGCATGGTGGCACATGCCTGTAGTCCTATCTACTTAGGAGGCTGAGGCAGGAGGAATGCTTGAGCCCAGGAGTTTGAGGCTACAGTGAGCTATGATCACGCCACTGCACTCTAGCCTCAGTGACAGAGTGAGACCCCATCTCTTAAAAATAAAAATAAAAAAACAAAATGGGCCGGGCACGGTGACTCACGCCTGTAATCCCAGCACTTTGGGAGGCCGAGGCAGGCGGATCACCTGAGATCAGGAGTTCAAGACAAGCCTGGCCAACATGGAGAAACCCCGTCACTACTAAAAATATAAAATTAGCCAGATGTGACAGCGCATGCCTGTAATCCCAGCTTCTCAGGAGGCTGAGACAGGAGAATCCCTTGAACCCGGAAGGCGGAGGTTGCAGTGAGCCGAGATCACACGATTGCACTCTAGCCTGGGTAACAAGAGCTAAACTCCGTCTCAAAAACGAAAACAAAACGACACAGTCATCTCCAGAACTCAGGACTCCCCACTCCTTGTATGACGCTTTTTCTACTGTACCATGCTCACCCTTACCCAAATCAAATCGGCCCTTATTCTATCTACTTTCTGCAAACAAAACACAAAACAACATGTACCAAACATCCTGCACACGGAACTGAAACTACACGTCCATATGTGAGAAAGGTCCCTCCATGGACCCTCCTACTTGACAAATGCTTTGTTTCTTGAGAGAAGTGCGCAGCGGGGACTATAAAAGCTTAGGTGAGACTGGTATACCGGGAGATAAAAAACACAAAGGACACTGCAGACTCGACTGCTAACTGGAAAACAAAACACCCATCTGCTCGATTACACCTGGAAGAGGAACTAAAAATGTGTTCACCTGAAAGAAGTACTTGGGCACCACAGCGAAGAGGCTGGCCTCCAGTGCAGTGCTCAGGCCAGTGCTGCTCCCGACTACAGTGGAGTCTTCCTGACTGCAGCAGCAGCAGTCCCCAGATAAGCCCATTCCTGTGGAGTTAGAACCCTGGGCCTGAGCCGGATAAAGGATGACAGTGTGATTCAGATCGGAATACCACTCAGCATGCTGCCACTCTCCTCTATAATATCCCGTGTCCTTCACACCAGGAATGACATAAGGGAAAACAAAGTCGGATACCATTTAGCGTCCCAGAATGGGAGGACATCAAGAGACAGGATCAGCCGGGCGCGGTGGCTCACACCTGTAATCCCAGCACTTTGGGAGGCCAAGGTGGGTGGATCACGAGGTCGGAAGTTCAAGACCAGCCTGGCCAACATAGTGAAACCCCATCTCTACTAAAAATACAAAAAATTAGCCAGGCATGATGGTGCATGCCTGTAATCCCAGCTACTCGGGAGGCCAAGGCAGGAGAATCACCATTGCACTCCAGCCTGGGTGACAGAGCAAGACTCCGTCTTGAAGAAAAAAAAAAAAGGATCACTGAGGATTATCTTCCATGTAAAATAACATTCCTTCTAATACCGTGTTACAAGTGGATATTTCTAGCTTCCACATCTTACGCTCCTGCCTCTACCTCCCTGAAAAACAAAGAAATATTTCTGACTCTATTATTCCAGTAATTGAGTTAACTAAGAGTCACTGTCAAGCCCAAAAATATTTTTTTCCCTAACTAGAGTTCACACCTTGGGGGTACTTTCCTTTTCTCTACCATTTACAGTCAATAGAGGCTTCAGGTTTAGGGACATGAAAGACTATTTCGCCAAACCGAGTACATTCCCACCTCAAATGCACAGAGCAAAGCCAGGGAGAAGAGATAACGTTTGTATTTACAGGTGGAATCAGGGAAGAACAGCAGACACCCTCTCTCCAGTGGCCACTGAGATAGAGACGGGACAAACCAAACTTAGCAGAGGCAAGATAACCCAATCAGGAGAAAAGCAGAACACTATACATTTCCCCACACATAACAATGTCTCTTGTTTTAACTCTTTACTGAAATATTTACAATAGGGAGAGCCACTGGACACATGTGCCCTCTAAATGATCCTTGAGTGTGATGCAGCAGGGCCAGAAGGGCACCTCCTCACTCAGGGCAGAAGCAGCCTCCCTGGACCATTTTAGTCCTTGGTGCCCTTCTGATGACTGGTGAGAGCAAGGTGGTGCTACAGATGACAGAACAGAGCGTGGGTTTTAGAGTCAGAAATCCTGAGATACAGAACTTGCCTTGAGCCCTGACTTATTAGCTGGGTGACCTCAAATGAGTTACTTAACACCTCAGCTACGAAAAGGGGATAATGGTCCCCGCGTGGGACCAAATCACAGGGTTGTAGTGAGGAAAAACCATTCACTGCAATCCTGTATGTGAACGGTATAAACTGTATTGCAGTGGATGGTCTATAAACTGTAAAAGTGCTCCACAAATGAGTTCTCCTCTAGTCTTTTAAGATTTCCATCCACAGGACAAAGGTCAGCTTCCAGAAGTCAGTCAGCAACCCAGACTGTCCTCTGAGTGACAGTGCACCTTTTGAGACTGCTCTAAAACGGCCTTGAAAATTCGCAGTGATGCCATCTTGGACTTGAGATCAAAACTATTTTTTCTTTTTTTTTGAGACTGAGTATCACTCTGTCACCCAGGCTGGAGTATAGTGGGGCAATCCCGGCTCACTGCAACCTCCACCTCCCAGGTTCAAGTGATTCTCCTGCTTCAGCCTCCCTAGTAGCTGGGATTACAGGCATGAGCCACCACACCCTGCTAATTTTTTGTATTTTCAGTAGAGACAGGGTTTCACCATGTTGGCCAGGCTGGTCTCGAACTCCTGACTTCAGGTGATCTGCCCACCCTGGCCTCTCAAAGTGCTGGGATTACAGGCGTGAGCCAACAGCTGAGATCAAAACTATTAAGTTGGGCCAGCTTGTTAAGCCTTTTCGGCCGGGTACGGTGGCTCACGCCTGTAATCCCAACACTTTGGGAGGCCAAGGTGGGCAGATCACGAGGTCAGGAGATCGAGACCATCCTGGCTAACACGGTGAACCTCTGTCTCTACTAAAAACACAAAAAATTAGCCAGGTGTGGTGGCAGGCGCCTGTAGTCCCAGCTACTCGGGAGGCCGAGGCAGGAGAATCGCTTGAAGTCGGGAGGCAGAGGTTGCAGTGAGCCAAGATTGCACCCACTGCACTCCAGCCTGGGTGACAGAGCAAGACTCCATCTCAAGAAAAAAAGGCTTTTCCTACTGTAGTGCAATAGGCACCCCCCGCCCACCATCCAAGGACGGACTGACATCACAGACCTGGTGACCTGGAACAGAAGACGGCATCCACAAGCTCAACAGACAGACACGGACCTTACTTGAAAAGTTAATTCAACTTGTTCCAGTTTAAACTGCTTCTCCATGACACGCTCTCCACTCAGGTTCTGCTGCATAAGCTTACAGCCTACTAGCAGGTAAGAACTCCACCTCCAATCGGGACTGTCATGAAGGAACCCCATTGCTTAATGGGTACAGAGTTTCAGATGTGCCAGATGAAAAGGGTTCTGGGGCTCTGTTACCCAACAATGTGAATATACTTACTACTACTGAACTGTACACTTTAAAATGGTTAAGATGGTTAAAATAAAAAACAAAGAAGGAACACAGACCTGGTGGGCAGAACTAGGGATGGAGAATTTCAGCTCTGCCAATATTTCAGGCAAGTTATTTAACCTGTCTCGCTAGATACAAAAATGGGAACAGAAATGCTCATCACCCTAATATAGTTAAGGATGATGAATAATGGAGGCCTTGCGGCTTCCTAGGATGACAGCACAGAAGTGTGAAAGTTCCAACTTATTTTAATTGAAAAAGCCATAGGCCTTTTTATAAACCTATCTTGCTTGAGTATGTACGAGACTAGGTAGCAGATATTGAGTGTGTATTATGTGCTGGCAATTTTACACTTATTATTAATTCCCTCAATCCTCACAACAACAATCCCATGAGATCAGTAATATTATCCCAAATTTAAAGGATGAAGAAACTGAGTAGTTTCTGTAACTGACCCAAGGTCACTGTGTCAGTAAAGTATGTGACCAAGATTTGAACCCTGAGATCACGCGGTGCGGAGAACTAATCTACAGGGGTCCTAGGTACTTGCTCCACACCTTGTTCCCATCTCCACTCCATTAACCCCCAGACCATATGCTTCTGGGGGACATTTGGGCTCATTCACTGCTGCATCCCCAGGGTGTGCAGTGTTTGATGCATAGGGAGTATATGTTGTGGGAATGAAGTATTAACTCTACGGCGTTTTGTTTCTTGGTTTTTTTGAGGGGGTAGTGATAGCAGCGTGTAGCCCAACTCACAGCCAAAATATATTAGGAACACAAAGATTTCAAGGAACGCCCTAATTCCCTCCTAGATCCGCTAGCCAACCCTCCCTGTGCAGACAGGCTCCCATGGGCATCACCCCACCCCTGGCCCTGTACTGCCAAAGGCAGATATGCCAATCCTAAGTGGCTGAGAAGAACCAAAAGTCATTACATAAGGCTCTCTTCCTACTTTCCCTCCCCCAGTTAAAAGCAGCACCCTCCACCCAGCTGGCAGGCCTTACACCCAGTTACTCTTCATCTTTCTCTCTCCTCCTCCTGCCTCAGCCAACTGATCACCAAGTCCCACTGCTGTACACACTGTGTTTATATGTGGCCACCCCCACCCCTCGGTCCCTCAATCTGATCTGGCTACATCCACTGCCTCTAGTATCTCTCATCAATTTATTCTTCACACTGCCACTGGTATGCTCCCTCTACGATACAAATGTGGCTATGTCATTCCTCTGTTTACAGAGCTGTGATGGTCCCCACATAAGAAGATATACATTACAATCTCAACTTGGAGTCAACGTCCTTCCAGACCAGGCCCAGCCTCAACTCTGGCTATTTGCCTTACAGGGGTACCATGCTGGCCACATCAGACTTAAGTTTCCAGACTACAAAGTGCAGTTTCTGGACAGGCAGAGCTGTTTGAACCTATAATCCCAAAGCTTTGGGAGGCAAGGGTGGGAGGATCGCTTGAGGCTAAGAGTTTGAAAGCAGCCTGGGCAACATAGCAAGACCGTCTCTACAAAAAAAATAAATAAATAAAAAATTAGCTGAGCACATTGGTACATGCCTGGCGTCCCAGCTACTCAGGAGGCTGAGAAGGGAGGACTGCTTGAGGCCAGGCATTCAAGGTTCCAGAGAGCTATGATCATGCCACTGTACTCCAGGTTGGGCGAGAGCGAGACCCCGTCTCTTTTTTTTTTGGAGACGGAGTGTCACTCTGTCACCCAGGCTGGAGTGCAGTGGCGCGATCTTGGTTCACTGCAACCTCCACGTGCCGGGTTCAAGCAATTCTCCTGCCTCAGCCTCCTGAGTAGCTGGGACTTAAGGCATGCGCCACCATGCCCGCCTAATTTTTTGTATTTTTGGTAGAGACAGGGTTTCACCATGCTGACCAGGCTGGTCTCGAACTCCTGACCTTGTGATCCTCCTGCCTTGGCCTCCTAAAGTGGTGGGATTACAGGCGTGAGCCACCGCACCGGGCCAACCCTGTCTCTTAAAAAAGAAAATTGCAGTTCCCACTCCAGGCATTTGCTTATTCCTGCCCTGCTGCTGGTAAACCTCTATTTCTCATTTGAGGCAGACCTCAAATGTCCTCTTTTTTCCCCCCCACCCCAGAGACAGGGTCTCATTCTGTCACCCAGCCTGGAGTGCAGTGGTGCAATCATACCTCACTGCAGCCTCAACCTCCTGGGCTGAAGCCATCCTCCTGCCTCAGCCTCCTGCAGAGTTGGGACTATAGGTGCACACCAGTGCACCTGGCTCTGCACTGATTTCTAATGACTAAAAGGATGACTTTGATCCTTTTCTCGGTCCCTTGCAACAAAAAATAAGGAAACCTACAGGAACGAGGGCCTACGTACCTGAGGCTTCTTAATACATCTGTAAGATGGGGATGGAAGAGAGCAGGAGTGTCTACAGAAGGCACCTTTGTCCTCTTTCCCTTGGAGGATCCTAAATGATCCTCCCCAATTTGCCGTTGAGAAAGACCAGGCCCTTCTCCAGCTGCCTCTCCCGGGCCTCAGCGTCCTCTAGCTTCTGATTTTTTCGGAATTCACGGCGGATGGAGGCAAAGTAGAAGTCTCGATCAGTGTAGCGAAGCTGTCGGCCCTGGCGCAACAGAGCCCGATAGAGACTCAGCACCGCCTCTCGGCTCCACGGGGCCATGGGGGACTGGCAGGGGCTGGGTGTCACACTATAAACAGAAGGAAAGACATACAAGCCTAGTATCAGAATTAATAACAAAAGGACCTGTAGAGACTATGTGAGGGCTTTTTAATCCAAGTTCCAGAGACCCCCCGCTCCAGGTCACCGTATGACTTAATGGCAAGACTAGAACTAGAGACCCCAGCCTCTGGATGCCCATTCTGGAAACATACAGGTTGTGGTTCACCAGGGCTCAAATCCTGGCCCTGCCACTTACTTGCCATATGACTTTGGGCAAAGGACTGAACCCCCGCTGAGCACCAGCTTCCTCACTTATAAAATGGAGATTAGGATATTATGGCAATAGTACCTACCACATAGGATTATTTTGAGAACTGTGCACGTAATGAACGGTAATAGAACTTCACCACAGGGGGTGATCTAGGAGGGTTGAAGACAAGCACTCAGCCATACTTGAATCCTGGCACCAGCACTTACGAGCTGCATGACCGTGGGCAAGTCTCCTAA
Organism: Homo sapiens; assembly: GCF_000001405.40. Taxonomy (NCBI): domain Eukaryota; kingdom Metazoa; phylum Chordata; class Mammalia; order Primates; family Hominidae; genus Homo; species Homo sapiens. The sequence continues at coordinate 39,503,723 of NC_000022.11, read as the reverse complement.
CCTCTCTGTGACTGTCTCAGTTCCTCATCTGTGAAGTGAGGATAAAAATCATATTTTGCCCATACGGTTGGCATAAGCACTAAATGAGTTTAATGTATGTGAATATGTTTAGAACAGCACTTGGCACACACGAAGCACTCTATCAACAGCAGATATTATTAGTAGCACCTAGCCAGGTTTGTAAATGCTCAATAAATAATTACATTTAAGTATAAACTGCCACTGCCTTCCTTCAGTAACAATAAACCCTTACACAAGCATATCTGTAAAGTGCTTTGTTGCCCATGACCACATTTAAATTAAGAATCTAGAAGGTGGTCAGGGTTCTTAGTAACAGTAAATGCTTATTGCATTATATTGCACTATATACAACGTGCAATGTTCGAAGCATGTCTCACATAACAACTCATTCTGTCAGCTACCCTAGGGGTCAACATTACCCCATTTTAAGTGGAGGAAACAATCTCCCAGAGGGAAGTAACTTGCCCGCGGGCCCACAGCTGTCAAGGGGAGGGCTGCACTCCTGACCCCAACTCTGCCTGCCTCTGGAATGAGTTACCCTTTGCTGGAGCCGGACCGTGTGTACAGCACTTCTGGGTGCTCCACGAACTTTCCCAGCACAGCGCTTGGCACATACAAGGGGCTCAAAATTATGCGTAACGGAGAGAATTTCACAACGTCCCTATGTGGAAGAAATGATCACCTCCGTTTCAGAAATAAAGAAATGACACCAAGTGGGGGAAGTATTTGGCTGGAAAAAAAGATTGGACTTTGGGCCCAAAGTCCGCGAGCCCTTAGCCTCCGGCCTTGCTAACTTCCTGCGCAAGCTTGAGCAAGCCACCATCCCTGCCCATTTTTCCTCAACTGTTTAAGAGATCCCTCGGCCCTAAGGACCTCCCGATGCAGAAAATCAACAGAAGTGTTTGATGCTGTAAAAGGCGACTGTCACGGCGAGGGCTGTAACTACAAGGTCGCTGGGCGACTGGGCGGCTGAGCCCCAGCCAGTCTGCACTTCACCAACCGTGGGGGCCGGGCCGGGGTGCGGAGGCCCAGAGGCCAGGGCAGGCCTGCTTCGGGGCACTGGAGGTCTCCGAGGTTGGGGCGGGGCGGGGCAGCCGAGGGGTCTCCCAGGGGAAAGTCCAGGGCGGGATGGGGCGAGACCCCCGGCTGCATGCTGGTATCCTGACTCCGGGCCGCATGCGAGGCGCCGGCAGCAGCCTGAGAGGAGGCGCTGCAACCTCCCCGCCGCCCAGCCGCCGGCGGCCCTCATTCCTTCTCTCACTCACCCGCAGGCCGTGCGCGCTACCACTCCGCAGGACTCGCCTCTGGCCGGGTACCTCTCCCCGGGTCACCCATCAACATGGCCCCTTCACTTCCGGGACACGACCTTGCGCACGGAGCTGCGAAGGGGCTGAAGGGAGCACGAGGGCGAGTGGAGGCGGAGGGACTTCCGGTCTTCTCCAAGCTCTCTCTCGGGCCCCGCCCCCTGCGCATGATTCCGCCCCCCAATCCTGAGCCCCGCCTCCGTGTGTGACCTCACCAAGGGACTGGCCTGCAGAGGCCACTCGCGCCCCGCCCCCAGAGGACTCCGGTGTCCGGGTCCGGCTGTGGGTACCGGGGTGGTCCCGATGCTGGCAGAAGTTCAGAGGGCAGGAGGTAGCCTCGCTGTCCAACAAGGCTGCCGCACCGGGTAGGCCCCTCACCTGCTGGCAACCCCTTAGCCTGTCGGGGTACCTGGCCAGCCTCCTGTACTGTATATGCTGATCTCTGGCTGGGGCCCTGGGGTACCTGAGGGAATTCTAACACTAATATTCAGAGCTCCTCAAAACCCATTTTCTCAGATCGCCTTCTTTTCATCCCTCCATGCTGTTCCTACTCCCCAGGCCCCATGGCTTCTGGCAAACTCCTACCCTTCCTTCAAAGTCTACCTCAAATGCCCCCCTTCACTGGGAAATCTCTCCCAGCCCCTTCCTCGCCTCCCTCTAACACACTCACGTGCCTTCTTTGGGCCCCACGGAAATGTCTGCACATCTTACGCCTCATAATCTGTTCAACAACAAAACGTATTTCTTGGCGCCTACCATATGCCAGGCACTGTAATTTATCCATTTGCTTCTCTGTCTCTCACTAGATTTGAGGACGGAGGCCGTGTCTCTATGGAAGCTCCCTCCCCCAACTGCCTCCCTCCATGCCTGGCTCTGCCAAGCCCAGGGCCTGGGGCTTTGGAGTCCGGGGCCACCGGGGCCACCGCTGGCTCCTAGTTCCAGTTCCACCACTTAGGGACAGCTGCCCTCTGCCAAGTTTCCTAACCTCACCCAGCCTTGGGGCTGTGGTGAGGATTAAAAGGTAATATCTACCAGTAGAGGGGTGGGCAATTGCAGAATAGTCAGGCTATCTGATAAAAGGACGAGAACCAGGAGAAGAACATTGCAGGGAAGAGCATTTCAGGCCTCCCCCCAGGTAAGCCTTTAAGCTCAGCGTGGTCTAGGAGCCACAGGGAGAAAGCCAGTGCTTTCGCAGCTGAGTGAGCAGGAGCTGGGAAAGAGGCCAGAGGGGAGGCCCTTACCAGAACTGGGAGGGAGATGGCGGGTGCAAAGGAACCACAGCAGGGTTCAGAGCCAAGAAGTGCTGGGATCTGACTTCCCTTTCAATGGGATCTGTCTGGCTTGAGAATAACGGAATGGAACCAGGGCTGAGGCAGGGAGACCAATCAAGAGTCTGTTGCAGGGCTGGGCACGGTGGCTCACGTCTGTAATCCCAGCACTTTGGGAGGCTGAGGTGGGCGGATCTACTTGAGGTCAGGAGTTCGAGACCAGCCTGACCAACATGGTGAAACCCCATCTCTACTAAAAATACAAAAATTAGCCGGGAGTGGTGGCATTGTACCTGTAATCCCAGTTACTTGGGAGGCTGAGGCAGGAGAATTGCTTGAGCCTGGGAGGCAGAGGTTGCAGTGAGCCAAGATCACGCTACTGTACTCCAGCCTGGGCGACAGAACAAGACTCGGTCTCAAAAAAAAGAAAAAGAAAAGAAAAGAAAACCAAGATGGAGAGAGGCATAGTAGTTTCTAAGACACTGAGCTAAGAAGGAAAGAAGCTTTCAGTGGAAGCCAAGTCTGTCTTACTCTGAAATGTGTGTTCTTTCCACTCTTTCAGGCTGCCCTAATTTGCTTTTTAAAGAATTTTGTGACCCAAATAAATATAATTGGTGGCATTTCCATCGGCATACCAGATGACCTCTTCATATCTCTCCTGACTTTCTTGTTCTATGGAATGTTATTTTTCGGAGGGAGGGACAGAGGGAGGTCATTTGGAGGGGTCTCCCCTTCGGATCAGCCCCTCTAGATCCACTTGCTCTTCAGGGTCTTATCTTTACTTAGACTGACAAGGCCTCTCCCTGCCCCCGATGCTTCCGTGGCAATGGAGTGTGGGCAGTGAGGTGGTATCTAGCACTTACATGTACGTACCCATGGTGCCTTTGTAGGCCAGAGACCCACGGCAGGGGGCACTGACCCAAACCTCAGGGCTCTGCCAGGTTTCACAGGGCAAGAGGCATTCCAGGATCTCTTGGATTGATATTGCAGGGTGTTTGTTTGTTTGTTTGTTTGTTTGTTTTGAGATGGAGTCTCGCTCTGTCTTTAGGCTGGAGTGCAGTGGCGCGATCTTGGCTCACTGCAGCCTCTGCCTCCCGGGTTCAAGTGATTCTCCTGCCTCAGCCTCCCGAGTAGCTGGGACTACAGGCGCACACCACCATGCCCGGCTAATTTTTGTATTTTTAGTAGAGACGGGGCTTCACCATATTGATCAGGGTGGTCTCGGTCTCTTGACCTCGTGATCCACCCGCCTTGGCCTCCCAAAGTGCTGGGATTACAGGTGTGAGCCACCACGCCCGGCCAGATATTGCAGGTTTAACAGTAACCCCCCTGATTTCACATCCAGATGATGGCATCAGCCTCTTAATGGTGATCATGGCTGGAGGGAGAGAGGGGAGCACTCGCTTACCCAGAACAGTGACTCACATATAGTAGTGAATGGGTGTAATTGTTGAATGAATGAACGTTTTGTGGAAAGACAGGAGGGATGGACCATTTCACCTGGGTCAGGGTGATCAAGCCTGTCTCATTTGAAAGGTGGGTTGGTGGTGAGTGCAGGGCAAGTGCGTTGGGCTTCGTGAGCCTTAGTCCCTCCACCTGTGTATTGGAGATGGTGAGAAAGGACTAGCTTATCAGGCTGTTGAAGATTAATCAGAGAGGGCATGTGAGGCCTGATGCATGAGGTGAGGGGTGGCTAATTATAAAATGTCATTGGAGGCTGGGTGTGGTGGCTCACGCCTGTAATCCCAGCACTTTGGGAGGCTGAGGTGGGCGGATCACCTGGGGTCAGGAGTTTGAGACCAGCCTGGCCAACATGATGAAACCCCATCTCTACTAAAAATAGAAAAATTAGCCAGGCATGATGGCAGGCGCCTGTAGTCCCAGCTACTTGGGAGGCTGAGGCAGGAGAATCACTTGAACTCAGGAGGCGGAGGTTGCAGTGAGCCGAGATCATGCCACTGCACTCCAGCCTGGGCAACAGAGTGAGACTCTGTCTCAAAAAAAAAAGAAAGAAAGAAAAGAAAAAATGGAGACAGTGATTTTGCTGGAAAGGGAAAGAGAAGATGAAAGGACAGCTACAGGGGACAAAAGCCAATTGTATGTGTTGCATCTGGGTTTGTTTAGGGGTTGGCTGGTATTTATTCTAGCCTTGATGCAGGGAGGGGGCAGCCAGAAGAGGGAGAGAAGTTGAAAAACGCAGAGAGAGGGAGCCCTCAATGGCGTGATGTCACAGAGGAGACAGGGGACAGTGAGAGAGGCCAGGTGCCCCTTAGCTGCAGGGGGAGCAGGGAGGGACAGCCCAGGCTTCCCAGCAAAAGGGCAGAGGAGCCTGTGTCTTACCAGTCTCGTTCCCTTTGCTTTGCCCAGTAGGATGCCTTATAAAATTGAGACCCTGTGTAAATGCTTAGAGGGAATTAGAGGGAAATTGCTACTGGATGATAAGGCAGAAAGCTCAGTCCAGCCCACCCCCTCCTCCCCACCCCCTCCCAGGGGTTACTCCAGGCTGATGGAGGAACAGAGGAATCAGGAGTTCCTGGTTCCTGTAGCCAGATCAGGAAAGCTCTGGGAAGTCAGCCAGCCAGCGACTTGGAAATTACTGTCAAAGAGAGAGCCTCCTCCCTCTTAATGGGGTTTGCTGTCATCAGATGTCATTATTCCTGTATTCACCAGACAAGAACCTGATATCCCCAGGCAGAAGGGCCGGTCCCCCATTCACCTGTAAAATCTCCACTGCCCACATTGTGCCAGGTGGTGTTGAAAGGGACAAAGGGAATGTAAGCTTGCTCACCGAACGCCCTCTTGCAGGTGGATTGGCTGCCTTTGAATTAGATGTCTACTGCAGTCCAAGGGGATGGGACAAAGTAGTAGGATAGGATAACAGGGGCTCCCTGAAACTATAGCAGAATTTTGACTTGGCACTGCTGTGATGGGGAGCCATAGACTATTTTAAAGTTGGGGTGTAGTGGCTGGGCGCAGTGGCTCATGCCTGTAACCCCAGCACTTTGGGAGGCTAAGGCAGGCAGATCACTTGAGGACAGGAGTTCGAGACCAGTGTGGCCAACATGGTGAAACCCCGTCTCTACTAAAAATACAAAAATTAGCTGGGCGTGGGGGTGCATGCCTGTAATCCCAGCTACTCAGGAGGCTGAGGCATGAGAACTGCTTGAACCCAGGAGGCAGAGGTTGCAGTGAGCCGTGATCACGCCACTGCACTCCAGCCTGGGCAGCAGAGCAAGACTCTGACTCAAAAAAAAAAAAAAAAAGTTGGGGGTAGTGATAGAATCAGAGCTAGGATGTGAGGCAAGGCAGGGCTGCTGGGCGTAGTTGTTCATGTCACACACTGCACAAAGGTACCACATCTAAGGGGCACCTTTCACATCAAGACCTTGTAGAACTGTATGTTTCTTACGACATTTCTTTGGCAGAAGGCAGTTTATCATTCTAACGAAATCAGTGCACGATGGCAGTTTTCCAGTAAATGGAAGTAAAATGTCTGGAGGAAGGGATGCCCTTGCCAATGAGTACAAAGGCCCATATGGGCTGGTGTCAGCCCTCATGGAGAATTCATTGGTCAAGACTGGAAGAGTCTCTCGGTCTTGGCACCATCTTCTTGGAAACCTCTGTGCCACGAGAGCTAAGTGGAGGAAGAAGCAAATATACAAGTGGAAGCGCAAAAGAAGAAAGATGAAGCCGGGCAAGGTGCCTCACACCTGTAATCCCAGCACTTTGGGAGGCTGAGGTGGGCAGATCCACTTGAGGTCATGAGTTAGAGACCAGCCTGGCCAACATGGCGAAACCCCATCTCTACTAAAAATACAAAATTAGCCAGGCGTGGTGGCACATGCCTGTAATCCCAGCTACTTGGAAGACTGAGGCAAGAGTATCATTTGAACCCAGGAGGTGAGGTTGCGGTGAGCCGAGATCGTACCATTGCACTCCAGTCTTGGCAACAAGAGCAAAACTCTGTCTCAAAAAAAAAAAAAAAGAAAGAAAGAAAGAAAAGGAAAAAAGAGGCCGGGCACGGTGACTCACACCTGTAATCCCAGCACTTTGGGAGGCCGAGGTGGGCGGATCACGAGGTCAGGAGTTCAAGACCAGCATGACCAACAGGGAGAAACCCCATCTCTACTAAAAAATACAAAAATTAGCCGGGCGTGGTGGGGTGCACCTGTAATCCCAGCTACTCAGGAGGCTGAGGCAGGAGAATCGCTTGAACCCAGGAGGCAGAGGTTGCAGTGAGCCGAGATCGTGCCACTGCACTCCAGCCTGTGTGATAGCGTGAGATTCAAAAAAAAAAGGAAAGAAAGAAAAGCAAGTGAGATGCCAGTCACAGCTGTGCCTGGCCCTCCCACTAGGAGACAATGCAGCACAATGAGAAGGGTATTGGAGCCCCTGGTCCTAAATCCTGGTTAGGAGCTGCATGCCTTTGAGCAATTCATGCCCTTAATCTCCCTAAATCCTGGGATCCCCCCTTTAGTCTTCGCAGGCTGGAAAATGGAAGGGCCCAGCTCTGAATATCACTCAGTTCCGTGGGAGAAAAGCTGACACTCCAGTGAGTGCCGGCAGCGCCCCCAGAGGATTCCATGAGGCAATGTATGCAAAGTGCTGGCCTTGTACATGCTCAGGGCTCCACAACCGTCTGCTTCTTCCTCCAGTGAGTTTGCACTCCAGGCAATATTTAGTAACGTCTGGAAACATTTTTTGGTTGTCACATTTGCAGAGGTGGGTTCCACTGGTATCGAGTGGCTGGAGGCCAGGGACGCTGCTTCAGCGCCCTACATTGTACAGGACAGCCTCATAGCAAGGAATGAACTGGCCTGCGGTGTCAGCGGTGCCCAGCCTGGGAAACACCGCCTACTCTCAAACACTTTTGAGCTCCTAGAAAGCAGAAAAATGTGTCTCGTCTTGCTGTTGTTGTTGTTGTTGTTCTTGTTTTTTGAGACAGGATCTCAGTCTGTTGCCCAGGCTGGAGTACAATGGCATGATCTCAGCTCACTACAACCTCCACCTCCCGGGTTCAAGCAATTCTCCTGCCTCAGCCTCCCGACTAGCTGGGATTACAGGCGCCCACCACCACGCCCAGCTAATTTTTGTATTTTTAGTAGAGACAGGGTTTCACCATGTTGTGCAGGCTGGTCTCGAACTCCTGGCCTCAGGTGATCCGCCAACCTCGACCTCCCAAAGTGCTGGGATTACAGGCATGATCCACCGAGCCCGGTTTAGGTTGTTACCTTTGAATACTTTGTGGACACTCATGTGGATGAGGGCCTGGCCTTGTCCCGTGTGGCCTTCTAGAAGGCCCAGTGCTCTAACCAGGGCCTGCTGTGAGGCATGCTGGGTCTTCAGAAGGCAGCCTGGCAGGACAGGTAGCAGGTTCTAATTACACCATAGGGGGTCCCATGTGACAGTTAATAGCAGTGCCAAGTCTGGGCCAGGTTGGGCCAATAACTGGGGGGCAACCTACCCTGTAGGCAAGGCCTTGCAGAGGAGGAAGTTTGGGCCAGAGAATACCTGCTGCCCTCTGGTGGTGTCTTTTTAAAAAAGGAATTTGGCTGGGCAGGGTGGCTCACAACTGTAATCGCAGCACTTTGGGAGGCCATGGTGGGTGGATCACCTGAGGTCAGGAGTTCAAGACCAGCCTGGCCAACATGGTAAAACCCCGTCTCTACTAAAAATACACAAATTAGCCGGGCTTGGTAGCGGGCACCTGTAATCCCAACTACTTAGGAGGCTGAGGCAGGAGAATCACTTGAACCCGGGAGGCAGAGGTTGCAATGAGCCAAGATCATGCCGCTGCACTCCAGCCTGGGTGACAGAGTGAGACTCCATCTCAAACAAACAAACAAACAAACAAAGGAATTTATGGGCTCAGATTTTTATAGGAAGCCGAGTTCCATTTAGGCCACATGGTATTTGAGGTGACATTGACACCTGGGGGCTTCGTGCAGCAGGCAGCGGGCTTCATGGGCTGGGTCCTTAGGAAAGAGGACTCCCTGGAGAGATGGATCCAGCTCCACGTTGGTAAGCACTGAGAACTGCAGGTAGAGAGTGGATCCAGGGCCAAGCCCTGGGGAGCCCCCTTATTGAAGGGGTGCGTGGGGAAAAAGGAACCAGGAAGACAACCAGGAAGAAATGTCATAGAGGGAGGAGGAAGAGGAGAGCCACGAGACAGATGAGTCACAGAGGCTAAGGGAAGCAGACCCAGGAAAGGAGGCATGACCCACGCATCACATGCAAGGAGATGGAAGGTGCAAATGGGGCCACGATGCTGAGTGCTCACGCTCATGGAGCTCTCACCATGCTCCAGGCTCTGCTCCAAGCTCTGAGCATCCTCACAATCACCGCTGGAGGTCTGTCCTATGACGGTCCTGTGTTACAGATGAGGACCCAGGAGAGGGAGGTGACCAAGGGCTGGTGGCTGGTGAAAGGCCTGTTGGAGGCAGCTGAGGCTGTGCCAAAGGTACCATCTGGGCCCCAGATTTCTTTTGGAGAACCACCTTCCCTTTTCCTCAGCCAGTAGACACAGGGCTCTGATTGATCTACGTGAATTGGCAGATTCCATCCCAAGCCCCTCCAGTCTCACTGATGCATTCAGGGATATTCACGTGACCTAAATCAAGTCAGTGAGATCCACACCCAGGACTCTGAGAGAGAGGAGCTCTATTTCTGTTGTGCTGAGCGTAAAGCTGAGATGGTGAAGCCTGAAGCTGCTGCAGCCGTCTTGCAGGCATGAGGGGTAAACCTGTCTGAGACTTGGGACAATGCAAGTTAGGAAGTGGAGCTGTGCTCAGCCACAAGAGAGCTGGATGACAATGTGACTGTACCCGAAGCCGACATTACCCCTGAACTTTACCATTAGTAAACCAGTAAATTCCTTGCCTGCCTCACTGGTTTGGGTTGGTTTTTCTAGTTTGCCTCACTAGTTTAGGTTGTCATTAAATGAAAGCAAACTGTACCAGTTATCTATGGCCACAATTAAGCTGTGTAAGAAACCAAGAAACTTAGCAGCAATTGGGCTCATGAGACTGGATCAGTATTTAGGCTGGACTTGACTAGGCAGTTTTTCTGGTCTCAGCTGGGCTCACACACGTTGGTCAGCTGGGATGAGTGGGAAAACCAGGCTACATGTGGAGGCCACCATGACAAACATTTGAGTCACTGTTGATGTTTTGCCTCTAGAAGCTCTTGGCCATCCAAATTCCAGGATAGGAATTTGGAAAGTGGTTGGTGAAACTGATGCGGGGTTGGGCTTTTCTGCAAACACTTCAGATAAACAGAATTGCAAGAAATGCATTCATATGAGAGAAGCTAGTCTGTTGCAGATTGTCTCTCAGTTCCGGTTTGTGTACTGTTTCCTTGGGATTCGATCCAGGTGGTTCATTTTTAGCAGCAGACTTCACAGGTGCTGTGGGGTCCTTTTACAGACGTGGAAAATGGGTATAATGGGGAGGGATGTCTTTTAGCTCAGAGTTTGGCACAAAATAGGCACTTAATCAATAATGTCTGTAAATACTGATGATGATGATGATGATGATGATGATGATGATGATTCACCATAGGACATGATTTGAGGGTTGTTAACTTGATCTTAAACGGCATGTGGGTCAATAATGCCCTCTTCTGGCTAGGTAGGGTGTCTACATCTTCTCCACTTCCTCAACCCTGTGGAATTCAACCCTCACCCCATCCCCACTCCAAGTACCTGCAGCAGGTACCTTTCTGGGCTTTGTGAGTGTGGCCAGAAGTCCAAGCAGTCCCAGCCCGCAGGTGTCAGACTGATGCATGCGTGACACTTTGCGAGTGGTCAGAAAACATGAGCCCTTGCTTTGGCCACCAGGACTGTGGTCACACCTCCTTCCATCTCTGGGCCTCCGTCTCTCCATCTAACATGGAGGTTGCACAGCCACCCAACAGGGGACCATGGCAGAGCTCAAAAGGTGTCTGTTCAGCCGGGCGCGGTGGCTCACGCCTGTAATCCCAGCACTCTGGGAGGCTGAGGTGGGCGGATCACGAGGTCAGGAGTTCGAGACCAGCCTGACCAACATGGTGAAACCCCGTCTCTACTAAACATAGAGAAATTAGCCAGGCCTGGTGGCACATGCCTGTAATCCCAGCTACTCAGGAGGCTGACACAGGAGAATCGCTTGGAGACAGGAGAATCGCTTGAACCCAGGAGGTGGAGATTGCAGGAGCTGAGATCGCGCCACTGCGCTCTAGCCTGGGCAACAGAGTGAGACTCTGTCTCAAAAAAAAAAAAAAGTGTCTGTTCCCACCGCCTGAGACTGTCTTTAGGACACACACAGGGGACCCCCAGGACAACTCCAGTGCCCACCCGGCCCAGAGGAAGCTCCTTGGAAGCCCTGACATCCCAAGGCTCCAGGTGCTGTCCAAGCACAAGTTCAAGGTTGGCTACATGGGAGGGAGATACCTGCTCCTGGGAGTCCAGAGAGTCCGGTGCTGAGAGTCCAGGTCCAGAATCTACAAGGCTGTGACCTTGGATGAGGCATTTAGAACCTGACAGGAAAAACTACTGAGGCAGGAGCACTTATTTTGATGCCCCAGAGCAGAATTGTAGAACCACCCCCTCTCTGCAGAGGCACCAAAGCCTTCATCCAGATCCCCAAAAGGGTCCCTGCCCACCTGCAGGAGGGTGGGTGCCCCTGGTCCTAGGAGCCTGGTTCACTTCTGCTTCCTTCCACCAGACCTCAGCCCAGCATCCTCCACTTCCCAGCTGCTTCCACCTGCGGCTGGGGGACACGTCATCCCTAAGTGAAGGTGCTCCCTGCAGCCCCCTCTCCCCACTGGCCATCCAGTCCTTGGGAAGTTCTTGCACCCCATGGATCCAGAAGTAAGGGTGTCTTTAGCAAGACCAGAGCCACCTGTTCCCACCCCTCCCTGCCCCAGAGCACCCACAAACCGGCCACACATGCACACAATTCAGACTTTGTAGCTGTTTTTATTATTAATATTATCTTCTCCTTTAAGCATCCCTTTAAGGGTGAAATGAAATCCAACCATTTACAGAGAAAATGATTTCAGAATGTACATATTGATTTTCCCTTACAAAAAAAATAATACTATTATTGATGTCCTTACATTATGCATTTCCCAGGGTCCTGCCTTCTGCTTGGACAAGTCCCGTCTCCCCACCCAGACTCTCCCTGTTGCCCCCAAAGATCTCCCATGCTGCCCCTGGGAACCGACGTGACCCATGGGTGGATAAGGCCAGCCATGCTTCCCGGATGCTTGGCATGGACAGGCCTCCTTGGGTCTAGGGGTCTCAGGGCCAGTTATTCCCGGGGAGAAAGGTGGACATGGGACATGGCAGCAGTGTGCCGGTGGTCACATTCAGCTTGGTTTCCCTTCATATTGAGGGAGTGGCCCTGGGTTCTTCTGCCCCCACCAAATTCCCAGTGTATGCTGTGATGATATGTGAAACTCTTCAATCCTGTGCCCTGGCCCCCAGCCCTCTGACAGCTGCCCTCTCCACCGATGGCCAGGCCTTCACTCCTGCTGCTGTGAACAGGACCTGCCCCACCAGGTCTGTGAGGAAGGCAGAGCCTGGCAGCTCTGAGCTGCTCCTATCTTCCTTCGCTTAGCCCTGAGCTGGTGCCCTGGAGGGGCATCCCATAGCAACTGAGGATGCCAGGGGCGTGGGGGTGGGAAAGCTGCCAAGGAGGGAGGCCCCAGGCCAGGGCCTGGGCATGATCAGGAGCCCTGAGACTCCCTGTCCATGGGGTGCAGCCTGGCCTAGATTGACCCAGAGCCATAGGGACCCCGAGTGTTTGAGCCACCTCTCAGCCCCAAGAGCAAACAGAAAGGAAGGCTGCTGTGACTTCAAAGGAGTTCCATGGGGGGCAGTCCCCTAGATGGGAGCAAAGTGGCTCAGAGCCCCTCAGCCCACTTCACGCTTGCCCACCAGCGGCTCCTCTGAGGCCAGCTCCCCACACCATGCCCTCACTGGGCACTTAACCCAGACAGTGCTGTCGCAAGAAGATGCCCTCCTCTCCTGGCCCATCAGGAAACCCCCAACCATAAGACATCTGGAGAAAGCCCCACTGGAGGTGGGGGGGAGGGGACAGGTGGGATGATGCGGCTGGGGCCGAGAGGGGCTGGGGAGGTAGTGGGCTCTCAGCTGCACAGCCCTCAGGTCAGGATTCTCATTCCTCAGACTGAAAGACAGACAGACAGACAGACCCTGCATCCCCTTTAGCTTTGCTTTCTAGGCTCCCCAAGGGCTTTCTGCCTCAGTCATTTTGGGGAGCTGCAGGAGGTGTGGCCACAGGCCCGAGGAAGAGGCCAGGCCTGGGCCTGGCCTCTTCCATCCATACACAAGCATGTATTTACAGGGACACAGCAATACAGACATGTACAAATACACACCAAGCATGCACCCATGCCCATAAATATACACACACACACGCACAAACATGAGCCATTCCACAGGCCAACTCTGCAAACCGGCATCATTGGGTAGCGTCTGAGGGGCCGAGGGGAGGGGGTGTTTCCCCTTCCCACAGAGCTGCAAGCTCCTCACTGCCCCCAGCCCTGGGCTGCACAGTGAGGGAAACAGGAGCAAGCTGTTCCGGAAACTCTGACAATGAGAGCTGGATCCGACGACTGAGTTATTGCTGCTCCCTCCCCCTCTCCCAGAGATGCTACTGGTCCCCCATATCCATTCTCTTCTCCTCCATCAATAAGATAACTCCCAAGGTGAGGCCAGGCACATGGCGGCCCCGCTGAAGACTACACTTCCCAGGTTCCCTAGCAGCTGCTTGTGGCCATGTGACTGAGTCCCAGCCAATGAGAGGCCAGCAGAGGTGAGCCTGCCAATTCTGGCTCATGCCTTTAGCAAAAAGTGGGTGTGCCCTCTTGTCTATTTCTGCTTCCCCCAGGCTTGGATGCACACAGGAGGGTGGGCGCTGGAGCAGCCGCTGTGTACCCAGAATTGGAAGGTGCGTATGAAGAAACGCAGAGCTGCCCTACCAGCTCTGGGCCATCTCAATCTAGACTAATTAGAAACAAGCTTCCATCTTGCTTAAACCACTGTATTTCAGGGTCTCCTAATCACAGCAGCTCAGAATCAACTCCAACAAAGACATCCCCACCAAGGCAAGCTATGAGGAACAGGAAGCATACAACTGGCCTTATTGTCCCTTTTTGGGCCCAAGACAGCCTCATGGCCCCTTTCTGGCCCCCAGCCAGCCTGCCCCAAGGAAGGGCACAACAGTGACTGCACCTGGGACAGTGGACAGCTGGGACTGGGTGTCAGAAGGAAGGGGTGATGGGGAGGGAGAGACGGATCCGTGCAGAGGACTCATGTCAGTCTTCTCCTCCCCACTTCCCCCTCAAGGCCACACCTACAACTGGACTCTTGGCCTTGCAAGGACTGAGTGCACAGTCCACAAGACAGCAATGTGAAAGGGAGAAGGAACGTCAACGCCGGGTTTAGAACCAAAAGGAAAGCTCCTCAGGGTTCTCCAGGCCCCTGTGTTGGCTCACGACAGCCTGAGGGGTGCACAGAGACAGACTCAGGCACCAGCATCCCAGGGCAGCCAGGTCCTGTCCTTTGCGGCAGGGGGTGGAGTTCTGTCTCCATCTGGCCCAGCACTTCTGACTACACTGCAAAGCATCCCTCAGCACCTCCTCTTGGTAGGATGTGGCTTTTTCATCTCTTCCCTACGAGGTGTCCACGCTTCCTCCTGGACCCAAATGCATCTACTTACAGAGCCCTGGGTCCTCCTGGCAGGCCGGTCTCCCACACGGAGCCCAAGGCCCAGGGATGCCAAATGGTGGGCTTTTTCCCGGCCTGGCCACCCCCCAGAGGCTGCCTGGTGAGATCCTGCAGGCTCTCTTCCCCAATCCTGCCTACCCTCCCCCGCTACCCAGGGACCACCACGCACACTCCAGTGGCACCTCCTGGCCACAGCAGTCTTGGCAGTCATAAGGGCCACCCAGACGTCACGGCCTGCGCCCTCTCCCAACAGGAGGGATATTTTCTGAGCTCAAAGGCCTGACCCTTGATTCACAAGGGCTTCAGTAGGGAAACCCTACCCCCACCCCCACTCCCCACCCACTCCTGGTCCCCTCAAGAACCAAGGAGCCGGCAGGAGGCAGGGAGATAGCGCTAGGGGCCGCCGCCACCCCCGCCCTGTCACAAACCCTATCAGATCATGCAGCTCTAGACTTCCGCCTCGTCCAGTTTGCCCCGGGCGGGCGGCCTTCCCTCGGGACCCCTGTGGCGCCACCCGCCCGCCGCCGTGCTCCTGGGCTCCTGGTAGGGGTTGTCCAGCAGGTAGTGGAACCGGTCGTAGTTCTTCAGCAGGTACTTGGGCGCATACATGTGCTCGCTGGGGTCTGCAGGCGGGTACTCCTGCTGCGTGCCGTCGAACCAGCCCCCGGTGCGGATCAGGCCGCGGATGTAGTTCAGGTCCCGCTTGTCCTCGTAGTCACCCCAGCGTGGGAAGTCGCCATTCTGGGCGGACACGAGCTTGAAGTAGATGCCCTCGGGCGTGAAGCACCAGGAGCAGTGCCAGCCGGCGAAGTGCAGGGGGCTGCCCAGCGACCACTGCACCAGGATGTGGCCGGTGCGGTTCTCATACTGTCTGAAGTTGGGCATGGTGTAGTACTGGCGGCGGCGCAGGCGGATGCCGTCCAGCCCATACACTGCCTGCAGCATGTCCACCGTGCAGCCTGACACCACCTCCAGGGTGCCCGGCTGCTTCCAGAAGAAGCCGTAGAGCGACTTGCGCATGTGGAAGGCGAAGGGCTCGGTCCAGCCATCGTAGAGCTTGAGGAAAAGGACGCCGTCACGGGCCGGGATCTCGTCCGCATCGTCAATGATGAAGACGTCGTCGGGCCGCAGGTTGCGCAGCCGCGAGACGCCGTCCTGGGTGAGGAAGGTGCGCAGGTAGTCGTCGGCGATCCAGCCGTCCTGCCGGCCGCCGGGCGGGAAGTGGTCCAGGAAGACATAGAGCACCTTGTGGCGGATGTACTCGAAGGTGCCATTGGTCAGCATCTCCCGGAACTTGAGCGGCCGCGGCTCCCCATAAGCCGTGAAGTTGGACTCGCACACCACAAAGGCGTCCACCACGTCGCCCAGCTCGTGGAAGCGCACGTCCAGCAGGTCGAACTCGTGGTTGACGTTGATGGCGTTGATGACGCGGCGCGGCACCTCCCTGGGCACCAGCCGCTCCTTGGTGGGCAGGTTGGAGTACTGCACCACAGTGGGCACGCCGCAGCTGGGTCCGTGCCAGCCGGGCAGGCACACGCACTCCACCCACTTGCGCCGGGCGCCTCGGCCCCCCGTGCGCTCCCGGGCGCTCAGGAGGTACCGGGGTGGCCGCCGGGCCGAGGAGCCGTTGGCCCCCTCAGGCTTCTCCTCCGGCCGTCCCGGGGGCGGCCTCTCCAGCATCTTGGTGCCGGGTTTGAAGCAGACGCCGCCGGCCTTGGTGCGCACGAAATACTCGGTGGTGTCCTCGGGCAGCACCAAGTCCACCCGGTGGAGCTCCTCGGCCGCCTTGCTGGGCGGCAGCGGCTGCAGCAGGGGCGAGTGGGAGTAGAGTGGGGTACGCAGCAGGTCAGGGCCTCCTGGCTCGGGGCTGGCCTGGGGCGTGACCGGGGCATTGTTCCAGAAAAAGCTGGACACCAGGTTAGGGCTGAGGGAGGCCAGTTCTCGGGGGAAGGTGACATAGGACAGGGTCTTGAAGAAGTGCAGGAAGGAGATGAGGCACAGGCCGGCCATACAGAACATGAGAAAGAGCTTGTAGCGTCTCATCTTCATCCTGCGGGAGAGAGAGAGACAGGAGACTCATCAGGGCAGCCCAGGCTCCTTTCCTAGGAAGGGGACCTAGGAGGCCTCTGCTGCCACCTTGCTGGACAATGTGGTGGCCAGCACCTGCTGCCCCTGCATGGAGTGACCTCCTGCCCCCAAGAGTCAACTCGCGGTACCAAGGCCCCTGAAAGCCCCAGCACTGAGGACACCGCCGTGCTCCCATAGCCCTTCCCTGAGATCCCCAGGCCACCACCCTGCCCCCTCTGCAGCCTGCTTCTCCGCCTGGCCCACCCCACCCTGACTGTGCGGCTGCACTGCTAGGCTTGGCTCCAGGAGTAACATGCGCCTTGGGAAAAGCTCAACTCGCAGTACAGACTCCGCCCCAGGACAGAACGGGGAGAGCAGGCTGTAGGCTGCCCTCCTGGGTCCTGTCCCTCCCCTCCTATCTTCTTTTTTATGGACATACTGACAAACCTTTTGAATATTTTTTCACTGAAAAAACTCACAGGTCTCAAGGGAAAACACTTAATTCTAACATATTTAATGAATAAAATTAGGCCAGGCGTGGTGGCTCACGCCTGTAATCCCAACACCTTCAGAGGCTGAGGCAGGAGGATCACTTGAGCCCAGGAGTTTGAGACCAGCTTGGACAACATAGTGAGACCCCATCTCTACAGAAAATTTAAAAATTAGCCAGGTGTGGTGCCATGTGCTTGTGGTCCCAGCTACTTAGGAGGCTGAGGTGGGAGGATCACTTGAGACCTCGAGGTTGAGGCTGCAGTGAGCCATGATTGCACCACTGCGCCCCAGCCTGGACAACAGACTGAGACCCTATCTCAAAAACAAAATAAAATAAAAGTTCCCCTTCATTATTCCATGCCCTTTACTAATCTCCAGGCATAAAAATTTGAGGTCGGCCAGTGCAGTGGCTCACGCCTATAATCCCAGCACTTTGGGAGGCCGAGGTGGGCAGATCACAAGGTCAGGAGTTCGAGACCAGCCTGGCCAACATGGTGAAACCCTGTCTCTACTAAAAATACAAAAGTTAGCTGAGTGTAGTGGCGCATGCCTATAATCCCAGCTATACCGGCTGAGGCAGGAGAATTACTTGAACCCAGGGGGCGGAAGTTGCAGTGAGCCATGATCACGCCATTGCACTCCAGAACCTGGGTGACAAGAGCAAGACTCCATCTAAAAAAAAAAAAAAAAAAATTTGAGGTCTATCTCTGGCTTTATATGCAATTTTTCTATTCTTGATTTAATATTTTTCATAAATACTACCATATTGGACACTAAGTCTAACCAAGTTGTTTTCCTCAATCAATGATAGATTTAAAAGATTTTGGTATCAGTAGAAATAAATGTACCAGTTCCTTTTAAATCCCACATATTACATGGCTATTGTGAATAAATCACTCTGTATTCATGACTCATGATGTAACCATTTGCTATTCATTTATACAGTTTAATTTATCAATCAGTTTATGGCTGTGGAATGGAGATGCTTGTATATTCTCATTCTCCAATTTAAATTTTTTTTGTGTGTTTTTGTTTGTTTGTTTGTTTTTAAGACAGAGTCTTGCTCTGTCGCCCAGGCTGAAGTGCAGTGGTGCGATCTCTGCTCACTGCAGCCCCTGCCTCCCAGGTTCAAGGAATTCTCACCTCAGCCTCCCAAGTAGCTGGGATTACAGGCACACACCACCACACCCAGCTAATTTTTGTATTTGTAGTAGAGATGGGGTTTCGCCATGTTGGCTAGGCAGGTCTCGAACTCCTGACCTCAGGT
Organism: Homo sapiens; assembly: GCF_000001405.40. Taxonomy (NCBI): domain Eukaryota; kingdom Metazoa; phylum Chordata; class Mammalia; order Primates; family Hominidae; genus Homo; species Homo sapiens. The sequence continues at coordinate 39,485,570 of NC_000022.11, read as the reverse complement.
GATCCGCCCACCTCGACCTCCCAAAGTGCTGAGATTACAGGCATGAGCCACCATGCCTGGCCTAAATAAACTTTTAATTTTAGAATATTTGTAGATTATCAGAAAAGGTGCAAAGACAGCACAGAGGCTTCCTCACACACTTCACCCTGTTGCTCCCAGTTTATACCACCATGGTACATTTGTCACAACTAGGAAACGGACATCAGAATGTCACCATCAGCCAAACCCCATGCTGGATTTGGATCCCTCGTTTTATGAATGAGCCGTGCAGCCACAGAGCACCTCCGACCGTAGCCATCCAGCTCATTTCACCCTTGAGTCTAGGCAGGTGGGCAGGCGAGCCAGGAGTTTACATCCATTTGACCAGTGAAGATGCTGGGTGGGGCCAAGTGAGACCAGTGACCTGTCCGGGGGGAACCCACTGAGTCACAGAAAAGGCTGAGACAGAAACCTTGCCTTTGGCATCTGGCACTGTCCCACCTAGATATTCTTAAAATGTTCCCATCTGTGGCTTCTCTTTATTTTTGATTCTTTCTCTGGGTCATGCTCTCCCCCTCACTTTTTTTTTGAGACAGGGTCTCACTCTGTCACCCAGGCTGAAGTGCAGTGGCTAGATCCTGGCTCGCTGCAACTTCCATCTACCAGGTTCAAGCAATTCTCTTGCCTCAGCCTCCCAAGTAGCTGGAATTACAGGCGTGTGCCACCATGCCCTGATAACTTTTGTATTTTTAGTGCAGATGTGGTTTCACTACGTTGGCCAGGCTGGCCTTGAACTCCTGACCTCAAGTGATCTGCCCGCCTCAGCTTCTGAAAGTGCTGGGATTACAGGCATGAACCACCATGGCCAGCCTCCCTACTTTTTAAGGACAGCAAGGTAGGGTGGAAAGATAGGAATTTGGGTTAGGCGTGGTGGCTCACGCCTGTAATCCCAGCACTTTGGGAAGCTGAGGCAGGTGGATCACCAGAGGTCAGGAGTTTGAGACCAGCCTGGCCAACATTGTGAAACCCTGTCACTACTAAAAATACAAAAATTAGCTAGTCATGGTGGTGGGCACCTGTAATCCCAGCTACTAGGGAGGCTGAGGCAGGAGAATCGCTTGAACCAGGGACGTGGGGGTTGCAGTGAGCCGAGATCGCACCACTGTACTCCAACCTGGGCAACAGAGTGAGACTCCGTCTCAAAAAACAACAAACAAACAAACAAAAAAAAACAAGGCTCCTAATCATTCTGAACCTTAGTTTCTCCATCTGTGAAATGGGCACAGAGTTCCTGGCATGCAGCATGCTCAATAAGCTCTTGTTCCCTTCAATGCTCAAGGCTGGATGCCCGCAGTTTAATTTTCTACAAGCCACATGGTCGTAAGGCACAGAATCACAACACGATTGATCTAGAAATTTTAAGGACCATCTCCTCCAACTCTTTCATTTTATAGAGGAGGAAACCAGGACCTAGGGGCCTTCAGGGACCTGCCCAAAGTCACAACAGAGCTGGAGTGTGAACCGGGCAGCTGGGCTCCTGCACCAGGTGCCCCTCATGACCTCAGCTTGCGAGGAGTCCTGAGCAGGCTGGTAAGAAGCAGTGGAGCTGCTGATCCCGACAATCAGGGCAGCGTTTGCCCCATTCGAGCTCAGATATCCCTCCTCCAGTAAACGCCTGCCCCCCTGGAGCTGTCCACACGGAGTGGGCACAGCTGACTGCGGGCAGGTAGAACAATCTGGGGTAGGGGCCTGACCTCTGCTAAATGTCCCAGGGCAGAGCTGGGGCTGTTCGCCACTGGAGTTTGGAAGGAGGGGCTGCTCCTTGATAACATTTTGAAGTGGGTCTTCTGCACTTCATTCTCCATTTTGGATTCCAGCCCTTGTCTGGCAAAGTGAGACCAGTTGGGCTGGACCAGCTGGGTGAGCAAAAGGGGCTAGGAGTGCTGTGGCCAGGACCAGACACAAGGCAATACTGCAGCCGGGGTTAGCATGGCGGAAGCTTCCAGAGCAACCTACTCTTGGGGTTTCAGGACTTGGAAAGGCAGCCTGGATCCTTCTGGTGGGCTATTTTTCTTTTCTTTTTTTTTTTAATTTTTTAATTTTTTTGAGACGGAGTTTTGCTCTTGTTGCCCAGGCTGGAGTGCAATGGTGCGATCTCAGCTCACCACAACCTCTGCCTCAAGCAATTCTCCCGCCTTAGCCTCCTGAGTAGCTGGGACTACAGACATGCACCACTACACCGGCTAATTTTGTATCTTTAGTAGAGGTGGGGTTTCACCATGTTGGTCAGGCTCGTCTCGAACTCCTGACCTCAGGTGATCTGCCCGCCTTGGCCTCCCAGAGTGCTGGGATTACAGGTGTGGGCCACTGTGCCTAGCCTTAGTGGGCTATTTTTCTGTACTTGGGACCTGCCTCTGAGGGGGACACTCTAAGTTACACAACTGGTGTAAGCTATGTGGCAGGCATGGCCTGGGGCTGCCATTCAGACTCTAAATCCCCTGGCAGCATGAACAAAGGCTTTAGCAAAGCAAGGTAAGAGGAACTCAGAGAGGCAAGGAAACAGCCTGCTTGGCGTAAAGGGCCTCCGTGGACCTGCTGAGGTCAGATTGACCCAGCTGCCCCTTGGCTGGCTTTCAGGATCTAGTTACTCATAGCCAGCTGTGCCCTTCTGAGCACGGACTCACCAGTGCTTGGGAGCTCCCCTCTCAGTCACTGGAGCCTTCAGGACAGGGCCCCTTAATAAGGCCTCAGTCTGGGTTGCTGCTGAGAATCAAGGATCTGGGCATGTTTCCCTCATCACTCAGGCTGCTAGGAGGCTCAGAAGCACACAGTGGTCAGCCAGAGCATGTCAACAGCACCTCACAGACAGCATTTTCTTGGACTCCTTCACTTGCAGCTGCCCGCATAGTTTCAATCCTTTTCAGCTCAATTCCTTTTTGTCTTTTCATTTTTTTATTGAGACAGCATATAAATAAAATGGAATAAATAAGCACTGGCACTCAGGGTCTCATTTAAATCTCACAGGCACTCTGGTAGGTTATTTAAACTGCCCTGTTTTAACAGATGGAGAAAACGAGACTCAGAAAGATGGCAAGACTTTCCCCAAAGGACATCATTAAGGAGGTGGCTGAGTCAGGACTTGAACGTAAGTTCTGGTTCTCAAGCCAGTGCCTCTCTCCCTCATGACAGCTGAGACCACCAGATCCCTCTGTAGTGCAGGTGGCCCAGCTGTGGGCTAAAGCCATGGAACCAAACTGGGCCCCAGTTGGTGGCATTTCAGCTTCCATTACAAAGCTTCATCAAAGCTGGGCACAGTGGCTCATGCCTCTGGAATCTCTGCACTTTGGGAGGCCAAGGTGGGCAGATTGCTTGAGTCCGGGAGTTCAAGACCAGCTTGGGCAACATGGCTAAACCCCGTCTCTACAAAAAAAAAAAAAAAAAAAATTAGCAGTGCCTACTTTCTAGCAGTGCCAGGCATGCAGAACTACTATGTGCCTGTAGTTCTAGCTACTTGGGAAGCTGAGGTGGGAAGACTGCTTGAGCCCTGCAGGTCAAGGCTGCAGTGAGCTGAGAGATCGCAATTCTGCACTCCAGCCTGGGCAGGGGAGTGAGACTCTTATCTCAAAAGCAAAAATAACAAAGCATTGACAAACCATCAGGTGTAACAGTAAAACTATCACTGAGGCTGACATGCCAGACACTGTCCTAAGCTTGTTACACACGTGACTGTACTGAATCCTCCCAACACGAAGCAGGTACCCTTGTATAAGGAAACCGAGGCCAGGGAGATGATGTCGCTTGCACAGCATTGCACAATAGAAGGATCATACTGGATCCTATAGGGTCAATCACGGGGTTGTATCCAGTGGTAAAGCTGTCCTGAGCCCCTTCCAGCTGCCAAGTTCAACCCAAGTAGAGTGACAGAGCCCCTGAGGAGTCCACCTGTGACCAGTGAAGACAACCCAGTGGATGGTGCAGCCCTGGGGCATTTGATCCATACAACATGCCACAGGGTGCTCACCCAACCCACGTCACTCATTCACTCAGCAACGATTTTGCCAGAGCCCCGTGTGCCAGGCACCTCGGTGGGTACTGGGAACATGGGGAGACAGGACGGACCAAAATCCCTGCCCTCAGGGAACCTGCTCAGCACCCAACAGGGTAGGGAGCCTGCGTAAACTACAAACACACTAGTCAGCTCAGAAAACTGCGCGCCCAAAGAGGCTGTGCTCTGGAGAAAGACAAAGCGGGTAACGGGCAGGAGCGAGTGCGTCATTATGTCCAGTGATGAATGGAGTGGGCAGGGCAGGCTCACCGAGGAGGCGACGTGAGCAGACTCCACGCAGGAGAGGGCGCCAGGGAAGAATGTTCCAGGCAGAAGGCACAACCAGTGCCCTGGCAGGAGTGTATGTGCGCCAGTGAAGAACAGCAAGGCGGGTGGGACGGAGCAAGTGAGGGGACATGGGGGGCAGGGAACAAACCCAGATCACAGGGCCTGGAGGCATGGTTCGAAGTGTGGCTTTCACTGGAGGATTCAGAGAAGGGAGGCCATGGCCTGACCTTGGTGTGAATGGCTCACTTTGGCTGCTCTGCTGAGAATGAATGGGCACTTCAAGGGCAGGGCAGGGGAAGCCAGGAGGCCACACTGAACTGCCCAGGTGAGTCAGGGTGGCTTCCACCAGGTTGTAGGGTGTAGAGTGTGCTCAGATTCTGCTGGATTTGCTGAAGAGCTGGATGTGAGCAAGGCAGCACACTGGGTGGCCCCAGGCACTGGAAGAATGGACCAGCCCTTGACTGGGGTGGAGGAGGCTGGCCCTATCTGGCAGACCTGGGGCTTGCAGCCAGCATCTGTCTCTGCAGGGCCTAGCCCTAACCACTACTTCTCCTCCTGCAGACACCAACAGTGAGGCTGGGCGTGAAGGACATGGCCAAGGTCAAACACTGGCTAGCAGCAGGTCCTGGGCTAACCTTTGTCTCTAGATCCAAACCTCAGGTCCTCTCTGCAGCATGCTGTCTAGAAGCTTCACCTGAGGGATGGGCGGGGTGGGATATGCTTTGTCTGTGGTCCCCCTGTGGCCTCAAAGCACTGTGGGGGACATCGTCCAGCCCACTGTCCCACTCCCACCTACTTCCCTGGATGTACGTGGCTTGAGGTCCTCCAGCAGCTCAGGAAGCCAGGAGGGTCACTGTGGTTAGGACCTACCTGGGGAATAAGGTTAACTGAGCGAGGGCTTAGGGCCTTCCCTGGGCTGGGCGCCCTCTGTGACCCAGGCAGGCAGCTCTCTGAGGACAAAACCCCTCTCCAGCTCCTTCCCACCACCAAGGCTAATCTCTGTTAGCACAAATGCCATACTCTGGCTCTTACTCAGTTCGTTAAAATTCACCTAGTATTTCTCAGATGCCTGCTCTGTGCCAAGATAGCCTCCCTGGAGCCAAAGCACCTGCCTCTGCCCCAAGCCAGAGCCCATCCCGAACTCTCCCAACCTCCCCCAGCTCCTCATCATCATCAATGTTCCTATAGTCACTATGAACAGAGCAGGTCACCTGACCTCTCTCAGCCTCAACTCCTCCATGTATAAAATGGGTATCATTATCTCTGCCCTGCTTATTTCAAGTAAGAATCAGAGAGAACTATGCACGGCCCCAGCCCCAGTCAACACTAGGCTCATTTTCCCCTAGATGTCTGTCTTCCCAGCTGGCATATAAGCTCCCTAGAGCAGGGAATGTACACAGCAGGTGCTCAATGAGATCACCCCGCACTGCCCTGGGCCTCCACAATGCCCTCACCATCACTTCCATGTGCTCGGACTCCCCAGTTCAAATCCCAGCTCTGCCACTCCTATCTGTGTGGCCTTGTGCAGGTTAAGCACTTTTCTGTACCTCTGTTTTCCCATCGATGAGATGCCTAGCACACAGTAAGCACTCAATGATAAGTGCTAGCTCTTCTATTATTATTCCCCAGCCTGGCAGAGAAGAGAAAGAGTGAGCCTTTGGGTGGGGACACACCAGAAGCAGAGGCTTGGAGGTGAGTCCCTGGCAGGGCCTAAGCCTAGGTGGGTGCTGTCCTATCTCAGGGCAACAGGGAGCAAAACCTAAACCTGCTGTGGGGAGGGGCCAGGGGCTGGGAAGCCACGCCTCCTGAGACTCCAAGAAAAGGGGGGCTTGAGGCTCCACCCCCACCCCGCTGCCAGACACCCCGTAAGTTGTGCCCAGCCCCAGGGGCCTGTGACTTTTTAAATTTTTTTAGACAGGGTTTTGTCTTTCTTTGTTACCCAGGCAGGCTGGAGTACAGTGGGGTGGTCAAGGTTCACTGCAGCCACAAACTCCTGGGTTCAAGTGATCCTCCCACCTCAGCCTCCTAAGTAGCTGGGACTACAGGTGTGTGCCACCACTCGGCTGATTTTTTAAACATTTTTTTGTAGAGAGGAGGTCTCCCTACATTGCCAAGCTGGTCTCGACCTCCTGGGCTCAAGTGATACCTCGGCCCCCCAGTGTTGGGATTGCAAGCGTGGGCCACCGCCTCTGGCCGGTCCTGGGTCTGTTGGGATAGGTGGTAGAGCATGGGCCAGGTGCTTCCTGGCAGCCAGGTGATCCTGGAAGAGGGAGGCTGAGGCTGACCCAGGATGGCAGCAGGCAGGCCTCAGGCAGTGGCCATGGCCTGGAGGGTCTGAGCTGGACAGATTTCCTTCTTTCCCTCCCTCTTCCCACTTCTTGTGCCATTTTTCTCTAGCTCTGCTTGGAAGCCTGACGGGCTGTGAGGGAGGGAAGCTGATGAGCCCAAACTCCATGACCCAGCCATGACCTCATAGTCAGGACTCAGGTGGAGCCCAGCCAGGGGCTTCTGGCCAGGGAGAAGGGAGGTGCTCTCTGGAGGCCACTGGCTGTGATGGTGGGAGCTGGCCAGGCAGGTAGCAGCCTCCCAGGTGCAGACTCACACTGACAGCTGTCGCTTGGTGAAGGGCGGCTCCTGTGGAGCTCTCCGTGGTCCTGAGCTTGCCCGTGCTGGCCAGAGTCCTAGCTCAGTCCCCAGGGTGCCCTTGGCTGGCCTCACCCTGGCCCCTGCCACCCACCTCCGTGGTTCAGACGGCTCATGTCTTAACAGCCGGTTCCCCTGTCCACCACCCTCTGGCCCCTTCTCCGCCTGCCCCTCAACACCTGATGTCTGGCGTCTTCAGCTGGGGGACAGCCACTGGGCACTCCTCCAACTGGGAGAAGGGGCCAGCTGTCACATGTCCAGCAGTAAAGCAGGCCCAACACCCAGTGGGCACTCAGGGCATCCCTGTAATGTCCATGAGGGGCATTTTGGAGGATGCCAGAAACAACCTCAGTCTCTACTTCTGGGCAGGAAGTAGCCCATCCACTGCCCCCAGCCCTGGTACACCTTGGGGTGGACCCGCACTACCTCTCCAGGAGTTAGTTCAACTGTACGAAAGGGCTTCGCGCTGAAGCCCGTCTCCCTGTGCTCACCTTCCACCCGGCCTGGTCCTGCCCCATGTGACCTAAGGGCTCTGCCACCTCCAAAAAGAAGGCAGGAGGCACATCTTTGCAGCAATCCCTGCCATGTACAGCAGCTCCTGGGGCACAAGGTAGGCCAGTGGCCACAATGGCCAGATCCGAACACTGCTTGTGGCCTTGGCAAGTCACTCTGCCTCCCCGTGCCTCAGTTTCCCCCTCCACGATACGGAGGTATAACCGTTTCTGTCTCACAGGGTTGTTGTGAGAGTTGAGTGAGTTAATCCCCGCAAAAAGCTAGGGACCATGCCTAAGCACACAACAGATGCTCAGGACACGCCGGCTCCACTGTTACTGGAAGTCTGGAGGATTTGGTTTGAATCCCAGTGCCATGACTTACTTGCTGTGTGCCCTTTGGCAAGTTACTTAGCTTCTCTGGTCCTCAGTCTTCTCCGATCTAAAAGAAAGATGTCACCCTCTGTTTTGCAGTCCTGTGGGAGACCTGGCTGAGCCACGGTGTCAAAGCATTCTGCATGGAGCCTGGCCATTGGCAGAGGTTCTATAAATGCATGGTTTTTTTTTTTTTTCTTTCCTTCCATTTGGGTTTCCCGCTGGACGACCAAATACAGATGACCCCCTGAATATGCCAGGCCTTGCTCCTGACCGGCTTTATTTCCTTTAAGAAAGGTAACAAAGACACCTTTGTTAAGGTACAAAAGGAGGTGGGCCAATTGCGGGGCTGCTTCACCCTGACTGGCACCCTCAGCCTGTAGGGCCTTTCTCAGTAACTCACCAGGCATTCAGGACCTAGGCCAGAATCTGCGGAATCCGGCCCAGCCGAGGCCTGCAGACTCCTCTCCTGGGTCCAGAGGGCCTGCAAGTAAGAATTTGGTCCAAGGCTTCACCCCAGGCCAGTGCCTCTGCATGTCCACTCCCACGGGCCGCCCATTCCAATCCCTTTGGGCTGCTAGAAGTTCTTCCTTCTGTTGACCTTCATCAGTTTCCCTGGAGCTTCTGCTACTGGTTCCTTCCCTGGGGTATGGCAGAGGGAGTCGGCATCTCAGGAGTCAGAAGACAGTGAGCACCTCCCCGGACTCTGAAACTAAATGCAGCTTGAGGTTTCAGGATCCCACATGGGGAGACAGGTAGAGGCGGTGGCTGCAGAACATGGCCGATCCTGGAGTCCCGGCGAGACTGAAGAAACAACTGCTGCTCTGCTGTCCTCCCCTCTCATCATCTGACTCACTCCTTTGACTGACAACCATCCACAGGGACGCCTACACAAAGTGGTCACTCTGCAGTCGACGTATCATCCCAGCTACTGGTGGTCATCGGGGACGCAGATATGTGTGTCTCCATTTTGCAGATGAGGACATGGAGGCCTCAAGAGGTTAAGTGACTTGCTCAGCCACACACAGCTGATGGGAATGAAACAGACGGAAACGGAGACTCCCCAAGCTGACAGGCGGACTACAGATCTGGGGGTTCTGCTCCAGGCTCAACACAAGTGGCCTGGGCGAGGGAGGGCCTGGTAGACCATGACACCCAGCATCGAGGAATTCTGCTTCCCCAGCAGGCTCAGAAGGAAGAAGTCTGCTTCAGGGGCCAGGCCTGGTCAAAGACTCCATCTTCCCTGGATGGCCAGAGTCAAATCCTTGCAAATCCCGTTCACCATGGAGCAGGTGAGACAGCTTCTGCTGTGCCCACCCATGGATGAAGAAACTAGGCCAACAGAGGAGAGACAGAGCTACAAGGGGAGCAGTTCTTAGATTAGGCAGGCAGGGTTCAGGAAAGACAGGGTGCCCAGGCCACCAGAATACCCACGAGAGTCTGGGCCTCATGGAGTCAGCCCCACTCTCTGCTGGCTCAGCTCCAGGGTGGAGGCCTTGCCAAAGGCTCAGCCCAAGACCCATCCCAAGAGCCCTTTCCATGGCAACCCCACCCCTCCCCCACCTCCAGTCCCTGTGCACCACTCTCTCCCCTCCAAACCCATCCCCATCAGCTGATCCCAGCTCCCTGCAGGCTGCCTGAGGACTTTCCCACGGAGTGGCCGGCAAGTGCCTGGGAAAGTTGGTTCCCAAAGCTGGGATCTACCCCTGCTAGGACTCCACCCCTCCTGCACTGGTCACTGGTCCATTCAGGACATCAGCTCCTCATCCCCAGAGGCTCATTCCATAATGTTTTTGTTTTTGTTTTTTAGAGACGAGACCTATGTTACCCAGGCTGTATGTGAATTCCTGGACTCAAGCAATCCTCCCATCTCAGCCTCGTGAGTAGTTGGGACAAGTCTCACACCACCATACCCAGCTTAATTTAATTTGAATTTTAATAGCTGCATGCTCTAGTGGTTCCTACGTTAGACTGTGCAGTTTAGACTGAACGGAGAGGGCAGGAGGCAGGGAGTCAACCGGGTCCATCGTGCCAGCACCGCTGGAGAGATGGGGCTGCACTGAGGGAGGACCCTCATGGGGACAGTCACAGAGCTGGAGCAAGGGAGCATCCCAGGGCGCCAAGCCTGAGAGACGGCCCGTGATGAAGGGGAGGGCCAGGGGCGGGGCAGTGGTGAGCTGATGCCAAGGTCTTGGCTGAGAGAGGCTCATAGAGCATTGGTTAACTACAGGAGGGAGGGATGCAGCTCTGGGGGGCTGCCTGACACCAGGGTGCAGGGGCATTAGGCAGGTGATTGGCAGAAGGAGACCTCGGGAGGGGAGGTGGGCTAAAGGTGGGCCTCAGGGCCCGATACACAGATGTACAGACACATCCCATGGACTGGTCCCATGGGCACTGAGGACAGCTCTTTCCCAGCCAGGTCCCTGGAACTCCCCTCCAGGTGCCCCAGGACCTGAGAGAGAGGTGGAGTGAAGGGGGAGAGAAAACAAAGCCCAGGGACTCGCCCCCAAAAAACACAATCAAGAAGATGCTCCCAGCTTTTCAATTTCAGACACTGAGCTCCTCGCAAGATTTTGTTGGAAGGAAAGCTTCTACAGTTAAAAAAAAAAAAAAAAAAAAAAGCCTGGCAAGCCCTGCTGTGAATTCATCCCTCACTCCACACCAGCAGGGAGATGGAGGCCCTGAGGAGGGGGTGATTGGTGAAGGCCGCACCACAAGCAGAACCCAGGCCTCTCTGACTCCAGGAAGGCAGGGGCGCTGGGCTGGGGCTTTTCCATCTCGGATCCTCAGTCCCCAGTCCAGGCAGAGAGGGACCTTATCAGGGAGCAGAGGGCGGATGTCCCAGCCGGGGCTAGTGGTGCATATGCACATTTCAGGAGGGCCCGAGGGCTCTGACTGCCTCTTACACACAAAGCCTGGAATGGAGAGATGTAAACTTGGCCTGGGGGAACAGGCCAGGCCAGAAGTGAGCAGTGGCTCCTGCCCGAAGCACCCAGAGCAAATATTCAGTGAATGTTTGGGATTAGCCAGAGGAATGAGTACTGCTGGTGGCATTTCAGGCACAGGGCTCTTTATCTCTCAGGGAGAGGAAAAGGGTCCCCTCTGCAGGGCCACACATGACCACAGACCTGCTGTGTGCAGAGCCAGGAGGCAGTGGGAGCCCGTGAGGGCTGGGCCAGTGTGCAGGGAAGGTGCTTGGGGCTGTGAGAGGGTTGGGGGTGATGTGAAGACTGTAGCACTACTGGCCTCGCTTCATTCCACCCCCACAGGCACACAGGGCCTCAAACTCGCAGCTGGCAAGTGACAGCAGCAGAGTCCACACCCACCTGCGGCCTTGGGGCTTCTCAGAGTTTCAGGGGCAAAGTCCAGGCTGCTGCCTTCAGCCTTGCCCAAGGCAAGGGTCCCTCTCACCCCCACTGCCATCAGGACCCCATGGGCCTGCCATTTTCAGGTCACAGGGCTCTCCAGCTCTGGTAGATGATCGGATTCGCTGCCCAGGAAAGCTGCATCTGCCCATCCTGCCAACCTCCTAAGCCCCTCACCAGCCTGAAACCATGTGAGCACCCCGGTGGCACACTGCAAGGCCAGGCTGAAATTATGTTTCCCAGAGCCCAGAGTTCCCTGCAAGGCCAAGGGTACCCAGGGCAGCCCTTCCCACCACTACCCAACTCCAACAGGAACGGGTCACCCTGGACAGTGCGCCGTGTCTGGGTCTCCTGCAGCTTAAAGGAGGCTCAAGGTCCAAAAAGTCAGGAAAACTCCAAGGTGAGGCCCAGACTCCAGGAGGCTCCGGAGGCCCTGGATCCTGACCCACACTGCAGAACCTTGCCCTGATCTACCCTGGAGCTGGCACTCCACATCCATCTGCCCCCTGCCCACACACCTCCATCCAGGCTGCCCTCCTCATCCATCCCCCCTCCTCCCCTTAACTTCCATCCCCCCACCCCCATTATTTTCCCCTAGCCCCGATCACCCGGAACTTGGAGACAAGCAAGCGAGGGGTCCCATGCCACCTGCACCACCTCCTTGGGGAGTTTGTTTGCTGCTGTCTGCCTGATCCTGGCCTCCAGCTAGCCTGGCCTGGCCACAGGCCCAGGGATCCCCAAGCCCCTGTGTCCACAGCTTCCCCTTGCCAGCCTGTAATCATGTAGGGGGTGCTATAGTCTGAAAAATGTGTCCCCCAACGTTCACATGTAGGAAATTTAATCCCCAGTGCAGTGGTGTTGAGGTGTGGACTTTAAGAGGTGATTAGGCCGTGAGGGCTCCACCCTCATGGAGGAATTTATGCTGCTATTGTAGGAGTGGGTTAGTTATTGTTCCTGATAACAGCATGGGCTCAAAGTGGGTTAGTTATCGTGTTCCTGATAACTGCATGCGGTCAGCCCTGCCCGTCTCCATGTGTGGATACTTCTGCCCTTCTGCCATGGGATGACGCAGCATGAGGGCCCTCGCCATATGCTAGCTCCTCGACCCTGGACTTCCCAGCCTCCAGATCCGTGAGAAAGTTCTGCTGTTTACAGACCACCCAGTCTCAGGTATTCTGTGGTAGCAGCACACACAGGACTAAGGAGGGGAATGAGAGGACAGCACATCTGAGGCCTCCCCGAGAGCCGCCCTCTGACGGGGCTGTGCTCAGTATCTTAGCTGTTCTCTAATCTCGTGTGGACATCCGCCTCCCACTGCTATTTCACAGAGGAGAAAACCGAAGTTCAGTGAGTCAAACTGACAAGCCCTGGCCCTCCCTGTGAGTGACATGCATCCAACCCTTCCCTGTGGCCCACACTCCCCAAGACTCCAGCCCGCATTGCAGCTGCCCGACCCCTGCCTGGGCCCCTCCCAGCCATTGCCGCCTCCTTCCCTCACCGGCCCATACCTGCCTTGAGGCACAGTGTCTAGTCCCCTCTGCCTGGCTTTCAAGGCTCTATGGCAGCAGTTTCCTCCCTAGAGGCTGAGCCCAGGTGTCAGTTAGATGACTGCAGGAGGAACTAACCTTGTCCCGCCAGATGCTGGCCCTGCCCTCCATCTGGGCTGGTTTCCTGGCTCCACCTCTTTCCAGCTAGGTCACCTCACCTCTCCAGCCTCAGTCTCCTCCTTTGTGAAACAGGTAACCAGGCAGCAGTGAGGGGCAGCCCCACCCTCCCAGAGCCACTCCTAGGTGCCAGGTGCTTGAGGAGGTAGGGACACTGTGGTTTTACAGGTGGAGAGCCTGTCAGGGCCAAGCGCTCAGTAAAAAGCAGGTCCATCTCTTGTGAGCCTCGCCTTGCTCCCTCTCTGTGTGGGAGGGTTCCCGAGAACTGCACCCCGACTCCCAGAGGGGCTACTGGACATTCTCAGTGGGACGAGGATAGGGAACCAAGGAACACTATATGCATGGAAGAGCTCAGAAATACACTCTCGGCACGGCGGGACCCCGAGTCTCTGACAAAGTACCGGGCAGGGACAGGGCGGGGGTCAGGGAGCCTGAACCCACACTGCCTCTCCTGCAAGGGGGCTCAGGAGTCCATAGCCTTTTGGAGGGAGTTGGGTCTCTCTGGGAGTGGGGGCAGAGGCTGGATTCTGCCCACAGGAGACGGCCAGACAGCTATTGTACTGCTGGCTCCAAGCCCAAGGGTCCACCCTTAGCAAGGCATTCATTCCTCAGTGTGCAGAACACCCCTCTTGAGGGTGAAGACAGAAATCACACCCTACCCTGGAAGGAGGCTGAGCCCAGAGCTTTGAGCATTCCTGCTGCCGGGGAGCTTTATACAAAAAGCCCCACCCTCCAATACCTCGCCCTCTAGGGACTCCTCCCTCTTCCTAGCCCTTGCCTTCCCTGGGGGGCTGCCCTCAGCCCAGCCTGCTCAGGAGTTCCCCCACGCTATCCCCTAAGCCTGGAGAGGAATTTCCTGTTTGCTTGTCTTGCTCAGGGTGGTGGCTGACCACAGAGAACAGTGCAATAGCATCCAGTGAAAGAATGAGTGAATGAGTACCGTGTCGCTCTGCCCCTCTGCCCCTGTGCCTCGTGTCTCTGTGTGTCAGATTGTGTGGCACCTGCCCTGGAGGGCTGCCGAAAGGCCCTCATGGGAAGAATAGAACCGATGCCCTGTGTGGTGTGGGGGACAGGGGGACTCCCAAGGGCACAGGGCCTTGCCATCTCTGCAGAGGAAGGCCGGCAAGGACTGATGGCCGGAAGGGCGGGGGTAGGAGTGGGGGCTGGGAGGGCGAAGGAAGGAGGAACGGAGAGGAGGTTGGAGTGGGGTGAGGGCAGTGGGAAGGGGCTGCTCAAGCCTGTAATTATTAATTGGGCAGATGATTAATTATTAACAAAGCTTCAGGTTAGAGGAAGGAAGGAACACAGCTTCTTCTAATTCATCAATAGGCCCCTGTTGCCAGCCCCTCCGCAAAGGCTTAAGAGCTTCCGTGCTTACGGGACCCACTGAGGCCAATGGGATAAATCCTCGAGACCCCCATACTTCGGGCTTTCAGCTCCCTACCCACCTCCCAGCCCACTCAGCCTTACAGGCCCGAACAAACTGCCCCAGACCATCTGGACAAGAGAAGGGAAGGAGCCAGCTCTGCCCTGCCCTGGCTTCCAAGGTCAGAATGCCCCTGCCCCCACCCCCAGGGCTCCCAGAGATGTGGTGCCTCCCAGGCAGAGGGGCAGCCAGAGCCTTTGGTCTGAGTGGGGGTGGCCATCGTCAGATAACAAAGGAGGCCCAGGAAAAGCCGGGCAGGAGGGGGCTGGGCTGAGTGCTTCTGCCTCTGTGAGAGGGCTCTCCTGGACCCTGGGCTGTCCTGGGTGCCCACCCCCAATCTCTCAGGAGTCAGCGTGGGGCGAGGGCTGCTTTGGGGCCATAGCTCTCTGGAGTCTAGACTCAAAAGGGGCTGGATTCAAATCCTGCCCTTTCCAAACCCTCCTCCGTGATCTTGGGCAGGTCACTGAATACCCTGGGCCTCGGTGCCTCTATCAGCAATGTGAGGCCATCCCAACCCCGAGGGGATTAAAACGGATAACATCCAGAGTCTTGACACAGGCCAGTCCTCTGAGCTGGGTGCGGCCTCACCACATGCCCGGCAGAGGGGCAGGAAAGCCTGCAGGCCCCGTTCCCCCAAATGCTCCCAGGATGGACCTCTCTCTGCCTCCTCTGCCACCCCGAGGTCCTCACTAGCTTCCCTCCTGCCTCTGCAGCAGCCAGAGTCACCGCAAATTCCCCATCAGGCCACATCTCCCTGCTCAAGCCCTCCCATGGCCCTGTCACACTAAGAATTAAAACCCCAACTCCTCTGCGTGCCATGGACCCTGGCCATCTGATGCCTGCGTTTCTGCTGACCTTGCCTCCCTTGTCCCCCAGGCTCCAGCCACACTCCCCACCTTCCTGTCTCCTACACTCTTCAGGCATGGCCCCATTCCAGGGTCCTCGCACTGGCTGATCCCTCCGCCTGGAACGCCCTTCCTCAGGTCCCTGCATGCTCTGATGCCACTCGTCAGACAGGGGCCCCTGAGCAGCTGGCTGAAGTGCTGCCCCCGCCCGCAAGCCCTCTCTCCAGGCTGTCCCCCCAGCGCTCATCCCTGCAGAGGCGATCCCACTTTGTTGTTTACGTCTGCCCCGCCCTCACCCTGCTGGCGAGGCCACAGGAGAGCAGGGTCACCACAGGCCTCGGTCGCCACTGTTCCCCACCCCCCAGGACAAAGTCAGCCCTGGAGCATGCACTGCAGGGACAGCTGCTGGATGACATGGAACAGTCCAAAGACACAGGAGCCCAGATGAGAAGCAGCAACAGACTTGGAGGGACAAATATCCTCCGGTTTGGGGGTGCAGGCCCAGCCTGCAAGTTCCCACACCTGACAGGCGCTCCTCCCCTGCCCTGTGGCCCCAGAGAAAGCCCCTGCTCTGCTGAGTTCAGCGCCGCCCTGCCCTGCAGCCCCGGCAGTGCCAGCCCCTCCCGCCCAGGCTCGCCATCCTCTGGTGACAACGTACAAAGGGCCACTTCAGTACACAGCCTCAGCTCTATCTCCAGCCTGGCGGGCTGAGCGGAGCGGGGGTACGGGGAAATGGAAGGGAGGGTGCTCCCCGCCCTTCCCCATCCTTTGGGGTCTTCTCTAGCATTGGGGACTTTGTCCCAGGCATTGTGCCCCGGGTGGCAGTGGAGGGGTTGTTGGCTGGCAGAGGCTCTCATGCACCAGGTGGCAGGTGGAGGTCTGGTCCAAGAGTCCTAGGCAGTGGGGAGCGGATGCTGTTCCCCCGGCACCTACCCATGTGTACAGGGCAGCAGGTGGTGGGCACACTTGCATGCTCAGGTGGCCCAGTGCCAGACGGAGTGAGGGACAGCGAGGTGCAGACCTGGCAGGAATGATCTGGGCTGGGCAGCAAGGAGGGCAGTGGGCATGGGCTTTGGGTCACACCAGGCCTGGCTTTCTGGCCTGAGACCCTCTGTGGCAAACGAGGTGAAACTCAAATCGCTGTCCCAACAACCTGAGCTAGTAACCTGTGACTCAAGCCTGGCACCAAGGGACTGACGCTCCGATGACGTTCCCAACACTCCCCCTTCTGGGCCCCTCCCCACCCATCACCAAGGCTTGTCCGTCCCACTGCCCGCACTTCCCAAATCTGGGCCCCTCCCCACCCACCTGCCCCCTTCTGGGCCCCTCCCCACACCACCAAGGCAGTCAGTCCCACTGCCCGCACTTCCCAAATCTCCCAACCCCAAGCCTACCGCTCACCGGAATGGCAGCAGCTTCCTCAATGGGCCCCCAACCCGGCCCCCATGAGCCAAGCGAAAGCCACATCTGATGCTGCCCCTCCCAGCTTGGAACCGCTGCCCTCAGGAGAAAGTCCAAGTCCCTCAAGGAGGCACAGAAGTTTCTGTGTAATCTCACCCTTCAATCTCCGTGCCTGTTCCTGGAGGATTCGGCTGAGCTGCACTTCTCCAGGCCTCCCTGACCCCAGCCTACTCCCCAGAACCCCTTGTCCCACACAAGGGCTGTGCTGTCTGATGCCCCTGGGTCCCCAGCCTCAAGCACTGAGCCCCACACAAAAAAGGTGCTCACCCTGAGTTTGTTGAATGAATAAATGACCACGCCAAATCCACACACCCGCACCTTCCAGTCAATGCTGCAGGGCTCTCAGGCCTGTCTGGGGCTCACACAAGTGGCCCATGGTCCTAGTCCTGCCTGCTTTGCCAACTTGGGCTTGTCACACCCCAATGAGGCAGCTTAGCTACGTGAATCCTAAGGGCCCCTTCCAATGGGATAGCGGTGGCAGAGGGGAGATACAGGAAATGACTGGAGCCTTCATGGCCAGGAGGAGCTATGGGAAGACGGTGGGAAAGGAAGAGCGGCTCAGTAGTTAGGATCCTCCCTGCCAGCGTCTGAACCACAGCTCACGGCTGTGTGTTCACTGCCTCATGCCCTGGTGCTGCAGGTGCGCTGCTGAGTGAGGGAATGGGCTTGAATGTGGCTCTGCCACCGTGGGGACCTGGGGAGGTGACAAGGCCACACCTGCCTGCAGCCTGCAGCTCCTGGGCAGGAGGGTGGCAGCGTTGCCCCTGGGATCTGGGAACCTGAGCATCAGTTAGCTTCCTGCTGGGGGTGGTCCTGACAGAGCAAGCACACAGCTGGCTGGGGCTCTGGGCACCCAGGGAGCCCGCCCTCAGCTGGAACAAGGCACCCTGTCTCTTTTCCTCTCCCAATTACTCTCTGTCCACCTCTGCTTGGAGAGGGGATGTGCCCAGGGTCAGGAACCTAGGAGGCTATGAGGGGGTCCTCATCCCAGCCCAGCTCAGCAGAGCTGCCAATGTGCCCACTGCTGCTCATCAAGGTGAGGGTGGCGGCCTCCGAGCTCCATGTTCTGGAAGACCCACATTCTAGCTTTGCTGCTCCAGGTTTCCTCCTCTAAGTTTCAGATTCTAGGTTCTCTGTCTGCATCTGAAGGTTCTACCTCTTTTTTTTTTTTTTTTTTTTGAGACTGAGCCGAGATTGCCATTGCACTCTAGCCTGGGCGACAGATCCAGACTCCATCTGAAAGAAACGAAACGAAACGAAACAAAACGAAACAGATCCAGACTCTGTCTGAAAGAAAAGAAACGAAATGAAACAAAACGAAACGAAACGAAAAGAAAAGAAAAGAAAAAAGAAGGAAGCAAGCAAGCTAGCTCTCCATCACAGGTCCCGTGTCGTGTCCATGTGTCTCCTCTTTGGGACACTGTACTTCGTATTCTCTTCGCGGTGCCCAGCAGCAGGGCTCCTGCCCACTCCTACCTTCTTAGCCTCATCACTCTTTGGGGCTCTTGAGAGCAGCGGAACCAAAGAGATGGGGCTGCCTGCACTCCCAAAGCGAGAAGGCCCAGTCCAGCTTTCCTAGGCCTGGGATGCCCCCAGGGCCGCAGAGGGGATCCCAAAGCACACCCCAGCCAGGCAGAAATTCCCTTCCCCACCCCTTTCCCATCTCTCCAGGATGCTGCCCCAACCCCCTGCCCTTCACCCTCTGCACCAGCTCTCACTGCAATGGCTCCACAAGACAGGTGCTTCACAAGGGCAAAGACTTCATGTCAGGGCCTGGCACCTGCTTGGTGGGCACTCTGTCAACACTCGCTGAATTAACCAGGAATGCACAAGGTGCCTAGAGGACTGCGCAGCCTAAGAGACGCTAGTTTATATGTGATGGAGATGTTCATGCTGTGTGCATACACATGTAGCATGCACAAAACACATGCAAGCAAACTGCAAGCCGCCCACCCTGATGTCAGCAGAGCTGTGCCCCTGCCACCTAGCTCAGTCACCGGCGCACAATAGGCACTTAGGGAGTAATTGCTGAAAGAACGGATGGACAGATGAGTGCTCTGTACCGGGCACAAAGTGTACTGGGTACAGAGTCAGAAGCTGGGAGAGAAACAGAAACTGACCCCACCCAGGATCAAGGCTCAGATGCAATGACAAATAACGCTACCACTAGGCAGAACTTGACCCGTGTGTAGGAGGATAGTGGGAAAAGCACTTAGAGGCCGGGGTCAGTAACAACATCAGCCAACAGGGATGACCACGCCCGCTGGGCTTCAGCATGGAGGTGAAACAAGCAGCCCTGGCTCCTGCCCTGCGGGCACCTCTGTCTGGGAGGGGCAGGAGGGGCTTCCTAAGGAGAGGGGGCTCTGGCAGCAGCTGGGCTGGAAGGGGCAGGCTCTTCAGGAGGGCAGGGGACCAGTATCAGCAAAGGCCGGGAAGTAGGAAGGTGAGGCTCACATACGGAGTATGACAATTGCCCAAGAGGCTGGAGCATGGGGGACGCGGGGGAAGAAAGAGGCTGGACCAGCCCCGGAGGAAGGAGGTCAGAGGTGTTTGGACAAAATTCTCAGAGCACTGCATTCCAGGAGCTCCAGGCCTGGGCTCCCATGACCCAATTTCCAGGAATTAGAGCAACACAGGCCTCCTGCCGCAGATCCACTTGCTCTGGTAGAAGTGCCTGGTGCTAGGCAAGCCCCACGGTGAGACCCCACAGCCGGTCACTGCCCGCAAGCGGTGGCCCCAGAATCAGACCAAGCAGGAGCCGGCTGTCTCCGGGGCTCCTTTTCTTCCCGCTGTTAGAATACAACTGCATTTTTCTGGTTTAAAGGTTTCTCATCCATTCTAGAACATCAGGAAAGCACAGAGAAAGAAGCAGGGCAGTGTCCCCACCATCCTGCCACCCCTGGGCCTGGCTGGCTTCTGACTGGGCCTTCCTCGCAGGCCTTTCTCTTCCCCATGCACCTTTTGCTGGAACCAACATCAACATGGGTTTCTGTCACCTTCGGGCAGTGCGCATTTTGCTCTATCAGGCTTTTTTCTTTTCTTTTTTTTTTTTTTTTTAAGACGGAGTCTCACTCTGTCACCCAGGTTGGAGTGCAGTGGCACAATCTCAGCTCACTGCAACTTCTGCCGCCCAGGTTCAAGTGACTCTCCTGCCTCAGCCTCCCGAGTAGCTGAGATTACAGGCACCCGCCACCATGCCCGGCTAATTTTTGTATTTTTAGTAGAGACGGGGCTTCACCATGTTAACCAGGCTGGTCTTGAACACCTGACCTCTGGTGATCCACCCCCCTCGGCCTCCCAAAGTGCTGGAGTTTTTTTGCATGATTTCATTTTCATATCTCAGGAACCATGGGCCACGGTGCCAAAATAAACCTCATTTCACTATATGGAAATTGAGTGCTAAGCAGGGGAAGTGGTTCGATCGTGTCTAGTGTCTGCAGTAGAGCCTGCCTGACGGGTGAGGGACCTGATGAGTTTGTGCAGCGTTCTACAATTAACAAAGCGTCTTACACACATGGTTTCACTGAATGCCCACAGTGAGTTGGAGGGTATGGCTCTGTTTTTCACTTGTGCCCATATCCCAAGGGAAAACCTTCCAAGGGGTGTAGCTGAGCCCAGGGTATCAGCCCAGAGAGGCCACGTGGCCAGCTGAACCCACCCATTTTTGCAGAGGGAACCTTAACGTCTGGGGCCCTGGGAAACTTACCCAGAGTGCCTCAGAGAGCTGAGGATCCCCTGTGTGGTGTGAAGGAGGAGACACCAGGCCCGTGTGGGACTGCACCCCTCCCTCTTCCCCTGCCCCCAGTTCAGAGCATTTCTCAGCAGGAACCAGGTCAGAGGCCAGCGTAGATGAGCAGGAGCTGGGGAGAGCAAAGTGCTCCGGGCTCAGGACTGAGCTCTGGTCCTGGAGTGGAGAAAGATAAAGCCTGACAGAGGCCGGGCGTGGTGGCTCATGGCTGTAATCCCAGCACTTTGGGAGGCCGAGGCAGGCAGATCACGAGGTCAGGAGATCGAGACCATGCTGGCTAACATGGTGAAACCCCGTCTCTACTAAAAATACGAAAAAAAAAATTAGCCAGGTGTGGTGGCAGGCGCCTGTAGTCCCAGCTACTTGGGAGGCTGAGGTAGGAGAATGGCGTGAACCTGGGAGGCAGAGCTTACAGTGAGCCGAGATCATGCCACTGCACTCCAGCCTGGGCAACAGAGCAAGACTCTGTCTCAAAAAGAAAAAAAAATAAATATGTATCAGGCCAGGCTCAGAGGCTCACACCTGTAATCTCAGCACTTTGGGAGGCGGAGGCAGGTGGATCACTTGAGGTCAGGAGTTGGAGACCAGCCTGGCCAACATGATGAAACCCCGTCTCTACTAAAAATACAAAAATTAGCTGGGTGTGGTGGTGGGCGTCTATAATCCCAGCTACCTGGGAAGGCTGAGGCAGGAGAATCGTTTGAACCCAGGAGGCAGAGGTTGCAGTGAGCTGAGATCGCGCCACTGCACTCCAGCCTGGGTGACACAGTGAAACTCCGTCTCAAAAAAAAAAAAGACAAGAAATATGCATCAAATGCCTTCTACGTGCCAGGCACAGAGCCAGGCCCTAGTGCATGCCCGGTGCCAGCCCGGGGGCCCAACCCATCCCCAGTCACCTGCAGCTCTCCCTGTGCCCCTCTCCTGTGGCAGCCACCATCACTCACCCACCACAATTTGCCACAACCATGTGCCAGGCCCCAGGTAGCAAGATGAGGACTCACCACGAGAGATTTGCCCAGTGCATTAGGCAAGCTCTGGGCATCATGCCCTGCCTGGGACTTGCTTCCAGGAAGAGGCAGAGGCAGCAAGTGCTAGGATGACAGCATGGCGGGGGCGGTGGGGCAGGGGTGAGCGCGGTGTATGAAGAGCTGGTGGGGCCCAGGCTACGAACACAGGCGGGGGCTCGGTCACAGGATCTGGGTTACAAGGGTTGGGGATTGGGAAATCTAGTAGCCACTACAGATGCCAGGGAGCTGTGAACTGGCTCTTGGAATGCACAGGCCTCTGTATCCTCAGGGCAGCATTTTTTATTTTTTTTTAATTTTTGAGATATGGTCTTGCTCTGTCGCTCAGGCTGGAGAGTGGTGGTGCGATCTCAGCTCACTGCAGCCTTGACCTCCTGGGCTCAAGTGATCTTCCCCCTCAACCTTCCAAGTAGATGAGGCTATAGGCGTTTGCCACCATACCTGCCTAATTTTTTTTTTAATTTTTTGTAGAGACAGGGTCCCACTATGTTGCCCAGGCTGGTCTCGGACTCCTGGACTCAATGAATCCTCCTGCCTCAGCCTCCCAAAGTACTAGGATTACTTTGGGAGTCCAAGTCAGTATTTTTTAAACTGTGGGCTTCCAGCCCTCCCGTTGTGAGATGCTCACTCAGCAGGGCTGGCTAGGGTCTGGCAAACAGGTACTTTACGCAGGCCGCCCAGGTGACATTGAGCAGGCGTTCCAGAGACAGGGCCCAGGACAGTGGCAGAAGGAGGGCCTTGAAGGGGAAGCCTGGAGGCCAAGAGGCTAAGTGATGGCTGTCTCAGGGCTCCAAGCCTCAGGGAACAGGCCCTGCTGGGAGCCCACGGGAGAGAAGGAACAGGTCTGGGTGACCGAGGGAGGCTGCTCTCTGAGGGTCCTATAGGCTGGACACAATCCCAGCCCTGCCACTTCCCAGCTGTGGACCCCCAACTCTGGGTACCCTCAAAGTGCCAAACAGGGATGATAATAGTGCTTGCCTCTCAGCAAGTTAGAGACATCTCTGGGAGAATGCATAGAAAGTGGTTGGTTGGCCCTGGGCCCAGCACATAGGAAGTGCTTGATAAAGAGCAGCAAATTATGATGACCCGGAGGCCAAGGTGGGGAGGACAACCATGGGAGCCATCCACCACCAGGCCTGCCAGCCAGAGTCCCAGAACCCACTCGGGCCGGCCTCCCTCACTTAGAACCCTGTCTCTGGGCTGTTCCTTCTGGGAAGTTCCTGGCCTGCCCAGAGAGGGCAGCCGGAGAGCAGGCTCTGAGGTCCTGGCACGTGCACAGGTCTGTCTCCCTGGCCTGGCCCTCACCCACCCCTCTCAAGGGATTCCCACTTCGGTAAGAACCAAAGTTTTGAGCCAAATAAGTTCATAAACAATACGGTAATTAGGTGTGTGAATGATTTCCATTGTTTCAATTTTATTTTTATAGAAAAGATGAAAATAAGTGAGCCAAAAGGGGGAATTCCACTTCAGGCAGCCCAAGGAGAAGTACGTGACAAGTCGGTTAACTTCCTGACTTATGGGCAAGGCCGTGGGTCCCCTTGTCAGCTCCCTGCTGTGAGAGGGGGTTCCTGGCCTGCTTCCAGCCCATGGGCAGCTCCGCCCCTTCCCGAAGCCTCACTGTCCCCTTCCTGGCGGTGGGGACAATAGCCCCTCCCAAGCAGGTCCCTGTACCCTCCCTCTGTAGTGTGAGGCTGCCCTCTGGAGGGTCAGTCCCTTCCATCAGGGATGGAGAAGGAGTAATAAGCAGGACAGCAAGGCTGCTCACCTGGGCTGAGAATTATTCATTCACTCATTCATTCATTCTTTCATTCATTCATCCATTCATCCATCCATCTGCACATTTAACTGAGGGCCTCCTCAGTACCTGTGTCGCTGAAAGTATATCAGGAACACGTAACAAACACGCCAAAGACACCGGCGTGATACTCTGGGAGCTGACAGCAAGAACACCAGGAAGCATGTGGGCTTCCCTGAGCCAGAGATGCTGCAGCTAAGATGTAAAGAGTGGGTCAGTGCAGGCTGGGTGTGGTGGCTCAGGCCTGTAATCCCAGCACTTTGGGAGGCCGAGGCAGGCGGATCACAAGGTCAGGAGCTTGAGAACATCTGGCCCACATGGTGAAACCCCATCTCTACTAAAAATACAAAAATTAGCTGGGCATGGTGGCACGTGCCTATACTCCCAGCTGCTCGGGAGGCTGAGGGAGGAGAATCACTTGAACCAGGGAGTCAGAGGTTGCAGTGAGCCGAGATCATGCCACTGCACTCCAGCCTGGTGACAGAGTGAGACTCTTCTCAAAAGAAAAAAAAAAAAGAGTGGGTCAGTGTGAACAAGAGACTGCACCTCAATTTCCCCATCTGTAGAGGGGACTATCCTGGAACCTCTGTCACTGGCTGCCATAGGAACACAACACATGCTGGCTATTGATATTTTTATAGGCAGGAACGTGTACATGGGAGGGGCTGTAGCATCGGGGGAAGAGCAGAAGGGGAGATGGGTCTGTCTGACTTGGGTTGTGGGGCTGGTGTCACAGAGGAAGGGGGTCATGAGGAAGCTTTTGATGGACAACAGAGTTACAGGGGACAGTGAATGGAAGAGGAATTCAAGTCGAGGGAACAGCACAGCAAGGGAATGGAACATGAGGTTTGGGACCTGCTTGGGCCACATCTCTGAGCTCTCATTGGCTTAAGCTTGGGGCCCATTCTGTGCAGAACCCCAAGGCCAGGCCAAGGTGGAGAGGAGCCCCTCGAAGGAGGGGTTAGTGCAAGTGTGCGTCAGGGTCAGGGGTGCAAAGGGTCTCAGGACGGGGAGGACACCAGAAGCTCTCCGTTCCCTCAAGCCTCACCCCAGGGCTGGTGCAGGGTGGCCCCTCACCTCCAGCCCTCCCATGCCTCCCCCTGAAAGCCCTTCTCACCTACAGTATCGCCCGCAGCTCCCAAATCTAGCTGACCAACACTCTCTGCATCCTTTCCTCCTCATTCAACCATCATCTATTAAGCACCCGCTGAATGCCTGGGGACTAAAGCTGGCACGTACCAGCTCCCATTATGACACTCTTGTTAGGCCATGGGTGGCTTAAAATCAGCCATATGGGGAGGATTTACAGCACAGCGATCGGCCAACTCATCAGGGGTTTGTTTCCCAGAGAGCCAGTTGCCAGCCTACTATTGCCCCCGGTTGGAGCAATGGATCTGGAAAGGCAGGTCCCTGGGCAGGGGGACTCAGTCAGAAAAGGAAGACATCAGGGACACGTAAACAACACATCTCGAAGGGCAGGTGGTGTAGTCTCCAAGGAGGCAGGGGTGAATCGGGAGACTCGTTCTGGAAGGGAGCAGTAAATGGCCACTGGAAACTATGCCAAGCTGTTCAAATAGTAACAGTGCACCCCACCCCCATTTTATTTATTTATCTATTTATTTTTGAGATGGAGTCTCACTCTGTTGCCCAGGCTGGAGTGCAGTGGCGCAATCTCAACTCACTGTAGCCTCTGCCTCCAGGTTCAAGCGATTCTCTCGCCTCAGCCTCCCAAGTAGCTGGAATTATAGGTGCCTGCCACCATGCCCAGCTAATTTTTGTATTTTTAGTACAGATGGGGTTTCACCATGTTGGCCAGGCTGGTCTTGAACTCCTGACCTCAGGTGATCCACCCACCTCGGCCTCCCAAACTGTTGGGATTACAGGCATGGGCCACCACGCCTCGCCTCAGCGCCATTTTAGACACAAGAAAACTGAGGCACAGAGATGCAGAGTCACCAGCCCACAGTCACACAGTGAGAGAGGCAGGGCCGGGATTTGAACCGGGCCACTAGATCTGGAATCCCTACTTTTAGTGACTCTTTCCTTGCCCCCAAGCAGCCAGCACAGGGCTAGGTGGAGCATCGGTGCCAGGGGTATCTGCTCCCCAATGGATTCTAATCTCCTCAGGGCAAGGCCTATGTCCTCTCTGTCCAGCACAGTAAATTATTACCCCTACCTGAGGACACTGTGTTCCAAGACCTGGTCCCCACATGAAGGGCTTGGAGATGGCTAAGATGAGGGGCTGCATCACTGCACTCTGGGGAGCAAAGGGGCTCTGGCTCTTGGGGAGCACAGCAGGATACCCTGAATGACTTGGCTGGGCGGGTGGGTGCCCATGAGGCCAAGAGGGGCTGTCTTTGCAGACCACCCTGCCTCTGGCCACTCCTCACTGCTTATGTAGTCTTCCCAGAATTGCATGAGGACCACGCAGTTCCCCCACCCTCAGCTCTCTGCCGTTCACGTCCAGCCCAGCCCTCTCGTGATTCTCATGGCCGCTGCCCAGTGAAGCTGGCCTGGCCCGCCAGCTGGCATCGGCATCCTCGTTTTCCAGGTAATAATACCGCAGCCAGCGATCTCTTGAGTGCTGCTCAGGTGCCAGGCACCCTGTGTGCATCCTCTCATTCAACCCTCTCTGCAACTCATTCCATTCAAAATTCTCCCCCATTTGATCACACCTGGAATCCGAGCACTTTGGGACATAGAGGCAGGAGGATCACTTGAGCCCAGGAGTTCAAGACCAGCCTGGCCAACATAGCAAAACCTCATCTCTATTAAAAACTTTTTAAAAAATTAGCAGGGTGTGTTGGCTCACGCCTGTAGTCCTAGCTACCCAGGAGGTTGGGGCAGAAGGATCCCTTGAGCCCAGGAGGTTGGGGCTGCTGTGACCTATGATCACACCACTGCACTCCAGCTTGGATCACAGAGTGAGACCCTGTCTCAAAACAAAAACAAAAACAAAACCTCCCCATTTCACAGATGTGGAAACCGAGGCTCAGAAAGCTGACTTCCTGAGGTGGTCCAGTTACTACAGAAAAAGAAATCATCAGGGTTGGGCGAGGTGGCTCACGCCTGTAATCCCAGCACTTTAGGAGGCCAAGGTGGGTGGATCACTTGAGGTCAGGAGTTCGAGACCAGCCTGGCCAACCTGGTGAAACCCCATCTCTACTAAAAATACAAAAATTAGCCGGGTGTGGTGTCGGGCACCTGTGGTCCCAGCTACTCGGGAGGCCGAGGTGGGACAATTGCTTGAACCCAGGAGGTAGAGGTTGCAGTGAGCCAGGATGGCACCACTGCACTCCAGCCTGGGCGACAGAGTGAGGCTCCATCTCAAAAAAAAAAAAAAAAAAAGAAAAGAAAAGAAAAGAAAAAGGAATCACCAGTGTGCCTCAAGTAGCCCTGACCACACCAAGGGCACCAGGCAGACCCTTAGAATGGGTCTGAGCCAGCGGCATCCCCCCAGCCAGGTCTTGGCTCCCTGCCGTCCTCAGGACCAAGTGCCAGCTCCCTGCTGTGCCCTCCCACCTCACCTCCACCTGGCCTCCCTGCCCAGCCTCTGCCCCGTTTTCATCTCACTTCTTCCAGGGGGCACCCACAGTGCCTGACTGTTCCCACTGCCACCTCTCAACACACGCCAGACACTCACACCTCTGAGCCTTTGCTCATGCCATTCCCTTGGCCCACAACGCCCTTCCCACCTTTCTCTACCCAGAGATCTCTGGCAGCTTCCTGTCGTCATCTCTTCCAGTAACCTCTCTCTTCCTCCTGGGCTGGGACCCCTCTTTCAAACCTTCCTAGGACCCAGAGCGGCTCCCCTTAGCACTCCTTAGACTGAAAACCCCCTCAGAGCTGCAGCTCCTGGGGGTGGGGGCTCTCCCCTCCATCCTTCTGCTGGGCTCCATGTCTGGATCTTTCATAACTGCTCCCCCTCCCCAAACGACACGCCAGTGCTCACAACTCCCCCATCAAGGCGAATCTGGACTGGTGTGTCCCAGGAATGAAGTGGGGAACCAGGGAGGAATCCCACTGGGGTAGTGTGTCTGCCCACACCCCATCAGGGGCCTTCAGGGGCATCTTCCGGGGCTGGGGGTCATCCGACCTCAGACCACTAGGTCTGGCCGCGCGGCATCCCTTCCTGCTGCACCCCAGCTCAGGAACCCCACCATACACACACCCAGGCGCACTCCCCTCCCCACTCCCGGTTCCAGAACTCACTATTTGCAGATATTTATAGCGCCCTCCCTCAGCCAGGTTCCCTCCCCCGCCCTGGGCAGAGCAATGCAAGGAGCCGGGGGCCCCCACCCCGGTAAATGGCCGGGGGCCCTCTCCACATTTGCCTCTGCCTGGTCCCCAGGGGTAGCTACGGCCGCAGCCCCCGCACCCGCCCAGCCCCCGACTGCGCTTGGGCCTCGGCTGCCGCCGCCGCAGTCTGGGGTCGGGGGTGGGGAAGGCGGGCGCGGAGGCCTCCCACCCCAGCCCCGCGCCGCGCCGGAGGTTGTGGGGGAGCCGCGCCGGAGGCTGGGGGGTGCCGCGCACAAAGCACGGCTCGAGCCCCGCGCCTCGGGGACGTCCCCCGCCCGGCCGTGGGAGGGGGTCGGGCGCTGAGGCTCTGCCCTCCGGGGACCGGGGAGCTCGGAGGAGCGGCGGGTAGGGGGAGGGGGCCCGCGCCGAGCGGCTTCCCCGGCATCCCGCCCCCACCGCGGCCTCCGGGCCCCCAGCCCCAGTGCGCCCGCGCCCGCCCCCTAAGGTCACGCTCGGGGAGTGGGCCGCGGAGCCGGGCGGGGGGCGCCAAGCGCAGCGCGGGAGGGCGGGCAGCGCGGGGATAGAGGGGCCGCGGCGCCCCCCAGGACGCCGGGGTCAACTCACCCATCGCCCGCTGGGTCTCAGCAACGGCGGCAGCAGCGGCGGCGGCGGCTCCGCGGCCCCCGGGGTCCCCGGCGGGGAGATGCTGGCGTCCGCCGCAGCCTCTCGCCCCATCCCGGGCTCCGGCGGCAGCGGCTGCGGCGGGCGCCCGGCATCGCAGGCAGCGCGGCCCCGGCCCGGCCCCGATCCCCTCCCCCCACCCCCACTTCCACCCCGTCCCGGGGACCCGGCGCGGCCGCTCGGCTGCACCCCGGGGCGGCGGCGGGGGCCCGGCGAGCGGACGGGCGCGGGGGAGGGACCGCGGCGGGCGCGCGGGGGGCGCGGAGGCGAGGCCGAGCGCGGCGCGCAGGGGTGCCCGCTCCCGCCGGCTCAAGCGGCTCCGGCCCCCACCCCGCCCCCTCCGCAACCCCCTCCCCTCCCCCGCCAGCCGGGCTCCGCCGCCGCGCCGGGCCGGGGGCGCCTCGCACCGCAGACTCCGGCCGCCGCCGCCCCGCGCCGCCCGCGCGTGCTGGATCGAGTGTGTGCGTGTGCGAGCGAGTGTGTGTGAGTGCGAGTGTGCGCGCGCCCCTCCTGTGACCGTGCGTGCGCCGGCCCACGGCCCGGGGCGGCCTGCGCGGGGGCGTGTGCGGGGAATGCGGGTAGTTCGGAGTGCGGGCCTGGTGTGCGTGCGGGGCAGCAAGTCCCGTTCTGTGTATGCGTGGACGGGTGCGTTCCGCAGCGTGCCCGGGTCGGTGTGACTCCGTGTGCCCGAGTCTGTGCCTGTGTGTGCATGGACGTGCAGATCCGTGTTGCGGTGTGTGCGTGGATGCGCCTGTGCCCGCGTGAACCTGGGCCGGGATTTCGCATAGGCATCTGTGACCATGTGCAGAGGCCTGGGCCTGTGATGTGTGCACGGTGCCGGGCCTGTTACGGTGTCTGCAGAGTCTGTGTGTCTGCTTGGGGCGTGGGTGACCGCTGTACACCGGCCTGTGTCCTTCCGTCCGACCCCCTCCGTCCCTCACATGCCCGAAGCCACCTGCGCACTCCTGGGGTAACTGGGGGGGCCTCCCCTCCCCCGCCCCCCTCACCCGGCCACCCTAGGCCCGGTCGGCCCTGCCAACCCTCTTGAGCCTACTCTCCTGCCACTTGCCCACCAGCGGTTCTCCGAGGGCCCACCGTGTCGTGCCCTGGCTCCTCGTGGCCTTGCTCTAGGCCATTCCTCTCAGGGCTCAGAGGCGTCCCCCACGTGTTTCCCGCCTTTCAAGTGGTTCCGTTCTGGGGCCTACAGAGCAGCCACTTCCTCCCGCGGTGCGAGGCACAAGGCATTGTGGGTACGCAGCAGACATCTCTGCGCCGCCATCGTCGAAGGTGCAGGGATGCGCTACCTATTCTATATCCCAGCGAATGTGCTCCAGAATAGTCCCAGAGGCCTTTGCTGAACCATCCGGGCTGCCTAGGGCTGGTCTACCTGCTCCAGGTGCCTCCGTGCCCAGCTTCATCCATCCTTGCTGAGGAGGCAGAGTGATCCTACTCCAACATTCACTTGAGCAGGTCACTCTCCTGCCTGCACCTTCAATGGCTCCCACTTGCCCTCAGCTTAAGTTCAGTGCCTGGGCGGGGCACAGGGAGCCCCTGGTGACCTAGTCTTGCCCCCTTCTTCAACGTCACCCTCACTGCTCTTTTCTTCCTGGAGGCTCTCTCTAAGCAAGGGTGGGCAAACCATTTGCTTTAAGAGATTGATTGTAAATCTTTTAGGCTTTGCCAGCCATATGGTCTCTGTCCCAACTACTCAACTCTGCCATCGTAGCATAAAATCAACCATAGACAATACGTAAAAGAATGAGCCTGGCGGTGTTCCAATAAAACTTTATGGACACAAAAATTTGAATTTCGTGTCATTTTCACGTGTCCAGAAACATTTTTTGATGTTTTCCCAACCATTTGAAAGTGTAAGATCCATTCCTAGTTCCTATCACTCTAAGCACATTCCATTATAACATCTCCATGGGCCGGGCATGGTGGCTCATGCCTGTAATCCCAGCACTTTGGGAGGTTGAGGCAGGTGGATCAGAAGGTCAGGAGTTCAAGACCAGCCTGACAACATGATGAAACCCCATCTCTACTAAAAATACAAAAATTAGCCGGGTGTGGTGGCACACGCCTGTAATCCCAGCTACTCGGGAGGCTGAGGCAGGAGAATTGCTTGAACCCAGGAGGCGGAGGTTGCAGTGAGCCGAGATCATGCCACTACACTCCAGCCTGGGCAACAGAGCAAGACTCCATCTCAAAAAAAAAATAAATCATCTCCATGACATGTGCTTAAGGTAATTGTCACTCCCCCAAAATCCAGTCTATTCTGCCCTGCAAAAATGTTGCCCTCCTCCTCTCCCCAGCCTGGCTGTTCAACCCTCTCTGCCCCTTCTTCTCCGGCCCCCAAAGAACCTTCAATTTCTGCTCAAATGTGTCCCCCTCCCCCAATTCCCCATGCCACAGCTCTCCCTGCCTGGGACTCATTCCCCTCTGGAAGGGACCGCCTCACAGACACTTTCCTTCCCCAGAACCTTCTCTCCCTCCCTGAGCCTTCAGCAGCAACTCTGGGCGTCCCTCAGCCCATGAAAGAAGTGCTGTTTCAAGTCTGGATTCTCCATTGAACTCGTTCTGAGCATCAAGAAAACCTTGACATTGGCCCCCAAGCACGAAGGCAGGCACAAAATAATCACATTCCTCCATTTCCATTGCTCCTGGCAAAGGGGAGGAGGACCTGCCCAAGCCCCAGCCCCTGCCCTTGAGGCCCAGTGAGAAGTAAAGACACGCCCCACTCCCCAGGGAAGCTGCCCTGCCCAGAGCTGGCCAGGGTCAGGGGACTTGCTTGCTCTCCATCTTCCCCCAGCTTGGGTCTTTGTTCTCCTGACCTTTCCAGATTCCCAAGCTTCTTGGGAGGCCGAAGTGGAGTCAGCCTTGTTGGGTTCATACCAAAGTCCGCCTCCATGTCCTCAATGCGGCACTCAGTGTGTTGGGCGCTGTGTGGCAAGTACATCTTCCCCACGCCCAGCCTGTCAGAGATAAGTAACTTGCTCGGTCACACAGCCACAGCTGGGCACACCAGGCCCCACCCTCCACCCTCCCAGCTCAGGCCCTGTGGTGCCAGAAGCCTCCCTCCCAGAGAGCTGGCCAGAAGGGTAAACATCCCCCAATTCCTTCCTCCCACATGGCCCCTGTCACTCTTTTCCCCTCCCACATTCACAGAGGCCTGGCACACAGTAGGCACGGAGGTGCTCAGCAGGTGGAGAAGCTGAATCCCAGGGAGCTTAAGACCTGGGTTCTATGCCAGCTCGCCAAGTGTTCCAGTCATTTCAATCCCTAAGCCTCAGTATCTTCATCTGCAGAATGGGACGAATCACTGCCCTGACATCGCATTGACATCAATGGAATCTGGTTCTCTCCATCCTCTCCCAGCCGTCCTCCAGGCCCCACGATGACGTGGGGGAGGCTGGGGCTCCAAGCTCCATGGTGATATGGGGGAGGGTGGTTGGTGGCCCTCTTGCCCCACTGCTCCTCTAGGGGCTGAGCTGCCTGACAAGGAGGCTGTGGGAGCTGGAGGTGGGAAAAGCCCAGATACAAGATTAGCCAATCTCAGGCGGTGTCTCCTTACAGCCCTGCTGTCCCCTTTCACCCAGGCCTTTTTGGCTCTGGGAACAATTGCTAGGTCTGTTACCCTTTCAGCAGCTGCTGCCTGGCCTGTGGGAGCCGCATTCCACCTCCCTGGGGCATCTCACTCCTGGCCCTGGGTCTCCAGGTGGGGAGGCTCCTCACCCATGCCATGAAAACCAAGCCACAGGCCAGGCGCAATGGCTCACGCCTGTAATCCCAGCACTTTGAGAGGCCAAGGTAGGCGGATTACTTGAGGCCAGGAGTTTGAGACCAGCTTGGCCAACATGGTGAAACCCCATCTCTACTAAAAATACAAAAATTAGCCGGCCGTGGTAGCACATGCCTGTAGTCCCAGCTACTGGGAAGGCTGAGGCACAAGAATCCCTTGAACTCGGGAGGTGGAGGTTGCAGCGAGCTAGGACCGCACCGCTACACTCCAGCCTGAGCAACAGAGTGAGACCCTATCAAAAAAGAAAAAGAAAAAGAAAGAAAGAAAGAAAGAGAGAACCAAGCCATCAAGCCCCAGCCCTGCCAAGGCTCCAGGTGGTCAGGGAGCATGGCGGTGCAGTGGGCAGAGTGAGCTGGCTCCGGTCGGGGCCCTCCGAGCTGCGCCAGGGCTCCACACTCAAAGCCTAGGCCCATTGGTCTGCAGAGTGGGCATAAAGGTGGCCACCTGACAGCGTGTGGGGAGGGTGAGGGAGGTGGGATGTGTGACAAGGTGGTGCTGGGCAGCACCGAAGGTGTTTGATAAAGGGTCCTTTGAGAAATTAAAATGAAATCCCAAGCCCCCCAACAGCCCCCCGTCTTGGCCAAGGGAACCCCAGAGAAACCTTGAAAGCTGAGTGCTTGGCTACAACAGAATGGGAGGTCAGACACTCCTCGATACAGCCCCTCCTGAACCCCTTCCTTAGGGAAGAAAGCCTGCTGACGGTTAGGGCTAGCCAGAAACCAGCCCTTTTGAAAGACTTCACCACTGATACCAACCAGCTGTCCGATGCTATCCCTCTTTTGCAGTTTTGACACAATAACTGACCATCATCCCTTCCTGATAAGAAACCATTGTCCAGACAGTCTAAAGTGGACGCCCAGTGAAGGTGTTCGTCAGAGATAAGTGACTTGCTCAGTCGCACACAGCCAGCCCTGGGCACAGCCGGGCACAGCCAGGCACACCAGGCCCCACCCTCCACCCTCTACCCTCCCAGCTCAGGCCCTGTGGTGCCAGGAGCCTGCCTGAGAGCTGGCCAGAAGGGGACACAGCCCCCAATTCCTTCCTCCCACATAGCCCCTGTCACTCTTTTCCCCTCCCGCATTCACAGAGGCCTGGCACACAGTAGGGTCCTGTGCTTCACCTTTTGACATCAGAGGGCTGAAAAACACCCTGCGATCACACTAACGCCACCATTTTTTTGCATGTGTGACTCACTAAGGGGCATGAAGCTTAATTGCACAGGTCCCTGTTTCTCCTTACATCAATATTCATGACTCCCCCTATAGCTTATTAAATATGTATATTCAGCCACCCTGCTCTGTATAAATTCCTGTTCCCTTTGCCCCTCCCTTGAAGCATGTGTTCCTGGCTTCTGGCTGGAAGCTATGCTTCCCAGCCTGTCAGAATGGCTGCCCTGCAGGCTGCAACCCTTTATGAGAAATAAAGCTCTCCTTTCCAAATTTGTGAAACTCATTGTTCTTCTGTTGGCGACTTCCTTCCCCAACACTGGCCAGGTGAAGTCAGATCTGTCCCCTTTCTACCCTCCCCCACATACACTCCATTCAGCTGAGCTTGTCCCATCCACTGGCAGCCCTCTGAAATGCTTGCAATTTCTCTGCCTTTTTTTTTTTTTTTTTTTTTTGAGACGGAGTCTCACTCTGTCACCACGCTGGGGTGCAATGGTGTGATCTTGGCTCACTGCAACCTCCGCCTCCCGGGTTCAAGCGATTCTTCTGACTCAGCCTCCCGAGTAGGTGGGAAGACACGTGTGCACCACAATGCCCAGCAAATTTTTTGTATTTTTAGTAGAGACAGGGTTTCACCAAGTTGGCCAGGATGGTCTTGATCTCTTTTTTTTTTTTTTTTTTCTTGAGACGGAGTCACTCTGTTGCCCAGGCTGGAGTGCAGTGGTACAATCTCGGCTCACTGCAAGCTCCGCCTCCCGGGTTCACACCATTCTCCTGCCTCAGCCTCCCAAGTAGCTGGGACTACAGGCGCCCGCCACCACACCCGGCTAATTTTTTGTATTTTTAGTAGAGACGGGGTTTCAACGGGTTAGCCAGGATGGTCTCGATCTCCTGACCTCGTGATCTGCCTGCCTTGGCCTCCCAAAGTGTGGATTACAGGTGTGAGCCACCGTGCCTGGCCGGTCTTGATCTCTTGACCTTGTGATCCACCAGCCTCGGCCTCCCAAAGTGCTGGGATTACAGGTGTGAGCCACCGCACCTGGCCAGTTCTCTGGCTTTTTAAAATCTCTGTACCTGGCATATCTGTGTTCTGCCCAAAACGCCTTTTTGGAAAAACTCCTACTCATCCTTAAAGACCCAGCCCAGGTGTCTCCTCCCCTCAAAGGCCCCTGAAGGGCTTCTGGTTTCCAGGAGCCCTGCTTGCCTCCATTTGGAGAATTCTCACCTCAAGGCCTTTACTGCTACTGGGTTCTGCCTGGAGTGCCCTTCCCAGCCCAGCCCAAAGAGCTCAGCTCAAATGCCACCTCTCCAGAGTCTCCTCTCACTCCCTTTCTTGGGACCTGAGCACTTCCTGTCTGCTATCCTGGGCTCCTCACCTGGCCTTGCTGTGAGCTCTTGGGCAACTAGGATGAGAGAAGTTTCCCCTAGCCCCTAGCTGGTGCTGGGGACAGAGGGCCCTAAGGGAGGGGCCCCTGCTGGTCCAGGTAGGGTGTCTGGGCCAAGTCTTGCTGGTCAAGCCCTCTAGGCTTGCGTGGCATTGAACAAGTCCCTTCTCTACCATCCTTACTTTCTACACTTGCCGAGTAGGGGTAATGGATTAGATAGGGATCCATTACTTGGGGGAGTCAAGGGATCCAGCAATCTCCTAAAATTCCCAGTAGCATGGTGTGTGTGACTGTGAGCATGTGTGAGTGTGTGCATGCATGTGAACACAGGTGCATGTACACCTGTGGAAGCGTGTGCATGTGTGTGAACATGGGTGCATGTATACATGTGCAGAAATGTGTGCATGCATGTGTACATGGGTGTGTGCCCCTGCCCATCTGTGTGTGTATATGAGTGCACGTGCACATGCGTGTTTTGGGGGAAGCATCCATGGCTGTTATCAGATTCTCAAAGGGAGCAGGCCCTGGGTGGGAAATCCTGGCCTGTCCCACAGGAGAGACGGCTGTGGGCACCAGGAGCACCTCTTCCACCTCCCCCTTCCACTGCCCTTGCCTGGCCTGTGTTCTTGCAGCCGCCTCCCCACTGGTGGGCAAAGTCAGCTCACCTCCCTGCTCTGCGCAGATTGTGCGGTGGCTGCCGCCTCCACTCAGAGGGAGGCCAGAGACCTGTCGGCCAGTTACCTCTCTGGCCTCCTCCCCTCTACTCTCATCCACTGGCACACTAGCTCCGTTGGTGCTGGCGGTCCCCTCTGCCTGAACGCTCCAGCCCCAGGTACCCACAGCTCCTCCTACTTCCAGCCTGGGCTCTGATCTGGGTCTTTGGGACCACCACAACTCAGGGCAGCCCCCCGTCCCTTTGCTTGCCCTTCTTTCTTCCATAGCACATTTCTCTTTCCAGCATACTAGGTAATTGACTCATTGATTAAATTTCTTGTGTATTTTGCCCGTCTCCTCACTGTCTCCTGCTGCTGTCTCCTCGGCATCTGGCTCAGCCTAGCACATGGTAGGTGCCCAGTCGGTACTGTTGCAGGGACGGAAACTGCAGACAACCCCTCCCTGGCCTCTGTGTGTGCATTTTGGGGGTTGCCCCATCTGTGTCTACCGCTGGCGGTAGGGCATGAGGGCTGGTGAGAGCCCAGGGAGAGAAGTGACAGCTTTCCAGGCAAAGGAACATTAGCACTGAAGTGCCCCATGAGGGCCAGGGGTGCTGCAGGATGTGGATGGGTGTGGCCCAGAATGTGCACTGCTTTTTGTACCATAAACCTCACGCTTAGCTGGTCAAGCCCTCTAGGCCTGTGTGGCCTTGAACAAGTCCCTTCCTCTCTACAAGCCTTACTTTCTACACTTGCCGAGTAGGAGCAATGGATTAGACAGGGATCCATCCATTACTTGGGGGAGTCGGGGGGTCCAAGAAAACTTGGGTAGCTGCTCTATCTCTAGCCTCCACTGTGACGGCAGGCCCCTCTGCCTTCCCCAGGCAGCCCCCAGGTGAAGAAACTGAGGCACAGCAAGAAGAAATGAATCCCACTCAATGGCTGAGTGCCAGAGTCAGGACTCAGATCCAGGTCTGGGACTCCAGAGCCAGTGCTCCAGCCACCAGGAGCCATGTCCCTCCCTGCTCCCTGCCCAGAGGGTCCTGTCTCCCACAGTGGCTAACCCCACAGAGAGAGAGGAACCCCGTCTCTACTAAAAGTACAAAAATTAGGTGGGCGTGGTGGCGGGCGCCTGTAGTCCCAGCTACTTGGGAGGCTGAGGCAGGCGAATCGCTTGAACCTGGGAGGCGGAGGTAGCAGTGAGCCCAGATCGCGCCATTACACTCCAGTCTGCTCAACAGAGTGAGACTTTGTCTCAAAAAAAAACCCAAAAAAGACGGAATGGCATCCAGACTGAGGTGGGGGAACACAGGGGCAGCGGGGATGGTGCAGAAAGGAGTGCCTGGTGCACTTAAGGGAGGGGCTAGGCATAGCCAGAAAGTGTTGGGGGTGGCTGTGAAGAAGGGGGTTCAAGCCAAGGATGGCTCTAAGCTGCAGGAATGCAACAGATGCTGAGAGTCAGACTGAGTGACCTGGTGAAGCTGAGCAGGTGAACCCACTGTAGCCTGTGGCCAGCCTAGGAGGGTGGCCTAGCAGAGTGAGGTTTGGAGGCTGGAGACCTCAGGGGAACACACTGAGCCACAACAGTGTCACCAGCTGGCATCTCCTTGTTCGGGGCCCTTGAGGGAAGCAGACATGTCCACACCTGTGTGCACAGGCCTGGCACATGGAGACCCAGGCCCTCCGTGCACACGGAGCAAGTCCCCATCAGCCTGCGTGTGCACCCACTGGAAGGCTCCCCACCCTAGTGCCACATACATGCATGCACTCTCACACAGACACGCCCCACATGCATACACAGGGTGCATCCCCGAACGCACAAGCCCTGCCAGGCACTCCCCACAAACTCACAGGACGACATTCCACAGGGTCACCGAAGGGAAGGCAGGGCTGGGAACCACGAGGCCCAGACAGGGGTGGTGTCAGGCCACGCAGAGCCCCTCTCCTGACTCCAGCACACCCTCCTCCTCTCCTCCACACCCAGCACCTGCCTTGGTGAAGGGGCCTTGAAACTCAGAGGTGGGGGCGTGGGCCCAGCCACACTGACTCTTGGCCTGTCCATCCTACAGCAACTTCAGGTCCCCAGGCCTGTCAGGGAGTTTCAGCCTCTGTCCTCACGGCCCCTGGGCCGAGTCATCACTCGGCAGCCACAAAGCCACAGGAAGGTGGGCAGGGGCTGGGCCTGGGAGGCGACCTTGGGAACATCCAGTCTATTTGTGATTGTCGGAACCCGAAAACCACAGACCCCAGGTGGCCAGCTAGGGGCCAGCGGTTACTCTGGTCCTTTTGATGGCCTGAAACTTAAATAAACCAGGGTGCTGCTGGAAGCCCTGTTCAGGGGTCCAGGCTGTCCAGCTGGACCTGGGCCAGCGAGTAGAACTGGAAGAAGAGAGAAATTCACTCAGGAAATCTGGGATCGGCCACAGGGTCTCCTGCTGGCGGTAGGAGGCTTAGCCACTGACCTTTAGCTCAAGCATGCTCTGAGGCTGGGGAACTGGCCAAATATGGTTCCACTGGGCCTCACACCTGTGACCTGGGTGAGGAGAGGGGCTTCAAGGTCATCTCCTGTGGCCCCAGTCTCATGCCACTGCTTACACACGTCCTGTGATGTGGCGCTCACTCTCTCACTCTATTATGTGACCACTTTGGCTGTTAGATACCCTAGAACCCGCTGCCTGGAACTGGGCAGAGCAAGCCAGCTTCTTCATTGGCACGGCGGTCCTCCAGACATTTGGCAAGGGTCCCTCCACCACTTCTCCTCCCAGGTTTTTTTTTTTTTTTTTTTTTTTTTGAGACGGAGTCTCACTCTGTCACCTAGGCCGGAGTGTGGTGGCTCGAACTTGGCTCACTGCAACCTCTGCCTCTCGGATTCAAGTGATTCTCCTTCCTCAGCCTCCCAAGTAGCTGGGACTACAGGCATGTGCCTCCACACCCAGCTAATTTTTTTTGTATTTTTAGTAGAGACAGGGTTTCACCATATTGGTCAGGCTGGTCTTGAACTCCTGACCTCGTTATCTGCCTGCCTTGGCCTCCCAAAGTGCTGGGATTACAGGTGTGAGCCACCGCGCCCGGCCTCCTCCCAGGTTCTTTAGCGCCTCCTCCTATGACATGGTTTCCAGACCTTTCCATCCCAGTTACTCTCCATTTGCCCTCCCCCGACATGTCCTGACTTGCATAGATGCACACAAAGGGTCTCTCACCTGCCTTGGCTGCCCTGCGCTCCGTTAACACGGCCTGCATCTGCGGCGAGAGCTCTGGCCACCACACACACTTCCTGCCAGTTGCTCTGCGAAGTGCAATGAACTGCAACTAGAAAGCTCAGGGGCTCAAACAAATTCAGGTTTAAAACAACCTCAGCCACACTATGGTATAGAAAAGGGAAGGAATAGGAGGCGGAGCACAGGCACTAGCGGAGCAGGTGCAGTTCGGGCTCCGGAAAGAGCACGGGGATGATAACCACAGAAGCAAACCCACATCACTGACCACGGGCTGGCATCATCCTGCATTGTCACGCCAGGCCGTGATGTTGGGCATGGCAGCTAACAAGACAGACCTGGGCTACCTGGGCCCAACTCCGAGATTCACTGACTCACTGTGTGACCTCAGGCAACTTGTTTGCCCTCTCTGTGCCTTCATTTCCTCATCTGTAAAGTGAGGAATGTCATAACAGACCCCGCCTGACAGGGCTGTTGGGAGGCTTGCATGAGTTGCTAGATGCAAAGTGCTTAGAACGGGGCCTGGCACAGAGCAATCGTGTCTGCCCTTCCTTTCTCCCCATTTTTCAGATAAGGAAACAGGCATGAAGCAGTGAAGTTAACTTTCCCAAGATCAGGCAGCTAATGAGTGGCAGCACCTGTGCTGGGAGGCCACTGAAAGGTTCACGAGGCCTCTAGGGGTTGGAGGAGAGGAAAGATCCACCCTGGTTTCCCCCCTGCTACCCTCAGTGAACATCACTGTCTGGGGACATTTGCTGCACTCCAGAGTCTGTGAGGCCGAGGCGGGGCCAGGGAGCGGCTGCTGTGTGGCGCCCTCCGCCTTTCGGAAACCCCAGGCAGGGCCAAGTGTTATCACCTGCAGGAGGAGCAGGCCCAGCTCATTCCCGGGAAAACACCCTCAGGGACGGGGACAGAGCCGGGGCCTCTGGAGGAAATGGCCTTTGGTTACGCTGGGGCCTGTCCAGAGCCCGCTTATCCTCCTCTACTCACCCCCAGCTGGGCCTCGAGCCTCCTGGGCCTCTTCTGCAAGCATGGGGATCACCATACACTCTGCTGCCCTGCCCCACTGGAGGCTGCCAGCAGTTAAGGACGGCTCTGAGGCTTGGGGTCCTTGGGTGGGAGATGTCTGCCAAGATGGCTGCAGGGTCCCCTCCCTCCCCGGCCCTGGCAGCATGTCCACCATTTTCCCCTCCCTGCAACCTGGGCAGGCCTGTGACTTGCTTTGCCCACTAGGATGAGGAAATGTCCAGGCTAGGCCTCAAGTGGCCTTGCAATGTCCTTTTCCTCCAGCTTGGAGGTCAGCAGCTATGGAGGGAAATCCAGGGGGAGAGCGGCCCTGGACCACACAGGGAAGAGAGGGGCCGCCTCCCCCAGCTGTTCCAGCCACCCCTGCCAGGCGTTGGGCCTGGGAGGGAGGCCAGGGGGCCGCCCCAGCCAACACCGCAGAGACAGTGACATGGCAGGCGGACCAGGCACAAGGCCTGCTCCCACCGGAGGTCTGGGTGAGTTACATCGCCTTTCCTAGATTTGGATCCCCCCAAAGAGGGACAGTAAAAGCACCAGCATGGTCTGGAGTGATGGTGCAGGATGAGCGAGCCTTGTGAGTGGTGCTTGTGACACTGGCCCAGGGGCTGTGTCGGAGAAACACCAGCCGTTTTCACTACTATTAGAGGCTTGGAGACGGCTGAATCCAGGCAGACCCTCCCCGGCTGGACAAAGTCTCCAGGGAACGGAGCAGCAGGATTCTAACAAGGGCTGCTGCTGTGGGGACACTTACTGTGGCCATGTCTCAGCATGAACCACATCACTTTTGAGCCTTCCACCGTCTCATGAGGGGTATGACGTAGCCCCCACTGACTGCAGCTGGCAGGAGAGAGACTGTTTCTAAATCAGGTCGGGATGAAAGTCACTCCTTCCTCACAGGGCCAACCCTCCAGCTCCTAGGAGGATTCAGGGCCCTGGTGATTCCTGCAGTGTTCTTGCCACCAAGCTCATCCTACAGGTGGACAAGCTGATGCTCAGAACTGGAAAGTGACTCGTCCAAGATCACACTGTGCTGCCATGCAATGTGATGGCCATGTGGAGCTGGTGGCCTGGTCCAGGCTGGCCAGGCTAGGACCAGACTCACAGCTCACAGCAGTCCTGACAAGGCTAGAGGGTCTGGAGCCATGGCCCTGAAGGCACAGAGAAGGCGCCCCGTGGATCCCTTCTCAGATTCCTCCTGTTATCCCCCTGGCGCGTGTTGCTGCTGGCTGTCAGAGGACGCGCTTAGGTTTCCTTGTTTGTTGTCTGTCTCTCCACTGGGCAGGGCCTTTCTTTGGTTCCCAATCAGAGCTGAGCGCACACTAAGTGCTCGATGCATATTCGCTGGAGGAATGATTGGATGTCGCTGGTCTGAGATGGATCAGATGGGGCCAGACTGGCAGTGGGGAGAGCTGGCAGAGGCGCTGGGAAACAGGGGAGGTAATGGTGGCTGGGGTGGAGATGGGAGGCTGGAAAGAGGAGATGAGACCTGCAGGACCAGGTGTTGTCTGGGATGTGGCATGGGGAGGGAGTTGTGGGGCTGACTCCCAGAGGTCTGATGGGGAAGGCTGCCCCTAGACTGCCCGCCCCGACAGCTGGGCTCAGAGGCTGGGTTCCAGGCGTGACATCACTAGGCAGAGGCCCTCAGCACCCTTCAGGCCCGGACTCGTGCCTCACCCTGAGATACGCCCATCCCCACCCCATCTCCTATTCCTCAAACTCTTGATCCCACTTCTGGGCCCAGGATGCCTGGGCCTCTTCCTGGAAGACTTCCCTGATTCTCCTGCTGCTTCTGCACCCTGCCCCCCAGTGATTTCTCCTTCTGCTAGCTCTTCATTCATTCATTCACTCACTTCATTACTCACTCAGGAAACAATTTCAAGACTGGCCCTATGTCCCCACGGAGACACAGAGATGACCCTGCTCCAAGGGAGACAGATTCAGAAGCCAAACCATGGCATGACTCAAATCCTAATGCTCTTAGAAAGAAAAAAATTCTCATGGATTCTGGGGTTGTCGTCAGTCATTTTTATCACAGTGTTTCTTAAATATGCGCAGACACCGAGCTAGGTGTAAAGCTCTTGTGTTTATGTTTGCCTCCAACATTAAAAACAAAGCAATGCTGGGAACGGTGGCTCATGCCTGTGATCCCAGCACTTTGGGAGGCCAAGGCGGGAGGATCACTTGAGGCCAGGAGTTCCAGATCAGCCTGGCTAACAAGGCGAAACCTTGTCTCTACTAAAAAATACAAAAATTAGCCTGCCTTGGTGGCGGGCGCCTGTAATCCCAGGTACTCAGGAGGCTGGGGCATGAGAATCGCTTGAACCTAGGAGACAAAGGTTGCAGTGAGCCTGAATCGTGCCACTGCACTCCAGCCAGGGCAACAGAGTGAGACTCTGTTTCAAAAAACAAAACCAAACCAAAGCAAATTTGCAAAATGAATATAAAAAAACATAGAGCCAATAAAAAATCAAATTAACAACAGGAAGAAATCTTGCTGGCTCTCACCACAGACAGGGCAGTCAGCAATCGAGGTGCCCAATGAGGGGCTGATTCTCTGGGGCCGGGTGGCTTTGACCAGTGTGGAGGCCAAGCAAGGCCTTGCTCCTCCCTGCAGGATCCTCTGTTCACGCCTACCCAGCCTGGGAGGCCTGGCTGAGGCAGTGCCTGGACGACACCTGGCCAAAGTCTCCCCGCATCTTTTCTCATTAGCTCCAGTGACTATGAAGTCTCAATGCCCTGGTCAGCACAAATCCACTGGGTAGCCAAACTTTAAAAAAGAAAAATGTGGTAAAATCTACGTAACACAAAATTTACCACTTTAACCAGTTTTTAGCACACAGTGTGGTGGCATTAGGTACATTCACCTTGTATGGTACCATCACCACCGTCCATCTCCAGAATGCTTTTTTTTTGAGACAGAGTCTCGCTCTGTCGCCCAGGGTGGAGTGCAGTGGCATGATCTCGGCTCGCTGCAACCTCTGCCTCCCGGGTTCAAACGATTCTTGTGCCTCAGCCACCTGAGTAGCTCAGATTACAGGTGTAAGCCACCATGCCCGACTAATTTTTGTATTTTTAGTAGAGACAGGGTTTTGCCATGTTGGCCAGACTGGTCTGGAACTCCTGACCTCAGGTGATCCACTCACCTTGGCTTTCCAAAGCACTGGGATTACAGGCGTGAGCCACCAAGCCAGCCTGGCCCAGCAGGATTTTCATCTTGCAAAACTGAAACTCTGCACCCATTAAATATTAACTCCCCATTCCCCTGCCCCCCAGCATCTGTCAATCCCATTCTACTTTCTGTCTCTGAATTTGACTACCATAAGTGCCTCGTCTGAGTGAGACCGTATAGTATTTGTCCTTTTGTGACTGCCTCATTTTACTTAGCATAATGTGCTTAAGATTCATCTACATTGTAGCATGTGTCAGAATTTCTTTTTTTTTTAAGGCTGAATAATATTTCATTGTATGGATAGAACGCATTTTGTTTATCCATGGACATCTCATCCATTGATGAGTTGCCTCCACCTTTTGGCTGATGTATACAATATTGCTACCAACATTGCCACACGAGCATCTGAGACTTTGCTTTCAGTTCTTCTGGGTGTATACACAGAAGTGGAATTACTGAGTCGTATGGTAATTCAATGTTTAATTCAGAACTAATGTTTAATCTTTTTTTTTTTTTTTTTTTTTTTTGAGACAGGGTCTCGCTCTGTTCCGCAGGCTGGAGTGCAGTGGCATGATCTTGGCTCACTGAAATCTCCACCTCCTGGGCTCAAGTGATCCTCCCACCTCAGCCTCCAGAGTAGCTAGGACCATAGGCACGTGCCACCACACATGGCTAATTTTTTTGTGTTTTGGGTAGAGACGGTTTTTTGGGGGATTTTTTAGACAGAGTCTCGCTCTGTCGCCCAGGCTGGAGTGCAGTGGCACAATTTCAGCTCACTGAAACCTCCACCTGCCGGGTTCAAGTGATTCTTCTGCCTCAGCCCCCCAAGTAGCCGGGATTTCAGGCGCACACCCATACCCGGCTAATTTTTGTATTTTTGTTTTTTGTTTTTTTCAGTAGAGATGGGGTTTCACCATGTTGGCCAGGCTGGTTTCGAACTCCTGACCTCAGGTGATCCGCCCGCCTTGGCCTCCCAAAGTGCTGGGATTACAGGCGTGAGCCACTGTGCCCAGCCTCGCCCCCACTTTTTTTTTTTTTTTTTTTTGAGATGGAGTCTCGCTCTGTTGCCCAGGCTGGAGTGCAGTGGCATGATTTCGGCTCACTGCAACCTCCGCCTCCTGGGTTTAGGTGATTCTCCTGTCTCAGCCTCTCGAGTAGCTGGGCCTACAGGCACCCACCACCACGCCCGGCTAATTTTTGTATTTTTAGTAGAAACGGGGTTTCACTATGTTGCCTAGGCTGGTCTTGAACTCCTGACCTCGTGATCTGCCCACTTCGGCCTCCCAAAGTGCTGGGATTACAGGCGTGAGCCATGCGCCTGGCCTGAGATGGGGTTTTGCCATCTGAGCCAAGCTGGTCTCAAACTCCTGGATTCAAGCAATCTACCCGCCTCAGCCTCCCAAAATGCTGGGATTATAGTTGTGAGGCACTGAGCCCAGCTTAAACTTTTAAGTTGATGGGTACATGTGCAGGTTTGTTACATAGGTCAGTGTGTGTCATCGGGGTTTGTTGTGAAGATTAATTCATCACTCAGCCTAGTACCCATTAGTTATTTTTCCTGATCCTCTCCTTCCTCCCACCCTCCACCTTCTGAAAGGTCCCAGTGTGTTGTTCCCCTCTGTGTGTTTGTGTGTCCTCATCATTTAGCTTCCATTTATGAGAACATGCAGTATTTGGTTTTCTATTCCTGTGTTAGTTTGCTAAGGAGAACGGCCTCCAGCTGCATCCATGTCCCTGCAAATGACGTGATCTCATTCTTTTTTATGGTTGCTCAAGACTAATTTTTAAGGTGGTTATTCAGATGATCCTAAAGAGGATTATAGCCTATTTGGGTTTTTTTGTTTGTTTGTTTTTTGAGATGGAATCTTGCTCTTGTTGCTCAGGCTGGAGTGCAATGGCATGACCTCGGCTCACAGCAACCTCTGCCTCCCGGGTTCAAGCGAATTCTCCTGCCTCAGCCTCCCAGGTAGCTGGGATTACAGACACCCACCATCACACCCAGCTAATTTTTTTTTTTTGAGTAATTTTTTTGTATTTTAAGTAGAGATGGGGTTTCACCCTGTTGGCCAGGCTGGTCTCAAATTCCCGACGTCAGGTGATCCACCAACCTCAGCCTCCCAGTGCTGGGATTACAGGTGTGAGCCACCACACCCAGCTGCCTATTTGTTTTTAATTCATAGACTTAAAATGCACTATAATTTAAAACTCTCATCCTCTTCAGAGTATACAGAGCCTCCAGTCTGAAACAGTCTAGAACTGGACCATCCATTGGTGTGACCTCGAGCCATAGCCATGAAGCCCAGATCATGCTGGCCTGCACAGAAT
Organism: Homo sapiens; assembly: GCF_000001405.40. Taxonomy (NCBI): domain Eukaryota; kingdom Metazoa; phylum Chordata; class Mammalia; order Primates; family Hominidae; genus Homo; species Homo sapiens. The sequence goes on along the minus strand of NC_000022.11, from coordinate 39,440,762 downwards.
TATTCTGTACGGGTAAAATACAGCTGGATTTTGAGAAAAGGTTTTACCCCCGTCGCTCAGGCTGGAGTGCAGTGGCATGATCATGGCCCACTGCAGCCTCGACTTCCCAGGCTCAGATGATCCTCCCACCTCAGCCTCCTGAGTAGCTGGGACCACAGATGTGTGCCACCACCTCTGGCTAATTTTTGTGTATTTTTCAGTAGAGACGAAGTTTCACCATGTTGCTCAGGCTGGTCTCAAACTCCTGGACTCAAGCGATCCACCTGCCCCTTTTTACTTTTTCAAATGTGATTATTAGAACATCTAAAATGGCATATGGGCCAGGAGCAGTGGCTCATGCCTGTAATCCCAGCACTTTGGGAGGCTGAGGTGGGTGGATCGCCTGAGGTCAGGAGTTGGAGACCAACCTGGCCACGATAGTGAAACCCCGTCTCTACTAAAAATACAAAAAATTAGCTGGGCGTGGTGGCGGGCACCTGTAATCCCAGCTACTAGGGAGACTGAGGCAGGAGAATCGCTTGAACCTGGGAGGCGGAGGTTGCAGTGAGCCGAGATCATGCCATTGCACTCCAGCCTGGGCAACAAGAGCGAAATTCCATCTCTAAGTAAATAAATAAATAAAATGGCACATGGGCCAGGAGCAGTGGCTCATGCCTGTAATCCCAGCACTTTGGGAGGCAGGCGGAACATGGCAACACCCCGACTGTACTGAAAAATACAAAAAATTAGCCGGGTGTGGTGCTGCATGCCTGTGGTCCCAGCTATTTGGGAGGCTGCAGTGGGAGGATCGTTTTAGTCTAGGAGGTGGAGGCTGCAGTGAGTAGTGATCACACCACTGCACTCCAGCCTGGGTGACAGAGTGAGACTCTGTCTTAAAAATAAAATAAAATAAGGTGGAATGAAATGAAATAATACAACGGCACGTGAGGCTCACACTCTCTCTCTGGACTCTTCATCCTAGAGGACCAATTCAGGTGCTTTGTGAGTCCAGAGGAGCCACCTAGAGTTCTTCCTTCCAAGCAGAGGAAGCCTTGGGCTGGTTCCTCAATTTCACTGGGGTGAAATTCACATAGCATACAATTAACCGCTTGAAAACTGCAGGTCAGTGGCACTCAATGCATTCACCAACACCTCACCCCAGAAAAACACGCTGGCTCTGTTACCAGTCTCTGCAGTTTCCTCCTTCCCCCAGCCCTGCTTTCTGTCTCTATGGATTTGCCTATCACCGGCATCTGTAGGAGGAATCATACATGTGACCTCTTGTGACCAGCTTCTCTCATTAGCACAGTGATTTTGAGGCTCTTCCTTGTGGTGGCCTGTCAGTGTCATTCCTTTTCACGGCTGAATACTATTCCGTGGCGTGGAGGCAGCACAGTCTGCTTCTCCTCTTCGGATGGATATCTAGGTTGCTTGTGACATTCGGCTATGATGAGTAATGCTGCCGTGAACACTTCCGTACTGTTTCTGTATGTTTGTGTTTCCTGGGAGTGGAATTGCTGGCTCATATGGTAATGGCTGGTTCCTTCTATCTTTTAACATTCACTTTGCTTATCAAAAGTTCTAGATACAGCTGGGCATGGTGGCTCATGCTTGTAATCCCAGCACTTTGGGAAGCTGAGGTGGGTTGGGAGGCCAAGGCGGGTGGATCAATTGAGGTCAGGAGTTCAAGACCAGTCTGGCCAACATGGTGAAACCTCGTCTCTAGTAAAATACAAAAATTAGCTGGGTGTGGTGGTGGCTGTAATCCCAGCTACTCGGGAGGCTGAGGCAGGAGAATCACTTGAATCTGGGAGGCGGAGGTTGCAGTGAGCCAAGATTGAATCACTACGCTCTAGCCTGGGCAACAGAGCGAGACCCAATCTCAAAAACAAAAACAAAAAAAAAGAAAGTAAGTTCTAGATACACAGACTCTTGATTTCACTGAAGGGAGGTGGGGGGTACTTGTTAGGGACCCCCCATGTCAGTATTTTCAGGACTTTGTTGTGCGTCAGATTCTCCAGCGAGGAGCCTCAGTGTCCTGCTGGAGGGTGAAGACTGGGCTGTGTGCTGGGAGCTGGGCAGGGCAAATGGGGTCCCAGTGCCCAGAAGCACCCGACTGCTCTGCTTCCAGTGCTGTGGCAGTGCCGCTATCTCTGGGTGGACTCTGGTGAGCGGAGGACGGGACTGCCTGGCCATTCTGGGTGGGAGACCGGGGGACCTGACTGCGCCTCATTTTGCCCCCACCTGGGACTGCTGGCTCACGCTGAGCTTTCGGTGGTTCTTCAGGGTAAACCACACTGGTATTCAGCTGCCATCACACACCTGGGATGTAACTTCTGTGTCCCTTAAGTCAGTTGCCACTCTACATCGACTTTTCAGCTTCAAAACCTGTGTGGATGTTGTCTCCTGATTGCTACAACCTTGTGGGTTTATACCTGGAAGGAAGGAAGGGAGGGAGGGAGGAGGGGAGAGGGAGGGAAGGAGGGAGGGAAAGAAGGAGGAAAGAAGGGAGGGAGGGAGGGAGAAGGGAGGGAAGGAAGGAGGAAGGGAGGGAGGGAGAAGGGAAGGAAGGAGGGAGTGGGAAGGGAGGGAGGAAAGGAGGAAGGGATGGAGGGAAGGAGGAAGGAAGGGAGGGAAGGGGGAAGGGAGGAAGGGAGGGAGTGAGGAGGGAGGGAAGGGGGAAGGAGGAATGGAGGGAACGAAGAAGGAAGGGAGGGAGGGATGGATGGCGGGAGCAGAGGGAGGGAGAAATCCCTCCCTGTTGTTTTAAGGGGGTTTGAGAAGGGAGGGAAAGTGGACGAATGTGTTTAGCCCGTCATCTTTAGCAAAGCTGCCAGCACAGGAGGAGCCTGGCAGTCAGTCCCAGGAAGCCCAGACCCCTCAGGAGCATTCCAGGGCCCGGTGCAGAGCCCACCTGCTCTGGGAAGGTTCCGGAACTCATCAGACAGAAGGGGTCTCCCCTTGGCCTGGGTCTCAGGGCCCATTCTGGCCGTTTTGGCCAGACTTCCAGGTGTAGTTTTATCTTCCGCAGAGACTGAGCCCCTGCAGGGCCGGAGTATTAACAGAGACTTTCTGACGGCCTCCCCTCTCCCCACCCTGCCAGCCTCAGCCCCTACTTGGCGGCACACCTGGTGCCTGGTGCCCGGCAGGCTTTGTTGCTGGCTAGAGGTAAAGGGAGGGCACACCAGGAAGCCAACACAGCCATGGCAAAGGCTCGGAGGAAAGGAGCAGAGTGGGAGGGGACATCCCTCTCTGTCATCTCCGGATTTCTTTCCACCTGTTCTTGAAAGTTTCTTGGATTTTTGGAGACAGGGTCTCACTCTGTCACCCAGGCTGGAGTGCAGTGGCACGATCTCGGCTCACTGCAGCTCCGCCTCCCAGGCTCAAGCGATTCTCCCACCTCAGCTCCCCCTACCGGTTCTCGAATCTTATTCCTGGGTCTGAGGCCCCAGGGTGGTTGAAAGTTCAGGAAGGCTGGGATGGGGACGTTAGCTGCAGGCCACCGCACTGAAGAGGCTGATTTAGGCCCCGCTGGTCCCCCCGACTCACAGCCACCCTCCTGATGAGGTGCAGCAGGCATGAACCCTTGGGCCCACCATCCTTTCAGGGGGCTGTGGAAATATTTTACCTTTAAAACAGAAGAAAATGAACTTTTACTCAAAGAGAAATTTTAATGTATTAATATATTTATCTTTCTACCAATAGTCATAAAGTATAATTTTAATTTTTTTTTTGCAGAAGAGGCCCATGAAAGTCACAATGCATCCATGCCCCATGCCCAGGGCCACCCACATCTCGGGCCACACCTGATGGAAGGTTGGAGTCCTTCTCTCAGAATAGCTGGGCCCAGTGTCACAAACACTGCCCCGTGCAGGGTGCTGGGACCTAGAGAACATGGGTCCTAACCAGGAACCCCAGAGTCACTGCAGACCAAGTTCCAAGAGCCCTGAGCTCACCAGAACAGAGGACAGCCTTGGGGGATAAGTCCCTGGAAAGAAGATGAGAGTGAGCTGGGTCCTGAAGGATGGGCCATTCTAGGTGAGGGAAGCCTCAGTGGACACAGATGCATGAGGGAGGGGGTCTGCCCAGTCCCGGGGAGGGGGCGGGGCCTGGCCTGGCACGAGAAGATCCCAGTGCACAAGTCAGACCAGGCGACAAAACCCCAGGATGATCTCAGCTCCCAGAGGGCCCCTTGGTGTAGGCGCTTCCTTCCTACCCTGGGGTCAGGCTGCCCAGGAGGTTTAGTTGGCACTGAGGGATGGCTGTCAAATCGCTTGCAGGCCTGGAAGGGTCTCTGAAAATCAGGAGGAAACTTCATGACACATGAAGAAAAGTCCAGAGTTTAAATCTTTGCTCCTGTGTGATCTTGGGCAACTTTCTAAACCTCTCTGAGGCCACGGATACCAACTCTTTGCCAGGTTAAATGAGATATTACACGTCAGCTACATACCTGGAACGTAGTTAGAACTCCTTTTTTTTTTTCTTTTTTTTGAGACGGAGTCTCGCTCTGTTGCCCAGGCTGGAGTATAGTGGCACAATCTCCACTCACTGCAACCTCCGCCTCCAGGGTGCAAGTGATTCTCCTGCCTCAGCCTCCTGAGTAGCTGGGACTACAGGCATGCACCACAACGCCTGGCTACTTTTTTGTATTTTTAGTAGAGATGGGATTTTACCATGTTGGCCAGGCTGGTCTCAAACTCCTGACCTCAGGTGATCCACCTGCCTTGGCCTCCCAAAGTGCTGGGATTATAGGCGTGAGCCACCGTGCCCAGCCAGAACCTACTAGTTATTTTTATTTTTTTAAAAAGCTGAGCTGTAAACCTTCATTTGAAGATGAGATGGGGATCAAAGAGATTTATGGGCCAAGGTCGCCCAGGGGCACCCGGGAGGTGGGACTTACAGAAGCACCAGGTCAGGAAAGGTCACGTGGTCTTGGGGCAGGCTGGAAGATGGGAGGCTGTCAGCCCCACCTCCTATCAAGCCAAGGACTCTGTATCTTCACTACCACCCCCTCTTCATGGCCAAAGGACTGTGCTGTAGAGCCAGGCTCCCCGGCCCATGTGATGCCCAGTGTGTGCGGTGGCTGCTCACACCTGTGATGTCAGGGTGGTGGTGGGGAAGGGGGCCCACCACCCACAGGGAGCCGCTTACATGTGACAGCACGCACGCTTAGAAAGCCCTTTCTGATACGGAGCTGAACTGTCTCCCAGTCACTCTGCCCAAGCTCCTTAACTGGTCTGTGCTTGCTTTTCCACATCTGTAAAATGGGCGCCAGCAGTAGGACCCAGCGAACCTTCAGACACAAATCGCTGCCCTTCAGGGGCTGGGTGAGGGCCGCGGGAGTGAAGGCTTTGCAAGCTCCCAGCAAGGCACCTGGCCCTGAGCAGTGGAGAGTTTCATTAGGATCACCTGGGCCCGGCAGCCGGGGACCTGCTGGGGTTTCCTGTGAAGCGCAGATCTATAAACCTACAGGATTGACACAGCTCTTCCTGAAGCATCAATTTATTTGATGAGTAATTTCAAAATGTTACTTTTGAAAAGATAATGCTATTTTTGTACTAAAATGGAACACAAGAATTTGACTGCAAAATTCACCTGTTCAAAATAAATGAGACATGTAATTTCTTACAAACCCCAAAACTCGGGGGGTCCTAGGGTGGGGGTAGTTTTCTGCAGGGCGATGACATATCCTGCAGCGAAGTCTCAGAAACCCTGCTCTGGGCAGTCCATCTATTTGTCCACTCATGTTCTTAGACACATCCCAGGGGCTGGCCCTGAGCTACTGGGATGACTGGAGGAGCATCCAGGGCTGGGGGAGGGGAGTGACTCCCACACAGCAGGTACCCGGAGGTAGGAGGCTGGATCCACGGAAGGTTCTGATGTCAGCACTGTCTGTACCACAAGATGGCTTTACTGAAATGCCGAGTGCAGGAGCTTAATCATGGCGCATGTGGAAACCAGCCATGGGCTCTCAGGCCCACTCCTGCCCTGCCCTGGCCCCTCTGTGATGGGAGAACCAGGACAAGAAGGGGCTGGATCAGGTGACTGGTCACACAACCTGGGGTCCTTTCACCTTTCTGGGGGTCCCTGAAGGTAGGAATGGAGTCTGTGAACTGGTGTCAGTATTTCTCAAAGCCAGCTGTCAGACACTGTGTCTGTCCCTGACGCGGCCGCCCAGGCTCGTGGAATGCCAAGCGCCTGTCTCTGCTCGGGGCTGACATCACCTCCGCGTGGGAACAGAGCCTGTGCTCATGCCGAGCTCATCGGGATTGGCAGAAATCTGCATCCTTGTTTGGTTTCAAAACAGGGGGCCCAGAAGGAAGACTCATGAAAGATGCCCTTGTCGGCGGAAATTTCAGGAGCTTGGCCCACAGCCCCTGTCTGCACTTCGGCTGTGAAGAGGCCAGAACCACGCCCGCTGCCCAAGAGCTAGGCTCTGATGAGGCTGCAGGTAGCATCGACCCGGTACCTGCTTCCACCAGGGCCCAGGCTGAGCCCTCATGGCACAAGGGTGCCCATAGGCGTGTGGTGGATGGGTGGACATCTCGGCTAACGCTCCCGTCACCTGTACCTGTCTCCCCATCAGTAGGGCAGGGGCAGCTCTCACTTCTCACGGCTATGGCCACTCGATGTGTTCAGCAATCTAAGTGGGTCGTCGCCTCATTTTGTACATGAAAAACCAGCCCAAGTTACTGCCCAAGGTCACACGGCCATTCCCTCTGTCCCTTCCTCCCTGACTCATGCCATGCTTGTGTGAGGGGCTGCTGCGTGCCTGGCTGGGACCTAGTGGAATAAGAGAGAAAGCCCTTGCTCCCGTGGAGCAGGCGAGAGGCGACACGGATACAGGCTGAGAGTGAGTGACCCATGGAGGAAACAACAGGGAGACGGGCAGGGGGCGGTGGGGTGGGGGCCAGGGAAGGGCTCTTTCCAGAGGGGGCATCTGTGCTAAGACCTGAGGGACAAGAAGGAACTAGCCCCGCAAACAACACAATCGGGTGCTTTTCCCTTTGATGTCTGAGCAGCCTGGAGTCGCTCCAGACAGGCCCGGCTGCCCCCACTGCCACTGGCAGGAACATCCCGACACGGGCATCGTGGGGAGCCTGCTCTGCAGCTCCGCTCCTGGCTCTGCTGCCAGCTCCCAGCTCATGAGAGAATGAGACGACCAGACCAGGACGGTACAACTCCTAGTGAGGATGGCTCACGGGTGCTGCGGCGCCCTCAGACCACCTGCCCCCGTCCTGGGACAACGGGATTTCTGAGGGCCAGGACCTCCGTCAAGCCAGCAACCTAGCTGGGTTTTGGGAGAGACTGATGTCTTTTTTTTTTTTCTTGAGACAGGGTCTCGCTCTGTCGCCCAGGCTCTGGAGTGCAGTGGTGCTATCTTGGCTCACTGCAAGCTCCGCCTCCCAGGTTCACGCTATTCTCCTGCCTCAGCCTCCAGAGTAGCTGGGACTACAGGTGCCCACCACCACATCCGGCTAACTTTTTTTATTTTTAGTAGAGACAGGGTTTCACCGTGTTAGCCAGGATGGTCTCGATCTCCTGACCTCATGATCTGCCTGCCTTGGCCTCTGAAAGTGCTGGGATTACAGGCCTGAGCCACCGCGCCCGGCCGAGACTGATGTCTTTAAGGAATGAGTGGGCAGGAGGTGGGGGATGGGCTTCTCTGGTTCCATCTGATCCTGCCTCAGTGCTTTCCCCACGGAGGCTATGGGAGGCAGACAGGCTGGAGAGGGCCACTTTGGCCCACCTTGTGTCAGACGCCACCTGGGGACGTGGACGGTGGCAGTGACCCACCAGGGCTGCACAGCTTCGCCTCGCTGTGCCATTCACTTTCCTTACCTTGACTCCTGGCCCCTTAAGTCCTCAAACCCATTCCCGAGCTTCCCCTCTTAGATGAAACAGTGTCCCTCTCACCTTCATTTCCCTCCAGGAGACAGGCTCAAGTGCAGTAAGTAACACCAAGGCTGGGGACAGGGGACATAAAGTCAACAGTGCAGCGCCCGGCCCCACACGCTTAGGGCAGAGCAGGTGCTGGGAGAGACCTGGGGCCCAGAGTTGCATGGTGGCCACTTGTGACCAGGACTGTGCCTGAACCTGTCTGTGCCTCAGTTACTCACCATGTCTCTCTCTCTCTCTCGGGTGGCAGGGCTGACACCAAAGCTCCAGGAGTGTTCAGGGGCCATGGTGGTCCTCAGGACCCCTGGCGGCTCGGCTGGGGAAGCTGAGAAGGACAGATCCTGGAAGGAAGCTCCGCAGGCACAGCCCCTGCCCAGCAGAGTGGAGGGGGGGACATCCGGGACCCTCTGACCACACCAGACAGAGAGTGGCTTTGTTCCTAAGCAGATGCACTGTTTCGGTTTCTGTTGCAGAGGCTCTTCTTAGAGGGATGAGTTCTTACGTCCCAGAAAGCAGGATGAAGTGCTCTATGGACTGGTATTTATAGAAGATCCTTCCCCAAAGCAAAACCCAGTAAAGCAAACTAGCTGGCAAGAGGGCAAGGCCTCCGCCCTGGTGACCTGAGCACCGGGTGGCCACAGCACCACTCACACACCAAGACCCTAGGCTCACTCTCAGCAGAGTGGAGTTGGCACCACAACCCTGCCACTGGCCATGGGCCAGAGGGCTTGGCCTGCAGCAGGGAAAACTGTCACCCCCTTCAGATGTGCATGAACACATCTGGGTCCGAGAGTGGGCCTGGGAGGTAACAGGCAAGCCATGTTTCCCCGGGGCTGTGGGGGCGGCAGCATGGAATGCAGCCAGAAGGCCTGGGTTCAAATCCCAGCCCTGCCACTTAGCAGCCTGGCGAGCCGAGTTCTTGAACCTCCAGGGCAGTGAAGAGGGGAGGCGTCCACTTCCCAGGGCCACTGCGAGTTACAGGAAACATGAGCAACAGCGCTATTAATATCACAATGTGTAATGCCACCATTTATTACTTCTTTACTACATTAAAAAAGTGACCCTGTTTCTAGAGACCAAACAGCACCACAGAGGCATTCTTGGAAGAGAATTCCTTTTGTTCCCAAGCCTTTGTGACTGACTTTAAATCCTCTCACCTGCAGAACAGAGATGGCTTCAAAGTGGGGAGTGAGGGAGTGAGCGAGGACCCTGGGCTGAGACCTGTTTTTCTTCCATTTCTGCTGTGGCTTCCCACAGCTCCCTGGTTCCACACCAGGCCCTGCTCTGCCGCAGGAAAATGGATTCCCAGGCCACAGAGCTGTCAGGCCTTTGACTTCGCAGAGACCAAGCACCCCAGAGGCTGTGCGACAGCGGCTAGTCCCTGGTGGGCCGGTCTGGGGCATGGGGGGCAGGGAGACTGGGAGATGGGGAGGGCGTGGAGAATCCGGGGGGTCCTGGATACTGACAAAATGGCTCAGGTCTGAGCTCTGGCTGCCCCACTGATTGTGTGGCTTGGCCAAGGTGCAAGTCTCTCGGCCTGCTTCCTCTGAAACAGGAGTGGCAATCCTGGCCGACAGCCCTGGTGGCACCCCCTCCCCACTGAAGGCAGAGAACATGTGGGAAATAGTCTAACTCAGGCCCTGGGCTGGGCTGGCCCGACCCTTCTCCTATGCCTCCCAGGGTACTGTGTCTCAAAGAACCTCTTCCCTCCTGGAACCATTTTCCACTCCTCTTTCTTTCAAACAAGTCCCCCAGCCTGACTCACAACCCCTGCTTGCTACCCTCAGCCGGCAGAGGCCCCTCATCAGTGGTAAAGACAGTTCATCTCAGCTGCCTGCCAGCCTATGGTCTTCACAGCACCAGAAGGAAAATGCAAGGCAGGCACCAGCTCACCCTGGCTCAGGCCTGACGACAGCGGCCCCTGCCTCAGCCCACCGGGGCCAGTCCTCACCTCTCCCGCACGCCTGGCTCTGGGGAAGCCCAGGCCGCCATCCTCTGGCAGTTCCAGGTCTCTTAGACCACTTCCCCCTGGCTCCTTTCCACCTGGCCTGCCCCTTCTGTGGCCATCCCAGGCCCCAGATGCTGCCCTGGTCCTCCTGAACGTTTACAACAGATGACACAACCAAGGCAGGTCCAGGGGTGGGGCCCAGGGACAGATGCGGACACCAGCCTGGGTTCCACTCTGGATGCAGGAGCACAGGGCTGAGAGGCTGGAGAAGTGGAGGGCTACTGTCCCGAGGTGAGGGAGGTGATGGTGGGAGGAGGGGTGGGCTTGGGACAGCAGGGTCTGCTGGGCCTGCAACACTCAGGGTTCACAGGGCGCCTCTTCCTGCTCTGTAGGAGGCTGCTGGGGAGGCTCGGGCGGCTTGCAGGCCCACTGCGGTTTCTATACCTGGCCCTCTGCTCTGAGAAAGGGCGATGGTCCTGGCTGAGGCCATCTGGGAGGAAGTGGCCTTCAGCTTCCCGGGTGGTGACAAGGTATGAACCACAGGTCCAGTCTGCACTCACACACTCTACTGCCCGGAGAGCCATGGGACAGAGTCTGCTGTGGGCAGAGGATGGGGCACCTGCTGGCCGTTGTGGCACAGGCAGATGTTAGGAAAAGGCTGGACCCTGTCCTGCCCCATGCCAGGCCCTGCTTGGGCTGCATTCTCCGGCTGCCCTACGGTGCTGTCACCACGCTCTGCTCGCCATGGTCCACGCTCCAGAGGCGGTAAAACTCAGCAAAGTCCACATAGGGCTCAACACGACCGTCCTCGCCAGGCGGGAGCGAGTGGGCGGGCCGGGAGCGGAAGAGGCCTCCGTCAGAGCTGGAGCTGCTGCTCTGCGTGTGCGTGTTGGTGGACTGCAGGGTTAAGGTCGGGCTTTGGCTGCAGGACAACAGGGGAGGGAGTCAATCAGAAGCAGCCGGGTCAAGGGGCCTGGGGCAGAGTGGGGACAGAATGGCCCCTGCCTCTACCAGCCTCTTGGGCCACAGGCCTTTCTGGCAGAGGTGACCATAGGAGCTGGCCCAGCCAGATGATCTTAGGAACAGATAAAAAGTCAAATTTTAAAGCACCAGATGCATGTGGCTACTTAAATGAACTAAAGGTAAAGAAAATGGGGCTGGGCGCGGTGGCTCATGCCTGTAATCCCAGCACTTTGGGAGGCCAAGACGGGTGGATCACCTGAGGTCAGGAGTTCGAGATCAGCCTGGCCAACACGGTGAAACCCCATCTCTACTAAAAATACAAAAAAAATTTACCCAGGCATGGTGGCGTGTGCCTGTAATCCCAGCTGCTCGGGAGGTTGAGGCAGGAGAATTGGTTGAACCTGGGAGGCAGAGGTTGCAGTGGGCCAAGATTTTGCCATTGCACTCCAGCCTGGGCAACAAGAGTGAAACTCCGTCTCAAAAAAATGGAAAGAAAATGGAACACTCAGTTCAAGCGTCTAATAGCCACAAGTGGCTAGAGACGCCGTGACAGGACAGCACCCACGCGAGCACTCCCGTCATCACAGGAAGTTCCTCGGGTGAAGCTGAACCACCGACTGTCCATTACCATCTCTCTAAACCCGTCCCAACCCAGGACCTACTCAGCAGGGCGGGCAAGGTGTCTTCTTCTAGAAAACCTTCCTTCGCCCCCCTCCCCTTCAATCTCTTCTCATCAGCTGGGTGGGGACGGGCACCCACCTTCTATCACAGCTGGAACTGCCTGTTAGCGCTGCCCAGCACCAGCACAGGGCCAGCCCATGGTGGGACCAACTATGGCTCAGACGCTGAAAGGAGTGAGGAACACAGGCAGGGGAGGAGAGTGGGTTGTCCTGCCTTGTCTAGGGCCACAGCGCTCACACTCTGCTTTGTGGACACAGCTGGAGGACTCCTCCAGGCAGCCCGGCAGGGGTGCTGGAGAGGCCACCCCTACTGCACTCAGGATGCCCAAGGAGCTTGCTCGGCCTGGCAGGCCTTTCTAGCCCCGTGGCAGCAGTCGCAGCATCCACAACCCAGAGGCAGAGGGAAAGGAAGGCCCCCTGATGGGGCAGAGGCATGCAGGCCGCCCACCCCCCTCCAGGGCCTTTCTAATTGGCCACATCCTGCGCACTCCATCCTCAGAGTGGGCTGGGTGTGGCATCTCTATCATTCCATGCAGGGCTGGAATGTGGAAACCAGATCTGGGTCCCCTGGTGTGGGGAGTGCACATTCTAAGGAAGTGAAGGGGGTGGGGTGTACTCCAGACCTGTCAGGCAGGTCTGCGGCTGGAGGGGGCCTGGCCGCATCCCCCTCAGGCTGTTGCCTCTACCTCGCCCCCTGCCCCAAAACCAGAGAACTCACTTCAAAGCTAAAATCAAGCACATTAGCCAGAAAGCATGGGCTCTGACAAGCCAGTACAGGCCAGACAATGTCCTCAAGCAAGGACACCACAGGAAGCCACCCCACATCACACCGAGGTGAGGAATGAAAGGAAACCTTCCACTGAATGAAACCAGCAGATGGGCCCACAAGAAAATACGAGAAGTAGGCTGGGACCATCAGCCACCTGACCAAAAATCGCACCTGCCTCAGTTTCTAGGGAGACCTCCCTCACCAGGCACGGAGCTGGGGAATTCCAGACCCCAGGGCATCTCATCCACAAGCCTTGGCCCCATGGCCATTTCTGTCCTGGTGCCACAGGACACACACGGGGGTGACAGGGCTGGGGGTGGCTCAGTGGGGAAGGGACTTACTTGGTGAGGGTGGGGGTGGCTTCGTCCAGGGTGGAAGCACTGTGAGCCCCGTTGACCATCTGGCCCTGGGAGGGCATGACAAGGGAGAGGGTCACGCTGGTCTTGCTGGTGCTCTGGGCGCTGGAGTATGGCACAGACACAGGGTACACTCGTCCTCCTGCAGCTTTGGGAGGAAGAGAGTGGGGGCCTCAGGCAGCAGCTGAGGAGAAACCCAGGGTAGCAGGGGCATAGCTGCTCCATGGCCTGATGGGGTGGTGCCTGAGGGCTGAGTGTGGGTGGCGGCCATGCCTGGCTCCCCAAGCCCAGTGGGGCCCCCTGCCCCTTGGGACAGCTCAGGAGGAGTGTCCCTTGTCAGAGACTCTTCCAGGCCGGGCTGAGAACTCCTTATAGCAGTAAATCCTGCTGGTGCTCGAGTTGCCTCAAGGAAAGGGTTACTGCCTGGCTTCCCATGGATGCTTTAATTCAGAGGATAAGTTTGCTCCCAGTTGAGGCTGACCCAATAAAAATATGGTTGCAATAAAAACAGGCCAGAGAAACTCCAATAACCCTGGTGTCCATGGGAGAACAAATCTGTCTGTGGATGCCTGAGCTTTATCTAAGATTTGCTTGTTTAAAGCAAAGAAAAAGAAATGCAGCCCTCAGGAACCGAAGGTCTTAGTGCTGAGCAGCACTGGGGGGAGCACGGGAAAGAGCAGCCACCTCTTTTCCTGAGAACTTGGTTGAAGAATGACATAGGTAAAAAGCAAAACGTCCTTCTCCCTGCCCTGCTCCAGTGCAGCCCAGGGACAGACAGGCCTTGGGGCCTGACCATCTGTCCACATGCCTAATCTCTTCCAGGTCCCTTCATTCTTCAGCCTCAGTTTCCCTCTCTGGAAAACAGGGGTACCACCTGTCTTTAGGGTTGCCCATGAGGACTGAAGGGAATAAGGCAGGCTGTGTGCCTGGCACAAGGGAGGCACTCAATCAGTGGTGGCCATCATCTCTATTATGTGGCTTCAGGGCTCTGTGAATTGCTTGCTGGGGCACTCAGGTTCTGGGAGGTTGCCGGGGCAGGTGGTATTAACCTCATTTTACAGACAAAAGAGCAAAAATCAACACTCAGCTCAGAGAGGCTAAAAATCAGAGAACCTGAATTAGAGCCACTCAGAGCCAGGCCTCCTGACTCCATCTCCGTTTCAAGCAGCCTCGGGGGCTCTGCACCCACCTCTGGCCCCCAGATGGCATCCCCAGGCACTGCCTGTCTGCACAGCACACGTACCTGGGGCTGGGCTCGGTGTGGGCTGGCTCATTTCGCCCAGCGGGTAGCCAAAGTTCCTCACTAGCAGGGTCATGTCCTCGTGCCGGGGGCAGAACCTGGCACGCTCCCCACCACTGGCGAAGGTGTCGCTGTGGATGCGCTTCACCCGGTCCACGACGGCCTGGGCCACTGCGTCCAGGGAGGTCTGCTTGGCAAACTCAGTGTCAATCATCGCAGCAATCTCCTGGGGGAGGGGGTAGGAAGAACCTGGTAAGGAACGAGGTGCGGCCTGGGGGGCATGGGCCATAATCTTGGAGCCTAAAATCAGGAGATTCAGTGGTCAACAGCCCAGCAGGTGAAGGAAATGCCTGCCAGCCAAGTTTGCAATCTGAGCCTTTCAAGGTATTCAGGATAATCCTTCTGGAACTTTCTCATTAGGAAGTGTGTGCTCTTGTGATTGCTCTAATTGTTGGGTGCACACCTCTAGGATGGGGAGAACATCCATTTGACTGGGTGAATACGAGTATTAACTAACAGTGGTGTGAGAGCACTCTGCCAGCCACTAAAAAGCCTAGTAGCAAGTGTCATTATTATGAAACACTCTTTCCTGGAACAAACTTGTTGTAGGCGATGTTATACATGCTAGGATTTTGTCAGGAACTGGGGATACAGAATGAAAACAGGGTCCCTGACCTCAGAGAAGTCCCTGTCTAGTATACAGATGTTCCTCAATTTAGGATGGGACTATGTCCTGACAAACCCACTGTAAGTTGAAAATATCATAAGTTGACCGGGCACAGTGGCTTGCGCCTGTAATCCCAGCACTTTGGGAGGCTGAGGTGGGAGGACTGCCAGAGGTCAGGAGATCGAGACCAGCTTGGCCAACATGTTGAAACCCCGTCTCTACTTAAAAATACAAAAATTAGCTGGGCATGGTGGCACATGCCTGTAATCCCAGCAACTTGAGAGGCTGAGGCAGGAGAATTGCTTGAGCCCAGGAGACGGAGGTTGCAGGGAGCCGAGACCAGCCTGGCCAACAGGGCAAGACTCTGTCTCAAAAAAAAAAAAAAAAAGAAAATATCGTAAGTTGAAAAAGCATTTGGCCGGGCGTGGTGGCTCACACCTGTAATCTCAGCACTTTGGGATTCTGAGGCAGGCCGATCATGAGGTCAGGAGATCGAGACCATCCTGGCTAATACGGTGAAACCCCATCTCTACTAAAAATACAAAAAATTAGCCGGGCGTGGTGGCGGGTGCCTGTAGTCCCAGCTACTCGGGAGGCTGAGGCAGAATGGCGTGAACCCGGGAGGTGATCAGTAAGCCCAGATCGAGCCACTGCACTCCAGCCTGGGTGACAGAGCGAGACTCCATCTCAAAAAAAAAAAAAGAAAAGAAAAAGCATTTAATGCACCTAATCTACTGAACATCATCACTTAGCCTAGCCTACCTTAAATGTGCTCAGAACACTTCTATTAGCCTACGGCTGGGCAAAATCATCTAGCACAAAGCCTATTTTCATTATTATATAAGAAAATGTTGAATCCCATGTAATTTTTTTTTTTTTGAGACAGAGTCTCACTGTGTTGACCAGGCTGGAGTGCAGTGCTGTGATCTCAGCTCACTGCAAGTTCCATCTCCCAGGTTCAAGAATTCTCCCGCCTCAGCCTCCCGAGTAGCTAGGATTACAGGCGTGCGTCACTATGCACCAGATAATTTTTTTTTTTTTTTGTATTTTTAGTAGAGATGGGGTTTCACCGTATTAGCCAGGATGGTCTCGATCTCCTGACCTAAAGTGATCTTCCCGCCTCAGCCTCCCAAAGTGCTGGGATTACAGGCGTGAGCCACCACGCCCAGCCGAATCTCATGTAATTTATTGAGTACTGTTTTGACAGTGAAAAACAGAATGGTTGTAGGGGTATGGGAGCACAGTTCCCACTGAATATGTATCACTTTCTCACCATCATAAAGTTTCTTTTGGGCGGGGCAGGAGGGCAGGGACAGGTAATAGGAAATGACCTGCACCTGGTCCTGGTGGGCTCAGTTTCAACACTAAGCAGCAACGTCACTTCTGGCAAGAACCTGAACTCCGTGGACCCCAAATTCCCTACTCTACCTGGAAATAAGCCCCTGTCCCTCTATGTTATAAGGCTACTGGAAGGAATGGTAAGCTTATATAACAGGTAAAGAAATCAGAACACAGGCTGGGCGCAGTGGCTCATGTCTATAATCCCAGAACTTTGGGAGGCCAAGGCAGGTGGATCATCTGAGGTTACGAGTTCAAGATAAGCCTGGCCAAAAAGGCAAAACCCCATCTCTACTAAAAATACAAAAATTAGCCGGGTGTGGTGGTGGCACATGCCTGTAGTCCCAGCTACTCAGGAGGCTGAGGCAGAAGAATGACTTGAACCCGGGAGGTGGAGGTTACAGTGAGCCGAGATTGCACCACTGCACTCCAGCTTGGCCAACAGAGCAAGACTCCATCTCAAAAAAAAAAAAAAAAAAAAAAAAGAAATCAGAACACAGGGAACAGGGGATAGTTAGGCACTTGAGACTTTTTCGAAGTAGATCTGCATTCAATCCAGCAGTCTGGGCATCTACCTAAAGGAAAATAAGTCATTATATGAAAAAGATACTTGCACACGTATGTTTATAGCAGCACAATTCACAATTGCAAAGATGTGGAACCAGCCTAAGTGGCCATTGACTAATGAGCAGATAAAGAAAATGTATCTATAAACTATGGAATACTACTCAGCCAGTAAAAGGAAAGAATGAATGTCTTTTGCAGCAACTTGGATGGAGATGAAGGCCATTATTCTAAGTAACACAGGAGTGGAAAACCACAAACTATGTTCTCACTCGTAAGTGGGAGCTAAATGATGGGAATGCACAGGCATACAGAGTGATATAATGGAACTTTAGAGACTCAAGGCGGGAGGATGGCAGTGGTGCTAGGGATAAAACACTATACATTAGTTACAATGTACACTATAAAACACTATACATTAGTTACAACGTACACTATAAAACACTATACATTAGTTACAATGTACACTATAAAACACTATACATTAGTTACAATGTACACTATAAAACACTATACATTAGTTACAATGTACACTATAAAACACTATACATTAGTTACAATGTACACTATAAAACACTATACATTACTTACAATGTACACTACTGGAATAACTGGTTTACTAAGATCTCAGAATTCACCACTACATAATTCATCCCTATAACAAAAAAATACTGGTACCTCAAAAGCTACTGAAATAAAAATTAATTTTCAAATTTTAAAGAAGACTTTTTCCTCATGATATTGATTGATTGATTGAGACAGAGTCTTGCTCTGTTGCTCAGGCTGGAGTGCAGTGGTGCGATCTTGGCTCACTGCAACCTCCACCTCCCGGGTTCAAGCGATTCTCCTGCCTCAGCCTCCTGAGTAGCTGGGATTACAGGTGCCTGCCACCACACCCGGCTAATTTTTGTATTTTTAGTAGAGACGGGGCTTCACCATGTTGGCCAGGCTGGTCTCGAACTCCTGACCTCAAGTGATCCGCCTGCCTCGGCTTCCCAAAGTCCTGGGATTACAAGCATGAGCCACTGTGCCCGGCCAATACATGATTTTTAATTAAAAAGGACAAAGCAGGCTGGGCACAGTGGCTCATGCCTACAATCCCAGCATCTTGGGAGGCCAAGGTAGGAGGATCACTTGAGACCAGGAGTTTGAGATTAACCTGGGCGATACAGTGAGACCCTGTCTCTACCAAAAAAACAAAACAAAGAAAACAACCAAAATTAGCCAGGTGTGGTGGCACACACCTATAGTTCCAGCTACTCAGGAGGCTAAGGCTGGAGGATCGGTTGAACCCAGAAGGTTGAGGGTGCAGTGACCCGTGATCACGCCACTGCACTCCAGTCTGGGTGACACAGCAAGTCTTAAAAAAAAAAAAAAAAAAGTCAAAGCAGAAAAGGTTATCTTCCTACAAGAATCACAGAAAGGAGGAGGAACACAAACTGAACTTATCTTAGCCAGTCAGCAATCCAAGGAGGTCAGGGAAAGACAGTTTTCCTTTGAGACCATCCCTAACGTGACTGTCTTGAAGTCACACTTTGGTGACTCCAAGGTATAAGAAAAATAAGCAACTCTTGGCTGAGGGCCTGTGTCTACCACGCCTAACCTCACTGCGATCTCACAAAGGCAGATGTTACCATCCTCACTGTAGAAATGAGAAGTGAACTGCCGGGCGCGGTGGCTCACGCCTGTAATCCCAGCACTTTGGGAGGCTGAGGTGGGTGGATCACAAGGTCAGGAGTTGGAGACCAGCCTGGTGAAACCCTGTCTCTACTAAAAATACAAAAATTAGCTGGGCGTGGTGGCAGACACCTGTAATCCCAGCTACTTGGGAGGCTGAGGCAGAGAACTGCTTGAACCCGGGAGGCGGAGATTGCAGTGAGCCGAGATCATGCCACTGTACTCTAGCCTGCGTGACAGAGGGAGACGCTGTCTCAAAAAAAAAAAAAAAAAAAAAAAAAAGAAATGAGAAGCAAACTATAAATTGTCTGCCACTCAGGGAGGGCAGTAAAGCCGTCAGGCCCTTGGCAGGAAGTGATGGGTGTGGGAAGGACTCTGCACATCTCTTTCTGTGCTCTCCTCCTGGCCCTGGCCCCTTCCTGGCCGTCTCAGAGTAATGCCGTGCCCATAGCAATTCACATCCATCTCCCCCTCTTCCCTTCAGACCTTGCTCAGGCCCTGAGGACTGGCACTGCTTCAAGCCTAAAATGAGTCAAGTTTTTGGGTGGGATGGGTGTTTTCAGAGCTCTGGGATTCTCCTTCCCCCAGCTTTGAACCCAGAGATGTCTGGTGACGGCCTCCGAGAATCACAGTGCTAGAAGGCAGGGTGAGCACATCACCATGCAGGCCAGCCACGCTCTCCGGCCATGGGCGTGGCTGGGCCCAACTCACCTGGTTGGCCTGCCCAGGCCCATGGGCTGCCTCTAGGGCCTTGTACAACCCCTCCGACATCAGCACCAAGAAGCCCGTCACCCCATCCAGCGGCTGTGCCCCATGGATTTCTGGCTCTGCGATGATTGGTTTGGACTTGGCAGCGCTATGGGGAGAGAGTGGAAGGAAGAGCTTTGCTTGGAACAGCCCGCAGGTGGATGCTGATTCTGCTGAGGGGAGGAATCTATGCCCAGAATGTAAAATAAAACACACAACCTGACAAGAGGAAAAGAAAAGAGAGAAAGAGAAGGTCAGAAAAATAGACCCATCGTCTTACAGCAGCTGCTAAAATAAAGCTTGGAAGGCCATAAAAACTGGCAGGCAGCTGAGGTCAGGATGGCAAAGGTTGAATGCCCGATTCTGGCCTGTTCCATACGTCCTGTTCACAGGGTCCGGTGGTGGCAGGGCAGGGTGTGGGACAGCAAGAGGGAGGGATTATCCCTGGGAGCCCAAGCCTCTTGCTATTATTTGGGCTTTTCCAAAACAGATGGCTGAGACCCCAGATACTCTCCATGTGTACAGGGATCCTTTAGTGACTGGGGTCAGAGTCATTACATGCCAACACATGTGTGTGCACATGGAGGTAAGTACATGAGGAGGTGCTGGCAACACCATCCAGAAGAGCGGAGTCTAAGAACTTCCTGAGGGTCCGTCAGCCAGGGCTGGGCCCTGGGAGCGGTTATTACACAGAATGACGCCATCCTAACTGCAGGTGAGCAGAATGAAGAGATGAGCACCTTTAATGATAGCAGTGAGGGGTGTGTAAACATATCTCCAAACTCATCAAGTTGTATGCATGAAATAGGCACAGCTTTGCATATGCCAATTACACCTTAGGGTTTAAAAAAAAAGAAAAGAAGGAGGAGCAGGACACACCAGCACCTGGGAGGGGCAGGACACACCAGCACCTGGGAGGGGCAGGACACACCAGCACCTGGGAGGGGCAGGACACACCAGCACCTGGGTGTTCCGAAAAGGATGCAGGCTCCTTGGCCCCCAGGACAAACACACACACACACACACACACACACACACACACACACACACACAGAGAGAGACACCCCAGCACCTGGGTGTTCCGAAAAGGATGCAGGCTCCTTGGCCCCCAGGACAAACACACACACACACACACACACACACACACACACACACACACAGAGACACCGTGTGTGTATATGTGCATGTGGCCAGATTTTGGAACAGGATACACAAGAAACTAGCAGCCTCTGGGGAGGCAGCGAGTCCTAGAGTGTGGTGTAGGAAGACTTCCTTTCCCTGTATAGACCCCAGCACTGTCTGAAGTGTTTTAAACTATGGATGTCCTTTCCAATAAAGGAAACAGGACCCCACAAATTAGGGACAAATATTCGACACTCAGTTGCCTAGATCGCGTGAGGGCAAGGAGTTCTAACATGCACTTTCTAGGCCATGAGGCCTCTGTTGATGGGAACTCTGGCTTTGGGAACAGCCTTGGCCATGACATTAAATGCCATGATTGGCATCAGGCAAGTGGACGCGCCTATCTCCCCAACCAACACTTCACATACAGGTTACCTGACGGTTAAGGACACATATTCCAAATTCAGGCTGCCTGTGTTCAAGCCCCATGACCAGGGTGGGCTGCCTGATGTCTCCATGCCTCAGTTTCCTCTTATGAAAATGCCTCTGGGGTGATGGCAGTGACTGCCTCAGGGGGCCTGAGTAGGGAATGCATAAAAGAAGGTACATCCAGAGCTCTGCACGGGCTTGGCCGTGTGATGATGACTGCCCATTCTGCTGCCATGAGCGCTGGGGTGATGTCCAGAGGAGGTGTCCTCAGAGGGAAATACACAATTCATCTCACACCTCTGCTGCAGCCATGGGCAGCACCGACCAACAGGCCTGGTCTGTCCATCCCATGCCAACTCTGGCTTCGCCTGCCTCCCTTGTGGCACTAGTTGCTGCCCTCAGCTTTGGCCCAGCTCAACTCCACCCCTTGTTTCTACAGTACCCAACTCCTGGCCTGCTGGGCCTAACCTGCCCCAAACCAACCTCTCTGGGAGGAAGAAAGAGTTTGCCTGGGCTCTGAACTACTTTGACTGCACATGTGTCACTGGGGCCTACAGTCTGCGTCTGCCCCAGGCCTTCTGGACCTTTTTTTTTTTTTGAGACAGGGTCTTGCTCTGTTGCCCAGGCTGGAGTGCAGTGGCATGATCACGGCTCACTGCAGCCTCGACCTCCCAGCACAATCAATCCTCCCATCTTGGCCTCCCTAGGACCTTCTGTTCTTTCAAGCACAGGGGACAGCTGGGCTGGCACCTACCTGAGAAGGTCAATGTCCGTGTAGCCATATTTAACCTTGTAATCCCCGATCCGCCGGGTGCTCTCCTGCCCACAGATGATCCCCACCTGCTTGATCTTTCCAGCATCCAAGCCTACGGAGGGAAACAGTGCAACAATCCTGCTTCTTGTTCACAAAGAGGAACAAAAAGAAGGGGACAGAGACACAGTCATGGGAAGAAGGCAATAAGGACCCACTGAATAGGAAATGAAGACAACACCAGGGCACCTGGGAGAGCAGCTGACCCAAAGTCCCTGGTGTCCTCAGTCCCCACGCCCATCACGACACACCTCACTCAGAGCCCGTCCTCCAGGCACCACCTGGCACGGAGCAGCTTGCCTGCCGTCTCCCTGCCCATCCCGTGTGCCCCACATCTGCCTGGAGCTCACTGGGAAGGGAAGGAGCAGCTCAGCAGCAGCTGGGCTCCCTGGACTTCTTTGGCCTCTTTCAGTCTCCACCAATAACAGTAAGTGTCTTCTGTGTGCCAGGCACTCCAGGAAGCATTTCACATGCACTAACTGAATCCTCCTAGCATCCCGAGGTAGGTTACTATTATCCTCATTACACAGCGGGGGATCTGAGGCACAGAAAACTTAAGTTCCAATCACCAACCAGTAAGCGGCAGTGCTGGGAATGAACCCCAGGCAGGCTGGCTGGGGAGCCCAAGATCACAGCCCCTCTACCACACGCCTCTCTACCCCACCACCAAAGGCAGGCGAAGGGTGAGCCCATGGGGATCAGCTTCCGCTCCCACTCTCCCCACTCACCCAGCTGCGAAAGACGGAAGAGCTCATCCTCGTTCTCTGTGGTGTGGTCCACGTTCAGCTGTGTCACCTGCAACCCATCCACTGTCGATTTGCATAAAAGTGCACGGTTTGTACCTGTGGCAGAATGTGAACAGCTAAGCAAAGACTACACACAGAGAGAAATAGGGCATACCGGGAAGGCAGAGAGGGAAAAGGCAGGCATTTCACACATGGAAATACCTGAAATGGGCAAAACAGGCTCAGACCAACGGGGTGAGTCACCAGTTAGGGACAGCTGGTGATACGAAAGAATTGGGTTTAACTTTTTCAGTGTAATCATAGGATTATGATCTTAATAAAACAGACCTCTTCTCTAGAGATACAGACTGAAATATTTACAGATAACATGATACAGTGTCTGGCATTTGCTTCAAAATAGAGAACGTGGGGACAAAGAAGGCTGGCCACAGTTGATAACTGCTGGGATTGGGGATGGGCGCATGAATGTTCATTAAATATCAGTCACTCTATTGTTCTATATTGTGGAAAATTTTCCACTGGAGTATTAAAAAAAGGCAGCATCATCAGAAGGGTCTCTACAGAGTCCTTTCTACTGAAACCTGCACCTGTCTGGTCTTCTCACAAACCCCAATGTCCCTGTCACCTAGCCCCATCTCGCAGCTGTTCATGGGGATACTGGTTGGTTATTCATGGCCAGGTAACCTCTTCCAGAAGCAGCGGCCCCCAAGGCCACCCAGAATGGGATACGACTCGTCCAGAATGAGTTAAGAAGCAGAATAGGGACTAAAGGCCAGGACACCTGTCTCCCATCCCGTCCTTTCTCCCTTCCAGTTGGGACTGAGGCGTCACTGTGGAGAGGGACATACCCAACGGTCTCAGGAGACCCTGGGTTTAAAGTGCGTGAAGTGTCTGGAAAGCAGATTGTCAAATAATGCACCGACCCCTGTGGCTGACCTCTCCCCAGTCCTCCCTGCCCTGGGACAGGAGGGGGCTCACCGACATTGGCGACGTAGAGCTTGTTGTTGAGAAGGACCGCCACAACGGCCATGGCCCCTCCCGAAATTTCCCTCTCTAACGTCTTGAGTCTCTCAAGGATCTTCTGATACTGAGGAGGCAGCTGGTGCTGAGGGACTCCCTACAACCATCAACAGAGGGTCAGGGCAGGACAGAACTCTGGACCATCTTCCTAGCCCTCTCCACTCCCTTTACTCTTTTTTTTTTTTTTGAGATGGAGTCTCGCTGTGTCCCCCAGGCTACAGTGCAGTGGCATGATCTCGGCTCACTACAAGCTCCGCCTCCCAGGTTCACACCATTCTCCTGCTTCAGCCTCGAGAGTAGCTGGGACTACAAGGCGCCCACCACCACGCCCAGCTAATTTTTTGTATTTTTAGTAGAGACGGGGTTTCACCATGTTAGCCAGGATGGTCTTGATCTCCTGACCTTGTGATCCGCCCGCCTCGGCCTCCCAAGGTGCTGGGATTACAGGCGTGAGCCACCATGCCCGGCCTCCCTTTGCTCTTAAGAGCAAAGATCCGAGGGCCCGGGGGACAGACAGACAGATGGTCCATGGCACAGCCAAGATGAAGCCTTCGCTACAGCTCCAGGCTAAGGTTCTTCCAGAAAGCTGGAGATGACCGAACTCACAGCACAGAGGTAAGCGCTGCAGGTGGCAGTAGGCGATGTGAGCAGGTGGTTGACAAGGGCGGGGACCCATTCAGGACGAAGGACTGGGAAAAGCCCTTCCTCATGTCCACCACTGCCCAGACACTGCTGAGCTTTAGCATGCAGCTGCCCACAGCAGAGCAGCGAGGTCCCTCACCTGTGGCCACACACCAGTGTCACCCATCAGGAACTGCTCCCTAACGCCTGTTGCTCTGGCCCAGTAATGTCAAGAAAGTAGATGAGTCCATGCTCCTTGCAAAGCTGGGCCTGGACTTGACTCCCCTGGGTGTCGGCTGGGGAAATTACCTCTGGCAATTGCGACTGGAGGCTTGCCTTCTCAGCCAAGGCGTCGTCAATGGACTCCAGGAAGCTCCTCTCCACCACATCGAAGGCCTAGGGGGACACAGGACAGGGCAAAGGCTGGTTCAAAACACCACTGTCACTGGTGCCAAAATGTCCTCTATTAATCAGAGCAGCAGCTTTGCTGTCTTCACTGCAGGTTCTTGTGTGATGGAGCTTTCCACATGTCAGTCCTGCCTCTGGCCCAGCACTGCAAGGCACCGGCTGCTTCCTGCAGATCAATGTCTTTGACAAAGCCCTTCAGCCTCGAAGGGGTGTGCACCCTGCAGAGGCAGCACTGCAGACGGCTGGGAGGCAGGAGACAGTGCGGAAGCTAAGAGCAAAGGCTTGGCGTAGGCCCAGCTGGTGTGACCTCTGGCCCCCTCAGTCTCACACAACGGAGGTTAAGTGTTGTTCCAGGGGTTAGGTAAGACAGTCCAACCTGGCACTCAGCAAGGCAACTGCTCAGAGAAACTGCCAGGCCTATGACAGCTCGTATGATTACTACAACTTCTTTCTGGGAGGCTTCTGTCAAACCCCACCAGCCCCAGGACACTGGTGACACTGACACCTTCTCCCCCTGTGTGAGATCTGCTGAGAATCACTGGCAATGGAGCCTGAGGTCGTGAAGGGCAGGAAAAGGCTGGCACCACCCCTCTCCGGGAACAGAAGCCCATCTTCTCATCTGAAATGGGCCTGAGACATGCTCCTGAAAGCAGATGCCAGGAGGAAAACTGCCAACAGCGCAAGCAGAAAGGTGGAACCAGTCAATGAGGGCGGCGGCCCCTCAGAAAGGGGAGGCAAGGTCCTTCCTGGACGCCCAGGGATGGCTCCTGCACCTGGAGGCTGAGCACCTGACCACATAGGAAAGAAAGGGGTAGCTCTAAATGACCCCATTTCTACCAGGCCTTGCCCTGCTCCCACCTCACACCTCTCTCCAAGCTCCCATCCCTAAATCCCCCCGTCTCCAGCAGTACCTCCTCTGCCAGCCATTGAAGGCCTGCTGCTCGCTGGCTGGTCCTGGACTCCTGTTGGGTGGGGGGGCCTACGCTGGGAGCTGCTCCTCTACTGGGGTGAAGGGGCCGGCAGGATCTTCACACCAACCCTGGCAACATGCTAGAGGTGCAGGGCCCAAGCCTTGGGGTGGGGGACATGATGTGGCTGGGTCACTGTTGGCCCCGGCACCATTACCTGCAGCAGCACACGCCGCACATCGGCCTCGGCGTGCTCGGCATTCAGCTGGCCCAGCAGGAGCTCTGCGGACAGCCGCTGGGCCACGAAGTTGGTCACTCGGTTGCCATCATAGCCGTTGAAGACCCCATACAGGAAGCAGTTGTTCTCACTCCTGGAAGAGGGAGAGGGCAGAGGGAGGCCTGAGACCAGGGTCTCACGGAGGTGGAGGGAGAAAGGGAAAGGAATTGGGGGAGACTAAAGCGACAGCAGCTGCAGCTTCAGGGGCCCTCCTGGGTCCCCCTGCTTTAGCCATCATTTCACTCTGGCTATGACATTCTGGGATACCCTCCTCCCCATGCTCACGCTACCCCATCAGAGCAGGCCCTTGGCAAGACAGCAGCAGAGGCCACCTCTCACGGGCCACATGTCACTGGCAAGCCCATACGAGAAAGCTGCAAGGTCGGTGTCTTTCCTTGCTTGCAAACCAACCAACTCCCCGGGCCCAACACAGAAATGCTGGCACACACACCTGAACTTGAGCCAGCTGTCCTCTGGCGGGTGGCTCTCAGTGCCCTTGCCATCAGCAGAGTAGCTGCGGTTGGAGGCTGAGCCAACCCCAGAGAGGTGGCAGAGAGGCAGGTCATCTGTCCAGCTTGGCTGCTGCTCCTGGGGAAGGACACCAGGAAGCCGTGAGACGCCACCGCGTCTGCAGGGTAGTCCCCACTTCACCTATTCCTTCTGCAACAAAAACCTAGCAGGCCCGCAGCCCTACACAGAGGGTTCCACTTCCTTCTGGAAAACAATAATGTTTGTATGAACAGACACCTGCAGAAGGGTTTGCTGTTTTTATGGCTAGTCTACAAACTTGTTTCCCAGGAAAACTGAGACTCCACCATTCCCAAATGTAAGGCGCAGCAATGACCTCCAGGAGTGAGCCGTTATGAAACCTAGTGAAACACACACAAATGTCGCAGACTCTTGGCAGGAAACTCTGGGGACCCCACCTCTTACTGCACTGGCTCCAAATGCACACTACAAAGAAATCCCTTGAGCATTGGTTACCAACACTGCAGGCTGCAGGCCCCACCCTCAGAATGACTGATCTGGGCAGGGCCCGGGACATCTGCAGTGCAGGCCGCTCCCCATGGGTGATGCTTTCAGGTGACCTAAGACCCAGCCTGGAGAAACTCCGACTTATAAGCTAGCCTCAGTCACTCTCTCTGGCACTGGGACCTCCAAGTACCAGGGAGAGTAACTGAGACTGGCTTTTAAGTCGGAGTTTATGAGCTAGTTTATAGGACATCCTCATGCCACCCCGATGTCCTCTCCCATCTCCCCTGCCACATCCTTCCCTCCCAGTCCCAAATGCCTACAGCCCTGTCCATCCCCTGCTCTTTGCCTCCACATGAACACCCTCCCTCTTCTTCCCTACCAATTCTCCGGGTCCTTCGGGACTCTTTGGCTCAGGAGTCACCACCTCCAGGAGGTCTTCCTTCAGGATGACCCTACCCAGGACTGGCTGATGGCCCTCTCATGTACCCCAACGGCACCCTGATTCCAGCATCCCTGCCTGTCTGCAATGCCCATTCTACCCCATAGGATCTCAAACCAGGCTGTTCAGCATAATCACTGCAGAGCTTTAAACACGCTCACACAGCGGTCCAGGCCCTGGCCCCATCCCCGGCCTAAACACAATTTCTGAATTTCCCAGATCTCCCTAGGGTACATCCTGAGCATCTGTACTTTTTAAGCCCCAGGAACAACTTTGATGCAAGGCCCAGGTGCAATTCCCTGCCTCTCCCTGAAAGCTTGCCCCAAATCTGGCCTCCCACCTGAAAACTGCGCTTTGTTCACAACGGCACTCCCAGAACCACCATGCAGAACTACAGCAAACTGGAATAACTGGGAGAACCACAGTTCAATTTCAAGGAAAATAAAATTTGTATTGGCTGGGTGCAGTGGCTCACGCCCGTAATCCCAGCACTTTGGGAAGCTGAGGTGGGTGGACCATTTGATGTCAGAAATTTGAGACCGGCCTAGCCAACCTGGTGAAACCCCATCTCTGTCTCTGTTAAAAACACAAAAAAATTAGCCAGGCATGGTGGTGCATGCCTGTAATCCCAGCTACTGGGGAGGCTGAGGCAGGAGAATCGCTTAAACCCAGGAGTCGGAGGTTGCAGCGAGCTGAGATCATGCCACTGCACTCTAGCCTGGGCGACAAGAGTGAGATTCTGTCTCAAAAAAAAAAAAATTGTATTGAAAGCTTTATTGAAATATTAAACAAACACAAGCTAGAGCAACCAGATAAGAGAAAGAAATAGAGGGCATCCAAACTGGCAAGGAAGATGTTAAATGATCCTTGTTTGCAGACGATATAATCTTATATTT
The DNA here is from genome assembly GCF_000001405.40 of Homo sapiens. NCBI lineage: Eukaryota > Metazoa > Chordata > Mammalia > Primates > Hominidae > Homo > Homo sapiens. Next base: position 39,413,283 of record NC_000022.11, on the reverse strand, counting down.
GGAAAAACCTAGATTCCACCAAAAAACTATTAGAACTGATTAAACAAATTCAGTAAAGTGGCAGGATATGGGCCGGGCGCGGTGGCTCAAGCCTGTAATCCCAGCACTTTGGGAGGCTGAGGCAGGTGGATCATGAGGTCAGAAGATCGAGACCATCCTGGCTAACATGGTGAAACCCTATCTCTACTAAAAATACAAAAAACTAGCCGGGTGTGGTGGCGGGCGCCTGTAGTCCCAGCTACTCTGGAGGCTGAGGCAGGAGAATGGCATGAACCCGGGAGGCGGAGCTTGCAGTGAGCCGAGATCGTGCAACTGCACTCCAGCCTGGGTGACAGAGCGAGACTCCATCTCAAAAAAAGACTCCATCTCAAAAAAAAAAAAAAAAAAAAAAGTTGCAGGATATGGAATCAACATACAAAAATCAGTAGCATTTCTATATGCCAACAGTGAATCATCTGTAAAAGAAATAAAACACACACAGATACTGTGTGCAACTTCTTAAAAGTTATTGTTAAGTCTTCCAGAAAGGATGTGGAAACCACTTCAACAGGCTTTTGCAATCATATATATAAAAAGCCTGTGGTTAGCTTTTGTGGCAAATTGTAGCTTCTGTTTAGTTATATACTGACAGGAGTGACTTCACTTTTTTTCATATAATTGGTTTTATTCTGCTTTTATCTATTTTGGTGCTTCAGCTCTACATTTTGCACCCTGGAGCAACTTCTGCAGGGTGTGGGAGTTTGTTTTATTTTTACATTAACATGGAGTAAAACTGGCTTCTGGGGCACGCACATCTGTGAATGTTGACACATGTAGAGATGTGTGTAACTACCACCACTCTCAGGATACAGGGCAGCTCCACTCCCAACGCACTCCCTCCCCTAATCCCTGGCAACCTATTTTCCACTGCTATGGCTTTGTCTTTTTAAGAATGTCATATTAAACGCCAGGTGCAGTGGCTCACGCCTGTAATCCCAGCACTTTAGGAGGCCAAGAGGGGCTCATCACTTGAGGCCAGGAATTTGAGACCAGCCTGGCCAATGTGGCGAAACCCTGTCTCTACTGAAAATACAAAAATCAGCCGGGCGTGGTGGCGCACACCTGTAATTCCAGCTACTCAAGAGGCTGAGGCACGAGAATCACCTGAACCTGAGAGGCAGAGGTTGCCATGAGCCGAGATTGCACACCACTGCACTCCAGCCTGGGCGACGGAGTGAGACTCTGTCTCCAAACAAAACAAAACAAAACAAAACAATGTCACACAATGTCACATAAATGAAATGATGCAGTAAACATGACCTCCTGAGACTGGCTTCTTTCACTCAACATTATGTCTCTAAGACTCATCCAAGTTGTTAGCCTGTGTGCATCAACAGTCTCTCTCTCTCTTTCATAGAGTAATATACCATTGTTCGGATGTAGTAAAGTTTGTTTATCCATTCATCCACTGAAGGACATTTGGGCTGTTTCGTTTCTTATAACTATGAAGAAATATGCTATAAACATTCATGTACAGGTTTTTGTATGAATGTAACTTTTCATTTATCCAGGGTAAATACCTAGGAGTGACAGGGCTGGCTCATATGGTAAGTATATGTTTAACTTTATAAGAACCTGCCAAACTGTTTTCCAGAGCAGCTGAACCATTTGCATTTCCAATGTTGAGTTCCGGCTGCTCCACGTCCTTGCCACCATGTGGTATTGTCTTTTTCTGAATTTAGATATTCTAAGAGGTGGGTAGTGGTAGCTCATCGTGACTTTAATCTGCACTTCCTAACGGCTAACGACACTGAGTATCTTTCACGTGTTTATTTGGCACCAACTCATCCTCTTTGGTGAAGTGCAAGTTTTTTGCCTATTTTTAAATTAGGTTATTTTCTTAACTATTGTGTTCTGAGAGTTCTTTTTATTTGTAACTTAGCATTTCACTCAGTAGTGTCTTTTGCAGAGCAAAGGTTTTAGTTTAGATGAAGTCCATTTAATCCATTTTTTCTCTTTCATGGTTCATGCTTTTGGAGTCATGTTTAAGAACTCTCTGTCCAGTCCCAAGTTACAAAGAGCACCTATGTTTTTTTCTAAAAGTTTTATAGTTTTATATTTTACATTTAGATCTGTGATCCATTTTGAATTAATTTCTGTGTAAGGTAGGAAGGAGGTTTAGGTCCATTTTTTTTTTCATTCCAATATCCAATCATTCCAACACCATTTGTTGAAAAGACTAGCTTTTCTCCATTGAATTGTGTGGGTCTACTTCTAGACTCTATTCTGTTCCTGTGATCGATGTGTCTACCCCTCCACCAATACTACATTCTTGATTACTGTAGCTTTATAGTAAGTCTTTAAATTGGCTAGTGTGAGTCTCCTTATCTTCTTGCTCTTTTTCAAAATTGTTTTGGCTATTTGAGTTCCTTTGCCTTTTCATATAAATTTTAGAATCAGCTTACTTATATCCACAAGTCTTGTTGGGATTTTTATTGGAACTGCTTTAAATCTACAGATCAATTTGGGGAAAGTAGACATTGTCACTATGTTGAGTCTTCTAATCCATTAACATGGTGTGTCTCTACACTTATTTATGTCTTCACTGGGTGACTTTTATTTATTTATTTTTATTAACACAATTTTACTACAAGGTCTGAAAAGCTACTAACGCCTTCTAATAGCCTTTGAAAATAGACAGTATAACCAAACCCTACTAATGGAAATGAAAAAAAAAAGGAAGATGAAATGGCAGTAAGTGCTAGCTGAGCCAAGTATGTCACAACTAAATTAAAAAAAAAAAAAAGTAGAAATGGCAACAATTCTGCTCAGCTCCTCATGACACCAGGCTTAAATTTAACACTTTCAGTACAAGCAACGCCAAAAGAAAAACTGCTGACCTGGCACAGTGGCTCACGCCTGTAATCCCAGCACTTGGGGAGGCTGAGGCAGGTGGATCACTTGAGGTCAGGAGTTTGAGACTAGCCTGGGCAATGTGGCAAAATCCTGTCTCTACTAAAAATACAAAAATTAGCCAGGCGTGGTGGTGCGCACCTGTAATTCCAACTACTCAGGAGGCTGAGGCAGGAGAATCACTTGAATGCAGGAGGTGGAGGTTGCAGTGAGCTGAGATCACACCACTGCACTCCAGCCTGGATGACAGAGTGAGACTCAGTCTCAAAAAGAAGAAGAAAAACGGCTTCACAGTAACACAAAATTGGGTCTAGTTCTAATCTTGAACTGTTTCATTTTAAAGCAAAATTAATGCCTCTCTTAACATAAATGGGAACTTAGGTCTTCCGGACCCACATATGATATTATGTGATTACAGTACATTAAATCACTACATACATTCTTTCAATAAATATCTGCTGAGCATTTGCAACAGTCTGGCAGTATTCTGGGTACTGCGGACACAGAAGAGAAAACAGAGAGGCTCCTTATTTGAAGCCTCCCTTCTAGGGAGAGAGAGAATTCAAACACACAATACAATAATAAGGCAATCTCAGACAGCGCTACGTGCTAGGAAGAAAACACACCATGGTAATGGGACACAGCGTGATGGGCGGTGGGGGCCTCTAGATGAAGTGGTCAGAAAAGCAGACCTCTCTGGGGAGGTGACGTCTGAGCCAGACCTGAATGACTATGGGGCAGTGACCTTCTAGAAGGCAGAGAAGGAGGCTTCCAGGCAGAGGGAGCGGAACGTAAAAAGACCCTAAGATGGAAAAAAGCATGTCAGGTTTACGGAAGCACGAGAAGGCTGGTGTGGCCTCTCTAGTGAGCACAGGGGAAAGACGCTCCATGCCGTGTTTGCAAATATGTGTGCACGTATGTGCCTGGGGGGGAGGGCAGTGCAAGGCCTCTGGGCCATGGGAATGAGTTAATAACCAGTGAATTAAGTATTCTTCAGGTAACTGATAAATGTTGCCAATTATCCCCTATGTCTTAGATCTGCTTAGTATATTTTCATTTCCAGCGAGCTCACAAAAGTCTCCTATAACCAGGCAAATATACTTCCAAAGGTAGCTCCTTTTCTAGTCTGTCTCCTGCCACCAGCTGGAATGAAATTAATTATGAGGTTAAGCAGAAATACAAAAGCATCTACCCAGTCAGGAGTATCCCATGTCTTCCTCCTGAAAAGATGGCCAAAGAAGTCAATATTTAGCACCCCAAAGTGCCACAGGTGTTTTAAAGCATGGGAGGAAAAGATATTTCTATTTTCTAGAAGGCTGTGATTAAAAATGAGATTAAGATGAACTCATCCTCTCATATGAGATGAATAATATTAACACAAATGTGTCACCACAATGCAAAACCTGTCTTCGATGCTGTAATCACAGTTACCTCCTCTGCCAGTATCTAATTCCCATAAGGGACAGACACAGGCTTCCAAGGACTTGAATCTTTCTAAAAAAATCCATAGTTTCCCAGCCAAATAAATAAGACCCAAGCAACTTATGGGTCTGTTCCACATTAGACATACACTATTAAAAAAGGCCAGTGAGGCCAGGCACGGTGGATCAATCCTGTAATCCCAGCACTTTGGGAGGCCGAGGTGGGTGGATCACCAAGTCAGGAGTTCAAGACCAGCCTGGCCAATATGGTGAAACCCTGTCTCTACTAAAAATACAAAAATTAACCGGGTGTGGTGGCAAGCGCCTGTAGTCTCAGCTACTCGGAAGGCTGAGGCAGAAGAATTGCTTGAACCCAGGAGGTGGAGGTTGCAGAGAGCCGAGATCGCACACGCCACTGCACTCCAGCCTGGATGACAGAGCGAGACTCCGTCTCAAAAAACAAAAACAAAAACAAAAAACGCCAGTGAAATTGTCTTCCACAAGTAAAGAAAGAAACAAGCTCAAACAGGCAACTGAGGAACTTGCCACGTTGGTGTGTCATGGCACAAGAACAATTCATCTGAGAGCGTTTCACAACAGGAGACCAGGAGTAAGCTGATGATCTACTGACCACTGTATGCTGTGCTGTATTTGGCTGATGTGGGAATAACTAACTTTCCCAAATGAGAAAAACTGTGTGTCTGACGGCAATCAATCTACTGAGCACGTGCCTTGTTCATTAAGTACCCGTGAATAGTGTCTAGATATTTCAACACTGCTAAGTACTTTTTTAGGAAATCTGATTTTCATAATGTTGAGGCAGTAATATTTCTGGAATTTATTATTTTATAAACTGGCAAATGGTGTTTGGGTCAGTAAGTATGGACACTAGTGCTATTGTTTATCTAAGGAGTCTTGGTCCATTCTTGGTAAAAACACTCCAGAAAACAGAAACTGATGGCTCCTTTCTGAACATGCTACTCTGTATACTTCAGCCCTAATGCTGGCAACTTACTCAGTGGGGAACACTTCATTAAGATCAGGGCCATAGGGCTGGGCATGGTGGCCCACATCTGTAATCCCAGCACCTTGGGAGGCTGAGGCGGGCAGATCACGAGGTCAAGAGATTGAGACCATCCTGGCTAACATGGTGAAAACCCGTCTCTACTAAAAATACAAAAAATTAGGCTGGGCACGGTGGCTCACACCTGCAATCTGAGCACTTTAGGAGGCCGAGACCGGCGAATCACGAGGTCAGGAGATCGAGACCATCCTGGCTAACACAGCAAAACCCCGTCTCTACTAAAAATACAAAAAATTAGCCGGGCGTGGTGGCAGACGCCTGTAGTCCCATCTACTATCGGGAAGCTGAGGAAGGAGAATCGCTGGAACCCGGGAGGCAGAGCGTGCAGTGAGCCGAGATCACGCCACTGCACTCCAGCCTGGGAGACAGAGTGAGGCTCCCTCTCAAAAAAAAAAAACAAAACAACAACAAATGATCAGGGCCATAGCAAGGCTGCCCACTCTATTACTTCACACAGAACTGGAGGTGTTAGCCCAGGCAGTTAGACAGAGTAAAGAATGAGAGCATAAAAACCGGGAAAGAAGTCATTTCTATTTGCAGTTGATAGGACAGTACGCCTGGCAACCCTAAAGAATCAATGAAAAACTAATGCAAACAGAAAAAGAAATCAGTTAGGCGGCAGGATAGAAAATCAAAGTATGCAAATCAACAGCTTTCATATACCCAAGAGAAGATGAGCATCTAGCCTCTATGTAATGTAAAATAACAAAGTCCTTTTCCTGTGAGTTTCTACCATGTCTGTCTCCCCCAGCCAAACTACTATAGAAGGTTGTTTTAAATCTAAATTTATATCAGTCGAATTACATCTTAATGCATTCATCCCAGCCTTCCAGACTGTCGAAAGTTTTGAATTTTGCCCTTTGACAGATTAACAATCTCACTCAGCTGTGTATCTTGTACAGACAAGGCCTTCTACTCACTGTTCCAAACAATCTCTAAAAAACTGTGACCAGAGGCCGGGCGCAGTGGCTCACGCCTGTAATCCCAGCACTTTGGGAGGCCAAGGCGGGCAGATCATGAGGTCAAGAGATTGAGACCATCCTGGCTAACACGGTGAAACCCCGTCTCTACTAAAAATACAAAAAAATTAGGTGGGCGTGGTGGTGGGTGCCTGTAGTCCCAGCTACTCCAGAGGCGGAGGCAGGAGAATGGTGTGAACCCGGGAGGCAGAGCTTGCAGTGAGCCGAGATGGCGCCACTGCACTCCAGCCTGGGCGACACAGCAAGACTCCGTCTCAAAAATAAAAAATAAATTAAAAAAAAATAAAGAAAGAGTAAGAAAAAAATTACCCAAAGAGCATATGTAAAAGTACCCATGGTAAGGCAAAGCCTGTCCCTTTCTGTCTTTTTAAGTCCTATCTACCCTAAAGGCACTGCTCAAATCCAACTAGGGCCAGAGGCCCATGATTCCCAAACCTCAATCATCCACTGACCATCTTCAAGAAACTATCTTTCACTCAAATGATTCCTTTTTTTTTTTTTTTTTTTTTGGTGACAGTCTCACTCTGTCGCCCAGGCTGGAGTGCAGTGGCGCGATCTTGGCTCACTGCAAGCTCTGCCCCTCCAGGTTTAAGCAATTCTCTGCCTCAGCCTCTGGAGTAGCTGGGATTACAGGTGCGTGCCACCATGCCCGGCTAATTTTTTGTATTTTTAGTAGAGACGTGGTTTCACCATCTTGGCCAGGCTGGTCTTGAACTCCTGACCTTGTGATCCACACGCCTTGGCCTCCCAAAGTGGCCCTGTGGCAACCATTGTGCTATAGCCTGGTATTGTTAATTAGATTACCTTATTTCACTGATTTGAAGACCTACATTTTCCACATGTTAACGTCTCTGGAGTTGGTATGTTACAAGTTAATTAGCTGTGAGTTCTCTTTCTGAGCAATAGACAAAACACTGACGTGTCCTTAAAACATTGGTGTCTTAGATCCAATGACACATGGGCAGTTTCTCACGTAATTCGGGCGCTCGCCAGACACTGGTTCACTACAGTGGCCGGAGAACCTCAGGAGGTTCTACCAAGTGGGAGTGAGAGTATCTGGTCTTCTCCGTGTTCCCCAGCGGACTCACGCTGCTGCAGCTGAGTAGGCTTGGATCGTGTTCTCCCGTCCCTTTCCATCTCCATCGAGGATTAGCCATACCGAGCGTCCATTGCTGATTCCATTAAAGCCTACAGGACTGCCAAGTCTCTCGCTTCCTTCCTCCACATTTCTGAACAATTTTCAGAAAGGTCATGTACTTTCTATTCACACAAACCACCCACCCCTCCACCCCTGCACACACTGATGCATACTTTCTCCCACGCCCCCAAATGCCAGGCCTGCCAGCACCAGCCGTGAGCGGCGCTGGAGCGCAGGGAGCAAGAGTCTGCGAGAAGCTGAGAAGGGGGCGTCTCTCACTCAGCACAGCCTCATCGCGGAGCCACTGCAACACACACAACAGCGAACGCAGGACTTAACTCTTCCATGTCTGAGAAATGAACTGCTCATGAGAAATTTCACAAGAATACGTTAAGAAGCCTGTTTCAAAAGACCTAATTTTGATTTGATTTTGTGAAGGAGTTTCCAAAATTAATGTTTCGGTATGAAAAGCTTCTACAGTGATCCAACAGTATTTAACCCAACAAGGCCTTTACAAACACCCTGTGCATGATGTAAGCATTCACTCCTCATGTATATATGTGTCCATGTCACATAATAGTTCACAAAGTACCCACACAGACTCATCTCAAAGTCCTGGGCAGCAGAAATGGACAAAGAATGGTTCCAAGCTCAGGCCACAGCTTGAATACCAAATTATGCTATGAAAAGGCCAAGTGTTTTTGTGGTAAAAGCACCCACATTCCTTAGAAGCAAAAAGGAAGCTCAGAAAGGGAGACTCACAACCCCAGGAAGAGGGCTCGGAGCAGGGGAGCAGCAGACCTTTCTCTCCAAAAAGCTTCCAAGGCCCCAATGCCCCCACCACCTCCAACCTTCCGGATGACCCACTTCTCTGAGACCAGCTCCACTCCTGGCCCCCACTTCTCCCACCGGAGTTTTCATTGAAGGTTCTCCATGTCGTCATCCTAAAGAGCTCCTCATTCATTCTTAAAGGGGCTAATAATCATTGTTGGCACTTCCAATGTGCTAGGGCAGCAGCTGGGTGTATGCAATGGGTATAGGTGGTACCCCCATGGACCTTTTTATTTTAGTGGCTATGTATTTATTTTAACATCCTTTAGATAAATTACACAGATAGCAGCACCTATGATCTCAGATATAATTGCTCAGGACATGTCGAAGTTTAAAAAATTGATTTTAAGCTTACTTTCTTTTTTTTTTTTTAAACAGGTCTTGCTGTGTCACCCAGCCTGGAGTGCAGTGAGGGGATCATAGCCTCACTACAACCTCAAACTTCTGGGCTCAGGCAATCACCCCATTAAGTCTCCTAAGTACTACAGGCACATACCACCATGCCTCACTAATTTTTTTAAAGACTGAATCTCACTATGTTGCCCGAGCTGATCTGGAACTCCTGGCCTCAAGTGATCCTCCTGCCTCAGCCTCCCAAAGGGCTGGGATTCCAGGCATGAGCCACCATGCCTAGCCTGATTTTCTTTTTTATAATTAAGTAACAGTACAGGCAAAATCAAACTCTTGATTCCCCCTGCCCCAGGGTGCCCCTCTTCCAGGGCTCCCTCACCCCGTAAATGGCACCACTGTTGTTTAAACCAAAACCTTAAGAGTCCTTTTTGACTCTTCTTCCTCTGTCACACACCTCACATTCAATCCATCAGCAAATCACATGAGCTCTTCCTCCAAAACACAACTGGAATCTGATACTTCCCACCATTCTTCTGCCATCCCCATGGCCAAGACACCTTCTCGCACCTGGATGACTCTAGGAGTCTCTTAGGAGGTCCCAGGCTTCCACTCTCACCACTCAAACTCAAAAGAGGGATTTTTCGGCCGGGCACGGTGGCTCACGCCTGTAATCCCAGCACTTTGGGAGGCCGAGGCTGGCAGATCACGAGGTCAGGAGATCGAGACCATCCTGGCTAACACGGTGAAACCCCGTCTCTACTAAAAAAAAAAATACAAAAAGTTAGCTGGGTGTGGTGGTGGGTGCCTGTAGTCCCAGCTACTTGGGAGGCTGAGGCAGGAGAATGGCGTGAACCTGGGAGGCGGAGCTTGCAGTGAGCTGAGATTGCGCCACTGCACTCCAGCCTGGGCAACAGAGCGAGACTCCGTCTCAAAAAAAAAAAAAAAAGAGGGATTTTTCTCCAATCAAAAGTCACATCACATCAGGTCCCTACTCAATCTGCTCCCCATGAAAGCTTCACATCACATGAAGAATGGAATCCAGAGGCCACATCAGGACCTGTGAAGCCCAGCATGGCCCCCGGCTCCCTCAGACCTCAGCTACTCCCAAGCTCCCCCAAGGCACTCCACCCAGCTGCACCAGCACCCCTGAGGCTCCTGAAACAGCAGCCTTTGCATCTCCTGCTCCCTTGGGCAGGAATGCTGCCCCCATTTCCCCGTTTTCATCTCATCAAATGTGGAGAAGTCTTCCCTTACCACCCTGTCCAAAATGGCACCCCCAACATTCTGTGTGTGAATCTAGACTGTTCCTCATAGCACCACCTGATGCTGTAGTTTGGATATTACAAAATCACAGATGATCTGTATCTGTTCGGTGCTCACTGTCTGTCCCCTTTACTAGACCATCAGCTCCACAAAGGCGGTGTCTCCTGCACCTGCAGGGTGCCTAGCACATAGTGAGTGCTCAGGGACATTTAAGGGAATGAACAGCATTCACTCACGGCAGCACTGAAGGTAGAAGTTTCTGGTTAGCGGGCAACCAAGCCAGGCTAGTAGTGGAATGTGTCAGTTCCTTTAACACCAACAATACTCCCCAGAGTCCTCTTGGTTTGGAGAAACTAAGGCTCAGGGACATAAAGTGATTTGCCCAAAGCCAGTATGAGACTAACACTGTTTTATCCGGCTGAAAGGTCTGGGTCCTTTTGAACACATCAAGCTCTCCTTAGAACCTCTTTGTGGCCGGGCACAGTGGCTCACACCTGTAATCCTAGCACTTTGGGAGGCCCAGGCAGGCGGATTGCTTGAGGCCAGGAGTTCATGACCAGCCTAGGCAACGTGGTGAAACCCTGTCTCTACTAAAAATATGAAAGTTAGCTGGTGTGGTGGTGCACACCTGTAATCCCAGCTACTTGGGAGGCTGAGGCACAAGAATCACTTGAACCCACGAAGCAGAGGTTGCAGTGAGCCGAGATCACACCGCTTCACTCCAGTCTGGGTGACAGTGAGATCCTGTCTTCCCCATACACCCACAAAAAAGCTTTTTGCTTCAAAAGACCTTTCAAGGTACCACAGTGCCTGCAATGATGCTCCCACCAAGTGATCTACCAAGTGGCCCCAGCATACCCTTGCAAATGCCATTCCTGCAAACCTCCACTGACCCAGACCAATCAGGCCACTCTGCAGCCCCTCAACACATAGACTTGTAGTACTAATTGTACTTAACTTGTGAAAAGCTTAACAAACACATGCACACATATTTAAACACCTGTCCTTAGCCAGATGCGGTGGCTCATGCCTGTAATCCCAGCACTTTGGGAGGCGAAGGCAGGAGGATTGCTTGAACCCAGGATTCTAGACCAGCCTGGGCAACATGGCGAAACCCCATCTCTAGGAAGAAAAATGAAAACAAAAACACACGTGTCAAGAAAACACACATACACATCCTCCTGGAATGGCCCTCCTCTCCTCTGCTTGGCAAACTCCTCTCATCCTTTAAAGCCTCTAAAATTCTCTGCTGTCTGCCCAGGGCTCTTGACACAGGTCTACAATAACAAGACAGTGCCCCAGGTATTGTATCAGTGGCATATGCTCCTCCCAAGCTGATCTACAAACGCAGTGAGGGTGGGCACCACGCCTCATTCATATTTGCCCAGTAGCCACAGACCAGCAGCCCTCACAGCCATCTCTGAATGCAGGTGTCTGAGCTGAGTTGTTCTCCCCAGACTTGAGACAGTGGATGTGACATCAGCAAGCCCTACACACCACCTGGACATCCATACAACCTGTGAGAGGGATGTCCTGATCATCATGAGGGCGGAGGGGCCTTCTGATGACATCCCTGCCATCCCTTTGCCACGCACCAAGATGCAATGTGTTTAAAGCTAACTATTCTTGCTTTAAAAAAGGCCACCACCACCTGGAGAAACACATTCTGGGGCTAGTAGAGCTGGCCTTCTGCCTAACACAATTCCCTTTGGTTCCATCACATCTAGGAAGGGGAGAAGCTGGCAGCCACCTACTCTACATGACCCAGGTGGCTGCTCTCTTCTCAGCAAGCCAACTCAGCCTGCACCATTTACAATTTTCCCTCCCAATGTCACAATCCAACCAGCGTTTCCCAAATGCTAACTAGAGTGGGGACAGTTATACAGGGACCTTGCCCTCTGGGAACTTACAAAGCAGAGGGCCAGCCGTCTAAAATCAATGCCAACTCGGTAACAAGACAGACGTGCCCAGCAGTAATAAAATAAAGGAGTAGTAAAGGTGTGGAGGGGAAGACAGCAATCCCCACTGGGGAGGCCTGGGAACTGTGCTCCTGGGAGAATAATTTCAAGGCTCTGGTTCCAGGTTATCCCTGAGCCAATGTCTACTCACCTCTGTGACGCCAAGGGCGAGCACTGGACCTGGCTACAAACCTTTACTCATCCTTTCACAAATGTATTTATTGAGTGCCCAGCACATGGTGATAGATAATAGAGACACAGCGGTAAACAAGAGATCACAGGTCCCTGTCCTCAAGGAGTTTACTTTCGTTTTTTTTTTTTTTTTTTTTTTGAGACACAGTCTCGCTCTGTCGCTCCAGGCTGGAGTGCAGTGGCCCGATCTTGGCTCGCTGCAAGCTCCGCCTCCTGTGTTCAAGCTAATTCTCCTGCCTCAGCCTCCCGAATAGTTGGGACTACAGGCGCCCCCACCACGCTCGGCTAATTTTTGTATTTTTAGTAAAGACGGGGTTTCACCATGTTGGCCAGGATGGTCTTGATCTCCTGACCTCGTGATCCACCCGCCTCAGCCTCCCATAGTTCTGGGATTACAGGCATGAGCCACCGCGCCCGGCGGAGTTTACTTTCTAGTACAGGAGGCAGACAAGTCCATAGACAATTCTAACAGTGCCATGCATAGGAAGGACCCAGGAGGCCAGCACCCTACCCTGGTAGGTCAGAGTAGTCCATGGTGCCAACATGTGTGTGCATCTATGTGCACATACGCGTCAGAGGACGCAGGGCCTGGAAGACAGCGCCAAACCCATGAGGGTCCAGACCGGGGGTAGGGATGAGTCTGAAGACAATTCTTCCACTCAGCGCTCTCGCCTTAGGAGAAGGAAACTGAGGCTGAGGGAGACACAGTCAGAGCCAGGACCAGAACCCAGTGACAGCTACCACTGGTCATTCCTTTAGTACAGCCCAGGGGTTAAGGGGGTTTCTGGAATCACACTGCCTGATTTTAATCCTGCCTCAATACGTACCATTTGTGTGGCCTTAGGCAAACGACCACCTCAGTGTCTCAGTCTGTCAAATAGGAATAACAGTAGCACCTATCTCAGGGGGCTGCTACGAAAATGAAACTGACAAATGTAAAGCAATTAACACAACGCCGGGGATGCAGTAAGCGGTACACTGTGGATGCTGCTGTTATTATCATTGCACGTCTGCTCGGTGTCGCAGTGGGCTCGAGACTCGGATAGCTCTGCTGCCGCCCGCCGTGTTCCCTTCTGGCTCCAGGACGCTCCCGCCCTCGACGCCCGGCAGCAGCAGCCCACAGCCCCGGCGCCCTTGACCCGGGGGCCGGGCCCGCCGCGCACACACGCCCTGGCCTCGGGAACGAGGGGGCCAGCCCGAGGAGAGGAGAAGGTGGCTGACACACCCCACCACGGAGAGGGTGGCTGTCCAAACTCGGAGAAGGAGCCGTTCCTGCACCCGACAGCACCCCCGCCCAGGCTCCCAACCCCAAGCCCAGAGAGCGGGCCTGTTCCTCACACTCTGCAGCAAGCTCCTCCTCTGCGCCGCCATCTTGGAGGAACCCCTGCGGGAGCGCCCGCCTCCCCGCAGAGCAGCGAGTGGGGCGGCTAGAGCGGCCCGAAGGAGGCGAGGATGACCGCGCTGCCGGGGAGCATGCGCCCAGCGCCACCCCACGCCCGAAGAGGGATGGGGGTCGTAGCGGACCGTGTGCGCAGGCGCGCTCTTGCACGTTTTGTTGTTGTTGTTGTTGTTGTTGTTTTGTTTTGTCTTTTCCTCGGGGCCGATTGCTCCTCGCCCATCTTTATTATTTTTTGAGATAGGGTCTCACTCTGTCACCCAGGCTGGAGTGCAGTGGCGCGATCACAGCTCCCTGCAACCTCTGCCTTCCGGCCTCAAGCGATTCTCCTTCCTCAGCTTCCCGAGTAGCTGGGATTACAGGTGCCCGCCTCTCCTGCCCCAGCCTCCGGAGTAGCCGGGACTACAGGCATGAGCCACCACGCCCGGCTAATTTTTGTATTTTTAGTAGAAACGGGGTTTCGCCATGTTGGCCAGGCTGGTCTTGAACTCCTGAGGGTTCTTTGTGAACACAGTTGGTAAGGGGAGGACAATTCATTCACTCAGCAAATGCTACCTAGGTGACCCTGCTTGGCTCTATAGTGGGTTCTGCAGCGAGCAGGACAGGCCTTCAAAAAGCTAACATTTTATTTTATTTTATTTCATTTCATTTTATTATTATTTTATGTTATGTTATGTTATGTTATTTTTGAGACGGAGGCTTGCTCTGTCGCCCAGGCTGGAATGCAGTGGCGTGATCTGGACTCACTGCAACCTCTGCCTCCCGGGTTGAAGCGATTCTCCTGCCTCAGCCTCCCGAGTAGCTGGGGTTACAGGCGCCCGCCACCACGCCCAGCTAATCTTTTACATTTTTTGTAGAGACGGAGTACCGCTATGTTGGCCAGGCTGGTCTCAAACTCCTGGCCTAAAACGATTCTTCTGCCTGGGCCTCCCAAAGTGCTGGGATTACAAGTGTGAGCCACCCCGCCCAACCTAAAATGTTAACATTTTAATTGGAGAGGACAACATTTATGTATATAAGACATTCTGCCGGGGGCAGGCGCGGTGGCTCATGCCTGTAATCCCAGCACTTTGGGAGGCCGAGGCCGGTGGATCACCTGAGGTCAGGAGTTCGAGATCAGTCCAGCCAACATGGTGAAACCCCATCTCTACTAAAACTACAAAAAATTAGCCAGGCATGGTGGTGCACGCCTGTAATCCCAGCTACTTGGGAGGCTGAAGCAGGAGAATCACGAACCTGGGAGGTGGAGGTTGCAGTGAGTGAGCTGAGATCACTCCACTGCACTCCAACCTGGGCAACAGAGTGAGACTCTGTCTTAAAAAAAAAAAAAAAAAAAGCACACTTGTCACGGGAGCCCACTGTGGCTTGCACAGAGTTGGAGGAGAGAGATGAAGGGGTTGTAGGGACAGGCTCTGACCAAGTGGGCCCCAGGCAGGAGTTTATTCATCTGGAGGACAGAGGGAAGTTGTTGCCTTCTAAGCAAGCCATTGACAGGGTCCCATTGGTAGAGAGATGTTTGACTCCCAGGTTCAAGCGATTCTCCTGCCTCAACCTCCCAAGTAGCTGGGATTACAGGCATGCGCCACCACGTCTGGCTAATTTTGTATTTTTAGTAGCGATGGGGTTTCTCCATGTTGGTCAGGCTGGTCTTGAACTCCCGACCTCAGGTGATCCACCTGCCTTCGCCTCCCAAAGTGCCGAGATTACAGGCGTGAGCCATTGCACCTGGCACCTGCCTGCTTTTTATAAAATTAAACAAACATTCATTTGCAAGCCATCTCTCCCTGACCCCCACCATTTAAAAAAAAAAAAAAAACAGGTTCTCACTGTGTTGTCCAGGCTGGAGTGCGGTGGCACAATCATGGCTCATTGCAGCCTCAAGCTTCTGGGCTCAAGTGATTCTCCCACCTCAGTCTCCCGGGTAGCTGGGACTACAGCATGTGCCACTGCGCCCGGCTAATTTTTGTATTCTTGTAGAGACAGGCTATCACCATGTTGCCCAGGCTGGTGTCAAACGCCTGAGCTCAAAAGATCCTCCCGAGCTGGGCGCGGTGGCTCATGCCTGTAATCCCAGCACTTTGGGAGGCCGAGGTGGGTGGATCACGAGGTCAGGAGATCAAGACCATCTTGGCCAACATGGTGAAACCTCGTCTCTACTAAAAATACAAAAAATTAGCCGGGTGTGGTGGCATGTGCCTATAGTCTCAGCTACTTGGGAGGCTGAGGCAGGAGAATCGCTTGAACCCGGGAGGCGGAGGTTGCAGTGAGCCAAGATCGCGCCACCGTACTCCAGCCTGGGCGACAGAGTGAGACTCTGTCTCAAAAAAAAAAAAAATTAGATGGACATGGCAGTGTGTGGCTATAATCACAGCTACTCGGGAGGCCGAGGCAGGAGAATTGCTTGAACCTAGGAGGCGGAGGTTGCAGTGAGCCGAGATCACGCCAGTGCACTCCAGCCTAGCAACAGAGTTAGACTCTGTCTCAAAAAAAAAAAAAAAAAAAAAAAAAGATTCTCCCTGCTTGGCCTCCCAAAGTGCTGGGATTACAGGCATGAGCCACCGCGCCCGGCCACCACTGTCTTTGTTTTTAAAACCCCTGCCTCCCAGGGATGTTACAAGGATTCAATAAAGTAACATCTTCCAAGCCTTTAGAACAGGAACAGAATCTGCTCCAAATATGTGGCTTCTCTTCCCTTCCCCAGACCCATTTCCCCATGATCATGCCATATGCTTCTACCATTTCACCTTGGGATGCTGCCAACAGTTCCAAAAACACAGAAGGTGCTTCTGAAGGCTGCGCCATTGGGCGCCCCAACTGCTTTTCGGCCAGTTATCACCTTTATCAAGATATCCTTGCTCATCAGGCCTGTGACAAACTGAGTGGAGCCAGAAGCCCAAGAGAGGGGGCAGTTAATTCTGCTGGGGGAGTCAGGGAAGACTTCACAGGGGAGGTGACCTTCCAGCTGGGTCTGGGAGGGCAGAGGGATTGAGCAGAGAAGATAGAAAGCGCATCTCAGGCCAAGGGATCGCATGGTCAAAGTGAGGGGGGAACTGGCAAAGGCAGAAATTGACTGTGGCCGAGCTGAGGAGAACAAATCAGGGAGGGATATGGGTGCAACAGAAGCAATTGGCTTTATCTTGTAAGGGTAGGGACTCATTTAAGTGGGAGAGTCACATGATCATATTTGTGTTTCAGAGGGATCCCACTGAGTCAGACAGGAAGCAGGGAGACCAGTATTAGGAGCCTGCTGGGATAACCCAGATAAGAGAAGGAAGGAGGTGGCCGGGACCAGGATGGTGGCCATGAGGATAAAAGAAATGGACAGTTTTCAAAAATATCCAAATAGGTCAAGTAGAAAGACTCTGGCAGTTGATTGGAAGCGGAAGAAAGGGGAGTGGAAGATGACTCCCAGGTTCCTGGCCCAGGCCGTCGGCCCAGTGGTGGAGGATCTGCCGAGACAGGGCCACTAGAGGAGGGCCAGGTCTGGGCCTGGCAGGTAGACAGAGAGCGCAGGGGGCAGAGAGGATGCTGAAACATTCACAGTGTGCAAAGCAGCATGTTACTCTATGCATTTGAGGCATCTGCTATGGAAGAGGAGAACCAAGGCAGTGACAGAAGGGATGGTTTGAGAAATATTTAGGATGTTAAGTCAACAAGATCTGGCGTATGCTTGGGTTTTTGAAAAGAGGGACAAATCTGGGATAATACCCAGGGGGATGACTGGTAGATGATGGTGCCTTTTACTTAGATGATGAGCACAGAGAAAGGAGGAGATTTGGTGGGAAGATTCATGCGTTAATTCAACAATCCTCAATAGAGCACTTAGTACATGCCAGGTAAGCAGGGACAAGAACACTGCCCTTATGAGACTTCCACATTCGGTGAGGAGAGATAGGTAATAAATAAACTAGTAAGTATGTCAGGTGGTGACAAGTGCTATGGAGGAAAACAAAGTGGAGGTGGGCTGCCTTTTTTTTTTTTTTTTTGAGATGGAGTTTTGCTCTTGTCGTCCAGGCTGGAGTGCAATGGCATGATCTCGGCTCACCGCAACCTCCACCTCCTGGGTTCAAGTGAGTCTCCTGCCTCAGCCTCCCGAGTAGCTGGGATTACATGCACACAACACCACACCCGGCTACTTTATTTATTTATTTTTTTTTGAGACAGGGTCTCACTCTGTCACCCAGGCTGGAGTGCAGTGACGCAACCACAGCTCACTGAAGCCTCGACCTCCCAGGCTCAGGTGATTTTCCTGCTTCAGTCTCCCGAGTAGCTGGGACTACAGGTGTGCCACAACACCTGGCTAATTTTCCATTTTGTTTTTTGTAGAGACAGGGTTTTGCGATGTTGCCCGGGCGGGTCTCAAACTCCCGGGCTCAACTGATCTGACTGCCTCGGCCTCCCAAAGTGCTAGGATTACAAATATGAGCCACTTGGCTGGGCGTGGTGGCTCACGCCTGTAATCCCAGCACTTTGGGAGGCCGAGGTGGGTGGATCACGAGGTCGGGAGATTGAGACCATCCTGTCTAACACAGCGAAACCCCGTCTCTACTAAAAAATACAAAAAATTAGCCGGGCATGGTGGCGGGCGCCTGTAGTCCCAGCTACTCGGGAGGCTGAGGCAGGAGAATGGCGTGAACCTGGGAGGTGGAGCTTGCAGTGAGCCGAGATCCTGCCACTGCGCTCCAGCCTGGGCGACAGAGCAAGACTCCGTCTCAAAACAAAAACAAAAACAAATATAAGCCACTGTGCCTGGTCGGGGGTGCCTTTTTAAAAGGCATGACCAGGGATGAACCCACTGCAAAGGTTTCAGGTCTCCTCCAGAGATCTGGGGTGGAGCAGGGAGAGCATTTCAGGCAAAGGCAACAGCAAGTGCAAAGGCCCTGAGGCAGGAATGTGCTAGGTATGTTCTAGGAACAGCAAGGAGGCCAGCGTGGCTGAAGCACGGGGGAGGGTGGCAAGCTATGGGATGAGAGAAGTAGCAAGGCAGATCCCTGGGGTCTTCATGGGAGATGTCAACCAGATATGTCGGAGTAAAGGCAGTTGGATATACGAGTAGCTGACCTGGGGGGGTGGGTGTACACACTTGAGAATGGTCAGAATACAGCGGATATTTAAAGCTGTGAGACCAGATGAGCCACCAATGAAGCAAGTGTGGACGGAGGATGAACCTGGGAGTCCTCCACATTGACACTGAGGGCACAATCCCTGCTACTGTTCAATTGATGTAACTTTTTTTTTTTTTTTTTTTTTTTTTTGAGACAGGGTCTCACTCTGTCACCCAGGCTGGAGTGCAGTGCTGTGATGTTGGCTTCCTGCAAGCTCTACCTCCCGAGTTCAAGCGATCTGCCCATCTCGGCCTCCCAAAGTGCTAGGATTACAGAAGTAAGTCATCCCGTCCAGCAATGTAACTTTTGAAAAACCTTGAGGAAAAGCACATTCAATTTTGTATGAGATCTCTCAAACATTTGAAGTCGCATTTCTAGGTCACATAATTGGGACAGGGTTTGGGAAGACCCCAGCGCTGGATAAGCACAGAGAACAGATGGGTAACCAAAGCCGAAGCCTTTGCTGATCCAGAAGCATGCACAGCTCGGGGAACTTTCACATCAAAAACAGCTTTAAGGATTATGTGAGTGACCGCAAATGTATAAAAATAGTTTAACAAAAGGCAGCAAAGAGGCTAAGACCATGGGTTTTAAAGCTGGACTCACTACTGGTCAAGTCAGGCCCTGCACCGGTATAACTGTGCTGGGCCACTTCTCCTCCCTGGCCCAGCTCCTCATCTGTAAAATGGGAGCATCTTAGTGCCCCTATCACAGGTGTTGAAAGAAGTGAACAAGGCCGGGCGCGGTGGCTCACGCCTGTCATCCCAGCACTTTGGGAGGCCGAGGGGGGCGGATCACCTGAGGTCAGGAGTTCGAAACCAGCCTGGCCAACATGGCAAAACCCTGTCTCTACTAAAAATACAAAAATTAGCTGGGCGTGGTGGCGCATGCCTGTAATCCCAGCTACTTGGGAGGCTGAGGCAGGAGAATCGTTTGAACCTGGGAGGCGGAGGTTGCAGTGAGCTGAGACTGTGCCACTGCACTCCAGCCTGGATTGCGCCATTGTACTCCAGCCTGGGTGACAGAGCGAGACTCTGTCTCAAAACAACAACAACAACAACGACCAAAAAAAAAAAAAAAAGAAAAGTAAAGAAAAGAAAAGGAGGCTGGGAGCAGTAGCTCACGCCTGTCATCCCAGCACTTTGGGAGGCCGAGGTGGGCGGATCACAAGGTCAGGAGATCGAGACCATCCTGGCTAACACGGTGAAACCCCGTCTCTACTAAAAATACAAAAACTAAATTAGCCGGGTGTGGTGGAGGGCGCCTGTAGTCCCAGCTACTTGGGAGGCTGAGGCAGGAGAATGGCGTGAACTGGGAGGCGGAGCTTGCAGTGAGCCAAGATTGCGCCACTGCACTCCAGCCTGGGTGACAGAGCAAGACTCCATTTCAAAAAAAAAAAAAAAAAAAGGAAAGAAAAAAGAAAAGAAGTGAACTAGACAATGCTTTACAAAGTACGCAGCATAGCTCAGGCCCATAGTCAAGTGTAGCTATCTAATTGACAAGGAGACTAAAAGGAGAAGAAAAAAGATTCAGAATAAAATAAAGGGGAGATGGAGAGGGGCCAGAATCAGTGTGCTGAGCAGGACTGCACTCATGGGCATGGGACCCGTACAGTCGCACATTGCCCTGCTCTCAGAATAGACCTAGCATTTGGTTGAATGCTCTGCATTGATTTCTGTTTGAATTTCGCCATCTTGAAATTCTTCATCATTTTATATTTGAACTTGTGTTTTATAAAGGAAGTCCAGTGGGACAAAGAAGCATATGCACCAGCAGGCTCAGACCAGCAAGGATGACAGGCGGTGGGCAGCAGAGCTGCCTAGCAATTGGCCTGGCCACCCTGTGTGCACCCACATGGCTGGACAGTTTGCGACACTGTGGGGCTGTGTGGGGACAGTGGGGGCCAGGATCTGTGCCCAGATTGGTGGCAGCAGCAGAAGAAACTGGTGGGGGTGTCACGGCTCCATGCCATCACGGGCTCCATGGTGGGAGAAGAGACTCCACATGGAACAGCCCGTGCCTGTAACATCTGCACAAATATAGCTCACAGCCTAAATGCTGGGACAGGTACTGCCAGCAGTCAGGCAGTAAACCTTGTCAGTAAGTTATTACAACATGGAAACATACACATGGATGTCGCAATAAAGCACGCTAGGGAGCTGTTAGGATTCTTCAAAGAGTTTTAGAATTTTCGGTTTTCGCCCTGGCATCCATGGGGATGCTAGGAAAAGAAAAAGAATCTCTGGTTTTGAAAATTGCTGCAGGCCAGGCACAGTGGCTCATGCCTGTAATCCCAGTACATGGGAGGCTGAGGCATGAGAATTGCTTAAACCTGGGAGGTGGAGGTTGCAGGGAGGCGACATCATGTCATTTCACTCTAGCCTGGACAACAGAGCAAGATTCAGTCTCAACAAACAAACAAACAAAAACAAACAAACAAAAAAGCCTGCTGCAATATTGCAAATATCCACAGTCTTAGAAATAAAAATTAAATGTATAGATCATCATATTCTACAGAAAATAATTCTATTTTATGTGAAGCTTACTCTGAAGGCAGTTTTAAAGCTAAGTTTTCCTTGTTATTGAAGACCCAGCAATCAAATGCATAAACAGATCATTAAAATTATATAGAAATCATGAAGTAACTTTCAGTTTCTTGTACAACCTTCACAAGTTATAGAAAATGTCAAAGAAAACATTAAAACATCGTTGTATAAGTTTACATTTAAAATTAAATCAGACACATATGAAACTGATTTATATGAATAGTTAAATTTTTTTTCTTGAAACGGAGTCTCACTCTGTCGCCCAGGCTGGAGTGCAGTGGCGCAATCTTGGCTCACTGCAACCTCTGCCTCCTGGGTTCAAGAGATTCTCCTGCCTCAGTCTCCTGAGTAGCTGGGATTACAGGTGCGCACCACCAGGCCTGGGTAATTTTTGTATTTTTAATAGAGACAGAGTTTCACCATGTTGGCCAGGCTGGTCTGGAACTCCTGGCCTCAGGTGATCCACATGCCCCGGTTTCCCAAAGTGCTGGGATTACAGGTGTGAGCCACCGCGCCTGGCCAATATGAAGAGCTAAATATTTTTTTAAAAATTCTTTAAAATCATGAATTTCTCCTACTGTGACAGCATATAAAATACTCTCAGCAGCTACAGCAACAATTGCCTTGGCAGAAGGAGCCTTCTCAAAATAAAAAGTATAAGAAATTATTTGTAATCTTGCCTTTGCCAAAAGTGGCTGTTGTAGCTTTCAATGGAAAATGAAGTTGTCATAAGTATAAATTTCAATAACATAATAAATGAACTTGCAAAAAGAATGAGCCAAAAAATCATATGACCAATCAAGAAATCATATTAGTAAGGCATTATTTTTGTATTATATAAAATGACACCAAAATATTATTATTACTATTTTATTTTTTATTTTTTGAGAGGGAGTCTCATCCTGTCACCCAGGCTGGAGTGCAGTGGCGCGATCTCGGCTCACTGCAACCCCCACCTCCCTGGTTCAAGCAGTTCCCCTGCCTCAGCCTCCCGAGTAGCTGGGATTACAGGCACACACCACCAAGCTCAGTTAATTTTTTTTTTTTTTTGTATTTTTAGTAGAGAGGAGGTTTCACCACGTTGGTCAGGCTGGTCTCGAACTCCTGACCTCAGGCAATCCGCCCACCTTGGCCTCCCAAAGTGCTGAGATTACAGGCGTGAGCCACCACGCCTGGCCTATTATTATTATTATTATTATTATTATTATTATTATTTGAGTGGGAATCTCGCTTTTGTCGCCCAAGCTGGAGTGCAACGGCATGATCTCGGTTCACTGCGACCTCTGCCTCCCAGGTTCAAGCGATTCTCCTGCCTCACCCTCTCCAGTAGCTGGGATTACAGGTGCCCGCCACCACCCAGCTAATTTTTGTATTTTTAGTAGAGATGGGGTTTCACCATGTTGGCCAGGCTTGTCTTGAACTCCATACCTCAGGTGATCCACCCATCTCAGCCTCTCAAAATGCTGGGATTACAGGCGTGAACCACCTCGCCCAACCCCAAAATATTATTTTTTATAATCTTAAATTTATGCTGTTACTCATGTGTTACTCTTACTCCTATTATATTTTATATGTAATATTTTGTAAGTAAAGTGCTTTATATTTTAGTATTTTTATTTCTATTTCTATTTATTATTATTATTTTTTTGAGACGGAGTCTCTCTCTGTCACCCAGGCTGGAGTGTAGTGGCGTGATCTCGGCTCACTGAAACCTCCACCTCCCGGGTCCAGGCGATTCTCCTGCCTCAGCCTCCCAAGTAGCTGGAATTACAGGCACATGCCACCATGCTGGGCTAATTTTTTTTTTTTGGTATTTTTTGTAGAGATGGGGTTTTGTCATGTTGGCCAGGCTCGTCTCGAACTCTGGGTCTCAAGTGATCTGCCCGCCACAGTCTCCCAGAGTGCTGGGATTACAGGCGAGAGCCACTGCACCCGGTCAAAAATTACACTATTTTTTAATATTGCTTTTTGAACAAGAGGCCCTGCACTTTCATTTTGTACTGGGCCCTACAAATCATGCAGCAGCCCTGATTCTGAAACCTAGCATTTCTTTGAAATAGTTTTCATATTTCTCCAAATTGTCCTGAGTCAGTTAAAACCCTTGCAGGGTTTAATGATTTCCCTTAAGTCCAATGAAGGCCAATCCATTACATTATAACTTTTTTTTTTTTTTGAGAAAGGGTCTCACTCTGTCACCCAGGCTGGATTGCAGTGGTGGTGATCATGGCTCACTGCACCCTCAACTTCTTGGGCTCAAGAGATCCTCTCCACTCAGCCTCCCAAGTAGCTGGGACCACAGGTTCAGGCCACCATGCCTGGTTAATTTTTGTATTTTTTGTAGAGACGTTGTCCTCAAACTTCTGGCCTCATTGATCCACCCACTTCAGTCTCCCAAAGTGCTGGGATTATAGGTGTGAGCTACCTCACCCAGCCCTAACTTATCTATTAATTTATTTTTAGATGGAGTCTCGCTCCAGGCTGAGTGAGTGCTCAGCCTGTCACCCAGGCTGGAGTGCAGTGGAATGCTCTCTGCTCACTGCAACCTACCCCTCCTGGGTTCACGGGCGATTCTCCTGCCTCAGACTCCCGAGTAGCTGAGATTACAGGCACCCACCACCACGCCCGAATAATTTTTGTATTTTTAGTAGAGATGCTGTTCTGGAGCTTTGGCCTCGCTTACAGGCGTGAGCCACCACGACCGGCCCTAACTTTTTTTTTTTTTTTGAGACGGAGTCGTTCTCTGTCACCCAGGCTGGAGTGCAGGGGTGTTCCATCTCCGCTCACTGCAACCTCCGCCTCCCGGGTTCAAGCAATTCTCCTGCCTCAGACTCCCGACTAGCTGGGATTACAGGCGCCTGCCACCACACCCAGCTAATTTTTGTATTTCTAGTAGAGTTGGGGTTTTACCATGTTGGCCAGGTTGGTCTCGAACTCCTGACCTCAGATGATCCGCCCACCTTGGCTCCCAAAGTGCTGGGATTACAGCGTGAGGCGCCGTGCCCGGCCCTAACTTCTTAAGGACCACATCGCAGCGTGGAGCGGGTCGCTCTGAAAGGCTGACATACTCCACGGGGCTCAGACGCCCCAATCCATCCCCCATCCCTTTTGGGGTGCTGTCCTCTCCACCTGGGATTCGTTCTTCAGCATCCGACAGGCGGCAGGTGCGGGGCCTTCGGATGACAGTTTCGGTGTTTGGGGTGTCTGGGCAGGGGAAGCACGTGACGGGCCTTTGGTGCCGCAGAGTGGAGCGAACACCTGAACCGCAACGACGAAGACGGGAAGTGGACAGGGAGGCGGGCGTGGCCACTAAGGGATGACAGCGACTCCGCACACGCGGCCTGCCCTCTGCGGACCACAGTGACGTTTCACCTTCTTGAAGATTGGAGAAGGGAGCCATCAGGTGAGAGGGGTCAAGCAGGGCGGGCGGCCTGACCAGCCCCAGCAGCCCCGGCTTGGAACCCGACCCCGCTGTCCCCCAAGGGTCGGCTCCTCTCGCTGAGCAGCGGCCTCAGGGTCGGCCTTCAGGGTAGCTCGGGCTCCTTGGGTTGCAGGCAGCCCCTGCCCTCCGCACTCCTAAACGGGGTCAGAACCTGGGTGTCCTGGAACGGAGCCCCGGGATCCCTCACCCGCCCCGCCGCGCTCCTTCCCTCGGCACCCGCTACTCCTCGGACCTCTTGCAGACTCCGCTCGCCCCCGATGACCGCAATCCGATTGGCTTAGCATCTCTCTCGCCCGCCCCTCTCCCGGGCGTGGGCAGGGCCAGTACCTTGACCGACGGGCCATGCCCAGGCCACGCCCACTTGCTCCTCCCACCCGGCCTGGGCTCCAGAGCCTTTTCTGGTGGGATTTTTTTTTTTTTTTTTTTTTTTTTGAGACAGAGTCTCTCTCTGTCGCAGGCTGGAGTGTAGTTGTGCGATCTCAGCTCACTGCAACCTCTTCCTCCTGGGTTCAAGCGATTCTTCTGCCTCGGCCTCCCAAGTAGCTGGGACTACAGGCGCCCACCACCACACCCGGCTAATTTTTGCTTTTTTTTTTTTTTTTTTTTGGAAACAGAGTTTCGCTCTTGTTGCCCAGTCTGGAGTGCAATGGCGCCATCTTGGCTCACCACAACCTCCACCTCCCTGGTTCAAGCTATTCTCCTGCCTCAGCCTCCTGAGTAGCTGGGATTACAGGCATGCACCACCACGCCCGGCTAATTTTTGTATTTTTAGTAGAGACAGGGTTTCTCCATGTTGGTCAGGCTGGTCTCGAACTCCCGACCTCAGGTGATCCGCCTGCCTCGGCCTCCCAAAGTGCTGGGATTATAGACGTGAGCCACCACACCCGGCCTAATTTTTGTATTTTTTTAGTAGAGACGGGGTTTCACCATGTTGGCCAGGCTGGTCTCAAATTCCTGACCTCAAGTGATCCTCCTGCCTCGGCCTCCCAAAGTGTTAAGATTATAGGCGTGAGCCACCGTGCCCGGCCTCGGTTCATTTGCAGATCTGTGCCTTCTTCAAATACATCTGGACTTCTCCATTCTCTCACGGTCATGGTGACCTGTCTCTTGACTACCATCTAACCAGCAGAGTGGTCTTTTGAGAGCATGCACTGTTGTGGTCACCCACCCTTCATGGCTTTACAGAGGCCTCCAGGCCCTACACTGTGGGATCCATGAGCACCTTCTGGCCTGTCCTTCCTCATTCTCCTCTCTCTCCCTTCTGTGCGTCCACTGCACCTGCCTTCCACCACTTCCAAGCTCTTTCCCAGCCGGGGACCCCTGAGTCCTGGGTCCTCCCTGCAGAACTCACCAGCTTGGATAACTCACCAGCCCACCCGCTCACGTCCAAACCCTGCTCATGGAGAGCGCTTGAGTCGAGGGTCACCTGCTCGACCGGTGGTGGTTGATTTAGTCAGGGTGATCTAAATTGCATCGCATATTCTTTCCAACCCACTCCAGCACTTAGCACAGTTGATATTTTTGCTTGCATGTTTAGTTAACAGCATTTCCCCCACTGCGTGATCATCTCCAAGAGGGCACTGTCTACCTCCTTTGGTGTTGAACTCCTAGCGCCTAGCAAGTTTCTGGTACTTTACAGGCTCTGGGTAAATTTTTTGCCGGCTCGGGGCAACTATATTTAATTTTTTTTTTTTGAGACGGAGTCTCACTCCGTCGCCAGGCTGGAGTGCAGTGGCGTGATCTTGGCTCACTGCAACCTCTGCCTCTCGAGTTCAAGCGATTCTCCTGCCTCAGCCTCCAGAGTAGCTGGGACTAGAGGTGCTGGCCACCACACCCAGCTAATTTTTTTTTTTTTTTTTTTTTTTAGATGGAGTTTTGCTCTTGTTGCTCAGGCCTGGAGTGCAATGGCATGATCTTGGCTCACTATAACCTCCACCTCCTGGATTCAAGCAATTCTCCTGGCTCAGCCTCCCGAGTAGCTGGGATCACAGGCACGTGCCACCACGCCTGGCTAATTTTGTATTTTTAGTAGAGACGAGGTTTCTCCATTTTGGTCAGGCTGTTCTCAAACTCCCGACCTCAGGTGATCTGCCCACCTCAGCCTCCCAAAGTGCTGGGATTACAGGTGTGAGTCACCACGCCCAGCCACGCCCAGCTAATTTTGTCTTTTTAGTAGAGACGGAGTTTTACCATGTTGGCCAGGATGGTCTCAGTCTCTTGACCTCGTGATCCGCCCGCCTAGGCTGCCCAAAGTGCTAGGATTATAGGTGTGAGCCACTGTGCCCAGGTTTTTTGTTTTGTTTTGTTTAGACACGGGGTCTCACTATGTTGACCAGGCTGGTCTTGAACTCCTGGGCTCAAGCAATCCTTCCACCTTGACTTCCCAAAGTGCTGGGATTACAGGCATGAGCCATGGCACCCAGCTGAAGGCCAGTCAATTTAAAAACCATGTCTTGTAAAACATGTGTATGTAAAAGCATGGAAATGGTCTGGAAGGAATGAGGCCAAGCATCTAATCTTGTTTACTCCTGGTGGTTGGGGAAGGAACCAGGATAGGAAATGGTGATGGGGCATGTATGTGGACATGTGCACATGTAAGCTAAGAGACTCTGGCTTCAACTGTAATAATTTTCCTTTTTTTTTTTAGATGGATTTTTGCTCTTGATGCCAAGGCTGGAGTGCAATGGCACAATCTTGGCTCACTGCAACCTCTGCCTCCCCGGTTCAAGTGATTCTCCTGTCTCAGCCTCCCGAGTAGCTGGGATTACAGGCGTCTGCCACCACACCCGGCTAATTTTTTTTTTTTTTTGTATTTTTAGTAGAGACAGGTTTTCACCATGTCGGTCAGGCTGGTCTCGAACTCCTAACCTCAGGTGATCCACCCACCTTGGCCTCCCAAAGTGTTGGGATTACAGGCATGAGCCACTGCAGTCGGCCAATTTTACTTTTTAAAAAGATAATATATTCATAGGTTCATTGTGTAATGAAAAATTAACAAACAATAATAACCAAGTAAGACATGGCCTGTCTAAGGAGACAAACGGGATGGAGCATCCAAGCCAAACGCAGAATGAAGAACAAAGAAACACGGTGACACACTTGCAATCGCTGGTGGGTTCTGAGTCTTCACTTTATTACTATGTCACCAGAAGTCACCACCTTCACTTGGTTCACCACAGATGGATGGATGTCATAAAGGAGGGTGCCACGGGGCCACTGGATTCACTCGAGACTTAACCAGGTGGTGGGGGGGTCTAGAGTGGGGGCCCAGGATGGGGACCGCCCTTCACCGCACACACACGCACACACACACACAGATATATTTGTGGAGCCTTATATTATACATCTTATATATAGAAAATATATATATTTATACTATACACAGGCAGTAACGCTGCGGGAGGGGCCGGGGCACCGACAAGGGCTGTGCGCACCAGGACATGGGGAGTGTCAGGTCAAGTGCATCGCTGGGAGGCAGCCGGCCCAGTCCCTTCTCCCATAAACTCCTGGGAGGGGCATTCCCCCTTTCGTGCTCCTTAGAGAATCAAAGGGGTCTTGGGCCAAGGTTAGGGGTCTCCCAGGGCTAACAGGCAGGGTGTCTCAGTTACATGGGGAAACCTGGGATCCCCGAGGCTTTGAAGATCAAGAATCACCAGGGAAGGATGGAGTAGGGAACTAACGTCAGTCCCCTGGGAATTAGCCCCTCAACTGCGACACCCCCAGGTGGATAGGAGCCGTGCAGGCAGGACAGTCTGTGACTGCCCAGGATGAGCCAACTCAGAAGGCAGAAGACCTGACTCCTGAACCTCTCCCTCTGTGCTTGACCTTGGACAAGTCGCTGTCTCCCTACCCCAGACTCTGCCGACTCTAAGCGTCCTTGCGACTCTACACTTATGTGAAACCTTTTTTCCTGGGCCCTCTCTTGTGCTTGATGGGGAGGAGGGAGCCACCCTGCAGGGTCCAGCTGCAGGAGGGCCCTTCTCCAAGGAAAGCTTTGGGAGCAAGGGAGAAGTAGGGGAGGGCAGCTGGGAGGAAAAGGGATACCGGACAGAGTTGGGCCTGGGGTTCCCCAGGGGCTGTCCTCTGCCAACAGAAGGAGCGAGTTTCCCCATGAACCTTCCAGGGCAGAGTCAGGAGCCCTGGGTCCCATCCAAATCTCGCCCTCCATCTCTCACCCTCTCTCATCTCCATCCTGGGCAGGTCCCTGCCAGAGCCCAGCCTGATGGGGAAGATCATGCCTGGAAGGGCTTCTGGGCTGAACCCGGGAAGAGTGAGGGATTCTTCGTGAGATGACTCAGCACCCCCCATTCCTGGCAGGAGTCTTGACAGCTTTCCCTGCCTAGGGTGGCAGGCAGGGCCTGTCACAAACACCCAAGATGGAGTTAAGCTTACCTGGTACCCTGCCCTCCGGCTGAGGATCACCAGCAGCTGGCTGGCACCCGAGGAGAAACAGATGGGCAGTACCCTGAGGTCTCCTAGTGCCCATCAGCAGGAGAGGCTTTTGGTGGACAGTGGGTGAGGGTCAGAACATCTCACAGCCTCTTGTGGTGGGCACAGAACTTCACTCTGCCATAAACACTCCTGCCCTCACTCACGCCCTCACCTTTGGCCTGGTACAGGTTTCACTCTTCAGGCCAACAGATAACCTGCCCCCATGCTGGTCCCATGTGGGCCACCTGGCGGCGGGGGACTGTGGACAGAGCCCCTTCTCCGGATTGGAAAATGAAGTCAGCAACAACCAGCTGTCACACAGCTGGCTGGGGTCCTCTCCATCACTGCTGTCCTTTGGGAGGACTTGGACACACCTGAGTTTAGATCCGTGTTCCACTGCCAACTCGCCTATGCTTGCCGAGCCTCAGTTTCCCTTCTGTTAAATGGGGATAATGGTGCTACTTCTCTGCTTAGGACTTCCTCCTCTTTCCCTTAACTCTGGCCCAGCTTTGGGGCCATCGAAGCAGGGACCACCCATGCCCTTGGTATCTCCAGCACAGGGGCCGGGTAACTGCTGAGTGAGTAAGCAGGTGAGGGATCGCCTGCCTCTTAGGATTCTTAGATGGGGGATGGGGGGATGGTGGTGAAAACACCCAGCACTGGGCCCGTCCACCACCTGCTCTGCTCTGCTCCCTGAAGGACAGGCCAGTGGACACTGGGTGGACAGGGGGATGGGCCCCCAGCGCTCTCCCATACCTCCCTGTCCCTTATGGCTCAGTGAAGAGCCCACCTTGTGCAAGAATCGACCTGCCCCCACTCAGAAGAGATTATGACCTCCTCAGGCCCCACGGCCCTCTTTGGGCCTTTGGGTCACCTGCCACACTCTCCCCTACAGCCCATGGTCTTCCCTGGGCCTCCCATGCCTCAGGGGCTCTTGCCTGTGTCATCCTGGGGGCAGTGTCTCTCCACGGCCACAGCCCAGGAGCCGACCTGGCTGATTCCAAAGCCCTGTCCTTGCCGCTCTGCCTCCCATAGGGAGGCTGGCTCCACAGTGGGCCTTCTGGAAGGCCAAGGAAACACCTCTCATGCGCTTGGCTGCTGCAGCCCCCGAACCCTGACTGACCCCAGATGAGAGGAGAGGTGACATAGTGTCCCAGATCAGTTCTGTTTCCTGGGAGGTCACAAGGGCAGGGAATCGAGGCACCTGCTGGGCAGCTGGGGCCAAGAAACCCAGGCGTCAGGGCCAGCTTTGCCACTCACTCACCGTGACCTCGGGCCAGTCACACCCTCATCTGTGCCTTGTTGTCCACCCAGCCCTAGGTAAGGGCTTAGTGACCCCTCCTAGAGGCAAGGACAGTGATCAGTCCTTTGAGAGACCACGAAGGGGTTTGCTGGAGCCCCCTGGAACAAGCGTCTGTGGGACACGCAGAGCACAGAGCAGCACCCGGGGTGAGCCCTCTTGGAGGAGGCCAAGGGCCAGGGGTAGGACCAGGGGGATGTGGGTGGAGGGACCCGGAGGTGGGGCTGTCCCCAGGGGAGGAGGAACAGCTGGGGCAGAACAGGCCCTTGGCATGCAGCAGAATCAGGGTGTCTCAAGGGGCTGAGGGCCCCAAGGCCTCCCAGAATGACAGTAACACTGAGCAGGGAAGCCCCAAGCGTGGGGATGGTAGGAGGTGGGTGGCCAGGGAAGAGCACGTGGTCTGCAGTCGGGCAGCCTGGGCTTGGCCCCACCTCTATCACTAGCTGCCTGAGTGATTCTGGGCAAGTAATCTTGACCTCTCTAGACCTCAGTTTCCTCAACCATAAAATGGAGACGGCCCTGACACTCTTAGCAGGACTGCCAGAGCAGGGTGACAGCCCCCAGTGTCCTGTGGGTGTTTACACTCACCCTATGACCAAGCCACGGTGTAGCCACACTTCCCAGCATTATCTGGATCTGTCTTTCCCACCATTCTGGCCTCTGGTACCACCAGGGCTTCCTCCACAGCTCATCGCTCCCCTTTCCAGTGGCCATTTCTGCCAATGTCACCACCCATGCCCAGCACAGGCCGGATGCCCAGTAGGCGCTCAAGGAATGCTTGATGACACAATGTATGAATGCAAATACCCCTGGCCCCCACCCTCTAGGCCCCTGCGGGGCACATGCCCTGGGATATACTTGCACATACGTAGACAGTCCCCAACACTGGACTGCCCCACCCCTGCCCCGAGCTACCCTGGACCTCAGTGGGACAAGGCAGAGGCTGATGAGGCGCTGGGCAGGGCAGCCTGGGCAGGAGCAGGGGCTGGGTGTGGAGAGAGGGGACAGATGGGGAGGGGCGGGGGCAGGCGGTCACTGTGGCTCAGTAGCCCTGCGACTGGTAGCCCTGGGGCTCGGTGTCGAAGGTGTTGGCCGGCTGCTGGTAGGTGCCGCCCATACCGGCGGGATCCGGCCCAGTGGGCTCCACGTAGGGCGCGTAAGGCATGCTGGAGTCCTGGCTGGGGTCCATGTAGTCCTGGGAGAAGAGGGCCGAGTCGGCGCCAATCTGGTACCGCTGGAAGGCCAGCACAGCCTGGCCCGCCTGGGGACAAAGGCCGGCGAGGACAAGGACAGGCGGGAGGGGGTGGTTAGGGGAGAGACAGACAAGAGCACTGGGTTAGTGGTGGTTAGTTCACAGGACACAGGCAGGAGAGGGTTAAAGATCCTCAAAGCACCAAACATGAGACCAAGCTTGGCTGTGGAGAAGGAAGGCTGTTCTCGCAGCCACCCCCGGAAATGCCCAGAACCATATCATCCAGCCAGAAAGTACCCCAGAAATCACCTGCCCCTGTCTCCCAATCCCAGAGGTCAGTCTGGGCTACCAAAAGTTCTAGATCTCCATTATGGAGTGTTAAGATGGCTCAAAGGCTCACAACAGCCTTCTTAAAAAAAGCTTCTCAGCGGGACAAAGGACTGTTAGCATCTCCTAAGAGTCATTCTTTTGTCTCTCTTGCAGCTAGGCATGGCCATGTGACTACGTTTTGGCCAATGGGGTACCCTCATGTTCTCTGTCCCACCCTCTGACCTGATGCCTGGAACACAGATGTGATGGCTGGAGCTCTAATTGCCAAAAGGGACCACAAAGACCATGAGCCAAGTCTGTAGGAATGAAAGATGCCTGGGGGCCATGCACCGCGGCTCATGCCTGTAATCCCACAACTTTGATAGGCCAAGGTGGAAGGATTGCTTGAGGCCAGGAGATCAAGACCAGCCTGGGCTAAAATATGCACCTCTGGCATATTGACTATGTTGAGTTAAAGGCACTTGAAAAACAGCAGGCACAATAACAATCTGATCTTCTTCTTGAAAGCAGGAGAGGCCAGGCGCGACAACTCATGCTTGCAATCCCAGCACTTTGAGAGGCCAAGATGGGCAGATTACTTGAGGTCAGGAGTTTGAGACCAGCCTGGCCAACATGGTGAAACCCCATCTCTACTGAAAATTAAAAAAATTAGCTGGGCATGGTGGCATCACCTGTAATCCCAGCTACTCGGGAGGTGCAAGCAGGAGAATCGCTTGAACCCAGGAGGCGGAGGTTGCAGTACCCTGAGACAGCGCCACTGCACTCTAGCCTGGGCAACAAAGTGAGACTGTCTCAAAAAAAAAAAAAAAAAAAAAAAAGGCCAGCTTGGGCAACATAGCAAGACCCCATCTCTACCAAAAAAATCCACAAAAACCAAATTAGCCGGGCATAGTGGTACTGGCCTGTAGTCCCAGCTACTCAGGAGGCTGAGGTGGGAGGATTGCCTGAGCCTATGGGTTTGAGGCTGCAGTGAGCTATGATCCAGCCTGGGCAACAGAGTGAGACCCTGTCTCTAAAAAAAAGGAAAGATGCCTGGGTCACCGAAGACCTCTGGAGCCAGTATGCCAGCCCTGGACCACTTCCACAGCCTTGGACTTTGTTGAAATCACTGTTATCTGGGATTTCGGTCACCTGCTGCTGAACCTAATTCTAAGTGAGAAACTGAGTTAAATAGAGTGAAACAAGTTTCAGGATCATCTGACTTGGCAGAGCCCTGACTATTCAATGTGACCGCGCCTAGCCTGAAGCCGCCCCGTTTTTTTTTTTTTTTTCACAGATCTCAGATTGGGAAAGACTTGTCTACAGCACACATGCATGGTTAGGAAATTATTTTTCAATAAAAGCAATTACATTGTTATTAAGGACAATGACACTGACCACACTGAGCTAAGTCAAAGTTTAAGTAAATCAAACTTGTCATTAGAAAAGCAGCTTAGAGGTTTATTGCAAAAGCCTTCTCCAGAAACTTTCCCGGCCCGGGGAATCTGCCTGTGATGGGAATGTGCTGATACTCTCCAGACCCCTGTTTTAGGGCTGGGAAGATTGAGGCCTAGAAAAGGAAGTGCCCGTGGCAGAGTTACTGCTAGAACCCTTCCCTAAACATGGGGTCCTACCCCTTCCCAGGTCAGGGCGCCCTCACCTCCTTCCCTTTCACTGGCCCCTGACGAGGCACTAAGTCAACCAACAACCTAAAGAGCCACTTAGTGAAGAGGTAGAGAGTGAATATACCTAGCGTTTTATTCCACAAAGTTCCAGAAACCCAGTGACTGGGCATTTCCTTTTTTTTTTTCTTTTTTTTTTTGAGACAGAGTCTCGCTCTGTCACCCAGGATGGGGTGCAATGACACAACCTTGGCTCACTGCAACATCTGCCTCCTGGGTTCAAGTGATTCTCCTGCCTCAGCCTCCCAAGTAGCTGGGATTACAGGTACCCGCCACCACACCAAGCTAATTTTTGTATTTTTAGTAGAGACGGGGTTTTGCCATGTTGGCCAGGCTGGTCTCAAACTCCTGACCTCAGGTGATCCGCCTGCCTTGGCCTCCCAAAGTGCTGGGATCACAGGCATGAGCCACCATGCCCAGCTAGGGCATTACCTTTTGATTGTACTCATTGACCAAAGTTCTGAGGGGAAGCACTTTCTGGGAGGTGGGTATTTAAAGCAAAGTGCCAGCACCTTGGGAAAGGCAGACTAGGTCTAAAGAAATTGGGCTAAGGGATAAGGTGTAGCCCTCTGGGGTTTCCCACTATGTTAGCATGAGGTCCTGGCTGCTGGGGGCTCAGACGCCGGAGCCTGAAGAAGCAGGGGAGGTGAAGAGCCCCCTGAGGGTACACTTGAGCCCTGGCCAGCCCACAGGAACTGACTGAATGAACCTTGAGAGCAATGTCTGTAGACGCGGTTCTCCCCGAGCTCCCTGGCTCTACTATCCAGGCTGGTTTCCTGTACAGAGGCAGAGGGCTGGAGCAGATGACCCCTACTGATCCTTCTAGGGAGATGCCTCTGGCTGTAGGCACTCATACTGTCTCTGTGTTCAGCTCTCTGCCCTCACTAAGTCAAAGCTTCATTTGGGCAACCAGTTTAAGGGGCCACAAGACAGGAGCAAAGGAGAGGCCTGGGCCCCCGCTGGCCTGGGCTGCAGAGGGAGGATGGGAGTTCTACTGAGAGCCCAGGGACCTGGTGGTCCCCTGGCCCCACTTTCTCAGTGTAGGTGCTCTCTCTGCAGCATCTCCAGCGTGCAGCAGGCAGTCTGCATCTGCACTGGGATGCCTCCAGTGCCAGGAAGCTCACTCTCGATGTGCTCAGGCCCTCGCAGGGTTGAGGCATTGCTTTGGGGGAACTGTCTGTGCTCCACCAGCCTCCTCAACTCCAGCAGAGAGTGGAGGAATGGGTGAGTTCCTGCCCAGGCAGCTGGGGGCCTCAAGCAGGAAACCTGTGTAGAACCAGAGACCAAAATCCTTTGGAGGAACAAGGATTCATCACATGAGAATTACTCTTAAAGTAGAGATTCTGGAGGTGCCCCTGACTCTCTGGAGAGAAGAATGAATGAATGAATGAATGAATGAACAAAAGAGCTTACATTTATTGAGCATGCTTGTGCTAAGCCCTGGGCTGGCCTTTGTTTCATTGGCACAACAGCCTTGAGAGGTTGGTCCATTATCACCCCTCAGTTCAGGTAAGTGGACTGAGGCTGAGAGAGGTGCACGGGTTTGTCAGGGTCACATAGCACATGAGGACAGAGCCAGACCAGGAGCCCTGTGACATCCTCGGCCAGGATGCTAACCCTAAGGACAGTGAGGTCACTCTTCACACCGCTGTGAAGGGAGAGGCTATTGCTCTGCACCCACAGCTCAGCAATGGGGACCATGAACGCCTCTAGGCAGCCCATGTATGGGGCCGCTACCTACCTGGTAACTGTCCACGGCTGTCCATTTGGAAGAGATATTGATGTGTTTGTTTTCTCCTCCCCAGCCTGTGGGCTCCTGGAGCCAAGGACCCCACCTAATTCATCACTAGGCACAAAACAGCTGCTCAATAAATGTTTACTGAATGAATGAACGCATGAAGAATCAATGAAGGAGGCGGTGAAGGAATGAATGAGTCAGTGGAGAACCTGAATTGGTTCCTCAAGCCAGCCTTCCACTGCCCTGCATGCCCTGGCATCTTGGACATTTCTGGCACTAGGCTGCTCCTGCCACCTCACTGCCAGGGGTGATACAGGGCTGCCGGCCTCTGCAAGCCGGGGAGGCCTACGGCTGTGCCGAGGCAGGGAACAGTGTGCTGTACTCCTCCTGGAAGCTTAGGTCCTTGAATCTCCGCACGGCCAGGGCTGCGGTCAGGCTCTGCCAGGAGAGAGTAGGGGTGAGGCCAGTGGGGAAGAGCTGCAGAGGTGCCAGGAGGGAGGCTGGCTTCAGGGGGCCGGGCAGGCACCTGTTGGTCAGGTACTTCAGACCCATGGCTAGAAATCATCCACTACTCCTCTGTGAGCCCCGCCCCTAAACTCCTCCCTGTAGGCTGGGTGGTCCCCACTTCTGGGGCACCTTCTCTGGACTGAGATCCCCTGGGGTCACCTGGTTCTTCCTACCCAGTCTTGAGGACACTGAGGGGTGGAGCAGCCAAGGCTGGCCCACTAGGGCCTGAACCACGGGTCTCCCCCTCCAAATGCTATCTTCTAATATTGTTGGGGAGATGGGTGTACCCCTCAAAAATGGATATCCAGGGGCCCTCAAAAAGAAAAAGACGTCAACCCGGGGCAAACCAGAAGGATGGGGGAAACAGGGACGGCTGGCGGCCTGTATGTAGCCTCAAGAGTCTCCTTGCAGGAGGCTGGGCCCAGAAGTGCTCGCCGGTCCAGAGGGGAGGCAGCTGTGGGTTATGGGGAGGGCTCTTGGGATGGGGCTATGGAGGTGATGTGGCCCCAGATCTCTGCAGAAGGGTGATTAGGAGAGAAGAAACAGACATGACCCAGACCAGTGGGAAAGAGGGGCCAGCCGAGCTGCCAGCCCAGGGCCTGCTGGGCCCAGAGACATACTTTGTTTGACACACACAATATATTGTTTAAACCTGAATAAACTTCCAACATATCAAGATCAGATTTCATGTAAAAATTCAGACTTCTGCCTTCTCTAGGTCCCTATTCCTGCTTGGCAGCCGAGCAGAGGTACCCTCTTAGGACTTAGGATAGGCACGCATGTGTCACCCGGCCTGCTCACGGCTCTCAGGCCCTGCCTGGCCCATGTGCATCTGATGTCGACACCTGTGTCCCCCAGATCCTACCCTCTCATTTTATGGATGGGAAGACAGAGGCTAGGAAAATCAGAGGCAGCCCCGATCGGAAGCAGGTCTCCTGACTCCTAGGCAGGGCTGCTTCCCAGCCTCAAACCCTGTAAGCCTCACCTTCCTGTCTAGGCCTCTGCTTTCTCATCTGTGAAAGGGGATAATAAACACCATTTACCCAGAGTGGTTTGGGGGGGGGGTGGTCCGTGACCCCCAGGAAGGCTGCTCTGCACCACAGTGAGGGTCTGCCATCTCCAGTGACCATGCTACCCCCGAGGGCTGTAGCCTCCTTGCTGAGGGAGGCAGCACCACTGTGAGCGCCGCAGACAGGCAGGCAGAAGAGGGAGCGAGGGTAGTGTGGGCTCCCAGAGGCAGAGCGGGTCCCAGGCTAGCGAAAGGCCACCCATCCAGGGGCTCAGTGGGGAAAGGGGACGAGTGTGGGCTGGTGCGCGGTGGCTGTACTCACCCAGGTGAAGATGGAGAAAAAGGAGAAGGCGATGGCGGCCCGGGCTGCGTCCGTCCCTTCGTTCAGTGGGTTGTCCTTGGGCTTGGAGACCTGCCACTGGTTGGCCAGGTAGCAGAATCCCACGAACCAGAGGAAAGCCCAGAAGGCTGGGGGGTCCCAGGACCGGGCAGAATAGGCAGTGCCACACATGGGGGAGAGGGTGAGTGGGGAGAAAATGGGGAAGCCGAGGAACAGAGGGACATTCAAGAGTGCATCTCCCATGCTCCCCCACCCCCAAAGGGACAGGCAAAGGGGGTAGGGGAAGAGAGAGGGGAGCCAAGAGAAGATGCAGGCGAGAAGAGGGAAGCCAGCCAGATGCAGGGGGGAGGAGGCCACAGACAGGGCAGGGTCAGGGCCAGTCAGAGGAGAGCCACGGGCAGTGAGAGGGGAGGATGGAGGGAGAGACAGAGAAAGAAGGTAATCAACTCAGGCCGCATTTCTGCAGCCTCTGCCAAACCCCCATGTCCAGCCACACCGCTGACGTGGGCCCCCCCGGTCCACCCCTGATGCCTGCAACTCTGCAGGCAGGAAGACCCCAACCCTCAGGCTGCCAGACAAATGAGGTATGGGAAGGAGGACGAGGCTGGGGCAAGGATGGCAGCTTGGCTGGGTGGGTCTGGGCTTCGACTTCTAACGTGCTGCGACCCCACAGAGCCCCAGGTTTAGCGAGGGGCCCACTGAGAGCCGAGCCTGGGGGCGTCAGCAGTGGGAGCCTCATAGCCACGCAATCTCCTGTGAGTGCCAAGGTCTCCCCAGAGAAGCCCAGACCTGCTCAGGACAAGGCGTGCATCTGCCAAGCAGGTGGGGTGCCCACCTGGGGCCCAGCCCACCTCCCAGAGGCACTGCCAGGGAACCCTGAGGCTCTGTGGAAGTTTGAGAACCATTCATTTAGTTCTAGTTCCTTCTAAAACTAGACCTCATGACCTGCCTTCAGCCTGGCTTATCCTGAGAGCTCCAGGCTTAGAACTAGGGGTTGGTCCCAGTCCGGGGACCCAAGCCTCAGAACAGCGAGGCTGAAGCCTCGGGTTCGGACCCCTGACTGAGAGCATCCACCAATCAGATTCCTGGAAGTCACGGAGCAGAGGTCAGGGTGCCTCTGCCAAAGGCTGCTTCTGAAGGGCAAAGGGCAGCAGGTCAGGTTGGCTCCACAGGTCCAGGCCCTGGTCCTGCCAAGGTCTGGCTGGGAGGCGTGGGGAGGCTGAGGCTCCAGGGCCCCTGCTGTGCACTGGGCACCCAGTCACCGCCTTGCTTAGTCCTCATGAGGCTGCCCCAGGGAGGTGGCACAGAAGAGGCCACTGAAACACGGGCCAACCCATGGGGGCTGGCACATGCCCAGTGCCATCCATGGGTCCCTTAGACTAGAAGGAACTAGAATCCCATCCACGCTCCCCTGCCTGTGGGCAGCATGGGTTATTTTGGGGTCCCAGGCCCTGTCCTGGTCCCATCCTTCCTGCTGCCAGCCATGTGACCCTGAGTCCATCCCTTCACCCGCCTGCACCTCATTTCCTCATCTGAAACATGGGAAGAAGGGTGGCAGCCGCCTCCTATGGCCGGGACAGCCCTCTGTAGACTCTGTGCAGGGGGTACCTGCTGGGTGGGGCTCACCCGAGACACCGATGTCGGACAGGACGGCTTTCTTGCGGTCCTTGACGCTGCTGATCTGCGGGAAGTACACGTCCAGGGCCAGGTACAGCAGGCAGGTGAGGAAGGCGAGCACGCCCACGGCCACGCCATAGCTGCAGGCGTTGGGGTTGCGGTTGTAGATGCAGAACTCCTCCCCCTCGGAGGCGCTGTTGAGGTAGCCCTCGTTCACGATGGAGCCGAACACCACTATGGAGAACAGCTGTCGGGGGTGGGGCCACACCTTAGACCTGGGCAGACCCCTGCCTCACACCACCCAGGGGACGGGGAGGCTGCCACCCTCGCCTGCTGCCTGGCCCTCCGTGAGCTACAAGACCCGGGTTAAGCAGGCATTTCAGAGGGGGATCCCCAGAGAGGGAGGGTAACTTATGTGGGTCACATAGCACCAGGTGGGGGTCAATCACTTCCTTCCTCAGCCACAGGCACTGAGGACTCTCTGACCATAGATGTGGCCCCTTCCAACACCCCTCAGCCAGGTCCTAAAGGTCTTCCTGGGCCCTGACACCAAGATATCCTGGGACTGGACCGACTCTCAAAGAACAAGGAGCCACAGGCCCTCCTGGGCTGTGGACCTGCCCAGCCCCCACCCCCAGGCTGACTCCTCCAGATGCTGGCATGTGCCGGGCCCCATCTTGTGTTCTCCTTCCCTCTGCAGAGCTGTGGGCTGGTCTGGGGTCTCAGGCCCCTACCCAGGCCTGGCAAGTAGATGGAGTGATGAATGAAAAAATAACAGTGGGCTGGGGGTGGTGGCTCATGCCTGTAATCCCAGCACTTTGGGAGGCCAAGGTAGGAGGATCACTTGAGCTCAGCAGTTGGAGACCAGCCTGGGCAACATGGCAAAACCCCGCCCCTACTAAAAAATAAAAAAATTACCCAGGTATGGTGGTGCGTGCCTGTAGTCTCAGGTACCAGGGAAGATGAGGGGGAGGATCTCTTGAGCCCAGGAGGTGGAGGTTGTAGTGAACCGTGATCATGCCACTGCACTCCAGCCTGGGTGACAGAGAGAGGCTCTGTCTCAAAAAAACAAAACAAAGCAAAACAAAAAACTCTCGGGCCAGGCGTGGTCGCTCACGCCTGTAATCCCAGCACTTTGGGAGGCAGAGGCGGGTGGATCACGAGGTCAGGAGTTTGAGACCAGCCTGGCCAACATGGTGAAACCCCGTCTTTACTAAAATACAAAAATTAGCTGGGCATGGTGGCGGATGCCTGTAATCCCAGCTACTCGGGAGGCTGAGGCAGGAGAATCACTTGAACCTGGGAGGTGGAGGTTGCAGTGAGCCAAGATTAAGCCACTGCACTCTAGCCTGGGCAACAGAGCAAGACACTCTCAAAAAAAAAAAAA
The DNA here is from genome assembly GCF_000001405.40 of Homo sapiens. NCBI lineage: Eukaryota > Metazoa > Chordata > Mammalia > Primates > Hominidae > Homo > Homo sapiens. The sequence goes on along the minus strand of NC_000022.11, from coordinate 39,373,175 downwards.
TCTATCTATGTGTGTGTGTGTGTGTGTGTGTGTGTGTATTAAATAGAAAATAACAATAGACACAATCCTGCCAGATACAGGGCACCCTGCATGATCCCAAGGGTATATTACACATGCTATCTCACTGACCCCACTACAGGATATGGCAAGAAGTGATGGGATATCACTTCTGGGAGTAAGTGACAAAGGATTTCTGCCTCCATCTTGCTCGTCCTCTTCTCCCCCACTCCCTGGTTGCTCTGATGAAAGCTGTTGTGTTTTGGACTACCCTTTGGAAAGACTGCATGGCAAGGAACTGAGGGTCTTTAGCCAACTGCCCACAGGGAACTGAGCCCCTCAGTCCAACACCCACAAGTAATTGAATCCTGCCAATACCATGTCAGTGAGCTTAAGAATGGATCCACCCAGGCCAGGCACAGTGGCTCACGCCTGTAATCCCAGCACTTTGGGAGGCCGAGGTGGGTGGATCACCTGAGGTCAGGAGTTCGGGACCAGCCTAGCCAACATGGAGAAACCCTGTCTCTACTAAAAATACAAAAAGTAGCCAGGTGTGGTAGCACATGCCTGTCATCCAGCAACTTGGGAGGCTGAGGCAGGAGAATTGCTTGAGCCCAGGAGAACTGTTTGCTGGGCCTGGGCGGAGGTTGCAGTGAGCCGAGATTGTGCTATTGCATTCCAGCCTGGGTGACAGAGAGAAACTCCGTCTCAAAAAAAAAAAAAAAAAAAAAAAAAAAAAAGAGCTGGGCGTGGTGCATGGTGGCTCATGCCTATAATCCCAGCACTTTGGGAGGCTGAGGTGAGCAAATCACGAGGTCAGGAGATCAAGACCATCCTGGTTAACATGGTGAAATCCTGTCTCTACTAAAAATACAAAACATTAGCTGGGTGTGGTGGCACGTGCCTGTGGTCCCAGCTACTTTGGAGGCTGAAGCAGGAGAATCGCTTGAACCCAGGAGGTGGAGGTTGCAGTGTGCCAAGATCAACCCCACTGCACTCCAGCTTAGGCAACAGAGTGAGACTCCGTCTCAAAAAAAAAAAAAAAAAAAAAAAAAGAATGGATCTACCCTCAGTTGAGCCTTCAGATGAAACCACAGCCCTACCTGATGCTGTGATTATAGCCTTGTGAGAGACCCTGAGGCAGTGGCACCAAGCTTAGCAGATTCCTCACCCACAGAAACTGTCAGATAACAAATATTTCTTGTTATAAGCCTTATGTTGTAGGGCAATTTGTTGTGCAGCAATAGCTTGCCAATACATCCTGCACCATCAGCATTTTGCAGATAAGACAGTTAAGGCTCAGCTATTGTTAACACACCCAAAGTCACACAACTGGTCAGTGACAGAACCTGGCTTCAAACCCAGGGTACCTGACTCTAAAGTTCACGCTTTTTGGCTGGGCATGGTGTCTCACGTGTGTAATCCCAGCACTTTAGGAGGCTGAGAAAGGAGGATCACTTGAGTCCAGGAGTTCAAGACCAGCCTCAGCCTCCTGAGTAGCCGGGACTATAGGCGTTTGCCACGATACCTGGTTAATTTTTTGTATTTTTAGTAGAGATGGAGTTTCGTCATGTTTGTCAGGCTGGTTTCAAACTCCTAACCTCCAGTGATCCACCAGCCCCAAGCCTCCCAAAGTGCTGGGATTACGGGCGTGAGCCACCATGCCCGGCCAGAAACTATAATTTCTTTTTTTTTTTTTTTTGAGATGGACTTTCGCTCTTGTTGCCCAGGCTGGAGTGCAATGGTGCAATCTCAGTCCACCACAACCTCTGCCTCCTGGGTTCAAGCGATTCTCCTGCCTCAGCCTCCCGAGTAGCTGGGATTACAGGCATGCGCCACCACATCCGGCTAATTTTGTATTTTTAGTATAGATGGGGTTCCTCCATGTTGGTCAGGCTGGTCTCAAACTCCCGACCTCAGGTGATCTGCCCACCTCGGCCTCCCAAAGTGCTGGGATTATAGGAGTCAGCCACCACGCCCGGCCTCAGAAACTACAATTTCAATGTGAGTTGAGCATATTTTCTTCCTGGGTGATGCCCAGGATGGGTAATGATTCCAGGACAGGTATGTGAAAAATATGAGAAGCATTCTTAATATTATCTTATCTCTGTAAGATGTCTATAGTTTACATGGATTTTATAATGCACAGGATATATTAGTACAGTAGTAGCATATATGAAACCAATAAATCTACATTGAATGGGAGGATTGGTGCAAACATTTTTCCTGAAAGGAGCACGATTAAAAGTTTAGAGACCGGCCAGGTGCGGTGGTTCATGCCTGTAATCCCAGCACTTTGGGAGACCAAGATGGGTAGATCACTTGAGGTCAGGAGTTCGAGACTAGCCTGGCCAACACGGTGAAACCCTGTCTCTATACTAAAAATACAAAAAATTAGCTGGGCGTGGTGGCACACAACTGTAATCCCAGCTACTCGGAAGCCTGTGACAGGAGAATGGCTTGAACCTGGGAGGTGGAGGTTGCCGTGAGCTGAGATTGTGTCACTGCACTCCAGCCGACAGAGCGGGACATTGTCTCAAAAAAAAAAAAAAATGGTTAGAGACCTCTGGGTTAGGATGTTGTGTGTTAAGGGGGATTCTGACCTAAATGTGCACAGCAGATGAATGGGGACACAAAGTGTGGTACATTCATAAATTGGACAATTTTTCAGCCATAAAAAGGAACAACCAGCGTGGGCAACATTGTAAAACCGCATCTCTACAAAAAATACCAAAATTAGCTGGGTATAGGCCAGGCGCGGTGGCTCACACCTGTAATCCCAGTACTTTGGGAGGCCGAGGCGGGTGGATCATGAGGTCAGGAGATTGAGACCATCCTGGCTAACACGGTGAAACCCCATCTCCACTAAAAATAAAGAAAATTAGCTGGGCGTGGTGGCACGTGCCTGTGGTCCCAGCTACTCAGGAGGCTGAGGCAGGAGAATTGCTTGAACCTGGGAGGTAGAGGTTGCAGTGAGCCGAGATTCGCCACTGCACTCCAGCCTGGGCGACAGAGATCCGTCTCAAAACAAAACAAAACAAAAATTAGCTGAGTATGGTGGCATGCACCTGTGGTCCCAGCTACTTGGGGGACTGAGGTGGGAGGATTGCTTGAGCCTGGGAGTTTGAGACCAGCCTGGGCAACACAGCAAAACCCCATCTCTACAATAAATAAATTACAAATTATAAAAAAGAAAAAAATGTACACTGAATTATACAACATTAAAATGGTATGTTAGGCTAATCTGGCCACAGTAAAAAAAAGAAAGGATTCTGAAGCTGTGTTCAGCCCATGGTTCAGCCATGGGCACAGAGGTGGGCAGTGGTGGCCCGTGAGCCACCATTTGCCAGTCCTGATTTGGGAAAACCCCATGACCATGAGACTTCAGACCCGTGAGGGCATCGGGGCCCACAGCTCTGCCTCCCACAGGCTCTGCAGCCTCACCATCACCCCTAGAGTGGAGAGGGCTATTTGTAGTGTTCCCAATTGGCAGAGTAGAAAAACTAAGGCTCAGAAAGAGAAGGTGGCACTGTTGTCAGCAGCACAGGCTGAAGTTGAACCCAGGTCTCCTGATTCCCAGACCTGTGTTCTTTTCCACCTGGCCAAGCTGACTCTCAGCCTCTGGAGGTGGGCCCTGAAGAAGGGATGGAATTTACTCCCAGAGACCCAAGGGATCAGGCAGAGGACCAGCAGGGAGGAAGGCCGGGAGGGTAGCTTCAGTGTGACTGGGGATCAGGCGACTCGATTCAGTCTCAAGTCTGGTGCTCAGAGGCACAGTGGGGAGCGCCTGTGAAGTCAGGACAGAGCCATTGTCAAAGGGGCTCCTGAGCTACTGACAAACCAAGACAAGCAAGGCAGACTCTGAACACTGGGAGATGTGCAGTACACGGCCAGCTGCTTGGGCCGTGGACTGCACAACTCCAGGGACTGCTAGTCACACAACCCCTTGCACTGGTGTACTGCAACAAGTCCAAGGCTCCTACCAGAAAACTGTCAGGTTGGGAACCTGAGGCCCAGTCCTGGATGTCACCAGATGCCACCAAACCAGAACAGAAAAGGCTCCTGATCAGAAAGAGACTTCAGACACTGAGGAATCATACAGACCCGCCAATTCAAATCCAAGGCCTGCTGCTTATGCTGGGTAGCCTCAGGCAAGTGACTTAACCTCTCCGAGCCTCAGATTGGTCCTCTGTAAAAATTAACATCCCCTCTGGGGCAGATGGGAGAATTAGAGCAAGTACCCAGAGCAGAGCTTTGGAAGCCCCATAGGGGCTGCATAACGTTCATTTCCTCTCTCAAGGCCCCAGAAAAGAGGAATAACACCAGGAAGGCCCCTCTCGAACACTTACTAACAGACACATGCTTCCGGGGGCTGGAGGAGACCCCACTGCTGCCAGCGCTGAAAATAAGTGTGGATCTCCTTCCAAAAACAGAACAATATCAGGCTCCCTGAAGACAGAGAGGAGGTGGGAGGGGAAACAGGCAGGCAGAAGCCTGGGCCCTGGGGACAGCAGAGGAGGAACCATTAAGACTGGGCTCTCTTGGGAGACAGAGGCAGGCAGTCCTCAGAGAAGCCAGGAGGAAAGTGCTGGAGAGGATGTGTCCCCAAGAGGGTGCAGAGCAAGAACAGAATAGCTTCGGAGGGACTGGGCGGGGCCGTATGGCCCCAGCAGACACCCGCCTCGGTCAGGCATTCATCACAGGTCACAAGTTTCTCAGCTCCTGGCACTGCGCTGGGAGGGGCACCAGGCGGTAATTCAGTCCAAGAGACCCTGCTGTGGGAGCCGATTGTGTGGGGAGCAAGACTGAGTCAGATGACCTGGGCCCACTGAATCCCAGTGTGGCCACTTGGACCAGTGGGGTGACCTAAGGCCACTGACTTAACCTCTTGAGCCTCAGTTTCTGCATCTGTCAAGTGGGGGCAACAATAGCACCGAAACCAAGGATGCATTGTGAGGAATCAGTGAGGTCATGCATGCAAGGAAGGGCACGTGGCCTGGAGTAAGGAGCCCCAGAAGGCTAGACTGCCACTAAACTCATGGAACAGATCACAAAGGCAATGGCGGTCCCTGGCAAACGCCAGGAGGGAGCAGTGATGGCCAGGGAAAAGGGCCCTGAAGCAGGGCCTCCGATTGGAGACAAGAATGAGCCAGGCCTGCAAAGATCTGGGGGAAGTATGTTCCAGGCACAGGAACAGAAAGTGCAAAGGCTGAAGGCAGGAAAAGGTTTTGTACGATGAGGTGGGAAGGAATATGGCTGGAGCAGTGACCCGGGAACTAAGTACATGGGACATGCAGCGGGACAAGGCCTGGTGAGCTGCTGTGGTGGGGACTTTGTTTTTTTTTTTTTTTTTTTTGAGACAGGGTCTCGCTCTGTTGCCCAGGCTGGAGTGCAGTGGTGTGACCTCGGCTCACTGCAACCTTTGCCTCTTGGGTTCAAGCCTTTCTCCTGCCTCAGCCTCCCAAGTAGCTGGGATTACAGGCGTGTGCCACCAAACCCAGCTAATTTTTGTATTTTTAGCAGAGACGGGGTTGTGCCATGTTGGCCAGGCTGGTCTTGAACTCCTGATCTCAGGTGATTTGCCCGCCTCGGCCTCCCAAAGTGCTGGGGTTACAGGCGTGAGCCACCTCGCGCGGTCTACAACCCAAGCTTCTAAGGCTGGGGTCAAGGCCCTTCATGTGCTGGCCCCGCCCACCGCTCCTGGGGTCTCACCTCCTTCCACTCCCCCTACCACCTGCCTCCCCACCTTTGCACGCCCCAGGCCCCTTTCCATGTTTTCCTCCCTGGAAGACTGACTGTCCCTACCGCCTGCTACAGGCTGAGCTACAACCTACTTTGCTGTTTGTTTGCTGGAGTGGAGTGAGTGAGCTGCCTGCCCTGCCCTGGGGCCTGGGAGGCCTCTTCTGGGGCTTGACATCAGCCGTTCGTTCACTCAACATTTCCTGAGCACCTAGTATGTACCAGCCCTGTGCAAGAGGCTGAGGACACAGTTGGGAACAGGATGTATGAGGTTCCTGTTCTTACCGAGGGAGACAAGTGTCATGAAGAACGAAGCAGGGCAAGAGGAGGCGGACTGGGGGCCCAGGGAGGCCTCTGATGCAGCGACCTTTGAGCAGAAGTCTGACTCAGTGAGGGACCCGAGCCCAGGGAAGAAGCAGCCACAGGTGCCAAGGCCTTGGGTGCAAAGAAGCTGTGTGTGTTCAGGAGCGGCATGGAGGCCCGCACGATAGGAGCCGAGCAAGTGAGGGAGACACCAAGAGGCGAGGCTGGCGAGGAAGATGGGTTGGCCTTGAGGGCCAGGGTGAGTTCAGGAGACACTGCAGGCTGAAGAGCAGCTGAGTGACTTGATGCGACTTAGGTTTGAGAAGAATCAGACCGGCTGCTATGGAGAGAAAAGACTGTGGTGGCAAAGGTGAATGCAAGCAGCCCAGACAGGAGCTACGACAGCACCCAAGTGAGGGACAGGCCTGGGGCTGGTGCAGGCAGTGGAGATGGGGAGAAGTGGTGGGTGCTGAATATATATATATATTTTTGAGATGGAGTCTCGCTCTGTTGCCCGGACTGGAGTGCAGGGGCGCAATCTCAGCTCACTGCAACTTCCGCCTCCCGGGTTCAAGTGATTCTCCTGCCTCAGCCTCCTGAGTAGCTGGGATTATAGCCGTGCGCTCCTGCACCTGGCTAAGTTTTATATTTTTAGTAGAGATGGGGTTTCACCATGTTGGCCAGGTTGGTCTCGAACTCCTGACCTCAGGCAATCCGCCCGCCTTGGCCTCCCAAAGTGCTGGGATTACAAGCGTGAGCCACTATGCCCGGCCTGAATATATTTTGAAAGTAGAGCCACCAGAATCTGCAGACACAGCCGACGTAGGGAGTGAGAGGAAGAGTGAAGAAGCTGGGGATGGTGGCTCACGCCTGTGATCCCAGCACTTTGGGAGGCCGAGGTAGGTGGATCACTTGAGGGTGAGTGATCACTCCTGGGTGAGCCCAGGGGTTTGAGACCAGCCTAGGCAACATGGTGAAACCCCATCTCTACTAAAAATACAAAAATTAGCCAGGCAGAGGCTGAGGCCAGAGGATTGCTTGAGCCCAGGAGGTGAAGGTTGCAGTGAGCTCTGATTGCACCACTATACTCCAGCCTGGGGGACAGAGGGAGACCCTGTCTCAAAAAAAAAAAAAAAAAAAAAAAAAAAGAAGGGGCTGAGCGCGGTGGCTCACGCCTGTAATCCCAACACTTTGGGAGGCTAAGGTGGGCAGATTGCTTGAGACCAGCCTGACCAACATGATGAAATCCTGTCTCTATTAAAAATACAAAAATTAGCCAGGTGTGAAAAAGAAAAAAAAAAGAAAAAGAGCAGATGGGGGAGGAAGTCGTGGGGTTTAGGCTCAATGATGATAATGGGGAGCAGAGCCGTCGCCTGCAAATGCCACATCCCTTGCAGCCTGCTGGTCCACAAGTGGGGAAACTGAGGCTCAGGGAAGGGAAGGAACATCACTGAGGATACAGAAGCAGTCCCTTACAGTCTCCTGAACCCCCTGCAGGGCTGTCAGCTGCCCTCTGTGTCAAGGGTTTAACTTCTCCATTTAGCAGCTGTACCCCACCCTGAGTGGGAGCTCCCCCAAAGCACGACACAAGCCTCAGGTTTCTGCCCCTCAGCCACTCACAGTACATGGGAGGAGGAGCAGAGACTTGCCCAGGGCCTGCTGTGTGCCCAGAAATGTATGCTCTTCACTCCACCAGCTCAATATTCTTATTCCCATTTCAGAGCCGCTTCTAGGGACCTGCACAGGTCTCGCAGCTGGGCAGGAGTGGAGTTGAGGCTTGAACCTGAGTCTCTCTGGATCCAAAGCTGGTGCCCTGTGCCAGGCAGCATCCCTGAGTCACTTGCTAAGGCCAGATCTGCAGGGACAGCAAGGGGCACACAGAGCAGCCACAAGGAGACACTGGAGAACCGGAAATGAAACCAGAATGAAATTCCACACTGGCCACAGCAGCCGAGACACTGGGGAAAATTCATCCAACAAGCGGATCTGCTGTGGGGAAGGGAGACAGGTCTTCAGAGGCAGAGCCAGAGGCCCAGAAACAGGGGAGGATGGAGGGTGATGGCCAAGGGAGGACCCAGGTCACCAGCAAGCAGAGGGAAAACAAGCTTCCCTCGAGCTAAAGCAAACGCTAAAAAAAGGCATCAAGGTAAACCTGCCAAGCCTCTTTGGTTTTTTTCCGCCCTCTTTAAAATCCAATCCCGAGTCTTTTTTAAAAACGGATTCCAGATGGCGCTTGGTGGAGATCTATGTCAAACTCAGAAAAACAAATCAGAAGGAATCTCAGAATCTTGGATTTCAGGATCCTTGGCTACTGGATTCAGAGACACATAGAAACAGAGACCCCAGAAGCACCAAGCCCTTTGTGGCCTACCCTGATCTCATCTGTCCCCCTCCCCACCCTATGCAGCCACCACAGAGGGCTGAGAGTGGGTGGTGTCCTCAGGCTGTCTGACAACTCTGCACCTGCCTTCCTACCTTCTTCATCTTCAATGGGAGCGAACTCCTCTTTGCCCTCTGAACGCTGCTGGGATATAGTGACTCCCAGACACCTTCAGGGACAACCCACTTCCCAGTCACTCTTTCCCACCCTGAGCCTTGGTCACTCCTGGCTGGGACCTATTTACAAGTCTGTCCCCACTCTGAGACCCTGAACCAGCCCACAGCCTCCCAGGAGCTGGTGCCAATGGAAGAAGGCACCTAAATCATCTATTTTAATCCCCATAAAAATCTGCAAATCATCCCCACAAAGCAGTCTTATACTTAGAGCATTTCACAGTCAGGGAGGCTAAGGCTCAGAGAGGCCCTGCCTCTCGCTGACCCACAGCAGATGGGGAACCTGCCTCACATCCGGGCCTGCTCCTCCAGCTCACCCACGACCTCTGTGTCCAGCTGCCTATCCATGAAGGATCGAATTCCAGAATCCCAAACTCTAAGGTCAACATGAGACCAAGGAGGCATGCCTGCTGGTCCTGAGCCGTGTCCCGCAGTGCAAAAGGGCACAGGCCCACTTTACTTGAGGGGAGATGGTATCTCCCCTCTGCAGACAGACCACCCAGGGTGTGCCTAGGACCCACTGCAGGGCGTCGGCTAACGAAGGCTCAGGGCGAGCTGTGCCCAGCCAGCATGGGGGTGGCTGAGATCACTGTAACGCTGCCAGGAACCTCCTAGAGGCCTCGTTTTAAACGTTTTTAGACAATGCTGGCTTTCCCCAGATAAGCTGCAGAGAGATGACATCTGGAGCCCACGGCACTCTGTCCTCCCAGCTCCAAATGGAACCGTCTACCTCGCCCTGCGCAGGAACATCCCTGAGCTGGGTGGCTCGGGGGAGCCCTGGTCCCTGCCCTGCGGTGCAGGCAGCCAGGCAGCTGGCCCCTGCCCATGTCCAGGTGCCTGACACCACCACAGCCTCCTCTCCAGCCTCCTCCAGGCAGTCCCCAGGCAGCAGCCAGGGGGATATCACCCACTCCAAACCTCAACAATCCCTCCGCTGGCTGAAGATAAAGTCCATCACCCTAGAATGGCCCTGAGGTCCCCCTGCTTGGGCCATGAGTCCTTCCTCCAGTGCCCCAGGCTCTCTCAGCCTCCCCAGTGATCTCTCTCAGCCTCCCCAGCACCAGCTGCTGGGCCCCAGTCCTGGGTTCATACTCGACCCCTCCAACCAGTCTGACATTCGGGCCAGCTGCTTCAACCTCCTCCCAAAACTGTCAAGTCCCTCCACCCTGGGGCAGGCCACTGTCACCCCTCTCCAGGCAATGACAGCAGCCCATATGTCCACTTGCACCCCCACACTCTGTCCCCTCATAGCAGCCAGACAATCCCCTTAAACCCAAGTCAGGTCATGTCACCCCCCAGGTCTAGACTCTTGGATTGATGCTCACCCACCGCCCCCTGCCCAGGTAAAGACCTTCCCCCACCAAACGCCAGGGCTCCTGCCTTCCTCTGAAGCTCCCCAACACTCTCCTCCCAAGCCCTCCTGAGTTCATCCCTGCCTCAGGGCATTCACACTCGGCTCTTTCCTCTGCCTGGGATGCCTGTATTTCTCCAGATCTTCCTTCAGCTGGCTCCTCAACACGCACATCTCAACACAAAAGACACCTCCCCAGAGAAGCCCTCCAGACCAGACTCCAGATCTAAGGTATTCTCCAGTGCCTCAATTAATTTTCTTGGTAACATCACAATATAACTTCTTTCCTATTTGTTGGTTCAGTTGTTGGGTGCACGTCTCTCCCCCAGACCCAGGGAGAGGGTCAGGAAAGGCTTTGAGGGGAGTAGACAGCAAGTCTGATAGTCAGAGAGGGCCAGGCAGCACGGGGGGTAGAAAGGAGAATCATCCCCTCCTGAGCGTCCTTGGCTGGCACCTCCGCTTGCACACCCCTGTGCACAGGGAGCTCACTCCCTGAAAAGGGGGCTGCCGAGCCCTCTCCCCACAAGCTGAACCCAGCCTTCCTGCCCTTGTCCTGGTGCAGGCATCCATCCTGCCTCCTGGGGAAAGGCTGAGGGAAGAAGGGAGCGGTCACACTTTGAGAAATGAGTCAGGCTGCCAAGGGCCCCCCTTCACAGGAACAGGGCCTTGTCTTCCCCCAGGGTCAAGTGAGGAAAATGGCTGAAGCCGCATGGACACATGATGGGTGTTGGGCAGCCCCTTGTCTTCCTGAAGAGTCTCACTCTGGGGAAAAGGTGGGGGTGGGGCAGGTGAGGCTCCAGGCCCCTCCCCCACCCCGCCTCACACCGGGTTGTGCAGCCTTGGAAGTGACCCACTGGGGATTAGGCGTAATCTCCGCAAGCTGTCGCCCCGAGTGCTCGGTGGTGGGGGTGGAGTGGACTCCGCTGGGCAGGGCCTGGGCGAGCAGACCCCTGCCTCCCCAAGGTGCTGAGGCTGGGCCTGGGTGATCTGCAGGCCCCTCCCTCTTTCCAGAATGCCCCATCTTCCTCTCCTCTGGCTGAGTAACCTCAAGGGGGCCTTGGAGCCTCAAGAAAAAGGGGGAAATTGGCCGGGCACGGTGGCTCATGGGTGTAATCCCAGCTATGTAGGAGGCCGAGGCAGGAGGATCACTTGAACCCAGGAGTTTGAGACCAGCCTGGGGAACATAGTGAGGCCTCGTCTCTACAAAAAAAAAAAAAGGAGAGAAAGGAGGAAACAAAGACCCAGAGAGGGCTCACTTGACTGGCCCAGGGCCTTACTCTCAGTGGCAGAAGTATCTGGACCACCATCCCCATAATCCTGTACCCCCCCAGGGCCTTCTTTACCCCAGGTCTTATCACCTCTGCCCTTTCAGAGGCAGGGAAGAGGTGGGAGAGGGGAGCAACATCACCACCTGGAAAGGGGTGTAAATGCCAACCAAACACTGCAGAGCCCTTCAGGGCTAGACCTCATTTACATGCCCCGAGACTCCTGGGGTAGGCGCTGTTGTACCCATTTTATAGATGCGGCCACTGAGGTTCTGTGAGGTCTCTCAGTTGATAAGAAGGGCAGGATTGGCCGGGCGTGATGGCTCATGGCTGTAATCCCGGCACTTTGGGAGGCAGAGGCGGGTGGATGACTTGAGGTCAGGAGTTTGAGACCAGCCTGGCCAACATGGTGAGACCCATCTCTACTAAAAATACAAAAAAAATTAGCCAGGCATGGTGGTGGATGCCTGTAATCTCAGCTACTTGGGAGGCTGAGGCAGGAGAATCGGTTGACCCCGATTGTGGAGGTTGCAGTGAGTTGGGATCGTGCTACTGTACTCCAACCTAGGTGACAGAGTAAGACTTTGTCTCAAAAAAAAAAAAAAAAAAAAGGGCAGGGTTAACCATCCAGTTCTGTCTGCTTTTCCTCACCCCAGTGCCTGCCCCCGCCCTGCCAGTCCCTGCATGCCTGAGGTTGTTTGGTTTCTCTCCTGCTGTGCAAATTCCAGGTCATCAGGGAAATAATCTGGTCCCAGGCCCTGCCTCACCTTCTAGAGAAGAAAGGCACAGAAGGGGAAAGCTCCCTGTTTTGAGAACTCTGTCAGTCATCCCCACAGAGCCCAAGGGAAGCAGGGAGGGGAGCGCAAGCTTGGGAGAATCCAGGAAGGCTTCACAGGGAGGTGATATTTGAGCAGGGCCCTAAAGGCCAGATGGGACACCTGAAGAACCGTGGCTAGAAGGACGACCGATCAGTGCAGTTCCCGCCACGTCCATCCATAGTTGGGGCCCTAAGGAGATGCCTGGAAGCAATCTAGTCCTGGGGCTATGACAGATGCAGTTCTCGCCCTCCAAGCGTACACCCCAGCAGGGGCGACAGCCTCGTCTCTGCTCTGCCAGGCCTTTCAGCATTTGCCCTCGCTGTTCCTCCTTCCCCCTTCTCTGCCTGGCTGGCTCCTGCCCTCTCAACGCTGACTCAACGCTGGTGTCACCTGCCTGTCCCTCTCTAGGGGTCTGTGCTCACCTCCATATTTTAACTGGTTTCCACCACATTTCCCTCCACTAGACTGTCAGCCCTCCCTACAGACCAGGCACCTCATCCGGCCCGTGCTCAGCATGTATATTAAAGAGAGGACGAGCGGGGTGAGGGTGTCCACATTCTGCGGCGAGCGGGGTGAGGGCGTCCACATTCTGCAGCCGTTTGGATTCAAGGGAGGATGCATAAACCCCTCACGGCTGCCAGACGCTGCTGAGAGATCCATCAATGACAGTTGGCCATGAGATTGGCAATGTGAAGGTCAGGAATGAGCCTGAGAAGATGGCGAGGAGGGGCGAGAGAGCCCGTGGGGAGTGCGTGTGGGAGACCGCAGAAGAAACCCTGGAGACGGTGACAACTCTTCTGAAGGACCAGAGAAATGGATGAGGGAGTGTCTTCCTGAGATGGGGAATCACGCACATTTGCAAGCTGACGCAGAAGAGCCAAGAGTAGAGAGGGCGAAACTGAGGGTGGAGGAGAGAGAGGGAGAGAGAACTGATGGACGTGTGTCCTTGAGTAGGTGAGAGGAACAGGCTCACGAGGCTGCAGCCAGGCTGGCCTGGGCCACCAGAACAGGGGAGATAGTCTAGGATGAGGGGGGCAGGTGTGAAGATGCCTAGGACTGAATTTAACCAGAGCTGTGCCAGGCGAGTGTGATGCGCAGAAGGGCTGGAGCTGCAACACGTGGCCACTGGGAGGTGCGGAGGGAGACAGGAGGGACCAAGGGGTGGTGAGGGCCAGTGCACAGGGGAAGATCAGTGGTTCAGAGGCCCCAGGCCCAAGGATCTAGGATCAGGGGAGGGAGAGGGAGATGGAAAGGTAGGAGGGTTGGAGGAGACGCCTGGATGGAGGATCAGGGAGTGCGAGAGGCTACTGGGAAGGCAGGGCCAGGCCTAGCTAGGGTCCAGCTGGTGACAGTTGGCTGAGGCTGGCGGACAAGACCATGCGGGAAGAGGAGGCCAGGTGTGGAAAGGGTCACAGAAATAGACACTCCAATGACCAGGACTGGAGCAGGAGCAGTGCTGGAGAGGACTGACACCAAGCTAGGGTGGGCATCTTTTTTTTTTTTTTTTTTTTTTTTTTTTGAGACAGAGTCTCACTTTGTTGCCCAGGCTGGAGTGCGGTGGCGCGATCTTGGCTTACTGCAAGCTCCGCCTCCCAGGTTCACGCCATTCTCCTGCCTCAGCCTCCCGGGTAGCTGGGACTACAGGCCCCCGCCACCACACCCGGCTAATTTTTTTGTATTTTTTTTTTTTTTAGTAGAGACGGGGTTTCACTGTCTCAGCCAGGATGGTCTTGATCTCCTGACCTTGTGATCCGCCTGCCTTGGCCTCCCAAAATGCTAGGATTACAGGCGTGAGCCACCGTGCCCGGCCTGGGGGGGCATCTTTGAAGAACGGGCAAAGTGGCCTCGAGCTGGCTCATCATGAAGGGGAGTGGGCGACCCAGTGCTGGTGTGAGATTCAAAGCTGGGGGACAATGTCCTGTAAGTGGCCTCAGGAACCAGAAGGACCCTGTCGACCTCTACACCCAGCAGAGGGAGGGTCTGAGGGATAAAGCAGCCCCCACTGAACAGGCTGCAGGAAGCAAGGTCTGGGGCAGGCCAGGTTACAGTGCAATTTACAAAAGGTGTCAGGGACATTCTGGGAGGGGCTGAAGGCTCAGGGACTCTTGCCCCCTGCACTGTGAGGTACTGGAGGAGCCCCAACTTGTTAAAGCTCCTGCATGATTGCAGCTTGGGTTTGACAGCTTGGGGCTGTCCCAGCTACGCAGCCGCCCCTCTCTCCAGGTCCCCTTCACCTGGCCCCTGCTCCACCAGCAGCGGGGAGATGAGCAAAACTCTATCTGTGAAGGGACGTTTGTCCCAGAAACACAGGGCATGACTGCCCTTCCAGGCTCCAGCTGATGCCGTCTGCTCTGCTCTTGTGTCCGGAATTGGTGGGTTCTTGGTCTCACTGACTTCAAGAATGAAGCCGCGGACCCTCTCGGTGAGTGTTACAGCTCTTAAGGTGGTGCGTCTGGAGTTCGTTCCTTCTGATGTTCGGATGTGTCCGGAGTTTCATCCTTCTGGTGGGTTCGTGGTCTTGCTGGCTCAGGAGTGAAGCTACAGACCTTCGCGGTGAGTGTTACAGCTCTTAATGCCGCGCGTCTGGAGTTGTTCGTTCCTCCCGGTGGGCTCGTGGTCTCGCTGGCTTCAGGAATGAAGCTGCAGACCTTCGCGGTGAGTGTTACAGCTCATAAAAGTAGTGTGGACCCAAAGAGTGAGCAGTAGCAAAATTTATCGCAACGAGCAGACGAACAAAGCTTTGGAACTGAGCAGGTTGCCAATGCAAGCTCGGGCAGCCTGCTTTTATTCTCTTATCTGGCCCCACCCACATCCTGCTGATTGGTAGAGCCGAGTGGCCTGTTTTGACAGGGCGCTGATTGGTGCGTTTACAATCCCTGAGCTAGATACAAAGGTTCTCCACGTCCCCATCAGATTAGTTAGATACAGAGTTTGGACACACAGGTTCTCCAAGGCCCCACCAGAGCAGCTAGATACAGAGTGTCGATTGGTGCACTCACAAACCTTGAGCTAAACACAGGGTGCTGATTGGTGTATTTACAATCCCTGAGCTAGACATAAAGACTCTCCACGTCCCCACCAGACTCAGGAGCCCAGCTGGCTTCACCTAGTGGATCCCGCACCGGGGCTGCAGGTGGAGCTGCCTGCCACTCCCGCGCCGTGCGCTCGCACTCCTCAGCCCTTGGGTGGTCGATGGGACTAGGCGCCGTGGAGCAGGGGGTGGTGCTCATCGGGGAGGCTCGGGCCGCACAGGAGCCCATGGAGTGGGTGGGAGGCTTAGGCATGGCGGGCTGCAGGTCCCGAGCCCTGCCCCGAGGGAAGGCAGCTAAGGCTCAGTGAGAAATCGAGCGCAGCGCCGGTGGGCTTGCACTGCTGAGGGACCCAGTACACCCTCCGCAGCCGCTGGCCCGGGCGCTAAGTCCCTCATTGCCCGGGGCCAGCAGGGCTGGCCGGCTGCTCCGAGGGCGGGGCCCGCCAAGCCCACGCCCGGGTCCGGGGCCAGCAGGGCTGGCCGGCTGCTCCGAGGGCGGGGCCCGCCAAGCCCACGCCCACCCGGAACTCCAGCTGGCCCGCAAGCGCCGCACGCAGCCCCGGTTCCCGCTCGCGCCTCTCCCTCCACACCTCCCTGCAAGCTGAGGGAGTGGGCTCTAGCCTTGGCCAGCCCAGAAAGGGGCTCCCACAGTGCAGTGGTGGGCTGAAGGGCTCCTCAAATGCCGCCAAAGTAGGAGCCCAGGCAGAGGAGGAGCCGAGAGCAAGTGAGGGCTGTGAGGACAGCATGCTGTCACCTCTCACTCCCATGCATAGACCTGGGGCCCAGTGCCCCCTCTGCTGCAGGCTCCTACAAAGCATGAGGGGATGGCTCCAAACATCACTTTTTTTTTTTTTGAAACAGAGTCTTGCTCTGTTGCCTGGCTGGAATGCAGTGGTGGGATCTTGGCTCACTGCAACCTCCGCCTCCTGGGTTCAGGCGATTCTCGTGCCTCAGCCTCTGGAGTAGCTGGGATTACAAGCATAATCCTAGGCACCACCACACCCGGCTAATTTGTGTATTTTTAGTAAAGGCAGGGTTTCACCATGTTGGTCAGGCTGGTCTCAAACTCCTGACCTCAAGTGAGTCAACCACCTTGGCCTCCCAAAGTGCTGGGATTACAAGTGTGAGCCATCGCGCCTGGCCCCAACATCACTTCTTTAAAGACTGACCAATCCAAAGTTCCCAACCTGGAGTCCACTAGGAGCAAGAGTGGGGTTCTTCAAGGGTGGAAAGGTCGGGATCCACCAGAGCAATCCAACTATCCTTTTCCCATTTGATAGATGGGGAAACCAAGGCCAGGAGAGCATGGGCCTCTTGCTCCAGTCACACAGCCAATCACTGGCAGAGAGGGTGCAGAACGCAGCCTCAGGTCTCCAGGCCAAGGCACTCCTCTGCGCCTACCCTGCCTCCCCTCCCACCTGACAGCTGGTTCTTCCGGTCTGGGTGCCAAGTGTGGCTCCCTCCAACAGCCCTGCCATCTGCCTCTCCCTTCCTCCCTCCCTCCTCCTCCTGGCTTCTCCTCCTCTCTTCCCTTCCTCTCCCAGCCTCTGTTTTTTCTCCCTGGGGCTCAGGCCCGCCCAACAGCTTTGCACACGCTGCTCATGTGGGACTCCCCACATGGCTGGGGACTCCCTGGAGCAGGGGCCATGGGTTCCGATCCCAGTGACTCCAGTTAACCTCTCTGGGCCTCAGCTTTTCATCTAAGGAGGGGATAACAAAACGCACCACAGCAGACTTACGGCAGGCCTTTTAAACTTGCATTCAGGCCAGGCAAGATGGCTCACACCTGTAATCCCAGCACTTTGGGAGGCCGGGGCAGGCGGATCACTTGAGGTCAGGAGTTTGAGACCAGCCTGGCCAACATGATGAAACCCTGTCTCTACTAAAAATATAAAAATTAGCCGGGTGTGGTGGCGGACATCTACTCAGGAGTCTGAGGCAGGAGAATCGCTTGAATTTGGAAGGTGGAGGCTGCAGTGAGCTGAGATCGTGCCACTGCATTCCAACTTGGGTGACAGAGCGAGACCCTGTCTCAAAAACAAACAAACAAAAATAACTTGCATTTTCTTTTCCTTTCTTTCTTTTTCTTTTCTTTTTTTGAAATGGAGTTTCACTCTTTTAGCCCAGGCTGGAGTGCGATGGCGCAATCTCGGCTCACTGCAACCTCCACCTCTCGGGCTTAAGCGATACTCATGCCTCAGCCTCCCAAGTAGCTGGGACTACAGACGCGTGCCACCACGCCTGGCTAATTTTTTGTAATTTTAGTAGAGATAGGGTTTCGCTATGTTGGCCAGGCTGGTCTCGAACTCCTGACCTCAGGTGATCCACCTGCCTCTGCCTCCCAAAGTGTTGGGCTTACAGGCATGAGCCTCCACACCTGGCCAAAATTTGCATTTTTATAAACTCTCGAGGCCTCCCCAAACCCAGGCCCTCCAATCCCATGTTACAGATGAGGCAACCAAGGCTGAAAGAGGTAGGGGTTTTCCAAGGTCCCGCTCTGATGGCCCTGCTCCTGATGCCCTAGGCTTTCTCAGGCTCTTGAGGCCGCCCCTGGGCTGTCCCTGGACATGAGGAAGTGCCCAAAACACAGCAGAAATCTATCACCTCCCAGCGGTCTCCTTGCAGCTGACCCTGTCCTAGACCTGAGAGAGAAGAAGCGGCGGAGCGGCCGGCCACAGGAGGTGAAGAGGTGAGAAAGACTCCAGGGTGGTCAGCAATAAATAACAAACAAGGGCCGTGGGCCCACCTTCCTGTCTAGGTGACAGGGCTGTGCCCGGTACTGGGAGAGGACAGGCTGGACGTGACCACGCATTTCCAGCCACAGAGCCCTCTCCAAACCAAGCTTCCACAGGAGCTTCCGAAATACCCTTGACCCTCTCTCCAGCTTCCCACTGCCCTCAGAGGAAGTCCAGCTTGTGAGTCTGTCATCCAAGCCTCTCCTGGGCCACCCCTTGGGAATTCCTTCTTGTAGTGACCCGAGCCTCTGGGACAGTGCTTCCCACTCAATCCTGTTCTCGTTATTGGAGCGAGAGTGCCTTGGGGTGGCACTGAGCACTCAGCTGGCACTGAGCAGGGGACTTGTGGAATGAACAAATGAACATCAGAACTGGCCAGAGGTTCTGTCTCTACCCTGGACCCTCTTCCCCAACAACCGCTGGTCCCAGAATTTTCCTGTGGCCCCATGGCTGGCACATGGCAAGTTGGTTGGGGGAGGCAAGGGGTCTTATCTTGAAACTGCTGTGTTTACAAAAAACGTTCAGCTTTTTTTTTTTTTTATTTGAGACAGAGTTTTGCTTTTGTTGCCCAGGCTGGAGTGCAGTGGTGTGATCTCAGCTAACTGCAACCTCCGCCTCCCGGGTTCAAGCGATTCTCCTGCCTCAGCCTCCTGAGTAGCTGGGATAACAGGCGACCGCCACCACGCTCAGCTAATTTTTGTATTTTAGTAGAGATGGGGTTTCACCATGTTGGCCAGGATGGTCTCGAACTCCTGACCTCAAGTGATCCACCCGCCTTGGCCTCCCAAAGTGCTGGGATTATAGGCGTGAGCCACCTCACCTGGCCAAGTTCAGCTTTTTTATTCAGTGTTCACTTGGGATGATGGGGGGTGGAGTGGAGGGGGTGAATAAAACCAGGGGTATGAAGCTGCCCCCCTCAGGCCACCCCTTGGTGCCATGGATATCCAGGCAGAGAACCCACAGGGAGTACACAGAATGTGGAGCCCAGCAGTCCGGGTTCAAACCAAGTCTCTGACAAGCCCAGGCCTTGAGCTAGCACAAGTCACTTCTCCAGGCTGAGCCTTAATTCTGTCATTTGTAAAACGGGGGGAAGATACCCACCCCACTTACAGAACCATGTGGTATTATGGCCAAAGCCCTTAAAAAATGAACCCTGAAAATGGCAACATTTCAAACATTTTATCATTTTCATTTTGTCAAAGTAGAGAATTAAAGAAACATTGACTGGGCACGGTGGCTCACACCTGTAATCCCAGCACTTTGGGAGGCTGAGGCGGGTGGATCACTAGGTCAGGAGTTTGAGACCAGCCTGGCCAAGATGGTGAAACCCCGTCTCTACTAAAAATTTAAAAAGTAGCTGGGCATGGTGGTGGGTGCCTGTAATCCCAGCTATTTGGGAGGCTGAGGCAGGAGAATCACTTGAAACCAGGAGGCAGAGGTTGCAGTGAGCCAAGATCGCGCCACTGCACTCTAGCCTGGAGACAGAGCGAGACTCCATCTCAAAAACAAAAAACAAACAAACAAAAAACTCATCTGCCAGCACTGATATTCATTCCCTATAGTCCATCTTAGCCCCCTGCAAAAAAGAATATAAACTCCAAATAAAAGGTGGTCCTTTCTATTAAATCAGTTTAGCTTCTTGCTGTAACTCCTTTTTTTCCCATCTGGCTTTAGAACAAAGAAATGAGTCACTGACAGGCGGCAGTCACCGCGCAACAGATCAGGCACTTCTGACCCAGCCCAGCCCAGTTCGGGTGGGAAGACTGAGGCACAGAGGGTGGGGAGGGGACACTTACTGAAGGTCACAGCTGTGGCCTGGGGGTGCCAGGAGTGGCAGCTGATCTGCCACTGGGGCGATGACACCAAGAGGTGAGAAAGCCTTAGTCAAGAGACAAGCCATGCCGGATGCAGTGGCCCACGCCTCGCCTCATCGTCCCAGCTGCTCACAAGGCTGAGGTGGGAGGATCACTTGAGTCCAGGAGTCTGAGACCAGCCTGGGCAACACAGCAAGATCCTGTCTCTAAAAAAATAAAAAAGAGACAAGCCAGGTCTTGGAGGCCCTGCTTCTGTGCAGGCTGACCCAGGGGCTCAGAGGGCTTGGGTTCCAGGGTGGGTCCAGGTTGGTGAGGCCCTGAAGCTTACATGATTTGGGGGCCCTCTTTTGGAAAAGCAACAGAAAAAAAAATCTTTCTTTTACAAATTTTACAAAAATCCCAGGTCCAGGCCGGGTGCGGTGGCTCACGCCTGTAATCCCAGCACGTTGGGAGGCCAAGGCAGGTGGATCACCTGAGGTCAGGAGTTCGAGACCAGCCTGGCTAACATGGTGAAACCCCATCTCTACTAAAAATACAAAAATTAGCTGGGCGTGGTGGTGTGTGCCTGTAGTCCCAGCTACTTGGGAGGCCGAGGCAGTAGAGTTGCTTGAACCTGGGAGGCGGAGGTTGCAATGAGCCGAGATGGCACCATTGTACTCCAGCCTGGGCAACAGAGCAAGACTCCATCTCAAAAAAAGAAAAAAAACAATCACAGGTTCATGTGCACATGCTGTTAGGGCCCCTCCAGGGCTGTGGTAGGGGTCTGGGTTGTCCAGGAGTCCTGGACAGGGTGACAAATTGTCCCTGTTTGTCTGGACTAAGGGCCTCTCAGAATGCTAAAGGCAGGAAGTTCCAGCACACCAGGATAAACGGGTCACCCTGGTCCTGGAGCTCAGCTTCACTTGCTCTGCCCTGTGGTGTGAGGGCCAAGAGCAGGCGCCAGCTGCATCCCCCGCAGCTCCTGATGTGTTTAAATGGCTCAGCACGCCACACAGTTTCGAAAAGACCAGAAGGAGACAGCACCCTATTCACTGCAGCCCTCCCTAAGTGGTGGTATCACATGATTACCACCCCCCACCAAACTTTTTCTGTTGTGGTAAAACACACGTAACATACAATTTACCATCTTCACCATTTCAGTGGTGTTAAGTACATTCCTACCGTGCAACCATCACATGTGATTTTTATACTTTCCAATAATTGGCAGGTATTACTCTGATCAGGAAAAAAAGCTACTTTTAAAGGTGTCAATCAGCCTGTATCAGACACCTCTTGGTTCGACAAAGGTAGTGAGCGCCTTGTATCCACGTGTGTGAGCAGGACTGGGAGGCTGTGGGGTCGTTTGAGCATTGGTTGGTCCAGGTGACCTTTGTGTCCTTTCCAATCCTGACATTCCAGGATTCTGGATTCTTCCCTGCCCCAGGGGGAGAACTACTCTTTGGAGACAGGAAGACCTAGGCTCAAATGCTCGTCTGCCACTTACATGCTTAGTGACTTTGGGCCAGGCACTTGGCCTCGCTCGCTGAGCCGCAGCTTCCTCTAGTGTTGGGGAACCAGCTAGGTAGCTGTGTGTGGTCTTGCACCCCATGGGTGCTCAGAGGGGCTGATCCTTCCTCCTGCTTTCCACGTCCTCTCCCCTGGATGTGCATATGTATAAACCCTCATCCCACCAGGCCCAATCTGACATCACCTTCACCATGAAATTTGATTCCACAGCAGGGAGACCCCTCTCCTGGCTCTTGCGGCCTCTGCCTGGGGGCACCTGGCTCACTCCCCAGTGGGACTGTGGCTTCCCGAGAACAAGGGCTGCTTCTGAGTCACGCTGCCTTCCCTTGGGGCCCAGCAGATTCAATAAAGCTTTGCTAAATGAAGGCATCAGAGGCAGAAATGACCCAAGCAGACAAGCCCCCTCACAAAGCCAGTGGCTTCGCCCTTCCAGGCCAGAGGCCCAGGGGTGGGCAGACTAAAGCAGTGAACGCAGCCCACCCGCCTGATCCGGCAGGTGCCCCCCAGGGCTCCCACCTTTGGCAAGGGTCTGTTGGGGCATCTGGGGAGCAGGAGACTGGCACAGATAAATGAATTCAGAGCCACAAACACAGATGTGCTGGGGTGCCCGGCTCTGTGCAGGCACCGACACAAGGGTTAAAGGAACTGGGCTTTCCTGCCCTCAAACAGCTCCCATCTGACGGCATTTGAGAAGAAAAGGCTTTAAATGGGGTCATCCTTCGCAGACCAGGGATACATACCCAAGCCATCCTACCAACCAGACCCTGAAAACCAAGGAAAGGAGGAAGCTTGGGCACCCTGAGGTCACAGCTGGCCTTGGGGTAGCCCCTGGGGTCCCTGACAGTCTAGCCCATTCCTAGTCTAAGCCCACAAGGAACGGGCCCCAGGCCTGCAGAGGCCAGAACCTCGAGTGGGAGTTTCTGGGATACAGCCAGCCAAACCCAGGGAGCCCCAGAAACCCCCTCTCCAGACCCCAGCAGGGCTTCTTTCCATGAGGTGCCACTCAAGGCACCTGAACCCCTCCCTCTGTGCTCACTGTCTCTGACCCATCCTCTCCCTGACCACCCGTCTGAACAAGAGCCCACTCAGCCCTCTGCACTGAGGACCCTGCCCCCCAGCTAGGCTGGAGGCCACCCTGGCCTCTTCACTGTGGGAGCAGACCTTTCTCCCAGACACCCGCCTTGGGCATCCAGGTGCATGCTGAGTGGGAGGGGTGTTACCGGTTCATGAAATGTCAGAGCCCAAGGGGGCCTCAAGAAGGCTCCGCCCACCTTGTCTATAAATTGGGAAACTGAGGCATGAGAGAGGAGATGACACTCCCCACCTCGGAATTGAAGTCCTCATTTCTCGAGAACATTTCCTGGGTGGCTCCCAGCCCAAGGTCACGCAGAGAAGGAGAGGCAGTTCCCGGGTGGAAGAGAGGTACTCAGTTCCCGACTCATCGCTCCACACGGGCCGGGCTAGGCAATACGAACCCGGTTCCCGGCCCTCTCCTCCTCCAACGTCCATCGCAGGCGCGGCATGCACCCCACCGAGATGGTCCACGCCCTGATCCACCCCCCAAAAAAGGCCACCTTAAACCCTGGCTCCGTCCCCACGGTCCCCAGTCCGCCCTGGCGGCCGCGCACAATCCGAGCCTTTCGCGGCATAGCCGCGGCCTGGAGGTCACAGCAATCGGGGCGGGAAGGGGGGCGCACGAACCGGGGGCCCCAGGAAACCAGGGCTCCGGGAGCCGGAGCGGCGTCTCCCGCGAGCACCAGGGATCCCGCCCGCCCCGGGCCCGGGAAGGAGGAGCGGCGGCAGCGGGCCCCGCAGGCAGGACAGCTCCTCGCCCGCCGCCGCGCCGCCGCCGGGGGCCCGTTGGGGTCGGGGTCGGGGTCGGTCCGGGCGCGCCGCCTTTGCTCACACCCCCACCACCCCGGCCTGGCAGAGCCGTCGGCCAGTCCGTCCTTACCCAAGACACGACGCGCAGGATGGTGTGCGGCTGCCGGACCAGGGTGTAGGGGTCGAAGGCGCCCCCGGCTTTGCCCGCTCCGTACGCACCCCCTTCCATCGTGGCTGCACCCGCGCGGTGCCCCCCGCTCGGCGCGCGCCGCCGGCCCGTGCGCGTGCGCGGCGCCCCCGCCCCCTCCCCTGCGCGCGCGGCCGGCGGCCCAGGGCTCCCGCGAGGGGGCGTCGTGCGCGGCGGGCGCAGCTCGCGGGGCGCGGGCGGGGGGCTGGGCAGCGCGCGACCTCGGGCGCGGGGGCGCGCGTGCTGCGGCCCGGGGCTCAGGGCGCGCTCGCAGCCAGTGCGGTGACCTCTTTGCAAAGTGTTTGGGGGAGGGCGGTGCGTGCACAGCAAGTGTGGGCCGTGTCCCTGC
Source organism: Homo sapiens (assembly GCF_000001405.40). Taxonomy (NCBI): domain Eukaryota; kingdom Metazoa; phylum Chordata; class Mammalia; order Primates; family Hominidae; genus Homo; species Homo sapiens. The sequence continues at coordinate 39,349,703 of NC_000022.11, read as the reverse complement.
CCCGCATCCCCGGTCCCCTGCCCCGGTCGCAGCCCCTCTGAGCCGTCGGCTCTGCTGAAACCATCTTCACGCTTGATTTGTTTGGCTGTTTCCTGCCACTTTGTCGGCCCCAAATATAATGAGAGGGCAGGAGCTGTGTTCGTCCTTCTTAGAGGGTGCTTGGTACGCAGTAGGCGCCGCATGAATATTTCTCGAATGAATGAACCACGAGTGAATGACCCTCTCTTACAGCCCTCCAGAGCAGCCCCCACCTCCCAGGACCACCCTTCCCCTGCCTCTTACGATGACGTCATGTGTGTCCCTGTGCCCGCGCACCCTCCCACCCCCAGCCTGGAGGGGCCTGGCACAGAGGCGGCGGCTGAGACTTCCTCTTCCCCATCCCCTCCTACCCCAGAACGTTGCCCCTTTCCTGAATCTAGCAATTAATTACGCAATCATTTGTTCATGGCCTCTTCTGCTGCTAGTCTGTGAGCTCCCGAGGCCCAGGTGTTGTCTAACTTATTCAATGCCTTACCCAAGGGCCTAGCATACAGTAGGTGCTCAGTAAACAGAGCCTAGTCCCCATCACCCCATCACAGCTTGGGCTAGACCTCCAGGTTTCATGGAAACGGAGGCTAGATGGAGGAGTGCTCCCTGCAGGGGAAGGGCCACCTTCCAGGGCTGGCTCTCCTGCTGCCCTGTAGCTCTATGGCCTCTCTATGTCTGCAGTCACCTTCACTGGTTCCAGGAGCAGGTTGGATGAGGATATGGGTGGAGGCTTTTGCTTCTCTGGTATCCTGCCATTCTGTGATGACAGGACACAACATCTGTGTGGAGGAAATGTGTGCTGGGCCTGAGGGTGCTCCTTATAAAAATTACATAGTCAATGTCCATCTTAGGCTCAGCTGATTGTTTAGTCTCTACCAGGCCTTGTGCTAAGGGCTTTACATACATTTTCACATTTAATCCAGCACACTTATAAGGTGTCTACTATGACTATATAAAACTTTTAGAAGAAAGCACAAGAGAAGGCCGGGCGCAGTGGTTCACGCCTGTAATCCCAGCACCTTGGGAGGCCAAGGTGGATGGATCACAAGGTCAAGTGATTGAGACCATCCTGGCCAACATGGTGAACCCGGTCTCTACTAAAAATACAAAAATTAGCCGGGCGTGGTGGCGAGCTCCTGTAGTCCCAGCTACTTGGGAGGCTGAGGCAGGAGAATCACTTGAACCCAGGAGGTGGAGGTTGCAGTGAGCCGAGATCGCGCCACAGCACTCCAGCCTGGCAACAGAGCGAGACTCCGTCTCAAAAAAAAAAAAAAAAAAAAAAAATCATGAAGAACATGATTCATAAAAGAAACAATTGATAAACTGGACTTTATCAAAATTAAGAACTTCTGTTCTTTAAAAGACATTGTTAAAAGAATGTATGAAAAGACAAACGATAGTCTGGGAGAAAATATTTGCAAAGCATAGATCTAAAGAACTTGCATCCCAAATAAAGAACGTTCGAACTCAATAATAATAAGAGGACCCACTTTTTAAAAAATGGGCAAAAGATTTGAATAGTTATACACCTCACCAAAGAAGATATACACACGGCAACTCAGCACATAAAAAGATGCCCAGCATCCGCGGTGGCTCACGCCTATAATCCCAGCACTTTGGGAGGCCGAGACGGGCAGATCATGAGGTCAGGAGATTGAGACCATCCTGGCTAACACGGTGAAACCTCATCTCTAGTAAAAATACAAAAAAAAAAAAAAAAAAATTAGCCGGGTGTAGTGGCTGTAGTCCCAGCTACTCGGGAGGCTGAAGCAGGAGAATGGCGTGAACCCGGGAGGCGGAGCTTGCAGTGAGCCGAGATCGCGCCACTGCACTCCAGCCTGGGCGACAGAACGAGACTCTGTCTCAAAAAAAAAAAAAAAAAAAAAAAAAGAAAGAAAGAAAGAAAAGAAAAGATGCCCAACATCATTAGTCAGAAATACAAGCTGGGTGTGATGTGGTGTGTACCTGTGACCCCAGCTGCTTGGGAAGCTGAGGCTGGAGGATTGCTTGAGCCCAGGAATTCAAGGCTGCAGTGAGCCAGGATTGCACCAATGCACTTCAGCCTGGGCAACCAAGTGAGACTGTTAAAAGAAAAAAAAAAGAGAGAGAGAGAAGTACAAATTAAAATTAGAATGAGATACTTCTACACATCTATTAATATGGCTAGGCTGGGCACGGTGGTTTACGTCTGTAATCCCAGCACTTTGGGAGGCTGAGGCGGTGGATTGCTTGAGGTCAGGAGTTCAAGAACAGACTGGCCAACATGGAGAAACCCAGTCTCTACTAAAAATACAAAAAAAATTAGCCGGGCGTGGTGGTGGGTGCCTGTAATCCCAGCTACTCGGGAGGCTGAGGCAGGAGAATAATCACTTGAACCCAGAAGGTGGAGGTTGCGGTGAGCCGAGATGGCACCACTGCACTCCAGCCTGGGCGACAGTGTCAAAAAAAAAAAAAAAAAGTGAAAAGTTTACTCACAGAAAAACCTGTACAGAAGTTTTATTTCTTTTCTTTCTTTATTTATTTATTTTTGAGACGGAGTCTTGCTATGTCACCCAGGCTGGAGTGCAGTGGTGCGATCTTGGCTCACTGCAACCTCTGCCTCCTGGGTTCAAGTGATTCTCCTGCCTCAGTCTCATGAGTAACTGGGATTACAGGTGCCCGCTGCCATGCCGGGCTAATTTTTGTATTTTTAGTAGAGACGGGGTTTCACCATGTTGGCCAGGCTGGTCTTGAACTCCTGACCTCAGGTGATCCGCCTGCCTCGGCCTCCCAAAGTGTTGGGATTACAGGCATGAGCCACCGAGCCCAACCCTGAACAGAAATATTTGGAGCAGTTTTATTCGTAATAACCCAAACGTGGAAACAACCTAAATGCTCCTCAAGTTGGGAGGGTATAAACTGTGCACTACTCAGGAATAAACACTACTCAGGAATAAAAAGCAATGAACAGTGGATACACTCAACAATATGGGTGACCCTCAAGTGTATTATGCAAAGTGAAAGATGCCAGACTCAAATGTCTAGAGACTGCAGGATTCCCTTTATGTGACATTTTTGCAAAGGCAAAACTGTTAAGGACAAAAAAAAGATCAGTGGTTGCCAGGGGATTGGTGGGCAGAGAGTTACTACTAAGAGGCACGGGGAAATCTGGAGGCATGATAGAATCATTCCATATCTTGTTTATGGGAATGGTTACATAATTAATACAATTGTTAATTTATTTTATTAATAAAACATGTTTTATTAATAAAATAAAAAATGTTTGTCAGCTGGGCGCTGTGGCTCATGACTGTAATCCCAGCACTTTGGGAGGCCAAGGTGAGCGGATCACAAGGTCAGGAGATTGAGACCATCCTGGCCAACATGGTGAAACCCCGTCTCTACTAAAATACAAAAAATTAGTGGCCGGGCATGGTGACTTAAGCCTGTAATCCCAGCACTTTGGGAGGCTGAGGCAGGCGAATCACGAGGTCAGGAGTTCAAGACCAGCCTGGCCTGTAATCCCAGCTACTCGGGAGGCTGAGGCAGGAGAATTGCTTGAACCTGGGAGGCGGAGGTTGCAGTCAGCCAAGATCGAGCCACTGCATTCCAGCCCAGGTGAAAGAGTGAGACTCCGTCTCAAAAAAAAAAAAAAAAAAAATTAGCTGGGCGTGGTGGCATACGCCTGTAGTCCCAGCTACTCGGGAGGCTGAGACAGGGGAATCACTTGAACCCAGGAGGCAGAGGTTGCAGTGAGCTGAGATCACGCCACTGCACTCCAGCCTGGCAACAGAGCAAGACTCCGTCTCAAAAACAAAATTGTTTATCAAAACTTGCAGAACAGGCCAGGTGCAGTGGCTCACGCCTGTAATCCCAGCACTTTGGGAGGCCAAGGCAGGTAAATCACTTGAGGCCAGGAGTTGGAGACTAGCCTCACCAACATGGTGAAACCCTATCTCTACCAAAAATACAAAAATTAGCCAGGCATGGTAGTGTGTGCCTATAATTCCAGCTACTCAGGAGGCTGAGGCACAAGAATCGCCTGAACTGACCGGGAGGCAGAGGTTGTAGTGAGCCGAAATTGCGCCACTGCACTCCAGCCTGGGTGACTGAGTGAGATTCTGTCTCCAAACAAACAAACAAACAAAGAAAAAAACCTTGCAGAACTATCCATACAAGAGGTGATTTTCACTGCATTAAGTTACACCTTTTTTTTTTGGAGACAGGGTCTTGCTCTGTTGTCCAGGCTGGAGTGCAGTGACGCAATCATAGCTCACTGAAGCCTTGAACTCCTGGGCTCAAGCCATCTTCCTGCCTCAGCTTCCCCAGTAGCTGGGACTACAGACTTGTGCCCTCATGCCACTGAGCTTACTTAATTTTTTTTTTCTTTGTAGAGATGAAGTCTCGCTATGTTGCTCAGGCTGGTCTTTCAGTGACAATATTCCTCCATTTATTTATTTATTAATTTTTTGAGATGGCGTCTCACACTGTTGCCCGGGCTGGAGTGCAATGGCACAATCTCAGCTCACCGCAACCTCTGCCTCGCAGGTTCACACGATTCTCCTGCCTCAGCCTCCTGAGTAGTTGGGATTACAGGCGCACACCACCACACCTGGCTAATTTTTTGCATTTTTAGTAGAGACAGGGTTTCACTATTTTGGCCAGACTGGTCTCGAGCTCCTGACCTCATGATCCACCTGCCTCGGCTTCCCAATGTGCTGGGATTACAGGTGTTAGCCACCACGCCCAGCCTCCTTCATTTATTAATTCAATAAACCTTCATTTGAAGTCCACCCTACATTAGGCTTTGTCTTAGTCATAGGGGTATATGGCTGAATAACTGGAGTGTCCCTAACCCTCTGCCCCTAAGATTTGATCATACTAATACATTAAATCTCAGAAAGCATGGTGTTTAGCATCCTGAATTTCAGATTCAAATATTTTGGGGGGACGGATAGAAGCCTTGGCTTCCCTTATCCTGACTCACTGTGTAACCTTGGACAAATGGCTTCACTTTTTTGAGCCCATTCCCTCATCTGGAAAACAGAAATAAGCATAGTACCTACCTTGGAGGATTATTGTCGAGATTAACTGAGAGAATGCGTAAGAGATGCTTAGAATGGTGCCTGATACAAAGAATGGGATCAGTAAATGTTATTAGCTGCACCATCATAGTTGGTTTTCAAGGTGGGTATGTACTGACAAAGATTGGTTTTCAAGGTGGGTATGTACTGACAAAGATTCTTTGCATTGCCAAACTTTAGTCAGGCTTCTGGATCTTCTATTAAGCCCCCCTATGCACTTCCTTGTAAAATCCAGTTTTAGCAAAGAACCCTCCTAAGTCAGTTTAGCAAGAACCCCTCATCCCCCACATGGGATCACCTCTATATCTGATCAGGTTTCTCATCCTCCACTCCTGGTGATGTCTGATTACCGGGGCTTGTCTTCAGCAAGAATCCCGTTAGGTCAGTTTAGCCAGAATCCGCCTTACCACGGATGCTTCCTCTTAGTAATTTTCCATCCATTGGCCCCCACACTTGGCCATGTTTGGAGTTAAGCCCAATCTCTCGCTCCCATTGCAAGACTTCATTGCAGTGGTTCCCGTGTCTATAACGATGGTCTTGCGCAGTCTTTCTCATCATGCTTTAACCCATATCGTTGAATATTTTTTAATTTAACAGTATAACAAGGTATGTAGGCATTTTCTTAGAAACACAAAGCTATGAATGGTGGGTAGGTTCTCAGGCTCACCCATGAACCTCTACTTTATACCATTGCGAAGTATATAAATATACTTTACGTCATTGCAAATTGTAGAAACATCCTCCTCTACCATCTGGATTTATGTGTTCTGTGTTAGTGTTGAGGCCAAACGAGAAAGTCAGGCTGGTCTTTGCAGGACAAGCTTTTGCAAACACAGAGCTGCCTGCACCATGCCCGGTAGTTCGAATTCCTAGCCCCAGCTGAAATGCAATGGGCGTTTGCTCCCTCTCTCCTGCCCTCTTGAGGCTGGTTTGGCAGCCAAGGTGCTAGTTCTGTTTTCTGTATGTGAAGTTGGAGTTGCGTGAACAGAAGGGAGATGCATTCACCGTATTTCAGTGCATGAGCCGCAGCATGATTATAATCTTTTTCTTTTCTTTTTTTTGAGACCAGATCTCGATGTCGCCCAGACTGGAGTGCAGTGGTGCGATCACGGCTCAATGGAGCCCCAACCTTCTGGGCTCTAGGGATCCTCCCACCTCTGTCTCCCAAGTAGCTGGGACTACAGGTGTGTGCCACTACACCCAGCTAATTTTTTTCTTTTTATTTTTTGTAGAGTTGGGGTCTTGCCATGTTGCCTAGGCTGGTCTTGAATTCCTGAGCTCAAGGAATTCGCCCTCTTCAGCCTCCCAAAGTGCTGGGATTAGAGGAGTAAGCCACCACACTCAGCATAAAGATAATCTTAAAAATTGACCAGTGGGGCTGGGCATGATGGCTCATGCCTGTAATCCCAACACTTTGGGAAGCCGACGTGGGCAGATCACCTGAGGTCAGGAGTTCAAGACCAGCCTAGCCAATATGGTGAAACCCCATCTCTATTAAAAATACAAAAATTAGCTGGGTGTGGTGGTGCGCACCTGTAGTCCCAGCTACTTGGGAGGCTGAGGCAAGAGAATCACTTGAACCTGGGAGGCGGAGGTTGCAGTGAGCCGAGATTGTACTACTGCACTCCAGCCTGGGCGACAGAGCGAGACTCCCTCTCAAACAAAGAAACAAACAAACAAACAAAAATAATAATAATAAACATTGACCAGAGGTACCTAGTTGGAGAGCTGCTTGGTAGTGTGTTTCAATTGACTGAAGAATGTGCCATTTGACCCAGCAATCCTATTCTTTTTTCAAAGAAGGGATGAAGGGAGTACACACGGGATCTAGTTGGCGGCAAGCCTATGTAACATCACTGTGAGCCAGGTCGTTGAAGACCCTTGGGATCCAACAGTGACATTAAACATGATCTCTGCCCTAAAGGATCTCAAAGTCCTGGGCGCGGGTGGGGGGATAATAATAAGCAAGGGTAGCAGGTGAAATATGGCCACAAATTCCTTGAAACTCCTCTCTTTGCATATGGGGAGGCTTGTGATTAACAGAGCAACATTGGGCCATTTTCCTGGCCCAGGCTTTAAGAAAATATTTGCTTTCCATTTTCATCTCTTGGAACACTCTCAGTCCTGAGCTGTCATGAAAGAAATCTTGAGACCACCAAGACCTCATGTAAATACTCTAGCCAGGAGGCCCAGTGGATTCCAGCCTTCTAGCCATCACCACCAGCATCTTGAGCTCCCCGGACTAACTCGTGTAACCAACTGAATACCAAAAAGTGACCTCAGTTGATGCCACTTTGAAAATAAGAATCACCCAGCTGAGCCTTCCCCAAATGAAGCCCATCATGACTATAATAGAATAGAATATCATATCATATAATATACAGGCCAGGCACGGTGGCTTATGCCTGTAATCCCAGCACTTTGGGAGGCTGAAGCCAGTGGATCATTTGAGGTCAGGAGTTTGAGACCAGCCTGGCCAATATGGTGAAACCCTGTCTCTACTAAAAATACAAAAAATTAGCTGGGCGTGGTGGTGGGACCTGTAGTCCCAGCTACTCAGGAGGCTGAGACAGGAGAATTGCTAGAACCTGGGAGGCGGAGGTTGCAGTGAGCCGAGATCACGACACTGCACTCCAGCCTTAAGACAGAGTGAGACTCTGCCTTAAAAAAAAAAAATATATATATATATGTGTGTGTGTGTGTGTGTGTGTGTGTGTGTGTGTGTGTATGTATGTATGTGTATATATATATATATATATGTATGTATATATAATGACTGTTGTTTTGAGCCACTAAGTGTTAAAGTAATTTGTCATTTGCAATGGAATACATACCAAGCCTAATAACTCAACAGAAATGTCTGCATCTTACCCAAAGCAATTGCAGATAAAACATAAGGCAAAACTAAACAGACCAAGCCATGCTCAAAAATGAGCAACTCTGTGGAGCGGAAAGCTGAAGCCATGGAGCCATGGGCACTTGGGCACGGGGTCCACACAGCCACCAAATCTTCCTTTTTTAGGGTAATGAGATTAAAATGCTCCACAAGAGACAGAAGCCAAGTCAGCCTCCTGCCTGAAGCCAGCAACAGGGGTGGCGCTCCACTATTGGGAATGGAAGCAAAAAATAAAACTGCAGGGGATCTCTGCCTGGGACTCTGACTTAGACAAAGTGCTTGGTTCAGGGAGGGAAGGACAGATTTCGGCGGCCCACAGGGTGCTGAAACAAACCTCCCTCTGAATCTGCCACTGAGGCTGCAGTGTCCCCAATGTGTCCATGGGAAGGGGCCCTAGACATCATTGTGAGATGGGTTTCTGGAAGGCTGGTGGAAGCAGGAGTAGCTCTGCTGGAGAGGGAGGGTGAGCACACAGGGAAGGGAAAGGATAAAGAAAAACAAAACCCTCCCATTGCAAATGAGGCTGCAACCCAAACTTCAGAAGCCTTGTTGAAATTGAGAGGCAGCAAATTCACCAATCACAACAAGCAGAAAATGAAGTAACTGCAGGCCTGGTGTGGTGGCTAACGCCTGTAATCCCAGCACTTTGGGAGGCTGAGGTGGGCGGATCACCTGGGGTCAGGAGTTTGAGACCAGCCTGGCCAACATGATGAAACCCCATCTCTACTAAAAATACAAAAATTAGCCGGGCGTGGTGGCAGGCACCTGTAGTCCCAGCAACTCAGAAGCCTGAGGCAGGAGAATCGCTTGAACCCAGGAGGCTGAGGTTGCAGTGAGCCAAGACTGCGCCACTGGACTCCAACCTGGGTGACAGAGTAAAACTCCGCCTCAAAAAAAAAAAAAAAAAGAAAAGAAAAAAGAAAAAGAAAATGAAGTAACTGCAGATGAGATGAATTTATAGAAAGATAAAAGACTAAAATAAATGTTTGGAATCCTCAAAGAAAGAATCTTTATGAAGGAAAAAAAAAAAAGAACAAGACTAGCCATATGGAAGTCTAGATAGCTGAAAACTTTAAATGCTAGGGGAGAAAAATGAATGGACAACAAAAAGCACAAAAAGGAAGGAAGGCATGAACCCAGAGAAATGAGTGAGCCCTGAAGGCACAGCTTCCCTAACAACTGTTGCTCCCTAGTACCTTGAAATTTTAATAGCCTCGGCATGGCATGGTGGATGCCTGTAATCCCAGCACTTTGGGAGGCCGAGGCGGGAGGATCAGTTGAGCCCAGGAGTTTGAAACCAGCCTAAACAACAAAGTGAGACCCCTGTTTCAAAAAAAAGGAGGGAATATTTTCCTACTTTTATCCTAGTTTAAGAAAAAGTTCAGACCAATCTCACTCATGAATGTCAGTGCAAACCATGCTGAGGAAATATTAACAAACTTAATCCTGGAATGTATAAAAATATAATACATTATAAACAAATTGGGTTTATCCTAGAAATGCAGTTGGGTTCATTATTAGGAAATCTATAAATATAATTTATCATATGAATAGATTAGAAGGGAAAAACTATATGATGATCTTAGTAAATGCAGTAAAAGTACGTAGTAAAATCAGTACACTCAATATCAAAGCTCTTACTATGCTAAAAAAAATCCTCAGCTTAATAAAGATTATCTACAAAATTCCTGCAGAATGAGTATGCTCAACGGAAACATTAAAAACATTCCTTTTTAAACAAATAGAGAAGGCCAGGCGCAGTGGCTCATGCCCATAATCCCAGCACTCTGGGAGGCCAAGGCAGGCAGATTACCTGAGGTCAGGAGTTCAAGACCAGCTTGGCCAACATGGTGAAACCCCGTCACTACTAAAAATACAAAAAAGTAGCCGGGTGTGGTGGCACGCACCCGTAATCCCAGCTACTTGGGAGGCTGAGGCAGGAGAATCACTTGAACCCGGGAGGCGGAGGTTGCAGTGAGCCGAGTTCGTGCCACTGCACTCCAGCCTGGGCAACAGAGTGAGACTTTGTCTCAAAAAAACAAAAAAAGAAAATAAAAAAAATTAGCTGGGCATGGTGGCGGGCACCTGCAGTCCCAGCTACTCAGGAGGAGTCCCAGCTACTCAGGCAGGAGAATTGCTTGAACCCAGGAGATGGAGGTTGCAGTGAGCTGAGACCACTCCATTGCACTCCAGCCTGGGCAACAGAGCAAGACTCTGTCTATAAATAAATAAATAAATAAATAAATAAATAAATGAACATGAAATAATAAAAGAGAATCAAGTAGAAATACTAAGAATGGAAAATATAAACATTGAAATAAAGAATGCAGTAGGAGGAGAAAACGGTAAGATGGGTAGAGCTGAAGAATGAGCTGGGTAATCAGAATGATGTAATGCCTTGAGATACGTTACTGTGAACAAAGAAAGAGAGAAAGGAAAGAAGAGAGAGAAGGAGGGGGAATAATAGAATATTTTTATGATTTGGGGATAAGGAAGGGTCACGTGATAGAGAATAGAGAAGACATAAAATTGAGTGCAAATCTTTTCGTTGTTGCTGTTTTTAAGACAGGCTCTCTCTCTGTCACCCAGGCTGGAGTGCAGTGGCACGATCTCGGCTCACTGCAACCTCTGCCTCCGGGTTCAGGCAATTCTCCTGTCTCAGCCTCCTGACTAGCAGGGACTACAAGCACCCGCCACCACATCCGGCTAATTTTTGTATTTTTTTTTTTTTTTTTTTTTTAGTAGAGACAGGGTTTCACCATATTGGTCAGGCTGGTCTCAAACTCCGGTCGTCAAGTAATCTGCCTGCCTTGGCCTCCCGAAGTGCTGGGATTACAGGCGTGAGCCACCGTGCCTGGCCAATGAACAGGCATTTCAGAACTGAGGGCCTAAGAATGGCCAGTAAACACATGACAAAGTGTTCAATCTTATTAGTAGCCAGGCAAATAAAAAATAAAACCATCATGAGATACCATTTTATACCCACCATATGGGTGAAAATGCTAGATTCTGAGGCTGTAGAGCAAGAGAAACTTTCAAACTCTGCTGGTGGAACAGAACAACATGAAGACTAGTGTTTTTTTTTTTCTTTTTGGTTTGTGAGATGGAGTCTTGCTCTGTCACCCAGGCTGGAGTGCAGTGGTGCGATCTTGGCTCACTGCAACCTCCACCTCCTGGGTTCAAACGATTCTCCTGCCTCAGCCTCCTGAGTAGCTGGGACTACAGGCACACGCCCCCACACCTGGCTAATTTTTGTATTTTTAGTAGAGACAGGGTTTCACCATGTTGGCCAGGATGGTCTTGATCCCCTGACCTTGTGATCCACTTGCCTCGGCCTCCCAAAGTGCTGGGATTACAGGCATGAGCCACCGTGCCTGGCCAGATTTATTTACTACAGTTTCATTCTTAGGTATATACCCTGGAGAAACTCTTACCTGTGTATAAAAATGTCCATGAAAAATTATGAACAAATGTTCATTAATAGAATTGTTATTGTGATATTTTCATCTTCAGGAATAATAGAATACTGAACAGCAGAATGAGTTTGAGGTCCACGTATCAGAATGGGTAAAACCCAAAATATAATTCTTTATTCATTCAATCAGTATTTATTGAACACCCACTATGTTCCAGGCATTGTTCTAGGGACTTAGTTTCCATAATGAATAAAACAAAAAGAAAAACCTCTGCTTCATGGAGCTTATGCTCTGTGTTGAATTTTTTTAAAAGTAATTTTGAAATAATATAAATAGTTTGATATCATTTATGTATTTAAAGCAGTGGTTCTTGACCTTTTTGGTCTCTGGACATTTTTATACCTTAAAAAATTATTGCCGAGTGTGGTGGCTCACACCTGTAATCCCAGCACTTTGGGAGGCTGAGGCAGTCGGATCACGAGGTCAGGAGTTTGAGACCAGCCTGGCCAACATAGCGAAACCCTATCTCTACTAAAAATACAAAAAATTAGCCGGATGTGGTGGCGGGTGCCTGTAGTCCCAGCTACTCAGGAGGCTGAGGCACGAGAATCTCTTGAACCCAGGAGGCAGAGGTTGCAGTGAACTGAAATCGCGCCATTGCACTCCAGTCTAGGTGACAGTGCTAGACCCCATCTCAAAAAAAAAAAAAAAAGAAGAAGAAAATTATTGAGCATCCCCAAAATGCTATTAATACTTACCATATTAGAAATTAAGGCTGGCTGCAGTGGTCACACCTATAATCCCACAACTTTGGGAGGCCGAGGCAGGAGGATTGCTTAAGCCCAAGAATTTGAGACCAGCCTAAGCAATATAGTGAGACTCCCATTTCTACAAAAAATTTTTAAAAGTAAAAAAAAAAAAAATTAGCTGGGCATGGTGTCACATGCCTGTAGTCCCAGCTTCTTGGGAAGCTGAGGTGGAAGGATTGCTTGAGCCCAGGGTTTGAGGTTGCTGTCAGCTGTGTTTGCACCACTGCACTCCAGCCTGGGTGACAAAGCAAGGACCTGTGTGTTAAAAAAATAAAAAAGAAAAATTAAAAATTAAATGGAGGTGATGTCCTTGATATAACAATAAAAATTATTACTTAAATATCAACCTTGGGAACGGGTCTTTTTTTTTGAGATGGATCTTACTCTGTCTCCCAGACTAGAGTGCAGTGGCACAATCTCGGCTCACTGCAACCTCCACCTCCCGGGTTCAAGTGATTCTCCTGCCTCAGCCTCCTTGGTAGCTGGGATTACAGGTACATGCCACCATGCCAGGCTTTTTTTTTTTTTTTTGAGACAGAGTCTCGCTCTGTTGCCCAGGCTGGAGTGCAGTGGCACAATCACAGCTCACTGTAGCCACGACCTCCCTGGGCTCAAGTGATCCTCCTGCCTCGGCTCCCAAGTATCTGGGACCACAGGCACAGTATCTGGGATTATAGGTGTGAGCCACTGCGCTCAGCCAAATGTAACATCATTTTTATTTGAAAGAACAACTGATAGCCAAACTGTGGTTTTAAAATTTTCTCCATTGTAACTTTTTTTTTCTTTTTGTTCTTAGAGTCAGGTCTCGTTCTGTCACCCAGGCTGGAGTGCAATGGTGTTATCACAGCTCACTGCAGCCTCAACCTCCTGGGCTCAATCGATCCTCTCGCCTCAGCCACCTGAGTAGCTGGGACCACAGGCACGTGCCACTGTGCCTGGTTAATTTTTAAATTTTTATTTCTTAATATTTTTGTAGAGGCAGAGTCTCACTATGTTGACCAGACTGCTATCCTGCCCTTAAGTGAGCCTTCTGCCTTGGCCTCCCAATGGATTGGGATTACAGATTACAGGTGTGACCCACTGCGCCTGGCCTCAAGGACATTCTTAAGTAAAACTGTTTTTTGTTTGTTTGTTTGTTTTACTTTTAGAGCAGGGAGGTGAAGCATATAATGACCACATACGTAGTTTGTGCCACTGCCTTGTCATACTATGGAGCCAGAAATTTTATCTACAATTATTTTGCATCATTAGTTTAAATGTCAACACAGGGAAAAAGACAAATAATATCTTGGTATTATTGTGAAGATAATTTTGACTTTGCAGTTCGCTTGAAAGTATCTCAGGAACCCTAGGAGTCTGCAACCCACACTCTGAGAACTGGTGCTTTAACATTTGGTAGGAAAACATTATTTATGTATTTTCAGTTATGTTAAATTTGTTCGCTGGGCCCAGTGGCTCATGCCTATAATCCCAGCACTTTGGGAGGCAGAGGTGGGTAGATCAGCTGAGGTCAGGAGTTCAAGACCAGCCTGGCCAACACGGTGAAAGTCTGTCTCTACTAAAAATACAAAAATTAGCCTGGCATGGTGGTGTGCACCTGTAATCCCAGCTACGTGGGAGGCTGAGGCAGGAGAATTGCTTGAACCTGGGAGGCAGAAGTTGCAGTGAGCTGACCTCACGCCACTGCACTCCAGGGTGAGACTCTATCTCAAAAAACAACACAAAAATAAATAAATAAATAAATAAATAAATTTGACCAGGCGCGGTGGCTCATGCTTGTAATCCCAGCACTTTGGGAGGCTGACGCAGGCGGATCACGAGGTCAGGATATCAAGAACATCCTGGCTAACACAGTGAAACCCCGTCTCTACTAAAAACACAAAAAATTAGCCAGGCGTGGTGGCGTGCACCTGTAGTCCCAGCTACTCGGGAGGCTGAGGCAGGAGAATGGCGTGAACCCCGGAGGCGGAGGTTGCGGTGAGCTGAGATTGCACCACTGCACTCCAGCCTGGGGAACAAGAGCGAAACTCTGTCTCAAAAAGAACAAATAAATAAAAATACAAAAATTAGCCAGGAATGGCGGCCGGTGCCTATGATGCCAGCTACTCGGGAGGCTGAGGCAGGAGAATCGCTTGAACCCGGAGGGTGGAGGTTGCAGTGAGCCGAGATTGTGCCATTTCACTCCAGCCTGGGTGAAAGAGCAAAACTCCATCTTAAATAAATAAATAAAAAGTAAAAAATAAAAAAAAATTTAAAAAGGGGAGGCATGAATAATCTACCCCTTGTTTAGCATATAATTAAGAAATAACCATAAAAATGGGCAATCAGCAGCCCTACTCTGTCTATGGTGTAGCTATTCTGTTATTCCTCTACTTTCTTTCTTTCTTTTTTTTTTTTTGAGAAGGAGTCTCGCTTGGTCGCCCAGGCTGGAGTGCAGTGGTGTGATCTCGGCTCACTGCAAGCTCTGCCTCCCGGGTTCTGGCCATTCTCCTGCCTCAGCCTCCTGAGTAGCTGGGACTACAGGCGCCCGCCACCACTCCTGGCTAATTTTTCATATTTTTAGTAGAGATGGGGTTTCACTGTGTTAGCCGGGATGGTCTCGATCTCCTGACCTCGTGATCCGCCCACCTCGGCCTCCCAAAGTGCTGGGATTACAGGCGTCAGCCTCTGCACCCGGCCCATTCCTCTACTTTCTTAATAAACTTGCTTTCACCTTACTCTATGGACTCACCCTGAATTCTTTCTTGCGCAAGATCCAAGAACCCTCTCTTGGGGCCTGGATCTGGACCCCTTTCCCATAACAATACCACTGAGGCAGAAATTTAAAAATAAATATGCATTCATTCACTCTAAGAAAAGTAACAGGCAAGGCAAGGGTTAAAAGGAAAATAACAAGTTTTCCTCTGTCTAGCAAAGGAAAGTACAGCAAGCTCACTTCAAGGACAGTTATATGATAACACTGTTTGAGAAGTCAAGGCCAAAGGAGTGGGCTCCAGACACCTCCCCTCCAGAGCAAAGTTGAAGGAAAAAAAAGAGAGAAAGACAAATTATTTTACTGTTACTCCTTTCCCTGGTTTCTTAAGCATGATTATGTTTTACAAATGTCTGTATTTAGCCAGTTCTTGTTTTTCTTTCAATGCAGCTACAAAGCCACCGGCTATGTAAGACCATAAATTATGCTATGCTATAGATTATGTGACCTATCATATGATTAGCTGCTTTTGTTTTACTTTTGTAAGCCAGCTTATAAAAACCCCGCTCTGTCTTTGTTCTAGGCTCAGCTTTTTGGATGTGAGTCCACTGAGCTGGTGCGTACCTGAAATAAACAATCCTCCTGTACTCAGATCAAGACCATCCTGGCTAACACGGTGAAACCCCGTCTCTACTAAAAATACAAAAAATTAGCCGGGTGTGGTGGCGCTCGCCTGTAGTCCCAGCTACTCGGGAGGCTGAGGCAGGAGAATTGCTTGAACCCGGGAGGCAGAGGTTGCAGTGAGCCAAGATCGCGCCACTGCACTCCAGCCTAGTGACAGAGCGAGACTCCATCTCAAAAAAAAAAAAAAAAAATCCTCCTGTACTCTCATATCAGTCTCTCCGTTCCTCAGTTTACCACAACACCATCACACTGGTGATTAGGTTTCAATATATGAATTTTGGGGAACACAAACATTCAGATGATAGCAACAACATAGCAGGAGGTTCTGGGTGGATTAGAAACATGGGGCTGGGTGCAGCGGCTCACGCCTGTAATCTCATCACTTTGGGAGGTCGAGGAAGGCAGATCACCTGAGGTCAGGAGTTCAAGACCAGCCTGGCCAACATGGCGAAACCCCTTCTCTACTAAAAAATTACAAAAATTAGCTGGGTGTGGTGGCGTGCGCCTGTAATCCCAGCTATTCAGGAGGCTGAGGCTGGAGAATCTCTTGAACTGGGGAGAGGCAGAGGTTTCAGTGAGCTGAGATCATGCCACTGTACTACAACTTGGGAGATGGAACAAGACTCTGTCTCAAAAAAAAAAAAAGGAAGAAAAAGAAACATGGCCCATCAGAATTCTAAAAGGTAAATACGTGGAAGGAGTCTCAGGCCATCTTTTTTTTTTTTTTTTTGAGACAGAGTCTCACTCTGTCACCCAGGCTGGAGTGCAGTGGCACGATCTCGGCTCACTGCAAGCTCTGCCCCCCGGGTTCATGCCATTCTCCTGCCTCAGCCTCCTGAGTAGCTGGGACTACAGGTGCCCACCACCACGCCCGGCTAATTTTTTTGTATTTTTAGTAGAGACGGGGTTTCACCGTGTTAGCCAGGATGGTCTCGATCTCCTCACCTCGTGATCCCCCCACCTCGGCCTCCCAAAGTCCTGGGATTACAGGCGTGAGCCACTGCCCCCGGCCCGAGATGGTGAATTTAATTGATAAATGTGTGTGTTCTGACTCTTCTATTGACTCACCATTTCTCTGTCTCTTTCCCTCTCTAGGGCAGCCCTATTTTTTGAGATACAACAGTACTGAAATTAGGCCAGCTGATAACTGCTCAATGGCCTCTAAGTGTTCAAGTGAAAGGAAGAGTCCTGTCTCTCAGTTTCAATCAAAAACTAGCAATGATTAAGCTTAGTGAGGAAGGCATGCCAACAGCCGAGACAGGCTGGATTTAGGCCAGTTAATAACCCTACAATGGCCTCTCAGTGTTCAAGTGAAAGGAAGTGTCACATGTCTCTTGCTTTAAATCAAAAGCTGGAAATGATTAGGCTTAATGAGGAAGGCATGTCAAAAACTGAGATACGCTGAAAACTAGGCCTCTTCCACTATGCAGTTAGCCAAGTTGTGAATGCAAAGGAAAAGCTTTCAAAGGAAATTAAAAGTGCCACTCTAATGAGTACATGAATGATAAGAAAGTGAAACAGGCTTATTGCTGATATGGAGAAAGTTGGGTCTGGATAGAAGATCAAACCAGCCACAACATTCTCTTAAACCAAAGACTAGGCCAGGCGTGGTGGCTCACACCTCTAATCCCAGCACTTTGGGAGGCCGAGACGGGAGGATCACCTGAGGTCAGGAGTTTGAGACCAGCCTGGCCAACATGGCAAAACCCCATCTCTACTAAAAATACAAAAAATTAGCCAGGTGTAGTGGTAGGTGCCTGTAATCCCAGCTACTCGGGAGGCTGAGGCAGGAGAATTGCTTGAACCCGGGAGGCAGAGGTTGTAGCGAGTCATTGCACTCCAGCCTGGGTGACAGAGCGAGACTCTGTCTCAAAAAAAAAAAAAAGACAAAGACTAACCCAGCGCAAGGCCCTAGACCCTAGCTCTCTTTAATTCTATGAAGGCTGAGAGAGATGAGGAAGCTGCAGAAGAAAAGCAGAAGCTAGCAGAAGTTGGTTCATGAAGTTTAAGGAAAGAAACTGTCTCCATAACATAAAAGTGCAAGGTGAAGCAGCAGGTGCTCATGGAGAAGCCACAGCAAGTTATCCAGTTCTAGTTAAGATCGTTGATGAAGGTGGCTACATTAAACAGTAGAGTTTCAATGTAGATGAAACAGCTTTATATCAAAAGAAAATGCCAGGAAGTCTTTCATAGCTAGAGAGGAGAAATCAATTCCTGGCTTCAAAGTTTCAAATGACAGGCTAACTCTCTTGTCAGGAGTTGGTATAGCTGGTGAGTTTAAGTTGAAGCCAACTGCTCATTGATAATTCTGAAAATCTGAAGGCCCTTAAGAATTATGCTACGTCTACTCTGCCTGTGCTCTGTAAGCGGAACACCAAAGCCTGGATGACAGCACATCTGTTTTTCTTTCAAAATATTACTGCTCGTTGACAATACACCTGGATACCCACGAGCTCTGATGGTGATGAATGTGGTTTTCTTTTTTTTTTCTTTTGTTTTTGAGATGGAATCTGGCTCTGTCCCCCAGTCTGCAGTGCAATGATGCAATCTTGGCTCGCTGCAACCTCTGTCTCCCGGGTTCAAGCAATTCTCCTGCTTCAGCCTCCCAAGTAGCTGGGACTACAGGCACGTGTAATCCCAGCACTTTGGGAGGCCGAGGCGGGTGGATCACTTGAGGTCAGGAGTTCGAGACCAAGCTGGCCAGCATGGAGAATCCCAGCTACCCTGAATCTGTTCTCCACCCGGCAGCTAGGGGGCTCTTACACCACAGATTAAATCGCTTTATTCCACTGATTAAAATCCACCAGTACTAGGGGCCTAGAGGGACATTGAGCTGGGTCTCGGCATGTTCCTCCATCTGCAGTTCCTTCCTCCACTGAACTCTTGTTTGTTTGTTTGTTTGTTTTAAGACAGTCTCGCTCTGTCACCTAGGCTGGAGTGCAGTGGCACGATCTCAGCTCACTGCAACCTCTACTTCCCAGGTTTGAGCGATTCTCATATTTCAGCCACCCCCATTCGCAGGTTGTAGGTGGACATATCTTTTTTTTTTTTGAGACAGGGTCTTGCTCTGCCTTAGGCTAGAGTGCAGTGGTGCCATCTTGGCTCACTGCAGCCTTGAACTCCTGGGCTCAAGTGATCCTCTCTCCTCAGCCTCCTGAGTAGCTGAGACTACAGGTATGTAGCACCATGACCAGCTAATTTTTAAAAAATAGAGATGAGGTCTTGCTATGTTCCTCAGGCTGGTCTCAAACTTCTGGGCTCAAGTGATCCTCCCACCTCAGCCTCCTAAAGTGTTGAGATTACAGGCATGAGCCACTATGCCTGGCCTTCCACATACATTTTAGAATCAATGTATGAGTCACCCCATCCCCCCACCTCTTGCCCAAATCCCTTGGGATTCTGGTTGAAATCCTAATGATTTTAAAGATTACTATGGAGATGACTGACTATTTTATTTTATTTTATTATTTTATTTTTGAGATGGAGTTTCACTCTTGTTGCCCAGGCTGGAGTTCAGTGGCACAATCTCGGTTCACTGCAACCTCTGCCTCCTGGGTTCAAATGATTCCCCTGCCTTAGCCTCCCGAGTAGCTGGGATTACAGGTGCCCACCACCACACCCAGCTAATTTTTGCATTTTTAATAAAGACAGGGTTTCACCATGTTGGCCAGGCTGATCTCGAACTCCTGACCTCAGGTGATCCACCCACCTCAGGCTCCCAAAGTGGTAGGATTACAGGCGTGAGCCACCGCACCTGGCCACAACTGACATTTTATTTTTATTTTATTTATTTATTTATTTATTTATTTATTTATTTATTTATTTTTGACACAGAGTCTCACTCTGTCGCCCAGGCTGGAGTGCAGTGGTGCGATCTCAGCTCACTGAACCTCCGGGTTCAAGCAATTCTCCTGCCTCAGCCACCTGAGTAGCTGGGATTACAGGCGTGTGCCACCATGCCTGGCTAATTTTTGTGTTTTCAGTAGAGATGGGGTTTCACCATGTTGGTCAGGCTGGTCTCGAATTCCTGACCTCAGGTGATCTGCCGCCTTGGCCTCCCAAAGTGCTGGGATTACAGGCGTGAGCCACCATGCCTAGCCTATTTATTTACTTTTTTGAGACAGAGTCTCACCTTGTTGGCCAGGCTGGAGTGCAGTGGCATAATCTCGGCTCACTGCAACCTCCACCTCCCGGGCTCAAGCAATTCTCCTGCCTCAGCCTCCCGAGTAGCTGGGATTACAGGCGTGTGGCACCACACCTGGCTAATTTTTATATTTTTAGTAGAGACGGGGTTTTGCCTTGTTGGCCAGGCTGGTCTCAAACTCCTGACCTCAGGTGATCCGCCTACCTTGGCCTCCCAAAGTCCTGGGATTACAGGTGTGAGCCACTGCGCCTGGCCACAACTGACATTTTAAAGACATGTCAGGCCATCCATGAACTGGTGATGTCTCTCCATTTATTCAGGACTTCTTTTATGTCCTTTAATAGAAAAGAGGTGGCGGGGTGTGGTGGCTCACGCCTGTAATCCCAGCACTTTGGGAGGCCGAGGTGGGCGGATCACCTGAGGTCGAGAGGTGGAGACCAGCCTGACCAACATGGAGAAACCCCGTCTCTACTAAAAATACAAAAATTAGCTGGGTGTGGTGGTGCATGCCTGTAATTCCAGCTACTTGGGAGGCTGAGGCAGGAGAATCGCTTGAACCCAGGAGGCAGATGTTGTGGTGAGCTGAGATTGCGCCATTGCACTCCAGCCTGGGTGACAAAAGTGAAACTCCATCTCAAAAAAAAAAAAAAAAAAAGGAAGAAGGTTTTGTGCACTATTTGTTCGAGTAATTAGAGGGGGAAGAGCATGCTACAATTCATAAACGACACCTTTTTATAGATCCCCTCTCCTCAGAGTCCTATTATCTATATTTTGCAGGAAAGGGAACTGAGGCTGAGAAGGGTAAAGGAACCTCCGCAAGGATACACAGTAGTGACAGGGCTGAGACTAGGTCCCCCAGCCCAGCCCCTGGTATGCATGTGTCTTGCATACTGGGAACCACCCACCAGCCCAGTAAAGGCCTAAGTGGACAGATCTGTCGCCATTCTATCTCCCCCTGACAAAGCTAGGCAGGGAACATACCGGGGGCCGGCCCACAGTTAATCGCTTTATTTTAAGCTCTGCATGAAGAGAGACACGGCACAGATATACAGAAAAATGATGAGGAGACAGGTCGTCTTGAGCTGCTGTGCGAGGGCCTGCTTGGATGAAGATTTCAAGGCCACCTTGCTTGTCCTACTGCTCCAGAACCTGGTGCTAAGAGATATGTTGGTGGCCCCATAGCCACAGCCTTCTTCTCCCTCGCTGGCATCCTTGACCCCAACCACTATGCACAGGCTCATGGAGGCTGGTGAGAGCCTACTCATGGTGGCCAGGTCAGGTCCGGGGAAGTGCTGGCTGAAAGGGATGGTGGTCGCTGGGAGGATAGTGGTGACTGCATCCAGGTCTGTGGAGGCTGCCCGGCACAGCCTGGCCCTCTCCAGGGGTTGAAGGCCACAGCCCCGCATGGCCTAGGCCACCCGTCCCATGGCCACCCACAGCCTGTCCAGGCAGCAGGCCAGCAGGGACATGGCCATGTGCTATAGCACGGCCTGCAGCAGCAGCTCCAACACCTTGCTGTTATCGTGGCGGAAGCCCACCAGGCTGTAGTAGGCCCAATGGGCCATGGAGAACACGGCTAGGCCGGCCTCCCACCACAGGTGTTGCAGGAGTCGTGAGATGCAGCGGCAGGCTCCATGGATCAGGGTGATGAACAGCTGTAGGTTCCAGATCCGCACAACAGTCAGCTGCTGCCACAAGGCCCGCTGGCCAGCCAGCATCACCTCCATGCACAGTCTCCAGGACAGGATGAGGATGAGACCTCCACCCACTGGCAGGCTGCTGCACCACAGGATGCAGGCGCCCAGCATGGAGACCGAGAGCCAGTGGGAGGCTGGATTTGCCATCTCCGCCTGCAGCCCCAGCAGGGATGCACAGAAGTTCACCAGGCCTAGGCCACACAGCAGCAGGAACGGAAGCAGGATCTGCCAGACCTCCCTGCCCAGCCAGCTCCCATTCTGTGGGGCATTTCCCCCACAGCTCCTCGTGGAGAAGCACAGCAAGGGGCCTTCACGACCCAAAGGCTGTGTACCCAGGCTCCTGCCCCAGGGACATGAGGCTGCACTCACGCCCCAAGCTCATATTAGCTGACCCTCTGGACCAAACATCCTGTCACCTGGGCAGGGTAGTTTTGCAGTGATCAATGACAGCACAAAAGATCAGGATATGAACTTATGTCAAAGAGAGGGCATAATTGCTTTGTCCATAATGGGCAATGCAGGCAGCCATTGAGAATGCAGCTGTAGGCTGGGCACAGTGGCTCATGCCTGTAATCCTAGCACTTTGGGAGGCAGAGGCGGGCGGATCACCTGATATCAGGAGTTTGAGACTAGTCTGGCCAACATGGCAAAACCCCATCTCTACTAAAAGTACAAAAATTAGTCAAGCGTGCTGGCGGGTGTCTGTAATCCCAGCTACTCAGGAGGCTGAGACAGGAGAATCGCTTGAATCTGGGAGGTGGAGGTTGCAGTGAGCTGAGATTGCGCCATTGCACTCCAGCCTGGGCAACAAGAGCAAAACTCTATCTCAAAAAATAATAATAAGTCAGGCGCAGTGGCTCACACCTGTAATCTCAGCACTTTGGGAGGCCGAGGCGGGTGGATCACTTGAGGTCAGGAGTTCGAGACCAGCCTATCCAACATAGCAAAACCCAGTCTCTACTAAAAATACAAAAATTAGCTGGACGTGGTGGTGGGCACCTGTAATCCCAGCTACTCGGGAGGCTGAGGCAGGAGAATCACTTGCAAACGGGAGGCGGAGGTTGCAGTGAGCTGAGATTGTGCCATTGCACTCCAGCCTGGGCAACAAGAGCAAAACTCTGTCTCAAAAATAAAGAAAGAAAGAAAATGCAGCTGTAATGTCCTCGTTTGGGTCCACTATTTTCATGCCCTCATCTGACAAATGCGACTCAGCATCTTCTCTATGCTAGGCTCTGCCTCCAGGCAGAGCACATGGGGAGGAGACATATGCTTTGCCAACATGAAGCCCCCAGGCTAGTGGGGGAACACAGACCTTTAAACACCATCAAGGCAAAACTGTCCCACCCAACTCCTCTCTTGCCCTCCTGCTTCCTCCATTCTCCTCCTCCTCAAGTCCTCCTAATCTTCCACAAAAGTTAGAGTACACCTTGGGTTTTACCTGGCAGCAGAGACCATCTGCCCTTCAGGTATGTGAGCAAAATCTTGGAGTCTTTTCTGCTGCTTACTACAAGTTCCGTTTTGAAAAAAAAAAAATTCGATGGGGGACTCTTTGTAAATAAAGTTAACCCATTTCTTTTCAGACTCTGGATTTGATTTTTGCATTAAACTGGCAGTCAGTGATCATATCATTCAACCCACTCGTTTTAAAAGGCCTCTTGTAAACAGCTCACACGGATCAGCATGTCGCTGTGAGTTCTTTGGTCTGCACTGAGCGTACACGGCCATTGTGTGTTCACTGTGGGCTGATGTTCCAGGCATCATCGGCTGTACTACCCTGGCCCCCTTGAGGAGGACCCCTGGGGAGAAATGTCTTTCAAGCCTTATTTCAGGAACAGCAGACTCCTTCTGGCCACTGGTTTGCTTTTATCATGTGGATATTGTGAACCATGTTTAGCCATATTCATCGTTTTTATTTGGCTACACAGAAACTCTGAACCAAATGAGAGGACCACCTCTGGCACAAACACAGAGATCCATAATGTGTATTTTAGATGTGATCCCACTTCCGGCTTCCTCTTATATCCCTCCATCATGCCCTTACCTTTTTTTTTTTTTTTTTTTTTTGAGACGGCGTCTCACTGTGTCACCGAGGCTGGAATGCAGTGGCGCAATCTTGGCTCACTGCAACCTCCACCTCCCGGGTTCAAGCGATTCTCCTGCCTCAGCCTCCTGAGTTAGTTGGGATTACAGGCGTGCGCCACCATGCCAGGCTAATTTTTGTATTTTTAGTAGAGATGGGGTTTCACCATGTTGGTCAGTCTGGTCTCAAACTCCTGACCTCATGATCCACCCGCCTTGGCCTCCCAAAGTGCTGGGATTACAGGCGTGAGCCACCGTACCTGGCCATGTCCTTACTTTTACCCTGATGAATTACATATGTCTTGATATGTAGCCTTACATCTGTACTTGAAAGGAGAAAGGATATAGTTAACCCCATAAATGAATCCATCCCTACACATATAAATCAAACTCTTCCTTCTAAAATAACAACACATACCCAATATCCAAAATGGGCATCCTGATTCCCATACTCGCTACTTCCTGTCCCACCCACCCTGACTCATACAAATAGTTTCCAGAGCCTGTCCAGTCTCAACATCTGATTTATCCCCTTTCCTTCCTTCCTTCCCTTCCTTCCTTCTCTTCCCTTCCTTCCTTTCTTTTCTTTTCTTTTTTCTTTCCTTTCCTTTCTTTCCTTCCTTCCTTCCTCCCTCCCTCTCTCTCTTTTCTTTCCTTCCCTTCTTTCTTTCCTTCTCTCTCTCCCTCTTTCTTTCTCTCTTTCCTTCCTTCCTTCCCTCTCTCTCTGTTTCCTCCTCCTCCTCGTCCTCCTCCTCCTCCTTCTTCTTTCTTCTTCTTCCTCCCTTTTCTTTTGAGACAGAGTCTTGCTCTGTTGCCCAGGCTGGAGTTCAGTGGTGTGATCTCGGGTCACTGCAACCTCCACCTCCCAGGTTCAAGTGATTCTTGTGCCTCGGCCTCCCAAGTAGCTGGGATTATATGCCTGCACCACCACGCCTGGCTAATTTTTGTATTTTTAGTACAGACAGTGTTTCGCCATGTTGGCGAAGTTGGTCTTGAACTCCTGAGCTCTGTGATCCGCCCATCTCAGCCTCCCAAAGTGCTGGGATTACAGGCGTGAGCCACCGCGCCTGGCCACTCATCCCTTTCTTCTGTATATTCACCTTCAGTGCCCTTTGCCAGGTGCCTATGTTGGTGGCTTACACAGAACAGTGAAAACTCCTTCCATCCTCTCCTAATCCAGCTGGCCCCGTAAAATCACCCTTCTAAAATGCACAGGTGCTGATCTGGCATGGTGGCTCACGCTTGTAATCCTAGCACTTTGGGAGGCCGAAGCAGGAGGATCATTTGAGCCCAGGAGTTGGAGACCAGCCTGGACAACATAGCAAGAGCCTGTCTCATTATAAAAATAAAAATAAGTGCACAGGTGTTCATAGGCTTTCAATGCATTCCACTGGCCTCAGGATGATGTTTTCCAGCTGGAAACTTTAGGTCTGAACCCTACCTATCTTCCTAAACTGGCCTCCTGCCACTGTCTTCTAGTCTGGCTGTGCCAAATCACAGCTAGTTCTGCAGGCCACTGTCTTTTATCCTTTCTGCCTTTGCACACGTTCCTACTGCCTGGAGAGCTGCCCTTTTTGCTGGACAAATAAGAATCCTTTGAAGCCCAGTTCAAATGACATCTCTGTGGTTGAGGCTTCCCTGATGACCCTGCCCATAAATTGGGGAATTCACCAGTTCTTTTTGCACAGGCCTCTGTTTCATAGCTATGATGTAGGTAGACTGATCTCTTCCAGGGCAGGGGTCCCAACCCCACCTCTGTTTTATTCCGTGTTTCAGAGCCCTGCATGGGGCTAGGCAAAGCAGGCTCGGTACATATTTGTTGAATAAATGAATGAATTCCTCATTTGACAGATAAGGAAACTGAGGCCTAATCCAATGTTGTGCTGAATCCCTATTTTTATTTTTATTTATTATTTTATTTATCTATTTTTGAGACGGAGTTTTGCTCTTGTTGCCAAGGCTGGAGTGCAATGATGCTATCTTGGCTCACTGCAACCTCTGCCTCCTGGGTTCAAGCGATTCTCCTGCCTCAGCCACCTGAGTAGCTGGACAGGCATGTACCACCACGCCCGGCTAATTTTGTATTTTTAGTAGAGATAGGGTTTCTCCATGTTGGTCAGGCTGGTGTCCAACTCCCGACCTCAGGTGATCCGCCCGCCTCAGCACTTTGGAAGGCTGAGGTGGGCGGATCACCTGAGGTCGGGAGTTGGAAGTACTGGGATTACAAGCATGAGTCTCCATGCCTGGCCAAAGTACGCTACCGCTGAATCCCTATTAACCTCAATAGGGAAGGCATCAGGTTCAAGAAACCAAAGAAGAGACCCAGAGCCAGCAAATGAGACATGAGTTTGTTTGTTTGTTTGAGATGGAGTCTCACTTTGTCGCCCAGGCTGGAGCGCAGTGGCATGATCCCGGCTCACTGCAACCTCTGCCGCCCGGGTTCAAGCGATTCTCCTGCCTCAGCCTCCCGAGTAGCTGGGATTACAGGCGCCTGACACTACGCCTGGCTAATTTTTGTAGTTTTTTAGTAGAGACGGGGTTTCACCATTTTGGTCAGGCTGGGGTTGAACTCCTGACCTCGTGATCCACCCACCTTGGCCTCCCAAATTGCTAGGATTACAGGCGTGAGCCACTGCGCCTGGCTTGTTTGTTTTTTGAGACAGGGTCTCACTTTGTCGCTCAGGCTGGAGTGCAGTGGTGGGATCACAGCTCATTGTACCCTCAACTTCCTGTTGGGCTCAAGGGATCACCCCACCTCAGCCTCCTGAGTAGCTGGGACCACAGGCATGCACCATCACACCTGGCTAATTTTTGTATTTTTTGTAGAGCCGGGGTTTCACCATGTTGCCCAGGCTGGTGTCGAACTCCTGAGCTCAAGCTATTCACCAGCCTCGGCCTTCCAAAGTGTTGAGATTACAGGCATGAGCCACTGTGCCTAGCCAACATAGGGTTTTATTAGGGGCGTAGAGGAGAGAGTCTAATGGTGGCGGGCTGGACCACATATCCTCCTTACATACACTCCAGTGGTGGTGTGCTGGATAGGAAAACTGCAGGTGGTTGCAGACAGCATGCAGTTTATACAGCATTTTCACTTAACACCTTCCCCTTAATGACCTCTCTCTGGTAGCCTTCATTTAACCCAAAACTTAGGACCTCAATCCCTGGTATAGTCTGTATTCCACAGGACTGGCTGGGGGCTCAGGTGTTCCTCATAGACAAGGAACCAGTCTTCGGGTTGGCCTTGCCCAGATTCCTTAGCTCGAACACACATGCAGGTGCATCTGCCATACAAGGTCATTCTAAGGGTATGCTTAAGTTATTGCTATTAGGTGCATTTACCCTACACCTAGTGAGCTATCTGTATGCTGGCAAGGCAGTTCAGGTCTACTGATGCTCTTTTCTTTCTTGACTGGAAAGGGAATTCTTGAGGGAGAATAGTTTGCCCAGGACCCTTAGTGGCACTTTTCTTTTGAACCTTCATTACAATTTTAAATTGTCTTATTTGGTCTGTGACAGTGGCCATCTTGTTCTCTATATTCCTGCAGCCTGGTGCAGGACCCGGCACAGAGCAGGCCTCCAGTAAGAATTTCTTCTTGCTCAGGATTCCAAAGCTCCTTTTCCGATAAGGGGATTATTGATCCCTGAGTCTAATGCCGTGAAAAACCAACCTGGAGTCAGATAGACTTGAGCTCTGTCCTTCACTAATTATGTGACTTTGTCAAGTTATTAACCTCTTGGCTGGAAGTTTAGTTTTCTATGTAAAAACGGGGCAATAGGCTGGGCGCGGTGGCTCACACCTGTAATCCCAGCACTTTGGGAGGCTGAGACGGGTGGATCACGAGGTCAGGAGATCAAGACCATCCTGAATAACACAGTGAAACCCTGTCTCTACTAAAAATACCAAAAATTAGCCGGGCCTGGTGGCGGGTGCCTGTAGTCCCAGATAGTTGGGAGGCTGAGGCAGGAGAATGGCATGAACCCGGGAGGCAGAGCTTGCAGTGAGCCGAGATAGTGCCACTGTGCGCCACTGCACTCCAGCCTGGGCGATAGAGCCAGACTCCGTATCGGAAAAAAAAAAGGGCGGGGGGCAATATGGGTAGGTTATAATCCTTTGTCTGCATCCTGAAATTTTTTTTTTTTTTTTTTTTTGAGATGGAGTTTTGCTTTTCTCACCCAGGCTGGAGTGCAATGGTGCAATCTTGGCTTACTGCAACCTCCATCTCCCAGGTTCAAGCAATTCTCTTGCCTCAGCCTCCCAAGTAGCTGCGATTACAGGCGCCCACCACCACCCCTGGCTAATTTTTGTATTTTTAGTAGAGACGGGGTTTCACCATGTTGGCCAGGCTGGTCTCGAACTCCTGATCTCAGGTGAACCACCCACCTTGGCCTCCCAAAGTGCTGGGATTACAGGCATGAGCCACCACGCCTGGTCTTGTTTTTTTTTTTTTTTTTTTTTTGAGACAGAATCCTGATTGGTCACCCAGGCTGGAGCACAATGGCACGATCTCGGCTCACTGCAACCTCTGCCTCCCGGATTCAAGCAATTCTCCTCCCTCGGCCTCCGGGGTAGCTGGGACTACAGGCGTGCACAACAACTGCTAATTTTTGTATTTTTAGGAGAAACGGGGTTTCACTGTGTTGGCCAGGCTGGTCTCAAGTTCCTGACCTCCAGTGATCCACCCTCCTCAGCCTCCCATAAGTGATGGGATTACAGGTGTGAGCCACCGTGCCTGGCCTGTATCCTGAAATTTTAAAAACCTTCTTAAATTATTTGGCAGCAAAAAGTAAACTGATGCATTTTTTGAGCAGCAAAGTCAGCCTTGAACTGATGTGAGTCTATTTATATTTGTCCCACTCCATGTGAATATTCATGTTTCCTTACGGAATATTGTTTTTCTTTAAAAAGTGCTGTATTACATAATATACAGTATGTGCACCATATTACCTTTCTAAAAATCAAAAAATGCTCAATTTTGAAACATATGTGGCCCCCAGGATTTCTAATAATGGATTGAAGATCTATCACTTATGTCCTTCGGGAATGGTGTGAGGATTGAGATAATTTTTTTTTTTTTGAGCTGGATTGCACTGGCGCAATCTCAGCTCACTGCAAACTCCGTCTCCCGGGTTCAAACGATTCTCCCGCCTCAGCCTCCCAAGTAGCTGGGATTACAGACGCACACCATCGTGCCCCGCTAATTTTTGTATTTTTAATAGAGACGGGGTTTCGCCATGTTGCCCAGGCTGGTTTCGAACTCCTGACCTCAGGTGATCCGCCCGCCTCGGTCTCCCAAAGTGTTGGGATTACAGGCGTGAGCCACCGCGCCTGGCCGAGAGAATGCTTTTCAAACGACGGTGGGAGCAAAGGCCAGGCCCAGAATTAAAGAAGATGACAGGGTGGGACAGAGGAAGCAGGTGATATGAGAGCGTGTGCTCTGGCGCAGCCATGAGGCTGAAGTAGACGGTTAGGGGAGCGTCTTTGGTGGCCGCTGAAGTTGATGCTTAATTCCGAGGAAACAACGAGGCGGCCATGGAAAGTAACGAGATACTTGATTCTTAGAAAGATTTGTAGGGGGCCAGGCGCGGTGGCTCACACCTGTAATCCCAGCACTTTGGGAGGCCGAGGCGGGCGGATCACGAGATCAGGAGTTCAAGACCAGCCTGGCCAACATGGTGAAACACCGTCTCCACTAAAAATACAAAAAAAAAAAAAAAAAAAATTAGCCAGGCATGGTGGCGCATTCCTGTAATCCCAGCTACTCGGGAGGCTGAGGCAGGAGAACTGCTTGAACTGGGAACCGGTAGGCGGAGCTTGCAGTGAGCTGAGATCGCGCCACTGCGACAGAGCGAGACTCCGTCTCAAAAAAGAGATTTGTAAGGGACCAGCCTGGAAGCAGGGAATCGGTCAGGATCCGAGTCACCCTGGAGCCTAGGCAGAGATCAGCGAAAGCCCTCGCTGATGCATAGGTCTGGAAGGCGTGGGGCTCCGGGAGGCTGAGCAGCTGGACTCGGCATGACCAGAGGTCGTGAGGCCGTTCCGCAGGCTTGGGACGCTCCTGACCCTCAGAATCAAGCGCGGGCCACTGCATTAGCATGGGAGAAATGGCAGAGATAGGGCTTGAGGGAGGGATGCCCGAGATTAAAGGTATTAAAGGTAAATTGGTGTCGCCGCAAAACCAGCGTGGGAGCCAGGAAACGAGAGTTTCAGTCTTTCTTCGCTAATTCCAGAGATAGCTGCATATCACAGGAGGAGAAGCGACGCAGCCATTTTTCTTCGTTATTATCAAATTTGGCTGCTGCCGGACGCCGTAGATTTGTGGCTCACCCACCCTTAGCCCACCTCTCCGCGGCTTTTCACTAAGTTTGAACCCGACCCCTCGCCGTAGAGTGTGTAATTTCTGTCTCCGAAGCTGACGTCAACTTCTGAACGAAAGCTAGGAGCGGAAGAGCGTGCGTGGAAATGGCGCTCGGTACGTGCCCCCGACCTGTCGTCTGCCGCGGGGGCGCGCTCGCACGCCGGAAGGGGCGGGGCCAGATTTGGCTTTATATAGCGGACCCGTAAGGCCGACCGGCCTCTACCGGCGGGATTTGATGGCGTGATGGTATGTGTTGTAATGGCGGCCGTTTCATTGTCACCGGCGTCGGCACGGCTGAATCCGCGACGCATCGCCGCCATCCCGTCTTGGCCGGCGCCGGGGGTTTGCTTTAGGGGCACGGGCGACCCAGCGGGGACTTCAGTCTGGCCTATTTTCTGGAAAGTCGAGAGGCTTGTGAAGAGCGCTTGGAGGACTGGCTTTGGGCCTGCAGGTCGGCCAGAGAGAGGCCGTAAGGGTGGGAGCAGGCTTGGAGGCCCGGCGTTTTTAAAGCCATGAGTCATTTCTAAGTTTCGACCTCACCAATTCTATCATTAGTTGGGATTAGGGCCCATAACCTGCTTGTCTGGGTAGAAGGACCTTGGGTGGAGGTTCTCGGCGCCGTTCTCATTGGGAGGTAAAGAAGCTTGGGGGAGGGGAGTGTTGTGGAGTCCTCCTGAATATCTGGGGCCGCTGGTGCACTCCGAAGGCCTCTGGAGCTCGCAGAAACCACAGATGATGAACTTATTGACGGGCGGACAGAAACTGTGTGCTGATTGTCACGTTCTGATTTGGCTCTGCGGAGTTCTTTGGCCTGTGTGTATCAGTGTAATTAGTGTCCGGGCACCGGAGGCAGCCTATAGCTTAACATTGCTAGCTGCTACCCAGCGTTTGTCCCGGGAGTCCCTTTCTTTAGCGGTCAAAACCTTGCTAATTGGCATATAAAGCTGCCTGTTAAGCAGTTTTTAGTGCCACTACTTAGTGTATTTTTGTGTGGTTAGATAAAAAAAATGGGTCGTTTTCTTACAGGTTGAGAGGATTTGAAATAAGATTCAGCTTAAATTTTGTCGAATACAAAAGCATTCTTGACACGTGCGAGCCTGGAAGAGATAATGACCTTTTTATTCGGCTTGCTGGGTGTCTGGTCAGGATTCTTCAGTATTGCTGAGATTTGGAACTTAAGCAGCTGGGAACTAGAGAAGGGGGCACTGCTTTGGTTTGGGTGCTGACGGTGATTTTTTTCCCACCTAGTCTCACAGAAAGTTCTCCGCTCCCAGACATGGGTCCCTCGGCTTCCTGCCTCGGAAGCGCAGCAGCAGGCATCGTGGGAAGGTGAAGAGCTTCCCTAAGGATGACCCGTCCAAGCCGGTCCACCTCACAGCCTTCCTGGGATACAAGGCTGGCATGACTCACATCGTGCGGGAAGTCGACAGGCCGGGATCCAGTATGTACAGACATCCTAAAAGTTGGGGGAATAGGAGTGGAGGGGGAGGGAAATTGTAGAGATGGAGTCAAGCTGTTAGCAGAGGGCAGACTTTTTTTTTTAAGCAGGAGTTACACGTTGTCAGAACTGCTGCGACAGCAGAATGGGAATGCTTAACTTGAAAACTAATATTCCAAGGCTACAGATGGTCAGCACTGTTTGCTTTAGGTGCGGTGTGGGGTATTGATTTCAGAGCATAGTAAATTTGCCAGGAACCTTAGCAAAGAGAAGTTAACACTAGTGTGGGGGGTTGGAGCTGCTGAGGCTGGCATAAGAACTGCCTCATTCATGTTTTTTTCACCTGAAAGCTTGAATAATGGCCACTTACCTGTGTGTGTTCTACTTAGAGATGTCTAACAGCACTGGTTGCTGAGCCATGGAGACATTAATGTTAGGCAGTTGATACTGACTAATCTCTGAGCTCAGAGCTATTGTTAGGGCACTGAATTTTCCAGATAAATAGCAATCTTGTCTGCCTCCAGAGGTTTCTGTAGAAGAGAATTGAAGCTGGACAGGTATTTGGCTGTCTAGGGTCCTGATATTTTTTGTTTGAATAACATAAATGTGCTTTGAATGAGAGATAGGCAGTAAGGACAGCCCTGTGAGTCCGTACTGCAGGTGTGGGGCCCAGTTGCCCTTCCGGCCTAAATGGGCACTTTGCATTTTCCTAGAAAACATTACACCCCTTGCTTGGGCTCCTGCCAAGTCTGACTACTGCTTTTTTTTTGCAGAGGTGAACAAGAAGGAGGTGGTGGAGGCTGTGACCATTGTAGAGACACCACCCATGGTGGTTGTGGGCATTGTGGGCTACGTGGAAACCCCTCGAGGCCTCCGGACCTTCAAGACTGTCTTTGCTGAGCACATCAGTGATGAATGCAAGAGGCGTTTCTATAAGAATTGGTAAGGGAGGAGGCCATGCAGTCCCTAGCTTGGGAGCTTGGGAGCTGGAGAGCAGGGAGCAGCGTGTGCATGGTTTCTCAGCTCTGTAGCAGGCAGGGAGCTGCTGTCTTGGGTTTAGTTTGCCTCTCGAACAGAAAAATACCTGGGATCAGACTTGGCCAGCCATCTGGTTTCAGCCGGAAGCTAACACCCTCATTCTGAGTCCAGGCTAGTGGGTGGTGGCTGAGGACCCAGTTGGTTGAGGAGTCCAACTAGAAACCAGGAGAGGTAGCAGAATAATTAAACCCCTATAGGGGTGGCAAGGGCCTCTGGCCCTGGGTGGAATGTCCCATTTCCTTCATCACTGAGTGGGCTTCCCCAGGGCAGAAAGGTTTGTCCCGGAGCAAGAATTTTGTTTGAATGCGTGTAACTTAAATTAACCTTGTGGACCTCTGCTCAGCTCCGCTCGGCTCTGCCCGATGAGCTCCATC
The DNA here is from genome assembly GCF_000001405.40 of Homo sapiens. Classification (NCBI taxonomy): domain Eukaryota; kingdom Metazoa; phylum Chordata; class Mammalia; order Primates; family Hominidae; genus Homo; species Homo sapiens. The sequence continues at coordinate 39,316,990 of NC_000022.11, read as the reverse complement.
CAGGCTCCGCTTGCTGGTGGAAAAGGCTCCTTAGAAGCCGGCAATGAGCTCCATCCCCACGCGGTGCCAGTGTGCCTTCCGCTCACCCCTCGGAGGGGTGATGAAGGCCTGCACCTGGTCCCCTCCCCAACTCTGCTCTGCTCCTGAAGGCATAAATCTAAGAAGAAGGCCTTTACCAAGTACTGCAAGAAATGGCAGGATGAGGATGGCAAGAAGCAGCTGGAGAAGGACTTCAGCAGCATGAAGAAGTACTGCCAAGTCATCCGTGTCATTGCCCACACCCAGGTGAGCCCAGTGCCCCGGGGTGGCTTGGCCTGCCACTTAGTAGAAGTGACCTATGTGATCATGGGGGTCCCGTGCCCGCACGCTTATGGGTAGGCTTCTCCCTTGCCAGCAGAGGGCACTGTGTCCTTACTGGCCCTTAGCAAGGGAACCATTCCCCTTTAAAATTCAACTGGTGACTCACCAGTAACACTGAAATGCCTGCCTGAAAGTCGGTTGTGAGGTACTGGCTGCTCTCCTGGAAACCTAGTTGATGAGCTGAGCAGGCTTTTTATTGACTTGGTTAGAGTGGGTGCCTCTTGCTGTCCTGTTACTGGTTATCCTGGCTGATCTCAAGTGCTGAGTGCAACCCCATGTGGTGAGGGCCACCACGGATGAGAGTGCATGTCCACCGTTGAAATTTTGTCAGGACATTGCCAGGCTGTCCTTGAGTGAAAGCTTTATGCTTAAATGCATTTTTTTTTTTTTAGAGACAGAATTTCGTTCTTGTTGCCCAGGCTAGAGTGCAATAGCCCTATCTCAGCTCACTGCAACCTCCACTTTCTAGGTTCAAGCTATTCTCCTGCCTCAGCCTCCTGAGTAGCTGGGATTACAGGCATGCGCCACCACGCCCTACTAATTTTGTATTTTTAGTAGAGACGGGGTTTCTCCATGTTGGTCAGGCTGGTTTTGAACTCCTGACCTCAGGTGATCCACCTGCCTCGGCCTCCCAAAGTGCTGGGATTACAGGTGTGAGCCACCGCTCCCGGTGATGCATTTTCTTACTTAGAGCTTGTGCTCTCTCAAAAGCAGGCTTGTCACTAGGGCAAGTGTAGGTGGCTGAGGTAAAACCACTGCAGTACCCCAAAAGGAACTGACCCAAAGGACAGCCACAGGAACATTGGGCTGGTAGGGGCTGGGATCTGGTTGTTTGCCTGTGGTGTGGGTCTTGTCCGCTCATCCTGACAGTAACTCAGGCACCAGTATCCAAAGTTAAGTTGTTGCTGTTGGCAAAAATGAAAGTTCCTTCCTCTTGGTGAGGTTCAGTGACTTGTTCAGAGTTACTGGCTTTTTGCCGTGTGCTTGACATCAATCAGGCCGCATGGAGCTGCAGTTCCTCTGCTGTGGGAGGAGCGCTGGCAGCTGGAGCTGAGCTGTGTCTACCTTCTCCTAGATGCGCCTGCTTCCTCTGCGCCAGAAGAAGGCCCACCTGATGGAGATCCAGGTGAACGGAGGCACTGTGGCCGAGAAGCTGGACTGGGCCCGCGAGAGGCTTGAGCAGCAGGTACCTGTGAACCAAGTGTTTGGGCAGGATGAGATGATCGACGTCATCGGGGTGACCAAGGGCAAAGGCTACAAAGGTGAGCTTTGCGGTGGCTTGAGTTGCTGTGCAAACCTGGGGGAGAAGTGGTTTCAGGCCCAGCTGTTCGTTGATGAGGCTCAGAGTGAGCGCTGGGTACAGCGCCCGAATCGGACAGTGTAGAACCATTCTCTACTGCCTTCCTTCTGAGAACAGCCTTGTGGTCAGAAGTGGCTGGGATAGCGGAGGGCCAGGGGACAACTTCTTAACACGTTCCTGGACCCTTTGCTCTTTGTAGCCTACTGATAACTGCAAAGGGGAGCTTGGAATTATGTTAGTCAGTCCCTGTGAATGGGGGAGCTTAAACTAATGGATGCCTTAAAAAGCACCCATTCAGAATTGAGTTCAGGGTGACACCCCCAGAGCCTATCCAGCTTGACAGGGGAGACCTGTGGGTAATGCACATGAAATAATCTTATCACTCCCTCAGATGACCCAGCCATGGTTGGTAATTGCTGAGTAGCAGGAAGGGGTCAGTGGGAGGTGCTGGGCGCTGAGGTGAAGTAATGTGTATCCATTCCAGGGGTCACCAGTCGTTGGCACACCAAGAAGCTGCCCCGCAAGACCCACCGAGGCCTGCGCAAGGTGGCCTGTATTGGGGCATGGCATCCTGCTCGTGTAGCCTTCTCTGTGGCACGCGCTGGGCAGAAAGGCTACCATCACCGCACTGAGATCAACAAGAAGGTGAGGTTCTGAGAGTGGCTCCCTGGGGGTGGGAAGAGGCCCCCGTGATGGGGAGTGGGGTTTCTGTGCCTGTCAGTGCTGCTTCACTGACTGTAGCTTATGCATCACGTGGACATCAGTGGCTTGCTTCTCATGGTCAGTTCTGGCCCATCTTGATGATTTGTAAGGTGCCATCCTGTAGAGTGGCTGTGGTGGGGCTGACTGGTGTGGCTGGGGATACTAGTCTTATTGGTCCCTGATGCCACCACCAGGGGGGTGACAGGCCTGTGTTGTACAGCAGGATCTTTAGTTTTAGCCCAGCCGCCTTACAGAAAGGAACCTGGAGGGCCAGCCAGCTTTTTGCTCTGACCTTGGGATACGCTGTGACTGGGACTGAGGCCTCAGCTGCCTTCTAGCGTGCTTTGCAGGTCAGCACACTGGCATGTCTGGGTTATTTGTCCCTAATGCCCCAGCCTTACACCCTTCTTGTTCATTCAGATTTATAAGATTGGCCAGGGCTACCTTATCAAGGACGGCAAGCTGATCAAGAACAATGCCTCCACTGACTATGACCTATCTGACAAGAGCATCAACCCTCTGGTAAGTAATGGGTGTTCTGCTCTGTGAGGCCATCCCAGGCCTCGTGCTTTTGGGGATAGGCTGCTTCCTAGGGGCTGCTAGCAGGATCGTTAACTGAAGCCAACACAACACCTAGCTGTGTCCCTTGTAAGTGGCATGTTGTCATCTGAGTCCACTCGTCGGGGTTGGCTGGTGAGAAGTGGGGTCTCAGGCTCAGCTGTTCAGTGATGAGGCCTGGAATGTGCGCTGGGCACAGCGCCCGAGACAGACTGCGGAACCGTTCCTTGTTGCCTTCCTTCTGAGAACAGCCCTGTGGTCAGGGAGGGCCTGAACCTGGAGGGGTCATCTGCACGACAATCCCCTCCTGGGCCTGTGCTGATCCGATGCTCGTTTTCCAGGGTGGCTTTGTCCACTATGGTGAAGTGACCAATGACTTTGTCATGCTGAAAGGCTGTGTGGTGGGAACCAAGAAGCGGGTGCTCACCCTCCGCAAGGTGAGGCAGGTCCTGACTTGTCATGGGGGGGCTCTTGTAGAGGGAGGATCCAAGGCCACAGACGCTGGTGGCCCTGTGGTGGGAGAGGAAAGGAAGGAGAGGGTGTTGGCAGTCCTTTCACACTGGCTTTGAAGTCCTGAGATGAGGAAATTCCCAGTCTGGCCTTGCTGGGCTGTTTGCTGCTTTGAGTGTGTCCTCATCTGCCGGATGGTGGGGGAGGCTGAATTGATCGTGTGGCTTCCCAGATGCAGGGGCGCTGTGAACAGTGCTGAGGAAAGCCTGGCTCCTCGTAATCCTAAATCCCTTCCCCTCTTGGCCCATAGTCCTTGCTGGTGCAGACGAAGCGGCGGGCTCTGGAGAAGATTGACCTTAAGTTCATTGACACCACCTCCAAGTTTGGCCATGGCCGCTTCCAGACCATGGAGGAGAAGAAAGCATTCATGGTGAGCACCTCTGCCTGCCCCCCTCGCTGGGTGTGGTGGCTTGGGCAGCCGCCTGCCTTTGGCTCCAGCCGGGGTAGGGGTGGTCTTGATGCCTTAGGCCTCTCTTGTGGCTGTGGAGACTGGCCCAGAGTCTTGGTCTCCTCTAGAGTGGGCATCTGCTGTCACCTGTCATCTTCTACCTCTGACCACTGCCTCTCTCCCCACAGGGACCACTGAAGAAAGACCGAATTGCAAAGGAAGAAGGAGCTTAATGCCAGGAACAGATTTTGCAGTTGGTGGGGTCTCAATAAAAGTTATTTTCCACTGACATCTTGCCTCTTTCTTCAGGAGAGAGGCTGGGACTGGGGAGGCAGATGGGGGCCCTTGAGGTGCCTTGTGCTCCCCAAGGCCACTGCCCTCCTTTCTGTAGCTTCGCTGGGTTTGCCTTCTGGCCTCCCACTCTGTCCCCCACCCTCAGTCCCTGGAGGGAGGTAAAAGCTGGGCCTGGTTCTGCAGCTGAGCTGTAGAAATCCAGCCTGGAGCAGTGGGCATTGTGCAAATGTTTGTCACCAGGGTGAGGCAGCTGGGTCTCTGCTGTTTGCACAGCTTGGGTGATGCCAGTGCTGTGGAGACGAGAAGGAGACAGGGAGGCCTGGATGTTCCCTGGCGCGTTTGATGCTGGTGTGCAGGCAGACCGTGGGTTTGTTACTTGTTTAAAAAGTTCATTTGGTTTTAAATTAATCCAGGGAAGGGTGGCTTCCAGTTAAGGCTTGTTCAGGTTCTTTTGTAATCTGCACCCCAAGTCTGGTACTGGGAGAACATGAACACAGGCACAGAGGTTAAGGGACTTCCCCGGCTCGGCAGCTGGAAGCCTAGTTGGAACATGTGGCAGAGGGCTGTGTCCCCTCTGGGCTGGGGTCTACCTTCTGGGACTTGGCTGGTGCAGTCCCTGTTCCCACTGGAGATGGCCCCTGTACCCCAGCCCCCTCGGGCATGGGACTTATGTGCTTTCTTGACTTGCACGTTGAGTGCCTGCTGCCCTCAGTCCCTGGAGCCCAGGATGCTGGGGTGCAGCTGCTGCTGTAAGCTGAAGGAAGCCCCCAGGCTCTGGACTGACCCCTGTGACCTGGCCTGGAGCCCGGTGATCTCGGTGAAGCCCAGCACAGACCCTGGTGCTTGGACCCACTTGCTGACTCCCCGTCTTTGCTCAAGCTGCACCTAGGCTCTACCAGGACGGGGTGTGGAATGCAGGTCCCCTGATGCTGTCGAAGCTGCTCCCTCAGACTCAAGGTGCTGTGGCTGTGAGCAGGCGCTGTGCTGTACTCCATCCCTCGCTGAGTTACTTGTGGATAGAGTCCCCAGCTGCGCCAGCTGACTGTCCACCCAGCAGTGTCTGGCAGGCCTGCTAGTCACCGGGACCCTAACTGTGTGTCTGAGTCTCTGTTTATTCGGATGGATTGGCAATAGCTGGGATCTGAGGATCAGCGTGCAGGGTGCACCTGTGGGCTCGGGGCGTGTGTGGGACTGCGGGAGAACAGTTGTGGAGATGCCCAAGTTGTCACTGTCTCCCTGTGGACCTGAGGGTGCAGGGTGAAGCACTAAAATATCTTGAAGTCGGTCGGGCGCGGTGGCTCACGCCTGTAATCCAGCACTTTGGGAGGCTGAGGTGGGCGGATCACGAGGTCAGGAGATTGAGACCACGGTGAAACACCGTCTCTACTGAAAATACAAAAAAATTAGCCTGGCGTGGTGGCAGGCGCCTGTAGTCCCAGCTACTTGGGAGGCTGAGGCAGGAGAATGGCGTGAATCCAGGAGGCGGAGCTTGCAGTGAGCCGAGATGGCGCCACTGCACTCCAGCCTGGATGACAGAGCGAGACTCCGTCTCAAAAAAAAAAAGTCATCCAGGTGCAGAGCGGATAAGTGCCATGTAGGTCCTGAGGCAGGGGCAGGTCAGAGTTGAGTTGTGTGCAGCGGGAACCTTCCCCACGTGTGTCTGTCCACCCTGCAAGTCTCCAGCTCCTTCTGAGCTTGGCTTGGGGCAGTTGGTCTCAAGGCAGAACCCTCCTTCCTGCAGCCCCTCCCATCTTTGGCTCTGCAGCCTGGGCCTAGGTGACTGGAGCTGCACTTCAGGTTGGAGCCACCAGGGGGTGAGTGCGGCACGTGCCCTGCAAGAGGGCCCTGCTAGGGGTTTTGGATTGGGCAGGGTTCCTTTCTGCATCAGGGTCTTCGGATGCCCCGCAGTCATGGGAGTCAAGTGCACAGCTGGAATGGGTCATGACCTATTGTCCCAAGGCCACCAGGCACCTTAGTGGCAGGGCCAGGTGTGAGACCTGGTTGCCTGGTCTCCTGGGTGCTGCCTCTTGTCAGTCTCCATGGTTAGATCTCGTCCTGGTGGGGATGCTGACTGGGCAGGGGTCCCAGCCTGTCCCCTCCCTTCCCCATCCCTTAGGCTGGGCCTGGAGCCCCGCTGCCTACCAGCCCAGAAAGGAAAGGGTTTGCTGGTCTGAGATGTCCTGGCCGAGCCTGGCTGCTTGTCCAGGGCTCTGTACCGAGTTCTGGGTATGGCCAGGATGACAGGACGCAAAGAACAAAGGCCCCTAGGGGTAGTCTGTCTGTCTTCCCCCAGGCTCAGGACACACACATAGGCACCCAGTACCACAGACACACCTGCAGGCTGCAAGTGGAGGCTGGCATCACACCCGTACCTATCCACATGTGCCCAAGTGCACAGAAAGCCTTTCTCACGGGCAGCCTGGCTTGACTGGGGGCTGAGCCTTTGCTGTTGACAGCCCCTCAGCCCTTCCTTGCCTGCCGTGTGTGGTGGCTCACGTCTGTAATCTCAGCACTTTGGGAGACTGATACGGGAGGATGGCTTGAGCCCAGGAGTTTGAGACAACCTAGTGAGACCTGTCTCTACAAAAGATTTAAAAGTTAGCTGGGTATGGTGGCGCGTGCCTATAGTCCCAGCTACTTGGGAGGCTGAGGTGGGAGGATCCGCTTGAGCCTGGGAGGTCAAGGCTGCAGTGAGCCATGCATGATTGCACCACTGCACTCCAGGCTGGGTGACAGAGCAAGATCCTGTCAAGAAAAAAGGCAGTTTAGAAGTGAAGACGGCTGTGAGGAAATAAAACAGGTCACTGGGATGGAGTCATGTGGGTGGGGTCGGGGAGGCCTCTCTGAGATTTGAAAGGTATCAAGGGTCCTGCCTGTGGAGCCCTGTGCTGGAACACTCACTCCCGCCAGGGAATGGTGAGTGCGAAGGCCCTGGGGTGGGACAAGGCTCCTGGGCTCCGGTATGAGCTCCTGAGGGAGGGGCTTCATGATATGGGCTCATTCCCAGCTGGATCTCCTGTCTCCCTAGCATGGAGAAGGTTTGTTGGGGGTCTCTGCATCTCTGGGCCTCGTCTGTATTGTGCGTGTGCCCCGCTGTCCCGAGCGGAGGCCTGTGGTGGGTGGGGCGGCTGCCGTGCCTGTGCATGTCACCAAGGGTACATCTCCAAGTGCCTGCTGGCATGCGCTTCCTGTCACGCTTTTCTCTCACCAGAACCCCTAGACAGGCCTCGCCGGAATCCTGCGGTGACAGAACAAGAAGTCCCATTCCATTCCTCCTGAAAAAAAGAAAAAATACCTGCTGGGAATTTCTGAGCAAGTGGGAACAGGGAGGTGGTGGCGGGAGCTGCCTTTGCCTTAAAAGGTGTGACGGAGCCAGGGACTTCGCTCAGCTCACCTGGGGATGGCCACGGGGTGTAGAGGGGTGAGTGGCTGGCCGCCACCTTGTGGGCTCACCCCAAATTGCTCTCTGCCTAGATCTTCGTTGACAGCCTTGCTGGCAGGGGCTGTGCTGCTCTGTCTCTGTCCCCCCACCCAGATGTAGCCCCATGCAGCTGGCAGCTCACCTTCCTCCCCTTGGTTCTCAACCTCGTAGCTGATAATGCAGCTACTTGCTGCAACTTCTGGGGGTCCCTCTGCCCTGCCTCCTGGGCAGTTCCCAGGAGCCCAAAGTCCCTTTCCCTTTCAGGAGCAGTCTCAGGAGCCCGGGCCAGGCCACCGACAGGAGACTGCCTGATGCAAACCTCACGGGAGGCAGGAAATTACAGTAGCCCCTACCCTCCGACACCCCCCGTGGATTCCTGAAACCGCGGATAGTACGGAACCCTCTGTGGATTAGGCTTTTTCTCTCTGATCACCAAGAGGGCTACAAAGTGACTCACGGGCGGGAACGCCTGCAGCGCGGAGACGCTGGACAGAGGAATGAGTCACGATCATCGCTGCATGATTTCATCACCCTGCTCAGAATGGCATGCAATGTCAAATTATGAATTATTTCTGAAATTTTCTCTTTAATATTTTCAGGCTGTGGCTGACTGCTGGAAACTGCAACTAAGGAAAGTGAAACCACAGATAATGGGGGCGCTGCGGTAACTCCACGGGCCTGAGAGTGAGGGAGGAAGGGAGCATCCAGGAACCATCCAGAGCCCAACCTCACCAGCCGCTCACCCACAATCAGCAGCACTCACAGGTCAAGGCAGTGCGCGGGACAGCAGGCGGCAATCATTGTGAGCATCTTGCTCTGTATTAGGCACTGAGCATTTCACACAGAGAAAAAGTCATCAGGCTCACTCCTTGAGGCAGGTTCTGTTATGATCACATTTTACAGTAAGAAACTGGGGCTTGTGGATGAATAACTTGCCCAGGGATGCTGTATGATTGGTGGGGTTGGGACGTGAGCCCAGGCATCTCTTCACCCTCACTCTAGGCTACCAGGGGTCGGTAAAGCCAATGAATGCTGCCTCAAGGGTGAAGGAGAGGGCTCATTTGTTGAGCACCTACGGTGTGCCAAGGTTTGTACTCAACTCTTTTCAGAGTTACCTTATTTTTATTTTTTGAGACAGGGTCTCACTGTGTCGCCTAGGGCTGGAGTGCGGTGGTGCGATCACGGCTCACTGCAGCCTTGACCTCCCAGGCTCGAGCAATCCTCCCACCTCAGCCTCCCGAGTAGCTGGGACTATAGGCACCCGCCACCACGCCCGGCTAATTTTTTTTTATTTTTTAGTAGAGACAGGGTTTCATCGTGTTAGCCAGGATGGTCTCGATCTCCTGACCTCGTGATCCACCTGTCTCGGCCTCCCAAAGTGCTGGGATTACAGGCATGAGCCACCGCGCCCGGCCTAATATTTGTATTTTTTGTAGAGAGTGGGTCTTGTCATGTTGCCCAGGCTGGTCTCGAACTCCTAGGCTTAAACAATCCTCCCCCCTCAGCCTCAGAAAGTGCTGGGATTAAAAGCGTTCAGCTACCTCGCCCAGCCCAGAGTTACCTTATTTATTTATTTACTTATTTTTGAGACAGAGTCTCACTCTGTTATCCAGGATGGAGTGCAGTGGCGCGATCTCAGCTCACTGCAACCTCCACCTCCCGAGTTCAAGCGATTCTTGTGCCTCAGCCTCCTGAGTAGCTGGGATTATAGGCACGCCACCACGCCTGGCTGATTTTTGTATTTTTAGTAGAGATGGGGTTTCACCATGTTGGCCAGGCTGGTCTTGAACTCCTGACCTCAGGTGATCCACCTGCCTCGGCCTCCCAAAGTGCTGGGATTACAGGTGTGAGCCACTGAGCCCCGGCATCACTTCTGTTTTCACAGGGAGGAAATTGAGGCTCAGCAAGGTTAAGTCACAGTCTCCGAGGTCAGACTCTTGGAGTGGCGAGGCGGGGATATAAAATCCAGGCTCCAGACACGAGCGCACAACCATCACACCACGCTGTCCTGGTGCAGGAGGGCTGCGAAAGCTCTGGGTGAGGACTGGAGGGACACTGTTTCCCAGCAGCCACTGCGACCCCCAATGCTCCTTGGCCCCCTACCCTCTCCCAGGCTCCTACAGTGGGCCCCTGCTTCTTTACGGATGAGGTCTCCTGGAGCCCGGTACCACAGCCAGCCCCACCCTTGCTGGGCCCTGAGCCTGCACAGCTGGTCTTCAGGTCACTGGGCTTCATGTGACTATGGAGAAGTGACCCCTCCCCACCCGGTCCCCACCAGAGTCCTGCTTAGCCCGGCAGAGGAAAACGGCTGTGAGGGAAGGCACTAAAGATAGCTGCCTCGCCAACTTCCCCATCCTACTGGCCGCTGTCTCCTCCCCAGTGGGCTTCTCCAGCAGACCTCCACCCCAGGCCATCCTTGAGCCTGGTCAGCCAGCCCGGGGCATAAGCAGGGACCCAGGCGATGGTCACCACCATGGCCGCTGTTACTGAAGACTCACGGGCCCCAGGCACTGGGCCAGGCAGGACTGTGTGCCTTACTGCACAGAAACCCCTCAACAGGGGGCAGCAAGGAGCTGCCTGTCACCCCCACTTGATAGATGGGGATCCAAGCACAGAGGAGGACCAGCTGGTGTGAAAGCCCCAGCTCATCCTCATGCCAGCAGCTGGGAACACACCTGGACATTGACACGCCACGCCATCTTCCCCCATGGCCCAGGGCCTATGGACACACTGGCTTGGCAACACCAGAGCCTATGATGAAGACACCATGTCATCCCCCATCCATCTGTGACACCATCTCCACCCGCAGCAGGAATATTTACATCAGGGAAACAGGCAGACACTAGAGATCAGGGCCATTCCTCCAGGGAGCTGCTTGTTAGACATTTACCAGCACAGCACTGACCCCAACCTTCTGTTCTGCTGGTGACACCAATGGCTGAACCCAGCTGGAAGTGGCAAGGGAGTTTAGTTGATATAGTCCCCAGAAGTCAGCATCCTGGGGCACAGAGAAGTGGGTGAAAGGGCGGCTTGAGGATCTGGAGTGACAGACACAAGATCCAGCCCAATGCCCAGTGCTTCCCTCTTGCTTCCTGGGAACCACTATTCCCAGCGTTTCTCATATACATTTAATCAGAGGCAGGACCTCCCGCCTCAGCAGCTTCCCTGGCTCCACATTGCACATTCATTTACAGCTGACCTGTGAACAATGTGGGGATCGAGGCAGTAACCCCCCATGCAGTAAAAAATCCAGGTGTAACTTTTGACTCCCCTAAAACTTAACTACTGGCCGGGCTCGGTGGCTCATGCCTATAATCCCAGCACTTTGAGAGGCCGAGGTGGGTGGATCACGAGGTCAGGAGATTGAGACCATCCTGGCTAACACAGTAAAACCCTGTCTATACTAAAAAAATACAAAAAAATTAGTTGGGTGTGGTGGTGCGTGCCTGTAGTCCCAGCTACTTGGGAGGCTGAGGCAGGAGAATGGCCTGAACCCAGGAGGTGGAGCTTGCAGTGAGCCGAGATCACGCCACTGCACTCCAGCCTGGGCGATGGAGCGAGACTCTGTCTCAAAAAAAAAAAAAAAATTTTAACACTCAGTAACTTTTTTTTTTTTTGAGACGGAGTCTCGCTCCGTCGCCCAGGGTGGAGTGTAGTGGCACCATCTCGGCTCACTGCAACCTCTGCCTCCTGGGTTCAAGAGATCCTCCTTCCTCAGCCTCCCGAGTAGCTGGGACTACAGGTGCCTGCCACCACACCCGGCTAATTTTGTATTTTTAGTAGAGACAGGGTTTCACCATGTTGGCCAGACTGGTCTCAAACTCCTGACCTCAAGTGATCCGCCCGCCTCAGCCTCCCAAAGTGCTGGGATTACAGGCATGCGACGCTGCACCCGGCCTTAACTACCAATAACTTACTGTTGACTGTGAAAACAGTTGATTAACACATATTTTGTGTGTTACGTGTATTATATACTATAGTCTTATAATAAAGTAAGGTAGAGAAAAGAAAATGTTATTAAGATAATCTGGCTGGGCATAGTGGCTCATGCCTGTAATCTCAGCACTTTGGGAGGCCAAGGCAGGCGGACCGTCTGAGGTCAGGAGTTCGAGACCAGCCTGGCCAACATGGTGAAACCCCGTCTCTACTAAAAATATAAAAATTAGCTGGGCATGGTGGCGCGCGCCTGTTATCCCAGCTACTCAGGAGGCTGAGGCATGAGAATCGCTTGAACCCAAGAGGTGGAGGTTGCAGTGAGCCGAGATCGCGCCATTGCACTCCAGCCTGGGGGACAAGAGTGAGACTCCATCTCAAAAAAAAAAAAAAAAAAAGAAGTGGAAACTCCAAGTCCAAATCCGTGTTGTTCGAGGGTCAGCTGTATTTTTTTTTTCTTGATCCAGGTTTTTGCTCTGTCGCCCAGGCTGGAGTGCAGTGGTGTAATCTCGGCTCACTGCAACCTCTGCCTCCCAGGTTCAAGAGATTCTCCTGCCTTACCCTCCCGAGTAGTTGGGATTACAGGCACAGACCACCACGCCCAGCTAATTTTAGTATTTTTAGTAGAGTTGGTGTTTCACCATGTTGGCCAGGCTGGTCTCAAACTCCTGACCTCAGGTGATCCACCCACCTTGGCCTCCCAAAGTGCTCAGATGGCAGGAGTGAGCCACTGCGCCCAGCCTTGAGGGTCAATTGTATTCATATGTCACCGTTACCAACCTTTATTAGGCACCAACAGGCATTCAAGGCTCTTCACTAGGCGGCTGCAGCCTGCCAGCTCATCCCAGGCTGCTGTGCCTCAGCCGTGCGAGACCACCAGAGTCGCCCTTCCACCTGTGCCTCGGTGTCCCTGTCTACAATCCTGGTGTGGTGCGTGGAAAAGAGCTGCCTGGGCTGGCAATTGGCAGCTCAAGGGCCAGCCCAGCTCGCAGTTATGCTTTGTTTGGTCCTCAGAGTTGCAAAAGAAAATTAAAGGGTACTGACCTTTGCTTTCACGCAGAACTCACATTTCCAGCTTCTTTAGGCAATAGGGTGATCTGGCGGCAACAGGCTGGAGCTGCAAAGCTGCTGCCCTCCCACCATGGCCCTCCCCAGCCTCTGTCTCAGGGTTACCTCTGCAGGCCTGGCAGCCAGCAGGGTCCAGCACACAGTAGGTGCTCAGTGAAGAACTGGGAGGTGGAAGAGACTGGGACAGAGGGACGAATGAAGCGCCTACCAGCCGCTCCTATGAAACCCCTGTTTGGGTGAGCTTGTTTTACACGAGGCCTTGAATTCAGGAGTTGGCAGACTTTGACCTTTTTTTATTTTTTATTTTTGAGACGGAGTCTTATTCTGTTGCCCAGGCTGGAGTGCAGTGATGCCATCCTGGCTCATCACAGCCTCGACCTTCTGGCACAAGTGATCCTCCTGCCCCAGCCTCCCAAGTAGCTGGGACTACAGGTGCATGCCACCACGCCTGGCAAATTTGTTTTTTTAGACGGAGTCTTGCTCTGTTGCCCAGGCTGGAGTGCAGTGGTGCAATCTCAGCTCACTGCAACCTCTGCCTCCTGGGTTCAAGCATTTCTTCTGCCTCAGCTTCTTGAGTAGCTGGGACTACAGGCGTGTGCCACCACGCCCAGCTAATTTTTGTATTTTTAGTAGAGACGGGTTTGACTATATTGGCCAGGCTGGTCTCCAACTCCTGACCTCGTGATCAGCCCGCCTCAGCCTCCCAAAGTTCTGAGATTACAGGCGTGAGCCACTGTGCCCAGCTCTATGCCTGGCTAATTTAAAAAAAATTATTTTGTAGAGACAGGGCCTCACTATGTCACCCAGGCTGGTTTTGAACTCCTGGGCTCAAGCAATTCTCCAGCCTCGGCCTTCCAAAGTGCTGGGATTACGGACGGACGCCACCACAACTGGCCACTACACTTTGATCTTTAAAAACCTGATCAATAGCATGAGCCTGGAAACCATCCAAAAGTCCACTGGCCCTGAGGCCATCATGCACAGCGTTGTCTCCTCGGCCTGGGAGCGTCACGTGGCAGTGCAGGTGGAGCTGGAGTCACAGACGCCCCTCACGGAGGGACCTCTCAGTGCAGAGCAAAAAGGGCAAGTTGCAGAGAAATTCCCATGTTGCAGAGAGATAGCTGTTCCCTTCTTTCGGCATGTGTGAAGGATTTTATAATTTATTAAAAACATGCAAATGGGGCCAGGCGCAGCGGCTCACGTCTGTAATCCCAGCACTTTGGGAGACTGAGGCAGGTGGATCACCTGAGGTCAGGAGTTTGAGACCAGCCTGGCCCACATGGCGAAACCCCGTTTCTACTAAAAATACAAAAATTAGCGGGGCCTGGTGGTGGGTGCCTGTAATCCCAGCTACTCAGGAGGCTGAGGCAGGAGAATCGCTTGAACCCGGGAGGTGGAGGTTGCAGTGAGCTGAGATCGCATTACTGCACTCCAGTCTGGGCGACAGAGTGATACTGTGTTTCAAAATAATAATAATAATAATACAATAAATAAATAAATAAATAAATAAATAATGAATGGCAAACCCAGTCTGCATTGGCTGCATGGCATAGTGGACAGTGACCGGGATGGGCACTGGGGTGGCCTCCTGTGCCAGCTCTCCTGAGAACTCATGGTGCAGGCTTGGTGAGGCCTGTCTGGGCCTCAGTTTCCTTGTCTGTGGCATGGGGGCTCAGGCTGAGGGAGGGCAGGGTTGCACAATTTCTCAGAGCCCTTTCAGCTGTGAGGCTGGGACTCCAAAGCTCAAAGGAAGTACAGAGTGAAAAGACTGACAGAGAGATGCTGTGGGCTCTAGCAATCAGGGAAGGCTTCCTGAAAGAGGGGGCTTGAGCTGAGCTGTGAAGGCTGAGCAATGCCCTGCCAGGGTTAACCTGAACAGGAAGGGTGGGCATTCATGATGCCAAGGAATTGATTGATGCAGGACAAGAAAGGGCTGGCCAAATTAGGGCTTAGCCTTGGAGGGTTCTTGGCTTCTCCCAGGAAAGAATTCAAGGGCGAGCAGATGGTGTTAAACAGCACCTTTCACTGAAGTGACAGTGTACAGTAGCAGCAGAGGTCTCGCTCTTCCTGGAGCAGGGGTACCCCATAGGCAGTGGGCCCAGACCAGCAGCTCAGAAGCAGGGTTGCCCTCATATTTATACCTACTTTAATTATATGCAAATGAAGGGGCGGGTTATGCAGAAATTTACAGGACAAGGGGGCAACTTCTGGGTTGTTAGGTCAATGCTATAGAAGAGGTTGGCAATTTCAGGGAGTTGCCATGGCAATGGTAAACTGATATGGCACACTGGTGGGCGTGTCTTAGGGGGAGGTGCTTCACCGACCTGTTTTAGCTAGTCCTCAATTTGGTCCAGTGTCTGAGCTGTGCCTCTGGAGTCAAGTCCGACCTCCTACCTCGGAATGAGTTTGTGAGAGAGACTTCAGGCACGCAGGCAGTGAGTTAGGGAGATATTTGCGGGTGGGCTGTGGGAGGCCTTCCCTGAGATCTTCCATTGGACCTCATCCCAGGGTACTCACTTCTCCATCCTGGATGGGTGGGTGGGCGTGGGAAGTGGATCTCATGGCTCGTTGTGCCCCATGAGCCAGGCATTGCACCTGCTCTTGTCGTGCATGGTCCATTTGCTCCTCACACCTGAGGAAGGGGGCGGCAGGCACAAAGGTCACCCCCGTTTCACAGGAGAAGAAACTGGGCTCCACAGCCAGGCTCCTCTGGGCTCGTCTACCTGGGGAGGTAGAGGAGAGGAAGCCCCTTGGGGAAGCAGGAGGCCAATGCTCAGAGCTCCTGTGTGGCCATTCTTCCTGCCCAGAATGCCATTCCCTCTTGTCTGTGGTGGGAACCCCAACTTGCCCTTCCGGGCTTGGCTCCAATGTCACCTCCTCCTGGAAGCCTTCCCTGACCCCCACCTGCATCGGGGTTGCCTGATGTTTGCTCTTTTGCACTCTCTGCTTCTCCCTCCCCACTTTGTGCTCCACGTCCATCTTCCCAGCCAAGCGGGGACCTCCTTGGGTCCCGGGTTGTGTCTGTCTTGCCTTTTTTGTACCCTCTGCACCCAGCACAGTGCTGAGCACATCGTAGGAGTTCAATGAACGTTTGTTGAAAGACCCATTGCCTGAAGGCACGCACGCATAAACTAAGAATGAATGAGGTGACTTGCCCAGGGTCACCCAGATGGTCAGGGCTGCATGGCCCTGGTGGAACAGCAGCACCCAATCCCCTCTGGCCTCCTGCCTGGTTTCCTGCTTCTGTTCTATTTTTTTTTTTTTTTGAGATGGTGTCTCCCTCTGTTGCCCAGGCTGGAGTGCAGTGGCACAATCTTGGCTCACTGCAACCTCAGTCTCCCGGGTTCGAGTGATTCTCCTGCCTCAGCCTCTGGAGTAGCTGCGATTACAGGCTCCTGCCACCACACTTGGCTAATTTTTTGTTGTTGTTGTATTTTTAGTAGAGATGGCATTTCACCATGTTGGCCAGGCTGGTCTCGAACTACTGACCTCAAATGATCCACCTGCCTCAGCCTTCCAAAGTGCTGGGATTACAGGCGTGAGCCACCGTGCCCAGCCCCACTTCTGTTCTTGATGCTCACATCTATCCTTTACCCGGCGGCCAGAGTCAAACAAACCCCTGTCAGATTGCACCCTGCCTCTGCTGCACACCCTCCATAGCTCTGCTGGATGCAGAGTGAGAGCTCAGGCCACCACAGTGCCCAGGACCCGCTCCTCCCAGGCCTCATGGCCACACAGGTCTCCTCTCTGTTCCTGCAATGCAGCAGGCTGGCCACCGCCTCGGGCGCCTTTGCACTGGCTCTCCCCGATTCTTGGAATGCTCGTCCCTGGAAATTTGCAGAGGCCACTTTCTCAGCTGCAACCTTGCTGCCCCAGGGCTCCTGACCCCGCACCCCACTCTGCCTCCTCTGTTCCAGGCACTGTCGCCTGCCACCGGCAGCAGGATGCACTTCTGTGTCATGGTCACTGCGTGTCTCCCCGAGTCCCACTAGGGCAGGGCCCTTTATTTGGGTCTCTGTTCTCCAGGCTTCCAGAGAAGGGAGGGCGGGGGAGATGTGGTCTGGAGCGCGTGAGAGACCGGGGAGAACTCCAAGGTGCAGCAACTTCCTCAAAGCAAATTTAGGAAAAGCTGAAGTGAAAAAGGCTCGGGCAGCTGCGTGCTTCCTGCAGCCGGTCCGGAGCCCAGGGCATGTGTCTGGGTCTGTGTGTGACTTGTGTGTCTGCATGTCTGTCTGTGTGAGTGTATATTGTGGGGTGGGGGGCAGTGGATTCTGGAACCAGGGACCTCTCAGAGCCTCAGGGGGCAGAGCTAGGTGGTCTCTGGCCCAGGGGCTCCAGACAGGGGTTCTGGTTCCGCAGAGCTGTGGGGCTGGGTGCTTCTGTCCTTTTCCCCTGGGGCAGAGTGACCTAAGAGGACAGGATGCGTGTAAACTCTGGAGCGGACTTTCAGGGTTCCATTCCCAGCTGCACCACTTCCTGCGTGACCTTGAGGAAGTGATTTAACCACACTGTGCCTCAGTCTCATCATCTGAGAAATGGACATGCTGAGGCTCCTGCCGCCATGCTTGGCTAATTTTAATTAACAGGCCACCTCCTGTTGTTGCCAGGATTTGATGAATGAAGGCGTGTGAGCGGCTGAGACCCACATTTGGCCGTCAGCTCACATTCACCACGGGCGTCAGTCTAAGATCCAGTGTGAGCGAGACCCAGGCCAGCCTCAGGGAGGGGGCGCCAGGCAGAGGGAGAGGCCGCCAGTGCTGTGCAGTGGTGTGAGGGCTGGGGAGGCAAGCTGGGGAGGCAAGCTGGGGAGGGGTCCCACCCCAGGCAGGGAGCCCGGAGGAAGGCGGTCTCAGGGGAGGCTGAACAGGCCAGGAAAGAGGAAGAAGAGAAAGTGGCCACAGGGACAGGGCAGCAAGGGTCAAGCCTGCAGGGGGAGAGATGGATGGGTGAGGGCTGCGAGAAACTCGGGGATACCCATGCCCAGTGGGACCAAGGGATGGGGCTGGAGTGCAGCCACATGTTCCACCTCCCCCAAGTGCCAGGCTGCATTGGACTTTGTCCTGGAGCCGTGCAGAGCCATGGGAGGTTTTTGAGCAGGGGCTCGGAGGCCTCAGCTCATGGTTTCCATCTGGTTCCAGGCTGATGGGGAGGCACCATCACAGCCCAGGTCAGGAAGGTGAGACACTCATACCAAACACTTAGAAAACAGGGCCAGAGGCCGGGCGCGGTGGCTCACGCCTGTAAACCCAGCACTTTGGGAGGCCGAGGCGGATGGATCACCTGAGGTCAGGAGTTCGAGACCAGCCTGGCCAACATGGTGAAACCCTGTGTCTACTAAAAATACAAAGAATTAGCCCGGCGTGGTGGCGGGTGCCTGTAATCCCAGCTACTCAGGAGGCTGAGGCAGAAGAATCGCTTGAACCCAGGAGGCGGAGGTTGCAGTGAGCCAAGATTACGCCATTGCACTCCAGCCTGGGCAATAAGAGCGAAACTCCATCTCAAAAAAAAAAAAAAAGCCAGAGCACCCGACTCGGTGGCTGAAAAAGTCTTAAGGGGCAAAGGGGCCTGTGAAGGTTTCCTGGCGGAGGCCCTGGAAGTGAGCCTCAGTGGAGCCAATAAGAGACCTCCTCAGCCTGCTGAGTGACTTCAGGCAAACCACTGCCCTCTCTGGTCTCAGCTCCCACCTGCCCTGGCAGGGACTCACCTGGCCCCACCCCTGTGTCTCTCTTGGGCTCTGACATTCCACGATCACAGATGGGCAAGAATGGAATCCGCCAGAGGCAGATTCAGATTCTTGATTTAGACGGAGAATCTGCCTCGGTCTCCCCCCTGCACTGTGTTGGGGGTCAGGCAGGGAGGACAATCGCGTTTGATTGTCAAAGACCTTGCAAGCCTCAGGGGCCAGCTGCCAAGGAGTGTTTTCCATTCCTGGGAGGGTGGGCCCTTCCTGCCAGGAGAAAATTCCAAACTCCCGCCAGGAAGGAGAGAGCTCCTGCCACCCCCGGTGACCACACACCCGCCGCCCAAACCCTGTGGCATCAACTGCGTTTTTTCTCTTCGTTTCCCCTCTCTTGGCCAAGGTGGAGGGAGCCTCCCTGGGCCTGGAGGAGAGGCCCTCAGCGCCTCCAGTTTGCTCAGAGGTGCCCTCTCTCTTCCCCTGTCCCTTCCTGCCTTCTCTGTTCCAGGCGCAGGCTCACAAGGTACAGGCCTTGTGAATGGCCCCCAACCAAAGCGCCTTGCTCTGCTCCTGGGTGTCTGTTAGTCTGGGTGGTGTGAAGAACATGGGGCTTCTATCCTCTGGGACAATGGGATTGTTACTTGAGAATTAAGAGCCCTCGCTCCTGAAATTAGAAGTCCTAGTTTCCATGGTCTGATCTTCGTTTGTAAGATACGCATTCCTGAAATTATTTAGTTCTACGAATTCTTGGGACTAGAATGGAAAATATCCCAGTAGTCGATGGTCCCGGAATTTTCTGGTTGTAAGAATGTGTTGTTCTAGGATTCTCTAGTTCAAAGGCACTGTGGTTCTGGAAGTCTGGATCCAGCTGTCCAGAGTTCAGATACCACACTGTGGGCCGAGGGCGCCGTAAGAGCTGGTGGGGCCCAGGGAGGAGCTGGGAAAGGGGTGGTGGCCGGGTGGCAGTGTGGCACAGGGCAGGCCAGGTGTGCCGGTGTGGGTGTTGGCGGCAGCTCCAGCGCTGACAGCTGGGGAGGGACTGCTGCCTGAGCCCATCGCACCTGGCCCTGACCCAGGAAGGGGAGGGGGCAGGGACAGGAAGAGGACTCAGAAGAGGCCTGGCTGAGAGCCTCCCGGGAGCTCTGCCCTCCCCTGCCCTCCCCTGCCCTCCCCTGAGACTCCTCTCCTGTTGCCCCACTGAACTCCCAGTGGCAGAACGTGCTGGGGCTGCCTTGGGCAAGTGGGGCGTCCAGGCCCTGCAGCCAGGGGCAGGGCCTCCTCCTGGTCTGACTGAGAGCTGGGGTAGCCCAGGACTCCCCACAGCCAGTCTGGGGCTCTTTCCATGGGTCTCCTGTTAATCGGCCCTCAGACGCCCCCGCTTCATCCCTGAATGTTTGGTCTCTGGTCACAGCCAACCCTCTCCCCATGCACTACTGGCCGCTTCAGGTCTTTGGCCTGGGAGGAGTCAGGAGCTCAGAGTTTGCTGTCAGGAGGCCTCAGTCTTCCCATCTGGGTGCTGGGAGTGGTGGGCCATCAGGCCGGCCCTCCCGCCCTGTCTCCACGCTGACTTCTTCCCTTGTCCTGCGGTAGGCTTCCCGTGCCCTCCTGGCTCCTGCGAGGAGGGGCTCCCTGCCCTTCCCCAGCCCTGCCTGGCGGGCTCCCAGCGGGCCCGTGGGAGCTGGAATTTGGAGCAGTCCCTGGCGTGTGTGCGCTGCCTCCCGCCTGCCTGCCGGGGCACCTCCTCTGACTCGGGGCCAGGAATTCCTCCCGCCTGTTCCCCACCAGCCCCAAGGGAAGGGGTTGCTGTGGGAAGGACCAAGCACATGCTGGAAGTCTGGACTGAGGGAGAGTTGGGGAGGGAGCCCCGGCCTGGGGCTGGCAGAACAGGCTGGGGTGGGCTGGGGGAGAACGGGGGATGGGTTCTGACCATGCCCCCAACACTTCTTTTCCTTGCATGGGCACAGATGATAGATAACAAGTTTAGAGTCCTGTGCCCTCCTATGGACTCATTCGCTCAAGTATTTACTGAGCATCTACTATATGCCAGGCACTGCCCTAGGTGCTGGAGAGACATCATGAGTGGGACAGAGAGAAGTCCTGCCCACACCACACAGGGCTTCCAGTCTAGCGTGAGGACAGACACAATCTGGAAGATTAGCGCAGAGAGGTTTGTGCAAAGACACAAATCCAGTGGGTGCTGGGTCAGCGAGTGGCTGGGCTGCTTCTACAGGGAGATGGGGGGTTGGGGAGATCTGGAGGGTCTCTTGGAGGAGCTGTCTTAGCGGAGGCTTGCGTAATGAGAGGCCAAGGAGAAGGGGAGAGGCTGGAACTGGCCTGGAGGAAGACAGATCAGCCAGGACCCCCTGTAGCTGCGGGATGGGAGAGGGCAGGACTTTGAAGCCAGGCGCAGCATCTTTGTTTTATTGTTTTGTGTCATTTATTCTTTTTTTTTTTTGAGGCGGAGTCTCGCTCTGTCGCCCAGGCTGGAGGGCAGTGGCGTGATCTCGGCTCACTGCAAGCTCTGCCTCCCAGGTTCACGCCATTCTCCTGCCTCAGCCTCCTGAGTAGCTGGGACTACAGGCACACGCCACCACGCCCGGCTAATTTTTTGTATTTTTAGTAGAGATGGGGTTTCACCATGTTAGCCAGGATGGTCTCGAACGCCTGACCTCAGGTGATCTGCCTGTCTTGGGCTCCCAAAGTGCTAGGATTACAGGCGTGAGCCACCACGCCCTTCCAGTTAATGTTTAACAACTGGCTCTCTGGGCAGGGTGGGGGCTGGCTTAGATCCCTAACTTGCCACATTTGCCAATTTCTGTGGTGTAAACATACCCACCACGGGTAAGTTCAAGTTAGAAACCTGAAGTCCCTGCATTGGGGTTGGGGAGAGGGGCACGTCTCCCAGCACAGATCCACAGATGTAAATAACCTCAAAAACATAGATACGTAGGAGAATGTGGTCAAGTAATTGGGGGGTGATGAGTTTTGAATGTTTATTGAAATTGTAAGTTTTTTTTTGTTGTTGTTCTTTTGTTTTTTTTGAGACAGAGTCTTGCCCTGTCACCCAGGCTGGAATGCAGTGGTGCGATATCAGCTCACTGCAACCTCTGCCTTCCAGGTTCAAGTGATTCTCCTGCCTCAGCCTCCTGAGTTGCTGTGATTACAAGTGTGCGCCACCACGCCTGGCTAGTTTTTTCTTTTTTCTTTTTTTTTTTTGTATTTTTAGTAGAGACTGGGTTCCACCATGTTGGCCAGGCTGGTCTTGAACTCCTGACCTCAAGTGATCCACCTGCCTCGGCCTCCCAAAGTGCTGGGATTACAGGCGTGAGCCACCATGCCTGGCCCTGAACTGTAAGTTTAAATACTTTGACGTCTAATTATGGCTGTGTTTTGAAGCCAGTTTGCAAAATTCCTGAAAATGCAGCAGTTGCTGAGGCGCCAGCTCCTGGGCCTGGTGAGGAGATAGGACTGTGGGAGGAGCGTGTTGGGGAGGAAGATGAGTTCTGAGTTGTGCTCCCTCCCCCTCCACCAGCCTGACTCCCTGAGGGCATGGACCATCCTCACAGCCTCAGGGGCCCCTTCTGAACACAGCCCCTGCCTTCTTCCACTTTCCCATCTCTTCCACCACCCCAGCCCAGCAGTGCGGGAGCAGAGTGGCCCTTGGCTGGGCGAGACAGAACTTGGAGGGTAGACAGAACACTGTTGGGAGGGAGGAGGCCTGGGCCCCTCTCCTGCATCCGCCCCTCACTTGCCGTGTAATCCTGGGATAGTCATGACCTGCCTCAGGCCTCAGTTCCTCTACCTGTAAAATGAGGCACTTGGACAGGAGGTGATGGGCTGCCTTCCCCACCCTGATGGCCTCTCGCTCTGGTTTCCAAGGCGTGTGAGGCCCAGCCATCTTCTAGAGGCCATTGGCCGCTGATGGGGGTTGGCCCCGAACTACCCACTTGGCCCCCGCCTCAGCTTGCCTGGTCCTCCAGCTGTATGCCCTGCGCATTCTGGCTTGCTAATGATGTCACTGCTGGGGAGACAGTGACTTCAGGTGGGGGTTACCCTGCCCCAGGCTCCTGTGACTCAGCGCCAGGCCTGCTTCCTCCGGGGAGCCTTCATGGGTTGCTCTTCTATTCTGAACACCTCCCAGCTCACCCAGACCCTCACGATAGGCTATGTCCTGATTTGGGTGTGAGCCCAGCCTCCCCATGCCAACCTGGCACACCCAGAAGGCAGTGCAGGGGTGTCCAGTGCGGAGCGAGGAGTCCTGGCCCAAACCTACCAGCCGAGTGACTTTGGGCCAGTCATTCTCCCTTGCTAAGCCTCAACTCTGCTTCTGAAATAGGGGTCTGTTTCCAAACCAGTCCTTCAAGCACCTCACAGCGGATAGGGGGGCAGAAGGCCTGACCTGTAGCATGTGGCTCTCAATTTTGCAGCAGCAAGAAACGATTCCATCAGTGGCACGGCCAGCTCAATAGTACTCAAATTCCACGGCTTGAAATGCTGTCGATGAGCTGACGTTGCCTGACTTTCACCTCCAACCCCAGTCCTGGGCCCAGCTGGTCCGCCACACCTCCCAGAACTCTGGATCCCCGCAGCTGTCACCAGCCCCACTGTCTACCTGCTGCTTAAGGTAAAAGCCCACTGGTCACCCTGGCTACAGGCAGCAGCAGGGGCGGAGCTCATGCCGAGTGCAGAAAGCCCACGCCTGCAAAAAATCACACGCTGGTCTCACTGACAGGAAGGTCCAGACCGGGTGGGCTCCTGGTGACGGGAGAGTGGTTACCCTTGGGGGCAGGGGTGGGTACTGACCAGAAGGAGAGCCAGGGCAGCTTCTCGGGGCTGGAAATATTCTCTGTCTTGATCTTGGAGCCGGTTTTACTGGTATGTTGAGTTGAAATAATCTTATCATCAGTCTTGATTCTTCCCTCATCTACTTCATACAGCAAAACAGATAAAAATCCCAGCTCTCATACACCTTCCATTCTAGTGGGGGTGATGGGAGGGCAGACATTAAACATGAAAAGCAAGTAAATAAGTGGGAAACCAGATCATGGGAAGAGCCAGAATAAGGGTGCAGGGTCAGGGGGAGATGCGTACTGCATGCGGGGGTGGGCGTGGAGTTGCTATTTTTATAGGGTGGTCTTGTTTGAACAGGGCCCTGAAGGAAGCGAGGGAGAAGCCCTGAGGCTCCCTGGGGAAGGGTGTCAGCAGTGGGAGGGAACAGCGCCTGCAAAACCTCTTAGCCGGGAAGTTCAGTAGAGTGACTCTCTACTGATGGGCATGGAAGTGGGTTAGAACCAGCCCCATGAGCGCTAAGGAGAGATGGAAACCAGGGGTAGGGAGTGGGAAGGAAGGGGGGCTTGATATTTTAGACTCAGCGGCTCCCTGTTTTTTTTTTTTTTTTTTTTTTTTTGAGATGGAGTCTCGCTCTGTCGCCAGGCTGGAGTGCAGTGGCGCGATCTCGGCTCACTGCAACCTCCTCCTCCACGGTTCAAGCAATTCTTCTGCCTCAGCCTCCCGAGTAGCTGGGACTATAGGCGCACGCCACCATGCTGGGCTAATTTTTATATTTGTAGTAGAGATGAGGTTTCACCATATTGGCCAGGCTGGTCTTGAACTCCTGACCTCGTGATCCACCCGCCTCAGCCTCCCAAAGTGTTGGGATTAAATGCGTGAGCCACCGAGCCCGCCGACCCCCTGGTTTTATCACCTGGGGAGTGCATATTATCTGACCCATCTGCCTGAAGTCAGGCTGTCCTGACTCCTCACCCTGTATCTCACCTGTATCCTAGCCCGGTGCCTCGTCTAGGGCTTGGATCCACATGCTGGGTGAATGAGCAAACAAAGGCCTACCCGGCTTCAGCAAACCAGCCCGCCTTTGTGGAGCAGGGCCCTTCCCCTCAAGGCTTTGTTTGGACACCACTTTCTCCCCTGGACACTCCCACAGTCCCTCCCACCCCAGCAGGCTCTGCCCTGTACTGTTCCCTGCAGGAGGTGGAAAGCGCGTGGGCCGGGCTGGATCTCGGCTCACTGGCTTCCTCGCTGGGTGGCCTTGGCAAACTCCTCCCCGCCCTGAGTCAGCTTCCTGGTCCTGTGTGATATTGGGGAAATTCACACCCAGCAGGGCTGCTGGGCCCCGTGAGGGAGGCAGGGTTGTAGGGGCCGGCACAGGGCCTGGCCCACAGCAGGTGCTCAGGAGGCAGGGTCTAAGCTGTTGAGCCAGGGTGCCCCGCAGCCCAGGGGTGTAGGGTTGGGAGGAGGAAGGGTTCTTAGGGAAGAGTAATTCACTGGGGGTCCAGGGATTTGGATTTGGATTTGGCCTGTGTGACTTGGGGCAAGTCACTTCCCTCCTCTAATCCTTCCTTGGTTCCAAGAAAAATGGCAGGTGCCCTTCAGGGCTGGGGACCAGGAGAGGGGTGCTTGGGCTTGTGGAGCCCCACCCGGGAAAGGGAGGCGTGGGGATGTGGCAGAGGCCGGGGGCGGCGGCAGCTCAAAGTGTCTGGGCAGACAATGGGCACTGTGTGCGGGGAGCGGGCGGGGCGGTGCGGGTGGCAGAGTGGCTCCCCGGCAGGAATGTGCCCGGGAATGTGCCCGTCTGGGAATGCACACGGCTCCCCTGTGGTGGGCTCCCTCGGCTGGCAGCCTGCCCACCCCGCCACACGGCAGCTCAGAGCCTGGAATGGCCCAGGGAGGCGCTGGCTGACCGAGCCTTCCTGGGTCCCCACCCCCTGCAAGCCTGAGCAACCTCTGTGGGGCCTTGGAAGAGTGATGGGGGCAGGCGTCGGTTCCCTGTGCCACCAACCGTCGGGGCCTCGTCTGTGTAAGGGGTCTCTGATCGCCCTGTAGGGTTTTCCTTGGATTAAAACATCTCTTGCTGCCCAATTCACCTCCTTCACTCTCCCTCTTTCTCTCCTCGTGGAATGGGGTCTTGGGCTGTCTTGCGCACCACTGTGTCCCCAGGGCCCAGGACGAAGCTTGGCCGTGGCTGTGCTCAGTAAGAGGTGGCTGTGAAGCCATTTTCATCAGGCCCCTCCCCGCGGGCTGTGCCCTGAACTGGGCTCTCTGGGCAGTGGGGTTGGCCAGGGGGAGGCGCTGCAGACAGGGGGGCCATGGGGAGAAGTGGGGTGACCCCTGCTCCCTCCTCATCCCAGCCGGCCCCTACAGCTGTAGCTCCTGTCTCTCAGCCCTCTTTCTGCCTCCAGCTCTCACTGGCTGTCAGAGCCCTCGGCTCCGGGTTGGAAATAGCTCCTGCCATTAGCACAGCTTGGATCTAGTCCCCTCAGCCAGGTCTCTAAGATCTTTTCCTTGCATACCCCTTGTCTGTTTCCTGCTGGGACACTGATTTTGTCCTCCCAGCCACCAGGCCAGGCAGCTGTCACCAGCTCCTTTGACAGATGAGAAAACTGAGGCCCAGAGAGGGGGCGTGAAGGGGTCCAGAGAGGGGGCGTGAAGGGGTCCAAGCCTCAAGGCTGGGGAAGGTCAGATTTGAGCCTGTGTCCCTGTTCCTCCAGTGTCTGGGGCCTTGGGTCCTGGGCAACACCATTTGTCGCCTTTCTGATGAGCACAGTGATGAAGCTTTGGCTGCTCAGGTGGGTGCCCCGCAGATCATACAAATGATCACAGTGTTCCCTGACTCCCTCTCCAGCCAAGCCCTGGGCCCTGCGCCAACACTGTGTTCGAGGTGTCTCCTTCACTCTTCTCCGTGGTGGGGCCACGAGGAAGGCGCTGGGCGGGCCTGGGGCCTGCTCCTCTGAGGCCTGCAGTTGGGGCCGACGGCATTGAGCCAAGGGCTGGGAGCCTCTGAGGTCATGCTCCATCCACACCGGCGGCTGCCTCTGTCCTGCAGCCAGGGGAGCAGACAGCTGGGGAACTCCCAGGCCGGTGAGACCAGAGGCCAGGACAGCCTCAGGAGGTGGCCCCGGCCGCTGGATGACTTCACGGGTCTTTCCCGCCCTGAGTCACAGGGGCTCACTGACCCCTTGGGCACCTTTGGAGGGAGGGGCGATGGCCGGCTCAGCTGGGTGGGCTGGTGGGAGGTGGGGCTGGGCTCTGTTACCTAACAGTGGAGGAGCAGCTGGGGAAAGGAGCAGGGTCATGGCTCCCTGCCCGTGGTGTTGCCTCTGAGGTGCTGTGTGAGGGCAGGCATCTTCGCCCCTCTCTGGGCCTCGGGACCATATCACCCCTTCTGGGGGTATTGGTTCATCTTGAATCCCTCCCCCTTCCAGCTCAGGCCTGCTGGAATGGGCTGCCCCAGAGCGAAGGGAGGAATAGTCTCTGTCTCCTCCCCACCCGCACTCCACACAGGTGTGAATCAGCCCAGGTGAGGAAGCTGACTCACCTTCCCCACCTGGCCCTGGAGAAAGGGACCCTTTCCCTTGCCTGGGGGTTAGAATGAACTTGACTATTATTCTCAGAGGAGAGTGGCTCTGACACGAGGGGGCACAACGCGAAGACTTGGGGTGTCGAGTCTCTGGGAGGAAGTCCTGAGCACCTACTGTGCGCTGAGCTCGTGGACAGTGTGGACGTCCTCTCTTCCCATCTGCAACCACCTGCTGTGAGTGCCCTCCTCTGAAACGAGGTTCAGAGTGGGCAGTGACTCGCCTAAGGCCACACAGCCCAGCCAGTGCCTGTGGAGGGAAGCCCAACTGCGGCTGGTTCTTGCTCCTGGAACTTTCTGGCCCCATCTTATACGCCTCAAGCCCCTCACTGTGAGCTCAGAACCCCCCTCCTTGGGGACCAGGAGAGGCTGGGGATGGTGGGCAGACAGGAAGGAAGGGGTGGGGGTGCAGAGCCAGCCTCCATACCCCCTAACTCATATCACAGAGTCCAGGGGTCGACAGGGACAGGGAAAGCTCCCCTTCCGTGCCCCTATCATGAGTTAAGCCATTCTCCCACCGTCCTGCTGTTAATCTTTAAACGGCCCAATGATTAATTAATTACCCAAGACCCACAGGGACTCGGTTGAGTGCCCCTGGTATCTGCGACCAGGGCACCCTCTCTGCAGTACCCCGGTCTCCCAGCCCCTGATGAGAGCAAGGAGAAACACAGACGAGGCCCGCCAAACTCACAGACACAGGCAAGGATGCGACTGTCACCGGTCCAGCAAACCCTGCTCTGTCCTGGGCCCTGGGCCACAGCACAGCCTGCAGGAGACAGGCAAGGCACGGTCAGGAAAGAAGACAGAACCCCAGAGGCCAGGCGGGGCTAGGAGGGCTCCTCCCAGCCCCAGTGGACCCTGCCGCGGCACACTGGGGGGTCTGGTGTCTCTGTGTCCTTGGGGCACTGGCGGGGGGATCTGAGCCCAGTGTCTGCTGACTGGTTCTGACCCCCTCTGCCCCTCTGCCAGTCTGAGTCTCAGTTTCCCTCATCTGTGCACAGGGCTGGTCATTTCCCGCTCTCCTCTCAGGGTGAGCTGGGGAGAATGAAGAGCCACTCTGGCAGAGGCACTGGGGCTGCCCTAACAGGTGTGGAGGAGGCTGGGGAGGTTCTTGCTGAGCAGCAGTGGGACAGGCCACATGGTTCCTAATTCAGGAGGTGACCCTGGCCAAGCCCTTTCTTCTCTGTCAGCCTCGGTTTCCCTATTGATAAAAAAAGGGGTTGGAGACCCAGTGTGGTGGCTCATGCCTGTAATCCCAGCACTTTGAGAGGCCGAGGTAGGTGGATCACTTGAGGTCAGGAGTTTGAGACCAGCCTGGCCAACATGGTGAAACCCCG
Source organism: Homo sapiens (assembly GCF_000001405.40). NCBI lineage: Eukaryota > Metazoa > Chordata > Mammalia > Primates > Hominidae > Homo > Homo sapiens. The sequence goes on along the minus strand of NC_000022.11, from coordinate 39,289,071 downwards.
TCTCTACTAAAAGTACAAAAATTAGCCGGGCGTCGTGGCGGGCGCCTGTAATCCCAGCTACTCAGGAGGCTGAGGCAGGAGGATCACTTGATTCCAGGAGGCAGAGGTTGCAGTGAGACGAGATTGTGCCACTGCATTCCAGCCTGGACAACAGAGCAAGCCTCTGTCTCAAAAACAAAACAAAACCCCAAAATGAGGGGTTGGGATCTGTGACTGCCCAGGACCCTTGAGGAGCCTGTCATGGGCAAGTGGGCCGCTGGTACCAGGCAGAGCTCCCAGTCCACTGTCCCCCACTCCCTAGCCCTGCCATGCTCCAAGGTGCCCAGCTCCTACCCGGAGCAAGTGCTGGGCTGGGAACGTCGGCCATCACCTCGCCATTGACTCAGGGAGGCTCACCATCTGGAGGCCTGAGGATGCCACAGCAACTTCCAGCCTGGTCAGCAGGGCAGGTATCAGAGGCGTCCACCCTGCCATGCTGACGATTTCCACCTCATTGCCGAGGGGCCCCCTGGGCCTCCCAGAAAACTGGAGTCATTGACCCTGGGAGGCAGAGGATCTTTGAAGACAACTTGTCTTCTGGGATTTTAGAACTTTTTGAAAGTTAAAATGAGGTCAGACACAGTGACTCATGCCTGTAATCCCAGCACTTTGGGAGGCTGAGGTGGGAGGATCGCTTGAGGCCAGGAGTTCCAGACTAGAATGGGCAACATAGTGAGACCCTGTCTCTAAAATAATTTTAAAAATTAGCCAAGCGTGGTGGTGCATACCTGAAATCCTAGCTACTTGGGAGGCTGAAGAGGGAGGATCGCTTGAGCCCAGGAGTTTGAGACCAGCCTGGGCAACAGAGTGAGACTCCATCACTACAAAAAATAAATTAAAGAAAATTAGCCGAGTGTGGTGGCGAATGTCTATAGTTTCAGCTACTCAGCAGGGCTGCGGTGGGAGGATCATTTGAACCCAGGAGGCCAAGGCTGCAGTGAGCCATGACTGTGCCACTGCACTCCAGCCTGGGTAACAGACACCCTGTCTCAAAAAAAAAAAAAAAAAAAATTAACCCATTTATGCCTTAAGTTGCAATTTTTAAAACTTTTGCAATCAGACCTTGGCAATGACCTTGAGAAGGAGGACAGAAATAATTCCCAATAATGGAACACTAGGCATAAATGAAATGATACACAAATAATACACAGGTCCAGAAACACACCCTCCTTGCAGCAGGACCAAATGATGGAGAAGACACATTGGCCTTCCACATTGTTGTGGGTTGAAAAGGATCTCCCCAAAATTCATGTCTATTCTGCACCTCAGAACGTGACCTTATTTGGAATAAGGATTTTTGCAGATGTAATTAGAGTATGGATCTCAGAATGAGGTCACCCTGGGTTGGGGTGGATCCTAAATCCAGTTAGAGTGTTCTTACAAGAGAAAGGGATGGGAGATTTGCAAACAGAGACTCAGGAGAGGAAAGGGCCCTGTGAAGTCAGAGGCAGGGATTGAACAGTGCGGTCACAGGCCAAGGAACCCGGGAGTCCCCAGAAGCTGAAAGATTGCCCCCTGGAGCTGTGGAGGCAGCATGGCCCTGTAGACACCTTGATTTTGGACTTCTAGCCTCCAGAGCTATGAGAATAAATGCCTGTTATTTCCACCACCAAGTGTATGGTAATTTATTACAGGAAACCAGTAGACACCTGCCCCACGGCCCTGCTCCGTCTGCAGCTCCTCCCTCCAGGGTTCCTCTCTGCTCTCCACACATGACTGTGGCATGCTGAATGCAGAAGTTTTGTTTTGAAATGTGGTGTTTTGAATGCAGAAGTTTTGTCTGTTGAATGCAGAAGTTTCATAGGCACATACCAGACGCGGTGTTCCGTAAACGTTCCATAAATTGCTCTGGCCATTGGTGCAGATGGGGGCAGCTCCCAGTTTTCCTTGGTTACACAAGAAGCCACTGTGAACACTTTTGCCTTGTCTCTTCTGCACATGCTTGATGACTTCTGGAGGCTGGAAGATTCCTTAGAAGGAGAATTGCTGGGTCAAAGGGTAAGCCCGTTTGCAATTTGACTGATGCTGTCAAATAGAGTCAAAACAGAAACTCAGAATCTTAAGAAGGAGAGAAGGTTTGGTGCAGTGGCTCATGCCTGTAATCCTTGCACTTCGGGAGGCCAAGGTGCAAGGATCGCTTGAGCCCAGGAGTTTAAGGCCAGTCTGGGCAACACAGGGAGACCTCGTCTCTATAAAAAATACAAAAGTTAGCCAGGTGTGGTGGCGCATGCCTGTAGTCCCAGCTACTTGGGAGGCCGAGGTGGGAAGATCACTTGAGCTCAGGAGTTCACAGCTGCAGTGAGCCATGGTTGCACCACTGCTATTCAGCCTTGGTGACACAGTGAGACCCTATCTCAAAATAAATAAATAAATAAGAAAAAGAGAAGCAGGGAAACAGACTTTTGGATTTTACAGCATGGGACACTTCCAACCCCAGAATTATAAAACTTCAGGAGAGGGGACCTCAGGAGAACATCTATTCTGGGGTCTCACTTCAGGACCCAGGAGTGACATCTTCCAAGCCCTGTCTGGGTTTCTGTTTCCCTGGAATGGGCTTGGAGAAAGCAGAGGAGATAGGACCCAGGAGCCTGGAACTCTGGGGCTCCAAGGGAGCTCTGGCAGGGGGTGAGTGAAATGCCTTCCCCACCTGGGCACCCAGCTCTTCTACCCAGAGGCTGCCCCTTTCCAGCCGAGGTGCCAGGCCAGCTGGGCCTCTGTAGCTGCACACAGTGGCCCCTCTGTGCTTGGCACACACACACAAAAATGTGAACAGAGCCTGTAATCCCAGCACTTTGGGAGGCCGAGGCAGGTGGATCCCTTGAGACCAGGAGTTCAAGACCAGCCTGGAGAACATGGTTAAACTCCGTCTCTACAAAAAATACGTGAAAAAAGAAATTAGCTGGGTGTGGTGGTGCATGTCTATGGTTCCAGCTACTGGGGAGGCTGAGGTAGGAGGATTGCTTGAGCTGGGGTGGTTGAGGCTGCCATGAGCCAAGATTGTGCCTCTGCCCTCCAGCTTGGGTGACAGAGTGAGACCATCTCAAAAAAAAAGAAAGAAGAAAGAAAGAAGAAGAAAGAAAGAGAGAGAGAGAAAAAAAGAAAGAAAGAAAGAAAAAAGGAAAGAAAAGGAAAAGAAAAGAAAAAAGCCAGGTACGGCAGCTCACGCCTGTAATTACAGCATTTTGGGAGGCCGAGGTGGGCAGATCACAAGGTCAGGAGTTCAAGACCAGCCTGGCCAACATAGTGAAATCCCATCTCTACTAAAAATACAAAAAAAAAAAAAAAAAAAAAAATTAGCCGGGTTTGGTGGTGGACACCTGTAATCCCAGCTACTGGGGAGGCTAAGGCAGGAGAATCACTTGAACCTGGAAGGCAGAGGTTGCAATGAGCCGAGATAGTGCCACTGCACTCCAGCTCGGACAACAGTGTGAGACTGTCTCAAAAAAAAAAAAAAAAAAAAAAAGAAAGAAAGAAAAAAATGTAAAGGAAATGAGCAGGGGTGGGTGGGGTGGTCTATGGTCTGCACTAGGCTGACTTGTGGCCCTGGCTGGAGTTCTGAGGTCTGGAACAGGGCAGGAGGCTCTGCATTAGATACTGGTCGCCTGCCTTGGAGTCCCCTCCATTCTTATTCTGGTGGTTTTAGAACATGCTCTTCCCCCAATTATTTGACACTCCTCTTCTTGAAAGATGGGAGTCTATGTCCTTTTTCCTTGAATCTGGGCTCCGTGGATGCTTGATCAATATGTTGCCAGTGAGGCTGTGTCAGTTTCTGGACCCAGGCCATAAAAAACTGCAACTTCTACTTCCCACCTCTTGGGACTCAGCCACCATGCTGTGAGGAAGCTCAACAGCCCCATGGAAAGGCCGGTGTGGGAAGGAACAGAGGACCCTCTACCCCTGCCAGCTGTCAGCCCCAGTAGAGCCAATGGGACCTCCAGCTCCCACTCAAGTTGCCCCAGCTGATGCCTCATAGAGCAGTGCTGTGCCTTCTTGCGGCATCTGGCTTGACTTGCAGATCTGTGAGAGAAACAAATGATTGCTCTTGTTTTAAGCCACTAAATTTTGGGATCATTTGCAGCATAGCAATGGATAACTGGAACACCCTCCATGACCAACAAAGTCGCCACCAGTGCCTGCAGGCTGGGTTAAGAACACGGGCTTTGGGATCAGACTCACCAGCCATATGTCAAGGCCCGTCTTTGCCTCAAGGGCTTCATCTGCACATGGTGACCGTAGTAGGACTCGCCTCATAAGGTTGTCATGAGGATGAAATGAGATGACACACATGGAGTCTGGTGCCGAGGAAGTGTGTGGTAAATAGGAGCGTGACAAGGGTTTACCGCCATGGTTGTTATTTCCCTAAGCAGAGAAAATTACTCAGTCTAGGCTGGGTTCATTCAAACAGGCATGTCCTTCCCTGCTTGCTCCTTCGAAGACCCCCTCCTCCAGGAAGCCTTCCCTGACCACCCTACACTGGGCCGCCACTCCTCTGTGCACCTCCAGCCCTCTGTGCTACACCTGAAAGAACAAGAGTCCCATTGTGCTCGTTGCCTGTTTACAGCTGCCAGAATGGGACATCCCTGAGGGCATCATTAGCAGAGCCAGCAAGGAATGGAATTCTCTAAAGCTGGCACTCGATGTGTGCACACATAGGCCGGGACCCGGGGCTGCTTATGTTGCTGAGTGACGCTCAGCCAGCTGGTGTCCCCGAAGTGTACACCTGGGTGGGCCTTATATGCAGGCCTCTGTGTATGTTGGCGTGCCTGTGGGAGGTGGGTGTGCACATGTTTGTACACATGTGAATAGCAGTTGGTGTGTCTGCGTAAAGGCAGGTGGAGTGAGCGTGTCTCTGTACACAGATGTAGGCACATGCTCATGTGCACACCACTGCACATTCACGCTCATGTGTATGCTCGTGCAGTTGTAGGAGTGTTCTTGTGCATGGGTGTGTCCACATGTGTGTGCCTTCATACTGGTGCGTGCCCTGTGTGCCAGGCTGGGCTGTATGGTAGGAATGTAGGGTACCAGCTGCTACATCTGGGGCCCACTCGGGAACTAAGAATAGCCCATGCCCAGCCCTGTCCCGCCGGGCAGGGGGCCGCGGGCAAGCTCCACGGGGGCACCCCAGCCAGGCTGTTGGCCTCATCCCTTCTTGGGCCGACGCGCTGCCTGCCCTGCCCTGCCCTGCCCTGCCTGGGGCTCCCATGAGCTCATGCACACCCTGCCCAACCAGGTCAGGGAGGGGGTTGGGAGGTCCAGAGTCGTGCCTGCTAGGCCGAGGCCCTGCCCACGTTCCAGCGGCTGGACACCAGCAAGGCCTGATAAGGTCAAGTGTGGAGTAGGGTCCGCCCCCTCCCTCCGGCCAGGGACAGCCGGGCGGACATGAGTCAGCACAGGGGGCATCAGGCAGCCCGGGCCTGACCACTGGCTGGTGATGGGGCAGGCCTGGGGGTGGGACCGCCTCCCTGGACAGGCCAGGGGCTGGCCAGGAGGAATCACCTGCCGGGTCGGCCAAGCCCTGACCTCATTCTCCACCTTGAGGAACCCCACCTCCACTTCCGCCCAGAAAGCCCCTCTGGAGTCCCCTGGCTGGCTTCCTGCCCTGGCCTGGTCATTGCTGGGCCTCAGGAGGGCTGATGGCCACCCCTGCAGAAGGGCATTTCCAGGCTTAGCTACACGGCCCCAAGGGTTCCATATGCCCCTTCCTCGGGAAGTCCTCCCTGCTTCCCCAGGCTGGATGGAGTGGGGGTGGGGCTCTGAGATCCCAGCTCCCTCTTGGAGCCCCTCTCTCTACAAAGTCAAAGCCTGTTTACTCGTGTCCAGACCTGAGCTTCTTAAGGGCCAGGAAGTGTGTCATTTCCATCTCTGTTTACATCTTGCTCCCTCGCTGGGTCCCCAGCACAGCCCAGGAGGGGTCATTGTTGTCTTCCTTTACAGGGGAGGACTCTGAGGCCTGGCATGGATGGTGACTGGCTCACAGTCCCCAGCCAAGGGGTGGCCAGTGTGGAGGCTGTTCCCGGATGTCCTGCTTTCCCCATCACTGTGCCACTGTGATCCTTCCTCCTGGAGCCCCTGACCTCAGAGGCTCTGATGACCCAGCCCAAGCACCCATGACTGATTTTTCATTCTGTGAGCCTGGTGCGTGTGCAGCTTGGGCTGGGCCTTCCCTGGAGCTCAGCTCCACAGGGCAAGCCAGGCAGGGCCTGACACGCTGATCACAGCTGAGCGTCAGGGTGGAGTCTCCCGCTGTGTCCTTTGCCCCCCTGCAGGGCCCTGCCAAGAGGAGAGGAGAGGGCACCAGCTTGGCATAGGGAGAGCGCGTTGTGAGGGAGGGACCATCAGATGCTCCATTTAACAGATGAGGACACTGAGGCTCAGAGAGGGGATGTGATGTCCCCGAGGTCCCACAGTGAGGAACGGCCTAGGCAGGTCTTAGGAAACACCCCCTCGTGCTCATGGACACGCTCGTGGCACTGTGTGTCATAGTGAAAGAGGAAAAATGGCCCTGGACGCCTGCCAGTACTCTGTGAGCACCCTCCGCACAAAGGGACACGCAAGAGGGGGCTGGATCCGTGCTGACCAGGTGGGGCTCCATACCAATGAAGAAGCACACTTTCCAACACTTCAACACGGTCGGGCACGGGGGCTCACACCTGTCATCCCAGCACTTTGGGAGGATGAGGCAGGCGGATCATCTAAGGTCAGGAGTTTGAGATCAGCCTGGCTAACATAGTGAAAGCCTGTCTCTACTAAAAATACAACAAGTAGCCAGGTGTGGTGGTGCACACCTGTAGTCCCAGCTACTTGGGAGGCTGAGGCAGGAGAATCGCTTGAACCTAGGAGGTGGAGGTTGCAGTAAGCCGAGATCACGCCATCGCACTCCAACCTGGGTGACAAGAGCAAAATTCCATCTCAAAAAAAAAAAAAAGTAGCCAGGCGTGATGGTGCACGCCTGTGGTCCCAGCACTCAGGAAGCTGGGGTGGAAGGATCGCTTGAGCCTGGGAGGTCAAGGCTGCAATGAGCCGTGATTGTGTCACTGCACTCCAGCCTGGGTGACAGAGTGAGACTCAGTTCAAAACAAAACAAATGTACATTCAGAGGAAAGTGTTTTTGAGCCCACACTGTAACTGCGTTAGTTTCCTATCAGTTTCCTATTGCTGCTGTGAGGAATGACCACAAATGTAGCGGTTTAAAATAACAGGGATGTGAGCTCTTACAGCTCTGGAGGTCGGAAGTCTGAAGTGGGTCTTGTGGGCTAAAGTCAAGGTGCGGGCAGGGCCTGTGCCTTCATGGGCCCTCCTTTGGCTTTGCAGCTCCTAGAGGCCGCTCGCATTCCTTGGCCTGCAGTTCCTTCCTCCCCTCAAAGCCAGCAGCACAGCGTCTTCCACTCCCTCTGACCCTGACACTTGCTCTTCCGCCTCCCTCTTGCACATCCAGGGATTCTTGTGATTGTGCTGGGCCCACCCAAATCATCCAGGATGATCTCCTTATTTTATGTTCAAGGTGCTGGGAACACAACACAGTGGGTAACACAACAGACACAGTCCTTGTCTCGTGGGAGACAGACAGTAATTCACATGTAGCCCTGTGACACGTCTGGAAGGGTAGATGCTGGGGAGCAAAGTGAAGCAGAGGAGGGGGATGGAGAGCAGTGGGGAGCCTCATCTGCATAGTATGACTCCTTTCCAATGAGAATGGATTTGCCATATTTGCATATTTCTTTTTCTTTTTTTTTTTTTTTGATATCGCTTTGTCACCCGGGCTGGAGTGCAGTGGTGTGATCTCTGCTCACTGTCTCCTAGGTTCAAGAGATTCTCTTGCCTCAACCTCCTGAGTAGCTGGGATTACAGGCCTGCGCCACCACGCCCAGCTAATTTTCTGTATTTTTATTTTTTATTTATGTATTTATTTTAATTTTTTTTTTCCAAGACGGAATCTTGCTCTGTCACCCAGGCTGAAGTGCAGTGGCACGATCTCGGCTCACTGCAACCTCTGCCTCCCAAGTTCAAGCAATTCTCCTGCCTCAGCCTCCCAAGTAGCTGGGATTACAGGCACCTGCCACCACGCCCAGCTAATTTTTTGTAATTTTAGTAGAGATGGGGTTTCACCATGTTGGCCAGGCTGGTCTCAAACTCCTGACTTCAGGTGATCTGCCCATCTCGGCCTCCCAAAGTGCTGGGATTCAGGTGCGAGCCACCACGCCTGGCCCTATTGGCATATTTCTTCTATAACCCAAAGCAGGTCTAGGTGACTCTGAATAACAGCACAGTTTATCTTCCTGCCCATTGGCTGCGTGACTTTAACCTAATGGTCTAATCTCTCTGGTCTCTTCACAGGAGGAGTCAATGGGGTGCCAAACTCTTCCTGGCGATGCTGTGAGATGCCCAAGGGGACACCTTGTGTTCTCTGGGTATCCTGCCTGCGAATCTTACCTTGGGCAGGAAGTACCGAGGGACTCCCAGGCACAGGCTCCATGGGGCGGGCGGGGGTGTATGTGTAGCCCCCAGCTGCACCGGAGGTTCAGGGGTGGAAATGACTCTGGATGGAGCCCAGATGGTCTTTGGACCTGGGATGGGACCATTCCCAGAAGGAATCCAGCTGCTCCAAGCCCAGCTGGGTAGGCAGGAGTGTGGTGGTGCCATTGGGGCCAGAACCGCCCCACTAGCTCACCAGAGGGAACTGGAGAATGAGCCTGGGGCCTGGGGCCTGGGTTGGGCTGTGACAGATCCCAGGCTGTGGATCCTCAGCTGAGAAACGGGAGGGCCTGGGGAGGAGCAGGGGTGGGCCTAGGACCTGACCCCCAAGCTCCAAACAGGCTTCCATAACTTCTGGTTGTGTGACTCAGTTTCCTCATGTGTAGACAGGGATTGTAACTTTTTCCCATTCTGGGGTGGTTGTGAGGACCAAGTGTACTTGTGCACACAGGGGTGGGTGGGGATTTGCAGGGTGGTTGGCACACGGGGGGTCCCATCCAGGCTTAATTCCCCTCCCCAATTCTCTCCAGCTCCCAGGGAGTTGGCTCTGGGCCCCAGAGACACCTGGAAATGCCCCTTCCTGTCCCAGGCTCAGAATGAATTGAGGGAACAATGAAAAACAAACAAAACAACCATTTACTTGCTGAAGAGCGAATATGTTCACATGTCCAAATCATCAAAATACTCAAAGGATATGCAGTGAGAGAGAAGTCCTCCTCCCACCCCGTTCCCCCACCGTTTCTTGAGTATTTGAGTATATTTTCCCAGAGATGCCCTAGGCGGGTACGCGGGGAGATGCATTTGTATTCTCTTCTCCGCCTTAAACACACCCTGTGAATGGCGGAGTTTTTTCTTGGAGAATGGCAGGCATCAGCACAGAAACAGCTTCCTTGAGCTGCGGTGTATGGGTGGGTGTTCCATTGTTATTTGACGAGGCTGTAAAGGGAAGGTTGTTTTTTTTTCAAAGCAAAGGAATAGCTTCATGGAAGCGTCCTTCCTGGAATCTGGAATTCGGAGACGGGCTTGAGTCTGAGCTGGGCTACTTGCCTCTCGGGGACTGCACGTGTTGCTTCCCCTGAGCCTCAGTGTTCTCATCTGCAAGATGCTGCTTGTGGCTGGGCACGGTGGCCTATGCCTGTAATTTCAGCACTTTGAGCTGTCGATGCACGAGGATCGCTTGAGGGCAGGAGTTCAAGACCAGCCTGGGGCCAGGCGCAGTGGCTCACGCCTGTAATCCTAGCACTTTAGGAGACTGAGGCAGGAGGATCACCTGAGGTCAGGAGTTCGGGAGCAGCCTTGGCAACATGGTAAAACCTTGTCTCTACTAAAAACACAAAAATTAGCTGGCATGGTGGCACGTGCCTGTAATCCCAGCTACTCGGAAGGCTGAGGCAGGAGAATCGCTTGAACCCAGAGGTGGCAGTGAGCCAAGATCACACCATTGTGCTTCAGCCTGGGTGACAGAACGTGACTCCATCTCAAAAAAAAAAAAAAAGCCAGCCTGGGAGACATAGTGAGGCCCCATCTCTACCCCTGACCATCCCCCCCAACACCCAAAAAAACAAACTTAGCTGGCCATGGTGCTGTGTGCCTGTAGTCCCAGCTACTCGGGAAGCTGAGGCAGGAGGATTCCTTGAGCCCAGGGGGTCGGAGCTGCAGTAAGCTATGATCACACCACCATACTCCAGCCTGGGTGACACAGCAAGACCCTGTCTCTACCAAAAATAAAAAAAAGTAAAAGATAAAAATAAAAAAGGCAGTGGTTGTACCCATCCAGGAGATAATGTTGCCCGTGGGTAGCCTGCGGGCTGTGCCCCGTTTGTGGATGTGTTTTGCTCATAAAACTTTTCCAAACTCTGGAGATTTCAAATTATAACCCAGATTTCTGGCTTCTCTTGAAAAATCAAAAGTCTGGCCATTGCAGGCTGGAGCCAAGTAGCCACTGCCCGCTTTGGAAGGGCCAGGGGTGCTCCATTTGGCCTCAGGCCTCACCGCGTCCTGTTGCTCACGGACATCCCCCAACCTGGTAGTCCTCCTCCGCAGAAGGGAGTGCTGGGGTTAAATTCATGCAAACAGAATGGGCAGGGTCCCCAGCGCTCGGCACAGGCCCAGCCTCACTCTCTTGCTGGATACTTGGGGTATCTGGGACTCAGTAGCCACAGCCATGGATGATCCAGTCTTGGAAACCCAAGCCCTGAGCAAGCGGCTCCAGAGTGTCTCCTCCACCAGAAGGGAAGCTGAGATGCCGGCACCGTGTCCGGGAAGAGCTCTGGGCTGCAAGCCAGGCGGTTTCATCCCGGGAGGCGGCGGCCGAGGCTTCTTCCCTAGGATGGAGCCGGAAGCCAGGCTCCAGGCACCTGGAGTTCCCATCTCCGGGTCCCCAGGATGTAGATTCCTGCGCACAGCCCCCCACGCCTTCCTTTTCCCTACCTACCTTTGGCAGCCACATCCTGCCTTTCAGGGGTGGACCAGGACTGAAGGGGAGGCAGGGAGGTGGGTGGGATCCCAGGAGGACCTTGGGGACATCCTCTCTTCAGGGTGGTTGCAAACTCTTCTTGGCCCCAGGGTGCCTTGGAGCACAGTTTGAAAACCACTGATGGAGCCCTTTTGCTAGATGGGAAAACAGAGGCCTGCAGTTGGGGGGGTAGGAGGGTCAGAGGCCTGGAGACCTTAGAGTCCCCCCTCCCCAAGTCTACTACAGAGCCCCGGCATGTGGAATTGAAGCTCACTGAGCCCCCAGCCAGTCTCACCCTGCTGTTGTCTGTCCAGAAGACCAGGGAAGTAGTGGGTCTCCTCCTTCTCCAAAACTTGAATTGCCTCCTCTGCCAAGTGCCCACCTTACAGGGTGGTTGTGAGGAGTCAAAGAGATGAGAGTGCAGATAGCAAGAATAAGATCCACGGTAGCTCCTGCCTCCTGGGCTTGAACTGCAGGCTGTCCAGCCTGGACTTGGACGAGCCCATTTTTTACAGCACTTTCTTGGGAGATAATTTACATACCCTAAAATTTACCCACTTAAAGTATATGAGTCAGTGGTTTTGAGTATATTTACAGAGTTGTACAACCATGACCACAATCTAATTCTAGAACATTTACATCATCCCGCAAAGAAACGCAACACCCATCAGCAGCCACTCCCTGTTCCCCTCCTCCAGCCCCTGGAACGCTCCTCTGCTTTCTGTCTCTAGAGAGTTCTCTGTTCTGGACATTTCGTATAAATGGAATCCTACAATGTGTAGCCTTTTGTGACTGGCTTCTTTCAGTGAGCATCATGTTGTGGCATGTGTCACTCCTCCATTCCTTGTTGTTTGTTGCTAGTTCTTCCACTAGAGCAGCTGGAAAGAACATTCCTTTTCATGGCCAAGTAATATTCCATTGTAAGGACATACCACAATTTGTGTGTCCACTTATCCGTTGATGTACATTTGGGTTGTTTTCACCTTTTGACTATTAAAAATAATATTTCCGTGAGCATTCTTGTACATGCCTTTGTGTGGACGTATGTTTTCATTTCTCCTTTGTAAATATCTAGGAGGAAAATTGCTGGGTCATGTGGCAGCTCCATGTTTAACATTTTGAGGAACTGCCAAACTGGTTTCCAGAGCGGCTGAATCATTTTGCATTCCCACCAGCAACCTGGGAGGACTCCAGTTTCCCCACATCCTCACCAACGCTGGACCCTGTCTTTTTGATCACAGCGATGCTAGTGGGTGTGACATGGTCCCACCACTGAAGGGACAGGTTTCCATTTTCATTTCCGTAATCAGCAGTCATGTTGAGCATCTTTTCATGCACTTATTAGCCATTTGTAGATCTCTTTTGGAGAAATGTCTATGCAAATGACAGCCTGTCATTGAATCCTCACAACCACACGGTTGGAGGAAACTGGAACTATGGTCAGTCACACCGATGATGAGGAAACTGGGGTTCCGAGGAACTCTTGAGAGATAGTGGAGACAGGAGCCCCGTGCTGGGACACTGCGCCTGGGGGGCGGGGTGTGGGTGATGGGGGAAACAAGGAGATATGAGGACCCCCTCAGCACTGCAGGCTGGAAGAACTGAGCCCTGATTCCTATTCCTCTCTGCCTCTGTCTTACTCTGGGACCTTGGGCAAGACACTTCCTACCCTGAGCCTCAGTTTCCCCAGCTAACAATGCCTTCATCCTGCCATGGGAATCAGATTTGGTGCTACATGTGAATGTACTGAAGGCCAGAGCAGGGCCCTGGTGGTTCCAGACCTGGGAATCACTCACCCTCCAGTCGCTGGCCCTCCAGGGCTGGCTGTGGGTGAGGCCTCTGCTCTGGGTCTCAGGCCAGCCAGCACTCTTGGCCACCAAGCACTAAGAGTTCTGGGCCTGCAAGGAAGGCTTGCTCAGGCTGGGGCTGGGCAGACAACACGCAGGCAGTGTCTGGGCTGCTAGTCTGTGGGAAGCAGCACATTTGTCCCTGAGCAAGAGCCTCTTCTGCACTGGCCACCTGCAGCCCCGGCCACCTGCTGCTTCTACCTGGGGCCAGGGTGGGTGCGGGGCATAGAGCTATCAAGGGAGCAGAGGCGGGGGAGGGCTAGGAGGAAACTAGGCTGAGAGCGCCTCCACTGGGGAGAAACTGGGCAGATGGATTCATTCACTCATTCATTCACTCACTCACTCACTCATTCATCCAGCCGTGTGTGCTGGCCTCTCGTGGCCCCCATGCTTTCCTGATGGAAGCGCTGACTGCAATGCAGCCATTCCTCAGGAAACTTGCTGAAGGAGTGGACACCATGAGCGTGGGACCCGTGTTGAGAGTCAAATACCTCCAGCCCCTGCCTTCACCGCATTCTTGGCGGAGGAGGAGGGACAGATGGAGTAACAACGGCAGCGCCTTAGAGTCTCTGCTAGGGACCAGCCACTCCCCCAAGTCCCTTAATCAAATTAAGTCGTTTAATCCACTATGCAACTCTTATGGTAAAACCATTCTTGTTTTTTTGTTTTTTATTTGAGACAGAGTCTTGCTCTGTTGCCCAGACTGGAGTGCAATGGTGCAATCTCGGCTCACTGCAACCTCTGCCTCCAGGGTTCATGCCATTCTCCTACCTCAGCCTCCTGAGTAGCTGGGATTACAGATGCCCACCACCACGCCCTGCTAATTTTTGTATTTTTAGTAGAGACAGAGTTTCACCATATTGGCCAGGTTGGTCTCAAACTCCTGACCTCGTGATCTGCCTGCCTTGGCCTCCCAAAGTGCTGGGATTAGAGGCGTGAGCTACCGTGCCTGGTGATAAAACCATTCTTTTTTTTTTTTTTTTTTTTGAGACGGAGTCTCGCTCTGTTGCCCAAGCTCTGGACTGCAGTGGCGCAAACTCGGCTCACTGCAAGCTCCGCCTCCCGGGTTCACGCCATTCTCCTGCCTCAGCCTCCCAAGTAGCTGGGACTACAGGTGCCTGCCACCACGCCCGGCTAATCTTTTTGTATTTTTAGTAGCGACAGGGTTTCACTGTGTTAGCCAGGATGGGATAAAACCATTCTTATCTCCTTTTCATATATTGGGAAACTGAGGCTCAGAGAGGAGCAGAGACTGGGTCAAGGTGTCACGGTGGGTTAGTTGCAGAGCTGGAGACAGAAACCTGCTGTCTGGTTCCCAGCTCCAGACTCTCCACATGATTCTGCCTCTTTCTCTGCACTCCCCAACCCACCCCTCTGGAGTTTAGACCTAGTGCTTTCCAGCCCCCTGCCCCCTTCTCTTAATATTTGAGCCGTATTTGAGAACAGCAGTCTGGTGTGTTCCCTGCAGCAGCCAGGAGATGTGGGTTCAAGTCCTCCCTCAGCCATCAAAATGCTGTGTGACTTGGGCAAGACCCCCAGCCTCTCTGTTTTCAGCTTCTTCATTGGTCAGCAAGAGGGCTGGACCGGGCGCTTTTGAAGGCAGCTAGGCTGAGGCCATGTCTTAGGGCAGCTCTGGGGAGCATGGGGCAGGTGATGGTGGGCTCCCCGGGGCAGGTTCGGGTGGCACCAGGCTTGCGGAAGGGGCAGTTGCAGCCTGCAGGCCTTTTTCCAGGGGATGCTGACTGGCCCAGCTTATCACCTGCCTGTCTTGGGCCACTCTTCCGAGCGGTTCCTCGGGTTTCAGCCTGGAGTCTGCGATAGCAGGGACTGTGGGAGACCTGGGGGGCAGGTGGGTGGCCCTATTGCTCACAGGGCTCCAGGCACCCCGTCTCCTCCAGGTTATCTCTGCTCTGGGACAGGCTGGGAAAGTGAGAAGCTGTGCTATCTCCTCCACTTCCCTCCGGAGATAGGGCTGCCTCAAAGCCCTCTTGTTCTGCACCCTACAGTCCCCTCACATCCACTGGCCCCAGAGGAAGGGGGGCACAGCCTGTAGTGCTGAGGTGCCATTCCCTCATGGGGTCTGCGGTGGGGAGCAAAGAGTGAGGCTGAGTCATCACTTTTCCAGCCCGCTATGCCCACTGAGTGCCTACTGTGGGCCAGAACAGGGGAGAGCATTTTCCACCCAGCAGGGCTGGTGCTGACCAATCGGGTGGCCTGGGGAGCCCCTGTTGCCACAAGCACTGACCACTAGTTACTGGTTCATGAGGAGGCCTGGGGGCTCTGGAGGGTCCGGGCAGTGCGAGGGGCATTTGGGAGGCCTGAAGCAGAGACTAGTTACCATTGGTTTAGGTGTATTTCAGGATTTCTTTTTTTTTTCTTCTTTTTTTGAGACAGGGTCTAATTCTGTTGTCCAGGCTAGAGTGCAGTGGTGCCATCTTGTCTCACTGCAGCCTCTGTTTCCCTGGTTCCAGCGATTCTCGTGTCTCAGCCTCCTGAGTATCTGGGACTACAGGTGTCCGCCACCATGCCTGGCTAGTTTTGTATTTTTAGTAGAGACGGGGTTTCGCCATGTTGGCCAGGCTGGTCTTGAACTCCTGACCTCAGGTGATCCACTCTCCTCAGCCTCCCAAAGTGCTGGGATTACAGGTGTGAACCACCATGCCTGGTCTGTATTTCAGGATTTCAACAGCAAATCCTGAAATGGCTTCCTGGTGACTCCCACCTTGGGGCAGGGACACCTACGTGCAAATGTAGGTGTGACTATGGGGACTTCATTCACCTATCCGGGCCTTGGTTTCTTGTCTGTAAAGTGGGTTTGAGGGTGGCTTGTTCTGCACAGACTGTTGTTCGGAGGGGCGAGGTCCTCTGGGTAAGCTTCTGCGTGGTGTGCCTCATGCAAGTTAGGGCGGACCCGATGAAATGGAGGTTTGACCATTTTTCACAAGAATGGCTGTTTCCCATGCCCAAGTTAGAGTAAGTGCTAATGCATGTTGGAATTCAGGTGTCTCAGGCCTTGTTCTAGGCACTGGGGACATAGCAGGGATGGAGGCGGGCCTAGCCCTGCCCTTGGGGAGCCCAGATCCAACAGGGACACAGGTGATTGTGGGCGTGAGGTGGCTGGTGGCTTGAAGGAAGGTAGACAGAATAACAGCCCCCTAAAGACACCCACGTCCCAATTCCCAGAATCGGTGACTATGCCATCTCACATGGCAAAAGCAATTCTGCAGATGTGATTCAGGTGCAGGCCTGGATTATCCAGGCAGGCCTGCTGTGATCACAAGGTCTTTCTAAGAGGAAAGCAAACTGAACTGTAACTTAAAAATGGTAAAATAGGCCGGATGTGGTAGTTCATGCCTGTAATCCCAGCACTTTGGGAGGCTGAGGCGGGTGGATTGCTTGAGGTCAGGAGTTCCTGACCAGCCTGGCCAACATGGTGAAACCCCATCTCTACTAAAAATACAAAAATTAGCCAGGCGTAGTGGCAAGCACCTGTAATCCCAGCAACTTGGGAGGCCGAGGCAGGAGGATCGCCTGAATCTGGGAGGTGGACGTTGCAGTGAGCCGAGATCATGCCATTGCACTCCAGCCTGGGCAACAAGAGTGAAACTCCATCTCAAAAAAAAAAAAAAAAAAGGTAAAATAATAAGGGTTACATTACATATACTTTACCATAATTTAACAGGTTAATAATGTAATAAACCAAACCTACTGAATTCTACACTTTAAATGGATAAATTATGTGGTATATGATTTATATCTCAATAAAGCTGTTTTTAAAAATCCAAAAGGGGCTGGACATAGTGGCTCATGCCTGTAATCCCAGCACTTTGGGAGGCCGAGGTGGGTAGATCACCTGAGGTCAAGAGTTGGAGGCCAGCCTGGCCAACATGGCGGACCCCCGTCTCCATTAAAAATACAAAAATTAGCTGGGCGTGGTGGTGTGCGCTTGTAGTCCCAGCTGTCCAGCTATTCAGGAGGCTGAGGCATGAGAATTGCCTGAACCTGGGAGGTGGAGGTTTCAGTGAGCTGAGATAGTGCCACTACACTCTAGTCTGGGCAACAGAGTGAGACTCTGTCTAAAAAAAATAAAATAAAATAAAAAATCCTAAAGGAGGGACCTTCTACCAAATACCCAACCACCAACCACCACTCCTGAAAATATCAGGATCAGGAGAGTCTGAGGAGCCATCACGTTTGGGAGGGGACTAAGACTTGATGACCTGATGCCATGTGGGATCCTGGCCAATCCCGGAACAGAGACAGGACATCAGTGGGGAAGCTGGTGATGTCTGAATACAGTCTGTATCTCAATGCTAACTCCCGCACTTTGATAAAGGCACCATGGTGATGTAAGATGTTAACATTAGGGGAAACTGGGAGGCAGGTACATGAGAAATTTCTGAATTATTGTCACAACTCTTCTATAAATCTAAGATGATTTCAAAACGAAAAATTAAAAAAAAAAATAGAAGGTGGCTGGGCGCAGTGGCTCACACCTGTAATCCCAGCACTTTGGGAGGCCTGGGTGGATCACCTGAGGTCAGGAGTCCGAGACCAGCCTGACCAACATGGTAAAACCCCGTCTCTACTAAAAATACAAAAATTAATCGGGCATGGTGGTGAGTGCCTGTAATCCCAGCTACTCAGGAGGCTGAGGCAGGAGGATCACCTGAATCGGGAAGTGGAAGTTGCAGTGAGCTGAGATTGCTCCAGTGCACTCCAGCCTGGGTGACAGAGTGAGACTTCGTCTCAAAAAAAGAAAAAATAGGAGGGGAGAGAGTCAAAGTCAGAGAGGAAATGTGGCAGAAGGAGAGATCAGATGAGAGTTTGCAGACGCTATGCTGCTGGCTTTGAAGACAGAGGAAGGGGCCACAAGCCAAGGAGTCCAGGCAGCCTGTAGAAGCCGGAGAAGGCAAGGAAACGGTTCTCCCCTGGAGCCTGCAAAAGGAACTCAGCCCTGCCGAGACCTGGGCCTCCAGATCTGTGAGAGAAAAACTTTGGGTTGTTGTAAGTCACCATGTGAATGGTAGTTAGTTACAGCAGCAATAAGAAACTCGCAGAAGGCAAGGAGGCGATACTGATGACGATGGCCACAGTGATGGGTACTTTGAGTGCTTAGGAAGGGCCCAGACATGTTCTTCAAGCACTTTACATAGGTTAACTCAGTTAGTTTTCAGATATTGTTCTGCGGGATGATTATTATCCCTGTTTTATAGACAAGGACACAAAAGCACAGAGAGGTTAAGTAACTTACCGAAGGCCACACAGCTGCAAACACAGAGGGGGATTCTCACCCAGGCAGGTGGTGGCTGAGTCTGTGCCTGTGACCACCGCCCCCCACTGCCCGGCAGCAGCGTGTTTGTGAACTCTGACCCCGTTTGCTCAGGACTAGGCCCTTTACAGAAAGGATTTGGTTTAACGTCACCACCATCCTATGGGGTAGATGTTCCTGTCATTCTCCATTTTACAGGTGGGGAAACAGGCCCAGGAAGATGGAGCCCCTTGCTCAGGGTCACAAGGCCAGAGAGTGTTCCCCAATGCTGCTGCCTCCTTGCTGGGGCTGGAGAAGGGGACTCATGTTACCTGCAGTGGGTTCCCACTCTGCAGCCCCCTTGCACCCCTGCCCTCTCCGGTCCCCATCTCCACATTCCCTGTGCTCCCTGATTGGAATGACGTCCCATCAGATGTCCCCACACTACTGCATGCCAGAGGCTACAGGAGGCTTCATGCCTCTTGGCCCCATTGTTTAGGCCAGGAAGCCACCCCCTCCCTCCTTGGCCAGAAGAGACAGTCTCTGGGGAGAGGGTTCCTTCCCAGAGAAGCAAATGGCCAGGAAGCAGGCCGTGGCTGGGCCCAGGACAGAGATACATGCTGGCCCTTTAAGGGGAAGGGGCCGGGGTGGGGGCTGCATCACTGGGTCCCTTCTTTTATTGTTGTTGTTGTTTTTTTGTTTCGTTTTGTTTTTTTTTTTTTGAGATAGTCTTGCTTTGTTGGTCCGGCTGGAGTGCAGTGGCACTATCTTGGCTCACTTCAACCTCCACCTCCTGGGTTAAAGCGATTACCCTGCCTCAGCCTCCAGAGTAGCTGGGATTACAGGTGTCCGCCACCACACCTGGCTACTTTTTGTATTTTTAGTAGAGACAGGGAGTGGGGTTCTCACCATGTTGGCCAGGCTGGTCTCGAATTCCTGGCCTCCAGTGATCCGCCCCTGCTTGGCCTCCCAAAGTGCTGGGATTACAGGTGAGAGCCACTGCACCCGGCCCTGGGTCCCTTCTTATCAGGAACCCTTAGAGGGGGTGGACCAGGGCTAAGGGCAGCTGGCGGCAGCAACTGGAGTTAGGGTCAGGGGCTCCCTCTGGAGTTAGGGTCAGGGGCTCCCTCTGGAGTTAGGGTCAGGGCCTCTTGCTGAAGCCATGGCTTCCTCCCTCCCTGGGCTTAGTCTCCTCAGCTATAAAATGAGACGGTGGGGCTGGGGGCTCTAGGCTCCCCGCATTCTGTGAGCCCATGACCCCGGGGGTGGGTGCTCCCCTGTTCATTAATAATAAGATGACCACTTACTGGGGTGTCCACCAGGGGCTCTTCCCGTGAAGGCTCACAGTGACCGGGAGGGAGGAACTCCACTACAGTCTGTTTTAGAGGTGAGGAAGCCAAGGCGCAGGGTGGTTAGGAAATGCCTCAGGTCATGCAGCCAGTGTAGGGTGAAGCTGGGGTTTTCTGGGCCACCCTAGGCCAGCAGCCGTCCTACTGTCCTGCAGTCACTGCTGTTTCTTCCTTTCTCTCTTAATCCACATGGAGCTGAGGGGGTGGGAGGTGGCTGGGGTTTGGAGTGCGAGCGGGGGGTCTCCCGTGGGAGGCAGTGGAAACTTGGGAATGTGTAAGTCACTGGTGCTGGTGCTCTAGTCTCTCCCATCCAGTCAGGGCCACACCTCCCTCTGGGCTGGACCGGAGCTCTGAAGCTAGCTGTAAACCCTCCCTGGGGTCAGGGAGGGCTCCCTGGAGGAGGTGGCGTCTCAGCTGAGCAAGAGTAAGCATGAAGCAGGTAAAGGCAGGAGGAGAGGGTGTTCTGGGCAGAGGGAGGCTCTCCTCAAATAGGAAACCTCCAACCTGACTTTTGAGCTCTGGCTCTCAGGCCCATGTCCACAGTGGTCTTAGACCTCTGCTGCCCTGGGGACCCTCTGAGCTGCCCCTGGCTGCGGTGGGGCAGTCTGTCCCCCTGCCAGGGTCTCCCAGGACCTGACAGTTTTCCCACTGGACTGTCAGGCAGGCGTGGCCAAAAGCCTGGACTCAGGATCCGAGTCGCTCTGGTTCAAATCCTGCCCCTGTCCCTTGTAGCTCTGTCACCTCAGCCAAGTGACTTCATCTTCTTGTGACTTGTCTCTGGATTACAATCATTAACATCCCTCCAGCCGAGTCAGGAATGGCCAGGACCCAATGAATGTGTGCAGAAAGGACGGCCAAGAAGCTCAGTGTGGTGTGTGTCAAGGTAGCCAGGTCGGGCCTGGGCAGAGGGGGTGCCACGACTGAGCTCCAATCCCTGGGGGCCCTCTGGGACCTGGGCCCAGTGTGGCCAGGCCTACAGAGTGTTCAGAAGAAGTCAGAAATCCAGACTCTTGTGAAATCTCCCAAGTTTTAAGGGAAGGCCAAATGTTAGAAAACAGTTTGGGGCTGAGGAAAACCAGGACCCTGCCCTTAGAGCTGATAGATGTCACCCTCTGCCGGCCCACCTGTCCCCAGGTGGGATGCAAATGAGAAGCCATGCAAACGAACACCTCACATTGCATATAACCAAATGCGGAGGTGGGTGAGGATATACCCTTCTTCCCATCATGCCTTGTGGTAGAAACGCCTGGAGGGCACAGGCTTTGACTGTCCATTGCCGGGTCTCTGGAGCCCGGACCTGCGCCTGGCACACAGTGGGTTCACCTTCTCTGTTGAATCGAATGAATGAATGAAAATGATTAGATGGAAGCATGATGACAGAGATAGGCGAGAGACAGAGGAAGGAGCGTGGGCATGGCTAACCGGCTGAGTGGCCATGAGCAGTGTATGTCACCTCCTGGGGCTTCTCTGCTCCTCTGTAGACCAGGCATGGCTCAGGTCCTTAGAAAAGCAACTGGGTTGAGTCAGAAGCATATCACACATGGCTTGCTGACCCAGGAATTCCATGCCAGCCAAGGAGCAACCCCTAAATATGGAAAAAGGAAAGCTATCTGTAGAAAGATATTAATCGAAATATATTATTTATAGCTTCGAAAAACTGGAAATAACTGAGATTTCCAACAATGAGGGAATGGCAAAATAAACCATGGAATATGGTTTGACAAAATATTAGGCAGCCAATAAAAATGAGGTTCAGAGAAGAGGAAAAAGAAACGAGATTACAGAGAGTGAAAGAACTAGAAAAGTGGCCATGATATAATGGCAGGTCAAAAAGGCAGGATACCACCTTTTTTTTTTCTTTTAATATACAGTATGACCTCAGCCCCATTTTTTTTTTAAAGTCCTCAAACAAAAAACTATGGAAGGAAATACATCAAACCTTAACAATGATTGTCTCTGGGTGGTGGGGCTGTGGGTGGTGATTTTTCTTCCTTATTTTGACTTTTCTGCAATTTTTAGATTTTCATAAATGAACATGTATTGTTGCTTTTATGGTAAAGATATTAAAAATGATTTTTTTTTGACGGAGTCTTGCTCTGTCGCCCAGGCTGGAGTGCAGTGGCATGATCTTGGCTCACTGCAACCTCCGCCTCATAGGTTCAAGTGATTCTCCTGCCTCAGCCTCCCGAGTAGCTGGGACTACAGGCGTCCGCCACCACTCCTGACTATTTTTTTTTTGCATTTTTAGTAGAGACAGGGTTTCACCATATTGGCCAGACTGGTCTCGAACTCCTGACCTTGTGATCCGCCCACCTCGGCCTCCCAAAGTGCTGGGATTACAGGCATGAGCCACTGTGCCCGGCCAAGACATTAAAAATGAAAAAAAAAAATCAAAGGAATTCGGGGTGGGGATGGGGTGGATGCTGTCTGTGCTCTGCCCTCGAGTCTCTGAGAGGGAGTTGGCATCAGGGAAGGTTCTAGGCTTGGAGGTGGCAGCCAGGTGTCAGGGGCTGCCTGTGTGATCCTGGGCAGATCCCTTTAGGCCTCAGTGGCACATCCTGTCAGATGGGGCCTGGTCACCTACTTTTCTTTTTTCTTTTGGAGAAAGGGTCTCATTCCTGTTGCCCAGACTGGTGTGCAGTGGCATGCCATCATGGCTCACTGCACTCTTGACTTCCCGGCTCAGGTGATCCTCCCACCTCAGCCTCCTGAGTAGCTGGAACTACAGGTTTGTGCCACCACACCCGGCTAATTTTTTGTATTTTTAGTAGAGACAGGGTTTCACCATGTTGCCCAAGCTGGTCTTTAAACTCCTGGCCTCAAGTGATCCGCCCACCAGCCTCCCAGAGTGCTGGGATTACTGACGTGAGCCACTGCATCTGCACCCGGGCCTCTGGCCACCTATTTGACAGAGCGTGTAGCAAGAACAGGAAGGGAACGTGGCTGAAAACAGTATCGTTGTTAGTTCTTAGGAAGGCCAGTTCTGTTTTCAGACACCCGGAAAGATGTCAGCGTTCTTACTGGGGTGTCCCTGGGAGTATTTTTAGTCCCAGAGGTACAGATGTTCCTGACTCATTTTGGAAAGTAGAACTGGGGTGATCTCTAGACACGCATCACTCTGTGTGGGAGGGGCATGGCCAGGAAGTCAGAGTCCTGGGTTCTAGGGCTGGCTCTTCCCATACTGCTGTGTGATCTTAGACGAGTCACTCAGGCTTCCTGGGCCTCAGCTTCCCCTGTGCAATGGGCTTTGGACACAGAGATCACTAAGATGAATAAACTCTCTGTTTAAACGAGGCCTTCTCCCCCAGGCCCTAAGGGGCAGGAACCCAGGAGTCTGAGAGTGAGCCCCTTACCGGCTGTGGTCCCCAGAAACTTTTTTTTTTTTTTTTCTTGAGACGGAGTTTCACTCTTGTTACTCCAGGCTGGAGTGCAGTGGCACAATCTCGGCTCATTGCAACCTCTGCCTCCCGGGTTCAAGCGATTCTCCTGCCTCAGCCTCCCGAGTAGCTGGGACTACAGGCGCGTGCCATCACGCCCTGCTAATTTTTGTATTTTATTAGAGATGGGGTTTCATGATGTTGGCCAGGATGGTCTTGATCTCTTGACCTCATGATCCACCCGCCTCGGCCTCCCAAAGTGCTGGGATTACAGGTGTGAGCCACTGTGCCCAGCCTCCCAGAACCTTCATATGTGTCCTGTTACCTTATTTCCAGCCACCCTTCCCTAGGGGAGTATGTATGTGTGTAAGGGTATGTGTGTGTGGGTCTATGGAAACTCAGTTCACCATGATGGGATCACCTTGTTTCCCTGGACCTCCTCAATGGTATTCCACTGCTCGGAGTGTCTAGTGGTGGGGGAGGATGGAGGCTGCCTCGGAGCAGGTGGTGTGTCCAGGAAGAGAGTGCCTGTGATGGACCGGACGCCCGTCCGTGTGGTGTGCACACACATCCCCAGCCCGCGCGAGCAGGGAGCTGTGATGGGGCCCGGGGAGTTTCTGGCTACCCTTGTCCTTGGTGCCATGAGGAACCTCAGAAAGGACTCAGTCCTGAGCACTCCCAGGCTCCCACTCTGACACATGTAGTAGATGTGTGCGACAAGCACATCACGTCCCTGTAGACGCAGCTCAAAGCCTAATCATGGTGCATGCACTTTCTGTGCTTTCTACAGGCCCAGCTTTCCACAGAACCAGCGCCAGGAACCTTCAGAACGATTCTGTGAGACAGGCACTGATTCTCTTCAGCATTTACTGATGGGGAAACAGAGGCTCAGAGAAGTTAAGAAACTCACCCAAGGTCACACAGCAGCAAGTGGCAGGCAGGATTCAAACCCAGGCTGTCTGGATCAGGCCCACACCGTGACTCACGCATAGACTCTTCCAGCTGCTGCTCTGGCGATAAGGAGAAGCCCAGCAGAGACCGGTGGCTTTCCACGGTCACGTCGCAGATTAGTGCAGAGCCCAGGCACACTCCAGGACCCTGGACTTGGGAATGGGTTCTTTGCCCATGAACGTGAGTGGAGCCATCTGTCAGAGTCCTGGCTTCTATGCCCAGCACGGGCCAGGCAAGCAGGCCAGTGGAGAATGTGTCAATTGGACCTGAATAGCTTTCCATTTATCACCAGTCTATCCTTGTGCCAAGCCCTGTACCAGGCCCTGGGGTACAGAGACGAGCAAGACTCATTTTCTGCTCATAACCCAGGGACTTCCAGAAGGAGGTGACGTTGAGATTTGGTCAGATGGAGGAGGGCAGACAGGGCGTTCCGGGCTGGGGAAATGTCTGATGCATCTGGGGAATCTCCATGGTTTCTGGGAGGGTTGGGGAAAGCAAAGGAGAGGAGTTTTTGAGGGTCTGACGCTGCTGGGGGCAGGTGGGTGGGTCAGGGAGTGGGGACAGCTGCTGAGTCCACTGAGGCTCTGGAAGTTTCAGGCCCACCCTGGGGACGGAGATGTAGTCTAGGGAAGGACGTGCCCTCCACTTCTGGGTCACAGCTGGAAGGGGAAGTGGGGGCTGGGCACAGGGTCTGAGGTCACAAGGCAGGGACAGGGAGATGGTAGATCAGTACCCCAGCTGGTCCCTCAGAGGCGGGGAGGGGAGAGGGAAGCAGACCCAGCACCCGGCTTCTCTGACCACAGCTCCTGCGGCGCCTCCTCACTCACTTCCCCAATGCGACAAGCTCGTCCCCACCACAGGGCCTTTGCACCTGCTGTTCCTCCTGCCTGAAAATGCTCTCTCCTTTCAGCCACTTGCCTCCCCAGAGCAGGCTCCAATTTGCTCATTTGTTCACTGTCTGTTCCCCTCTTGGGACATGGGCTCCATGATGGCAGGCTTGGTCTGTCTTTGCCACTGACTCCCGGCTCCAAGCACCGTGCCCAGCACACAGTGGGCCCTCAGCAACAGCACTGAGCACTTGCTATGTGCCAGGCACGCCTCATGGGCAGTAACTCATTTAATTCTCAAAACAACCCTCTGGGTAGGGGACTAGGGGCCTGAAGCTGAGTCAGTCTCGAGATCTTCTTCCAGGAAAACACATGATTGTGGGTATGAGAGAGGCAGGGTGCCTTGGAAGGGGCCATGCACATGAGGCATGCCAGAGCTTAGGAGTCAGGAGCCAAAGGGCAAATATGCCCCTGCCTCTGGGGTGGGGGGTAGCCCCATGGTAGATGTGAGGAAACTGAGGCACAGAGAGATTAAGTAAGTTGCCCCTTTGGCTCGCAAGTGGCAGCCCTGGGATTTGATCCCAGGAGGTGTGGGTTCAAAGATCCCAGGAGATTTGGATGCTATATATAGCTTTAACTCAATCAATATTTGTTGACTATGTGAGCGACTGGTTAGGCCTTGACAAATGATTCACCTTCTCTAAGCATCAGTTTCAACATCTGAAGTATGGGGTGTATCTTAAATAGGCAGGAGAGCAACCCATCTTGAGAGGCTCGACGCCCCTTCTCTTACTCTCTCACCCACTGGGTGCTATGGTTTGAATATTTGTTCCGTCCAAAACTCACGTTTTAAGGAAACTTAATCCCCAGTGTGGCAATGTTGAGAGGTGGGCCCTTTAAGAGGTGATGGGGTCAGGAGGGCTCCGTTCTCAAGAATAGATTAATCCATTTGTGGACTAATGGGATAATGGGTTATCATGGGAGGGGAAGGAAGAGAGGCCTGAGCATGTTAGCCCGCCCAGCTCCCTCACCATGGGATGCCCTGCGCCATCTTGGGAACCTGCAGAGAGTCCCCACCAGCAAGAAGTCCCTCACCAGCTGTGGCCCCTCAACCTTGGCCCTCTCAGGCTTCACACCTGTAGGAAATAAATTCCTTTTCTTTATAAAGCATCCAGTTTCAAGGCCGGGCGCGGTGGCTCACGCCGGTAATCCCAACACTTTGGGAGGCCAAGGCGGGCAGATTACAAGGTCAAGAGATTGAGACCGTCCTGGCCAACATGCTGAAACCTGTCTCTACTAAAAATACAAAAATTAGCTGGGTGTGGTGGCGGGCGCCTGTAGTCCCAGCTACTCAGGAGGCTGAGGCAGGAGAACTGCTTGAATGTGGGAGGCAGACGTTGCAGTGAGCTGAGGTCGCAACACTGCATTCCGGCCTGGCAACAGAGCGAGACTCTGTTTCCAAAAAATAAATAAATAAACAAAGTATCCAGTTTCAGGTATTCTGTTATAAGCAACAGAAAGCAGACTAAGCAAGGGTTTCAACTGGGCGGAAAGGTTCTGGTGTCCTTCATTCATTCAACAGACATTTGAAGGTCTATTTTGTGCAGGGCCTGCTCTATGCACTGAGGATAAAGCAGTAAAAACAAAGTCCCTGTTGGCAAGGGCTCATATAATGATGGGAAGAGGTAGACAACAGACAATTGAGATCTAACTTATCACCACCATGAGGAGGCGGGGCATTCAACAGAGAGAAATCAAGCAGAGGAGACTAGGGACTTTGGTGGAGGGGAAGTGGGGGTGGGGAGGCCTCCCCAGGGAGGTGATGTTTTAGCTGAGAGCTGAAGGGCTGAGGGATGGAGCCAGCCAGACACCTGGGGGAAAAGAACTAGGTAGAGGGAACGGCGCTGTCAATGGCTCTGAGGAAGGGAAGTGCTTGGTGAGTTTGGGGACACAGCCAAGAGGCCCGAGGGGCTGCAGCAGAGAGAGGTGGGGCGGGTGGGCCAAACTGAGGTCAGATAGGTCCTGGGGCAGGTCTTGTTGGGCCTGTGGGTCACTGTCAGGACTTGAGTGCCATGGGAGCCACTGGAGGGCTCTGAGCAGGGTCATCTCTGCCCTGTAGCCCCACTTGGGCTGCTGTGCAGGGGACAGACTGCAGGGTCGGGGCAGAAGTCAGGAGGCTACCACAGCCATCCAGGCAGGAGGTGACAGTGGCTTGGATTTGGGTAGTGGGTAGAGATGTGAGATGGGTTGGCTTCTAGGTTATTCTGAACTTCAGTCCAACAGGATTTGCAATGGGTCATGATCTAACTAGCTACTGCTGCATAACAAACCAACCCCAAATGTAGTAGCTTAAAACAACAAGAATCACTGGATCATTTCTCATAGTTTCTGTGGGTCAGGAATTTGGGAAGGGCTTAGCTGGGTGGGCTTGCTTGGGGTCTCCATGCAGTTGCAATTGCAGTTGCACTTCGTAGCTAGAGCAGGTGCAGTGGGCACTGGCCGGGCCTCTCTCTCCTCCCCTTGTACTCTCTGGGTCCCTCTGTTGGGTCTCTCCGTGTGGGCTGATTGAGCTTCCTCACAGCATGGCAGCTCAGGACTCCTGAGGCAAGCGTCCCAGGAAAACCAAGCAGAAACAATATTGCTTTTGATGACCCAGCCTCAGAGGCCACAGAGCTTTGGTTCTGTGGATTCCAGTTTATCTGGATTCAAGGAAAGGGAATGCAGACCTCACCTCTCCACAGGAGGAACATCAATATGGCATTGCAAGAGGAGCATGTGGGATATCAGGCATTGTTGTGGTCCCTGCTGGAAAATGCAGCCTGCCAGAGATTGACGAAGCTGAATTTTTATCCTGTCACTGTGTGTCCATGGGCAAGCTGCTCAGCCCCTTGATATCTCTGTTTCCTCATTTATAAAAGAGAGCAGAGACCAGCTGCCTCCTCAGATTGGGATTCCATATGGGCCATGCCTCTTGTGGGGATGAGCTCAGACAGGCTCAGCCATGAGCTGCCATGCTGTGAGGAAGCTCAACCAGCCCACACGGAGAGACACAACAGAGTGGCCCCCAGAGTACAAGGGGAGTAGAGAGAGGCCTGGCCAGTGCCCACTGCACCTGCTCTAGCTACGAAGTGCAACTGCAATTGCAACTGCATGGAGAGCCCAAGCAAGCCCACCCAGCTAAGCCCTTCCCAAATTCCTGGCCCACAGAAACTATGAGAAATGATCCAATGATTCTTGTGAACTTCCCTTCCCTACTTCCTGCCACCCACGCCTGCTCCACTCTGTGCAGCCTGGAGAAGGTCCTCCACAGGGAAGATGGAAACAAACGTGAGTGGAGTGGCTGTGCCTTGTGGGGGCATCGACTCTGCGCCATCTGCCTGGGTCTGGACTGCTTGCTCCACGAGTGCTTGTGTGTGCCTTTGCATGTGCGGGTGTGTGCACACTCGTGCGCTCATGGGCCTGTGAGCGCATCTTTCTCTTGCCCACACCAGAAGTTTCTCCGGTCCTCTTCTCTGGGAGGCACACCTTAGGCTCTGAACAGCAGCCTTGGCAGGCAGCCCCGCTTAATCCTCACCTGGGCCTGAGGGCTCCTCCTGGATCTTTTTTTTTTTCTTTTTTTAGACAGAGTCTCGCTCTGTTGCCCAGGCTGGAGTGCAGTGGCGCGATCTCGGCTCACTGCAAGTTCCACCTCCCGGGTTCATGCCATTCTCCTGCCTCAGCCTCCCAAGTAGCTGGGACTACAGGCACCTGCCACCACGCCTGGCTAATTTTGTTTTTGTATTTTTAGCAGAGACGAGGTTTCACCGTGTTAGCCAGGATGGTCTCGATCTCCTGACCTCGTGATCCGCCCACCTCGGCCTCCTAAAGTGCTGGGATTACAGACGTGGGCCACTGCGCCCGGCCTCCTCCTTGATCATTTTTGATGCGGCCCCTCCTTTCCCTTCCTGGGCCAGGCTCACCATGGTCACCTGTCCCCTGTGACCTCACCCTGAAGGGTTCCTCGCTCCTCCTTGGCCCTCGCCAACACGGCCCTGTTGGAGGCCCACTGGACAGCCAGAGCAGCCTATGCAGATGCAGGTATGAGAGCATCACTCTCCTGCTTATGTGAAATTCTAGAAAAGGCAAAATTCAGGCCAGGTTTGGTGGCTCACACCTGTAATCCCAGCACTTTGCGGGGCCAAGGCTGGGGCAGATCGCTTGAGGCCAGGAGTTTGAGACCAGCCTGGCCAACATGGTGAAACCCTGTCTCTACTAAAAATACAAAAGTTAGCTGGGCATGGTGGTGGGGCCCTGTAATCCCAGCTACTCAGGAGGCTGAAGTGGGAGCACTCCGGCTTGGGTGACAGAGCTGAAAAAAAATAAAAGAAAAAGAAAAGGCAGAATTCTAGTGCTGGAAGGCAGGTCAGTGGTGCCCAGGGCAATTGGGAAGGGAAGGACCTGCCTGGGAAGGGAAGGACCTGCCTGGAAAGGAGCAGAGGGGACCTGGAGTGGTGGTCACGTGCTCTAAAGGTTCTCCATTCTGATTGAGGTGGTGGCTACTCAACTGTGTCCCAGAGTTTGGACAATGGGTGAGTTGTATTGTGTGGAAATTACACCTTGCAAAGCTGACAACAGCAAATCCCTCCCAGGCTCCTCATTCATTCCAGGACCTGTTAAATGTCTCCTGTGTGCCTGGCCTTGTTCCAGGCTCCGGGGTGCAGTGTAGACAAAACACACAGAACCTCTGTTTTCACAGGCCAGGGAGTCGGCCAAGAATATAATGACATGGGACATTACAGCAGGGATGCTAAGGACGCCAAGGGGACCATTAGAGCAGCCCAGGAGACAGGAGAGACCAAGCCCTGAGGCCTTTGACCACTTGGACCCTCTCCACGCACCTCCCACCCACCCTGATGTCTCTCTTTGAGGCTGGGTCCCTTAGTGGTCTGGGGTGGGCCAGGCTGTGGGAGAGAGGGGCCCCGGTGACCTGTGCCCACCATCCAGCAGGAGGAGATGCCAGTGAGGTAGAGACACAAGGACATGCTCCTGCCGGGCATGGTGGCTCATGCCTGTAATCCCAGCACTTTGGGAGGCCGAGGCGGGTGGATCACCTGAGGTCAGGAGTTCAAGACCAGCCTGGCCAACATGGTGAAACCCTGTCTACTAAAAATACAAACATTAGCCAGGCATAGTGGTGCATGTCTGTAATCCCAGCTCCTCGGGAGGCCGAGGCAGGAGAATCGTTTGAACCCGGGAGGTGGAAGTTGCAGTGAGCGGAGACTGCGCCACTGCACTCCAGCCTGGGCGACAGAGAGAGACTCCACCTCAAAAAAAAAAAAAAAACCCAAAAAACAACAATGACAAAAAATATATACTCCTGCTCCCCGATCAATGGCAGGGGCGAGGGGACAAGCTGCCTCAGGTCCTGTGTGCGTCTCCTGGGCGCTCACACGAGGTCAGTGGTATGCACTTACCAGGCCTGGCACACACGTCTCACTCGGACACTGGTGCACAAACACCTGGGCTGGGCCCATGAGCAAATCCGCGCCACTTATTTGGTGCCTGATCTCTTTCATGCACATCCAATGGCTTCCACACCCTGGGAGCACCACCTCTGGGCACAAACACACACAGGCTGGTGCACACACACACACGTACACACACGCATACTTGTGCACATGGTAAGAGCTCATGTTTATTGAGCACTTACTCTTACGTATTTTATTTCTTATTTATTTATTTATTTATTTTTGAGACAGGGTCTTGCTCTGTTGCCCAGACTGGAGGGCAGTGGCACGATCATAGCTCACTGAAGACTCGAATGCCTGGGCTCAAGGGATCCTCCCGCCTCAACCTCCCAAGTAGCTGGGATTAAAAGTGCACTACCACACCCAGGTAAGTTATTGATTTGTGAAGATGGGGTCTTGCTTCGCCGCCCAGGCTTTTATGTATTTCATCTCAATCTTCCCAGCAGTCCTGTGAGGCAGGTACTATCTTAGCCCATTTTACGGATGAGGAAACCAAGCCACTGAGGGTTTGTTATCTTCCTCAAAGTCTGAGACTGATAGTGGCAGAGATGGGATGAGAAGTCAGGCTTTCTGGCTCCGGGCTCTGGTGTTTGTGGCTGTCCGTAGAGACCACCAGGTGTGGGGGACCCCCATGTCCAGTGTCTCCTGCCCCGCCCCATTGGAAGCCCTGTGCCCTACACGTGCACAGCACCTCGCAGCTTGCAAAGCCTCCTCCCGCCCCGTGAATGGGGGATAGGGGTGTTAATCATCCCCGTTGTTCAGAAGCAGAAACCAAGGGACAAAGGACAGTTGTTCAAGGTTGCTCGGGGGTTGATGACAGAACCAGGACCAGATCCCGCTTCCCGGCTGCTTGTCCGTGGGTCTGGCTCTGCTCCTGGGGAGGGAATGTGGCCTCAGGGACCTCCAGGTGCACTGCCCTCCTGCTGCATAGACTCAGGAATGTTCTGGACAGCCAGGAGCAAGTGGAATCTGAAGAGGGATGGTGCAGCCCACGCTGGGTTGGAGGGGCCTTCTAGAGAGGCGGGATGTCCAACCTGGTCTTGGAGGGGCTGTGAGGGATGGAGGGCGTCTGAGCCGGCCCCTCTGAGGGGCCCCACCAGCCATTCTTGAGACCGGCCCCTGGGTGCCTGAGCACAGCAGGTGTGTCTCATCTATGTCTGATGGGGCCTGTCCCAGCCAGGGGACAGGGACTACTGAGGATTCTGGAATCCGGACCCTCCGAGGGAGAGAAGGGCTGAGGCTGGGGGCGAGAGGAACCTGAGCAGGCTCCGTGCCTCTGTCAGATGGAGGGCAGAGCCCTTGGCACCTGTCTGGGGGTGAGGAATGCTGGCCCAGGAAGTGTGGGGCCCCTCCTCTCCCAGCTCTCCATCCTCTGCTCTGTGGCGAGGCTATGCCTGGCCAGGCATTGTTCAAAGGTTTGAAAATAAAGGCTTCTTGGCCTGGCCCTGCTGGCAGAGGGAAGGGGGCAGCTCTGGCCCAGGCCTGAAGGATAACTGGCTGAAAAGGGAGGTCCCACCCAGCTCCACCTCCAGTACGGCTGGGAGCATTGGGGTCCTCGGAGTGTCCTGGCACCCCGGCTTCTGCTGCCTAGTGAGGCTGGGTCTGGGGCCTTCTCCTCCTCCAGGGGCTCAAGCTGCCCCTTCCCCACCAGAAGCTTCCAACAATCTGGGGCTGGTGGGGGACAGGTGCTCCCCTCATGCCTTCTTTCACCTACTAGCAGATAACTTAACAGTAATGATGTCTCCATTACCCCAGTGGGGTAGGCACCACTGTCATTACTGTTAGACACATGAGGAAACCAAGGCTCAGAGAGGTTGAGTAACTTGTCCAAGGCCACACAGCTGGCCAGCAGAGGAGCCATGGCTCAAGCAGAGGTCTGCCTGGCTCCTGAGTCAGAGCCTAACCATGTACCCCACCACCCCTCGCCTCCCCACTATTCCACCTCCCCTGGGCTCCCCTTCCAGGCCCTCCCTCTGGCCGGCAGAGCCAAGAAGCTTTCTGCTTCCCCTGAGTGGCCAGGGCTTGGGGATACCATGTAGGGTGCTGGGGGAGGGAGGGAGCCAGCAGAGAAGGGCTTGTGGTGGGGTGTCCATGTCAGCTTGTTAAATTCTCACACCCAGCTCTCACGCAGGGGCTCTGTCTGTTTTGTAGATGAGCAAACTGAGGCCCAGAAGAGATGGGATTTGAACCTAGATCCGTTTCTGTCTAAAGCCTTTCCTCACACTCAGTGTCTGAAGGGCTAATAGGAATCCCCAACACAGAACACTACCCAGCCTCTACAAGGTCCATGTGTGAACCAAGAGGCACCAAAGGGTGGGCTGGGGGCACTGTTGCTTGGGCACAGGACGGACGGCAGGTAGAAAGAGCAGGTCAGGAGCCAGGGAGCCCGGGCAGCTCCGACACCCGGATGTCCCCCATCCGACTCAGCAGGCAGGGCCCTGCCTTCCTCCGGTGGCACATGGCTGCCAGCCTCCCCTTCCAGACGAGATCCGGTGATCCCCTGTCCACCCCCGGGGCCTCTGCTGAGGCTGGCACGCTGGTGCTGGCACCGGAAAGCGACATTCCAGAGTCCCCCCCCAATTCCCTGCCAAACCTGGATTCTTGGCAGAGCAGGAGAGCAGGGGCTTCTGGGAGATGCTCAAGGCAGGAGTGTGGGGAGAGGGCTGTGGCTGGGGAGGATTGTGGGTGGGACCAGAGCGGGCACACCTGCCCGCAGGACGTAGGAGGGACCAGGGAAGGGACAGGGCAGACCGCCCCCACCCCCCAGGAACTAGGCATCTCTGGGCTGCCCCACCCCAACAGAAGCCTGGATGGGGCGACAGCACAGCCTCCAGACTGGGGGGAGCTAGGCCGAGGACAGCATCTCAGACGTGGTGTTCCTAAAAAGATACATCCTTCTCAGGTGGTCAGGTACCCCTCACTCCCTCCGGTCGAAGGTTTTCCAGGCAGAGCTCTGACTCACTGTGTGACCTTGGGCAAGACACATGCCCTCTCTGGGCCTCAGAGACTCATGACAGGGCTGAAACAGGCAAATCTTGAAGGCGCCTTCGAGCAAACGACTTAGGACACTTGGTTTTTATTGTTCCAAGATCTTGTGACTTTAGCCTCCTCCCTGGCCTCCCCTGTCCCATCTCTACACAGCGGCAACGGCTCTTTGTAAAACTGAGTCAGGGGGCTCCCCTGCTCAGCACCCTGGGGGAGGGAGTGCCTCTGGCTTCGTCCCCCTGCCCCTGTGCCTGCCCCGTCCCCTGCCTCCAGTGCACGGGCCCCTCCTGGACAACTTTCTTCTCTCCTGGGGCATCTGCCACTCACCCCTCCTCTGGCCCCACCCAGATCTTTCAATAGTTCTTTCTGGTCATCCAAGGCTCAGCTCAAATGTCAGAGAGGCCTTCCCTGACCCGTTTCCTAAACTTGTACCCTTCACCCACCCAGGGTTTGTGATCACATTTCTCTGATTTATTTGCTTTATAACATTTTCTCACAACCGGGGTCTTCTTGTTCATTTACTATTTACTTGCCGATTGTCCTTTTTGCCTCTGGACTGTCAACTCTGAGAGGGCAGGGACGCGTCTCCGGTACCCAGCTCTCGGCAGGCTCTCTCAGTCTTTCTGAATGAGTGACTCTGACACTGTGCGTTTCTCAGAACAAGCCCGAACTCCTGGTCCCTCAGCTCGAGATTCCTCCCTGGGGGCTCACTGCTCCCTCCCTCCGTGGCCTCCCCCATCCCAGGCTGGTGGCATGTTCCTGGGTCCTCAGCGCTGGGACAGGGTTGCCTCAGGCCCTGACCATGGGGCCCAGCAGCCCGGGGGCCTGGCAAGGCAGCACAGGGTGGGAAGGAGGGAAGGCCCATGTCCCCTGGTCCCCATGAAACCCCGTTCCCCAAGAGCAGGAGAGCAGTCCTGGGCCTGGAAACCCCCTTGGTCTGGCTGCTGGGGCAGGCAGTTCCGGGGTGACCTCATCGCCTTGAAAGGAGGGCAGCAGGGGCAGGAAACGGAGGACACATCAGAGAGACTAAATTTAGAGCGTTTGATTCAGCCCGGGCGGGACAATATTCCTGGAGTCCCCATTGTTTGTGAGGGGCCAGAGGGCAGGCTGCCCGTTGAATGCTGGGTCTGAGCCATGCCAAGCTGTCTGGGCATGCAGGGGTCGCGGGCGGTGGGTGCGGTGAACCCCCCACCTGGAGAGAAAGCTGGGCCAAGGGTCAGGGCAGATGAGGTGGGGTGCGAGCTCTGGGGGTGCTGCCCTTCTGATAAGGCCAAAGGTGTAGAGGGCGATGCCTCAAAGAGGAAGAGGGGTCTTTGCTCTCCTGATAACACGCCCTCTGCAGCGTGCCCCTCATAATAGCCAGGACAGGCGTTATCCTCCCCCTCCTCTGCCATTGCCCAGGCAGGGGTCTGAGGTTCGGCTGGGAGACTAAGTTGCTGAAGGCCACGTGGAGGATAATGCCCCAGCTCCCAGCCCAGGTCAGCAGCACCAGCTGTGCCCCCCGCCCTTTGTCCTACGACCAGGACAGGCCCTGCCCCCACACATCGCCCTGCTGCCCCCCACCAGGCCTAGCAGCTGCGGGTGGACAGGAGAGGGTGACTTGCCCTGCACAGACTCCAGAACCCATTGCCATGGCAACCTGGGGTCCAGGCTTGTGATGCTCTGGAGATGAGCCCGGAGCCGAGGACGTGGGTGAGGATGCAGGGGCGCTGGCTTTTGCCCCCTGGCCTGCGAGCACCAGAGATGGGCCAGCAGCCCGGCCAAGCTGCCTGGGCTGGTCACACTGGCTTGGCCGGAGGTCTTCCAGGGTGTCCTGTTTCTGTGCCCACGCTTCAGGCCACACTGCAGCGGGCGCCAGAGGAGGCTGCAGATTGTCCTGGATTCAGGGCCACCCTGGTGGGTGAAGGCTCTGCAGTCCCTGTGCTCAGGACCCTCCTGCTCCTGTCCAAGCCCCCTTCCTCCCTTCCCGCAAGTCCCACTGAGGCTCAGGGAACCCCTTGGGCCATCTGCCCTGGAAATGGGGAGAGGGGACTGGAAGTTCCAGTGGGCTGGTTCTGTCCACCACTGTGTGTCAGGCACAGGCAAAGGCCCCAGGGATGTTCAGAGCTCACCCCCGCCCTCCTTTCCTCTCTCCAGCTGCAGGAGGACCTGGGGAAGGAAGGCAGCCCCCACCCCGTGTATGCCAGATGAGTAAACCAAGGGTCTGAGCTGGGAAGAGGCCTGCCTGGGACCAGGCACAGGGCAGCAGCTTCACCCATCAGCCTGGGCCCTGCCCACTGCAGTCCCGGCCCCTCGCGGTCGCTCCCTGCAGCCCACTGCCCTGCCGGGGCGGCGGCCCGGGCGCTCGCTGCTCCTGTTGATTTCACGTCATGACTCATGTTATCATGTTCTCAGGAGCTGAGTAACCACCTGGGTTATTTATACCCTGGCTTGGCAGGCTTCCTTCCCTCCTCCCAGAACTCGGGCAGGGAGGACGGGGTGGGGGTGGGGAGGAACCTGGGAGGGGGACGTGGACTAGAAGAAGGCAGCTGAGCACCCCCACGTCCCCTCCCCTGGGGCACCACCCCCGTAAGGCACCCCAAAATAACCATGCCTATTTCAGCATAACAGGATGGGCCTGCCTCGATGGCATGGACCTATAGGTGTTATGATGGTCTGGGGAGGGGGGAGTTCCTTTCCCGAGCGAGTCACCCGTCTGGAAAAATAAAGAAGGAAAAAGCTGAAAAATTTTCCTTCCATCAAAACAGGAAGGAGCTGGGGAGGGGGATGGACAGGGAGATGAGGCTTGGAGGCTGAGGTGCATCCTCCCCTCCCCCACTGGTGGTCTTTAGGGAAGGGAAGCCCCGGCGCCTGGGGTCTCTAGCCTGCTCGGCTGGGGCCGGCGCCCTGGGTGTCTCCCGAGTGGGACATTGCTGGCTGCCAGGGGGTGTTTTCATCCTCCCTTCCTCCCGGGCCAGTGTACATTGGTTTACACCCACAATGCCTGTGTGCACGCAGGCCCCCCAGTCGCCCTTCACACCGCATCACACAGGCACGCTCACCCTCCCTGCACGCCCCCACCAGATCCCACATGGGAAAATATCTCACTCACACTGGTGGGTGGGATGGGGGGATCTGTCTTTCTGGCTTAATTCATTCTTCCCTCCCTTTGAGCACTTTCCTGGGAGTGCTGTGACTTCAGTTCAAACCCAGCTCCACCTCTAACCAACAGGGTGATGTTAGAGAAGTCACTTTCCCTCTCTGAGCCTCAGTTTTCCCATCTGTAAGAGGGGTATGATCCTTCCCATGCCGCTTGCTTCCCTTTGAGGCAGATTGTGCGACTGAATGAGGTTTGTGCCTCAGGTGCCTCAGCCAAGTGGGAGGAAGGTAACCACAGCTCCCATGTATGGAGTGCTCCGTTTGTGCCAACCCCCTTCATTCATTTGCTAGCTTAACCCCATTACCAAATGGGACAGGTTCCAGAATCACACTCACCCAGGGTCCCACAGCTGGGAGGGGGCGTGGTGAGCACTGTCGTTATCCAAGGAAGAACAGGGAGGTCCCCTGGTGCCCCAAGGGGGAAGGGGCAGAGGAAAGCCCATCCTCCATGGAACACCCCTTCCACCTGGGACCATCGATGATAACTCTGTGGCTTCAGCAGGGACGTGCCCCATGGCCAGAGCACATCTGTGCCCGGGGAGCACGTACTATGCCCATGGCTGCGGTGGTTCCTATTAAGACTCTTAGTCACTCATGCCGGCTGCCCTCTGTTTGCTTATTGACTTATATAACCACGGCCCCAGGGTGTTTATACAGTCGTCTGGGTCTTTCCGACTGTCTACCTGCCTGCCTGCTTTGGCCTGTAAGCCCCCCCTAGGGCAGGGGGCTCCAGAGAGGTGAGCTGGTGGTGGAATGGCCAATTCTTCCCGAGGATAACTCCGGAGGCGTGCCATGCACGTCCGCACACACTCCCCACAATCAGATCGTGTCTGGATACCCATTCTACAGACGACGACACCGAGGCTGCGGACGTTGTTCCTCCAGGCCCAGGACTCAGTTTTCATGCCTGTAAAATGGGGATAACGTATTTTTCTCTCCCTGGATTGTTGGGTGGTTCAGTGAGTTAATGTATGAGTTTGAAACATATAAAATCACAGTGTTTAACTTTTTAAAAAGTACTTTTTTTTAGTACAGTTTTCAATTCACGGCAGCAGTGAGAGGAAGGCACAGAGATAGCCCATGGGAATCTATGGGTGAGTGAGGGTGAGGCCCCAGTGAACTGGGCGGGTGTGTTTTCATCTTTGCCTGCCTGGCAGATGGGTAGAGAAGTGCAGGGCAGGGATGTTGGCACTGAGCTGCCTGGGTTCAAGTCCTGGCTCTGCCCTCAGCCATCCCTGACTTTGGCAGAGCTGTTGTGGACCTTGGTTTCCCCATTTGTGAAATGGGGGTGGCAAGAGCTCCTCTCATGCCCACGTGTCGTGCAGCTCAAATGAGTTATTGCACCTACAGGTGCAGAGCCGGCTGCCCAACTGCACGGCCAAGGCTACACAGAGTTTGCTCTTATGAATACTGGTGGAAAGTTTGTGACTTTTAGTTTTTTTTGAAGCAGAGTCTCACTCTGTTGCCCAGACTGGAGTGCAGTGGTGTGATCATGGCTCGCTGCATCCTCGACCTCCTTGGCTCAGGCGATCCTCCCGCCTCAGCCTCCTGAGTAGCTGGGACTACAGATGCACGCTACCACACCAGGCTGATTTTTGTATTATTACTATTTTTTTTGTAGCGATGGGGTTTTGCTGTGTTGCCCATGCTGGACTCCAACTCCTGGGCTCCAGTGATCCGCCTGCTTTGGTCCCCCAAAGTGCTGGGATTATGGGTGTGAGCCACTGCTCCTGCCTAAGTTTGTGACTTTTATACTGTGGCTGGCTTCCCATTCTTTTGATAGGCTCACCATGCTTCCTGCAGTTACAAGCAGTCTCCTCTAGCAAGCTGGGATCCCCACCAAGAGGGGTGCCCGCTCACTGCCTGTCCGTCTCTGCTTCCCAGCTCCATCCCTTCCAGAATCCTCAGTCAAACTCTTAGAAAGCGACTGAAAGGATGCCCTGATTTGGAAAGGGCTGGCTAACCCATACCTATTCCATCGTTTCCCACCTGTGGACCCACCACAAGCAAATGGCTTCTGTCTCTGGGGTGGGGGTGGACCCGGGGCCCCCCCGAATCCTTGGGCCCACTGCCTCCAGCCCTGCATAGCCTCTCCATGTAGTCCGTATAATTTTGTATGTATGCATCATGGCATGAAGAAGGCTAGGCAGCTGCCATCTAGGCACACAGGGAGGCATCGTGTGGCTGGGAGGTGGCAAAGCTGTGGGCTTCGGCATCACAGCCTTGGATCAAATCCCGACACTGCTGCTTCCTTGCTGGGTGGCGGTGGGAAAGCCAGCAGGCTTCTCGGAGCCTCAGTCTCCTCTCCTCCCCCGGATGAACAGATCAGAGCACCAGGAGTGGGTCAGGGCTCAGCCAGGCTCTCTTTCTTTGCTGGTCAAATGGTAATCACTGTCCTACCGCCTTCCTCAGGCTGTCAGCTCAAGAGCACGATTGGCCCAGGGTGAATGCTCTGCAAGGGAGGCTGTCCTGATGACGGGCTCACTCCAGGCCCAAGAGGCAGGCAGCAAAGGACGCTGTCAGGATGGGCCTTCTCTGGGGAGAGCCAGACTTCAAGCATCAAGGTGGGGAGGGGGGGCCCAGACCCCCGATAGGGTCATCCTCCAGCCCATCTGGCCCAGCTCCCCTCACCCCAGGACGGTTTCACTCGAATTCCAGCCAGCTTGCAGGGCAGATAGGTCCAAGCTGCCCCGTCCAAACATCCTCTTCCTTGTCTGGAGCCTGGAGGAGCTAAAAATGCATCAGCTTTGGGAAAACAAACACTGCGCTTCCCTCGCCTTTGTATACAGGACAAGGCCCAAGGCCGCAGGGTGGGCTCCTCCAGGCTGGCTTAGGCCTGGGGGTCCATCTGTCTGCCTTCCTGGGGGTCTCCTCTCCTGCCTCCCTGGCACTCACAGGCCAGTGGCCAGAGCCTCATTAGGGTGAGAAGGTCTGAGAGAAGTGGCGGGAGTTCTATGTAAGAACAACCTCCACCCTCTCCAGGTGAAGACCTGTGGCCCCTCTCCTAGCGCTGGCTCTGGAGCTCAGAGGTGAATTTGCAAGTGAGGTAGGGGTGTGTGTGTGTGTGTGTGTGTGTGTGTGTGTGTGTGTGCGCGCGCGCGCAGAGCCTGCAGTAATAACCATCACTGTGATGACCAACATCTGTGGGGTGCTCACTCCAGGCTTTATCACTTCAGGTGAATTAACTCATTTAACCCAGTGAGGTAGGGACTATTGTCCCTACGACTTACAGAGGAGGAACGTGAGGCTCAGGAAGGTTAAGGAATTTGCTTAAGGTCACAGAGTTAGTAGATGGTAGGGCAGGGCTTTGAACCCAGGTGGTCTTTGACGGGAAGCCTAGTCCCTTGCCCTCTCTCAGCCTCACTTTCCTCATCTGTACAATGGGCATATACGATGGCAATGCCTTCTCCCTGGGCGACTGTGAGGGTGAGGCAGGCAGAGGGGAAGGAAGTGCTTTGTGGACAGCCAAAGGCCCTGTAGACAGGGAGGCAGGGGATGGGGCAGCAAGGGGCATGGGGGAGCTGATGAGGGCCACGCGGAGTGGGGTAGGGCTTGGAGTTTCAGACCATTTGTGGCATGGTCTTGGACGGTCTCCAGCTTAGAGCCTCACTTCCTCTCCATCAAGTATGGAGAAGCAGAGCTGCCTGGCCCAGGTGTTGCTGGCCCCTCTCAGTGGCGGGGAGGCTCCCAGTGATCATCGCTCTCACCTTTCTGGACTTGAGGGCGTGAGTTTGCCCCCGGGATGGAACCCAACTCCTTCCTTGGTATTTCTTCACCCCAGCCAGTGTCCTGGACCCCCACGCCCAGGGTGTAAGATGCTCTTCATGGATGAGGGCTTGGATAGCTCTGAGCACACAGTCTAAAAAGCCCCCAACCTTGGGCAGCACCCCCATCCCCCACGGCTGTGGCCACTCTTTTTCCCTTTGGCTCAGATCTGTCCTGGAGTGGAGGGTGGAGAGTTACGGGGGTGTGGGCGCCCCCATCCCTAGCTCTGCTGGAGAACCTTATTTCCCAGTGGCCTGAACGCGAAGATGGGCGGGGGCCTTCCCAGTTCTCTCATTCAAGTGCTCCTCAGACCCAGCCCTGATGAAGTTCCGAGGTCAGATGAGACCACGTGCATTCAGGGTGGTGTGGCTTCAGACCCTTCCCAGTTCTGATACCTCCAGAAGGGGTGCCCTTCAGGGGCCCTGTGCTTCCAAGCTTAGAGGCTCATGCTACAAGCCCCTCCCCAACTCTTTCCACCCTTTAGGAAGGGCCTGGCATCTCTGCAATAACTGGTCAGGACTCAGAAAGAGAAATTGGCAGGATTTTAATCATTTATTCATTCCTTCAGCGAGCGGCACTTCCTGAGCAGCCACTGTATGCTAGGAGCTGGCAGGAGGCCCTTGAACACTCTGGACTCAGTCTAGTGCTAGATTGATGATCAGGCCATGACGATGCCAGGTGTGCATGCTGTGGAGCCTGGAACAAGTGCCAAGCCTGGTGGGCCTTCTGGAGGAGGTGCCTGCTACACCCAGCCTGGCAGGAGGCAGACGATCAGGTGTTATTAAAAAAAAATTTTTAGGCTGGGTGTGGTGGTTCATGCCTGTAATCCCAGCACTTCGGGAGGCTGAGTGGGGCAGATCACTTGAGGTCAGGAGATCGAGAGCACCCTGGTCAACATGGTGAAACCGTCTCTACTAAAAATACAAAAATTAGCTGGGCATGGTGGCAGGCGCCTGTGGTCTCAGCTACTCGGGAGGCTGAGGCAGGAGAATCGCTTGAACCTGGGAGGCAGAGGTTGCAGTGAGAAGAGATCGCACCACGGCA
Source organism: Homo sapiens (assembly GCF_000001405.40). Taxonomy (NCBI): domain Eukaryota; kingdom Metazoa; phylum Chordata; class Mammalia; order Primates; family Hominidae; genus Homo; species Homo sapiens. Next base: position 39,248,061 of record NC_000022.11, on the reverse strand, counting down.
CTCCAGCCTCGGCGACAGACCGAGACCCCGTCTCTGAGATGGCTCACTGCAGTCTTGAACTCCTGGGCTCAGGGGATTCTCCCTCCTGACTCAGCCTCCTGAGTAGCTGGGGCCACACTCAGATATATATATATATATATATATATATATATATATATATATATATATATATTTTTTTTTTTTTTTTTTTTTTTTTTTGGTAATTTTTTTTAAGAGATGGGATCTCGCTATGTTGCTGAGGCTGGTCTCGAACTCCTGGCTGCACATGATCCTCTGGCCTCAGCCTCCCAAATTGCTGGGAATACAGGGGTGAGCCACCGTGCCTGGGGAGGTGTTCTTTACAGACTGTTCCTCTGCACAGAGAAGGTACAAGAAAGGAGCCCTTAGCACAACATTCAGGCCCAGGTGTCACGCAGGTGTCACGTAGCATTCAGGCCCAGGTGTCTGCTGGGCCCTCTTCTGCCACTTCTAACCCATGTACTGGCACCTGCACTGCAATGATTTGGGTCTATCTCACTGAGAGCATGGGAAGTCCCTGAGTGCCGAGGCTGGGACTCCTTCCTCATTCCATTTCTCAGCGCTTCACACAGGGTCTGCAAACAGTAGGCGTTCTACGATGCTGCTCTGAGTAGCCTTCCCTCTCCCTCAACTTGTACCTAAGTCAGAGTTCATATGGGTCCATCACTTTTTAGCTGGCAGAGCAGGTTCCCACATATTAATGCATGTGGCGCTCACCAAAGCGCTGTGTCAAAAGTGTCATCATTGTCATCAGCATCACCTGCCAGAAAATTGCACAGCACGGTGGTCTCAGCATGTGGGCTCTGTAGCTGGACTGCTCAGATTCAAGTCCTGGCCTTACCACTTACGGGCTGTGTGACCTTGAACAAGTGTATTGGCCTCTCTGTGCTTCCATTTCCCCATCTGTAAGATAGGAATAACACATCTCACAGGAGCATGGAGAGGCTACAGGTAGAGTAAGAAAAACACTAGCTACCACATAGTCAGCTCACTAATCATGGTAGTTGTTACCATTCTATTTATAGAAGACACAGAAGGTCAAGGTCAAATGACCCAGCTGTCCGGTGGAAGAGGGTTTTTATCTCTGAGTCGTTAGACTTCAAATCTAGTGTTTGGGGGTTATCTCCTCGTCCCGCTGCCCCATCTCCCTTGTCACCCTGTCTCCTAATTTATCTGTTTATACATCTGGTTGTCCTTCTCAATGGGGCTCTTCAAAGGCAGGGGCCTGCATTAGGCTGGTTCACACCTGTCTCCCCAGTGCCTGGAGCAGTGCGGGGCCACCAGTGAACTTGAAGGCTGCATGGAAGGTTCCAGGCGCTTGCTTCCTGCTAAGGTGTTTTGCTGAGCGCCTCCACATGGAGGACCTCATGGGAGCCTCCAGACCACTCCAGGAGCAGGGTAAAAATTCTCTACAACTGCACTGAGGTACAACAAACTGCACACATTTTGTTGTGATGTACGTATACACCCATAAGCCCATCACCACAATCAAAAATGACAAACATTTCCATCACCACTAAAATTTTGCCATGCCTCTCTGTTCTCTCTCACTCCTTCCCATTATAGATTTATTTTTATTTCTTTAGAGATAGGGTCTTGCTCTGTTGCCCAGGCTGGAGTGCAGTGGCACAGTCACAACTCACTGCAGCCTCAAACTCCTGGGCTCAAAACGATCCACAGTCTCCTGAGTAGCTGGGACTACAGGAGCTTGTTACCACACCCAGCTCCAGTTTATAAATTCATCTCCAGTTTATAAAGGAGGAAACCGAGGTACTGAGAGGTTAAAAAACCTTCCTGCAGACACTTGTCCAGCAAGTGGCCACTCCAGGATTTGGACCAAGGTGATGTGTCTTCAGGCTGTGTCTCTGCCACTGTGCCACGCTGCTGGGTGGTAGGCAGCAGTGGGTGGGTGCCTGCAGTGGTCTGTAAAGACCACCTGAGATGTCCTTCCTCCTCTGTTCCACCCTGTCCAGGTCCAAGAAGACAGTCTATGAAGAGAGAGCAGGTGTGACTCTCTCAGTGTGCTCCTCTGTGAGAAGCAGGCTGACATCCCAAAGGGAAGGGCGGATAACAGAGACAGTGCAAGCGGAGGAGATGAGGGTGCCTCAAAGCCGGGAGGCTGGGTGATGCAGGAGCCTGCGTGTCCCGAGGGGGGTGCTGGGCCCAGTGTGAGTACGTGTGACTGTGACTGAGACAGTGTGACTGCTGAAGGCAGGGACACAGCAGCTCCCTGACTGGGGGCAGAAGGCGTTAACTGTGTGAAGGCTGGTTGTGGGTGGGTGGGCTCTGGGCCTCGAACCCGGGGGCTGAGGGAGATAGTAAACAGCAGGGTGACTGACGGGAAGATCATGTTGGTAGCCCTGCGAAGATGCTGCAGGGCTGTGGGGGTTTGTGTGACTTTGCAGTTCAACAAATTCAAATTCAGCCAACGCTGGCAGGGCCTGTTGTGCCAGGCAACCAGCTAGGAGGAGGAGACTCGGACCCAGCTTGCAGCTGAAGGGCGCTGGCTGCCGGGTTCTGTGGGTTCACCTTGCGGTGTCTTCCCTTGCTAACACTGAGTCCTTACAATAGCCCCATCTCCAGGTTGAGGCTAGATGGAGGGGACAGAGGGAAGTGACTTGCCCAAGGTGACCCAAGCTCCCGAGTGCCAGGGCAGGATCTGAATTCAGGCTCTCAGACTGCAGAGCCTGAGTCCCTCCCTGCCATGCCTGTGCCAGGGTGGAAATGTCTGGTCCTGGAGGGGAGCGTGGACTCCTGGCCTTGGCTCTGGAGACATCCCCCTAGACCACGTGGGCTCCTAACCTGTCCATGGTCACTGTGCTGAGGGGCGGGACGGTGGGTCACCCCTAGTTCTTTTTTCCCCAGGGCCAGATTCATGGACTGAAGGGTTGCTCGGCTCTCAGAGACCCCCTAAGCGCCCCGCCCTGGCCCCAAGCCCTCCCCCAGCTCCCGCGTCCCCCCCCTCCTGGCGCTGACTCCGGGCCAGAAGAGGAAAGGCTGTCTCCACCCACCTCTCGCACTCTCCCTTCTCCTTTATAAAGGCCGGAACAGCTGAAAGGGTGGCAACTTCTCCTCCTGCAGCCGGGAGCGGCCTGCCTGCCTCCCTGCGCACCCGCAGCCTCCCCCGCTGCCTCCCTAGGGCTCCCCTCCGGCCGCCAGCGCCCATTTTTCATTCCCTAGATAGAGATACTTTGCGCGCACACACATACATACGCGCGCAAAAAGGAAAAAAAAAAAAAAAAGCCCACCCTCCAGCCTCGCTGCAAAGAGAAAACCGGAGCAGCCGCAGCTCGCAGCTCGCAGCTCGCAGCCCGCAGCCCGCAGAGGACGCCCAGAGCGGCGAGCGGGCGGGCAGACGGACCGACGGACTCGCGCCGCGTCCACCTGTCGGCCGGGCCCAGCCGAGCGCGCAGCGGGCACGCCGCGCGCGCGGAGCAGCCGTGCCCGCCGCCCGGGCCCCGCGCCAGGGCGCACACGCTCCCGCCCCCCTACCCGGCCCGGGCGGGAGTTTGCACCTCTCCCTGCCCGGGTGCTCGAGCTGCCGTTGCAAAGCCAACTTTGGAAAAAGTTTTTTGGGGGAGACTTGGGCCTTGAGGTGCCCAGCTCCGCGCTTTCCGATTTTGGGGGCCTTTCCAGAAAATGTTGCAAAAAAGCTAAGCCGGCGGGCAGAGGAAAACGCCTGTAGCCGGCGAGTGAAGACGAACCATCGACTGCCGTGTTCCTTTTCCTCTTGGAGGTTGGAGTCCCCTGGGCGCCCCCACACGGCTAGACGCCTCGGCTGGTTCGCGACGCAGCCCCCCGGCCGTGGATGCTCACTCGGGCTCGGGATCCGCCCAGGTAGCGGCCTCGGACCCAGGTCCTGCGCCCAGGTCCTCCCCTGCCCCCCAGCGACGGAGCCGGGGCCGGGGGCGGCGGCGCCCGGGGGCCATGCGGGTGAGCCGCGGCTGCAGAGGCCTGAGCGCCTGATCGCCGCGGACCCGAGCCGAGCCCACCCCCCTCCCCAGCCCCCCACCCTGGCCGCGGGGGCGGCGCGCTCGATCTACGCGTCCGGGGCCCCGCGGGGCCGGGCCCGGAGTCGGCATGAATCGCTGCTGGGCGCTCTTCCTGTCTCTCTGCTGCTACCTGCGTCTGGTCAGCGCCGAGGTGAGTTGCCACGGCGGCTGGGGCTGGTTCTTCATTCATTACCTTCGCCCCCCCCTTCTGACCGCCCCCTCCTCTCCCTGCAGTGAACTTTGGACCCTTGCAGCCCGCGAGCCTGACGCCGGGCGCTGGGTGACCTCTTCGGGCTGGGAGCGAGGTCCGGGGGTGACAGGCTCTAAGGGAAGGCAACAGCGGTGGCTTTCTTTCCAACCGGCGGGCGAATCTGGCTCCCTAAGCCGTTCCGTGTCGGGGGAGGGTGTGTGTGGCCCTGTCCCCCACCCTTTGGGAACCCGAGAACAAGCCCCTTCCCGGCCGGGGGAGAGGGGGTGGGGTGGTGCCCAGGGTGCAGAAGGCAGCGCGTCCTCCCGAGCCCACTTCGGCGCCAGCCTCGGCTTAGGCTCTGTCCTGCCATCGGCTTGCCCAGGAGGTGCAAGCTTGCGCACCGGTGCCATCCACGCCGACCTTTGACGGGGCTCGGGTCCCACCCTGGCTCCCGGTCGGGGTCCGGGTGGACGCCCTCCGGCACGCGCAGGGCATGCCCGGCCCCAGAGCACGGTCTGGAAGCAGCTTGTGTCTCGGGCGCGGGGTTTGGGGTGGGAGTAACAGGGAGAGAGAGAGAGAGAGAGAGAAAGAGAGAGAGAGAGAGAGAGACGGAGAGAGAGACGGAGAGAGAGAGGGAGAGAAAGATAGAGACGCAGGTAGGTTTCGGGCACTCGGGTAGGGGGAGGACTAGGGGCTCTGAAGGAATCCAGCCCCCGGGGCGCTGTGTGCCTGAGGCCTTGCCGTACCTGTGCCCGCGCCCTGCAGGAGGAAGCACCTCTCTCCCCCGCATGCAGGGTGCGGAGCGCGCCGCCTGCAAAAGCCTAGCTGCACGGGAGATGGGGTATAAAAACATCTGAGGGAGCGCTGGGGTCGGAGCCGTCCCCACCCCTCCCAGCCTCACGTAGCCGTGAGTTGGCAAGTCTACCCGGAATCCAGGTGGGAAAGGGGGCGGGGCAGGACGACGCGCGCGGTGGAGGGGAGGAGAGGGCAGCCGGGAGCGCGGCGTGACTGGGTACCGTCCCACCTCCGCCCGGCTGCGGCCGGGAGTCCGCACCTCGCCCGCACCTCGCCGGCTCCCGGGGAGGGTCGGCCCCTGCGGCCTCCAGCCAGGCGCAGGAAGGAGGCAGCGGCGGCGAAGGGGTTAAGGCGGAGGGCTCGGAGGCCGCGGCCCGGCCTTGGGCTGCCGCCAGCGCAGGTTGTTTTGACCACGGAGGAGCCGTCGCCGTCTCCTTTTGTTCTCGGGGCTCCTCGAGGGCCGCAGGCCGCCCGCCCGGGGGCCCCGCCCTTCCGCGGCCGCCCCCCGCGGCCCGCACCCGGGAGGGAGGACGCGGGGCTCGGCCGGGCCGCCTTCAGGCCCCTCCCGACGCCCCCTCTCCGCCTCTCCCGCAGCCCCCCGGGCCGCGGCCAGCTGTTGGGGAGGGGGTGGCCGGCCGGCCCCAGCTGCCGCCTCGCCTCGCCGTGGGACCTGGGGGCTGGGCCCGGTGCCAGGGCGTCCTGGGAACGGCGGCGCCCCGTGGCTGCTCTCCGCAGCCCACCCCGCCCGGGCCCCCGACTCGCTCACTCACCCCACGCATGCACACTCCTGGCCGGAGGCGATGCTGCGCTCCGGCGGGCGGGCGCGCAGAGCGACGGGCACGCACTACCGCGGCCAGGTCGCGCGCCCGCCTCTGCCACGCCCGTGCACACGCGGGACACACGCGCGCGCACCGCACACAAACGCACGCACGGCCCCTGCACGCGCGGCCTGAGCACACGTGCGCGCACACCCACGCACGTACACAGGCACGCACGGGCCCCCGTGCACCCAGCGCCTGGTGCTCGCCCCCGCGCAACAGGTGGGCCCTCCGTGGGCCCTGGCACCTCACCACCTCTGTAGCGGCCCCATTTCCTTCCTGGCGTCCTGTGAGGGAGGGAGAACCTCCCATCAGCACCACAGCACCTACTTTTTTTTTTGCCTCGTCAGCCCGACGCCCCTCAAACCTTACCCATCTGTGACTCCTTTTTTTCAACCACCTCCGCGTGGTGGAAAATGGTGGTGATGTGACTCTGAGGGGCACTGAGCTGTCCAGAGCGATTCCCCCTTCACATAAGCCTTCATTTGAACCTGCAAGACTGGAGGGACCTGGCGTGTGCAACCGCGGAGGGGGCTCCCACCCCTGGCTGTTGCATTCTCTTGGCTGATCCCAGCGTGCCCCGGGGAGGCCGCTGACAGCTGGATGTTTCCCCAGCCTCCCCTTACCATTTCCAGCTTCGTCCAGCACCTCCTCCTTCTTTCCCACAGCTCCACGGGCTCGTGTATCTGGGGTGGAGGCTGTGGCACAGAAACTGCCTTTCTCCTCACTTTAGTCACAGCATTCTTGAACACATGGCCACAGGCGCGATGTATGTGGCACTTTGCAGTTTATGAAGCACTTTGCTGCTAAGCCTGAGTGAGCCTCAGGCTGGCCCTGGGGGAGGGGACCTGCATGGGGATGGAACCACGCAGGGGTCAGTCCAGGAAGGAGCTGTAATGGCCAGTGCTGGGAGAGTCAGGGCAGGCCTGCTGGTGGAGGTGGCCTTGGAGCTGTCCACGTCCTGGTCGTGCTCGGACTAATCTTTCAGCAGACGGCAGGCAGCCGTGAGGCAGGGCTGGGTGGAGGGCCTGCCGAGGCCTCTGAGGTGCCATCTCCACCAGCTGAGCTGGCTTCCAGGAGGGCGAGTCCCACTGTCACGTGACGCGTCTGGCCTCAGCACACTTCTTCCGGGAAAGAGTGAAGGGCCCCACTGCCCTTTGCCATCCAGCTTCCTCTGGCTTTGCTAATGGCCCTAGGGGGCAGGAGACCAACTGCTGGAATCCCAGAGCCCTGGAGGTGTGCAAGGGCAGGTCAAACAGAATTTGGAGGATCTGGTGCAAGAGCCAGGAAGAGAGAGAGAGAGAGAGTGTGTGTGTGTGTGTGTGTGCGCATCTGAGAGAGAGAGAGAGAGAGACTGACTGAGCAGGAATGGTGAGATGTTTATCATGGGCCTCGTAAGTACCTCTCCACGTCTTGTCTTCCCCTCCCCACATTGAGGAGCCTCTTCTGTGACAACTCTTCCTATGTTCTGGTTTATTTCATTGTTTATTACCTGCTTTCTCTACTGGAGTGTCAACCCCATTAGAGAGCTTTCCTCCTGGTCCCCACTTTTAGAACAGTGCCCAGAGCCCTGTGGACAATCAGTAACTATTAGTGCAAAGAACAGTTAGTGCTGGGTTGGTGGGGAGGGCAGGACCTGGCCCCCTGTTGCTCCATGGCCCCACTGAGTCCTCGCTTTGCTCTGCTCCGAGGGCAGCCCCCCTTTTCAGCCCTCTGGTAGGCATCAGTCTTTCAAAGCCCCCCATCTTGAGAGAGAAGCATGTCTGTCTCTCCTCTGTCTTGGGACTTGGGCTACCAGGATTAGACAGGACAGAGGAGAAGAAACAGAAAGAAAATCAGACTGCAAAGGTTCTGTGTATCTTTAGCTGGGGCTAAGTTTCTGCCACCTAAAAAAAAAAAGAGAGAGAGAAGATTGGATTAGTGCAGAGTTCCCAAAGAATGGCAGAATCCCCTGGCCCCGTCCCCTGGCTGGGATGGGGATGGGCAGTGATTGCCGTGGTTGCCAGTATTATAAATGGCTGGACTGGTTCCTCTCTTCCTGCTTTAATTTTCCTCTGCTCCTGCAAGAGGTGGGGAGGCCAGGGTTCTGGGCCCACGTGAAGGAGCAGAGGCTGAGCGGGAGGGTCCCAAGAGCAATAAAGAAGGGGAATGCTAGGTGGGAAACACTGGTTCTAATGGCTTCTGTGGTTTGCCCCGAGAGGGCTTCTTCAAAGGGGTTGGTTGGCTTTGGCATTCGATCTAAATAAGGCCTGCGACTCTCAGGCAGGCAGGCTCTGGGAGGCCTCATCAGCTTCTTCCTCTGCCAGCCACAGACAACGCCCCTGGTTGCTTGGGCCTGTGTGTCCCTTGGTGGGAATGGCAGGCGGGCCGGGGAGTGTGTATCTGTGTGTGTGTGCTGGGCCCAGGAGGAGGGTGGGGTTCAAGCCCCTTTGATCTGCCAGCCTGGTTGGGAGCAGATCACTCACCTGGCCTCACGCTCGCTCGTGCCCTTCCTACCTGCTGCAGCTGGCGCTGGGGGCGGGGTCGGAGGAGGCTGTTTACCTTGGCTCCCACGGCTGGCTTTGCCCCAGCTGCCTCCTCGCCACGCCCTCACTCTGCCAGAAACCCCGGGCCTGAGATCTTGGGACAGCTTCTTCAGGGTGCCAGGCCTCCTTTCCCATCTCTGAAGTGAGCTGTCCACCTGGAGGCCTGCGGAACCTGTGCCCAGGAAAACCAGGCTCCGGGCGGCTCACCTTCCCATACCAAGAAGAGCCTGTGACTCCCAACAGGTGCTCATGCTCGTCATCCCCAGAGCATTGCATCCTGGAGCTGAGCACGTGCTGAGTGTCCCCCCACCCTCACCCACCCCCAGCCCCGGAAGGGCCTTGTAAGCCCACACGGCCCAGGCTCTGCCAGTGTGGAGGTAGGGTACCATTTCCTGTGGCCCAGCACAAGGGATAATGCAAAGTCACGCACTCTTTCATGGGCAGGCAGCTCTCCACCCACTCCTTGTCATCCTCAAAAATGTCCTGTGCTGCTGGCCCTGAGCACGTGTGCCACTCGCTGCTGCCCACAAAGGAGCCATCCGGAAAGAATTAATGATGATGACAGTGACAACTCATTAAGCTCCCATTATCTGCTGGCAGCTCTGCTCTGTGCAATTATGCCTCCCAGTAACCCCGGGCGAGGTATTATTAGCCCCATTTAAAAGATGCAGAAGCCGAGGTTTTAGATTGTGACAAGATTCCAAGAATCCAGGTTGCCCTGGCATCTGGAGCCCTTGCTCTTTCCTCCGCTACAGGGTTTCTCAGCCTCTGCACTCCTGATGTTTGGGAAGGCCGTCCTGTGCCCTGAAGGGTGGTGAGCGGCATCCCCGGCCTCCCCCAACTTAAGATGCAGTGCACACCCCAAGTTGTGGCCACCAGCGATGCCTTCATACATTGCCACTGTCCCCTGGGGGCCCACTGGGCCCTGGTTGAGAGCCTCTGACGTGGGACATGCTGCAGAGTAAAGAGCCAACACGAACCTTGTGTGATGCTGAGGGCCAGTGGCCTTAGAACACAGGAGAGGGAGGCTGAGACGCCCCATGGTGGGCTGGAACAGGTGGGCAGTCTGGAGCCTGGGAACGACCCAGCTCTGCCACTTGCTAATTGTCTGGACCTGTTGCTGCTTGTTTAATTTTTTCTAAGCTTCAGTGTTCTCATCTGGAGGATGGGGATACAAATACTGCCAGCCTCTTAGGATTGGTAGTTTATACGGTGTTTTTCTCAGCGTGTGGCTTGTAGCTGGCATTCATAGATGTTAGTTGTGGTATTATTACCAAATCCGGGGGCTTATGGGTAGTTCTGGGCATCTAGTGGCCACATTACCAAAAGCATCTTCAGGGACGGTCTCCCTGCTCAGATTAAAAGGGACTCTAGTTGCTCATTTGCCTAGGGTTGGGGAAGAATATCCCAGGTGGCCCTCCTGGTGGAGGAGGCAGAAGAATCATACTGGACAGAACCTGGAAAATGGTAGACTCCTTCATGCATTTGACCAGTATTTACCGAGGACCTACTATGTGCCTCTCTCTCCTCCTCAGACCCTATCCTGGGCTCTTTCACACTCAGCCTTGGAGGGGCATCTCCTATGTGTCGTGGGCCTGGATCTGGGGTGTCCACTCGGCCTGTTCAGGGGTCTGCCTCCTCTGCCGTGGCTGGCAGCTGCAGCCGGCTCTCCAGTGGGCAGGGAGATCTTGGCACAAGCACTAAATGCCATTTGCTACTAGGCCTTTGGGCCCCTCCCCTGGGGGGTTAATTGAATCTTTACTCCACAAACGCTTCTTGTTCTCCTTCTGCCAGTGATCCAGGGAGGCCTGGCTAGGCACCCGGCTTTGGCGTTTTCTCTGCCCCTTCTAACGCCTCCTGGCAGAATTAGAATTGAATCGAATGTTCTTCAAGCCCCTCGATTCACAGATGAGAGCCAGGACCATAGGGGCAGTGACCAGCCGAGGTCACACGGCAGTTGGTCCAAAGGCGTGGGATTCAGCTCTCTGGCCTGCCAGTTCTGGGTTTGACAGAACTCTCAGGGGAAGCGGCTTTCGCTGGTGTTCACTGGAGACCAAGCCCTCTGTTCTGTGGGTTGGGTACTTTGTCAACATTTGGAGAGCACCGGAGGCGTGGTCTCTCTTCTGAGGTGGAAAGAATGAACTTGCTTGAGGGCGGGAGGAGGCAGAGCCCGGAGGAGATGGGGCCGAAAGTGAGGGGCAGCGGGGCCCATACCCTCCTCTGTCTTGCACGTGCAGCCCCTGGCTGCCCGGATATTGAAGGAAAGACCCTAGTTCTCAGCCAAGCCCTGCCACCTTTTTTTCCTCAAGTTGCCCAGCAGCCCTTAGACATTGGGCGGAGTTGTAAGCTCCATGTTCAAACAAAGACATGGAGACTCAGGGGTTTCAGGGAATGATGTAGCTTTAAAAGTGGTCACCCCCACCCCCCGCCCTGAGTCTTCTGGCTCCTGGATCGATGTGGGTGGCCAGAGTTGGTCATGGATGAACCCCTGGAGGTGTTGCTAGACCTCATGATAAGCTGGAGGAAACAGAGCTTTCGGGGAGAGCCCCCTGAGGCTGGCCACAGGGCTGAGACGACCTCTTCTCCTCTCCCTCGCTCCCCCTCCGCCGTCAGGCAGCGAGAAAGCAGCATCCCTTTTGTGAAGGTAGCCTGCACCGACCCCCTCTGAGCCCCCCGACCTTCGGCTCCGGGAATGTGGAGCGAACCAAGAAGGGAAGTCCTCCCTTCTTAATCCAGGGAAACTGAGGCAGAAAATAGTTTAACCCAAGGTTCTATAGTAATGTGCCAAGCCTATTGATGCCCTCTCCAGGACTGTCTGTCCAGACCGTGCAGCCCGAGTGCCTGTGCCTGCACGTGTGTGTTTGCACACGTGGAAGTCCGGTTCCAGCCTTTGAACGTGCAGCGACATCTTAGGAATTTTCTTTGCTTCTCAGTGGCTGGTGGTCTGGATTGTGATTCTCAGTCTCCCATCTGCCCTCGCCTCTTTCTTGGGATCTCTGGCATCCGCCCCTTGGGTCTCCTGGGACTGTGGGGGACGTGGCTGTGACCTTCCTACGGGGCTGCTCTTGTGTCATTGTGGGACCTGCGGTTTCCCTGGAGGAAGCCCAGCTCCGAATGAGGCCTGTTGAAGTGTTATCAGGTTTCGAGTATGTTTGGCAACAGGCCAAAGGGGCTCTAAAAATAGGGTTTGGTTGGGCACAGGGCACGGGTAAGCTTTCAGGTTTCCCGGCCGTGTCCGAGGATTCCCTTTTCGCCTCTTTCGAGTGAGAGACTTCATAGATACCGCTAGGACCTGGGGCCTCCTGAGGCCATCGCACTCTGCACGCGTTTATTAAGCACCTCTTGTACCCAGGAGCCTGGGAGTACAGGCTCTGTCATCCCAAAGGCATGGGTTTGAATGCAGCTTTTGCCAATAATTGAGCCTCTCTTTGAACGTTTGTTTTCCCCTCTGTAAAATGGGGGTTAGATTGGCCATGGGAGATGCTGGCTGTCTTCAGCTGTCAGGTGTGTTGTGAGACTCAGGGAGAAATCAGATTTTGGTGCATTCCCAGAACATGTAGTTTGGTGGGGGAGACAGACATAGAGACAAGCAGGTCCAACTCAAAGCAAGCTGGGGTTCCTGTTGGGGGTTGAGGGTGCAGGGACTGAGCTGGGTCTCAGAGGCTTCGGCAGGTCCAGGCCCCGAGGCCTTTGTGCTCCTGATCATCAGGCCTGGATCCTGCCTGTCCGTCTCCCTGTGACCTTGGAGCTTTCCACAGGAGAAAGCGAGAAAGCGTGTGGTGGGGGAGACAGCCATGCTGGAAAGCCCCCACTCCCAGCTCACTCAGCCTTTTGGTGTCTGCCCGGCAGGGGGACCCCATTCCCGAGGAGCTTTATGAGATGCTGAGTGACCACTCGATCCGCTCCTTTGATGATCTCCAACGCCTGCTGCACGGAGACCCCGGAGGTAAATGGAATCCTCGCCCCGCGCTCCGGCCCTCCGAGGAGACTTTAAGAGATCTGGGAGGGGCAGGACAGGAGGCATCCCTCCTTCTTGACGTCTGGAGAACTAGAGGCCCATGGCAGCCCAGAGAGAGCGTGGCCACACCCATCCAGGGCAGGGCCGAGTCAGCAGGCGGGTTGGTACCTGGGACTTGGGGTGTGGCAGGAGAAGCACCCACGTGTGGCTCCGGCTTGGTGCCAAGGGTGGGGTGCCAGGAGGAGGGAGGGCGGGGAGAAGGTGCCCAGGGCATCTGCCGAGTATGTCTCCAGGTGTGGGCCCAGCCAGGGAGGGTGGCACTGGAGGAGTCATCTCCCCGCCCCTCTGGCTAGGGGCCCGGTCTGTGAGGTCCCCTGGGGACACCTGGCCTCGACCAGCAGGCAGCCCTGCCCGTGCCCCAGAGCTCACTCAGCGAATGGGCACGTGCTCGGTGGCACACACGTGGCGGGGCTGGCGGGCTGGATTGACAATGTATTTATAAACGCTGTCTTCAGAGCAAATTCCATTCTATTCTAACCTCTGGCCTGTTCCCTGGAGCCCTGGTCAGCAGCCCCCCTGCACCCCCAGGTCCCCTTCCCTCTGGGGTTCTGTCTCTTTGTCACTTTGTAATCCTTGCCCAGACGCTATCTACGGGGGAACAGCATTTCCTGCCTTTGTTTCCTCTCCCCGTTGGGCCCCTGGCTCCCTCTCAAAAGCATTCCCGGGCCCTTTCAATCCCGCCTGTGCTGGGGGGCGGTGAGGCAGGCAGGAGGGGGCCCCAGCTGGGCCCACCTATTGTTCGCCAGGGCCCCCACCCGATGTCTCCCACAACCCCCACCCTATGCCCGACTGGCCGCCCCTGGCCACACACAATGGGGCAACTTCCAAATTTAGCCTTTCTACCATTTCTTTCCAAGCCTTTACACCCCCACCCTCAGACGGCCCCTCCACACCCCTGGTGGGGGTCGGGATCTTGGAGATGAGGTTTCAATAGCAGGCCTGTTTCAAGGCAACCATGTGGCTATTTTTTCCTAATCAACTTAACCTTTCCACAAAGCGCATCTTTTCCCCATCTCCTCCCCACCAGGGACATTCCAGAGATGGCAGGGAGAAAGGAAAGGAGCCAGAGGGACAGATAGGCTCGTTGACGTAGGGGCTGTCAGGCTGGACGGAAGCGGACTAGTCATCAGACTCCCTGCAGTACCCGGGACGGACAGGCGGCAGGCGCCTTTGTCTTGGATGGGGCCAGTGGGTCGGTGCCAGAACTGGAGCCATGGGGTGCTGTGTGGAGGTGGCAGGAGCGTGTTCCCAATGCCCCTTAGTTTATTTGTGGCTCCTCACCCATGAGAGAGACAGAAGGGTCTGTCCACGCCTTAACATCCAGCTCAGAGGCCTCCCTCAGCCCTCACTTCCCAGCAGCCAACCTCTGGCCATGGGCTCTGGAAAGGACCGATGTCTCCAAGGAGGGCTGATGGGACTGAGATGGTGCCCAGGCTAGAAAAGGGAGCTGTCATTTGTGACCAGAGGAATCAACAGACGGCTGGGGGCAGAGGTGGGGCAACAGTTTAGAGAAGGGGAGGGAGACAGACACAGATACAGATACGGTGTGAGGGCCCCGGAGCTAGAGAGACCAGGCCCTAGAAGGGTGTGTGGCAGGGACTCCCCACCCCCAGCAGGCCCAACTCCCACCCCTCTTCTCCTCTTCTCTGTCTTCAGCTCCCACCCCCATCCCTCTCCCTCCCTCCCTCCCTCCGTGGCTCCCGCCTGCCCAGCGCGGCCATTGTCCGGGGCTCCAGAGGGGCTGTGTTCAGGGCATGCGGTCCCCCTGGGGCTTCTGGGAATTTCTCCATTCAGCACTTCCTATGGGAACGCTGGGTGGAGGGGCACTGGAAACTGGCCTTCAGTGCCCTAGGTCCCGGCCCCGCCCTGGAGGCCGAGGAGGGTTCACTTACAGTAGCAAAGGGGAAGGGTTATTTTTAACTCCACTGACATGGGTTCTGGCCAAAAATGTTGGCTAAAGAGCCAGGGATGCAGTCAGGATCCTGGGCCTGCAGCTGTCCTGGGGGCTGCTTGGAGGGTCCCTGCTCAGGGCCAGGACCCGTGCATTTATGGGGGCTGGAAGGAGGGACTGTTCTCTGGAGTGGGGGAGAGGCAAACCTCCCGCCTGCCCAGACACCCCGGCGGAGGGAGCCCCTGCCCAAGGTGGGGCCGCCTGGTGTCTGACTGTGACTTCTCCTGCAGAGGAAGATGGGGCCGAGTTGGACCTGAACATGACCCGCTCCCACTCTGGAGGCGAGCTGGAGAGCTTGGCTCGTGGAAGAAGGAGCCTGGGTAAGACTGAGACACCCAACAAGGGTCCTTCAAATTAGCATGGGGGCCAGGGAAAGAGAACGGGGGCGGGCAGCCAGTCGGAGGGCCCCGAGGGTCCTCTTACAACTCCCGTTCCCCCCACATTCAGGACTGAGCGAACTGAGAGAGTAAAACCATCCTTAAATGCCTGTGTTCAGTCATCACAGCCCCTCGCCCCCACACTCTCTGGTTTCTAAATATAGTGCTGCAAAGCTCATTCGTTCCTTATTTCAATCCTGGAGGTAGATATTATTAACCCCATTTCACAGAGTTGGAAACTGGGGCCCAGAGAGGGTAAAGAACTAGGCGAGGTCACACTGCTAGGGAGCGGTAGGGCTGAGATCCCAACCTGCTCCCCTCACTTGAACCCAGCGTGGTCCCTGATGGGCTATGGGTATCTCCTGTGGCAAAGGGCCGCGGCCTAGGCTGGTAGACCTCGAGCAAAGCCTGGAACTTCCTCCTGCTCCCTTGCAGAGACCTAAAGGAGACCGTAGATCATTAGGTCCCAGAGAAACCCTCCCAGGTGAGGCAAATGTCCACTCAAACCCCTCCTCCTCTTTGACACCTGGAGTCCCCAAAACACTGCAGTTAGAGGCTGGGGGAACGATGAATAAGAGTCAGGTGGCCTGGGCCGGGCATGGTGGCTCACGCCTGTAATCCTAGCACTTTGGGAGGCTGAGGCAGGCAGATCACGAGGTCAAGAGATGGAGATCATCCTGACCGACATGGTGAAACCCTGTCTCTATTAAAAATACAAAAATTAGCTGGGCGTGGTGGCAGGTTCCTGTAGTCCATGCTACTTGGGAGGCTGAGGCAGGAGAATTGCTTGAACCAGGGAGGCGGAGGTTGCAGTTAGCCGAGACCACGCCACTGCACTCCAGCCTGGCGACAGAGCAAGACTCCGTCTCAAAAAAAAAGAAAAAAGTCAGGTGGCCTGAGTTCCACCCCCAATCTATGAATGTGGGCGGACGGGATATTCAGCTCTCAGAGCCTCCTGTCCTCTGTACATGGATAGCATCGGTAACCTCAGTGCTTGCTGTAGGCAAGGCTTACTCACTTTACACCTTAGATCCACATGGGAGGGAGGTGCTGTTATTATCCCATTTCATAGAGGAGGAAGCTGAGGCTTTGAAAGCAGCAGTGATGCAGGAATCCAAGGCACCGTGAGACAGCAGTGCACGCGTGGTTTCGAGCTAATATGGTACCTGCATAAAAACCACATGTTGGGCAAGCCCATAAATGTGTAAAATCATAAAGAAGAATAAAATAGTCATGTGCCAGCAGAGGGAAGCGGACATTTACTAAGCATTTACAACATGCCCCACACTCTGAATTTTCTCACTTGAAACTACAGTGGTTCTTGGGTGTAGATCTCATGGTCCCATTTTCAGATGGGGAAACACAGGCTTAGAGTGGCTCAGCCATCTGCCCAAGTCCCATGGCTAATGACAGCCAGGACTTGAAACCTGAACCCTGGGGTTGAAGGGCGTGAGAAAGAGCAGTCCCGGAGGCACCCGCTGAGCTCCCCTGCCAAGTGGGGGGACTCTGGACAGGCCTACGCTCCTGACCCAGGTTTCGTCTCCTCCCAGGTTCCCTGACCATTGCTGAGCCGGCCATGATCGCCGAGTGCAAGACGCGCACCGAGGTGTTCGAGATCTCCCGGCGCCTCATAGACCGCACCAACGCCAACTTCCTGGTGTGGCCGCCCTGTGTGGAGGTGCAGCGCTGCTCCGGCTGCTGCAACAACCGCAACGTGCAGTGCCGCCCCACCCAGGTGCAGCTGCGACCTGTCCAGGTGCGTAGGCTCCGCGGCCCCCCGAGGCTGGTCCCGGTGGTGGGTGGAGACCACCCTTCTGGGGCTCATACCTGACCAGGCTTCCTTGACTGGGCAGAGTGGTGTGTCGAAGGACATTCCTGATTTGTTCCTGGGCTCTGTCCAGAGAGGCCCACTCTTGGGAAGCTCTTCCTAGGCAGGTGGACTGAGGCCGACCATGAGTCCTCTGAGGTGGCTCAGGCCACTGTAGCCAAAAGCCACAGACAGACCCCCCGGGCTGGGCGAGGTGTGGAGCCAACGTGAAGTAGGGATGTCACCTCCTTTACAAGGACAAAATCGCAAAACGTCCCTTGAAGAGCCGTATCCGCAAACATTTATCTGACACTCAGAATGTTTTGGGGAGCTACTCAGGTTCCCCCAAAGCTCTCCCTATTCAGGGCTGTCTTGAGAAAGGCTCAGATGGGTGGCCCTGCATCTTTGACACCTGCTTGTCTCTCTTTGACAAGCTGTGTCTTTAATAAAGAGAGTGCAGAGAGGCCCACCAGGTGATAGACACTGCGGAGCTGGGGCAGGTCCCCTGACAACAGTGGAATGCTGATCCTGCTTTTCTTCGGAGGGACGGGGGATACATACACTGGACTCAGGGAAAATTCTAGAGTAGAGGCTGTCTCAGGGAGCACCCTGGTCTCACCCTAGTCGGGGCAGAGTCAGAGAAGCTGCTGCTTCTGCTTCTTGTGGAAAGATTCCTGCACGCCCCAGGCCAGCCTCGCCCACAGGCTGGGCAGTGCGCATTTCTCTAGCTCAGCACCGGCCCTTGCCCGATGCTCTGCCTGCTTAGCCGCACTTCCTTCTCCTGCCACCAGCCCGTGGCCTCTCCTCCTGCCCACCTTCCCTCCCTGGCTTGGGCCCCACGCCTGAGACTACGAATGTCACTCCACCCCACTGCCCACTCTCGTGGTATCTCCTGTCCTCGATGCTTCCAGCTCTATGGATGGACACCTGACATCTGACCTCCCCGTTCCCACCTCCCTCCTAGATGAAGCCTCCCCCCACTTCCTTCCAGACAACCATCTCCCGCCTCTGCCGCAGCCCTGACCTTGGCTGGCGCTCCGGGAATGAGGATACCGCAGGCCCCAGCTCAACCCGGAAATGCCTTTCTGGCTGTCCCTCTCTGGGGGCACTGAGGGGGGCCCCAGGTCGGGAGGGCTTGTTTTGATGGAAAAGCTACGAGAAGGGCAGAGGTCAAGGTCCTGCTATTGTTTGGGCCAAAGCTTTTGCCCCACAGCCTGCTCTCCGGGCTTTCGAGGAAAGATTGCTGCAGGGGACACCGGGGTGGGAAGCGCAAGCCATTCGGGCTTCCCGGGCTCCTGGCTGTGTGGTCTCTACAGAGGCATTTTGTGGCTCTGTCCTCCAGGTGAGAAAGATCGAGATTGTGCGGAAGAAGCCAATCTTTAAGAAGGCCACGGTGACGCTGGAAGACCACCTGGCATGCAAGTGTGAGACAGTGGCAGCTGCACGGCCTGTGACCCGAAGCCCGGGGGGTTCCCAGGAGCAGCGAGGTAACCACCTTTCCAGGCTCAGCCCTCAGCCCCCTTCCCCTGCAGCAGCTGGGGGCAGGGGCCGGTCTTAAAAATGGAAATGGGATCAGGCCCGCCCCCGGTTAAATTCACGGGAGGCTTTCTTTTCATCTTGCTGAGACACAAGCCAGGTTCCTCCCTGGCCTGAGAGCCCTACATGAGGATTAGCCCCTGGCTGGCTCTCTGGTCTCTGCCAACCAGTACCCTTCACCTGTGCCACCCCCGCCGGGCAGGCCTCTTTCAGTAACTAATGGAGTTTCTGCCTCAAGGCTTTAGCACACACTGCTGTGGCTGAAGAACACTTCTCCCAGCTCTCCACAAGCCTAGCTCCTTCTCTTCATTAGAGTCTCAGCTCAGAAGTCACCTCCTCCTAGAAGTCTGCCCTGACCACCCCATCCAGAGCAGCGCCATTTCCAGTCTTGCTACCATAGCCCCCTGCTTTGTTGGATGTGGGGATGGGATGGTGGAAGGAATCTGGGCCTGGATGAGAGAAAGCTCCGCGCACATCAACTTCCGATAGTGAGCAGCTTGTCCTGGGGATGAGAAATCAAACGAATTTCTCGTATCCTTGAGCGGGGGAACCAGGACCAGTGGGGAGAAGCCACTGGAGAGAGATTTCAGCTCCATATGCAGAACAGCTAGCTGGTGATCAGTCAGGGGTGCAAGGTGGAATTGGCAGCATTGTGAGGCATCTCTACAAAAAATACAAAAATTAGCCAGGCATAGCGGCACACGCCTGTAGTCTCAGCTACTTAGGAGGCTGAGGTGGGAGGATCGCTTGAGGCTGGGATGTCGAGGCTACAGTGAGCCGTGATGGCACCACTGCACTCCAGCCTGGGCAACAGAGCAAGACCCTGCCTCAAAAAAAAAATGATTAATACGATTAGATGAGCGTTTAAAAAAATCACGTAAGTGATAGTTCTTTTTCAGTAACTTTCTATTGTTAGGGACAGGACAATCTTTTCATTCTCATTTCTTATTAACAAGACCCTGAAGACGGAGCCATTTCTTGGCATCTGTGTCTTATTCCCAGAGCTGAGCTGAGTCGCTGGATGCCATGGAAAGGCTGATCATATGACAGCTTCAAACTGACATGTTGTAAATTATTGAGTTAATATGGAGGGTGATTTCTCTATTAAGGGAAAATTATATATATCTATATATATATATATTTTTTTTGAGGCAGTCTCACCCTGTCACGCAGTCTGGAGTACAGTGGCACAATCTTGGCTCACTGCAACCTCTACCTCCTGGGTTCAAGCAATTCTCCCGCCTTAGCCTCCCGAGTAGCTGGAATTACAGACACATGCCACTACACCCGGCTAATTTTTGTATTTTTAGTAGAAACGGGGTTTCACCATGTTGGCCAGGCTGGTCTTGAACTCCTGACCTCAAGTGATCCACCTGCCTCGGCCTCCCAAAGTGCTGGGATTACAGGCGTGAGCCACCACGCCCAGCCTCTTTCTTTTTTAAGAGACAGGGTCTCTCTCCATCACCCAGGCTGGAGTGCAATGGCATGATCATAGCTCACTGCAGCCTTGAACTCCTTCCTGGGCTCAAGCGAGCCTCCCTCCTCAGCCTCCTGAGTAGCTGGGATTACAGGCATGTGCCACCACGTCCAGCTAATATTTTAAGTTTTTGTAGAGATGAGGTCTTGATTCGTTGCTCAGGCTGGTCTCTAACTCCTGGGTTCAAGTGATCCTCCCACCTCAGCCTCCCAAGGTGCTGGGATTACAGGCATTGAGCCACCACGCCTGGCCTTCTTTATGTTTAGAGTGAGTTACTTCATGTATTTGTTTGACGTAATTTTCTAAACCAGTTTCTTGGGAGGCGCATTATACCAGTGAAACGTAGATGATGTAAAGTCCCATCATTTTAGTTCCGGTATTTTGGTTGAGTATGACGGTGTTTCTGTCACCTGTCCATGGGCCTGGCTAAGGCTTGGTAGTGTGGCTCTCTGTGATAATGTGGTCAGTGTCAGACCTCCTGGGCTCAGATCTGCGTGTTGTCACTTGAGCTGTGTGGTGACCTTGTGCTTGCCTGGGCTTGGTATAGCCCAGTGTCCTGCTGATGGCCCAGGCTCTGGGGAAGAAACTCCCTGGGCCCTTCAGTGGCCCTCCTGGTGTCTTCTGTCTGAGGGGATCTGAAGCCCATTCAAGTCCCTGAACTGCTAGAAAATCTGCGCAATTGCAGAGATGGGAGAGCTGCCTCGTGGGAGCTGGTGTCTGTAAGGTGGGAGGTCAGGTGTCAGATCCCGGTAGGCTGGGAGAGCTCAAAAGGCTCCCAGGAAATGGCTGGCCTTGAGCTCAGCAGACACAGCTGTCCCTGCCAGGGTGGCCACCTGGGAATCCAGGACGGAGAGAAGTGTATAAGAGCTCCCCTTGACTGAGGCTCACAGGCACTGTCGTTTGTGCTGAGTGGTTGGAGGTGTGCACTCTAGAGGCAGATCCCTGAGTTCAAATCCCAGTCTCTCTGCTTCAGTTTCCTCATCTGTAAAGTGTGGGTAACAGCATCTGCCGGTAACAGCACCTGCCGTGAAGGGAAATGAGCATAGAACAGCACCAGGTACATGGTAAACACTAGCTGGGGGGTTTCTGGCCATTTCCATGTATTGTCTCCTAACGCTAGGAGGCCAGGGCTGCTGTCTTCTCTGCTTTAAAGATGTGGAAATCGGCTGGGCGTGGTGGCTCACGCCTGTAATCCCAGCACTTTGGGAGGCCAAGGCAGGTGGATCACTTGAGGTCAGGAGTTCAAGACCAGCCTGGCCAACATGGTGAAACCCCATCTCTACTAAAAATACAAAAATTAACCAGGTGTCATGGCGTATGCCTGTAATCCCAGCACTTTGGGAGGCCAAGGCAGGTGGATCACTTGAGGTCAGGAGTTCAAGACCAGCCTGGCCAACATGGTGAAACCCCATCTCTACTAAAAATACAAAAATTAACCAGGTGTCATGGTGCATGCCTGTAATCCCAGCTACTCGGGAGGCTGAGGCAGGAGAATCACTTGAACCTGCGAGGTGGAGGTTGCAGTGAGCTGAGATCGCGCCACTGCACTCCAACCTGGGCAACAGAGTGAGCCTCCATCTTAAAAACAAATAAATAAAGATGCGGAAATCGAGGCACAGGGCAGTTAAGTGACTTGCTCCAATGTCCACGATACGTGGGAGAGCCCAGATTTGAGCCCAGGTGGGTCAGATCCTCAGCCTGAGTTGTGGCCCATCCCACTCTACCATTTCTCAGAGTGGCAAGGGGCAGGTAGGTGACAGGCACAACTGACCCGAAGGCCCAGCTTCATGGTGGGAGTATGATTCTGGCCCAGAGCCCAGTGGCCTCCACACCACGTGATCGGACGGGGCTGAGAGGTTGGGAGGAAACCTCAATAGTAGGTCAAGCTAAGGAAAATAAGAAAAAAAAGTGAGTCGTAGCAGCTGCCATGTGCTGACCACTTCATACTTGGAGCTTTTTATTATCTTTCCCAGGTCTGGGGGTTGACTGGGCTCAGCTGGGCAGTTCTATTGGCCCCTCTATTGGTTGCAGTCAGCTGGTGGCCTGGGCTGTGGTCATCTGGAGACTCAACGGGGACAGCTGGGCCTCTTTTCCTCTCCCTGTAGTCCAGGGCCTCTGGCTCTACGGGGAGAGCCAGTCCCCACCAGGCCTCTCCATGTGGCCTCTCCAGCAAGGTAGCCAGACCTGTTATGTGGCAGCCCAGGGTCCCCCAAAGCATGAAGGTGAGAACTGCCAGCCCTTCTTAAGACCTCTGCCTGGAACTGGCACGGCACCACGTCTGCCTCTTGTTGGTTAACCAGATCCAACTCCAGGCCAGATTCAAGGGGCAGGGAAATAAACTCTATTGGTCAGTGGGCAATGACAAAGAACTTGAAGCCATATTTAATCTACCCGGCTCTGTGTCCAGTACTGTGCAAAGAGCTTTGCCAGCATACTGTCATTTATTCCTCCCACCAGTTCTATGAGGTGGGCAGTCTTATTACCCCCATTCCACAGATGGAGGCGCCAAGGCTCAGAGAGTTTCAGTCATTGTCCCCAAGGCACATACAGCTGGTGAGCAGTGGAGTTGGGATCCAAACCCAGGACCCTGGTCCAGATTCCCCTCCTGTCCCTTTCCTGAGCCCAGAAGGTCCATGGCAGGCCTTGGTCAGTGGGGAGAGACCTCCCCAATGGTCCACATGCTGACGAGGTCTTTCTTTTTCTTGTGCAGCCAAAACGCCCCAAACTCGGGTGACCATTCGGACGGTGCGAGTCCGCCGGCCCCCCAAGGGCAAGCACCGGAAATTCAAGCACACGCATGACAAGACGGCACTGAAGGAGACCCTTGGAGCCTAGGGGCATCGGCAGGAGAGTGTGTGGGCAGGTGAGGGCCAGGCGGGGCAACTGAGGCCCAGAATCCTGTGTTTTCTTCTCTGTGGTCTGTGGATGGGGTCAGGGGAAAGGATTTTTCCATAGAAAATCCAGCCTCTGAGCCTTGGTCCTCCCTGTCCAGTTATCAGCTGGGGCAGGGTGGGTGGTGGGCTTTGGAGACCCCAGCCCAGCTGTGTCCCAGCATGCCCTAAGAGGATGGGAGGTCTAAATCTCAATCTTCCCAGCCCCTCAATGCCCCCAGCCCTGAGCATTGCTGGAAATCAGGGGTGGCTAGTTGACCCCAGCTCCCTGCCCCTGGCATCGGGGACATATGAACATGGGATGGACCCTCTAGGCTGTCTCTGACCCCTGTGTCTCTCTGCTTGGCCTGCAGGGTTATTTAATATGGTATTTGCTGTATTGCCCCCATGGGGTCCTTGGAGTGATAATATTGTTTCCCTCGTCCGTCTGTCTCGATGCCTGATTCGGACGGCCAATGGTGCTTCCCCCACCCCTCCACGTGTCCGTCCACCCTTCCATCAGCGGGTCTCCTCCCAGCGGCCTCCGGCGTCTTGCCCAGCAGCTCAAGAAGAAAAAGAAGGACTGAACTCCATCGCCATCTTCTTCCCTTAACTCCAAGAACTTGGGATAAGAGTGTGAGAGAGACTGATGGGGTCGCTCTTTGGGGGAAACGGGCTCCTTCCCCTGCACCTGGCCTGGGCCACACCTGAGCGCTGTGGACTGTCCTGAGGAGCCCTGAGGACCTCTCAGCATAGCCTGCCTGATCCCTGAACCCCTGGCCAGCTCTGAGGGGAGGCACCTCCAGGCAGGCCAGGCTGCCTCGGACTCCATGGCTAAGACCACAGACGGGCACACAGACTGGAGAAAACCCCTCCCACGGTGCCCAAACACCAGTCACCTCGTCTCCCTGGTGCCTCTGTGCACAGTGGCTTCTTTTCGTTTTCGTTTTGAAGACGTGGACTCCTCTTGGTGGGTGTGGCCAGCACACCAAGTGGCTGGGTGCCCTCTCAGGTGGGTTAGAGATGGAGTTTGCTGTTGAGGTGGCTGTAGATGGTGACCTGGGTATCCCCTGCCTCCTGCCACCCCTTCCTCCCCACACTCCACTCTGATTCACCTCTTCCTCTGGTTCCTTTCATCTCTCTACCTCCACCCTGCATTTTCCTCTTGTCCTGGCCCTTCAGTCTGCTCCACCAAGGGGCTCTTGAACCCCTTATTAAGGCCCCAGATGATCCCAGTCACTCCTCTCTAGGGCAGAAGACTAGAGGCCAGGGCAGCAAGGGACCTGCTCATCATATTCCAACCCAGCCACGACTGCCATGTAAGGTTGTGCAGGGTGTGTACTGCACAAGGACATTGTATGCAGGGAGCACTGTTCACATCATAGATAAAGCTGATTTGTATATTTATTATGACAATTTCTGGCAGATGTAGGTAAAGAGGAAAAGGATCCTTTTCCTAATTCACACAAAGACTCCTTGTGGACTGGCTGTGCCCCTGATGCAGCCTGTGGCTTGGAGTGGCCAAATAGGAGGGAGACTGTGGTAGGGGCAGGGAGGCAACACTGCTGTCCACATGACCTCCATTTCCCAAAGTCCTCTGCTCCAGCAACTGCCCTTCCAGGTGGGTGTGGGACACCTGGGAGAAGGTCTCCAAGGGAGGGTGCAGCCCTCTTGCCCGCACCCCTCCCTGCTTGCACACTTCCCCATCTTTGATCCTTCTGAGCTCCACCTCTGGTGGCTCCTCCTAGGAAACCAGCTCGTGGGCTGGGAATGGGGGAGAGAAGGGAAAAGATCCCCAAGACCCCCTGGGGTGGGATCTGAGCTCCCACCTCCCTTCCCACCTACTGCACTTTCCCCCTTCCCGCCTTCCAAAACCTGCTTCCTTCAGTTTGTAAAGTCGGTGATTATATTTTTGGGGGCTTTCCTTTTATTTTTTAAATGTAAAATTTATTTATATTCCGTATTTAAAGTTGTAAAAAAAAATAACCACAAAACAAAACCAAATGAATCCGCCGGAGGTCTGTCTGTTGGCATCGTGCGTGACAATTAACCTTTCTGCCTTGGCAGGATGTGCCGACAGCTTGCGGCGTGTTCCTCTCACTCTGGGAGCCTCAGGCGTGATCTCACACACTGGCGTGCACATACACACACACACACATACATGCTCACACATGCGTGCACATACACGCAGGCCTGCAACTTGGGGGAGGCCTCTGTCTGGCGGGAAGAAGAGACACACAGGCTACTCTGTTGGTCTTGGTCCTGGCACAGCTCCTGACACGTGGACTTGTGCGTGTCTCTGGCAGTGACGAGAGATGGGTTTCTGCAGCCTGAGGGTCTCCATAGAGGAAGTGGATCCTCAGCATCGTGGGGTGGGCTGGATGTGGGGAGGGAGTGCCCACTGTGGGGAACACTGAAGGAAGTCCCAGAGGGGATGTGGGATTTAGAAGGAAACAGTGGAAAGCCGGGTCTGCGGTCTGGTCTTGGCTTAGCCCTTAGCCAGCTGTGTGGCCTTGGGCAAGTCACAGACCCACTCTGGCCAGAGAGGATGAGGAAAGGTGCGTGGGCTCCAAGCTCCTGTGTTCTGCGCTTTCTCTTGCTCATGAAGACTTGGGTACCAGCCCATAAAAAAGAGGCTAAATGTATTCTAGGTCCCACCTGCAGCGTGGACTGGGGCTGAGAGGGACCCAGAAGCTAAAGATCTGGCTCATAAGGGCAATCTAAAACTAAAACCATTTTGCCACCTGAAGTAGTGAGCTCCCTGTCACTGGAAGTGTGTAAGCGAAAACTGGGGAACAATGTGGCTGAGGTTAGACTGAATAACATTTGGGCTCCCAGCAATTGATTGATCAATGGACTGATTCATTCCTTCACTCACTCACTTTCTTGAACCTCTGACATGTGCCTGTCACGGCCAGGAGATTTTATAGTCATTTGATTTGAATTCATCCTGGGGTTCCTAGCCCTGCCCTTGAGGAAGTAGAGTCTACCCATGGTGGTAGTGGGCCGTGCACATCAGAGGGATCTGTTTACCTGGCAGCTCCTACCCCTGCCTGCCCAATCGTGACTGGGGCCTTCCCTTCTCCCCTAAATCCCCAGTGTTCTCAGTTTCCAGGGCACAGGAGAAGGATCTGGCTGGGAGGAGGAAGAGACAACTCCACCAGGAGACGGACATCAGAAGTCAGCTGGAGAGCCCAGTGCGTGCAGCATCCTGGCAGCTACCAACAGCTGGTCTGTGCCATGGATTGCTGCAGGCACTTCCGAGGCCTGGGTGCCCATTTCCTGGGTGCCATCCCATACAGCAGCGCAGCAGAGTCCGTGGGCCTTCCAGGGGCCCGGTGGGCTTTTTCAAGGTCTTAATGTTGCCAGGCTAAAATGGCATTCTTCCAGAAACCCCTTTGCTGGAGAGAAAGCATTCTTTTCTTCATGCCTTTCCACTGCACTGTTGGCTGTAATACAGATGTGATGTCTGGTGCTCAAGCAGCCATGTTGAGCCATGAGGTGAAAGCCACATGCTGAGGATTATGGAGCAAGATGGAAGGCAGGGTCCCCAATACCTGGGCTGCCTTGTTCAGGAGCTTTCACGGAAGAAAGAAACTTCTTTCTGTTTGAGCTACTCTGGTTTTGGGTTTTCTGTCCCTTGCAACTGAACCTAATCCTAATAGCCCCGTTTACTTTGGGAGAGAGAGAACATGGCTGCTGGGCTGGTCCTTTTCTCTCCTACCCTCCTCAGGCACTCAGCTTCACCTTGCGAACTCTTAGGAACTCTCCTCTGTTCACTCAGATCCTCATTTCCCCAAGGTGTCTTCTTGGTCCCGGCCCTCAGCCTTCAACCAGAGCGTGGAGCTGTAGCTTTCTTTGGACAGCAATTTTTGCTTTTGTAAAATAATAAAATGTGAAACATTTACTGCTACTAAAGTAAACTATCCGTGAGCTCCTAGTACACATAAGACCGTTTTTGAGGGATGAAGGAGATAACAGACAGGACAGGGACAGCACGCAGGCTTAGGGAGGGCACGCAGGCTTAGGGAGAGCATGCAGCTGCTGGTGGCTAGGTCCAAGCTCCACCCTTTCCTCCTCTGCTGACACCATGTCTGGTGTGTTTCCAGTATTTTAAAGTGTCAGCTCAGGAACCCCAGAACCCCAACACCTGTCCATGTACTTGGGTGACAGCCTTGACCCGGCCACATTGTTACTGATGATCCTGGGGAAGTCCCTGCTTCTCCCCAATCTCAGAGGAGCTGTGACTCACCCCTATGCTGCCTTCAGGCATCCATGCAAGTGACACCCATCCTGTCCCACCTGCCCCTGCCCCAAGCCCCCCTTTCTCACTCTGCTCTGTTGATCTCTGTAGCATCTGGCCTCATCTGGCTCACTCCACGTGTATATCTCTCCTCATCTCCCTTCTCCACTCCCCATGGAAACTCCACCTGGAGTTACCTTGTTCACTACTCTGTCCTCAGAGCCTAGAACAGTGCCTCGTACCTAGTAGGCACTCGACCAGCCTGTCAAATGAAGCAACATACAAATCTGTTATTGGAGCAATCAAGTATGTTGGCTCCAAGTCACAGCCTGCCTGGCTGGTCTTCATCACACACACTATGGTGTGGCTGGAAAATGCAAGACTCTGAGTGTGTCACTACAGATAAAATATTTCAACTTCTTGGCAAGCTCCACACTTAGCACACCCTCTTCCTTGATTGGGAAATCCTGGAGGGTTGGGATCATGTTTAATTCACCTTCTAAGTCTATCTAGCCATTGTCTCTCTCCATGTCTATACTTCTTCATCTACCCACCTGTCCATTCACCTACCCGCCCACCCACCCATCTGCGTATTTATCCATCCATCCATCCATCCATCCATCCATCCATCCATCCACCTGTCCATCCATCCACCCATCCACCCGCCCATCCACCCACCCATCTACCTATCCGTCCGTCCAACCATCCGTCTACCTGCCTACCTGTCCATCCATCCATCCGTCTACCTGTCCACCTGTCCATCCATCCATCCGTCCATCCATCCGTGCATCCATCCATCCATCCATCCATCTACCTGTCCATCCATCCATCCATCTGTCCATCCCTCTGTCCGTCTACCTGTCCACCTGTCCATCCATCCATCCATCCACCTGTCCACCTGCCCATCCATCCATCCATCCATCCATCCACCTGTCCATCCATCCATCCATCTATCCATCCATCCATCCATCCATCCATCCATCCATCTACCTGTCCATCCATCCATCCATCCGTCCATCCATCTGTCCATCCACCTGTCCATCCATCCATCCATCCATCCATCCATCCATCTACCTGTCCATCCATCCATCCATCCATCCATCCATCCATCCATCCTCTTTCTTCCTCCCTTTTCTATTTTTCACCCTCACTTACTCCCAGGCTCTGTTGTTGTCACCTTGTTCTATTACCTCTGAGGAGGTTGGTGCCACAGAGGAGACAACACATCAGACCCCCATTGCTCACTCCTTCTGTGTGACCTTACGGAACTGTTGCACAGGTTAGAGACATGAGGATTGAGCACTGCCCCTGGCACATATTTGGCCTTTGGTCAATGGTAGGAGTTGTCATCTTTTTCCTCTCAGCATCCTGAAACTGGCTGATCACAGCATGGTGGACTAAAGATGGAAACAATGGAAAGAATGAACACAAAATCACAGAGGATTAAGAGCTCAGCTGCAGTCAGTGTGTGCATGCATACTCAGGCACCGTCCCGTTATTCTGCTCAATTAAGTTGATGATACTTGTCATGTGGGGCAAGTGAGCCCCAGATTGGGGCTTACCCCAGGAAGGTTCTTGGCTTTGCTCAGGAAAGAATCCAAGAGTGAGCTGATAGGGGAAGAAAACATCTCTATTGAAGTGGAAGTGTTAACAGTTCTGAGACTGCTCCTGCAGAGCAGGGCTACTCCAAGGTCAGTATGCTGAGGGTAGCAGCTCAGGAGCAATTATGCAGTCATATTTATACCCACTTAATTATATGCAAATTACGGGGAAAATTATGCAGAAATTTCTAGATAAAGGGCAGTAACTTCCGGGTCATGGGTCGTTGCCATGGAAAGAGGCATTAATGTCTGGATGTTGCCATGGCAATGGTAAAGTGACAAGGCACACTGATGGGTGTGTCTTATGGAAAGGTGCTTTTGCCTCTTCCTTGTTTTAGCTAGTCCTCAATCTGGTCCAGTGTCGAGTCTTGCCTCCTGCCTCACTTCCAGTCCTCCTGTTACAGATGAAGAAACAAGGGAAACAAGGGCTCAGCAAGGTTCACCCCCACCACCGGCTTCCCGTTACACAGTTATTTCTCCTGTAAATGTGGTAAACGACCAAGTCCACAGTCCCCCTGTGGGGAGATTCACGGCGCAGACTCCAGGTGTAACGTCAGGTCTTCCTTCATTGAGGGAGGTCTGGGTTTGCAAACTAACTCGGGTCTGGGACTGGGGGAGGGAATGCGTGCCTCTGTCCGGGGGACAGTGGGGGAGGGGGTCTCAAGTCGGACCCCTGTTTACCAAACCCAGGCCTTTCTGGTTGTAAAAGCCACAGGTCCTTGTAGGGTCCCATCCATTTTTGCCCTTGGGAACTTGTGATCCATTAGATCCACGAATCCCTTAGATCCACGAATCCCTTAGATCCACGAATCCCTGTTGGTCAGTCTGTTGGGACAGCGACCTGGTCCTGTGCCTGTTTTTTCTTTTTAAATTATTATTATTTTTTTTATTACACTTTAAGTTCTAGGGTACATGTGCACAACGTGCAGGTTTGTTACATAGGTACACATGTGCCATGTTGGTTTGCTGCACCCATCAACTCATCATTTACATTATGTATTTCTCCTAATGCTATCCCTCCCTCAGCCCCCAACCCCACGGCAGGTCCTGGTGAGTGATGTTCCCCACCCTGTGTCAAAGTGTTCTCATTGTTCAATTCCCACCTATGAGTGAGAACATGCGGTGTTTGGTTTTCTGTCCTTGTGATAGTTTGCTGAGAATGACGGTTTCCAGCTTCATCCATGTCCCTGCAAAGGACATGAACTCATCCTTTTTTATGGCTGCATAGTATTCCATAGTATATATGTGCCACATTTTCTTAACCAGTCTAACATTGATGGACATTTGGGTTGGTTCCAAGTCTTTGCTATTGTGAATAGTGCCACAATAAACGTACGTGTGCACGTGTCTTTATAGTAGCATGATTTATAATCCTTTGGGTATATACCAGTAATGGGATCACTGGGTAAAATGGTATTTCTAGTTTTGGATCCTTGAGGAATTGCCACACAGTCTTCCACAATGGTTGAACTAATTTACACTCCCACCAACCATGTAAAAGTGTTCCTATTTCTCCACATCCTCTCCAGCATCTGTTGTTTCCTGACTTTTTAATGATCACCATTCTAACTGGTGTGAGATGGTATCTCATTGTGATTTTGATTTGCAATTCTCTGATGACCAGTGATGATGAGCATTTTTTCATGTATCTGTGGGCTGTATAAATGTCTTCTTTGGAGAAGTGTGTGTTCATATCCTTTACCCATTTTTTGATGGAGTTGTTTGTTTTTTTTTCCTGT
Organism: Homo sapiens; assembly: GCF_000001405.40. NCBI lineage: Eukaryota > Metazoa > Chordata > Mammalia > Primates > Hominidae > Homo > Homo sapiens. The sequence continues at coordinate 39,218,104 of NC_000022.11, read as the reverse complement.
AAATTTGCTTAAGTTCTTTGTAGATTCTGGATATTAGCCCTTTGTCAGATGGGTAGATTGCAAAAATTTTTTCCCATTCTGTAGTTTGCCTGTTCACTCTGATGGTAGTTTCTTTTGCTGTGCAGAAGCTCTTTAGTTTAATTAGATCCCATTTGTCTATTTTGGCTTTTGTTGCCGTTGCTTTTGGTGTTTTAGTCGTGAAGTCCTTGCCCATGCTTATGTCCTGAATGGTATTGCCTAGGTTTTCTTCTAGGGTTTTTAATGGTTTTAGGTTTAACATTTAAGACTATAATCCACCTTGAATTAATTTTTGTAAAAGGTGTAAGGAAGGGATCCAGTTTCAGCTTTCTACATATGGCTAGCCAGTTTTCCCAGCACCATTTATTAAATAGGGAATCCTTCCCCCTTTTCTTGTTTTTGTCAGGTTTGTCAAAGATCAGATGGTTGTAGATGTGTGGTGTTATTTCTGAGGCCTCTGTTCTGTTCCATTGGTCTATATCTCTGTTTTGGTACCAGTACCATGCTGTTTTGATTACTGTAGCCTTGTAGTATAGTTTGAAGTCAGGTAGCATGATGCCTCCAGCTTTGTTCTTTTGGCTTAGGATTGTCTTGGCAATGTGGGCTCTTTTTTGGTTCCATATGAACTTTAAAGTAGTTTTTTCCAATACTGTGAAGAAAGTCATTTGTAGCTTGATGGAGATGACACTGAATCTATAAATTACCTTGGGCAGTATGGCCATTTTCACGATAATGATTCTTCCTATCCATGAGCATGGAATGTTCTTCCATTTGTTTGTGTCCTCTTTTATTTCGTTGAGCAGTGGTTTCTAGTTCTCCTTGAAGATGTCCTTCACATCCCTTGTAAGTTGGATTCCTAGGGAATTGTGAATGGGAGTTCACTCATGATTTGGCTCTCTGTTTGTCTGTTATTAGTATATAGGAATGCTTGTGATTTTTGCACATTGATTTTGTATCCTGAGACTTTGCTGAAGTTGCTTATCAGCTTAAGGAGATTTTGGGCTAAGACAATGGGGTTTTCTAAATATACAATTATGTCATCTGCAAACAGGGACAATTTGACTTCCTCTTTTCCTAGTTGAATACCCTTTATTTCTTTCTCTTGCCTGATTGCCCTGGCCAGAACTTTCAACACTATGTTGAATAGGAGTGGTGAGAGAGGGCATCCCTGTCTCGTGCCAGTTTTCAAAGGGAATGCTTCCAGTTTTTGCCCATTCAGTATGATATTGGCTGTGGGTTTGTCATAAATAGCTCTTACTATTTATTATTCATATTCTTATTATTTATATTTCACTAATCCCTGTTGGTCAGGCTGTTGGGACAGTGACCTGGTCCTGTGCCTGTTTTTATTTTTTTTATTTTTTTTATTTTTTATTTTTTAGACAGAGTTCCGTTCTTGTCACCCAGACTGGAGTGCAATGGTGCAATCTCAGCTCACTGCAACTTCTACCTCCTCGGTTCAAGCAATTCTCCTGTCTCAGCCTCCCAAAGTAGCTGGCGCCTGCCACCATGCCCAGCTAATTTTTTGTATGTTTAGTTGAGACAGGGTGTCACCATGTTGGTCAGGCTAGTCTCGAACTCCTAACCTCAGGTGATCACCCTCCTCGGGCTCCCAAAGTGCTAGGATTAAAGGCGTGTGCCACAGCACCCGGCCCTGTGCCTGTGACAGTGATGCACCCCCACCACCCCTGGCAGTCACTGCTGCCTCGGGCTTCTGTCATCTCAGGTCTTGGTTTCCACTCCAGAAATCCAGAGGCAGGCCACTGGCCAGACACCTTCCCTGGACACTAACACATTCCGAAGGGTGTTGGGCCCTCTGCAAGGTGGCTCGCCGTGTGGGTGTAGGGCCGGTACTTTGGGTCCTTGGGCATTGTGGTAAAGGGTCATCCATGCTCAGTCCATTCCTCTGGCTCTGTCATGCCTTGGTGTCTCTGTCATCTCCAGGTTGGGGGGGGGGGGGGCAACCTCTGCGTTGGCCTTCACCTCACCTGCCAGCCGACAAAGCAGTGGTAGAAACAATCAGGGCCGCCCCCCGCTGATGAAGTTGGCACCTTGGATGCAGGGCCCCCTGTTGGTGGAGCAGCATGGATACATTCAGCCCCATCCAAAGCTGCATTCGCTCCTCCTTGACGTATGTCCTCAGAACCCACTCACACATCTCCCCCAGATGTCTGATGATAGGAAATGACATTCTACACAGGTTTTGGTTTGAGATTGCTATTTAATCTCGCCCCTCAGGGCCTCCTGCCACCTGACTCCAGCTGAAGACTCTGAGGATGGGGGCCACATGAGGGTGATTACAGGGTCCCTTCTTCGGCAGGACCAGCCGCATCAGACAGCGAAGAGGAGCTGCTCAGCTGGCAAGGGGACTTGGCGGGGAGTGAGGGTTCAGGGTGTTCCAATCAGCCAGAATCCTCCTTAGAGCTGGTGAGGCCATGGCATCGCTCATGATGTAATTCACCATTCTGTAGGCTCGAATTTTGAGTTTCATTTTTGGCTGTCTCAGTCTTACCACAGTGAGAATTAGGAAACATTTTTACTGCAGTTATAGAAGTCCTTCGTTTTCTTTCTTCCCTTATTTTTTATTTTTTAGTTTTTTTGTTTTTAAGACAGGTTCTTGCTCTGTCACTCAGGCTGGAGTGCAGTGGTGTGATCAAAGCTCACTGCAGTCTCGATTTCCCCGACTCAAGCCATTCTCCCGCCTCAGCCTCCCAAGTAGCTAGGACTACAGGTGCACACACCATGCCTGGCTGATATATATATTTTTAAACTTTTTAGTAGAAAAAAGTAAAAACAGGGTCTTTACTTAGTAGAGATGGGGGTCTCACTATGTTGCCCAGGTTGGTCTCGAACTCCTGAGCAAAAGTGATCCTCCTGCCTCGGCCTCGCAAAGTACCGGGATTACAGGCATGAGGTACTGCACCTGGCCCAGAAGTCCTCAGTTTTTGATCTGGGTCTTGAGCCAAGAATTTAGGAATTTAGGAGACGGGCTTCTGCATCTTTAACAGTGCAGTGCTGTAGAGCCCATTCAGTCTAATTCCTCATTCCTTTCATTCTTTTCTAAGGCAATGAATTCTCAATGAAGCTTTGTTTTCAACGGGCTCTTCCTTCCCGGTGACTCCAGGTGGCAAATCTGACATTCTGCTTCCCCTGCATGCCATGGCTTCCAGATCTGAGCCCTTATGATGTGCTGAATTTTTACTGACTTCAGCCCCAAGCAGTCCAGATAACCAATTCCAGCTTCTCCGAGCTTCCTCCAACATCCACTGCCTGTAACCACTCCTGACACCAACTTCTATATAAGGCAAGGTTCTTAGTTGCAGGTAACATAAACCAGCTCCGGTTAACTTATAAAGAAACGGATGTTCAAAGAATGGATATTGAAAAGGATATTCAAAGAATTCCAGGTGACTCATGCATTGCTGAGCAGGCTTGGAGACCTGGTTTTGTGGTATGCAAACAGGATCAGTCCTCTCCAATGCAGCCTGAGGTCAGTGCTCTGAACACCTGTTTGACACTGCAGCCCCTGTGACTGGCACCTTCCAACTGAATACCCAGCACTGGGCACTGTGGCTCCACGGCTCAGCCAGGGAGACGCTCTGCTTCTTTGCAGCACTAATTTTGTTGTTCAGTCTTGAGTTGGTGTGCCTGACTGGTGAGCCTCACAGACTTCAGCTGTGTCTGAGAAAGGGCGTAGTGGGGATTTTTAGTTTCTAGGCGGGCGGGCGGGGGGTGGTCCCTGGGTCCACAGCCTACAAGGTGCGGTTCAGACGGTGTGTGGTCAAAACAACGAAACGTAAGTGGAATGTCTGTTTCATTCTGTACCACGTTTCTTCCATTTCTTCCAGCTGAGCACAGGATGAGGCTGCCTGCCCAGATAGCTGTCCCTTCTGACTTAGGATCTCTTTGGCTGTACATTGAAGGATGAAGAAGTGTGTAGCTGTTTTACCTATGACTGGATTCCCAGATCCTAGCTCAGCTGCGGACACACCATGGGCACTCACTTCATGTTGTTAGGTGATGGAACATGTCTTGTGGGGACAGGACTAAGGGTGAGACACCTGCCCCAGGTGCAAAGGTTAAAGGGGCACCAAAAATTCTCAGTGATCAAAATAAGTCATCATTTCATGCAATATGTATATATTTTTTGAGGCAGAGTCGTGCTCTGTCACCCAAGCTGGAGTGCAGTAGCGTGATCTCAGCTCACTGCAACCTTCGCCTCCTGGGTTCAAGTGATTCTTGTGCTTCAGCTGCCTGCGTAGCTGGGACCACAGGCACATGCCACCACACCTGGCTAATTTTTGTATTTTTAGGACAGACAGGGTTTTGCCATGTTGGCCAGGCTGGTCTCAAACTCCTGACCTCAATGATCTGCCTGCTTCAGCCCCCTGAAGTGCTGGAATTACAGGCGTGAGCCACCACGCTCAGCCTCATGCAGTATTTTAAGAAATCAAAATTAATGCAAACAAGTTCACCACGAGCCAGTCCGGGAGTGGTGGCTCATGCCTGTAATCCCAGCACTTTGGGAGGCCGAGGTGGGCAGATACTTGAGGTCAGGAATTTGAGACCAGTCTGGCCAACATGGTGAAACCCCGTCTCTACTAAAAACACAAAAATTAGCCAGACATGGTGGCGGGCGCTTGTAATCCCAGCTACTTGAGAGGCTGAGGCAGGAGAATCGCTTGAACCTGGGAGGCGGAGGTTGTAGTGAGCTAAGATTGCACCACTGCACTCAAGCCTGGGTGAGCGAGACTCCAACTCAAAAAAAAAAAAAAAAAAAAAAAAAAGAAAGAAAGAAAAAAAATTTACCATGAGCCAAAATTTCAAAATTTCACTTCAAGACAGGAGTTGAAACGAGCACTTACACAATGCCTCGCTCGCCTCACTCTAATCTTGGCTTTGTCAGATCCTGTCTTGTTTTAAAATGTTGTGCTCCGGGTGTGTGCCTGGCTTGCCTCACCGCAGCCCGGGCCCTGCTGACCCAGCTCCATGTTCACTGTCCTTTCTTCTTCCTTCTGTGGCCTTGGTTTTGGGTCCTCACTCTCTTTTGACCCAACCATTGAGAAACTCCTCTGGGGTTCCTTCTCCTCACCCCGGACTATCCCACCATGAGCCACGTCACTCTCTGCTGCCCCCTTAGGCTTCTTGACACAGAGTAGTCAAGCCACTCCCTTGCTCATAACCTTCTATGACTTCTGACCCCAGGCGAGGCTCACACTCACCAACAAGGCATGCAGAACCCTCTGTGGTCAGCCCAGGGAGGCTTCTTCCTCCCAAGCCTCCCCGCCTGTCACCTGCCCTCCTCCTCCATATCCAGGCCGTGCCTTTCTCCACATCTGTACTTCACTGACTATCTTCAAAGTCAACCTCAAATTCACTAGAAAACCGCCCCTGGAGGAATGTAAAATGGTATAGCCACTGTGGAAAACAGCAGGGTGGTTCCCCAGAAACATTCACACAGAATTACGATATGACCCAGCAATCCCACTTCTGGGTAGATACCCCAAAGAACTTAAAACAGGGTCTCGAAGAAATATTTGCACACCCAGGTTCACAGTGGAATGATTCACAATAGCCAAAAGGTGGAAGCATGGCCGGGCACGGTGGTTCACGCCTGTGCTCCCAGCACTTTGGGAGGTTGAGGCAGGCGGATCACCTGAGGTCAGGAGTTCGAGAGTTGGCCAGCCAACTCTCTGTTGTTCAGCCTGGCCAACAGAGTGAAACCCTGTCTCCACTAAAAATACAAAAATTAGCCGGGCGTGGTGGCGGCCACCTGTAATTCCAGCTACTCGACAGGCTGAGGCAGGAGAACCACTTGAACTTGGGAGGTGGAGGTTGCAGCGAGCCAAGATCGCGCCACTGCACTCCAGCCTGGGTGACAGAGCGATATTCCATTTTGGTATTGCTAGAAAGAAATACCAGAGGCTGGGCAATTTATAAAGATGAGGTTTCATTGGCTCACAGTTCTGCAGGCTGTACCAGCATGGCGCCAGTGTCTGCTCCTGGTGAGGCCTTACGGACGTTACAATAACGGCGGAAGGCAAAGGCGGAGCAGGCATGTCGCATGGTGAGAGCAGAAGCACGAGAGAGTGGGGGGCAGGGGTGCCACAGACTTTTTTTTTTTTTTTTTTTTTTTTGAGACGGAGTCTCGCTCTGTCGCCCAGGCCGGACTGCGGACTGCAGTGGCGCAATCTTGGCTCACTGCAAGCTCCGCTTCCCGGGTTCACGCCATTCTCCTGCCTCAGCCTCCCGAGTAGCTGGGACTACAGGCGCCCGCCACCGCGCCCGGCTAATTTTTTGTATTTTTAGTAGAGACGGGTTTCACCTTGTTAGCCAGGATGGTCTCGATCTCCTGACCTCGTGATCCACCCGCCTCGGCCTCCCAAAGTGCTGGGATTACAGGCGTGAGCCACCGCGCCCGGCCGCCACAGACTTTTTTAAAATTTTTTTTTCTTTTGAGAAGGAGGCTTGCTCTGTTGCCCAGTCTTGCTGTGTCGCCCAGGCTGGAGTGCAGTGGCGCGATCTCGGCTCACTGTAATCTCCACCTCCTGGGTTCACACCATTCTCCTGCCTCAGCCTCCCTAGTAGCTGGGACTACAGGCGCCTGCCACTGTGTCCGGCTACTTTCTTGTGTATTTTTAGTAGAGACAGGGTTTCACCATGTTGGCCAGGCAGGTCTCGAACTCCTGACCTCAAGTGATCCGCCTGCCTCGGCCTCCCAAAGTGCTGGGATTAAAGGCATGAGCCACCACACCCAGCCTACATTTCCACATGATTTTAGAGGGAACAAACATCCAAACTATATCAACGTACAATGGAATATTATTTAACCTTCAAAAGGAAGGAAATCCTGGGATATGCTGCAACATGGAAGAACCTTAAGGACATTCTGCTAAGTGAAAGAAGCCATTCACAAAAGTGCCAGTGCTGTATGATTCCATCATATGATATAATTAGATTAGTCAAAATTATAGAGACAAAAAGTAGAATGGTGGTTGCCAGAGGCTGGGAGGGGGGATTGCGGAGTTAGCGTTTAATGGATACAGAGTTTCAGTTTTACAAAATGAAAATAGTTCTGGAGACAATGGGGGCGATGGTCACGCAACATTATGAATGTACTTAATACTACGAACTGTACACTTAAAACAGTTACAATGGCACATTTTTTTTTTTTTTTAGACAGAGTCTCCCTCTGTCGCCCAGGCTGGAGTGCAGTGGCCCAATCTCGACTCACTGTAACCTCCATCTCCCGGGTTCAAGCAATATTTCTGCCTCAGCCTCCCGAGTAGCTGGGACTACAGGCACACGCCACCACCCGTCTAATTTTTGTATTTTTCATAGAGACAAGGTTTCACCATATTGGCTAGGCTGGTCTCGAACTCCTGACCTTGTGATCTGCCTGCCTCAGCCTCCCAAAGTGCTGGGATTACAGGCATGAGTCACTGCACCTGGCTTACAATGGTAAATTTTTTGTTATGTGTATTTTAACACAGTAAGTGCAGGCGCAGTGGCTCACGTCTGTAATCCCTGCATTTTGGGAGGCCGAGGCAGGCAGATCACTTGAGTTCAGGAGTTCAAGACCAGCCAGGGAAACGTGGCGAAACCCTGTCTCTACTAAAAATACAAAAATGAGCCGGGCATGGTGGTGGGCACCTGTAGTCCCAGCTACTCGGGAGGCTGAGGCAGGAGAACTGCTTGAACCTGGAAGGTGGAGGTTGCAGTGAGCCGAGATCATGTCACTGCACTCCAGCCTGGGCAATAGAGTGAGACGCTATCTCAAACAAACAAACAAACAAAAATACAATAAAAAGTTGGGGAAAGAAATAAGAAAAAAAAAAACCTGCTCCTGCAGCTCTCTGGCCAGAAGTGAGGTTTTTCTTCTCTGAATGCATTCAAACATTCTACCCAAGATCTCCTTGAATTAGGAAGGCACTGGGTGCCAAAGTCTGTCTTTGAGGTCAGGATCTGCGCCTGTGCCTCCTAAGGCCTGCCTTGGTGCCTGGGGCCTGCAGACGCTGGACGGATGAAGGAACCAATGGCAGGGGCTCAGCCCATAGCTCTGGGCAAAGCTCTCCAGTGCACAGCGGCCACATGGAGCTCTGCATGGTGCAGTCACCTGTCAGTACCTGGGCACTCAAGTACCCTGACCTGCACACTCAGAGCCAAGAGACGGCAGGTGCAGGTGAGGCGGATGTAACTGACACCCGGCAGCAGCCCCGTGCATTTGAGGCCTCTGGTGACCTGCAGGCGGCAGAGTGGTGAGGAACCCAGGTTTGGGTCTAGGTGCCAGCTCTGCTGTTTGCTAGCTTTGTCTCCTTGTCTGCTAAATTGGCAGAGAATCGTCTCAGCTTTATGAGATTGTGTGAGGATCAAATGGGACTATGCCTGGGAACTGCTTCCTGTGGCAATTTTTGGGAGGGCAGACCCTGCCCAGCAGCCATCCCTCCTTATTTCTCTTGCTAAACAGAGCCCTGGTCTGCTTATGGAACCAGCTGAAATGCTGCGATCTCAGTGCCAGAGGCTGGTCTCATCAGTCCTGGGCATCTGATTCTCCTGGACCGATGGTGGGTCTGAGTGTGGCCATATAACGGCACTCTGGCTAATGAGACATGAGAGGAAGTCTGTGGGGTGTGCAGGGAGGGTGACAGTGGGGACTCATCCTCATCAGAAGACAGAGACTTCCAGGGAGACTGCCCTTTCCTTGTTTCCCTTCTTCCTGCCTTGAATGCAGATGTGACAGTTGGCGGGTCAGCAGCCATTCTGTAGTAATGAGATGATAAGGATGACAAAGAGATTGCAGGAAATCCAGCCCTGCCATCATCAAGGCAAGCGTTACTGCCTCCTGATTTCTTGTTATGGAAGAAAGATTAACGCCTATTTTTCTTCCCTAAACCACTATAAATTGGATTTTTCTTTGACCTGACACCAAACACATTCCTATAGAATTCACTGCCACACAGCCGAGTAAATGTTTGCTTTTACCTGGCTTTTACAACTCTCTGAGCTTCCCACCATCTAGAAGATGAAAGTAGGGTGGGTGAGGTGGCTCACGCCTGTAATCCCAGCACTTTGGGAGGCTGAGGCAGGTGGATCATTTGAGACCAGGAGTTCGAGACCAGCCTGGCCAACATGGTGAAACCCCGTCTCTACTAAAAATACAAAAATTAGCCAGGCATGGTGGCACACGCTTGTAATCCCAGCTACTCAGGAGGCTGAAGCAGGAGAATCACTTGAACCCGGGAGGTGGAGGTTGCAGTGAGCCAAGATTGCACCACTGCACTCCAGCCTGGGCCAGAGAGTGAGACTCTTGTCTCAAAAAAAAAAAAAAAAGAAAGAAAGAAAGAAAGAAAATGAAGGCAGAGACATCTGTCCCCATAGACTATTGTGAGGATTAAAGGAGCTAGGGGCTGTGAAATTACTCTGTGGACTGTGAAGGCTTCAGCTGAGGAGGACTAATGTGGCCTTTCTCCCGGAGACCAGGGCTTCCTTGAGTGAGGATGAAATAAACTGTAGCCAGAGAGAAGAAAGCAACAGGCATGTTTCGGAGCAGAGTCCCGGGCCCAGCTGTCGAGCAGGCCTCACTGCTCCCTCACCTGTTTCTGGGACAGGAGACATGGTTTGAGGGCAGCATGATGGTTGGTCAAGTGCTTGAATTCTGGAGCCCAGCTGTCTCTGCTCCTCCTTAAGCAAGGCCACAGACTGCGTATCCCCTCCTCGGACCCCCACAGCTGCCCACGTGCCCTCATCCCCTCATCAGAGCCCTTGTCCCCACCCTAGGTTGTCATTGCCTGTTTGCCTTGTGCTCCCTGAGACAGGGACTGAGGGTGTCCTCTTCACCCTCACACCTGGCACAGTGAACTTGACCTTGAGGCTGGCCAGACTGCGGCAGGGAAGTGAGTATGGCCAGGGCAGGAGGCAGGACAGGCAGGACCATGTCCTGGGAGAAGGGCGGGGCAGGCTGGGGACATGAGGGTGCAGGGGTGAGGGGTCAGATAGTGGTGACTTTGAGTGCGTGAGAGAGGAGGGGCTCGGTGCCCTGGGTTCTGGCAGGATGGCAAGACCACCTCTCCTCTCCTGAAGAATCAGGCAGTGACTTGGAAGCTGGTTTGGGAGATTGGAGGAGTGACAGCAGGACCATGATCCTGTGGGATGGTACCTGCTACGTACCAAGTCTTGTGTTCGTTCTGGGGATGCAGCTGTGCCCCAGACAAGGATCCTGTCCATGGAAACTCACAGCCTAGCGGCGGAAGAGGGCAACGGAGTGGATGGAGGAATATACCCCTCACACTGAGGTTCAAAGCTGGTAGGTGCCGAAGGGCACTCACTGCAGACCTACTGTGCACCAGCACTACTGAGTCAGGATCTCCGTTCTCTGGGAGCTCAGCTGCAGGGAACAACACTGTGTGTGCATGTTTGCACCCCCTCTCTGTGGGTCTGTGGTGAGTGGCCAGTGTGTGTTCGTGTGTGTACAGCTGTCTGTGGGTGTGGCTGGGAGCTTTTGCACCTGTGAGTATGTCTGTGTTTTGCTGGTAGTATTGTGTGTGTGTGTGTGTGTGTGTGTGTGTAGGAAGGGAGCAGGCATCTGCAGCAGAAGCTGAGGTCTCAGGTCTTGGGGGTTTCTCCCACACACCTGCCCCTTGGCCATGGGGTGGGGTGGGGTGCCCCGAACGCCCTGATACTTTGTGGGAAGAAGGCTGGGCACAGCGGGAATGTTTGGTTTCCTGGGTGAAGGCGGAGCTGGCCGTCTTCCCATGACAGATGTAGGAATGTTTCTGCTATTCAAGGCGGAAGCAGGGGTGTGGGGGCCGCCTGAGGCCTGCCCCAGCCCTGCTCCAGGCCACCTGTCTATGGCCTGGGAAGCAGCTGGGCACTGCTAGGGAGAAGCTTCTAGACCCAGGGCTGACCCTACTCTCCAAGCCCCATCTCCCCAGGAGGCTCAGGTCAGGCCCAATTCACCTCCCTCCCAGCCCCCCAGGACAGGAGAGGAGAATGGAGTCCAGGGTTCAGCCCAGAGGAGGACTCCCATGAGGAGGGGGCTTTGAGGAAATGGGGATATTGGGCGTCTTTCCCTGGCAGCTGAGTTGGGGGCAGCAACAGGGGAACAGCGGGGAAGCATCCTTAGAGGTCCCCCCATCAGTCAGCCCAGCTGCAGACAGCCTCAGGGTACCCTCATTTTCTTTTCTGAGTCCTGGTATAATAGAGCTTCAGAAGAGTCAGCAATGGCAAATTCCTCAAATGGGGAAACTGAGGCAGGGGTGGGGTGCTGACTTGGCCAGGTCGCCCCACCCCCAGCAGTCCTGACCCCAGACCCCCAGCTCTCCCAGCGCACCTGCCGCTCACTCCATGGAGGTTATGGCCCGGGTGGGGTACAGGTAACATGACCACCAAAATCAGCGGTGACCTGGCCTCCACCCTCTGGAAGCTAGCGCTCCAGAACCCCCAGCCCCTCCCTGGGTTTCAAATCCTGCCTTGCCCCTTCCAGGCTTCCGTCTGTGAAGCCAAGTGACTCTTCCCACTCTGTCTACACAGCCTTCCCAGGGATTGCATGTAAAGAACCAGGTGAAGGTTGGGCACAGTGGCTCATCCTTCAGTCCCAGCACTTTGGGAGGCCAAGGCTGGTGGATTGCTTGAGGCCAGGAGTCTGAGACAAGCCTGAGCAACATGGAGAAACCCCATCTCTACAACCGAAAAAAAAAAAAAAAAAAAAAGAGCGTGGTGGTACATTCCTGTAATTCTAGCTACTTGGGAGGCTGAGGCAGGAGGATCACTCAAGCCCAGGTGATTGAAGCTGAAAAAAAAAAAGCGTAGGTTGGGCGCGGTGGCTCATGCCTGTAATCCCAACACTTTGGGAGACTGAGGTGGGCAGATCACCTTAGGTCGGGAGTTCGAGACCAGCCTGACCAACATGGAGAAACCCCATCTCTACTAAAAATACAAAATTAGCTAGGTGTGGTGGCACATGCCTGTAATCCAGCTACTCGGGAGGCTGAGGCAGGAGAATTGCTTGAACCAGGGAGGCAGAAGTTGCGGTTAGCCAAGATCGCGCCACTGCATTCCAGCCTGGGCAACAAGAGCGAAACTCTGTCTGAAAAAAAAAAAAAGGCCTGGGTATTTGAAGACTTTGTGTCTAGGCCAGGGATGTGTTGGGGCCAGGTGGTTATTGGTGATTGCTGGCTGCAGTCTGAACAACCCACATCCCCCACGAAGCCACTGGGAGGCTGTGGGTGGTGACTGGGGGGTGTCCCGGGGTGTGGTGTCGTGGTATTATGTTTGTGAGGGCATCACTTTCCCCCACTGCATCTTAGTGGCTTCCTCCCCTCCAGCTGGAACCTGGGTCCAGCAGGCGGGGAAAGAGCCCACAGGGAGGGGAGCTTGTGAGAGAAGGAGGGCCTTGGTGACTTGGTGCTGATGTGCCTTGTTTTCCGGGCTGGCACAGGCAGGACACCCTGGATCCCCAGCCCTGACCCTGATTGTCCCTCAGGCCCCAGCTGGACCCAAAGTCACTTTCTTAGGTTTGGCTTTGAGACATCTCTTCTCCCTCTCCCTTTTACTGTCTCTCCCCTACCCTGAAGATCAGAGAGGAGGGAGGTGCCTGTGAGTCACCTTGTGACTCACAGGAGGGCACAGCCAGGGTCTGGGGCGGGAGTGTGTGCAGTTGTCCAGTGTGCATGTGCATGTGTGTGTGCACGGTCAGCATGTGTGCATAGGCAAATGTTCATGCATGTATGCTTGTGTGCACCTGTGCATGTTTTGTGAGGGGGCTGAGCTGGGGGAGGGGGAGAAGACATGCCTTGGCTTTCTCACCTTTAAAATGCATGAGCTCTGGCCGGGCGCAGTGGCTCAGGCCTGTAATCCCAACGCTTTGGGAGGCCAAGGTGGGTGGATGACCTGAGGTCAGGAGTTCCAGACCAGCCTGGCCAAAATGGTGAAACCCCATCTCTACTAAAAATAGAAAAAAATTAGCCGGGTGTGGTGGCAGGTGCCTGTAATCCCAGCTACTCGGGAGGCTGAGGCAGGAAAATCACTTGAACCCAGGAGGCGGCCGTGTCAGTGAGCCGAGATCATACCACTGCACTCCAGCCTGGGCGACAGTCTCAAAAAATAAAAATGAAAAAATAAATAAAATAAAATGCATGAGCTCATGGAAGCTGCCCCAACCCGAGGGGGCCACTAAGTCACAGCCAGGACAGGGTGCTTACCTGGAGCAGGTGCATAAGGCTTGGTTATATTGAAAGCGTGAAGAAATATCAAATAGGGGTAGCAAAGCCATTCTGCATTCTAAATAGTTTACATTGATCAAACTAACACTTCTGACACAACTACCATGCAACGGCCATTTGTAGACCCGTGTTTGGGTCTACAAAATCTTGAAAGTTGAAGTAGATCTTTCCTGAATATGAGGCCCAAACTCACAGACCTCCTGGCCTCCGGAGGTTAATAGGACCCTCTGTGTGCAACCAGGAGACCACAGAGGCCGTGGATGAGGGGAAGGCAGGGCGGGGCACTGGCTGCTCAAGCTGGGCTAGGAGCACTGTGGCAAGGACCTCTGTGTCTGTTGCGTTCGTCCCTCTTCCCTCGCCATCTAGAACAGTAGGCTGTTCTAGATGCACAGTAGGCTCCCAACACAGATGGCTGGATCAGTGATGACTGACTGCATGTCCCAGGTATGGAAGATCTCAACTGGGCCATGGCTGCGGGGATGGTGGGAGGGCGCTGGACAGGGAAGCCTGGTTATCATTCCCTCCTGGTGCTGCTGAAGGCCCCCTTTCCTCCAACTTTGACCAAGTGAAGATGGGTGGAGAGCTGACGCCTGGGTTCTAATAGGACAGGTCACTTCCCTTCCCTAAGAATCAGTCCCCTCCCTTGTCTGTAAAACAGGGATGCACCATGTTCCACCTTTGTGGTTTCTGGGCAGCATCAGACCATTCTCTGAGGTCTTCTCTAGCTTCAGGATCCAGAGAAATGGCTTGGGAGGGCTGGGCGCGGTGGCTCATGCCTGTAATCCCAGCGCTTTGGGAGGCCGAGGCGGGTGGATCACTTCAGGTCAGGAGTTTGAGACCAACCTGACCAACATGGTGAAACCCCACCTCTACTAAAAATACAAAAATTAGCTGGGCATGATGGCAGTTGCCTGTAATCCCAGCTACACAGGAGGCGGAGTTTGCAGTGAGTTGAGATTGTGCCGTTGCACTCCAGCCTGGGCGACAGAGCGAGACTCCGTCTCAAAAAAAAGAAAGAAAGAAAAGAAAAGAAAAGAAAAAAGAAAAGGCTTGGGAGAAGGGACTTCTGGAGTAACAGGGGACTTGGAGACAAAAGGAACAGAGGAACAGTTTGTGCCACGAAGACAAAGCATTTCCCAGACGCAGGGGTTTTACAGTAAGAACCCACAGGGTGCGTCTGTGCAATCCCACGTGGATCAACACACGTGGCCCATCCTGACAGTTTTCAAGCCAACCCCACATTTTGGTCTGTGTATTCAATCAGCTATACCTCCCCTCCAGCAAGCTAGGCTGCCGGTCAGCCCCGATTTTTTATCTGAGCACAAGAATGTCCAAGAGTGATGTTCAAATGCCGTAGCAACATTTACATCCAGGGTTCCTGGCTTTTCCCTGTGTTTCCCAGCCAGGTGGCCCTGTAGAGACCCAAACGTTCAGCCACCACAACTGCTTCTTAGAGAACCATGTGGGCTCCTGGTGACTTAGGTACCCACCCTGGTCCTCTCCGGCCATCTGTGTCCTCCTCCACCCTGGAAGTCGGCCAGGATTTGATGTCAGGCTCACCAGTTTACATTTTCTGTTATCAACAACAGTTCCTCCTTTTCAACCTTTCTTTCTTTCTTTCTCTCCTTCCTTCCTTCCTTCCTTCCTTCTCTCTCTCTCTCGCCCGCTCTCTCTCTCTCTTTCTCTCTTTCTTTCTCTCTTTCTTTCTCTCTTTCTTTCCTTGAGACAGAGTCTCATTCTGTGGCCCAGGCTGGAATGCAATGGTGCAATCTCGGCTCACTGCAAGCTCCGCCTCCCAGGTTCAAGTGATTCTCCTGCCTCAGCCTTCCTAGTAGCTGGGATTACAGGCGCCTGCTACAACGCCTGGCTAATTTTTGTATTTTTAGTAGAGACGGGGTTTCACCATGTTGGCCAGGGTGGTCTCAAACTCCTGACTACAGGTGATCTGCCCGCCTTGGCCTCCCAAAGTGCTGGGAGTGAGCCACTGCGCCCGGCCCCTTTTCAACATTTCAAACATTTGCCTGCCTTTGGCGTCTGGCTCCAGTTCCCATTCTCTGAGTTTCCTCCAAGATGATGGCAGTGGTTCCTGGCTCCCTGGCTGCGTCTGGATGCTCTCGGCAGCAACTCGGTCTGTGGAAGCTGGGCATCCTCCGTAGCTTTCAGGGAGTGAAGGCTAAAGGGAGGGGAAGAAGAAGGTGATTCTGACTGAACATTGTTTATTTTGATTGCAGATATTTATTAAAATGGAAAGGCATTGTTTAATCTTCTGTGCCAATGAGAATCCTTCAAGCTGCCTACAACAAAGACCGCTGGGAAGCTGAGGCCAGGAACGTCTGAGCCTAGGAGTTCAAGGCTGCAGTGAGCTGTGATTAGGCCACTGCACTCCACACTGGGTGACAGAGGGAGACCCTGTCTCAAAAAAAGAGAGACTCTTAGCCACATTTCCACATTCCAATTTTTTTTGAGACAGAATCTCACTCTGTCACCCAGGCTGGAGTGCAGTAGCGTGACCTCGGCTCACTGCAACCTCTGCCTCCCGGTTTCAAGCAGTCCTCCTGCCTCAGCCTCCCAAGTAGCTGGGAGTAGAGGCTAATCTTTGTATTTTTAGTAGAGACACGGTTTCACCATGTTGGCCATGGCTGGTCTCAAACTTCTGGCCTCAAGCAATTTGCCCACCTCACCTCTCAAAGTGCTGGAATTATAGGTGTGAGCCACCGTGCCCAGCCTTTTAGATTTCAATTTATTTATTTATTAATTATTATTATTATTTTTTGAGATGGAGTCTCACTCTTGTTGTCCAGGCTGGAGTGCAGTGGCGTGATCTTGGCTCACTGCAACCGCCATCTCCCAGGTTCAAGTGATTCTCCTGCCTCAGCCTCCCGAGTAGCTGGGATTACAGGCGCCCACCGCCACACTCGGCTAAGTTTTGTATTTTTTAGTAGAGACGGAGTTTTGTCATGTTGGCCAGGCTGGTCTCAAACTCCTGACCTCAGGTGATCCACCCGCCTTGGCCTCTCAAATTGCTGGAATTACAGGCGTGAGCCACCGCACCTGGCCAGATTTCAGTTTAAATTCTACTGTGGATATAGAATATCAGATCTTGTCATCGAGAAACTTTTTTAAATTAAACTTTTTATTTTGAGATAATTGTGGATTCACATGCAGTTGTAAGAAATAACACAGAGTGATCTTGTGTATCCTTTACCCAGTTTCCTGCAATGGTAAATAACATCTTGCAAACCTATAATAAGATGTCATAACCAGATTAACATCGACTCGGAACATTTCCGTCACCATGAGGATCCCTCCAGGCATCCTTTTATGGCCACGCCCACTTCCCTCCAAGCCCAGCTCCTCCTCAGCACCTGGCAACCCACGGCTCTGTTCTCCATTTCTGTAATTGTGTCATTTCAAGAATGTTATATAGGCCGGGAGCGGTGGCTCAAGCCTGTAATCCCAGCACTTTGGGAGGCCGAGGCGGGTGGATCATGTGGGGTCAGGAGTTCCAGACCAGCATGGCCAACATGGTGAAACCCCGTTTCTACTAAAAATACAAATATTAGCCGGACATGGTGGTGGGCGCCTGTAATCCCAGCTACTCAGGAAGCTGAGGCAGGAGAATCCCTTGAACCTGGGAGGCGGAAGTTGCAGTGAGCCGAGATCGCGCCACTGCACTCCAGCCTGGGTGACAGAGACAGACTTTGTCTCTAAATAAATACATAGAATGTTGTGTAAATGGAAGCATACAGCGTGTAAACTTTTGGGATTGGCTTTTCTCACTCAGCGCAGTTCTCTGGAGGGTCATCCGGGAGTCGTGTGTATCAACAGTTCATTCTTTTTTATTGCTGAGTAGTTTTCCATCGCCTGAATGTTCTACAGTTTGTTTAACTCTTCATTTGTTGAAGGACATCTGGGTTGCTTCCAGTTTTGAGCTATTATGACTAAAGCTGCTATAAACATTCCCGTACAGGTTTTTGTGTGAACATAAGTTTTCATTTCCCTGGGATAAATGCCCAGGAGTGCAACTGCTGGGTTGTATGCATGGTTCTTGCACGTTTAATTTTTAAAGAAATTGGCAAACTGTGGCCGGGCATGGTGGCTCACGCCTGTAATCCCAGTGCTTTGGGAGGCCGAGGCAGGTGGATCACGAAGTCAGGAGATCGAGACTATCCTGGCTAACATGGTGAAACCCCGTCTCTACTAAAAATACAAAAAATTAACCGGGCGTGGTGGCGGGCGCCTGTGGTTCCAGCTACTCCGGAGGCTGAGGCAGGAGAATGGCGTGAGCCTGCGAGGCGGAGCTTGCAGTGAGCCAAGAACGCGCCACTGCACTCCAGCCTGGGCCACAGAGTGAGACTCTGTCTCAAAAAAAAAAAAAAAAAAAAAGGAAATTGGCAAACTGTTTTCCAGAGTGGCTGTACCATTTTACACTCCCACTAGCAATGTATAAGTGATCCAATGTGCCAACATTGGGTGGTGTCACGGTTTTTTCTTTCAGCCATTCTGATAGGTGTATAATGCTGTCTCATTGTGGTTTTCATTTGCGTTTCACTAATGGTTAATGATGTTGAACATATTTTCATGTGCTTATCTGTCATTTGTATACCCTCTTTGATGAAATGTACCTTCGTGTCTTTTGCCCATTTTCTAATTGGATTTTTTTCTTTTTTTTTACTGTTGAGGTTTGAGAGTTCTTTATATGTTCTAGGCTCTTTGTCAGACAGCGGTTTGCAAATATTGTCTCCCAGTCTGTAGTTTGTCTTTTCATCCTCTTAGCAGAGTCTTTCACAGAAAGAAAGTTTTAAATTTTAATGAAGTCCATTGTATCAGTCTTTCCTTTTATGGGTCATAATTTTGGTGTCAAGTGTGAGAACCGTATGCGTAGCCCTAGATTTTAAATATTTTCTCCTGAAAGTTTTATATTTTTACATTTTACATTTAAGTTCATGATCCATTTGAGTTTGTTTTGTGTAAAGTGTGAGACTTAGTTTGAGGTTCCTTTTGTTTTTCTTTTTGCCTATGGTTGTCCAATTGCTCCAACAATCTTGGTTAAAACATCTGTCTTTCATCCACTGAATTGATTTATACTATTATAAAAACAAAAAATCAGCCAGGCATATCTTTGTGGAGTCTTTTCTGAGTCTTCTATTCTGTTGCCCTGATCTATGTGTCTCTCCCTCTGCCAATACCACAGTCATGATTATTGTAAATATATTACATAATAAGTCTTATATATCTCATATATAATAAATCAGGAAGACTGATCTCTCCCACTTTGTTCTTCTTTTTAAAATTTGTTCCAATGATTCTAGTTCCTTTGTTTTTCCATGTAAGTCTTGAAATATGCTTGTCTCTATCTACAAAAAATCTTGCTGGAATTTTTATAGGTAGCACATTAAATCTGTATGTCAATTTGGGAAGAATTAAAATCTTTACTATGTTTTGGAAAATGTATTAATGTGATGTGTCTCTCCATTTATTTATTTTTTCTTTCTTTCATCAGTATTGTGTAGTTTTCAGCACACAAACCTTGTGTACATTTTTTATAAGATTTATACCTAAGCAGTTCTTTTTTTTTTTTTGAGACAGAGTCTTGCTCTGTTGCCCAGACTGGAGTGCAGTGGTGTGATCTCGGCTCACTGCAAGCTCCGCCTCCTGCTTCACGCCATTCTTCTGCCTCAGCCTCCTGAGTAGCTGGGACTACAGGCATCCGCCACCACGCCTGGCTAATTTTTTGTATTTTTAGTAGGAGACGGGGTTTCACCGTGTTAGCCAGGGTGGTCGTGATCTCCTGACCTCGTGATCTGCCCGCCTCGGCCTCCCAAAGTGCTGGGATTACAGGTGTGAGCCACCGCGCCCGGCCAATTCCTTGGGATTTTCTATGTGGACAATCATATCATCTATAAATAGGGACAGTTTCTCCCTTTTTGATCTGTATGTCTCTCATTTCTTTTTCTTGCTTTATTGCACAGGCTAGAACTTCTAGCAGTATGTTGAATAAGAGTGTGAGAAGCACTAAGTCTTTCATCATTGAGTTTAATGTTAGCCGTAGGTTTCTTATAGATACTCTTCATCAAGTTAGGGAGGTTCACTTTCTATTCCTATTTTCTTCCCAAGAGTTTTTACCATGAGTGAATGTTTGATTTTGTGTAGAATTGGTATTAATTCTTTATTAAATGTTTGGCAGTGTTCTGAGCCTGGAGATTTTTTTTTTTTTTTTTTTTGAGATGGAGTCTCACTCTGTCTCCCAGGCTGGAGTGCAGTGGTGCGATCTTGGCTCACTGCAACATCCGCCTCCCAGGTTCAAGCGATTCTCCTGCCTCAGCCTCCTGAGCAGCTAGGATTACAGGCGCCAGCCAAAACGCCTGGTTAATGTCTTCTATTTTCAGTAGAGATGGGGTTTCACCATGTTGGCCAGGCTGGTCTTGAACTCCTGACCTCAGGTGATCCACCCACCTTGGCCTCCCAAAGTGCTGGGATTACAGATGTGAGCCACCATGCCTGGCCACCTGAAGACTTCTTTTGGGGGAGTTTTAAAATTGCAAAGTAGCTGGACATGGTGGCATAGGCCTATAGTCCCCACTACTTGAGAAGCTGAAGTGAGAGGATGGCTTGAGGCCAGGAGTTCAAGACTGCAGTGTGCCATGATAGCACTTGTGCATAGCCACTGTACTCCAGCTTGGACAACATAATGAGGACGCTGTCTTTTAAAAATAATGTAATATAAAATAAAATATTACAAAGTCATTTTCCTTAATAGTATCGGGCTATTTAAATTATCTGTTTCATATTGGGTAAGTTGTAACTGTATTTTTCTAAAAAGTGATACATTTCATCTAAGTTGTCAAATTTATGTATATAGTGTTGTTCATCGTATTTTCCTGTTATACTTTTGTTAAGGGTCTACAGGGGTATTCCAAGTTTCATTCCTAATATCGGTAATCTGTGTCTTCTTTCCCTTTTTCTTTGTCAGTGTTGCTAGAGGCTTGTCAATCTTATTAATCTTTTCAAAGAACAAACCTTTTGTTTCACTTATTTTCTCTACTGTTTTTCTGCTTTCAATTTCTGTTCTTATCTCTATTAGTTCCTTGTTTTGAGTTTATTTTGTTCTTCTTCTAGGACTTTTTTTTTTTTTTTGAGACAGAGTCTCCCTCTGTTGCCCAGGCTGGGGTGCAATGGCACGATCTCGGCTTACTACAACCTCTGGCTCCTGGGTTGAAGCAATTTTCCTGCCCCGGCCTCCCGAGTAGCTGGGATTGCAGGTGCCTGCCACCAAGCCCTGCTAATTTTTGTATTTTTAGTGGAGATGGGGTTTCACCATGTTGGTAAGGCTGATCTCGAACTCCTGACCTCGTGATGTGCCTGCCTCGTCTTCGCAAAGTTTTGGGATTACAGGCGTGAACCACCGTGCCCAGCCTTATTCTAGGATTTTAAGATGGAATACTTTTCCTCTTTTTTAATATATGCATTTAGTGCTATATTTTCCTATCAGCGCTGCTTTAGTTGTGTTCTAAAATTTTTGCTATGTTGTATTTTTATTTTCATTCAGTTCCATGTATTTCTGGATTTCCTTTGAAAATTCCTCTTTGATCTGTGGATTATTTAGAAATGTTTTGTTTAATTTCCAGGTGTTAGGAGGTTTTTCTGTCACCTTTTCGTTGCTGATTCCTTAATTCCATTGTGGCTTAAGAACATAGTCTATGTGATGTCAATTATTTTAAATTTACTGAGTTTTGTTTTATGGTCCAAGTCTATCTTGATATATATTCCAAAGACACTTGAAAAGAATGTATATTCTGCTACTGTTGGGTGGAGCAGTCTATAAATGTTGATCAGCTCCTGTTAGTTGATACGCTGTTCTATATTCTTGCTGATCTTATGTCTCGTTTTTCAACAATATAGGGAAGATCAAAACATTCTTGGATAAAGAAAAACTAGGAGAATTTGTCACCAGCAAAGTGACCCCAAGGAAACTAAAGGGAGGGCCAGGCACGGTGGCTCACGTCTGTAATCCCAGCACTTTGAGAGGCCAAGGTGGGCGGATCACGAGGTCAAGAGATTGAGACCATCCTGGCCAACATGGTGAAACCCCGTCTCTACTAAAAATAAAAAAGTTATTTTTATTAATTTTTAAATTAATTACAGGGTGTGATGGCACACGCTTGTAGTCCCAGCTACTTGGGAGGCTGAGGCAGGAGACTCACTTGAACCCGGAGGCAGAGGTTGAAGTGAGCTGAGATCACGCCACTGCACTCCAGCCTGGGTCACAGAGTGAGACTCCATCAAAAAAAAGAAAGAAACTAAAGGAAGTTCTCTAAACAGAAAACAAATGACAAAAGAAGGAATCTTGGAACATATGAAAGAAAGAACATGGCATGAAAAGTTTGGGTAAATACAGTAGACTTTTCTTCCCATGTTTGCTAGTTTAATAAAAAATTATAACACTGTCTGACATGGCTCTCAAATGTAAGTAGAGGCAATGTTTAAGACAATTATGTTATAAACAGGAGAGAGTAAAATGATTTAAAGGGAGGTAGGATTTGTACACCTCCCTTTAAGAGAGGCTGTTGAAGCCTTCGACTATAATTGAGGATTTGTCTATTTCTCCTTTTAGTTCCATCAGTTGTTGCTTCACATATTTTACAGTCCTATTGTTTGGTGCATACATTAGTGTTACTGTCTTCTGGGTGGTTTGACTTTATATCATTATATCATGTTTCTGTCTGCCACTGGTAATTGTCTTTGCTTTGAAGCCTACTTTATCTGATATTAATATAGTAACTTCTGCTTTCTTTTGATTAATACTTGCATATCTTTTTTTTTTTTTTTTGGCAGGGTCTTGCTCTGTCACCCAGGTGGGAGTGCAGTGGCACAATCCCAGCTCACTGCAGCCTGGACCTCCTAGGCTCAAGAGATCCTCCCACCTCATTTTTAAATTTTTTATAGAGACGAGGTCTCACTATGTTGCCCAGGCTGGTCTCCAACTCTTGGGCTCAAGCAATGATACATATTTTTCTATCTCCTCCCTCCCTCCCTCCCTTCTTTCCTTCCTTCCTTCCTTCCTTCCTTCCTTCCTTCCTTCCTTCCTTCCATCCTTCTTTCTTTTTCTCTTTTTCCAGTTCTCACCATTGCCCAGGGTGGAGTGCAGTGATGCGATCTCAGCTCACTACAACCTCTGCCTCCTGAGCTCGGGTGACCCTCCCACCTCAGCCTCCCAAGTAGCTGGCTGGGACCACAGGCTGGCACCATCACACCTGACTAATTCTTTTGTAATTTTTGTAGAGAGAGGGTTTGGTTATGTTGCCTCGGCTGGTCTCAAACTCCTGGGCTCACGATCCACCCACCTCGGCCTCCCAAAGTGCCAGGATTACAGGCGTGAGCTACCGTGTCTGATGATCCTTTTACTTTCAACCTGCCTGTATTGTTATACTTAAAGTGAATTTCTAGCTGGGCATGGTGGTTCACACCTGTAATCCCAGCACTTTGGGAGGCCGAGGCAGGCAGATCACCTGAGGTCAGGAGTTTAAGACCAGCCTGACCAACATGGTGAAACCCCATCTCTACTAAAAATACAAAAATTAGCTGGACGTGGTGGCAGGTGCCTGTAATACTAGCTCCTCAGGAGGCTGAGGCAGGAGAATCCCTTGAATCTGGGAGGTGGGGCTTGCAATGAACCGTGGTCACACCATTGCACTCCAGCCTGGAGGAGAGAGAGAGACTCTGTCTCCAAAAAACAAAACATAACATAAATAAAGTTAATTTCTTACAAGCAGCATCTAATTGGGTCATGTTTTAAAATCTGCTCTGTTAATTTCTGTCTTTAATTAGCATATTAAGACCATTAACACTTAATATAATTAGGATATGTTAGGGCTGAATTCTTTTTTGTTGGCTTGTTCTCTCTTTTTCTCTTCTATCTGTTTCCATTGTCTGGCCTTCCTGTGGAGTACTTTAACATTCTTTAGAATTTTATTTTGGTTTATCAGTGGTGTTTTTAAGTGTATATTTTAATGTAGCTTTTTAGTAGTTTCTCTAGTTATTACATTATATATACGTAACTTATCGCAATATACTGATGTTGTCATTTTACCAGTTTCAGTGAGTTGTATAAACCTTATCTCCCTTTAAGTTCTTTTATCTCTTCCATTTATAATTGTCTTAAATGTTTCCTCCACATACATTGACAGCCATATCAGAAGGTGTTATCATCTTTGCTTCCACTATCAAACATGAAGGGAGAAGTCTCATGGCTACCCAAACCTTTTCATGCTATGTTCTTCCTTCTTCCTTCCTTTCTGTTTCCAGATTGATGTCTTCTTTTATCATTCTATTTCTGTTTCGAGAACTTCCTTTAGTTTTTTAGAGTGTGTTTGCTGATGATAAATTCTCTTAGATTTGTTTTTTAATCCAAGAATACTTTGATTTGCCTTTTATTCTTGAAGGATAAATTTTCTCTGGACATAGGATTCTGCATTGACATTTTTTTCCCCCAGCACTTTAAAAATGCTATACCACTTCCCTCTGAACACCATAGTTTCAGAAGAGCAATCCACCGTTTTTCTTTATTTTTTTTATCCTATAGGTAAAATGTTTCTCTCTTGCTGCCTTCCAGATTTTTTTGTTTTGTTTTGTTTTGTTTTTAGTTTCCAGGAAAATTTGACTATCATGTTTCTTGGTGTGGATTTCTTTGGGTTTATCCTGTGTGGTATTTGCTTAGCCTGTTTTTTTTTTTTTTTTTTTTTTTTGACAGGATTTCACTCTAGGATTTCACCTAGGCTGGAGTGTGGTGGCACAATCATGGCTCACTGCACCCTCCAGGAGGTGGAGAACTCCTGGGCTCAAGTGATCCACCTACCTCAGCCTCCTGAGTAGCTGGGACTGTAGGTGCACATCACTATGCCTGAATAATTTTTTTGTATTTTTAGTAGAGATGGGGTTTCACCATGTTGACCAGGCTGGTCTTGAACTCCTAGGCTCAAGAAATCTGCCCATCTTGGCCTCCCAAAGTGCTGGGATTACAGGCATGAGCCACTGTGCCCAGCCTTGCTTAGCCCTCTTGATTCAGTCAGCTTATGTCTTTTGCCAAATTTGAGACAGATTTTCAGCCCTTATTTCTTTTTTCTTTCTTTCTTTCTTTCTTTCTTTCTTTCTTTCTTTCTTTCTTTCTTTCTCTTTCTTTCTTTCTTTTTTTTTTTGAGACAGAGTCTTGCTCTGTTACCAGGCTGGAGTTCAGTGGTGTGATCTTGGCTCACTGCAACCTCTGCCTCCAGGGTTCAAGCAATTCTCCTGCCTCAGCCTCCCAAGTAGCTGGGATTACAGGTGTGCCACCATGCCAAGCTAATTTTTGTATTTTTAATAGAGACGGGGTTTCACTATGTTGGCCAGGATGGTCTCAATCTCTTGACCTCATGATCCACCCACCTCAGCCTCCCAAAGTGCTGGGATTACAGGTGTGAGCCACCACGCCCAGCCCCTTATTTCTTTGAGTACTTTTTCATCCCTGCCCTCCTTTTGTGACTGCAGTGACATGACGTTAGATTTTTTCATTATAGTCAAACAGCTCCTGGAAGCTCTATTTGGTTTTTTTTAGGTCTGTTTTATCTCTGTTATCCAGGTTAAATGATTTCTCCTGCTCCACATTCCAGTTCACGAATTCCTTCCTCTGTGCTCTCCATTCTGTGTTTGAGGCATCTCTTTATATTTTCTGTTTCTTTGCTGAGGATTTCAATTTTTTCACTGGTTTCAAGTGTGTTTGTAACGTTTCTGCCAGCCTGGGCAACATGGCAAGACACCGTCTCAACAAAAAACACAAAAATTAGCTGAGCATGGTGGCATGTGCGTGTAGTCTCAGCTGCTCAGAAGATTGAGGTGAGAAAATCACTGGAGAATCACTTGAGCTGGGAGGTTGAGGCTGCAGTGAGCCAAAATCGTATCACTGCGCTAAAGCCTGGGTGACAGAGTATGACCCTATCTCTAAACAAAGACAAAACCACCACCACTGCCGCCAACAAAAAAAATTTCTATTACCTTGGTGTTGGCATCTATTGATTACCTTTTCATTTGGTTTGAGACCTTCCTGGTTCTTGCCATGAGTGATTTTTCAGAGTTTTTTGTTTTTGTTTTTGTTTGTTGTTGTTTTTTGTCTTTAACACAGGGTCTCACTTAGGCTGGAATGCAGTGGCATGATCACAGCTCGCTGCAGCCTCAAATTCCCAGGCTCCAGCGATCCTCCTGCCTCAGCCTCCTGAGTAGCTGAGACCACAGACGTCTATCACCACACCTGGCTAATTTTTGTATTTTTTGTAGAGATAGGTTCTTACCACGTTGTCCAGGCTGGTCTCAAACTCCTGAGCTCAAGTAATCCACCCATCTCGGCCTCCCAAAAGTGCTGGGATTGCAGGCATGAGCCGCCGCACAGGGCCCCATGAGTGATTTTCTATTGAAAACTGGACATTGTGGGTATTCTGTTATGAGATCTCTGCATCTTATGAAACCTTTTGCTTTAGCTAGTTGCCTCTGATGCTGCATTAGCAGGGGAAGCAAGGATGCTGCCTCATTACTGCCAGGTGGGGTTCGAAGTCCAAGTTCTCGGGCCAGGCTCGGTGGCTCACACCTGTAATCCTAACTCTCTGGGAGGCCGAGGCGGGTGGATCACGAGGTCAGGAGTTCAAGACCAGCCAGGCCAACATGGTGAAACCCAGTCTCGACTAAAAATACAAAAATTAGCCGGGTGTAGGGGTGCTCGCCTGTAGTCCCAGCTACTCGGGAGGCTGAGGCAGAAGAATCACTTGAACCTGGGAGGTGGAGGTTGCAGAGAGCTGAGACAGCGCCATGCACTCCAGCATGGGTGGCAGAGCGAGACTCTGTCTCAAAAAAAAAAAAAAAAAAAAGAAAATAAAAGAAAAGAAATAAATCCAAGTTCTCCACTTGGCCTTTGTTGGCGGATGAGCTGGCGGAGTGCTTTGTTACCGCTTAGGTAGGGATGAAAGTCCCAGCTCTGTACTTGGCCTTCTCTGATGGTGCCCTGGCAGGGAGGTTGGAGAACCTTGTTATAACCTGTTGAGGGCGGATGTCTATGCTCTCCACTCGGCCATTGCTGGCATCGGCACAGACACAGATTTTTCTGAGGTGCTTGGCTACAGTAGAGTAATTATTGTCTGAAAATTTTCTGTCTTGCCAGGTTGCCTCTTTTCTAGTTCTTTGGGAAGAAGGCAGGCCTTTGTGGAGTTTTAAAAAAATATCTATGCCCCTTGGTGTTTCTGGCTGCTGGCGTCTTCAGCTCCAAGTCGAGGATACAGGAGGCAAATTCAAACAAACGAACAAAATTCCAGCAAACTCACCCCATGGTGTTCCTGGGGTCCCGGGGGCCTAGCAGATCTGCCTTCTCCTTCCCTCCTTTCAGATCTCCTCCTGCTTGTCTTATATATCATGCCTAGAGTTTTACAGTATATTTGGTGGGAGGCAGTGTCTATTACATCCCAGTAGCAGTCAACTTTTGAAATTTAAATTTAAGTTTACATTTTTATCTCTTGTGGGGATTGTTGAGATAATTTTATTCCTTGGTTCGTAGTACACTTTCATTGTTCATGCAAAGCCCTCCTTTATTTTATATAAACTATGTATGTGATCTGGGTGCAGTAGCTCATTCCTGTAATCCCAGCACTTTGGGAGGCTGAGGTGGGAGGATCACTTGAGCCTGGGAGGGGGAAGTTTGCATTGATCCGAGATCGTGCCCCTGTACTCCAGCCAAGACCCTGTCTCAAAGTAAAATAAAACAAAACCAAAAAAATATATATATATAGGTGTATGTATGAGTTCAAAAAAAAAATCTCTTTTTCATTCCTGGGCCAAACTTCCATTCCTCTCCCACCCCCACACAAAGGCTTCCGCTCTAATGTACTCAATATGTGCCCTTAAATCCGTGTGTATCCTCAATAATTGTA
This sequence comes from Homo sapiens, assembly GCF_000001405.40. Lineage (NCBI taxonomy): Eukaryota > Metazoa > Chordata > Mammalia > Primates > Hominidae > Homo > Homo sapiens. Next base: position 39,190,923 of record NC_000022.11, on the reverse strand, counting down.
TAGCTTTTTGTCGTTGTGTGTGTGTGTGCCTTTTAAATTTACACAAATTCTATCATGTCAGGCATCCCATTTTATTTATCTCCCTTTTTACTCAAAGCTAATCAAAGCTAAGTTTTTTTGTTTTGTTTTGTTTTGTTTTTTTGAGATGGAGTCTCACTCTGTTACCCAGGCTGGAGTGCAGTGGCGCGATCTCAGCTCACTGCAAGCTCCGCCTCCCAAGTTCAAGCGATTCTTCTGCCTCAGCCTTCCCAGTAGCTGGGATTACAGGCATGTGCCACCACGCCTGGCTAATTTTTGTATTTTTAGTGGAGACAGGGTTTCGCCATGTTGGCCAGGCTGGTCTCGAACTTCTGACCTCAGGTGATCCACCCCTACTGGCCTTCCAAAGTGTTGGGATTACAGGCGTGAGCCACTGCGCCCGACCTCAGAAAAGTCTTTTTGGTTTGACCCATGCTGCCCTGCAGATGTCAGGGCCTCCTCTGACTACATGTGTATCCACCGCTTTTTACTTATCCTAGAGGGGGACCCCTGGGTTGCCTCCAACCCTCAGCTGCTGCGGGAACCTCTCAGGTATGCTCCCCTGTAGACCTGGGTGCCCTGTGCTTTGGGGTTGACACCGTGGAGTGGGGCTGCTGTGGCATGGACACCCGCTTTCATAATTGCTCCAAGCTCTGGCAAATAGCTTTCTGAGAGGGCAGCACCACTTTACCCTCCAGCCAGCAACGTCTGGGAAATCTTCCTAGGAAGACGAATTAAAATAACTTTGGGAATTTTTTTGGTAAAGCAGAAATTCTTTTGGCAAAGTGAGCAACTGCCCCCTAAATCATGTTTGGGCTTGTGAATAACAAGGCAGTATAATCAAAGATGGCCCTGGATTTCTCCTGGTGATCAGGAGGATGTCCTGGCAGGTCCCATGGCAGGTGACTGAGGTACGGGATTAGGGAAACATCCAGAAGTGGAGAGAGACTCAAACCTCAGAGAGCTCAGGAGAGCAATAGCCTGCTGGAGATCTGGCATGAGTGGAAGGCAAAGGAGACAGCTTCTAGTTTAAAGCCCAGTACATAGTAGATGCTTAATTAATATTTGTCAACAAAATGAATGAAGGAAGAAAAGAATCATTGGCCTGGGGCTCTGGGCACTTGCTGGAGGTGTGTGCTGCTGGGAATCCCAATCTCTGTCTCCCACATTGGCTCAGCTAGTTGGAGGCACACACCTGTGAAGGCAACCAGTGTCCAGGGGCCCTCAAACCACTCTGTCTGTGGTCGCTCTGCCCTTCTTTTCCTATCATTCATTCATTCATTCATTCATAAAATGCTGCCAGATGCCTAACTGGGCCAGGCCCTGCGCTAAGCTCCTGGGGCTTGAGAAAGGAATGACCCAGTCTGTGACCCCAGGAAATTCAGTTTAGTGTTCTCAATTCAGCGTGGATCCCTCAGCCTCGGGAGTTCCTCCCACTCTTGGCCTTGCTCCTCTTTGATCCCTGGGTCTCTGCACTGGGGGCCCGCCCTGATCTTCCAGCATAAACCAGCACCTTCCACCTCCCCGTACCCTGCCTTCTCCTCCAACGGATTGCCTGGACTTTGCTTTTGGAGGCTTTATCACAATTTGTTAGTATCTATCTATTTTTGTGATATTTTAAATTGTTTAAATTTAATTTGTCAACATATGACTGTTTATTCACAACTGCATGTGTCTGGCATATAACCAGTGCTCACTGAATACTGGTGGAGTGACTGTCAGATGAATAAGGGCTGCAATGGAGGTGCATATGGCTTCCCAAGAAGAGAGTGACCACACTTCTATCTGGGGCCAGAAGGGAGGGCTTCGTGGTGGCAGCGACCCCAGAGCATATTGCCAACTAGATAAGGAGGTTCCAGGCAGAAGAAATTGCACGGCATGTCCAGGGAACTGGGAGTAATGCTGGAAGGTGTATGGATATGACGACGTTGAAGATAAGCCGGTGAGAACTTACACTTGGCCAAGTAGGCTGGTTTTTTTTTTTTTTTAACTTTTTTTAAAGAGTAACATATGCGGCCGAGCACGGTGGCTCACACCTGTAATCCTAGCACTTTGGGAGGCTGAGGCGGACTGATCACCTGAGGTGAGGAGTTCAAGACCAGCCTGACCAACATGGTGAAACCCCGTCTCTAATAAAAATACAAAATTAGCCGGGTGTGGTGGTGTATGCCTGTAATCCCAGCTACTGGGGAGGCTGAGGCAGGGGAATTGCTTGAACCTGGGAGGCAGAGGTTGCAGTGAGCCAAGGTGGTACCACGGCACTCTAGCCTGGGTGACAGAGCGAGACTCCATCTCAAAAAAAAAAAAAAAAGATAACATATGCAAAGAAAAGTAGTCATATCGTGTCTCCAGCTTGATGAATTTTCACCAGTTAAACTCAGCTGGGTAACCACTGCCCAGGTCAAGAGGTAGGATGGTACCAGTCTGTAAGAAATCCTCCCGTGCCTCCTCAGGTGTAATTCCTCCTTTCCCCACAAGAATAAGCACTATCCTGACTTTGTCTGTTTTTGAAGTTCATATAAATGGAATCACACAATGTGTGCAATTTTCTTTGTTAGTCTGTTGCGTGACTGTAAAGAAATACCCAGGCCGGGCGCCATGACTCACGCCTGTAATCCCAGCACTTTGGGAGGCCAAGGCAGGAGGATTGCTTGAACCCAGGAGCTGGAGACCAGCCTGGGCAACAAAGTGAGACCTGTCTCTACAAAAAATACTAAAATTAGCCAGGTGTGGTGGTGTGTGCCTATAGTCTCAGCTACTCAGGAGGCTGAGGCAGGAGGACCCCTTGAGCCCAGGAGGTCAAGGCTGCAGAGAGCTGTGTTCGTTCTATTGCACTCCAGACCAGGTGACAGAGTGAGACTCTGAAAAAAAAAAAAAAGAAAGAAACAAAGAAAGCAAGAGAAAGAAAGAAAGAAAGAAAGAAAGAAAGAAAGAAAGAAAGAAAGAAAGAGAAAGAAAGAAATAAAGGAAAAAGAAAAGAAATACCTGAGGTTAGATAATTTATAAAGAGGTTTCATTGGCTCAGAGTTCTGCAGGCTATATACCAGCATGGTGCCGGCATCTGCTCGGCTTCTTTTGTTATTTTTACTTTTTAAGACAAGGTCTCACTCTGTTGCCCAGGCTGGAGTGCAGTGGCATGATCATCGCTTACTGTCATCTTGAACTCCTGGGTTCCAGATATTCTCCCCCCTCAGCCTCCCAAGTAGTTGGGATCACGGGTGTGTGCCATGCCAACGTGACTGGCTAATTCTTAAATTTTTTGTAGAGATGGAGTCTCACTCTATTGGCCAGGCTGGTTTTGAACTCCCACCCTCAAGAGATCCTCCCTCCTCGGCCTCCAAAAGTGCTGGGATTTCCTGGATGAGCCACAGTTACCTGGCCCTGCTCAGCTTCTGGTCAGGCCTTGGGGAGCTTTCACTCACAGTGGAAGGCAAAGCCAGGGCCAGTGTGTCACATGGCCAGACAGGGAGCAAGAGAGAGCGGGGAGGTGCCACACGCTTTTAAACAACCAGATCTCACACGAACTCAGAGCAACGACCCACTTAGTACCAAGAGAATGGTGCTAAGCACCTTCATGAAGGATCCACCCCATGATCCAATCACCTCCCACCAGGCCCCACCTCCAACACTGGGGATTACATTTCTTTTTTTTTGTTTGTTTAATTTTTTTTGAGACAGTGTTTCCCTCTGTCGCCCAGGCTGGAGAGCAATGGCACAATCACGGCTCACTGCAATCTCTGCCTCCTGGGCTCAAGCGATTCCCCTGCCTTGGTCTCCTGAGTAGCTGGGATTACAGGCATTTGCCACCATGCCTGGCTAATTTTTGTATTTTTAGTAGACACAAAGTTTCGCCATGTTGGTCAGGCTGGCCTCAAACTCCTGGCCTCAAGTGATCCACCCGCCTCAGCCTCCCAAAGTGCTGGGATTACAGGTGTGAGCCACTGAGCCCAGCCAAGGATTACATTTCAACATGTCCAAACCACGGCACCTCATGTGTAGTTTCTTCCTCTCGACACAATGTGAGACGCACCCATGTCACTGTGTGCACCTGCACCTCACAAATCTCACTCATTCCCAATCCATTCTACTACTGATGGAGATTTGGTTGTTCCTAGTTGTTGGCTGGTATGAATGAAGCTGCTGTCAGTGTTCCTGTCATGTCTTTGGGTGGACATATGCACGCATTTCTGTTGGACACCTACCTAGGAGTGGAATTGCTGAATACAGGCTGGGCATATGTTCGGCTTTAGTAGATAATTTTCCAAAGTGGTTGCACCAATTTGCACTCCCTTCAGTAGCAATGTTCTGGGAGTTCCAGTTGCTCCATATTCCCACCAACACTTGACATTTTTTATGATTTTCGTTTGAGCAATTTTGGTAGGAGTGCAGTGGTATCTCATTGTGGCTTTATTTTACCTTCTTCTGATGAATAATAACACTTTTACATATTTATAAACCTTTTTTTTTTTAGATGAAGTCTCACTCTGTCACCCAGGCTGGAGTGCAGCAGCGTGATCTTGGCTCACAGCAATCTCTGCTTCCTGGGTTCAAGCAATTCTCCCTGCCTTAGCCTCCTGAGTTGCTAGGATTACAGGCGTGCACCACCATGCCCGGCTAATTTTTGTATTTTTAGTAGAGATGGGGTTTTGCTATGTTGGCCAGGCTGGTCTCAAACTCCTGAACTCAAGTGATCTGCCCGCCTCAGCCTCCCAAAGTGCTGGGATTATAGGTGTGAGCCACCGCGCCCAGCCTGGAGAACCTCTTTTGTGAAGGGCCTGCTCAAAGTCTCCTGCCCCCTTTCTACTGGTTGCCTCTGTTTTTCTTATTGATTTGTAGAAGTTCTTTACATATTTGGGATATGAATGCTTTGTCAGGTACTCGTTTTGCAAATATTCACAGAAGGATTCTAAACTAGGAACTGATGAGGTTGAACTGCATATCTGAAAGCTCCCTCTGGCTGCGGTGTGCAGCACAGACTGACTGTGAGACCAGGAAGGGGTGGTGGGGCGACCAGGGCAGCAGCTATGGGGGTGGACAGAAGGGACCAGCGGCAGAGCTGACAAGAAACATCTGCCACATCGTGTCATGACAAGAAACAAGATGTACATGGTGACAAGGGAGGGGGGCAGCAAGGCTGACTTCCAGGCCTCTCTGGCTGGCTGCTGAGCTGACGCACGCTCTGCAACCCGGCCGCTGGCAGCCAAAGGCCGCTTTGTCTATGCAGGCCCCACCCAGGCCTGCTGGTGGAGATGCTCTCGGGTCACCGTCAGGACACTGGAGAGAGTGCCTAGTGTTGAATCTAAGTCTCCCGTGGCAACTAGGGGACAAATAGCCTCCCCCATGGCAGGCGGGTCCCCAGAAGACCCTGTCCCCCAGATGGGTTGGCATCTGTGGGATCTGGACACAGTCGGGCTGGACAATGACCTCCTGTCTACAGCCTCCTTGCCCCTGCTGAGCCCAGGCTCAGGGGGTGAGAGTTCTGTTCCAGTGCCTGGGGAAAGTGTGAGAGCAGGTTCTGGAGTGCCTGGGTCCCTGCTGAGTGGCAGGAACAGCACTGAAGTTCCTGCACCCCTGGTTTATTTCTTGGGAAACACCCTCCACCCCTACTCTGGTTTTCAGCATTTATTTGAAAGGGTCCACCAAACCTCTACTCCCCACAGCACTGGGTTCACATGTGTACTGTAGTGTTCCTGCCGTGGTGTGGTAACTAAGCCTCAAACACCTTCCTTCCTTCTTATGAGAAATGTCGTATTTTCCCTGTGCCCGGTGTGCTAGCTGTTTTCCACGTGTGATGTCAGTCGCTTCCTGCATTCGTTCCTTAGCATTCCTGCTAAAGGAAGCATCGGTTTCTTCATTTCGCAAATGAGGATGCTGACTTGCCCAAGTTCACCCAGCCAGAGTGGGGGAGGCAGGACTTGAACTTGAGCCAGTTGGACCCGGCAGCCCCTTTCCTGTCCGCTCCCCTGCCTCTCCAATAGTGGGGGCCGTGAGGGACTGGAATGGCCTCCCCAGTGGTGGTGACAGGAGCTTCACCGTCACCATCACCTTGCTGCAGGAGTGGGCACAGGTATGGCTCAGTTCTGCTGCCGTGGAGTGGGGGTCCTGGGAGAGCTCAGGCTGATACCCTGGCTTTGCCCCACCTCACGGTGACCTTGGGTGAGTCACTTGTCTCAGGGCCTCAGCCTCCCTGTCATAGCAAGGGAGTCATCCCTACGGAGCCGTGCTCCGGTGGGTAGTGGGGGAGGAAGCGTGCGGACGTGGAACACAGTCAGACTCAAACGGAAGAGTCATCTGCTTTTGTTATGTGCTACCTGTTTGGATTCCTCCTGGCGCCTAGGTTGACCCTTTCTGTTCCCTTTTTTGGTGTTAAGGAAGCGTCGGATCACTTCCCCGTCCCAGTCTTCTCCAGCCTGCACTTTTCCCAGCTTAATCAGTCTCCAGCTGCCCAAGCGTCCCAAGCAGGCCCTGGGTTCCCGCCAACAGCGGCTGCCTGCATCCCGGGGCTCCAGGCCGGGCCAGATGGGCAGCTGGTACTGGTGGCAGGAAATAGCTCTGATGGGGAGACTGCCCCCTTTCTGGTGCTCAACCACTTCGTCTCTGACAGAGCATAGAGTCTCCAGAAGGTTCTACTGGGTGGAGCCAGGGACATGCTTTGGGTCTTCGTCCATCCCTTCCTCTCTCCCAACAGGACCCAGTGTCTCCCAGCCCAGGGTGGGGTAGATTCTGCCCCGCCCCAGGTGGGCTCTCATTGGCCTAAGACAATTACTATATCCCATCTGGTGGCCATTGTGATTGGTTCAGGGATGGCTACAAGGCTGAAGTCAGGCCAATCAGAGCAAAGATATCTGAGCTCCCCGGGAAGAAGACTGTCTCTCTCTCTCCACTGAACATGGAGAGAAGGACAATATCTACACCCGGATTGGATCCTGGGCAACATGGCGAAATCCCATCTCTACAGAAAAATTAGCCAGGCGCTGTAGCCTGAGCCTATAGTCCCAGCTACTCTGGAGGCTGAGGCAGGAGAATCGCTTGACCCTGGGAGGCAGAGGTTGCAGTGGGCTGAGATCATGCCACTGTACTCCAGCCCGGGTGACAGAGAGACCCTGTCTCTAAAAAAATAATAATAATAATAACAAAAAAGAGTCTGGGTGCGGTGGCTCACGCCTGTAATCCCAGCACTTTGGGAGGCCGAGGTGGGCGGATCACAAGGCCAAGAGATCGAGACCATCCTGGCCAACATGGTGAAACCCCGTCTCTACTAAAACTACAAAAATTAGCTGGGCATGGTGGCACGCGCCCATAGTCCCAACTACTTGGGAGGCTGAGGCAGGAGAATCGCTTGAACCTAGGAGGTGGAGGTTGCAGTGAGCCGAGATCTCGCCACTGCACTCCAGCCTGGCAACAGAGCGAGACTCCATCCCCATTCCCCCGCCAAAAAAAGATCTAGACCGATTGGGAGCCGCCTGAGACCCCCATGGGAGAGCCAGCCCAAGAGAGGAGCTAAGAGAGGGAGGCAGAGAAATGGGTCCTGTCACTCAGTTTCATGGCTGGATCAAGTTTTGCTCGAACCCTCAAATACCCCCATGCTTTTTGGTTGCTCAGTAGCTCGGGTCCTCAGTAGCTCACACATTCCAGTTGTTTGTGTTTTTGTTTTGTTTTGTTTTTTTGAGAAGGGGTTTCGCTCTTCTTGCCCAGGCTGGAGTGCAATGGCGCGATCTCGGCTCATGGCAACCTCTGCCTCCCGGGTTCAAGTGATTCTCCTGCCTCAGCCTCCCAAGTAGCTGGGATTACAGGCATGAGCCACCATGCCCAGCTAATTTTGTATTTTTGGTAGAGATGGGGTTTCACCATGTTGGTCAGGTTGGTCTCAAACTCCCGACCTCAGGCGATCCACCCACCTCAGCCTCCCAAAGTGCTGGGATTACAAGCGTGAGCTACCACGCCCAGCCACATTCCAGTTGTTAAAGCCACCATGAGTTGGGTTTTCTCTTCCTTTGAACCTAAGAATCCTGAGCAGGGCCTATTGTATAGTGAGGGCCAGGCCTCTTCCTGCATCTCCAGCAACCAGGACGGAGCCAGGGCTCAGCCTAGCATCTGTCCTGACCACAAGCAATGTGTATGTGGAAATATGACCACAAATGTCTCTTTCCTGTCTGTAGCCTCAGAGCCAGAAGCCCACTTAGAGACCTGAAGTCCAATGTGCCCATTTTTCAGGTGGGAACACTGAGGGTCACCACTCTCCACCCCTCTCCTAGTTGGCTGAATGTCTAAGGAACAGGCAGATAGAGAAGGGGCTGAAGGTCCAGCTACGCCCAGAGTCCCCAGCCTCTGACCTGTGGCCAGGCTTTCTGGGGAGACCTCTCTCCTCCTCATACCCCCAGTTCATCCAAGGATGCAGGCTGCATTCTGTATTGCTAAGTCCAGAATGAGCTCAGCCTATGCATGGAATGTAACATCTCTCACTGAAGGACCCTCAGTAGCTCCCGGTTACCTACAGAGTCCAGTTCACACAACTTTGCCTGACACCTTAGGCCCAATCTCCTCTACCTTTCCTCCTCCATTGTCTCTCTCCTCCCTTGCAGCAAGGAGGGGAAACCTGCAGCGACTGTGCAGCCTCTTGTCCCTGCAGAAATGCCTTAGATATCATTTGGCTAAAAAGGAGTGTCACTTTAAATTCACAACCACAAATCTCAGTTTAGTCCTTGGCATTTATTCCAATTAGCTATTTCTGCATAATAAATTAAAGGCTTAAGACAACAATATTTTTTATTATCTTTCCTGAATTCTGTGGGTCATGAACTTGGGAGAGGCTCAGCTGGGTTGTTCAGGGTCTCACAGGTGACAGACAGGTGGTGGCTGGAGCAACTCTCTCTTCAGGTGCTCTGAGAGCCTTTCCATGTGCAGGGGCTGGTTGGGCTTCCTCACAGCATGGAGGCTCAAGGCGCCAGCCTGAGCACTCCATATGGCAGAAGCTTTGATAACCTAGCCTCAAAAGTGATGCATTGTCACTTCCGCTGCAGTCCATTGGTAGCACAGTGAGTCGCAAGCCTGCTTAGGTTCTAGGGGAGGCGAAATTAGACTCTACCTCTTGGTGGAGGAGCGAAAGGTTCTAGAATAACTTGTGGGGCGGGAGATGTTGTTGCAGCCATCTTGGAAAATGCAATCTGCCAGAGTGTTGCTGGGCAATGCCGCTGCATTTCCTGGGTCTACACGCACCGCTCCAAGAGGGCTCTTCCACACCTTCTCCTTACCCCTCAGACCTCCAGGGCCTTGCTGCCTTTTCACTGAGAAAGCAGAAGGGGTCCTGGGGAACCTCCCTGTGCTCACTGTGCACCCCTGCACCCACTGACGCTGCCTCCTGCTGCCACTGTGATGGAGGGCCTGTGTGTCAAGGCGGGTGGACCTATCCCTCCCGCCATGCACACCCCTCTCCTCCTCCCGCAGTGTCCGCTCTTCAGGATCATTCCCCAGGGGAGAATGCTCATTCTTCTTTCTTCTTAAAAAGAACAGCAACCACTGGCTGGGCACAGTGGCTCCAGCCTGTAATCCCAGCACTTTGGGAAGTGGGTGGATCTCCTGAAGTTTCAGGAGTTAGAGACCAGCCTGGCCAACACGGCAAAACCTCGTCTCTACAAAAATACAAAAAATTAGCCAGGCATCATGGCTGGCCCTTGTAATCCCAGTTACTCAGGAGGCTGAGGCAGGAGAATTGCTTGAATCTGGCAAGTGAAGGTTGCAGTGAGCCGAGATTACGCCACTGCACTCCAGCCTGGGCGACAGAGTGAGACTCCGTTTCAAAACAAACAAACAACAACAAAAACCAGCAACCACTAAAAACTGAACCGAAGCAAAAAGAAAACCCTCTCCCTTCACCTCTCCCCTCAAGCTGTCTGCTCCCAGCTCAGCCCTAACATGTGCAGGGCTCGGGCCCAGAGCACAGATGGAGGCCTGCACGCTCTGAGGCTAAATATCAAGATGTTATAAATACGTGAACAAACTGTTAAATCAAGTATGCTTTCTTCCTACTCGCTAAGTAGATCTTCTCAATGAGGGCTGGATTTAGAATTCTCCGGCTCCTGGGACCTGGCTTTTTGGGGAGAGCCAGCCTTGGCCTTGGCCTCGCTCCACAGCACCCCCCTTCTTTTCTGGCCCCCAGCTCTCATCCACACCTTGAATGGCCTGGAGCGCTGGTGCGTGAGCACCCAGACCAAGCTCTGCCCATCACCCTTACCCCCGCAGCAAACAGCCACCTCTTGGTCACCCTTGAGAGGGGCAGCCATCAGGGACAAGGGTGGGGCCCTCGAATCTCTGAGGGGAGAGTTCTTTCTCCTTGCCATTTTTTTTTTTCTTCGAGATGGATTTTCACTCTTGTCTCCCAGGCTGGAGTGCAATGGCGCGATCTCAGCTCACGGCAACCTCCGTCTCCTGGGTTCAAGCGATTCTCCTGCCTCAGCCTCCCCAGTAGCTGGGATTATAGGCATGTGCCACCATGCTCGGATAACTTTTTTGTATTTTTAGTAGAGATGGGGTTTTACCATGTTGGCCAGGCTGGTCTTGAACTTCAGACCTCAGGCGATCCACCTGCCTCGGCCACCCAAAGTGCTGGAATTATAGGCGTGAGCCACCGCGCCCGGCCCTCCTTGCCTTTTAATGTCCTCTCTCCTGTTCTTTTCGCAAGTCTCCTCCCCGTCAGGCTGTCACCTATGGCTCTGTGGGAGCCTCATTTGTGGCTGTTCCATCTGCTGCCTGCAGGCACCTCGGCTGAGGCCCCACCCTCCTGGGCCTCCCTCCTCCCCGATGCTGTTTCTCAGGCTCCCCTGCCGGCCCCCCTCATCTCTAAACGTTGGCGGGGGGTGCCAGGGCTCAATCCTTGGAGCTACTCTTTGTCTACACCCTTCCCCAGGGTGGTCTCATCCGGCTCTAGGGGCTGATCCCCACCCACGAGCCAGTGACGCCCGATGAGTGTCCCCAGCTGGCCCCTGCCTGCTCAGCTTTGCCGGGTGGAAGTCTCGGATTTATCACCGGGCATCACCACCTCGACCTGTCCAGCCTCAGTGCCTGTCTTCCCTGCTCCATCCCACCCCAAACCTGCCATCCCCAGCTGGCCCCATCAGTTTCAGTAGCTCTGTCCTTCCAAGTGCTAGGGCCCAAACCTTGGAATAGGCCTTGACCTTCTCTTTCCTTTACCACCACCCTTCATCAGATAGGCCGTACTGCTGTTGGCTCCGCCTTCTGTTCCTCGCCCTCACCAGGGCTGCTGGCCCAGCCTAGCCCCACCAGCTCCCCTCCTACAGGCTGCTTAAGCCTAAGTCAGATCATGTGTTTCTCTGCTCAGACCCTCCCCGGCTCCTGCTCCGGTCCTCACTCAGAGCCGCAGCTCAGGTGCTTACAAAGGCCTGCAAGGACCTATGGGATTTCACCCTGACTCTGTCTGCTTGGGCCCCCTCTGCTGACAGCCCTCCTCCTGCAGAGCCCAGCCTCAGTGGGCTCACTCCCTCACTTCCTTCAGTCTGTGAGGCCCTCCCTGGTCACCCCACATCAAGCTACCCCCACCTCTGGACCCTGCCCCATCCTTCCGCACAGCACCAACTTCTATTCCCTTTACTCATTGGTTGCTTTCCTGCCCATTTCCCTGCATTTGAATGGAAGCTGCACAGTGCCTAGCGTGTGGATGGTATTCAAGAAGTAGTTGTTGAATTGAATAAATGAATGAGTGAATGAATGGCTGACCATTCCCTGTGTTCTTTCCTGAGGAATGCCCACTTGGCTAAGAATCTCTCTCCACCCGGCACTCCAGACTTGTAGCGAGTTGAAGCTAGCCTATCTTCCCCACGCTATACTTAAACTGAGCTCGTGCAACCAGCGGACCCTCCAACCACCACCGGCCATATTTCCCACCAGGACCACATCCCCTGTCCCCAGCCTCTGTGTGAGCCGTCACCTCCTCCCTGAAGGCCTCCTGATTCATCCATGTCTCCCTCTCTCCGGTGCCCTCCTGAGGGGGCCTCATGACTGGTGACTCTCCCACCCTCCTGATGGACGGTTAACTCGCCAAGGGCTCCGTCTCCTTCATTTCTGTAACCCCGGCACTCAGCAGAGCCTCTGCACACAGCAGGCGCCCACTCAGTGTTTGCTAACTGGAGTTGAACATTTGCCTTAGTTTTATGTTTAGTCTTTTCTGTTGGCCTTATTTTATTTATTTATTTATTTATTTTTGAGACAGGGTCTCACTATGTTGCCCAGGCTGGTCTCAAACTGTCAGGCTCAAGTGATCCTCTTGCCTCAGCCTCCTGAGGAACTGGGATTACAGGTGTGAGCCACCATGCCCAGTGAGTTTATTTTATTTTAGTCATGTTCATTTGTTTTCTAGTTCATCTTTAGTTTGATTTTTACAACATTTATTCTCCTTTTTCTGATTACAAAACGAACGTGCTCATTGCCAAAAACATTGAAAATACACCGTAAATACACAGGAAATAGGAAATTACTCATGATTTGGCTGCGCAGAGATCACTGTGATTAGCATTTGGTGGGTCACTTTGACTTCTTCTCATTGTGCACTTTCCCTTTTAGTAAATCTTACACTGGGACCATTTCTTATGTCCTCACTCTTCTTCAAAGGCCTCGTATTTGATGGCTGCATAATATTCCATTTCGTCATTTTATCATTATTTAATCAAGCGTGCCACACACAGATGATCGTGACACCCCCTGTGCCCATCCTCCTCCACAGACACAACCCCTGGCCACCCCCGCATCTGTAAACACACCCGGCCGTGCCGCAGTGGCCCCTAAGCCTCACAATTGAGGTGATTTCCCAGAGGAGGCTGAACAATGCCCTGGACATGTGGACCCAGCAGGGTGGGGTTCCAGCCTTTTCCTCCTACTGTCCCTCAGACAGACAGAGAGACAGACAGATGGCCAGCCAGCCAGACAGGCAGACAGGACAGGCGGGTGGGACAGGCGGGTGGGACAGGCAGGCGGGACAGGCAGGCAGGAGGCACCAGGGGAAGGCGGAGGCAATAGCGTTGGGGGTGTCTGGCCTTTTGGGGGGGTCAAGTGGTAGGGAGATGGGGTCCTTGGGAGCAGGGCCCTGGCCTGGATGGGAGCTGAACTCTGCAGGGTGAGCCCTAGAGAAGAGCAGGTAACAGGGAGGGACTTCCTCTGCTTAATCCTCTCAAGGGCAGGCAGAAGGAGGTGACTGATGGTCTCAGAACCAAACAGTTGAATTTCAGAATCCTGGGACCACAGAGGACTGATGAGGCTGGCCCCAGGGACCACATCCTCTAACCCTGTGATGATCAAGTGGAGGTGCAGAGGCCCAGGGACTTCTCAGGCCTCCTGACTCCAGCAAAGAGCTGCTCCTGCCTCTCGCTGTGGCCTGGACCAGGTTGCTCTGGTCCCTGTGCCCAGAGCCACCGTGAGCTGTTGAAGTGGGAAATGGGGCCTGCAGTGCAGATGGAGCTGGAGTTCCCAGGACTGGGCAGGGGCTTGGGGTGGTCCTCGAGCCAGCAGGAGAGGGGAGGGAGAGGGTGGGAGGCTAGAGACTGGCAGCCCAGATGCATCCATCCCACTGCAGCCCCTCCTGCCTGTCCCCTCCCGGCCCTGGAAGACCCCTCCAGGCTCCCCAAGGGCAGAGGGCAGCATGGGGAGCGGGCTTGGTCTCCTGCAGAGTGGAGGTCTCTGAAGCCTCCAGCTCCCAGCTTCTCCCCAGACTGCTCTGGGCCTGAAACTAGGGGGCGTTTGCAGAAAAACATGGAAAAGAATTACCCTAGTTTCTGGTGGTTTTGCAGAACAGCAAGTCCCCGGATTCCCGGGTCAGCTTGACCGAGCTAGCTGTGGGATCTTGGACAAGGACCCCTTTCCTCCTAGGACCCCAAAGGCACTCCCAGGGTGAGGGCTCCAGAGCCTGACCGCCCCCAGGCCCTCCCCTCTGAATGTTCGAATCCTGCATACCATGGCTGCGTGGCGGTGGGAACCACTATATCCCACCAGGCCCGGCCCAGTGCGGAGAAGGGATGGGCTCCTGCCCTTAGCCAGAGGCACAGGCTCTGCAGAGAGGCAGTGATGATGCCATAGAGCGTGACAAGGGCAGCAATGCTGGGGTTGCCCAAGGAAGGGATCAAAGTCTCCCATCTTGCAGACAGAGATACTGAGTCCCAGAGAGGGGAAGTGGCTGTCTGGGCACTGGAGACTAGAACCCAGGAGTCTTCTACCTCTCCCCTCTTCCGGCTCTGACCCCGAGAGCTTCCCTGGGGAACGGTAGGTGGGCTAGGGAGCCCCATAAGGTAGAACTGAAAGCAGAAACTCCTCCCCTGTTAACTGACTCCTCCCAGAGCCCCCGAATCTCTGCTTCCAGGGTTGGGGTTCATTTGCTTCTGCGATAGTCTGGGATGGGTGGGACTGGCACAAGATGGGTCCTCTATCACCCCAAGTCCAAGGGGCGCCCCAAGCGGGGTGCTGCTGTGCCGTGTCGGGCCAGCATGGCAGTAGGCCAGGGCCCCCGGCAGCGCCGAGGCAGCTGGACAGGGCGGCCGCCAAGAATGCCAGGAATGCGGAGCCGCCGTGTCCTTCCCGCTCCTCTTCCTCCCCCCCGCCAGCCCAGAACAGGATATTCCCTGTCCAGGGAAACCCAAGTCCGGTCCCTTTATGGGAAAACCATGGGGCATCTGGTGGGCACTGTTCCTGCACTGGGACGGGTGTTCAGCATAGGGGAGCCCTCAGAGACGGGGGCATTGGGTGCTGCTGCGGAGGATGCAGGGGTCTGTGGGGGCTGGCTCTGTGTGGGTTCAGCACATATGAGGGCCTACTATGCGCTAAGGGCTTCATGTGAATTAACTCACTCAGTCTCACATCAACCCTGGGAGCTTCTGCTTTGCAGATCAGGAAACTGAGGCTCACAGAGGCTAAGGAGCTTGACCGAAGGCCCTAGCTAGCAAGCCGCAAAGCCAGTCAGACTCTGATACCCAGACTCTCAGCCATAGGCCAGGTGGCCCCAACTCAACTGTGGCCATGGGGGCATGGCCTGTGCCCTCACATGGCACCTGTGGGGGAAGGGCACGTTGTTCCCAGCTGGTCAGTTTCAAAGGTGGCAAAGGTTTGTCTTAGAGATGCAGAGTCCGGCCCTGCCCCCGGGGCTGTTCTTGCAGATCTCAGCACCATGGAATCCCAGAGTTTGATCAGGATACAGACCATTGGCACCAGGAGGGGCTCCTCTGGACCCTCCCTAATGAGCAGGGGAGGCCGTCACTCTGGAGGTTCAGGGATAAGAGGTGGGGCTCTGAGAAAGCTGAAGGGGGGACACAGGGTAGGGGAGAGAGCGGGGCTAGCTGCACCAACTCCAGCCCTGGGATCCTAGAGGTGCCGCGCCCCGCCCTGGGCTGCACGCCCATCACCTCCCTTCGAGGCCAGCCCACCTCGGCCCTTTGGTTTGGCTACAGGTCTGGGGCATTACCCTAGCAGGGTCAGGTGCAGGCAGAGACGTGGAGACCCTAGCCTTGGATCAGGCCTTGGGCGGGTGGAGAACGGAGAAAATGCAGAGGCACGGGCTGTGCTGCCACCCTCGCAACCCCCGAAACCAGCCCAAAGTGATTGGAGACCAAGGGACCATCTGCACGAGAAATTCTCCCCATTTAGAAATAGGGGAAACTGAGGCACAGGGAGGCCATGTGGCTTGCTCAGAGTCATAGAGCTGTCACGCTGTCACCTAGTGGAGATGTGATTGGAATCCTGGGCTTTCTGTCTCTGGCCCCCACCTGGGGGCCCCTCACGGTTCCTCTCTTCTCCCCTGCTTCCCTAGCCCCCCAAGTCTGGCTGGTTCTATTCCAGTGTGTTGTCCTGTAAGGGCTTCGGGTCCCCCGGGGGGCCAGGGTCAGGTAAACAGGATCCCAGCCGCATTCCCTGACCTTGTTTACCTCCCAAAAGAATGTGAGGGCATTCTTCCCCTTCCCGGGCTGTGAGTCAGCTCCCAGCAATGCGCCGGCTGGCTGCTGGCTGCCCTTCCCCCATGCAACCCCCTCCAGACCCCTGCCCCTTGCCTTCTCACCCGGTGACGTCACTGATGTCACCCCTCCCCATACCCCCATGGAGCCCACCAGGCCTCCAGTTGCCATGGCGACGGCTCACAACAGGAAGCACAGCCCCATCGAGGCCTGCGCTGGGGCAGAAACACAGGAAGCCGCGCTAAGCACTGAGCAGCATTGTCAGCCCCGTAAAAAACAAAACAGGACAAAAAGATTTAATGAGAACAATCAGCCCAAAGAAAAAGGAAAAAAAAAAAAGACCAAAAAAACAAACAAAGCCAAACAGCCTGAAGGCAGGGGGCTGGCAGGGCTCCAAGGACCCCACGTTTTCCCTCCCAACACAATGTAGGCTCAATAATACTTCCTTCTCAGAAGGAGGCTCCCGGGGGTGAGCAGCGGCTGCAGCAGCTCCAAAACTACCCTTGGCTACCCTTGGTAACCCCAACGCAGGTCCAGCTCTATGCCCTCTACTGAAGGCTTTGGGGGACTGGATAGGCTAGTCCTGCCCCCACCTCCCCAAGTATTACCCCTCCTAAGTCCTGCTAGGGGACGTATTCAGTTCAGTGGAAGAAAGAGCACAGGCTCCTGGGTCACCCAGATGGAAAATCTACTCCTGGCCCAGCCGCTGCCTGATGATTGTGAGATTCTGTGTGGGTGGCGATCTCTCTTGCACCTCACTTTCCTCATTGGTTTTGCACCTCACTTTCCTCATTGGTTTTGTAACCATCACTGTCATCAGCATCCGCCTTCACACCTCACAGAGGTGTTGCAAAGCTCAGGCGAGCTGGCACATCAACTAGCACCCAGTAGGTGCTCAATGCGTGCAGAAGGAACTCACAGAGGATGAATGAATGGGGCAGAAATTCCGTGGAGGCAGCTAGCTCAGCTCTGAACTAACTATCAGAGATGGACAAGATGCCCCAGGGGGTATGGGGCTCCCCATCGCTAGACGGGGCAGGCTTGTGAAGGCTTGGTGGGACCTTGTGGAAGGGACTGAGCCCTGGAACAGGGAGGGTGTAGGGGAGGAGCAAAGCTCCCTCCCTCCAGCAGAAGGCTCTGGCCCAGTGGTCCTGTCTGGATAATCCCATTTAGTCTGGTATCTGGTTGATGCCTGCACCGTGACTATGGGAAGAGACCCCACAGTGTCAGTGGGGCAGTTAGTGGTGGGGGGACCCCTGGCTCTTTCTCCATTGCCTGGAGAGAGTAGGGTCCCAGGGCAGAGGAGGCCACCATTCTAGTCCATTTAGGAATGTGACGGATAAGAATGATCCCCGTGGGACAGTGGCAGAGCTGGACTCTGATCACACGGGCAGGTCAGGCCATCCCCTGTCATGTGGATCGGTCCAGCACCTGCTGTTAGCCCAGTGGTTCCTGCCAATGATTGGTGATAGAGCTGGCCTTGCAGGGCCCGGTTGGGGAGTGGGGAACGGGATGCTTAGGCGAGGAGGCTGACTGAGGTTCAGAGCCTGGCTCCAGGTGGTCAGAGAGGCCACCTGGGGGAAATGGGCCAGAAAATGCGGACGGGACTTTGTTGGGTAAGGACAAAAATGGTAGCTGTTCCACTCAAGGGCATAGCAGGAGCACAGGCGTGGCAGTGAGAAAGCCCAGGGTGTTCTGGCCACGGGACCCAGATCTGCACACCTGTAGTCAAAGTTGGTGTCACAAGATAGAGAGATCCCATGGAAAAGAGGCTGGAACCAGATCACAGAGGGTCTTCAGTGTCACTGCCAGGAGTCGGGAGCTGACACCCTAGGCACCGGGGAACTGCTGGGGGCTTTTGACCAGGGTAGTGATATGTGCAGCCGGGTAATTTAGGGTGACGCCTCCGTGTGGATTAGGAGTGGAGGATGCACCAGGAAACAGCATAGGATGGGAGGTCAGAATCTGGGGTCTGCTGAATTGGCTTCTTTTCTTTTGAACTTAATAATAATGAGACATAATAGGTGTTCAATCAGGCCGGGCACAGTGGCTCACGCTTGTAATCGCAGCACTTTGGGAGGCCGAAGCAGGCAGATCACCTGAGGTCAGGAGTTTGAGACCAGCCTGACCAAGGTGGTGAAACCCCATCTCTAGTTAAAAAAAAAAAAAAAAAAGTACAAAATTAGCCAGGCGTGGTAGCACACGCCTGTAATCCCAGCTACTTGGGAGGCTGAGGCAAGAGAATTGCTTGGACTCAGGAGGCGGAGTTTGCAGTGAGCTGAGGTCACACCGCTGCACTCCAGCCTGGGCAACAAGAGTGAAACTCCATCTGAAAAAAAAAAAAAAAAAGGTGTTCAATCAATATTTATAGAATGAATGAATGGCAACCACCTTATACTGTGATATTTATTTTGCATACGTTGTCTTGTCAATTCTCACTACAAGCCTAAAAAATAGGCCTCATTCTTCCTGGTTTTACAAATGAGAAAATGGAGGTTCAGAGAGGTTGAGGGACCTGCTCCAGGCTGCACAGCATGCTGTGGTGGAGCAAGATTCCAGCACAGCTGAACCCACCCACCATCTCCCACTGCAGAGTCCACCCCAGCGCTGGGCTCTGTGCTGAACCCACCCACCATCTCCCACTGCAGAGTCCACCCCAGCGCTGGGCTCTGTGCTGAACCCATCCACCATCTCCCACTGCAGAGTCCACCCCAGTGCGGGGCTCTGTGCCAGGCCTGGGGGACACACAGATAACTGAACTCCAACCATGTGCCTGAGTAGCCCCCAGATTAGAGGCCTCAGTTTTCCCAGCTGTGGACTGAGGGCTGGTGGAGGAGTGCTCAGGGAGGGGGCTGCCCAGGGCCCAGCTGGGGGAAGACAACACTGAGACATGGGAGGAAGGGAAGGGTGCCCTGAGAAGAGGCAGGATAACTGTGGGGCGCTTGCAGGAAAGGAGCAGAGGCCAGGGCTTGCTAAGGGGATGAGGGGAGAAGCAGACGTGCTGAGAGGCAGGAGCAGGTGGTCAGAGGCTGGGAGGAAATGGATCTCGGCCGCAGCCCTGGGTCCCAAACACAGGCAGACGGGGGATGGTGCGAGGGGGCTGCACCTGGGGCCTCAGGTGGGACCCGGAAAAGACATGCCTGCCCACACCTCCTCCTGCCCCTCTATCCTCCATCCGGCGCCGCTCGCGCACCTGCCCCTCCGGCCCCCATCCGGCCCGGGGGTGGGAGGAATGAGGACCTCTTCCAATCCCTGGTGGAAATCCTCTCGGGGGCTGTTGAAAGGGGCTGTAGGAAGGGTTGTAGTCTGTGGGTGGCTTGGGTCTGGAGCAAGGGAGGAGAGGGGAGCTGGGCAGAACAGGGAGGCTCCTGGGAAAAGCCCACGGGAGGGGGGCCGGGGCTCCTTGGACAGGAAGGGACAAGGGGTTTCCACGATGGCGGAGGAAGGCGTGCTGGCCTCGGAGCCACCAGGCAGAAGCCCTCATTTTGGTTCTGCTCCACACAAGGGGTGGATCCTCAGCAAGCGATTCCCCTCTCTGGGCCTCAGTTTCCTCATCTGTAACAGGAGGGGATCTGACCGCAGGGAGGGGCAGCAGGCAAGCCCAGTGCTTAAGAGTGTGGGTCTGTTTGGGACTGGACTGTCTGGGCTCGATCCTGGCTCCGGTGGCCGCGCAGACAGGCCCCATGGTGAGCGTCTTCAGAAAACAGGATGTGACCCAGCCTGCAGGTGTGCAAATGTCTAGCTCCATCACCCGATAGCTGCTTTGCAAGACGCTCAGCCTTCTCTTCCATTTTCCCGTGACACACCCATCATCCACAGCCCTCCTCCCTGTACTGTGGAGGGTGCTGATGGTGGACGCTCAGGCAAGGAAAGCAGATGGGGCATGTCCCCTCGAGGACCTGCTGTGGGTCCTGCAGGCTCTGCCTCTGGCTTCCCTGGGGCCCCATCCACCCAACACCGAGCGCTGGGCAGCCGGACGCCGGGAATCTGGCGCCACCTGGTGGGCAGAGAGAATCCTGCTGTCCTCCAGGGCTCTGGACGGGAACTGGGCACCAGGCGTCCTGTAGCCATCCCTCTCTGTTTTTTATTCAACCGGGGCTGACCTTTTTAAGAGTTTAAATTTAATTTTTTGGTCAGGCGTGGTGGCTCACGCCTGTAATCCCAGCACTTTGGGAGGCCGAGGCAGGTGGATCACCTGATGTCAGGAGTTTGAGACCAGCCTGACCAACATGATGAAACCCCGTCTCTACTAAAAATACAAAAATTAGCCAGGCATGTTGATGCGCACGTGTAATCCCAGCTCTACTAGGGAGGCTGAGGCAGGAGAATCGATTGAATCTGGGGGGCAGAGGTTGCAGTGAGCTGAGATCACACCACTACACTCCAGCCTGGGCAACAAGGTGAAACTCCGTCTAAAAATAAATAAAATAAAATGTTAAATTTATTTTTTTTAGGGATGGAGTCTTGCTATGTTGCCCTGGCTGGTCTTGAACTAGGCTCAAGCAATCCTCCCGCCTATAGCTGGGTCCACAAGGGCACCTCTGTAACAGCTTTCCCCACTCCCGCTGCGTAACCCCATCTTCTGCCATCTCCCTGTGGCTTGCTGAAGGCTAGCCCCTCACTGGGCCTTTATCTACTCAAACACAGGACCCCTATTGTGTGCATGGCCCCAGGCAGAGCACCAGGCTGGTGATTGAATCAGGCAGTTCCCTGTCCCTCCCAGAGGAGCTCTCAGGCTGCTGGGGGAAACTCACAGACCACAGCAGGACCAGGGCTGTGGCTAAGGGGAGCCCAGAAGTTTTGGTGGGGGCAGGCAGAGGGGTAGCCAGGGCAGGCTGTGGAGGAGAAGCTGATCAGGCTTCGTTTTGAAAGCTGGAAGCAATAGTAATAGTGGAAGCATTTAGTAAGCAGAGAGCAGGTGTGGAGGTGTGCCATTGCAGAACAGCCCTGAGCTGAGAGCCACCGAGGGGTCGTTCTAGGGAGTGACATGGTCAGTCCACTGCCAGTGCGAGATGGTGGAGGTGGCTGAAGTGAGAGGTGCTGGTGGCTACGTCTTGGAGGGTGGTTGGTGGTTGCTATAGAGACTGGGAGAAGGGGATGGTGAGAGGTGGAGGGAGGTGAGCCAGAGGAGGCCCTGGAACACTCCTTGGGTACCTGGCTTGGCTGGCTCAGTTCACCTGGACAGGTACTGGAAAAAGGGGAGGAGGAGGGGGAGGAAGAAGTGACTTGGGAGAAGAAGAGGGCAGGGCGCTCAGGTCTGGGTATGTTCAGTTTGAGAGGTCGTGGGACCTCCAAGAGGAGCCATCCTGGGGGCAGTTGCAGCGGGATGTGTGATGTAATTAGGGAATAACTCGCAGTACCTGGTGACCTGTGAATTAGGGGGAAAAGTCTAGAATGTTCCCTTGAGATAGCCTAAGACGGTGCTTCTCACAAATAAATGTGCAGGTGAGTCCCCTGGGGGTCCTGCTACACTGCAGGTTCTGACTCAGTGGGTGTGGGGTGGATCCTGGGAATCTGCATTTCTGACAAGCTCTCGAGTGAGGTTGATGCTGCAGGTCTCAGACCACACTTTGAGGACAGAAGGTCTAAGACACTTAGAGGATGGTGGCAGTTGTCCTTGACATCAGGAACCCACATAGAGGTGGAGGTGGGTCTGAGAGTTTGGGTTTTTACAAGCTCTACAGATAATTTTGATGCCTGAGCAGGTAACGCGAGCCAGACATGGGTACAGACATACTGGGGGTGGGAAGGGGTGGCTGCATAATTTGTGGGGTCCCATGCAGAATGAAAACATGGAGCCCTTTGTTCAACAATTGTTATGAATTTCAAGACAGCAGAGCATTAAGCCACATGCCTGGCCCTTTGAGGAGGGAAGTCCTGTGTGACTGACTGACCACCTGCCCATGAAGGTGGTCCTCCTGGGGCGGGGGTTTGAGGCAGGAAGGTGAGGGGCTTCTCCTCTGATGACGTCTGTTTCCCCTCTGAAAGGAGAAGCCTCAGCTCAGTGGAGGGCACTATGCTTTCCCAGACTGGGGCATCCAAACTGACCTTCTACCTGCCCCATACCCCAGTTAATTCACCACATCTTTTCTCTCTCTCTAATCTGATTACCTCTCTCCATTCTCCTGCAGGGCCATAGTCTAGGCCATGCTCTTGTCTTTGCTGGGCCATGCAGAGGCTTCCTGAGTAGCCCACCCACCTCAGTCCTGTTTCCCTCCAGCGAAGGTCCACAGGCAGTTGCAGAGGCCCCCCGACTGCCTTCCCTTAGAGATTATATTCAGGGCCTCTTTTTTTGGTATTTACACATCAAAATTATACCTGTGTAATGTATATATATGTATTTTCTTATTATATGGATACACACGTCATTATACATGCATATAATTTATATTTATAATGTGTACATATACACACATATCATATAGTTCTGCAAGATTCTTTTTTTTTTTTTGAGACAGGATCACGCTCTGTCACCCAGGCTGTAGTGCAGTGGTGTGATCTCAGCTCACTGCAACCTCCACCTCCTGGGTTCAAGTGATTCGCCTGCCTCAGCCTCCTGAGTAGCTGGGATTACAGGTGCATGCCACCCCACCCGGCTAATTTTTAGTAGAGATGGGGTTTCACCATGTTGGTCAAGCTGGTCTCAAACTCCTGACCTCATGATCTGCCGCCCTCAGCTTCCCAAAGTGCTGAGATTACAGGCATGAGCCACCGCGCCTGGCCCTCTGCAAGGTTCATTGAGAAAAATAATATTCCCCACCCTGTTTTACCTCTTTCCAGAGGCAACCATTTCAGTTCCTTTAGCTGGTTCTTTTGTGTAAACCACGAAAACTGCATGCTATGGGCCACTTCTGGATCTTTTGGTGTTTAACATTACCTATTGATGGCTACTATAGAGTGGGAGGGTATGGCTCTCCTCTGCTCCTCCTTTCCCTCCATTCTCCCAGCATAATAATATTGTCCTTTTGGTTATAGCAATATCCAGTATTATATCATTAAGATTATGTCAGTTTGCTTCATAGCTGAGCCACATGGTATACTATGACTACTTTCACTTCTCAAAATTAACTGTATTTTTTCTGGGCTTTCTATTTGTCTTTTATTTTGCTTCATTTTATTTTATTTATTTTGAGACAGGGTCTCACTCTGTCACCAAGGCTGGAGCGCAGTAATGTGATCACAGCTCACTGCACCCTCAACCCCATGAGCTCAAGCCATCCTCCCACCTCAGCCTTCTGAGTAGCTGGGACTACAGGCACATACCACCACACCCAGCTAATTTTTGATATTTTGTAGAGACTAGGTCTCACTATGTTGCCCAGGCTGGTCTTGAACTCCTGTATACAGCAAGTCTTCCTCCTGCCTCAGCCTCCCAAAGTGCTGGGATTACAGGTGTGAGCCACTGTACCTGGCCTGCTTCATTTTTTAAAATGTGCTTATTACTAGTTTGATCGCAGACATCCTGCCAATTACCTAAGCCATCTCAATGCTTTTGGGCCCATCAGCTATTCCGTCAATTTCATCTTCCTGAAGGCAGCTCTCCCAGTGCCTCCTAAGTTGCTGTGGTTTGAACCGACTCTCCTCTGCACCCAGGCTATACCCGTTGTTCTGGAAATCTCCTTCAGTTCTCTCCTTTCCCCCTGGCTCTCATGACTTCTTTTTGTTGTTGTTGTTGCTTTGTTTTGTTTTTTTGAGACAGAGTCTCACTCTGTCACCCAGGCTGGAGTGCAGTGGCATGATCTTGGCTCACTGCAACCTTCATCTCCTGGATTGAATAAATTCTGTTGCCTCAGCCTCCCAAGTAGCTGAAATTACAGGTGCCTACCACCATGCCCGGCTAATTTTTGTATTTTTAGTAGAGACAGGGTTTTGCCATGTTGGCCAAGCTGGTCTCGAACTCCTGACCTCAGGTGATCCACCCACCTCAGCCTCCCAAAGTGCTGGGATTACAGGCATGAGCCACCACGCCCAGCCTCCCATGACTTCTTATTTGTTTTACTCCATCTTTTTGGTGGCAAAAATCCTGCAGTATCTTCCTGAGAAAGAGTGCATGGGCAATAAAATTTGGGAGACTTTGCGTGTCTGAAATGTTTTTGTGTCCCTCCTCATACTTCTTTGGTAGTTTGGTTAGGTATAGAATCCTAAGTTGAAATGATGTTTTTCCAGGAATGTGAAGGGATTCCTCTATCGTCCTCCTACTTCTACTGTCTCTATTGAGCAGTCTGAAGTCATTCTGGGTCATCATTTTTGTATATGACCCATTGGTTGTTTTTTTTTTTTTTTTTTTAACAGAATCTTGCATTGTCACCCAGGCTGGAGTGCAGTGACGTGATCTCGGCTCACTGCAACCTCCATCTCCTGGGTTAAAGCGATTCTCCTGCCTCAGCCTCCTGAGTAGCTGGGATTACAGGTGCATGACACCATGCCTGGCTAATTTTTCTATTTTTAGTAGAGAGGGGATTTCACCATGTCGGTCAGGCTGGTCTTGAACTCCTGACCTCGTGATCTGCCCACCTCAGCCTCCCAAAGTGCTGGGATTACAGGTGTGAGCCACTGCACTTTCTCAATCTAATAAAGGGTGTCTACACAAATCTATAGCCGACATCACAAATTCTGGTAAAAATCTGAGTGCTATCTCCCTAAGATCAAGAAGAAAGCAAGTATATTTACTTTCAATATTTCTATTCAACATTGTACTGAAGGTCTTAGCCAGTGCAATAAGGCAAGAAAAAGAAAGGCATACAGATTAGAAATAAATTAAAGCTGTCGTTATTCACAGACATTATCATCTATATAGAAAACTGAGACAGGCTCTGTGGCTCATACTAGTAATCCCAGCACTTTGGGAAGCTGAGACAGGCAGATCACTTGAGGTCAGGAGTTCGAGACTAGCCTGGCCAACATGGTGAAACCCTGTCTTTACTAAAAATACAAAAACTAGCTGGGCGTGGTGGCTTATGCCTGTAACCCCAGCTACTTGGGAGTCTGAGGCAGGAGAATCACTTTAATCCAGGAGGTGGAGGTTGCAGTGAGCCGAGATTGTGCCATTGCATTCCAGCCTGGGCAACAAGAGCAAAAACCTTTGTCTCAAAAAAAAAAAAAAAAAAAAAAGAAAGAAAGAAAAAAGAAAACTGGAC
This sequence comes from Homo sapiens, assembly GCF_000001405.40. Taxonomy (NCBI): domain Eukaryota; kingdom Metazoa; phylum Chordata; class Mammalia; order Primates; family Hominidae; genus Homo; species Homo sapiens. Next base: position 39,165,827 of record NC_000022.11, on the reverse strand, counting down.
CAGGTATCCTGGCTCATACCAGTAATCCCAGCACTTGGGAAGGCTGAGGCAGGCGGATCACCTGAGGTCAGGAGTTCAAGACCAATCTGGCCAACTTGATGAAACCCGGTCTCTACTAAAAATACAAAAAATTAGGTGGGCGTGGTGGCGCACACCTGTAATTCCAGCTACGAGGGAGGCTGAGGCAGGAGAATCACTTGAACCCAGGAGGCAGAGGTTACAGTGAGCCGAGATGGCACCACTGCACTCCAGCCTGGGCGACAGAGCAAGACTTCATCTCAAAAAAGAAAAAGAAAAAGAAAAACGAAAAAAAGAAAACTGAATGGAATTCACAAAAAAGCTAGTGGAACTAACAAGCGAGTTTTGCAGTGTTGTCAAATACAAGCCCAATATAAAGAAATACCATTGAGTTGTATAAGCTAGTCATGAACAATTAAAATAGAAAATTAGAAACACCACTTAACAATGGCCATGAAACACTTAGGGATAACCTGGTGAAGATGTGAAACTGCAGTTGTACCCCCAAACTGTAGAACATTGCTTATAGAAACTAAACAGAACCTAAATAATGAAGAGATAGAATGTTTTCATGGGTTGGAAAATTCAATATTGTTAAGATGTAAATTATTTCCAAATTGATCTATAGATGCAAAATAATCCCAATAAAAATATCAGTAGTCTTTTTTCTTTTTGGTAGAAATTGACAATGTGCCCTTTGCCCTTTATATGAAAGGGCAAAGGATCTAGAAAAGCCAAAAAAAAAAAAAAAAAAAAAAAAGAACAAAGTTACAAGACTTAGACTACCTGATTTTAAGACTTAATATAGGGCTGGGCATGGTGACTGATGCCTGTAATCCCAACACTTTAGGCGACCAAGGTGAGAGGATCGTTTGAGGCCTGTAGTTGGAGACCAGCCTGAGCAACATAGTGAGACCCCATTGCTACAATTTTTTTTTTTTTTAATTAGCCAGGCATGGTGGCACACACCTGTGGTCCCAGCTACGCAGGAGGCTGAGGGAGAAGGATCACTTGAGCCCAAGTGATCAAGGAACAGAATTGAGAGTTCAGAATTTAATCCATGCACATAAAAGCAACTGACTTTTGATAAATGTGTTAAGGCAATTCAGTAAGGAGAAGTACAGTCTTTCTAACAAAAGGTGCTGGAACAATCGATTAACCTTATGGAGAAAAAAATGAACCTTGACCCTCACCCCACATCATATATAAAATTAACCCAAAATGGATCCTATTCTGCAATGTGAGAGCTTTTGTTCTTCAAAAGACATCATTTAAAAAATTAAAAGGTGGCCAGATGCAGCGGCTCATGCCTATAATCCCAGCACTGTGAGAGGCCAAGGCAGGTGGATTGCTTGAGTTCAAGAGTTCGAGACCAGCCTGAGCAATAGTGCCAAACCCTATCTCTACAAAAAAAATGCAAAAATTAGCCGGGCATGGTGGTGTGCATCTATAGTCCCAGCTACTTAGGAGGCTGGGGTGGGAGAATTACTTGAGCCTGGGAGGTCAAGGGTACAGTCAGCCATGATCATGCCATGGCACTCCAGCATGGGTGACAGGGTGAGGCCCTAGCTCAAAAAAAAAGAAAGAAAGGAAAAGAAAAAAGAAAGAAAAAAATTAAAAGGCAAACCAGTCTTGGTGAAAATATTTATATAAAGAAATCTTTTTTTTTTTTTTTTTTTTTTTTTTTGAGACAGAGTCTTGCTCCGTTTGCCCAGGCTGGAGTGCAGTGGTGCCATCTTAGCTCACTACAACCTCTGCCTCCTGGGTTCAAGTGATTCTCATGTCTCAGCCTCTCAAGTAGCTGGGATTACAGGCACACACCACCATGCCCGGCTAATTTTTGTATTTTTAGTTGAGACGGGGTTTCACCATGTTGGTCAGGCTGGTCTCAAACTCCTAACCTCAAGTATCTGCCTGACTCGGCCTCCCAATGTGCTGGGATTACAGGTGTGAGCCACCATGACTGGCCAAAAATTCTTGTAACTCAAGACTAAGAAGATGATCTGATTTTTAAAATGGGCAAAATATTTGAAAACGCATTTCACCAAAGAGGATATATGAATGGCAAATAACTACTTGAAAGGGTCCTCAACATCATTAGCCATTAGAGAAATGCAAATTCTCTACATTCAGTCAGTATATGGGCAATAAATAGCTAAAATTGAAGATTGACAATATCAAGAGTTGGTGAGGATGTGGAGCAACTGGAACTCTCAAATAGTGTTGGTGGAAATGCAAAATAGCACAGCTACATTAGAAAACAGTTTGGAATTTTCTTTAAAAGTTACTATACATGGCCAGGTGCCATGGCTCACACCTGTAATCCCAGCACTTTGGGAGGCCGAGGCGGGTAGATCACCTGAGGTCAGGGGTTCAAGACCAGCCTGACCAACATGGAGAAACACTGCCTCTACTACAAATACAAAAATTAGCTGGGCGTGGTGGTGCGTGCCTGTAATCCCAGCTACTTGGGAGGCTGAGGCAGGAGAACTGCTTGAGCCCAGGAGGCGGAGGTTTCAGTGAGCCAAGATCACGCCACTGCCCTCCAGCCTGGGCAACAAGAGCAAGACTCCATCTCAAAAAAAAAAAAAAAAAAAAAGTTAAAGTTACCATACATAGGCCAGGCACAGTGGCTCATGCCTGTAATCCCAGCACTTTGAGAGGCCAAGGTGGGTGGATCACGAGGTCAGGAATTTGAGACCAGCCTAACCAACATAGTAAAACCCCATCTCTACTAAAAATACAAAAATTAGGCCGGGTGCGGTCGCTCACGCCTGTAATCCTAGTACTTTGGGAGGCCGAGGCAGGTGGATCACCTGAGGTCGGGAGCTCGAGACCAGCCTGGCCCACATGGCAAAACCCCATCTCTACTAAAAATACAAAAAAATTAACCAGGTGTGGTGGCAGATGCCTGTAATCCCAGCTACTCGGGAGGCTGAGACAGGAGAATCACTTGAACCCGGGAAGTGGAGGTTGCAGTAAGCCGAGATCACACTACTGCACTCCAGCCTGGGTGACAGAGTGAGACTGTCTAAAAAGAAGAAGAAGAAGAATTGTTCCACATTCTTGCCAGTGCTTGCAAGATTTTTTTTTTAACGGTCTCTCGCTGTCACCCAGGCTGGAGTGCAGTGGCGTGATCATATCTCACTGCAGCCTTGAACTCCTGGGCTCAAGTGATCCTCCCACCTCAGCCTCCTGAGTAGCTCAGAGTACAGGCATGCACCACCACACCTGGCTAATTTCTGATTTTTTTGTAGAGACAAGGGTCTTGCTATATTGCACAAGCTGATCTCGAACTCCTGGGCTCAAGCAATCCTCCCACCTCAGCCTCCCAGAGTATTGGGTTTACAGGCGTGAGCCACCACACCTAGCCTGCTTGCAATAATTTTTAAAACGGACTTTAACATTTTTGTTAATCAGTCGTATCTCATTGTGGGATTTTATTTGCGTTACTCATGAGCTTGAACAACTTTTCACAACTGTTGGCCACTGGTGATTCCTCTCTTTGCCTGTCCAAGTCTTTGCCACATTCTGCACTCCTGTATTTTGCTACAACTGATTGTCCATCTTCCCACTTGATTCACAGGAACTCTTTACATCACCTCCTTTGTCCATTTATGAGTGTTTTAAATATTTTTCTTTTCTGTTCACTTTATATATATTTTCTTCTTTTCTTTTCTTTTTTTTTTTGAGACGGAGTCTCACGTTGTCGCCCAGACTGGAGTGCAGTGGTGCCACCTCAGCTCACTACAACCTCTGCCTCCTGGGTTCAACCCTGCCTCAGCCTCCCGTGCAGCTAGAATTACAGGTGCCTGCCACCACGCCTGGCTAATTTTTGTAGTTTTTAGTAGAGATGGAGTTTTGTCATGTTGGCCAGGCTGGTTTGAACTCCTGACCTCAGGTGATCTGCCCGCCTCAGCCTCCCAAAGTGCTGGGATTACAGGTGTGAGCCACCGCGCCTGGCTCTTTTTGTTTTGTTGTTTGTTGGTTTGGAAATGGAATTTCACTCTTGTTGCCCAGGCTGGAGTACAGTGGTGCAATCTCGGCTCACTGCAACCTCCGCCTCCCAGGTTCAAGCGATTCTTCTGAGTACCTGGGATTACAGGCACCCACCACCACGGCCGGTAATTTTTTGTATTTTTAGTAGAAACGGGGTTTCACCATGTTGGCCAGTCTGGCCAGGCGGGTCTCGAACTCCTGAACTCAGGTGATCCACACACCTCAGCCTCCCAAAGTGCTGAGATTATAGGCATGAGCCACCGCTCCTGGCCTTGTTTTTTTAAGACAGGGTCTCACTCTGTCACCCAGGCTGGAGTGCAGTGGCACGATCTCAGCTCACTGCAACCTCCACCCCACAGGTTCAAGCGGTTCTCCTGCCTCAGCTTTTCAAGTCGCTGGCTGACTTTATATGTATTTTCATAAAGAAAGCTCATAGTTTTAATGGAGTCTAAGTTATCAATTGTTTCCTATATGAATTATGTTCCTGGTTTCTTGTTTAAGAAACGATTCCCTACTTCATGATCATAAAGATAAAGATATTTTAAAATATCATCTTCTAAAAGTTTCAGAATTTTGTCTTTCACATTTAGGATTTGAAGTCAGATGGAGTCAATTTTTGCCAGGCAGGAGGTCTAATGGTCTAATTTCCTGTATGAATAACTATCACCATTTATTGAAAAGTGTATCCTTTACCCAGTGACTGCAATTTTATTCTCTCTCTCTCCTTCTCTCTTTGACTAAGCTCTCATTGTCATTCCTTTTTTTCTATTTGTCTAGTCTTGAACAATAGGACATTGTTTTATTTGCTATAGCTTTATGTCTTGTTGTTGTTTTTTTTTGTTTGTTTTTTGTTTTAAACAGTCTCGCTCTGTCACCCAGGCTGGAGTGCAGTGGAGCCTGAACCTCCCAGGCTCAAGCGATCCTCCTACCTTAGCTTCTAGAATAGCTGGGATCATAGATAGCTACATGCCACCATGCCTGACTAAATTTTGTATTTTTAGCAGAGATGGAGTTTTGCCATGTTGGCCAGGCTGGTCTCGAAATCCTGACCTCAAGTGATCCTCCCGCCTTGGCCTCCCAAAGTGCTGGGATCACAGGTGTGAGCCACCGTGCCCGGCCAAAAAAATAAATTTAGATCTTCTTTAATGTCTTGCAATATAATTTTATGATTTTATTCCATAAGGGCCTTGCATATTTTCATTAGATTTATTCCCAGATATCTTACATATTTTTATTATAATATAAATAATATTTTACTTCATTTTCTAATTATTACTGGCATATGGAAACACAAAACACAATAGGTTTTTGTCTGTTGATATTTTATCCAACAATTTGCTAAATTTTCTTATTAATTATAATAAATATTCTGAAGATTTTTAAAATTTTCTACATAAAATCTGAAAATAATGATGGTCTTCTTTCTTTCTTTCTTTTTTGAGACAGAGTCTCACTCTGTAGCTCAGGCTGGAGTGTATTGGTGCGATCTTTGCTCACTGCAACCTCCGCCTCCCAGGTTCAAGCAATTCCCCTGCCTCAGCCTCCCGAATAGCTCGGACTACAGGTGCAAGCCACCACGCCCGACTAATTTTTGTATTTTTAGTAGAGACGGGATTTCACTATGTTGACCAGGCTGGTCTCAAACTCCTGACCTTGTGATCCGCCCACCTCAGCCTCCCAGAAGACTTCACCTATAAGCTATTGAAGGCCTCCTAAAGTGCTGGGATTACAGGCATGAGCCACCACGACTGGCTGATGGTCTTATTTCAAATCACTTCACCTTTCTTTCATTTGTTGTCTTTTTTTTTTTTTTTTTTTTTTTTTTTTTGAGACCGTCTTTCTGTGTCACTCAGGCTGGAGTGCAGTGGTGCCATCTCAGCTCACTACAACCTCTGCCTCCTGAGTTCAAGCAATTCTCCTGCCTCAGCCTCTCCAGCAGCTGGGATTACAAGTGCCCACCACCACACCTGGCTAATTTTTGTATTTTCAGTAGAGATGGGGTTTCACCATGTTGACCAGGGTGGTCTTAAGCTCCTGACCTAAGGTGATTCACCTACCTTGGCCTCTCAAAGTGCTGGCATTACATGAGTGAGCCACTGCACCTGGCCTCATATAACTTTTGACTCTCCCAAAACTTAACTACTAATAATCTACTGTTGATTGGAAGCCTTACCTATAACATAAACAGTCAATGAACGCATATTTTATATGCTACATGCATTATATATTGTATTCTTACCATAAAGTAAGCCAGACAAAAGAAAATGTTATTAAGAAAATCATAAGGAAGAGAAAATATATTTACTCTTCATTAAGTGGAAGTGGATCATCATAAAGGTCTTCATCTCTTCATGCTTTGTAGGCTGAGGAGGAGGAGGAAAAGGAGGGGTGGGTCTTGCTGTCTTGCCACCTCCCAGAGGTGGAAGAAGACTCATGAATAAGTGGACCCACATAGTTCATACCTGTGTTGTTCAAGGATCAACTGTAATTTAAAATTTTCTAAAATCTTCATTAAAAATTAATTTATAGGCCAGGCGCGGTGGCTCACGCCTATAATCCCAACACTTTGGGAGGCCAAGGCGAGCGGATCACCTGAGGTCAGCAGTTCGAGACCAGCCTGACCAACATGGCAAAACCCCATCTCTTCTAAAAATACAAAATTAGCTAGGCATGGTGGTGCATGCCTGCAATCCCAGCTACTCAGGAGGCTGAGGCAGGAGAATCGCTTGAACCTGGGAGGCGGAGGTTGCAGTGACCTGAGATCACGCCATTGCACTCCAGCCTGGGCAAGAAGAGTAAAACTCCGTCTCAAAAAAAAAAAAAAGATGAATTTTTTGTTTAACCTAATGTATCAAAATATTATCATTTCCATATTAAATAAATATCAACTTATTAATGAGGCATTTTACATGTTTTGGGTACTAAATCTTTGAAATCTGGCCTGTATCTAATTTTATTCTTCTGTCTGAGTTCGAACTAGTCACATTTCAAATGCTTGACAGTCACATTTGGCCAATGGCCACCACAGTGGGCAACAGATTCAGGATATCCAGTGTGATGTTTAGCAGAAATGGGGATTCATCCAATCTTGCCTTGTAACTGATCTCAAGGGGATGTTTTCCACATTTCAACATTCATTAAGATATTTGCTGTAGGTTTTTTATAGAGCCCTCTACCAGGATAAAGACATTCCCTTGTGTTGATAGTTTGCTACAAGTTTTAAAACAAACAGATGTTGAACTATTTCTGCATATACTGAGATGATCACATGTCTTCCTCCTTTAATTTTTTTTTTTTTTTTTTGAGTGGAGTTTGCTCTAGTTGCCCAGGCTGGAGTACAACGACACGACCTTGGCTCACTCCAACATCCACCTCCCGGGTTCAAGCGATTCTCCTGCCTCAGCCTCCGGAGCAGCTGGGATTATAGGCACCCGCCACCATGCCTGGCTAATTCTCCTTTCATTTTTTAATGAGGCAAATTATATTGACTGGTTTTCAAATGTTAAACCAACCTTGCATTTCTGGATTAGACCCAATTTTACCACTATGTAGTATCATTTTTACATACTGCTCAATTTGATTTGCTGTTTTATTTAGGATTTTGGTATCTATATTCATAAGTGACATTGGCCTGTAATTTTCTCTTGTGCTGTACTTGCCATATGAAGAATTGGGAAGCAGTCTCTCTTTTTCTATTATGTGGAAAAGTTGGGGGTAGCATTGGAATGAGTTCTTTCAAGAGCTTATAGGTGAAGTCTTCTGGGTCTGAGCTTTCTTTGTGGAAGCATTACCGGTTTCCTTCCTTTAATCATTATGGGGAGGTCTGATGTCCAGCTGGTGCCATAGGACTTCAGGTTGCTCAAATTCCAAAATAATTTCATACCAATTGGTATGTAGCCGCTACGATCAACCTCCTAAGTGCAATGACTCTTCCAGGGATGCCCCAGATCCCCCAGACCTTCTGATGTCACATAAATCACGGAATTACTGCCTGGACAGCCTTCTGGACCCTGCTCCATGTGAAGGCTGGAAAGTGTTTCAAATGGTCAGTAACTGGCTATGAAAGTATTTCATAATTTGGTACTATGACTAGGGATGGTACTCATTCGGGTTTTCTCTTCATCTTGCGACCATTTTGGTAAGGCATATTTTCCTAGGAACTTGCCCCTTTCATTCAAATTTTTACGCTATTGTAATGAGACTATTCATAATATCCTCTTTTATTTTCCTTTTTAAAATGTCTACAGGTTCTGTAACTTTTAATTACTGATATTAGTTAATTGTGTTTTCTCTCTTTTTTCTTGATCAATTTCAACAGGAGTCGTCCATGCCATTAGTCTTTTCACAGAAATAATGTTTGGTTTTGCTGATCCCATTTCATTATTTTCTCTTTACCATTTCTTCTTCTTCTTTTTTCTTTCTTTCTTTTTTTTTTTTTTTTTTTTTGAGATGGAGTCTCACTCTGTTGCCCAGGCTGGAGTGCAGTGGCATGATATAGGCTCACTGCAACCTCCGCCTCCAGGGTTCAAGCAATTCTCCTGCCTCAGCCTCCTGACTAGCTGGGAGTACAGGCACGAGCCACCAAGCCTGCTCATTTTTATATTTTTAGTAGAGATGGAATTTTGCCATGTTGCCCAGGCTGGTCTTAAACTTCTGACCTCAGGTGATACGTCTGCCTTGGCCTCCGAAAGTGTTGGGATTACAGGCGTGAGCCACTGTGCCTGGCCTATTTTCTCCTGTACCTTTACTCTTGCCTTCCTTTCATTTTCTTTGGTTTATTCTGCTGCTCTTTTTCTAGCTTCTTGAAACGAGCGCTTGTTCATTACTCTCAGCCTTTTCTCTTTACTAATATAAGCACAAAAGGCAATAAACTTCCCTCTAAGAAGCGCACTAGCCATAGCCCAACATTTTTACTATGTAATATTTCTATTGTCATTCAGTTAAAAATATTTTTTTCATGCTTAAAGGCAAATGTATTCAGTTCCTTTCCATGCAGCACACAATAAGTTTATCTATGTGCTTATTTCTTTTCCAAATCAACAGTTTGAGACAACCTTTCAGGGTCTGCTCATCCTCCATGGCGAGTCATCTTGCAATGTGATCTGGTAAGTGTCTTGCATGGGGGAAAAGGAACCTTCTTGCTGACCTACAGATTGGCCACATACGGGGTGTATGGGAGGAGACCTAACAACTATTGCCTCTTCTGCCACCATCAAGCTCATGGTAGGGCCACATTAACTTTTTTTTTTTTTTTGGAGACGGAGTCTCACTCTGTCACCCAGGCTGGAGTGCAGTGGCGCGATCTCAGCTCACTGCAACCTCCGCCTCCCGGGTTCAAGCAACTCTCCTGCCTCAGTCTCCCAAGTAGCTGGGATTATAGGTGCCTGCCACCACGTCTGGCTAATTTTTTTTTTTTTTGTATTTTAGTAGAGATGGGGTTTCATCATATTGCCTAGGCTGGTCTCAAACTCCTAAGCTCCGGCAATCCACCCGCCTCGGCCTCCCAAATTGCTAGGATTACAGGCATGAGCCACCGCACTTGGCCAAGGGCCACATTAACTTGTACCAAGAGATGCTTATAGAAGCCACTCGGATTTGCTACAGCAGGGAGGAAGGCACAGGAGAAGAGGAGAGACTTGATGTCCTATGATGGAGTGTAGAGACTGCTGGATGGAAAAAAAACAAGAACAATGAAAATAAGGTCATCTTCCTTAGGATGCCATGCCAAACAGAAAGCCTCCGAAAAATCCCCCAGTCACTAGAACATTCTTCACAAACGACACCACCTCCTCAGCTTTGCTCCTGACCTTGGTAGGTATCTGATTGCTCTTAAGGGATCTTCAGCAGCTCTTTGGCTTTCTTTATATCTTTCTCCACTCGTTGCCAGTCAACTTTGATGTACCCAGTATGATTTGCAAGCTGAAGGAGAAAAAAACAAAACACCTCCCACAACTGTTACAGCCAACTTTCCAACCTTCTGGGATATGAAACCCGTGCACCATTCAGTGACACCCCCAATGAACGGCTGGGTTGCCACCCTTCACTTTTCGGGGAAGGTCCAGATTCCTGCCTGAACAGCTTACACCACCATGGCTGTTTCTTAGCAAATTCCACAAGGTCCAGCGACTCAAAATTTCCCTCAAAGTTTGCTTGACTGGACTCGGCCATTTCATCGAGCTTGTCTTGCGAGGACACACGCAGAGGATCCGCGCTGTAGGAGGCGGAGTGGCACACAGAGTCATCACCACTGGTTGGCTTCCAGCACGAGGGACAGATTTCCATTCCCACGGCGACAGCGGAAGAGCAGTTAAAAATATTTTATAATTTCCATTACAATTTCTTTTTTTTGAACCGCTAGTTAACATAAAAACGTACCTCTTCCGTGGCTCATGCCTGTAATTGTAGCATTTTGGGAGGCCAAGATGGTTGAATCACCTGAGGTCAGGAGTTCGAGACCAACCTGGCCAACATGGTGAAACCCCACCTCTACTAAAAAGACAAAAATTAGCTGGGGGTGGTGGCGGGTGCCTATAATCCCAGCTACTTGGGAACCTGGGAGGCAGAGGTTGTAGTGAGCCAAGATCGTGCCACTTCACTTCAGCCTGGGTGAAAGAGCAAAACTCTGTCTCAAAATAAATAAATAAATATAATGAAAAACAAAAACAAAAAAACCCATACTTCTTACTTTCCAAACATATGGGGCTTTTGAAGTGAACTTTTTATTATTCATCTCTAGCTTATATGTGTTGTGGTCAGAGAATGTATTCTGTTATTTCTGACTTTTGAAATTTATTGAAATGAACTGTTTTTGTAAGTATTCCATGTCTTGTAAAGGGGAGTATTTTACCATGGTAGATAACAGTGTGCTATGAAGTCCATTAGTTAAGTTTATTAATTGTGTTCAAATCTCCTATATACTATTGAATATTTTTCTTCTTCTCCTACCACTTATGGAGGGGTGAGTGTTAAGATCTCCCACTATAATTGTGGATTTGTCTATCTCTCCATCTAGCTGTCTTCTTCATGTTTCTTATATTTTAAGATGATTTGCATACAAATGTGAAATTGTTCTATTTTTCTGGTGAATTGGACACTTTTCATTATGAAATGACCTTATTTATCTCTAGTGATGTTTTTCCCTCGATATTAAAATAACTGCACCAGCCTTCTTTTCGTTAGCATTTGCGTGGTATTTTCCCCCCATGTGTTTACTTTTGACCATCACTAGCTTTATGTTTTGGAAGTGTCTCTTGTGGGTTTCTCTTGTAAACTGCATCTAGCTATTTATGCATTCTGATAATCTTTGTATTTTAACTGCAATATTTAGTTGCATTTATTGAATCACAAAATATTCGAATTTATAGCTATCGTCTATTTGTCCCCTCCCTGCCCCGTCTTGTATTTATTTTTCTCTCCATTCTTGCCTGCTTTACAGTTGTTTGGGTTGGTTTAATCATTCTTTTTCCTCCTCCAATAATTTGGATAACTATACACAGTATTTCCAGTCCTACAGTGTTTATCCCAGTAATGACAATCTGGATTCTTAAATTCGTCAAAGTGTATTTGGTATCTATCTTCACCTTCCTCCTGAAGAATATAAGGATCTTAGAACACTTTAACTCCATTCACCCAAGTAAATGCCATCACTGTTGTGTATTTTAAATCTGTTTTTATCCAGAAGTCATTGTTATTGTTTCACACTATCGCTGTTCTTCATTTTTCTTTATTCCCAGTTGCATCAGACCTCCGTCTGGGATCATCTTTTTCCTGCCTGAAGTTCCAGCTTTGGAATCTCCCTCCGGAGGGTCTACCAGTGGCAAACTCTTAAGTTTTTGTATTTGTAAGTGCTATGATTTCACCTACGTTCTGGATACATGTGCCTCATACTGGGTACATAATTCTTGAAATACATTTTCACTGAATATATAATTCTAAGATGATGGTTATTTTCTCTCTGGCTTTGTTGCTCTTGATGAAAAGTCAGGTGTGAATCTATTATTCTCTTTTTCTATGTGCCAGAAAGAGGTGTTGGATTTTATTGTGAGGGAAATAGGGAGGAAAATTTTTAAGCACAGGGTGACCCCGTCAGATCTGCATTTTAGAAGCACACTCTGGCACTGTGTGGCTGAGATCGGAGGGAGGGCAGCTCCGCGAGGTCTCTGCTGTGGTCCAGAGAAAAGACGGGGCGAACCTGGGAGGTGGGTGCGGTGAGGGCAGGCAGACCCGAGTCCCCGAGGGGATGCCGGAGCGACAGAAGTTGGGGTCAGTACAGGAAGGAGCAGGGACGACGCCGGGCTCCCAGTGAGGAATGGAGGCGCGTTAGCGAAAAAGGAAGGGGGGTGGGGAATCAAGAGTTCGTCTCGTGCCACAAATGGTTGAGCCCCCACTAAGCACCTAGCGCCCAGTACACGCGGGTTTGGGGAAGGCTGGGGCAGCGCGGCGGCAAAATCCGTCCCCGGGGGACCTCAGCTCCACCGCGGCCGCTCCTGCCGCGAACGAGGGCCCGGCCCGGGAGCCCTCGAGGCAGCGCCCGCGTCTGACCCGTGCGTCTGGGCACCGACCACCGAGGGTCGGGTGGATGGACAAATGGAAGGGCGGATGGAGGGGTGGGTGGACGGACGTGGAGACACTGGCCAAACTGCGCCGCGGAGAAGGCCGGATTAGGGAGACCTCGGCCCTGCGACGTCCGGACACGGTGGGAAGCCTTTTGGGTCCCGGCTCTCCTGCAACTCGAGGGGCTGCGCCTCGGGCCCAGTCTCCTCCGCTGCGGGAGGTGAGCAAATGGCCTCCCCGCTCTGAGCCTTGACTTTGTCGTCGGCTCCACTGGGCCCTGCCACTTCGGCCCCTGGCAGTCACCGGGAGGCTATGAGGCGCCCGCCTGGGTATTAAGGATCACGTCCCGCCCCGGCGTCACAGCAAGACGGGGCGCGCGAGCCTCCGCCCCGCCCCAGCCGGTGACCGAGCCAAATAAGTCCCACGGCAGCGCTCGCGGCTCGCGGCCCGCGGCCCAATCGCAACCCGCGGGGGCGGGCCCCGGGGGCGGGGTTCCGATGGGGGCGGGGCTCGGGGGCGGAGCTGACCCTCAGGGCGCGAGCCGAGCCCGCGGCCGTTCCGCGCGCTCCCGCCCCGCCCCCTCCTTGCGCGCGCTCGCTCGCTGGCGCCGAGGAAAACGTTGCGCAGGTTCAAAAATGGAACGTCGGCGGCGTGAGGGAGCGCGAGGGGGTGTGCGCGCGTGCGCGTGCGCGTGCGCGCCCGGACGAGGGTGACGGGGACCCCGCCAGCCCCAGCATCGCGCGCCGCAGCCGCGGCCCCGCAGCTCCGCCCCCGGCCCGGCCCGGCCCCGGGCCCGCTCGCCCGCCGCCCCGCATGGAGCTGTCAGCCATCGGCGAGCAGGTGTTCGCCGTGGAGAGCATCCGGAAGAAGCGCGTGCGGAAGGTGAGGCTGCCCGGGGGCGGCTCCCAGGACCCCAGTGGGGTCCCTCCCGTCCCCAGCACCGCTCCCTCCACGCTGGGGCTGAAGGGGAAAGCGGGGCGCGGGGGCCCCGGCAGCCCTGCGCTGCTGGGCCCGTCTCCCCAGCCCGTGCCTCAGTTTCCCTGCCACCGTGTAGGGCGAGTAGAACAAAAGTTGTCGCTCCAGGATGCTAGTGGCGGCCGAGCCTGCCTGAGCTGGAGATTAGGATCGGACGTAGGGATCCTCAGCGCCATCCCACCTCGCTCCCCTTTTATTGTAAATATGGGGAGACTGAGGCCCAAGTTGAAAGGACTTGCCTAGCGCGTTATGGTCAGAGCTGGGTTTTGAACTCGGGACTCTGGACGCTTGGCACCAAATCCTTTCAAGTTGTAAGTGGAGCTTTGGAAAAGTCTCCTCCGGCCTCTGAAGTTTTTCCTGCTGGACTTTGGCCTTTTCCGATCCTGCCCCCTCTACGCCACCCGAGCACATCCCTATTCCCCGCCCCCACCCCCACCTCAACTCCTAGCCCAGGCCAGGGCTCTGAAGCCCGCCCCCTGCGCTGGGGCATCCCCTAGTCTCCTACCCCATCTGCCTTCTTCAAAACATACACCCTGCAATTTAAGGAGGTGTCTGTTCTGCTGGTTTCAGAACCCCACACTTTGGGGCTAGACTTTGTCCGGGCCTGGCGTCTACACCTCCCGTGCACTTGTTTGGCGAGGGGGCTCGCCTAAGGCTGGGGAAATCCTTGGGGAGAAGTTCCTTTCCTGGTACGCACTACTGTCCTTCCTTTGTCTCCTCCTCCCTGCAGCCCTTTGGGAGGCTCCAGGCCGACTGGGAGGGGCCTTAGGGGGTCACCTCCTCCCATTTAACAGAGACAAAAACTGAGGCCCAGGCAGAGGAAGTGACCTGCTCAAGGTCACCGAGCAAGTTAGATAGGGAGGTAGAGCAGGAGCTCAACTGGGCTGATTGGCAGCCCATCTTCTTTCTCCATAGAGAAAACTCAGTCCTGGCATCTCGGGCCAAGGGTGAAGGTCAAGGTGGTCAGGAGCATCTTTTCTTCCTCCAGCTGTGCTTGGGGTTTTACTCTTCTGATTGAGGCAGCTGTTCCTCCTCCTTCTCCTTTTTCCTAGGGTTTTCTCCACTTAAAAGAGAATTGATTTATTCCACAAAGCTCAGTGCTTTTCGTGCTGTGTAGCCTGAAGCAGGCACAGCACTAACTCCCTCTACGATGGAGCCCGCAGGGTAGCACAAGAGGGCGAGATCATCATTCCTTCGGCCAGTCACTCAAAATATTTATTGAGGGTTGGTCAGGTACCAGGCACCAGTCTAAGCCCCAGGGATCCACCCCTTCCCTCAGGGAGCTGGCATTCTGCAGAGGCGGCACACAGTGAATGAGGAGATACAGACAGATGCCTTCAGATGGAGCTGTGTGCTCTGCAGAAATAGAACTGCAAGGTGCCAGTGGAGACAGCATGGGAGAGGGTCACCAGGGAAAGCCTCTGTGAGGAGGTATCATATTTTGGTCTTAAAGTTCTGGCGTGCAGGGGCTTCACTCACAATGGGGTTGGACTGTAAACTTTTTTTTTTCTTGGCACCAAGATCTCACTCTGTCACCCAGGCTGCAGTGCAGGGGCATGAACATGGCTCACTGCAGCCTCAACCTCCCCGGCTCAAACGATCCTCCTGCCTCAGCCTCCTGTGTAGCTGGGACCACAGACAAGTGCCACCATGCCCAACTAATTTCCTTTTTTCAGAGACAGGGGTCTCACCGTGTTGCCCAGGCTTGTCTCAAACTCCTTCCTGGGCTCAAGCGATCTTCCAGCCTCAGCCTTCCAAAGTGTTGGGATGACAGGCTTGAGCCACCGTAACTGTAAACTTTTAAAGCCTGTGAGGAAGGGAGGGGCCTGGCTCTACTTTCTAACAACCACAGGGCTGACCACCCCTTCTGAAGGTGGAGACTTTGCCAGTCTTCCATGGGGTCCTGCCAGGGTCTTTTGAGTTGAGAGTCCTCAAGTCACTGGCCCATTACCTCTGAGCCAGAGGCAGCCACTCACAGACTGAAAGGGGACTCAGCAGATGGGGGAGGAGCGTGGGGACTACCCCAGAGAGGAATGTTTTCGTATTTGGAGACTCTTCCAATCTAAAAAAGAAAGTAAGCGTTCCCACCTGTGCACTGGGGCTCTAGACACTGTGGGTCTTTGGCCACGCATGCACACCTCCATGCAGTCTCAGCTCCCAGTGTGTGACATGAGCCCTGGGCTTGGGCCTCAGGAGCCTCAGAGGTGGCTGGAGCCAGACGCACTCCTGTGCTGTCCTAGGGAGGGCAGTATGGGGCGGGCATGCAGCAGTCGCGGTTATATGGGTTGGCGAGGATCTGGTGGACAGTCCCCGGATTGTGTTTGTGTGTTGGGGAGACACCTGTCTGCAGATGGGATTTGGAGCTGGGCTCCTTTGGGCCTTAACTGTCCTTCCGAGTGGCTGTAGGGGCAACCACGAGACTCACTGTGTCTGCTTCTCTCTCTTCTCAGGGTAAAGTCGAGTATCTGGTGAAGTGGAAAGGATGGCCCCCAAAGTAAGCTCCTTCATGTGTGTGTGTCTGTCTGTCTGCCTACCGACCCATGCATTCCTCCACCTGCCTTTTGCCCCCTCCCCTGCCTAGCTTTTAGCTCCAGCTACTCTTGTAACTGGACA
Source organism: Homo sapiens (assembly GCF_000001405.40). Taxonomy (NCBI): domain Eukaryota; kingdom Metazoa; phylum Chordata; class Mammalia; order Primates; family Hominidae; genus Homo; species Homo sapiens. The sequence goes on along the minus strand of NC_000022.11, from coordinate 39,149,669 downwards.
GCTGACCTTGATTTAATCATCATCTTCTCTGGGCCTCAGTTTCCCCCTGGACCACAGGAGGGTCAAGGTGGGTCTCCAGCTTCTCTTCTCACCCTGCCCTCCTGAGTGTTGAGCTCCTCTGCTAGTTGGAGCTTCTGCTCTCCCTCCTCCCCTCCCTGTGGCTTTTCTTGGCAACTGGGAGGTGAAGGCCCAGCATCCGGGCTACTGGAGATGGCTGCTGGACAGGAGGAGGGGACCCCAGCTGCTTTAAGCACAGTGCTGCATGAGTCCTCAGTGCTGTGTGGCCAGGGGCAGAGCCTGAATCCCCCTCACCTCTAGACGGCACTTTCCAGTCTATAGAGCAGGTTCCCATACAGCTTTGTAAGGTAGGTGTGATCAGGCGCTCTCAAGGTGAGGAAACAGGCTCAGAGAGGGTAAGCAGCTTGCCTTAGGTCACACAGCAAGTGGAGGCAGAGTTGGGACTTGAACTAGGCCTTCTCCTTTTCAGGTGTCTCCTCTGTGCCTTCCCAGCCTCCCATCTCGGAGTTGGGAGGCAGGGAGCTGTATCTGAGACCTCCCAGCTTCTCCACCTCTCCTGCTGAGGCCCCATCAGGAACCCACCAATGCCCTCCAGCAGGGAGTTGTTGGGAGGGAATGAGCTAGTCGTGGGGCCTCCCCATTGGTCTGTGGGTGCCCCACCCCCTGCCCCGCCTCCCGGAGACTGAGTCCTGGAAACCCCCTCTGCCCAGAGCTGCTGCTGTCGGGCAGGGACTTTTTGCTGTGCTGGTGGGGGCTGACCTGGTATGGGGTCCTGTGGGCATTCTGGGGTGATGGTGGGGAGAGACAGCAGAGAGGAAGACAGCCCACAGTGCCTCAGCTTCCCTCTCTGCAAAATGGGTTCAGAAACCCAGGCCCTGCACTCATCTCACAGGCTTGGTGGCCCTATCGGATGAAAGGCCTGGGCACATGTTCTGGGTGACCTGTGGATATCCTGATGACAGGGGTTGGGAGCTGGCAGGCCGAGAATACACTCCACCCCTCACACCAACCCCCACTTCAGTTCTCCCTTCCCGAATATTCTGAGGGCTGAAGGAGAATCCCTCCCCCGCCACACCCAGCTGCTAGAAGGTGGGCTTCCAGCCTGAGTGAAGGGGGCAGTAAAGGGAGTGACGATGCCCAGAGTGGGCAGCAGGAGCACCGCCTCCCTGGGCGCGCACACCCCTGCCTCTCTCGCTTCGCACCAGGAAGCTGTGGCCACCAGCTGTTAGCCTTCAGGACACTATTGGCTATTTTTCCTCCTCTGGAGACTCCACTCTTTGGAAGATTCTCTTCTGTAAACAGAGGCCGTTATGAATGAAAAGTTCCTTCCCCCACTTTGATTGATCCTGGATGTGAATCCATCTGCCCACTGCAGCTCGTCAGGAGGGAAGGAACGAGGCTCCCAGAGCAGAGGCCCTCGATGCTTCTGTTGCGCTGTGCCCCTAGCCTGGGGACCCATTTGTTTCTTAACATGCTGAGGCCACCAGATGGGCCCTCATGGCTGCCTCTTCTCACCCCCCTCCACTTTGGTCCTGGGTTCTAGGCCTGGCTGCCCACCCGACAGGCATGAGCCCTGGGACAGGGCCCCACCATGGCTGGGTCTCTGCTTCCTCATCTTCGAGTTGAGATGGTGAAGCCTCCTTTGCAGGCTACTGTGAGGGTGAGAGGGTGGATGTAATTGAGCGAATGCATGTTCAGCCCAGTCCAAGTGCTTTAGTAAACATTTGGTTTTAAGATTAAGTTAGATAGATAGCCTAGCTGTTCTTTTTGTTTTCCCCAGTCAGGAAAGGGACCTAAGGGATTCCATTCTTCTCAGGAGTGCAAAGTATCCTTAGAAATCATTTAGGCCAGTCCTCTGATTTTTCAGATGGGGAAACTGAGGCCCAGAGAGGGTTGGTCCTTAAAAAAATATAACTGCCAACCCCATGCACTGTGGTGCCCACTTCATGCCATCCACAGTGCCACCACGGTCTGGGAGTGAGGCAGGTATGGCTGCTAACCATCCCCACCTCACTTGGGGGAAACAGAGGTTCACTCTGGGGGAGAAGCAGGGGAGCCAGCTCTGTCTTCCCCTCCTCGGGGGCCCTGCTTGGAGAAAAAGCTGAGAAAGAGGGTGGGGGGTGGGGAGTTAGGCAGGCTGTGTCCTCCAGGCCTGGGAGCCTTGGCTGGGCAGTGCCGGCCTGGGTGGGGTAGTGATTCTCCTGCTCAGCATCTGCCCTGTAGGTGGGGAGACTTACATTCTTCTCAGTAACAGTAACAGGAACCATGATTTAAATGGACACTCTAGGATGGGCATGGTGGTTCATGCCCGTAATCCCAGCATTTTGGGAGACTGAGGTGGGCGGATCACTTGAGGTCAGGAGTTCCAGACCAGCCTGGCCAACATGGCAAAAACCCCGTCTCTACCAAAAGCATAAAAAATTAGCCAGGCATGGTGATGTGCGCCTGTAATCCCAGCTACTTGGGAGGCTGAGACAGGAGAATCGTGCCACTGCACTCCAGCCTGGGCAACACAGTGAGACGCCGTCCCCCACAAAAAAAAAAAAAAAAAAAAAAAAAAAAAAAGTGGACACTTTGTGCCAGGCCTAGGCTAAACCACTACATGCCTTGCCTGTTTTATCTCCCCAGCAAACAAGTGTGGCAGAGGGGCTCTCTTGCTTCTTCTGGAAAGCACAGCAAATGGCACAGGGAGGGGCTCGGGGCCCGGGACAGGGAATGTGACATTATCAGGTACAGGTGCCAGCTGTGCCTGAGGCCTCCAGATAACATTTCAGCCTGTCCAGGGCCCTGCTGTTCCCCCTTCCAGAATGACTTCCTCTCTTCCCCACTTGTGAATGGTTCTCCATCGTTTTGGAAGGAGTGGCCCTATGGAGTTTTAGGAATGATGTCAGTGGTCACAGCCATGGCCAGGCTGTCAATAAGCCCCTATTATGAATCAGGCATTGACTCTTTGAACCACTCATAGCAACCCATTTTACAGATGGAGAGACAGAAGCCTACAGCAAATGAGGCCTTGCCCAGGGTCATAGAGCTGGGCAGATGTGAACTACGGGCTGCCTGATACACAGGCAACTCCACTAGAGATGACTAGGACTCTTGCCTGCTGGCCTTTTGGCCAGTTCAGTGAGAAGTGCTGAGGCTTTCCACCTCTGAAGGTTTACAGCTGTGTGACCCAGGGCAAAGCCCTCAACCTCTCTGTGCCTCACTTTCCCCACCTATAAAAATGAGGCCCTAACCTCACAGGGCCCTGCTGAAGATTGCCTGAGACAAGACAAGATTCATTAACACCCTGCCAGGGGCAGAGTGGGAGCTGTCTCCACCCAGGCTGGGGAGACTGGAGTTAGGAGCCGCAGACTTTTACGCTCCCTGGGCTTTTCATTGATTTAACTCAGGCTTATTTGCCTTCACTGTGTACCACACTGATCGAAATGCTTTCCGTGGCTTAACACATCTAATCTTCACTACAGCCCTATACGACTGGGGTTACTGGTGGGCCCACTTTAGGATGAGGCCCCAGAGCGGTGGCGTCTCCTGAACGAGGCCGCACCCCGCAGTCTGGACCAGAGCCCGTGCTGTGTCTTCTGTGCAGCAGCTTTAAATCGGAGTGGGGACTGGGGCTTGGGGGTTGGCCTGGCTCTGCGGGGTTCCGGGTGGTTCCACCTGCCCCAAGGCCGCCTGCGTCACAGCTCAGCAGCGCCTCCAAACCCCGCTTCCCCCGACCCCCCGGGAAAGGCCGGCGGGGGTCCTGCACCCGCTGCGCCCCTTCCCACTGCGTGCCCTCACCGCAGCAGGGCGAGCCCTGCGCGGCGGGGCTTTGGCTGGGCGGCCGGGGCTTGTTTACCCGGCCGTGGGGCGGGGCGGGGAGGTCACGTGGCCGTGTTTATCTCGGAGCCGGCGCGCGCCGTCCCTGTCCCCGCCCCCGCCCCCGCCCCCTCGGTTTGCCGGTAATCCCGGCGCGCGCCCCTCCCCGTGCGTGCGTGCGCGCGGCCGGCGGGGGCGGGGCCTGGCGCTCCGCCCCCTCCCACGGGGTGATCGGTTCCCGCCCCGCCGGCGCCGCGAGCCCAGTGCAGACCCCCGCAGTCCCCCGGTGTCCACGCCGCGGTCCGCGCAGCCCAGGCAACGAGCGTGTCCCCAGAGCCCTGGCTCCTTTCCACTCTCCCTCCCCTGGTGTGGGAAGGGTGTCCTGGGACTTGCGGGAGCCCGCTTTCCTCCAGGCACCCGAGGGTCTCCGATGGTCGTGGGGTCTAATCCCTTCGATCCGCGGCGCCCACGCTAGTGGCGCGCTCCTGGGTTGCCAGCGCCCGGCTCTTCGGAAGCGCGTTCCCCTTGGCGCCTCTGGGCTCCTGCACTGCGGAGGGCGCGGCGCGGTGCGGCGCGGCGTCCTCCTTACCGGCTGGGTCCAAACAATTAAGATGCTGGTGCCGCCCCTGCCCCCCACTTGGGGCTGCACTCGGCAGCCAAGTGCGACCCTGTTATCTCAGACCCAGCTGCCCGGGCCGGCAACCACCCCTTCTGCATCCAGCCGAGCCTTTCGGGGCGCTCACTGTGCGCCGCGCCCTGCGGTCGGACACTGAGGACTGGAGAGGGGGCGACGCCCCCTCCCGCGGGCTGCACAGTCGGGGGTCCCAGACGCGGTGGCCTGGGAGGAGCCTGAAGGCGGAGTGTGGCCGAGAGCCAACACGGGCCGGCCACTGACTGGCTCAGTGACGCTGGGCTGGCTGCCCAACCTCCGTGTCTCAGTTTCTCCATCTGTAAAATGGGGGTAAGAACTAAGCACCTACCTCGCCAGCGCCTTTTGAGGATGGGTGCGGTCCTGGCGGTCCCGGCCGCACACCTGCTGTTACTGTAGTGGTCATTATTCTTGAGATGAGGAAACTGAAGTTCAGAGAAGGGTTGGGACCTGCCAGGATCCACACAGCAGGGACATCAGCAAGCAATGGGCAGGGCGGTGTGGAGGAGCACGCTGTGGAGAGAGGAGCACGAAATTCCCCTTCCTACCAGTTAGAGTGAGGAGATTCAGCCTTTTCCGGGGGGAGGAAGGGTTAGAGTGTCTGCCAGCCTCTCGTGGCTTCTGCTGTAGTTTCGCTTTCGGCATTCTGCAGGGGCTCCCCAGCCCTTCCCAGAGCCCCGGGCGGGCCTGAGCGGGCCACTTTGCGGTGGCTCTGCGCGCCAGGGTGTTTCCTGGTCCATTAGTGATTATGGCCAAGGCTAGGTATAGCTGTAAGGAGGGTGGAGGAGGGGCAGGCTCGTCCTGCTGGCAGTGGGACAGCCTGGGAGGGATGTCAGGGAAGGCTACAAATACCTGACTCTTAAGGGTCGGCTAGGAGTTGACTGGAGGGATGGGGCACCCAAAGGGAGGGAGGGCCGGCTGGCAGGGGGCACATGGGAAGGGGCAGCCCAGGCTCAGGGCTTCACTGCGAGCCCATAGAGGCCCGACACCAAGTGGGTGTGCCAGAGTGTTAGAGGAAGCAAGGAGGCGAGCATTCTGTCGTTGGGCAGCATTTTGGGACTGAACTAGCGTTAGGTAGTTCCCGGGATACTGTAAGGTAGAGGCCTCAGCTCTAGGGATTGGGAGGCGGCAGGGCAGGGGCTCTCCCAGGCTCTTTCTGCCTTTTAACCCCTCGCTAACGCCCATTGCCTTCCGTCTTACCTAGCAGAGCCTCTGGCCAGGACCATAGGGCATCGCTTTGCTTTTGTCTGTATGTTTTATACACAGTCACACGTCGGTTAATGACAAGGATACATTTTGAGAAATGCATTGTTAGGTGATTTCATTGTACGAACATCAGAGTGACCTTAGGCACACCTAGATGGTACAACCCACTGCACGCCTGGGCTGTGTAATAGAGTCTGCTGCTCCCAGGCTACAAGCATGCACAGCGTGTGACTACTGAATACATCCAAACGTAGAAAAGGTGCAGTAAGAATACAGTGTAAAAGATAAAACCTGGGACACCTTCTAGAGCACTTCCCAGGCACAGAGATTGCGGGGCTGGAAGTTGCTCTGTCACCCAGACACATGTCACTCACTGTCGATGAGTGGAATATGAAGACCTGGTCTATTGTCAACATTGTACACTTACGCTACACTAACTTATGCAGAAATATTTTTCACATTGAACACTTAGGCTACACTAATTTATACAGAAATATTTTTCTTCAGTAATAAATTAACCTGAGCTTATAGTAACTTTCTTACTTTATAAACTTAACTTTTTAAACCTTTTTGTCTCTTTTTGTAGTAACACTTAGCTTAAAACATAAACATGTATGGCTGTACAAAATATTTGTTTTATATTCTATAAGCTTTCTTCTATTTAAAAAAGTTTAATTTATTTTACTTTTAAAGTTTTTTTTAATTTTAAAATAAAATTTATATTTTTATTTTCATTGTTTTTGAGCTGGAGTCTTGCTCTGCCATCCAGGATGGAGTGCAGTGGTACGATCTCGGCTCACTGCAACCTCTGCCTCCCAGGTTCAAGCGATTCTCCCACCTCAGCCTCCCGAGTAGCTGGGATTACAGGCGCCCGCCAGCATGTCTGGCTAATTTTTGTATTTTTAGTAGAGATGGGGTTTCTCCACGTTGGCCAGGCTTGTCTCAAACTCCTGACCTCAAGTGATCTGGCCACCCAAAGTGCTGGAATTACAGGCGTGAGCCACTGTGCCCAGCCTTAAAGCTTTGTTTTTAAAACCTAAGACACTGGCCTTAAAGCTTTGTTTTTGAAACCTAAGACACAAACACACACATTGGCCTAGGCCTACACAGGGTCAGGATCATCAAGACGTCACTAGATGACAGGAATTTTTCAGTTCCGTTGTAATTTTATGGGTCCACCATTACATGCGCAGGCCGTCACGGACAGAAATGTTATTCGGCACTTGACTGTACATATATTGTTTTTAATGGAAAAGTTTTTATGTTTGCGTCGATGGTGAGTGATACTGGTTTTTCCATTTATGGAAGTCATAGTTTGCTTTTAAAATAATTTAAACCAAAAAAGCTCCTCTAAAGGCAGATACGAAGTAAACAGGAGTGCTAGTGGAACGAGGGTGTGGTGGGTGTCACCACGGTGGTTCCACAGATAGGTGAGCTCTGGAGCCGCTGCGCTGACATCACAGGGTCTGCCCCAGCAGGAGGGTGCTCCCTGGCTGGGTGGCGAGGGTAGAAGATCCCCTGTAGCATTACCCGGGGGCCTGCGCTAGGCCTGCTGAACCATTCAGCCACTAGACATTTACCAAATACCTGCTGTGTACCAGGCCCAGAGACAAGGGAACTTCAGACCTGGCTGTGGCCTGGGTGGGGTGCACTGAAGAGGGAGACTATGCTGGGGATGGGGATGGGGTTTGGAGGGCGGGGAGGAACAGCAACAGCAGCAAACACAGTGCGCTGACGACACATCAGGCACGCTGTTACTCTTGTAACACCCTCTAAACACTTGGAATACACATCTCATCAGCACAAGAGTCCTTTACAGAGGGGGACATTGAGGCACAGAGCTGTTCAGGAAGTTGCTCAAGGTCGCACAGCTAGCTAGGGGCAGAGATGGACTTGAACCCAGGCCGTGAGCCTGTCCCCAGAGCCCTGGCTCCTTTTCATCCTCTCTTGCCTGGTGTGGGGCTTACAGGCGCCCTCTCTCCTCCTGGCACCCGAGGGTCTCTAGTGATTGTGGAGTCTAACAAGGAGTTGGACCCAGTCACATTGTAGAGTGATATGAACCAGGACAACTCTGGTGTTGCTGGAGCCCTCAGGAGGCCCAGGCTGGGTCTGTCCTTGAAGTAGGTGACAATGACACCTTACCAGGACAGGGTGAAGGCACACTTGCAGTGGGCACTGGGTCAGCAGCAGTGGCCTCTGCTGGTGCACCTGCCCAGTAGAAGCGATGGCTCTGACCTTTTTTTTTTTTTTTTAGAGTCTTACTCTGTCACCCAGGCTGGAGTGCAATGGTGTCATCTTGGCTCACTGCAACGTCTGCCTCTTGGGTTCAAGCAATTCTCCTGTCTCAGCCTCCTGAGTAGCTGGGATTACAGGCATGCACCACCACGCCCGGCTAATTTTTGTATTTTTAGTAGAGATGGGGTTTTGCCATGTTGGCCAGGCTGGTCTTGAACTCCTGACCTCAGGTGATTTGCCCGCCTCGGCCTCCCAAAGTGCTGGGATTACAGGCATGAGCCACCGCGCCCAGCCCCAACTCTGACCTTTCATTCCTCTCCCCAGGTACAGCACGTGGGAGCCAGAAGAGCACATCTTGGACCCCCGCCTCGTCATGGCCTACGAGGAGAAGTACGGTGTCCTCGGCACCGCCGGGTGGGGCTTAGGGCCGGCTCAGAGGCTTCCCAGGAGCCTGCTGCTGGCTTGGCAGGGGTTGTTGGGGCAGGGCAGGGGTGTCCGATGGGGCAGGCCAGCCCAGCCTGCAGCTGGGTGAAAATGGTGGGCACTGAGTCCCAGGGCAGCTGAGGACCCTGGGGCCCTTTCCTGTTGTTGGGTGATCTCGGTCACTTCCTTTACCCACCCGGGCCTCAGTCTCTCTGCTGTCAAATGGGCCACCCTGAAGAGTACACCCATTTCCCAGGGTGAAACCTCAGAGGGGCCGTAAGAGGTTTCTGTTCCAGTGAAGAATGTTAAAATGCTTCACAAAGATGCCCTGTGTGCTAGGAGGCGGCACTGCCAGTTGTGCGGGGGTGACAGATCAGAGACGGTGTCTCTAGAGGACCTCTTAGGGCAGGAAGGAGTGTCTGACGAAGCTCAAGGAAGGCTGGGCAGGAGCGTGGGCTTTGGGGCTGGGATTTCTGAGTTCTGGCCTGTCCCCCTGCCACCTCCTGTCCAAGTGGCCCAGGCACAGTCTCCCACCTCTGCCAGGGCCCCTCAGGGAAGCTGGGCACACCCTAACAGTTCTGTGTGCCCTCTCTGGCCGCCCCCCCCACCAGCAGGCAGCCCAGGTCCCCTGCCTCTCCCAGCCCGCCTGCCTTGTGCGGCTTGGGACCATTTCACAAAATCATTTGTATTTGGCCCCTATGGCAACCTCCTGAGGCAGGAATGAGGGTTTTGTTTGACAGAGAAGGAAACTGAGGCTCTTACCTGGAGCCCAGAGCAAGGACCTGGCCAGGGCTGCCACCTCCAGGTGGGGGCTTTTCCACTGCCCCTCGCTGCTGGGTTCTTCTGGCTCCTTCTCCAGGAGATTTCCTGCCATGGATTCAAAAGACAAATTTTATTGTTCTTTCCTTTTAAAATCAGGGTGTCCCCATCCCAGGGTTTCTTTCTGCCTCCCAGGTGTGTGGTGGGGCCTTGGTCCAACAGGGTGCGACACTTGGGAATCCCATGGAGCGTGGTAAGGAGAGCAGTGGACAGGTATCAAAGGCCCGGATTCTAGTCCTCCACCAGGGACACTTTCCCTTTGGTCCGTTGGTGTCCTGCTGGGGATGGATGCTCAGTGGATGGTCAGACATTTGCAATAGGTGCCGTGGGGTTCATTGGTATGTGCTAAGCTCAGAGTAAGAGCCTGGCCCAAGGTCACACGAGGCCTCCACATTCTTTCTGTTGTCCACGTGACCTCTGTACTGGGGGCTGCAGAGAGTGTGGATGGAAAGAACTGAAGTGGGAGGCAGGATGAAATGACTGAATCTCCTCATTACTTTTGGCAGTTGTTTGGAGTCTCTGGTTGTGTTGTCTTATGTGTCATGTGTAGCTTCGTGGCATTGTCAAGTTGTGCTTTTTTTTGTTTTTTGAGACAGGGTCTCACCCTGTCTCCCAGGCTGGAGTGCAGTGGTGCGATCTTGGCTCACTACAACCTCTGCCTCCCAGGCTCAAGCAATTCTCCTGCCTCAGCCTCCTGAATAGTTGGGACTACAGGTGTATGCCACCGTGCCTGGCTAATTTTTGTATTTTTGGTAAATGGGGTTTTTTGTTTGTTTTTTTTTCTTTTTCTTTCTTTCTTTTTTTTTTTTTTTTTTTGAGATGGAGTCTCGCTCTGTTGCCCAGGCTGGAGTGCAGTGGCGCGATCTCGGCTCACTGCAAGCTCCGCCTCCCAGGTTCACACCATTCTCCTGCCTCAGCCTCCCGAGTAGCTGGGACTACAGGTGCCCGCCACCATGCCCGGCTAATTTTTTTGTATTTTTAGTAGAGACAGGGTTTCACTGTGTTAGCCTGGATGGTCTCGATCTCCTGACCTTGTAATCTGCCCGCCTCAGCCTCCCAAAGTGCTGGGATTACGGGCGTGAGCCACCGTGCCTGGCTGGTAAATGGGGTTTTGCCATGTCACCCAGGCTGGTCTCAAACTCCTGAGCTTAAGTGATCCACCCACCTCAGCCTCCCAAACTGCTGGGATTACAGGCGTGAGCCACCGCACCCGGCCTGAGTTGTGCTTTGTGTTTTTGATACATGGGAAGGCATCTGCTGGGCACTCAGAACAGGCTGGTTTTCATCCTGTCCCCCGACAAGATGGGACAGACAGGGTAGGAGCCGGTCCGCTCTCCCAGGTTCACAGAGATCCCAAATTCGGGGGAGTCTGTGCAGAGCTTTACTTGCAGAGGGACTAGCCATTCCCATCAGCTCTCCTGGGACATTCAAGGTAAATTGGATTGACAGGCTTCTGTATCACTCCCCTAGGAGGAAAAACTGAGCCACGTTTTTAGGGGGTCCTTAGGAGCACGTAGAGCAGAGCCCGCACATGGCCCTGGAGCCCCTTAAGGACCCACTGTTTTTGGAGATGCTGCAAGTCCCCCCTCAGCAGTTGCCCTCCACGTTTGTCAGATGGGAAGACCTTGGCCCTGGGAGTTGAACATCTGACCCCGTTGTTATGGCCCCAGCCAGGCAATGGGGAGGATTGGTGGGCAGGCCTGTGGGGAGTGTCCCCTCCCTGACAGACAGCAGAGGGCGGGCGAAGCGGATGCCTTCCCTTCCCTTAGATGTCACCAGTGTTTCCTTTTCTTCTGCCACCTGCTTCACACCCCAGGGAGGAGAGAGACCGAGCATCGGGGTATAGGAAGAGAGGTCCGAAACCCAAGCGGCTTCTGCTGCAGGTAACCAGCCTGCCTTTGTGCCTCCTTTCTCCCCCTGCCCAACCCCAAGTCCCCCTCTGCCCCTTGGTGCATTTGCACTGGCTGATTGAGCTGATCTGTGTCCCCTCGCCTGTACCACCCAGGGCACTGTGGGGTGGGGCACTTGGGTAAGTTTTGATGGGAGGAATTGGGAAAAGCCTGCGTGTGGGGCTGGTGCCCGGGGAAGACAGCCTGGGTGGGCGGTGCCACCTGGGAGGGGGAGTAGGCATATGGCCAGTGGAATCCTAGAATTCTCAAAGCTTAGAATCTTGCTGTAAGGAAGCCCTGAAAGCTTTGAGCCTTTCGATGCTCAGAATCCCTAAACACAAAATTATCACTGAGAATCTCAGAAACATAAACTTGAGAATTGAGGAAACATGAGAGGCTGGAGTTTCAGAATCTAAGAAACAGAATCTTTTTTTTTTTTTTTTTTTTGAGACGGAGTCTCGCTCTGTCGCTCAGGCTGGAGTGCAGTGGCGCGCGATCTTGGCTCACTGCAAGCTCCACCTCCCGGGTTCACGCCATTCTCCTGCCTCAGCCTCCCCAGTAGCTGGGACTACAGGCGCCCGCCACCACGCCTGGCTAAATTTTTGTATTTTTAGCAGAGACGGGGTTTCACCGTGTTGGCCAGGATGGTCTCGATCTCCTGACCTCATGATCCGCCCGGCTTGGCCTCCCAAAGTGCTGGGATTACAGGCGTGAGCCACCGCGCCCAGCCAGAAACAGAATCTTAGAATTGTAGAACTACAGCCTTGGAATGTCAGACCCCTAGAAGTGTGTCATTTTTGAGTGGGCCTCCTGTTCCAGCCTTCAGTCAGTTGGGGACCCAAGTCTCTGCAGCATCCCGGAGTACCCACGTCGTAGGTCTTGGGGGCCTTTCCTGACCTCAGTGCTTTGCAGTGACAGGGACGTGGATCTTGGAGCAGTGCAGTCACAGGTTGAGTCTCCCTGATCCAAAATCCAAAATGCTGCCATGTGCGGTGGCTCATGCCTGTAATCCCAACACTTTGGGAGGCCGAGGCGGGTGGATCACCTGAGGTCAGAAGTTCAAAACCAGCCTGGCCAACATGGTGAAAACCTGTCTCTACTAAAAATACAAAAATTAGCTGGGGATGGTGGCGGGCACCTGTAATCCCAGCTACTCAGGGGGCTGAGACAGGACAGTCACTTGAGCCCGGGAGGTGGAGGTTGCAGGGAGCCAAGATCATACCATTGCACTCCAGCCTGGGTGATAAGAGTGAAACTCCGTCCCCTGCCGCCCCGCCCCCCCACCCCAACAAGAAAAACAAGATCTGAAATGCTCCAGAATCCAAAACATTTTGAGCACCAAAATGATGTTCAAAGGAAGTGTTCATTGGAGCAGTCTAAATTTCAGATTTTTGGATTGGGGATGCTCAGCTAGTATATATAATGCAAATATTCCAAAATCCTAAAAAAATTCGAAGTCTGAAACACTTCTGGTTCCAAGCATTTCGGATAAGGAATGCTCTGCCTGTGTGTGGTTGTAGGTAAGCCTCTTCACCTGTAAAATGGGTATGAAGAGAATACCCGCTCTCCTTAATGTAATAAGACCCACCAGGCAGGATATTGGAAGCCAGAAAGTCAGGATTCTTGGTCCACTTGTATGTGGTCCATGTCAAGCGTCCTTGGCCACTCCTGATTAAAACCCATGGAGGCTTTCGCCAGAGGGGGTGGGCCTCCCTTCATGCAGTGGGCATGTTCCATTGGGTTTGGCATGAATTGAGCCTAGGAAGGGAAGTAACATCTCCTGGACGTCTGTGTGCCAGGCTGTCTGCCCAGTGTGCCTCACAGATGAATATACTCCATCCACATACTAAGCCTACAGGGCAGGTGTGTTCGTTATCTCTTCCCCTCTAACATGGCAACTCAAAGCAATAAACATTGATTATTTCACATGGCTTCTGGGGGTCAGGAATTTGGAATTGTGCTAGCTGGTTCTTCAGTGGTTCTAGTCTGGGCTGCAGTCAAGGTGTTGGCTGGGCTGCAGTCATCTGCAGGCTCGACCAGGGCTGCGGGATCTGCCTCCGAGGGGGCTGCTCACGTGCCATCGAGTCAGGGCTGGACGTTGACAGGGACTGGTCCTCACCATGTGGACCTCTCCAGAGGGTTGCTTGAGTGTCCTTACAGTGCAGCCACCAGCTTCCCAGAGTGGGTGACCTGAGAGAGAGAGCAGGGAAGAAGCCACAGTGTCTTTTATGCCCTAGCCTGGGAAGTCACACAACACAGCACTGGGTGTGGGAATGGACGGCGCATAGGTGTGAATTCCAGGAGGTGGGTGTGGTTGGGGCCCTCCTCGGAGGCTGGCTCCTACAGTCTCTTCATTGTTTCGCTGAGAAAGAAACTGAGGCCCAGGGAGGCCGGTAGCTTACCCAGGACCTGACTGTTGGCACCCGCGTCCCTTTAGTAGCTGTAGTTCTCTCGTGATGAGGTTGCCAAGGACGTAGAAGACCCTGCCTTGCAGAATGGTAGAATGTACTGGGCTTCTTTTTTTTTTTTTTTTTTTTTCCCAGACAGAGTCTCGCTCTGTCGCCCAGGCTGGAATACAGTGGTGCGATCTCTGCTCACTGCAAGCTCTGCCTTCTGGGTTCAAATGATTGTCCTGCCTTAGCCTCCCAAGTAGCTGGGATTACAGGCACCTGCCACCACACCCGGCTAATTTTTGTATTTTTAGTAGAGATGGGGTTTCGCCATGTTGGCCAGGCTGGCCTTGAACTCCTGACCTCTGGTGATCCAGCTGCCTCGGCCTCCTAAAGTGTTGGGATTACAGGCGTGAGCCACTGTGCCTGGCCCATACTAGGCTTCTGATGGCCTGTGAGCCCGCTGGGAGGAGTGGGTTTTGAGTCAGCTGCCTACCAGATGTGCCTCCCAGGCACTGCAGTATTTTCCCAGTCCCCTCCCAGTTTAGCCCTCCTCCCATCACTGCAGCAGCCGGCACCTGGGGACATGTGATGCCGTTAACAGGCACGACTGTGAGTGGGACCTGCGTGTGTCATCCCTTCCCTCAGCTTGGAGGTGTTTGACCTCACAGGTCCCATCTGATGGCTGCACTATCTTCCTGGGAGCTCCTGACCTCTGGTAGCAGGTGGCAGGAGAAGGTACTGTCCCAGTGATCCAGAGTCTCCCAACATCTTGGCACCATGAATCTTTTGTAGATTCATGTAAATTCTCCCCAAGTAAATAAGATAAATCCCGACATTACAAACTCCAGGGGTGGACAGACTTGCCCTCCAGCTCCAGATGTGTCGCGGGCAATCAGCAGAGCGGGCTGCAATCACAGAGCCCAGGAGCCCCCTGGAGGGGTCGGGGTGCATCTGCAGGCCAGGTGGAGCCCTGTCCCTTTGGCTGGATAGCATGGGCATCCGGGGCTGTGTGTGCTGCTGGCCTGGCTTTGCCCCAAGCAACTCCAAGAGCACACCTTGGCCCTCTGCCTGCACCATCTCCCGGGTGAGCTGGCAGTGTCAGTTTTGGAGGTGCTCTGGCAAGCAAAGATGCCTTTCCTAAAACGAAGGCTAACTCCTTAATGCATCCAGATTTGTTTCTCTTGGCCAGTTTTCAGTTTGTCCTTCTTGTATGCTTCTCTGCTGGGTATCAAAGGAGTAAACGCTGGGACGCGAGTGCTCTGTGGGGCCCAGAGGCAGGGCTGAGCTGGCCGACCCTGGGGTTGCCCGGGGCGCACTCTCTGGGCTGGGGTGGGGTGGGGTGATGGCCAGCCGTGGCATGGGAAGGAGTTGAGTGGGTAGACATGGCATGGGAAGGGCATTCCGGGTGGGAGGAACAGCATGAGCAAAGGTGTGGCGGGTGGGAGGGTGGGGCTGACCCGCGCTGCCCTGGCTTGCCCCCGCAGCGGCTGTACAGCATGGACCTGCGGAGCTCCCACAAGGCCAAGGGCAAGGAGAAGCTCTGCTTCTCCCTGACGTGCCCACTCGGCAGCGGGAGCCCTGAGGGGGTGGTCAAGGCGGGGGCACCTGAGCTGGTGGACAAGGGCCCCTTGGTGCCCACCCTGCCCTTCCCGCTCCGCAAGCCCCGAAAGGCCCACAAGTACCTGCGGCTCTCGCGCAAGAAGTTCCCGCCCCGCGGGCCCAACCTGGAGAGCCACAGCCATCGACGGGAGCTCTTCCTGCAGGAGCCACCGGCCCCAGACGTCCTGCAGGCGGCTGGCGAGTGGGAGCCTGCTGCGCAGCCCCCTGAAGAGGAGGGTAAGGCGGCCCCAGCCCAGAGACCCTCAGAGCTGGAAAGGGCCCTATGGGTCATAAGGTCCAGCTGGTTCAATGTCCAAAGAGGGCCTGTAGTGCTTTGTGGGGCCAGTCGGGTCTGGGCTCAGGGCCCAACACTAGCCCAGGGCTCCTCCTGTCGTCCCGCTCTGGCTGAGCTCTTGTCTAGGTGGGGAGGATGCACCCAGTGCCCTCCTCCCAAGTGTCCAGCCCTGTGTGAGGCCCTGAGCTGACTGAAGACACAGAGAGGAGGAGCTGGAGTTGGGGTCGGGTTGGGTGGTCTGCATGGCTTCCCACCTTGTCAACGCTGCCCCCATCTGTGTGTCTGACGCTGCAGCAGATGCCGACCTGGCCGAGGGGCCCCCTCCCTGGACACCTGCGCTCCCCTCAAGTGAGGTGACCGTGACCGACATCACCGCCAACTCCATCACCGTCACCTTCCGCGAGGCCCAGGCAGCTGAGGGCTTCTTCCGAGACCGCAGTGGGAAGTTCTGAATCACCGTTTTTACTCTTCTTAAACTGTTTTCTTTTGGGCTTGGGGTGGGACTTCCAGAGATAGGGATGGGTTGGGGGCGGGGTAATTATTTTATTTAAAAAAATACCGAGCAGCAAAAGGGGAGAAGATCCCACTACTCTCCCACCACCTGCCCTTTCTCTGAGGGACGTTTACCACGAGGCCTCAGGCTGGGGATGGAGAGAGTTGCTCTGGGAGTTGGGGTACCACCCCCAGGGCAGGATGGGGACAGGATCACCTGCCCGGGACACCACCATTATCATTCTCCTCTAGTGACGCAGCAGCTGGTTCTGGGAGTTAAAGGAGCATTGGAAGGCCCAAACCCTCTCCCTTGAGTGGCCACCCCAGCCTGGTTGGCTGGTTTTCCCCTTTTCTCTTGTTTCAATTGGGTCTTTACCTTGAACTCTCCTCTCTGGCTTTGCGGTGGGCTGTGGAGGCTGGTTTTGACCAAAAGTG
Source organism: Homo sapiens (assembly GCF_000001405.40). Classification (NCBI taxonomy): domain Eukaryota; kingdom Metazoa; phylum Chordata; class Mammalia; order Primates; family Hominidae; genus Homo; species Homo sapiens. The sequence goes on along the minus strand of NC_000022.11, from coordinate 39,133,415 downwards.
AGTGGGGCGGGAGGAAGGGGCAGGAGGAAGGGTTGAGGTTACTTGGGGCGAGTCCCTTCCCCTTCAGAGAGGCTTCTATCCTTCCCAGGGAGGAGGCGCCGCTGAGACCCTTCTGCTGAGAGCTCTGCCCTCCCCTCATCACCTGGCCTGTGCAGAAACGCTCATGCACACCTGGCTGCACAGGTGTGCACGCATTACCCTTCGCGTGTACGTTCCCATGTGCCCCGTGAAAGCATGTGTGGCTGCAGACGTGTCCACATGGGCCTTGCGAACCTGGGTTAGAAACCCTGGCCAGGCGAACGTGGGGTGATTCACAGCACAAAAGACCTCACCACCACACCTGCACTCACCCCACCTTGCATGCACCTTGCTACCTGCTTGCGGCTTTCAGTGGAGGGCAGGGGTCTGGCACAGGTGCGATGGCACCCCATGCTCCAGGCATACAGATGTGGTTTCTCGGCTGCACCGGGCCAGGCTGCGGGTGTGCAGGCGTCTGCTAAGTTGTGTGATGTATCAGCACAGGCTTTGAGACGTCTGGACCCTGTCCTTCCTCCCGTGAGGGGTTCTTGTTCTTTCTGACTCAGGTGACTTTTCAGCCCTTCCAATTCCCCTCTTTTTCTGCCCTCCCCTCCAACTCAGCCAACCCAGGTGTGGGCAGTCAGGGAGGGAGGGAGTGTCCCACCACGTTCTCAGGGCAGCCCTTGACTCCTAAGCCCCTTCCTCCTTCCATTCTGCATCCCCTCCCCATCCAACCTAAATGCCACAGCTGGGGCTGAGCTGTATTCCTGTGGAGGGACCTCTGCCGTGCCTCTCTGAGGTCAGGCTGTGCTGTGTGATGGGCAGGCTTTGCCCCAGCCCACCCCTGGCAAGGTGCACTTGTTTTCTGGTTTGTACAAGGTGTCCTGGGGGCCCGTGGCTTCCCTGCCAGTGAGGAGTGACTTCTCCCTCTCTTCCAGTCCTGTAGGGGAGACAAAACCAGATTGGGGGGCCCAAGGGGAGCATGGAAAAGGCCGGCTCCCCTGTCTTTCCTTGGCTGTCAGAGTCAGGGTAACACACACCAAGAGTGGAGTGCGGCCAGCAAGTTTGAGACCTGCCCGCCCTCCTCGCAGCTCTGCTCTGTGTCCTCAGGAAGTCACAGAGTCTACTGAGGCAAGGAGAGGGTGATTCTTTCCCCAAATCCCTTCTTCCCTGGTTCCCAAACCAAAGACAGCCTGCAGCCCTTTCTGCATGGGGTGCTCTGTTGACAGGCTTCCCAGATCCCTGAGTCTCTCTTTCCTTCCTCCTCGATCTTTAGTTGTCCACGGTCAATTCAGTGCTTCCATTGGGGGACAGTCCCCTCCGGGATGACCTGATTCACCTCCAGCCCAGGGAATGGAATCTAGAGGAATACGTGGGGTGGGTCTGGACAAGGAGCGGCAGGAATCACCACCCATCTCCAGCTGTGGAGCCCTGTGGAGGGGAAGGGGAAGCTTGGGGTTCAGAGGGGACTCTTCCAGGAGAGGGGTGCCCAGCGGAGGTAAAGATGATAGAGGGTTGTGGGGGGTCTCTAGTTGAATGTTTTGGCCCATGACTTTGGAACATGGCTGGCAGCTTCCAGCAGAAGTCACGCTCCCCATCCCCCAGGGGACATAGGACCTTTTTCCTGCTTCCTGGTCACTTTCAAAGAACTATTTGCGCAATCTGTGGGTCTGTGGATTCACGGGGCTTTCTGTGTGGGTGCTGCAGTTGCTTTTGTCTGCAGCAGCAGGACACATCTTTCCTCTTACTCAGCCCTTTATGGCCCATGGGGAACTCCGTGGCTCAGGGAGAGCTGAACTCCAGGGGTGTGACCTGGGACGGGTGGGCCTGAGGTGCCCAGCTCAGGGCAGCCAGGTGGCTCATGGGCTGTAGTGAGCCAGCTCCCTGGGGGAAAAGGCTGTGGGCCGTTAGGACCATCCTCCAGGACAGGTGACCTCTATGAGGTCACCTACGGCTGTGGCCGTGCAGGCCTCCTTCCAGCCCAGAGTGGCCCAGTAGAGCAAGGCAGACAGTGACCTCCACCCCCGCAGCCCTCTTAAAAGGCCAGTACTCTTGGGGGTGGGGGGAGGGTTTAGAAAGCATTTGCCCATCTGCCTTTCTTTCCCCCAGCCCCCACCCGCTTTGAATGTAGAGACCCGTGGGCACTTTTCCTTTTGTGGTGGGGGGTGCGGAGGAGGTACCCCCACCCCTGGCACAGCCGCCTGGAATGCAGGACTGTCACTGCTGTTCGGGTGATGACCTCGTTGCCAAGCTCCTCCTGTCCCCTTGTTCTGGGGGCAGGCGCTGTGCTTCTGTGAGGTGGTTTAGCTTTTGCTTTCGAAGTGGCCAGCTGCGGCCACCAGGTCTCAGCACAAGAGCGCTTCCTTTGCACAGAATGAGCTTCGAGCTTTGTTCAGACTAAATGAATGTATCTGGGAGGGGTCGGGGGCACGAGTTGATTCCAAGCACATGCCTTTGCTGAGTGTGTGTGTGCTGGGAGAGTCAGAGTGGATGTAGAGCGCGGTTTTATTTTTGTACTGACATTGGTAAGAGACTGTATAGCATCTATTTATTTAGATGATTTATCTGGTAAATGAGGCAAAAAAATTATTAAAAATACATTAAAGATGATTTAAAAAAAAGAAAATTCCTGGGCATTTGATTATTCCTTCTGGTGGTTGTCAAGTGCATCCGTCCACCAACAGACTTTGTGCGAGCAACAAGGCTGTTTATTTCACTTGGGTGCAAGTGGGCTGAGTCCAAAAAGAGTCAGCCAAGGGAGATAGGGGTGGGGCAGTTTTATAGGACTGGGGTAAGCAGTGGAAAGTTACAGTGAAAGGTGGTTAGCTATTGTCAGCAGGGGAGGGGGTCACAAGGTGCCTGTTGGGGAGATCATAATACTCATTGTCCGGAAGAAGGTCACCAGGTCGATCAGTTGGGGCAGGGCAGGAACAAGCCATAATGGACCTGCAGGCCATCTGGATGTATATGTGCAGGTCACAGGGGTTACAATGGCTGAGCTGCAGCTCAGAGGCCAGACAGTGGTGTCCCCACTGTGCTGAAGAAAGAGCTTCAGCCCCTGGCAATGCCTGGGGTTTAGGTCCCAGGTCTGCTGGTCACCGGCCATAATCTCGGACAAGTCTTTCCCTTCGCTGAGACCCCAGATGGACAGAGAATTCACTGAGGTGACGGGAACAGGAAACTGCGGGTGTCTCTGGGTGAGGCCATCACCATGGTCCGTAGTGTGTCATCAGAGGCCTGGAAGTGCTTCTGGCACCTTTTATCTGCTTCTCCCCAAGAGTCCTTTATTCCAGAACCTTGGAGGGGTGAGCATCGCAGGTCTCTGCAACGGCAGATTCCGGATCGCAGGACTGTCATGGGGCTAACGCTCACCTACTGTGTGTTCAGCCAAGCTTAGCACACACATCTGAACGTTGAGACAGGTGGTCAGAGCCAAGGGCAAGTCCTGGGAGCACGTCTGCATTTCAGTGCATCATGGGCTGCAGGACAGAGGCTAGGCTGGAGCAGGCAGGGCTGATGGTGGGGAGAAGAGTTAAACAGTCTGTTGTAGCCATGCAGGTGGAAGGGGATGGTGGCCGCAACTGTGGACATGTCAGTGAAAGAGAAACAGATAGACTGGGGATAGGTTTAGGTGGTGGAAGCGTCAAGATGTGGCCACTGAATTGATGAAAGTGAGGGATCAAGAATATGCCTGGGACCTGGCACAATGGCTCATGCCTATAATCCCAGCACTTGGGGAGGCTGAGGTGAGCGGATCACCTGAGGTCAGGAGTTTGAGACCAGCCTGACCTATATGGTGAAACCCTGTCTCTACTAAAAATGCAAAAATTAGCCGGGCACCTATAATCACAGCTACTCTGGAGGCTGAGGCAGGAGAATCTCTTGAACCCAAGAGGTGGAGGTTGCAGTGAGCCAAGATCGCCACTGCACTCCAGCCTGGAGACTCCATCTCGAAAAAAAAAAAAAGGGGGGGAGGGGGATATTGGACACAAACACATGCTGTGAGATGACTGTGTGAAGACAGAGATGCCATCCATAAGCCAGGAAGAGAGGCCTACATCAGAGCCTTCTCTCCAAGCTCAGAAGGAACCAACCCTGCTGACCTTTGATCCTGGACTTCAGCCTCCACAACTGTGAAAGGATACATTTCTGTTGTTTAAGCTTCCTGGTCTGTGGGAGCTTATTATGGCAGCCGTAGCAAGCTGATGCAGCGTCCATGAGAACAGAGTCTAAGGCAGGGACTTGGGTGCAGGTAGTTTATTTGGGAGGGGGTTCTAGGAAGCAAGAGTGGAGACAGGGCCAGGGGAGGAGGGAAAGCCAGGGTAAGGGCACATTATTGAGGTGGGTGCTGTGGGAACAGGAGTTTGATTCCACCTGGACTTTCGGGGAAGGGTTCGAAACGCCTCCCGAAATTGTCCGTCCAACTGGGGATAGGAATCTATAGCCACTCTCCCATCCTTCCCATCCCATTACTGAAGCTGCTCTGGCGTGTTGACTTCGTGCACTTCTCAGCTGGGTCCATGCAGAGGCCAAGGCACCCCCACCTGGCATCCAAATTACCCACTAGGCAGAAAGTGAAGACTGGACCCTGGCCATGGCTAAAGGCAGAGATGAGGATGGCAGGGTGAGAGCTGAGCAAGTGGAAACACCTGGCAGAGGAAGGCGTGGCCGGGCTGGTTTCACTGAGTTCAGAGTGTGTGTGGGTTGGCAGTACAGGCAGCTCTAACACAGTGTCATACACCAGAACACAGATATTCATTTCTCACAGTTCTGGGGGCCGGGAAGTCCAAGACCAAGATGCCGGCAGATACAGTATCTGGCGAGGGTCACCTTCTCACTGTGTCTTTACCTGGCAGAGAGAGGATGCTTTGATGTCTCTTTCTTTTCTTCTAAGAATGCTAATACCATCATGGGGGCCCCACCCTCATGGCCTCAAGTAAATCTAAAGACCTCTCAAAGGCCCCACCTCCAAATAACGTCACACTGGGGCCTAAGGCTTCAACATAAGAATTTGCGGTGGGTGATGAGAGGGTGGACACACACACAGACATTCAGTCCATGATACAGGTGTTGAGGTAGAGTGGTCCCACAAGCAGTTCACAAACAGTTCTGAAGCTTAGGGGAGAAAAACACATTTGGTAGAATCGTGCAGTGGCACGATTTCAGCTCACTGCAACTCCACCTCCCGGGTTCATGCCATTCTCCTGCCTCAGCCTCCTGAGTAGCTGGGACTACAGGTGCCTGCCACCACACCCAGCTAATTTTTTGTATCTTTTTTAGTAGGGACGGGATTTCACCATGTTAGCCAGGATGGCCTCAATCTCCTGACCTCGTGATCCACCCGCCTGGGACTCCCAAAGTGCTGGGATTACAGGCACAAGCCACTGTGCCCAGCCTTTTTTTTTTTTTTTTTTTGAGACGGAATCTCCCTCTGTCATCCAGGCTGAAGTGCAATGGCGTGATCTCGGCTCACTACAACCTCTGCCTTCCAGGTTCAAGCGATTCTCCCGCCTCAGCCTCCTGAGTAGCTGGAATTACAGGCACGCACCACCATGCCTGTATTTTTAGTAGAGACGGGGTTTTACCATGTTGGTCAGGCTAGTCTCTAACTTCAGACGTCGTGATCCACCCGCCTCAGCCTCCCAAAGTGCTGGGAATACAGGTGTGACCACTGCGCCCACCCTGTTTTTTTTGAGACAGAGTCTTGCTCTGTTGCCCAGGCTGGAGTGCAGTGGCACGATCTTGGCTCACTGCAACCTCTGCCTCCCAGGTTCAAGCAATTCTCTGCCTGAGCCTCCCTAGTAGCTGGGATTACAGGCGCATGCCACCACGCCCGGCTAATTTTTGTATTTTTAGTAGAGAGATGGTTTCACCATCTTGGCCAGACTGGTCTTGAACTCCTGACCTCATGATCCACCCACCTTGGCCTCCCAAAGTTCTGGGATTACAGGCGTGAGCCACTGTGCCTGGCCTAAACTTTTTATTATGAAAAAATTCAAACATGCAGAAGTAGAGGCAGCAATATAAAGACCCTCATGCGCCACTCACCCAGACTCCACCATCCTCAGTGCTACCCCACACTTGCTGGGATGCAGATGCTGGGGCCTGGGCACATAGTGGTAGATAAAGCCACGGGTGGGGGAAGGGTCAGAGGAGGAAGAAGGCGATGTGCCTGTGTTTGGTGGTGGGTAGATTTATGCATGCCTGCCCCCAAGACCAAGGGAGGCAAGAGACCAAAGACAGAGGCTGACAAATCCAGTTTCTGAGAAAGAAACATTTAATGGGGACTTAAGAACAGAGGCCGTGTCTCCGGCAGCTGAGAGATGGCAGATCCCCGTAGCCGCCCTCCAGAAAGTGTTCTTTATATAGCAAGCTTTTAGGGTGAAACGTGTAGCTGGTCATGTCTTCAGACTTTGTTGTCAAGACTCATGAGCACTGGGGAGGCTGGATAAGCATCTTTACGAGGGGTCATCTGTGCGATGGGCATTGTTTAAAGACCTTGCTGCAGGACACATTGTTATGCAAGGGTCAGACACCAGTCCTCCTGGCGGTTACGCTTCAAGGTGGCGTCACTCTTGCTGTTTTCCTATAGCACGCTCGTGTATGTGTGTGCGCACGCATGCACGCACATGTGTATGCTCATAGGTGGTAACATGAGGGCTGATTCTGCCTCGTCCTAGTTTCCTGCACTGGGGGTAGAGTCTGGCTCTAGTCGATTGCTGGCAACTCCTTGGTGGCTCCCTTTAGGAAGTGGAGCACTCAGGGCCGGGCGCAGTGGCTCATGCCTGTAATCCCAGCACTTTGGGAGGCCGAGGCGGGAGGATCACCTGTGGTCCGGAGTTTGAGACCAGCCTGGCCAACTTGGGGAAACCCCGTCTTTACTAAAAATATAAAAATTAGACAGGCATAGTGGCGTGCACCTGTAATCCCAGCTACTTGGGAGGCTGAGGCAGGAGAATCACTTGAGCCTGTGAGGCGGAGCTTGCAGTGAGCCGAGATTTTGACACTGTACTCCAACCTGGGTAACAGAACGAGACTCTGTCTCAAAAAATAAATAAATAAAATAAAATAAAATAAAAAGTGGGGCACTCAGCATGCTTTGTCTTTAGCTTTAAGCCTTAACCCAAGTTCTGAATCCCCAAGAACATGTCATGGCTGGGTGTGGTGGCTCAAGCCTGTAATCCCAGCACTTTGGGAGGCCAAAGCAGGTGGATCACTTAAGGCCTGGAGTTGGAAAGCAGCCTGGGCAACATAGCGAGACCCCGTCTCTATGAAAAATGAGAAAAAATTAGCTGGGTGTGGTGGCACCTCTAGTCCCAGCTACATGGGAGGCTGAAGCAGGAGGATTGCTTGAGTCCAGGAGGTCATGACTGTAGTGAGCTATGATCATGCCATTGCACTCCAGCCCAGGTGACAGAGTGAGATCCTGTCTCAAAGGAAAAAACGAAAAACAAGAAAAGTCTCAGAATTGCCCTGGTACACGTGCTCAGTATAGCTCTTGTGTATGTTGTTACCTGCATGCTGACAACGACTCTCTGAGGTAGGTACTATTGTTGCACCTGTTTCTGTGAGTGGAGACAAGTGGTTAGAGAGGCTGCGGTTAGTTACTCAAGGCTACATGGCTAGGACGTAGCAGAGCAGAGACTTGAACCTGTATCTGGCACCAGACACCTCATGACTAATCCTTCTACAGCAGTTCTCAAACTTTTTGGTTGCTGAATCCATATACATTCTTAAAAACTGTTAAGAACCCCAGAGAGCTTTTGTGTATGTGGGTTATAGCTATCAATATTTATCATATTAGAGGCCAGGTGCAGTGGCTCACGCCTGTAATCCCATCACTTTGGGAGGCCGAGGCAGGTGGATCACCTGAGGTCAAGAGTTTGAGACCAGCCTGACCAACATGGTGAAACCCCATGTCTACTAAAAATACAAAAATTAGCCAGGCGTGGTGGCAGGCGCCTGTAATCCCAGCTACTTGGGAGGCTGAGCCAGGAGATTCACTTGAACCCAGGAGGTGGAGGTTGCAGTGAGCCGAGATCCCACCACTGCACTCCAGCCTGGGCGACAAGATCGAGACTCTCTCCAAAAAAAAAAAAAAAAAAAAAAGTAATGGCTTCATTATTTTTTAATGAATTAGATATTTTTAAATTTCTCATATATATATATATATATATATATATATATATATATATATATATATATATATATGGTTTTTGTTTTGTTTTTTTTTTGGAGACAGCCTTGCTCTGTTGCCCAGGCTGGAGTGCGGTGGCGTGATCTCGGCTGCAAACTCTGCCTCCTGGATTCAAGCCATTCTCCTGCCTCAGCCTCCCGAGTAGCTGGGAATACAGGTGCCCACCACCACACCCAGCTAATTTTTGTGTTTTTAGTAGAGATGGGGTTTCGCCATGTTGGCCAGGCTGGTCTCAAACTCCCGACCTCAGGTGATCCACCTGAGCCTCCCAAAGTGCTGGGATTACAGATGTGAGCCACCGCACTGGGCCTGAAGCCATTACCTATTAACATAAGTAACACATTTTATGAAAAATATATTTTCCAAAACAGAAAGATTCAGTGAGGAGAGTTGGCGTTGCTTTACTCCCCGCCGTGTCCCCCCCACGCCCCGTTGCCTCTTTTTTGTTTGGCTTAATAGTTAGGTGGATTATCATATCTCCTGCGTAAAAACCTGTTGCAGTATTGCATGGCATGCAGCCTCTGGAAAATTCCGCAGTTCGTTGTGAGAACATGAGAGCGGGAAGACAACATCTTAAACATGATGATGAGAACCGTGGACCTTACAGGCCCTGAAAAGGCTGGGGGCACACTTGGAAGCCACCGTCTTCTTCCCTGTAGCTCGCCTGGGCAGGTGGCCACAGCTAGCCATCTGAGGCCGGTCCGTGGTCCATTCCTGGAAGGCGTGGCTTCTGGCCGGTGCCCCGGGAGAGCTCATTGCGTGGAGATCCCCTGTCAGCGCCCCGCTTCACAGTCCCCCACGCTTCACCGTCCACCTCCCAGCTTCACTGCCCTCCCCCGCCCCCCTCCCCGACCCCCTCCGCACCCCCCCATCCCTGGCCGCTTCACTGTTCAGTCCGGATGCCTCCTGGAAAGAAAAGCCATACAGCACGAAGGAAAGCAGGCGCGGGAAAGTTCCTGTGAAGCTGGAGGGGAGGGGGCAAGAGAGAAAAGCTGCAGAAGGAAAGAGGAAGGAATGCAGGCACTAGGGGAGAGGAGGGGACGGCGGTCGCTGGGGTCAGGGGAAGGCGGACGCCTCTTCCACTGTCCTGAGAGGGAGGAGGCACAGAGGAAGCAGGCCCCAAGGGCCGGGTGCCATGAGAGGGAGAGGGAGAGGAAGAGCAGCACCCCAAGAAGGTGGAGCAGGGGAGGGAGGCCGCCCGGCTGGCCTGGGGTGGGGCAGGTGCAGCCTTCCCGGCTCCCCAAATTGCCCAGCTGTCCTGAAAATAAATCCCATGGGAAAGCGGGGAAGAAGCTGCCCCACCCCCGGACCCCCAGGACCTCCCTGTCCTCCTCTTGACTGCACCTTTGGGCCCTGCCTTTTAGATGGAATCCGATGGCTCTGAGCCCCGCCTGCCCCTGCACCCCCTGCCTCCTTCCTCCTTGTGCTCCTCTGCTGGCCTCCTCCAGTGGCTTCGGTGCTTTCTCACCTCACTGGATCCGTTCTTATTAATTAATTTATTTATTTATTGAGGCAGAATATTACTCTGGTTGCCCCTGCTGGAGTGCAGTGGTACCATTTGCGCTCACTGCGGCCTTGAGCTCCTGGGCTCAGGTGATCCTCCCACGTCAGCCTCCCAAGTAGCTGGGACTACAGGTGCCCACCACCACGCTGGCTAGTTTTTTGTATTTTTGGTAGAGATGGGGATTCACCATGTTGCCCGGGCTGGTCTCAAACTCCTGAGCTCAAGCGATCTGCCCGCTTCAGCCTCCCAAGTGCTGGGATTACAGGTGTGAGCCATCTCGCCTGGCCTCACCGGGTCCATTCTGACTTTGGGAGGGTGTGGTGGGATTTGGGTCCCTGCCCACCACAGACAGGGGGTGGGAATCTTTCAAGGAAGCCATGTGGCTGGGGGGATGCGGGGAGGTCTCCTCTGGAGAAGGAGGGCCAGGTTCCGGTTGATGGCCAGGCCAGGGCAGTCAGGCCAGCGGGAGTGCAGGCCATCGTCCCTGCCTTGCTGGAGGGAGAGCACTTTGCCAGAGAGGAAGAGCCTATGCCTCTCACCTGTCCATTTGGGGGCTCACTTTTCCCCTGTCTGTCTGATCATCCAGCTGACACTGTGCATGTCCGGTTCACCTGGGGTTGTAAGGTGAACAAATGCATGGCCATCCTCAGAAGGCCTGCTTCTGTCTGGTTTTGGCCTCTGGCTTTGAGGCTTCAGTTACTTGCAGGTGATCTTAATTTTAAGTAAAAATGGCCGGGCGCTGTGGCTCACGCCTGTTAGCCCAGCACTTTGGGAGGCCGAGGTGGGCGGATCACGAGGTCAGGAGATCAAGACCAATCCTGGCTAACACGGTGAAACCCTGTCTCTACTAAAAATACAAAAAATTAGCCAGGCGTGGTGGCGGGTGCCTATAGTCCCAGCTACTCAGGAGGCTGAGGCAGGAGAATGGTGTGAACCCGGGAGGCCGAGCTTGCAGTGAGCCGAGATGGCGCCACTGCACTCCAGCCTGGGCGACAGAGTGAGACTCCGTCTCAAAAAAAAAAAAAAAATTTTAAGTAATAAAACAGATTTTTTAATAGTTGCTTTATTCAAGATATTTTTGTGTATGGAGAGGAATACTCATTAACATTGGTACTTTATTGCTCAATTTATTCAAGTAATATAACTCTGAAAATCAATTTTCCTTAAGCATTTAAACATTATTAATTTGATTAATTATAAATCTAGTATTATAAATCTAGACTGATTCTTTTGAACACTCCAGACATCTTAACTAGCAGGCCAGACACACACAAATACAGTATTTCAGATTGATCGAGATGGCGGGATCTGAGCAATCTAATGATTGATTCTTTACAGAGTTGCACAAACCAAGGAGATTTAAACGGAGACCTTTCATCGTCAGGCCGTGTCTCTTTAAATCATGATAACAATGTTTATTTGTGGCATCCGGGACTAAGTTTCTTTTTGTCATAGAGGTGCTACTGGGGTACCTGTCAGAGTGGAGGAAAATGATGTGCAGCCACTAGAGGGCCCCTGAAATTTATTCTTTATATTTATTTATTTATTTTTAACTTTTACAAAATAGAGCTGCGGTCTCTCCATGTTGCTCAGGCTGGTCTCAAACTCCTGGCCTCAAGCGATCCTCCAACCTCTACCTCCCAAAGTGCTGGGATTACAGGCGTGAGCCACTGTGCCCAGCCTAAAATTGATTCTTCTTCTTAGTTATTATTATTTTTGGTGGCAGAGCAGAAAAGCATTTCTAAGTATATAAATACCTCTGACTTGACTTTTTACATCATCCTACCTAAATATGTTGTTGTTTTACTGACCACTAAGAATTTCTCTATATTACACACACGCACACACACACACACACAATCTCTTTCTCTCTCTCACTTAAATGAACAAATGAAAATATATTGTGTATAATTTCTTTTTTTGAATGCAGTTTATTTCATTTTGGCTTTTTTCTTTCTTCCTTTCTTTCTTTCTTTTCTTTTTTTTGAGACGGAGTCTCACTCTGTCACCCAGGCTGGAGTGCAGTGGTGCCATCTTGGCTCACTGCAACCTCCACCACCCGGGTTCAAGCAATTCTCCTGCCTCAGCCTCCTGAGTAGCTGGGATTACAGGCGTGCACCACCACACCCGGCTAATTTTTGTATTTTTAGTAGAGATAGGGTTTCACCATCTTGGCCAGACTGGTCTCAAACTCCTGACCTCCACCCGCCTCAGCCTCCCAAAGTGCTGGGATTATACATGTGAGCCACCTTGCCCGGCCTTCTTTTTGGTTTACTGCTCCCTGCTCCCCACATCCCTTGTTTCTTCTCTCCCACTTCACACGGCTCTTCAGATAACTCATGTAAATGATCTTGGAATACAAGAAATATTCTCCATGATCATAGAATTTCAAAGGAACATAGGTACTTGTGCATGAGCATATGTAGGTTTTTTCATTGTTTTATAAAAACAACATCACGTGATGTATTAGGATTCTCTAGAGGGCCAGAACTAATAGGATCTATCTATCTATCTGTCGATCTATCTATCTATCTAATAAGATCTATCTATCTATCTATCTATCTATCTATCTATCTAAAGGGGAGTTTATTAAGGAGTATTAACTCACACAATCACAAGGTCCCACAATAGTCCATCTGCAAGCTAAAGAGTAAGAAAGCCAGTCCAAGTCCCAAAGCTGAAGAACTTGGAGTCTGATGTTCGAGGGCAGGAAGCATCCAGCATGAGAGAAAGATGTAGGCTAAGAGGCTAAGCCAGTCTGGACTTTTCACGTTATTCTGCCTGCTTTATATTCTGGCCTCACTGGCAGCTGATTAAATGGTGCCCACCCAGATTAAAGGTGGGTCTGCCTTTCCCAGCCCACTGACTCAAATGTTAATCTCCTTTGGCAGCACCCTTACAGACACACCCAGGATCAGTACTTTACATCCTTCAATCCCATCAAGTTGACTCTTAGTATTAACCATCACACATGATTATACACATCATTCTGTCCCTTTTCTCAATAATTTCTTGTAGAAATTTTGGCTGCATACTAGTCAATGGTGTGAATGTACCATAAATTACACATTCATCCACCAGTGGGAATTCACTTTATTTCCAATTTATTTACCCTGCAAACAGCATCGCACTACTGATGACAAGCAGGCAACTGCGTTGGAGAGGGAGGTCATCATGGCTGCAAGGAAGGGACCGGACCCATATAATATACTACCCCTAAAGGCAGCTTCAGGCACCAAAGAAGACCCTAATTTAGTCCTCTCCATCACCAACAAGAGAAGAGTGGGCTGCATCTGCGTAGAGGACAACAGTACCATCACCTGCTTTGGGCTGCACAAAGGCGAGACCCAGTGATGCCCCAGCTATGGAACCCATTACAAGCTGGTGCCCCGCCAGCTGACGTACTGAGCACCTGCACCAAGTTACCCAAAATGTGCTGCAAAGTTTCTTCTTTCCAATAAAGAGTAGCCATTGCATTGGCTCCTTCTCCCATTAAAAAAAAAAGAAGAAAGGGCCGGGCGCGGTGGCTCATGCCTGTAATCCCAGCACTTTGGGAAGGCGAGGTGAGTGGATCACCTGAGGTCAGGAGTTTGAGACCAGCCTGACCAACATGGAGAAACCCCGTCTCTGCTAAAAATACAAAATTAGCCGGGCTTGGTGGCGCATGCCTGTAATCCCAGATACTCAGGAGGCTGAGGCAGGAGAATCGCTTGAACCCAGGAGGCAGAGGTTGTGGTGAGCAGAGATCGCACCATTGCACTTCAACCTGGGCAACAAGAGTGAAATTCCTTCTCAAAAAAAAAAAAAAAGAAAGAAAGAAAGAAAGAAAGAAAAGAAAAAAGGCCAGGCATGGTGGCTTATGCCTGTAATCCCACATCTTTGGGAGGGCGAGGCAGGAGGATTATTTGAGCCCAGGAGTTCTAGACCAGCCTGGCCAACATAGTGAGACCCTAACTATTTAAAAAAAAAAAAAGTCACATGCAGATTTTTTTTTTTTTTTTTTGAGACAGAGTTGCCCAAGCTGGAGTGTAGTGGGATAGTCTTGGCTCATTGCAACCTCTGCCTCCCGGGTTCAAGTGATTCTCCTGCTTCAGCTTCCCGAGTAGCTGGGATTACAGGCACACGCCACCACACCTGGCTAATTTTTGTATTTTTAGTAGAGATGGGGTATCACCATGTTGACCAGGCTGGTCTGAAACTCCTGACCTCAAGCGATCCGCCTGCCTTGGCTTCCTAAAGTGTTAGGATTACAGGTGTGAGCCACCATGCCTGGCCTAGTTGTCTATTTGTATCTTTTCCCATACAGACATTTTAGATTTTATGTAATCAAATAGATCTATATTTTTGTTGAAGGTCTCTGGATTCTCTCTTTTAATTATAAGGATTTTCCTAATTTCTGTTTTGTACATGTCTTCTGGATTTTTTTCTAAGATTTTAATTTTTTACATTGAAGCTCTGAGCCATCTGGAATTTATTTTTGCATATGGTATGAAAAAGGACTCAATTTTCTTCCAGATGGATAGCCAGTTGTGCCAGCACCATTTATTAAGCAGTCCAGAGTGTCCACCGAAATTAAGGCTATTGAGGCAGAAATAATTTGATAAAGGTTTATTGGAAGCCAAATGTGATGATCGACCCAGGAAGACACACCAACAAGGTTGGGGGTATTTCAGAGTCTGTCACAAGGTTTTTTTTAGGAAAGTTTAAAAGAAGGAAGGGGGAGCTGGGCGCAGTGGCTCATGCCTGTAATCCCAACAATTTGGGAGGCCGAGGTGGGTGGATCACCTGAGGTCAGGAGTTTGAGACCAACTTGACCAACATGGTGAAACCCTGTCGCTACTAAAAATACAAAAAAAAAAAAAAAAAAATTAGCCAGGCATGGTGGTGCATGCCTGTAATCCCAGCTACTTGGGAGGCTGAGGCAGGAAAATCGCTTGAACCCAGGAGGTGGAGGTTGCGGTGAGCCGAGATTGTGCCACAGTACCACAGCCTGGGTGTCATGAGCAAAAATATATCTCAAAAACAACAACAACAACAACAAAAAACAATGGAGGGGGACTCCTTTCCTTAGAGGGTACAACACAGAGGTTACCATCACCATCATGGGGTACAGATGACATCATACAGGATAAGAATGCCTACACACAAGACAATCAGTCGAACTTCAGACTTCAGCTCACCTTAAAAGAAATCAGTGTCCTATTTAGTGTCTGCAGGTTACACACTGATCAGTACATCAATCATTTGAGAAATTTATGATAAGATTCTTTAGTTGGAGACGCAATGTTACCATCGAGTCAAAAGACTGTTGCAGAACCCCAAAGGGTAGGTTTGAGTACCTGACACGCTGTAAGCCAAGCACTGACATGTGGGCGCTTAGGAGCAGAGAAAGGTTTATTCAATTTGGCCACGGCCTGAGGATGGGAGACCCAAACTCTCGAATCTGACCTTCCTTTGTAAGGTGGGTAGGGCGGGAGGTGAGATTCCCCCATGATCAAAGCTGTTTGCGTCCCTTCGTCAATCAAACTTCTGGACATCGCCAAGGAGGTCGCATGACCTCAGGATCTTCATTCTTCAGAAGCAAAACAAGTTCATGAATCTTGCAGGCAGCCTCCAGGGGGCAGAATGTGACGTTAATCAATTACTAGTGAATTGGTGAACACCCTCTACTTCAATGACCACATGTGGAGGAAGAAAAGAACAGAGAAGAAAATAAGTAACCAACATCTTATGGTTGTTATAGCATAGGCTGGGTTACAGCTCCCAAGGTGGATTGCTTTGGAAGCCTGCTTACTGTTGAACATGACTTGAAGGTTATCAACAGTTATTCATTCAATTACTCATGAATTTTCTGGGCAGCGGGTGGGGGATTCCCCGAACTGAGGACTCTTTCCCGTTTCGGACCATACAGGGTAATGTATAGATGTTGCCATGGCATTTGTAAAACTGTCAAGTCACTGGTGGTAGCGGTAGCGTCTTTTAGCACAAGAATTAATTTTAATTAGCATATAATGAGCGGTGAGGATGATCAGAGGTTTTGGCAGGTTTGGTCCGGGCCTCTTTACCGCATCCTGTTTTATCAGGGGGTCCTTGTGATCTGTAACTTGTGAAACCAGCCCTGCTGAACTACCTCAATATGAAAATAGTCTTAACCTTTGAGAAGAAGCCTTCGGTTCTAATTGATAGCCATATTTCCTGGTAATAATGTTGTAATCAACATCTTTGTATATTCCTTAAGCACTTAAATACTTAAAAAAGGGGGCTGTGTCAACCCTGAAGAGGATTACTGAGATTTTACTCATCTCCGTCCTGCATGATAAAAGAAAAATACATCCTGTTATTCCAGCAAATTGATGTTTTAATTAAGAGATCAAGGCCGGGCATGATGGCTCACGTCTGTAATCCCAGCACTGTGGGAGGCTGAGGCAGGTAGATCACCTCAAGTCAGGAGTTCTAGACCAGCCTGGCCAACATGGTGAAACCCCGTTTCTACTAAAAATACAAAAATTAGCTGGGCATGGTGGCGAGCGCATGTAATCCCAGCTACTCGGGAGGCTGAGGCAGGAGAATCACTTGAATCCGGGAGGCGGAGGTTGCAGTGAGCCGAGATCGCGCCACTGCACTCTAGCCTGGGTGACAGAGTGAGATGCTATCTCAAAAAAAAAAAAAAAAAAAGAGAGAGATTAAAAGTCTTAGATTTGCCTGTCTATTCCTATGCCAGTATCTGTCTGTCTATCTGTCAACGAAAAGAGTCAAACTCTATAAAATATTTGAATAGATTTATTCTGAGCCAAATATGAGTAAGCATGGCCCATGACACAGCCTTCAGGAGGTCCTGAGAACATGTGCCCAAGGTGGCTGGGGTGCAACTTGGTTTTATATATATTTAAGAAGGCATGAGACATCAATCAAATACATTCGAGACATATATTGGTTTGGTCCAGAAAGGCAGGACAATTCGAAGTCAGGGGGCTTCCAGGCTATAGGTAAATTTAAACATTTTCTGCTTGACAGTCGGTTTAGTTTGTCTAAAGACCTGGGATCAACAGAAAGAAAATGTTGAGGTTAAGATAAAAGATTGTGGCTGGGCACAGTGGCTCACACCTGTAATCCTAGCACTTTGGGAGGCCGAGGCGGATGGATCACCTGAGGTCAGGAGTTTGAGACCAGCCTGACCAATACAGCGAAACCCCATCTCTACTAAAAATATAAAAATCAGCCAGGCATGGTGGCACGCCTGTAATCCCAGCCACTCGGGAGGCTGAGGCAGGAGAATCTCTCAAACCCAGGAGGCGGGAGGTTGCAGTGAGCAGAGGTCCACTGCACTCTAGCCTGGGTGACAAAACTAGACTGTGTCTCAAAAATAAATAAAATAAAATAAAATAAAAGACTGTGAAGACCAAGTCTCTTTTGAAGTCTCATAGTGGCTGCCCTTAGAGACAAGAGATGACAAATGTTTCCTATCAGACCTTTAAAAGGTGCTAGACTGTCACCACCGGTAACACTCCAGTCTGGATGACAGCAAGTCTCCTTCTAGAAAAAACCAAAAACCAAAAAACAAAAAACCACCTCTGATCCCCAAGTTTTCCGTGAGACTGATTTGAGTAATAATAAAATTCCAGTCTCCTGCACAGCCTGCTCTGCGTGAATTACTCTTTCTCTATTGCAATTGCTGTGTCTTGATATAAATCAGCTCTGTCTAGGCAGTGGGCAAGGTGAACCCCTTCAGCGATCATATTGGAAAGTAAGTCATGAAACAGAGGGTTAAATAAAACTCATCTGATGAGAATTTATGGTTTATAGGGCATGACTCCCCAGACCCCTTAGATAGGAATTTGGGCAAGATTAAAAAAAAAAAAAAAGCAGAGCTTAGTCCTCATATCTACCTATCTATCTATCCATCCATCCATTCATCTATCCATCCATCTATCCATCATCATCTATCTGCTTCTGAGACCTGAAAGGCTAGTAAAGGTAATCAAAATATCCTTCTCTGATATATTTTGAGATGGCTGCTCCTGCAAACAGAAGCAGCCCTGCAAAGCGGTCTTCTATTATTATTATTATTTTGAGACTGAGTTTCATTCTGTCCTCCAGGCTGGAATGCAGTGGCATGATATCTGCTCACTGCAACCTCCGCCTTCTGGATTCGAGCGATTCTCCTGCCTCAGCCTCATGAGTAGCTGGGATTACAGGCACACACCACCACACCCAGCTAATTTTTTTTTTTTCTATTTTTGGTAGAGATGGAGTTTCCCCGTGTTGACCAGGCTGGTCTTGAACTCCTAACCCCAGGTGATCCGCCCACCTCGGCCTCTCAAAGTGCTGGGATTACAGATAGGCTTGAGCCACCGCGCCCGGCAAAAGCGGTCTTTTGTGGGGGAGATTTGCATCTGTAGAAAATCTGCATTGCTGCAGCCTGGTTTTCTCCCAGGCCCTCCCTTGTCCAGATCTAGGAAAGAGGAACTGAGATTCTGACACCCTAAAACTCTGAAAGAAACATTTACCATCTTTTTCCTCCGAGGACTGCTATCTGTGAGGTTTCATCTACATAACAAGACCACCTTTGCCAGCCAGGCCTCCTCTTCTCCCTTTCCCATAGCCTGTTTTGCCAGGATCCAAGCCCCAAATCTTTCTGTAACCTCAAGATGGTATATGAACTGCTACAGCTCTTTGTGGGGTTGGAGTGCTCCCTCTGTCATTCTCTCTCATGGACATGTTAATAAATTAGTATGCCTTTTCTCCTATTCATCTACTTTGTGTGGGCTAAGCTCTGATCTTTTCAGCTTGTGCAAATTCCTATCTAAGGGGTCTGAAGAGTCATGCCCTACTGTTATACCCGAGCGAGTTAGAGAAAACGCCACACTTTGAGACGAATTAAGAGTCCTTTATTTAAGCCGGTGGCCAAAGAGACAGCTAACGCTCAAAATTCTCTCGGCCCCGAGGAAGGGGCTTGATTTACTTTTATAGCTTGGTTTAGGAAGGGGAGGGGAGCTCAAATGCAATAATTCTACAGAAGTAAAAACACGCAAGAATCAAAAAACAAATGGTTACAGAGAAATAAACAATTTAAAAGACAAATGGTTACAAAAAAAGCAACGGAACCAGGTGCGGGGCTCTAAATCCTTCATAAGAGTTAGATATGGATGCTATGCCGGACACAGACTCAAGGCTTTATGTTGTTATCTTTTTGAGCAAAATCCTGGGAACTTCATACATTGTTTGTTCTAGTACCTTATCAGTTCATTGAGCTCCTTTGAAATGCTGAGGATCAGCTTACACAGGTTAACTCCTTGACGAAGGGGGTCGGGTAAGGAGCCCTTAACGTCTTGTAAATCAAGGGGCCAGATGGAGTTCGTCGGCTTTCCCCGCTAAGGGAGAGTCTATTCATATGGGAAACAAGGCTAGGTAATTAAGGAGACAAAAAGGGAACATTTAAAAATAGGGTTAGTAAAAACAAGGTTAAAATAAGGTTAGTAAAAAACAAAGTTAGGCATTACACTACAAACCATAAATTCTGGGAAGTGCTGGGAATATAGGTGTGAGCCACTACATCTGGCTTCTTAACCATTTTTAAGTGTACAGTTCAGTGGGTTTTTTTTTTTTTTTTTTGAAGATAGGGTCTCACTGTGTCATGCAGTGGTGCGATCTCGGCTCAATGCAACCTCCACCTCCTAGGTCCACCAATCCTTCCACTTCAGCTTCCCATGTAGCTCAGATGACAGGCATGCGCCACCATGCCCGGCTTTTTTTTTTTTTTTTTTTCTATTTTTGGTAGAGACAAGTTTCACCATGTTGCCCAGGCTTGTCTTGAACTCCTGAGCTCAAGCGATTCGCCCTCCTCAGGGAGGCTGGGATTACAGGCATGAGCCACCTCATCTGGCCCAGTGTTGTTAACTATACTTACATTGTTTGGTGACAGATCTCTGGAGCTTTTTCATCTTGCAAAACTGAAACTCTATACTCATTGAATGACAACTCTCAGTTTCCCCCTCCCCTAGCCCCAGATAGCCCTTGTTCTACATTCTGTTTCCTTGAGTTTGACTGTTGTAGATATCTCAAGGAGGTGGGATCATGCAGTATTAGTCTTTTTGTGACTGGCTTATTTCACCTGCTATAGTGTCCTCCAGGTTTACCTATTTTGTAGTGCATGACAGAATCTCCTTTTTCAAGGCTGAATAATATTCTACTATGTGTATATACCACCTACTTTGTAGCATATGACAGAATCTTCTAATATTCTACTGTTTGTATATACCACATTTTCTTTTTTATTTGGCTTTATTTCTACTTTATTTGGCCGGGCGTGGTGGCTCATGCCTGTAATCCCAGCACTTTGGGAGGCCGAGGCGGGCGGATCACGAGGTCAGGAGATTGAGACTATCCTGGCTAACATGGTGAAACCCCGTCTCTACTAAAAATACAAAAAATTAGCCAGGCGTGGTGGCAAGTGCCTGTAGTCCAAGCTACTCGGGAGGCTGAGGCAGGAGAATCACTTGAACCCAGGAGGCGTAGGTTGCAGTGAGCCGAGATCGTGCCACTGTACTCCAGCCTGGGCGACAGAGCGGGACTCCATCTCAAAACAACAAAAACAAAAACAAAACAAAAAACACTTTATTTTATTTTTTAAACTTTTATTATAGGTACAGGGGTATATTTTAAAACTTTTATTATAAACATATTATAGGTATGACAGAATCTCCTTTTTCAAGGCTGAATAATATTCTACTATGTGTACATACCACCTACTTTGTAGCACATGATAGAATCTCCTAATATTCTACTGTTTGTATATACTGCATTTTCTTTTCAAAAATACTTTATTTTTTAAACTTTGATTATAGGTACAGGGGGACAACGAATGGTTTGTTACATGGGTGATGAGGACTACACTGTGATTTTTTTGTTTTGCTCAAATTCCTATCTAAGGGATCTGAGGAGTCATGCCCTACAAATCATAAATTCTCACTAGATGGGTTTTATTTAACCCTACATATCGTGACTCACTTTCCAACCTGACTCTGGCATAGCATTACGAGACAAGGAAGAAAATAAAAATATTTTATCTTAAAACATGTTTCTTTGCCATATCTTGAAATGGCCCTGCAAAGCTGTCCTTTGTGGGGGAAAATTTGCAACTGTAAAGAATCTCTATTAATGTAGCTAGATCCAGGCCCTCCCAATCCTAAACAGATTAACTAGGAGTCTAGCACCTTTAAAAAATCTGAATAGGGCCAGGCGTGGTGGCTCACACCTGTAATCCCAGCACTTTGGGAGGCCGAGGTGGGTGGATCACGAAGTCAGGAGTTTGAGACCGGCTTGGCCCACATAAAGAAATCCCGTCTCTACTAAAAATACAAAAAATTAGCCGGGCATGGTGGTGGGTGCCTGTAATCCCAGCTACTCGGGAGGCTGAGAGGCAGGAGAATTGCTTGTACCCAGGAGGCGGAGGTTGCAGTAAGCCGAGATCATACCATTGCACTCCAGCCTGGCGACAGTGCGAGACTCCATCTCAAAAAAAAATCTGAATAGGAAACATTTGTCATCTATTATCTCTAAAGGCAGCCACTATAAGACTTCAAAAGAACCTTGGTCTCTGCAGTCTTTTTTTTTTCCTTTGGAGTGGGGGATTACAGGCACCTACCATCACACCTGGCTAATTTTTGTATTTTTAATAGAGACGGGATTTCACTATGTTGGCCAGGGTGGTCTCAAACTCCTGACCTCAGGTGATCCACCTGCCTCAGCCTCCCAAAGTGCTGGGATTACAGGCGTGAGCCACTGCACCTGGCTGGTCTCCACAATGTTTTAACCTGAACATTTCTTTTCTATGATCCTAGTGATCCCAGGTCTTTAGACAGCTCAGCTGCTGTAACCAAGCGAGTTATAGAGAAATGCCACACTTTGAGACAAATTAAGGAGTCCTTTATTAGCCGGCGACCGAGAGGCAGCTAATGCTCAAAATTCTTTCAGCCCTGAGGAAGGGGCTAGTTTTGTTTTTATACCATGGTCTAAATAGGGGAGGGGGAAGTTTAGCTGAGGCAATTGTTACAGAAGCAGAACTGGCAAAAAGTTAAAAAAATTAATTGGTTACAAATGCAGTTACAAAAAATAAACAGTTCCAGGTGCAGGGGCCTAAACTATCACGAAGAGATAAATGCAGGGGTTTTGGGTGCCATCCACCACGCGCGTCCCCAGGAGCTGCTAGTGCAGCTTGCCTCAGTATCTTCTCAGTAGGTGCATTCCTGGACGTGCTGTGAGTCGGTTTACACTAGTTATGCCTTAAGGGAGGCTGCAAGTGAAGAAACTAAAATGGAGTCTGTCCGGCTCTCTCTCTGCTAGGAGAGAGTTACTCAGGTTAAACAAGGTAGGGTATCACAAGCAAATCGTCAACTAGTGTTGTAGGAATCAAAGGACCAAAGAGACCAAATGGGTGAAACAGGAGGATTTTATTAAAGTGTGCACCGGCTCAGCAGATTCGCATCCGAAAGGCTGAGCCCTGAACAAAGACGGGGCTTGACTTTTATACATACAACTGAGGGGGTTGGCCATCTAGTTGCACAAAGCTTACAAGGCAGGCAAGCGGACTTACAGAGGCAGAACAAAGGCAGTTAATCATACAGTGACAGGTTTTGCAACCTGAGGAAAAAACAGGAACTTACCAAACTAAGGCAGGATTTACAGCTGGTACATGTCTTACCTGAGCATGTCTGATGACCTTGTTATGTTACACAGAGGAGAAACAGGAATCCGTAAAACTTTGTAAAGTAACCTTGAGTTTCACTAAGGAAGGGTTACTAAGAGGGGAGTGGGGAGCTGGGATAGGAGAAGAACCTGTTTTCTCGTCCTTGCCCATAACTGGGAGGGGAGGGGGCTCTGGAGCACATCCTTTGAGGGCTCTGGTTTTGCAGATAGTTATCAAATCTTTGCCAGAGCTCTGCTGCCTATCACCAGGTCTTGGAGTGGGTCAGCCTAGCAAGAGGAAACTTGTTTTTCTCTTTTAACCCCTGCTTCACCAGAAAATGTTTAAATTTATCATAGCCTGGAAGCCCTCCTACCTTTGAGTTGTCCCGCCTTTCTGGACCAATCTAATGTATTTCTTTCTTTCTTTCTTTCTTTCTTTTGAGACGGGGTCTTGGTCTGTCACCCAGGCTGGAGTGCAGTGGCACGATCTCGGCTCACTGCAAGCTCTGCCTCCCGGGTTCACGCCATTCTCCTGCCTCAGCCTCCCAAGTAGCTGAGACTACAGGCGCCCGCCACCATGCCCGGCTAATTTTTTATATTGTTAGTAGAGACAGGGTTTCACTGTGTTAGCCAGGATCATCTCGATCTCCTGACCTTGTGATCCACCCGCCTCAGCCCTCCAGAGTGCTGGGATTACAGGCGTGAGCCACCGCGTCCAGCCCAATGTATTTCTCAAATGTATTTGATTGATGTCTCATTCCTTCCCGAAATGCATAAAACCAATCTGCGCCCTGACCACTCTGGGCGCATGTTCTCAGGACCTCCTGAGGGCTGTGTCATGGGCCATGGTCACTCATATTATGCTCAGAATAAATCTCTTCAAATATTTTACAGAGTTTTACTCTTTTTATCGACAATGAACTTGTGACATGGGGGTTTTTGTACAGATTAATTCATCACCCAGGTATTAAGCTCGGTACAGATAAAAGAAAAACTTCAGCTGAATTAAATTTAAAAGAGTTTTTTAATTTTAATTTTTATTTTTTTTAGAGACTGAGTCTCACTCCATCCCCCATGCTGGAGTGCAATGGGTCAATCTCGGCTCACTGCAACCTCTACCTTCTGGGTTCAAGCGATTCTCCTGCCTCAGCCCCCCTAGTAGCTGGGATTACAGGCGCCTGCCACCATGCCCTGCCAATTTTTGTATTTTTAGTGGAGATGGGGTTTCGCCACGTTGGCCATGCTGGTCTCGAACTCCTGACCTCAGGTGATCTGCCCACCTCGGCCTCCCGAAGTGCTGGGATTACAGGTGCCTGGCCCAAATTTAAAGGAGTTTAATTGGACAATGAACAATTTGCGAATCGGTCAGCCCACAGAATCACAGCAGATTCACAGAGACTGAGTGCAGATACGTGGTGGAAAAAGATTTATAGACAGAAAAGGGGAAATGACATACAGAAATCGGCAGCGAGGTACAGAAACAGACGGATTGCTTACAGGTTAGCGTTTACTTTATTTGAACACAGTTTGAACACAGCAGTCTATGAGTGATTGAAGTATGGCTGCTAGGATTGGCCCAGCCTCAGTTATTGTTACAGGTGCATACTCCTAAATGAGGTTTTAAATGTTGTCTGACTGTTAAGCTAGGTTACAGTTCATCCACAAGGACTCAAATATAGAAGTATGGAGTCCTTCTCAGGCCATATTTAGTTTGCTATAACAATCCCCCTCCTCTTTTTTTTTCTTTTTTTTTTTGAGATGGAGTCTCACTCTGTCGCCCAGGCTGGAATGTAACAGTGCGATCTCAGCTCACTGCAACCTCCGCCTCCTGGGTTCAAGTGATTCTCCTGCCTCAGCCTCCCGAGTAGCTGGGACTACAGGTGCGTACCACCAGGCCCAGCTAACTTTTTGTATTTTTAGTAGAGAAGGGGTTTCACCGTGTTAGTCAGGATGGTCTTGATCTCCTGACCTCATGATCTGCCTGCTCAGCCTCGCAAAGTGCTGAGATTACAGGTGTAAGGCACCACTCCTGGCCAGTTTCCCCCTTTTGATAATTTTCTCAATTTGAGAGACTGATGAAAACATTAGTCATTGATGTCACTGTTACCATCATAAATGTGCTTATTTGGTCTTGAAACCCACTGGGAAACAGTAGAACAGTAGGTTTTGTGAGGAGGGAACAAGAACTGAGTAGACGGTACCCCTTTATGCTGGGATGTTCTGTTTACAGGAGAAAAACAAAACCTGGTGTGTTCTAGGATCTATGTTTCGTTAAAGTCTTAGTTTGATTATGTCACATTTAGCACGAGTGACTCCATTTTGTTTGGTTTGGTCTGTTGAGGCCTAGTGTATGAGCTCAGTCCAAAATAATGGCCGTCCTTAATTTTGTTTTAAAAATTCCCCCTTTTTGGCCAGGTTCTCACTTAAGTGAGAGTGTGACCAAAACTTAGGGCCTTATCACCACTCTGTTATCATTTTGGGTTGTGGGTCTCAGCATGTCATTCATAGGTCATGGTGACCTCATGGTCACACATTTCTTTTAGCTTTTGTCATTCCAGTTGAAGAGAGACCATTTGATGTTTTAGAGCTGGCTGTGTACAAACATTAAAAACCTTTGAGAGAATACAGCACATCAGGGAGACTATTATGACTATCGGGAGGATAACACCAAGAATTTGGAGTACCCAGGGTCCCCATACACCAAACCTTAAAATTAAATAGAAAATGAGCTGGATGAAGAGTCTACTCTTCATCTTGACTAAGTAGTCTTTTCATTAATCTACTACAACTGAATTTGTGTAACCTACATTTGATGTATTTCTCCACAGGCCACAAGTGTCAACAGCAGCCCAGGTACTTTTCTGTTTCGTGAATTCTATTGTTCAGCATAACTTTCACAAGAGAATTTAAAGTCTGCTGTATAATGCTACCCTTTAAAGTAGACTCTGCTGGCCGGGCATGGTGGCTCATTCCTGTAATCCCAGCACTTTGGGAGGCCGAGGCGGGAGGATCACTTGAGGTCGGGAGTTTGAGAACAGCCTGGCCAACATGGTGAAACCCTGTCTCTACTAAAAATACAAATACTAGCTGGGCATGGTGGCACGTGCCTGTAATCCCAGCTACTGGGGAGGCTGAGGCAGGAGAATCGCTTGAACCCGGGAGGCGGAGGTTCTAGCGAGCCAAGGTCACGCCACTGCACTCCAGCCTGGGTGACAGAGCGAGACTCCATCTTAAAAACAAACAAAAAAAGGGTCAGCTGTGGTGGCTCATGCTGTAATCCCAGCACTTTGGGAGGCCGAGGCGGGCGGATCACTTGAGGTCAGGAGTTCGAGACCAGCTTGGCCAACAAGGTGAAACCCCATCTCTACTAAAAATACAGAAATTAGCTGGGCATGGTGGTGGGCGCCTGTGATTCCAGCTACATAGGAGGCTGAGGCAGGAGAATTGCTTGAATCCAGGAGGCAGAGGTTGCAGTGAGCCGAGATCGTGTCACTGCACTCCAGCCTGGGTGACAGAGGGAGACTCTGTTACCCCCCCCACCCAAAAAAAAGTAGAATCTGCTATAGAGTCTATTGTGAGGGATACATACTAAGTATTGCCACTTTTATTCTAAACTATGGAAAAAGGACCTAACAAATGATGTCCTTCTAGAAGAGTAAAGGCAGTGTTTTCTTTAACTCGTGATGTGGGTTAAGAGACATGAATGAATGTTCTGTTTCTGACTTATTATGAGGCAACATATGTACCATTAAAGTTTTTCACCTACACTGGGCCTTTATCTTTTATCTATTAAAGTATAAGGTTATTCATATATAAGGCTGGCTGCAAACTCCTTTACAAATAAAAGTATACCCCATAAGTGCACATAATAGACCCCTTTTCCACTTCTATTGTTCATAGAGGCATAAATAAGAAAAAATATTCAAGGATAAGAGTCTCACGATAATAGAAAAACCTTTTTTTATTTTTTTGAGATGGAGTCTCACTCTGTTGCCCAGGCTGGAGTGCAGTGGCGCGATCTCGGTTCACTGCAACCTCCGCCTCCCAGACTCAAGCAATTCTCCTGCCTCAGCCTTCTGAGTAGCTGGGATTACAGGCTTGCACCACCACCATGCCTGGCTAATTTTTTATACTGTTAGTAGAGAAGAGGTTTCACCATGTTGGCCAGGCTGGTCTCGAACTCCTGACCTCAAGTGATCCTCCCACCTCAAATTGTTGGGATTACAGGCGTGAGCCCCCACGCCCAGCCTAGAGAAGTCTTGATCTGTGATCTTGGGAAAAGCTGTTCACATTAAGGATGCCATCTTCTTCTGGGGAGTGACATCTCTGGTTAGTTTTACTTTAAGGGTTCTGGTGGGTGAACAGTTCCAAGAATGTGGAGGGTCGCTTCTCAGTTGTGAGATTATGAACCCAAAGTTCAAGGTTCCAAAGTTTTGCTGCAATGTGGATGGCAAGGACAGTCTTTCTCTGATGTTCAGAAGATCCATTCTTCGGGTTCTGGATTGTGAAAGGGTTGTCCTCAGTGAACCACACAAAGCTTTCTTTATCTGGTGAAAATACACTGTAGCACAATAATCTACTGCTACATTAGCCCTCTTGCATGGGAAAGCTTTTATACAACCAAAAAAAAAGCACTGAAAATGACAATTGAATGAAATCCCTTTATAAATGTTTAAATGGCCCATCACGCAGCCAAATGTACCTGAAGCTTTGATTGTCTTCCCAAGAATATGCAACCAAACATTGATTTTAAACTATTTCCTTGGCCGGTCGCAGTGGCTCACGCTTGTAATCCCAGCACTTTGGGAGGCCTAGGCAGATGGATCACCTGAGGTCAGGAGTTCAAGATCAGCCTGGCCAACCTGGTGAAACCCCGTCTCTACTAAAAATACAAAAATTAGCTGAGCGTGGTGTCAGGCACCTGTAATCCCAGGTACTCGGGAGGCTGAGGCAGGAGAATCGCTTGAACCCGGGGGGTGGAGGTTGCAGTGAGCTGAGATTGCGCCATTGCACTCCAGCCTGGGCCACAAGAGTGAAACTCCATCTCAAAAATAAATAAATAAATAAAAATAAACTATTTCCTCAATTTGTAAGTCCACATATTCAATTTGGATTATTTTATCTTTTCCATGATGAGTCATGGAATATAGAACCTTTAATAACAAAAGTTTTTAGGACTCAGGAAGGACAAGGCGGCCGTCCTGGTTCTCCATGAGTCCATGCTTAACACTGGACTTATGTCCTCTTGAATACCAGCTGCTTCTCCAATCTAGGTGCATAGCAGTGATAACTAATGGGTTATCATAGGTAATTTGATTTAGACCATAAAGTTCATTCAAATTGTATATCTAAACAATTTTAATATTGGCCGATTTAGCATGATAATCTGGCAAAGTTTTTTGGTATTTCATGAATTTTTGTTTTACTTGTGTTAGCAGTTTTATAAACCAGTCAGTTGTTTTCTTTTCTTATTGAAGCAACAGGAATTCTTACCCAGTCCAATTCTTGGGGAATTGTGGAATTCATGGGAAATTCTTACTTATGATGTGATCTTTCAAAATTTATTTATTTTTACATGATATGATTTTAAAGTTACTAGAAACCTGTATTCAAAGGTGCTTTTCAGAGTCCTTTTATGAACCTTTTAAAAGATACCATATTCTAGGATTTTGCATGCTTCTGAAGTTTTCAGAAACTGCATCAGCCTTAAGCAATTAACTGTGGAAATGACTATAAATAATTATAATTTTTATTTATTTTATTTTATTTTGAGATAGAGTCTCGCTCTGTCACCCAGGCTGGAGTGCAGTGGTGTGATCTCAGCTCACTGCAACCTCTGCCTCCCAGGTTCAAGCAATTCTCCTGCCTCAGCCTCCTGAGGAGCTGGGATTACACGTGTCCACCACCACACCCGGCTAATTTTTTTGTATTTTTAGTAGAGCGGGGTTTCACCATGTTCGCCATGCTGGTCTCGAACTCCTGACCTTGTGATCTGCCCACCTCAGCCTCCCAAAGTGCTGGGATTACAGGCGTGAGCCACTGCACTTGGCTGTTTTTTGCTTTTTTCAATCAATTTTGTGGGCACCTCTGCTCCATAGAGTTTGACCTTATTTATTTGAACACAGATACTGAGAAAGGACAGAGGTTACCTGGACTACAAAATAATGCAGCGATTCTAGACTCAACAGAGACTCCTTCAATAGAGCATTGTTGTTGTTGTTTGTTTTTTTATTTTTATTTTTTTGGTGCTGTAGAATAAAATCCTTTGTACTTTTCTTTTTTCTTTTTTTTTTTTTTTTTTTGAGATGGAGTTTTGCTCTTGTTACCCAGGCTGGAGTGCAATGGCGCTATCTCAGCTCACTGCAACCTCCATCTCCCAGGTTCAAGCGATTCTCCGGCCTCAGCCTCCCGAGTAGCTGGGATGACAGGCATGCGCCACCACGCCAGGCTAATTTTGTATTTTTAGTAGAGACGGGATTTCTCCACATTGGTCAGGCTGGTCTCAAACTCCCAACCTCAGGTGATCCACCTGCCTCAGCCTCCCAAAATGCTGGTATTACAGCATTTTGGTGAGCCACCGTGCCTGGCCTTTTTTCTTATTTTTTTTTGAGATGGAGTCTCATTCTCTTGCCCAGGCTGGAGTGCAGTGGCGTGATCTCGGCTCACTGCAACCCCCACCTCCTAGGTTCAAGTGATTCTCCTGCCTCAGCCTCCCAAGTAGCTGGGATTACACGCGCGTGCCACCATGCCTGGCTATTTTTTATATTTTTAGTAGAGACAGGTTTTCGCGATGTTGGTCAGGCTGGTCTCAAACTCCTGACCTCAGGTGATCCACCCACCTCGGCCTCTCAAAGTGCTGGGATTATAGGCATGAGCCACCGCACCTGGCCTTAACTCAGTATCTTAGTCCATATGTCCTATAACAAAATACCACAGACTGGGTGATTCATAAACAATAGAAATTTATTGGCCGAGCATCTCAGCCTCCCAAAGTGCTAGGATTACAGGCGTGAGCCACCGTACCCGGCTGGATTTACAGACTTTATCTTTATTTTTTCAATTATAAAATTATTCACCCACTTAGAACAGAAAGCAATATGGAAAAAGGAGGAAAGGAAGGTCTTCTGTACTTGGATGGGGCCAGGTTGGGGCAAGGAACTGGCACTGTGGAGCTTAGTGCTTGCTTACAGGACCAGCAGGCTATGAGGCAACTGACATGCCCCAGGGAAAGTCATCTTGAGTTGCTTCTTGATAATGAGTGGGATACGGGTCCAAGCTGCAAACTTCTTAAGTCATTCTCTAAAACATCCACACTTCAGGACTGCTGAGAGGGAAAGAGAGAAGTTAGGAGGTACCAACTGGTGGGACACCACAGGGAGGAAGGGAGGGAGAGGTGAGGATGAGATCATTAGGAAGAGAAAAGAACTGGCACCAGAAGGGCCCAGAAGGCCTGGAGAAAAACACGGAGGTGACAAGAGCATCTTAGAAAAGGGAGATTGTCTGTTTACTCTGTTGATAGTTTCTTTTGCTGTGCTCCATTTAATTAGATCCCAATTGTCAATTTCTGTTTTGGTTGCATCTGCTTTTCAGAATTTAATCATAAATTCTTTGCATAGACCAGTGTCCAGTAGAGTATTTCATATTTCCCGGGTTTTCTTCTAAGATTTTTATAGTTTGAGGTCTTACATTTAAGTCTTTAATTCATCTTGGGTTATTATTATTTTTTTAAGCAAAGCCTCACTCTGTTGCCCAGGCTGGAGTGCAGTGGCACGATCTCAGCTCACTACAGCCTTCACCTCCCTGAACTCATGCAATCTCCCATTCACCCTCCCGAATGGCTGGGACCACGGGCACATGCCACCATGCCTGGCTGATTTTTGTATTTTTTGTAGAGATGGGGATTTGCCATGTTGCCCAGGCTGGTCTTTGAACTCCTGGGCTCAAGTGATCCACCCGCCTTGGCCTCCTGAAGTGCTGGGATTACAGGCATGAGTCCTCATGCTCAGCACATGTTGAGTTAATTTTTTTTTTTTTTTTTTTTTTTTTTTTTGGGACAGAGTCTTGCTTTGTTGCCCAGGCTGGAGTGCAGTGGCATGATCTCGGCTCACTGCAACCTCCCACCTCCTGGGTTCAAGCAATTCTCCCGCCTCAGCCTCCTGAGTAGCTGGGATTATAGGTGCAGAAACAGGGTTTCACCATGTTGGCCAGGCTAGTCTCGAACTCCTGACCTCTTGATACACCTGCCTCGGCCTCCCAGTGCTGGGACTACAGGCGTGAGCCACTGTGCCTGGCCGAGTTAATTTTTGTATATGGTGAGAGGTACACATGGACATAAAGATGTAAATAATAGACGCTGGAGACTCCAAAAGAAGAGAGGGTGGGAGGGGGGCCAGGGTTGAAAAACTACCTATTGGGTGCTATGTTCCAGTAGATTGGGTGACTCAGACCTCAGCATCACACAATATATCCATGTAACGACCCTGCGCACGTACCCCTGGAATCTAAAAGAACAAGAAGGAGCCCCTGGTGCGAGAGGAGAACACAAAAAAGAAACAGGTAGTGGGGCGGGGCACGGTGGCTCACACCTGTAATCCCAGCACTTTGGGAGGCCAAGGAAGGCAGGTCACTTGAGGCCAAGAGTTCTAAGACCAGCCTGGGCAACATGGTGAAACCCCATCTCTACTAAAAATGCAAAAATTAGCTGGGCATGGTGGCGAGTGCCTGTACTCCCAGCTACTCGGGAGGCTGAGGCAGGAGAATCACTTGAACCCGGGAGGCAGAGGTTGCACTGAGCCGAGATCACACCACTGCCCTCCTGCCTGGGTGACAGAGTGAGACCCTGTCTCAAAAAAGAAAAGAAAAGAAAAGAAAAAAAGGTAGGGGTAAGGGCAGTGGGCAGAGGTGTGACTGGGTATGGGGCTGCGGCAGGCGGTGAGGAGGTCGGGGGCAGCAGGCAGGACAGTGCCTCACCTTTATCCTCTCAAGCCGTCGCTTTATGGCTCGACTGTTTTTATCTAGCTCCTCTAACATCTTATAGGGGTTGAAGGAAAGCGGTTTCTCGTGGTCCACAAAGTTTTCCCAGCAGTCAGCAAACTCTGAGAGGGAAGAGGGAAACCAGCCAGGCCCCAGGGGCAGCAGCTGCAGTGCCAGGAGCTCTTGCTTCCTTTCCCCTCTCTTCTCTTCCTCTCCCTGGACATTGCTCTGTCTGGGGAATTCTCCCTCCCGGGTGGTGTCAGATCTTGGGCCTTGACTGAGCCACAATCCTTCCTTCCTGGCCTCCCACAGACCCCCCGCTCCCCGCCACCCCCCCACCCCCTGCCAACCTCCTCCAACCCGCCCCCGCCCCCCGCCAACCTCCTCCAACCCGCCCCCACCCCCCGCCAACCTCCTCCAACCCGCCCCCGCCCCCCGCCAACCTCCTCCAACCCCCAACCCCCAACCCCCAGCCCCTGCCAAGCCTGTGCCCCCGGGGGTTTGCACTCTTATAACTGCAAAGCCTCTTTCCTACCTGGGAAGCCCATGACCTCCACCGGGACCTGGGATCCACACAGAAGCCGCAGCCCCTTCTGCTGGGGCTTGCACCAGTGGTAGTACAGGCGGGAGGCGAAGATGCCCAGGTTCAGATGGTCGTGAGCCTTGATGAAGTCAACCAGCTCCCAGGCACAGGAGGAGCAGGGGCTCCACGTGAGGTAACAGGTGACTTGGTAGCACTGCGTTTCGTCCAGTCCCATGGACTTGATCTCGTTAATAAAGCAAATTTCTGCATGGCACTTTTTCTGGGGAGGGTCCCAAACAGAGAGAAGGGAGGGGAGAAGAGAGAGGCCAGGAGTCATGTGACTGGGGGCGGGGGCCGGGACGGGGGCGGGGATGGGGGGGCAGAGGGGTCTGTCCGGTGAACTTTCTAGTGCGTGGCCTGGCCTAGTGCAGGGCAAGCACCCGCTTCCTGCCTTCCCTGGTTTATACAGCCCTGCACTCACGCACCCGTGTGTTAATTCATCTGTCCCAGGACTTCCACATCTTTCTGTAAATTGGACAAAGATCCCTGTGTCCAGAGGAGGAGACAACACCTCCACGCCCCAGTCCCGAAGCTCTGTGGACCCTGCCTTTGGACACCCGCCTAGGAGGCTGTGTCCAACCC
This sequence comes from Homo sapiens, assembly GCF_000001405.40. Taxonomy (NCBI): domain Eukaryota; kingdom Metazoa; phylum Chordata; class Mammalia; order Primates; family Hominidae; genus Homo; species Homo sapiens. The sequence goes on along the minus strand of NC_000022.11, from coordinate 39,100,874 downwards.
GGGATGATCCTAAAGAGCAGGTGAGAGCCGGGGCGGGGGGCGGGGAGGCGGGGAGGCAGGGCAGGTAGGGGCTGGCAATAGAGCGGAGAGGACAGGGGTGTGATGGAGTTGCACTCGGACCGTGGCACGGCACCTCGGCTTTCCCGAAGTAGTGACTGAGCTGAGATCGGGAGAATGAGTAAATGAGAGGGGCAGAAGGAGCATTCTACAGAAGGGTTGGCCTCTTCAGAGGTCCGGGGACGGGAAAGAATGGGAGTGTCCTAGGGAAACTGGGCCACTCAGATCCAGCTAAGCCAAAACCCAGGCAGGCACCAAGGGTTACGAAAACACAGAGGGTGTTACATCAAAAATTGAGAAATTTATAGGCAGGCATTTCATGTATTTTCTGCACACATCAGATGGGGTTAGCCCCTGCCGGCCCTGTGCCCAGAGAGCCCGTGTGGCACCTTGTTTTCAAAGTAGCCTCTCGTGGGCGTGGAGCCATTCTGCGGCGTCAGCTGGTAACACAAGAGGGCCTTCCTCGGGTAGTAAGGCCTTCTGAGGCGGCGCTTGTTGTTAAACTGTAAGCGGAATGTTTCGGCTGTTAACAGAGCCATCGTGTTTCTGTGCAACAGAAAGGGGAAAACCAAAGATGAAGGGAGCGTCCTCTTGAGTCACCCCAGGCTCAAGCCACTTTTCAAACCCAACTCTTTTTTGTTTTTTGAGACAGAGTCTCGCTCTGTCGCCCAGGCTGGAGTGCAGTGGCCCGATCTTGGCTCACTGCAACCTCCGCCTTCCAAGTTCAAGCGATTCTCCTGCCTCAGCCTCCCAAGTAGCTGGGATTACAGATGCCTGCCACCACGCCTGGCTAATTTTTGTATTTTTAGTACAGACGGGGTTTCACCATGTTGGCCAGGCTGGTCTCGAACTCCTGATCTCAGGTGATCCACCCACCTTGGTCTCCCAAAGTGTTGGGATTACAGGTGTGAGCCCCTGCGCCCAGCCAAACCCAACCCTTTCTGTTCATTTGGGCCCTTCCCCTTGGTGAGGGAGGGTCTCCCCTTTAGTTGTTGGCCAGGAGGACTGCAGTGGAGCAGGGGAAGGAAGGGCTGGCAGGAGGACAGGAGGAGGGGAGTGCTCCCTCCCACCTTGTCTGCTATCTCCCATCCTCCCACCTGGGAGGGCACCGGCTGCTGCCCACAGCTGAGGCTCTTTGCATGGGGATGCCCCGACCTCGTCACTATTCTTCCTGGGTTGGGTGGGGATCCCCTGCCTGAGAACTGTGGGTGTGCCTTTCTGGCTCCCCTGGGCTCAGAGCTGCTCTGAGCTGCTCACACGCCTCTGGCCTGAGTCCCAGATCCCTCTTTCCAGCTGCAGTTGGACACCCCCTCCTTGAGGTCCACAGGCCTCTCGACCCCTACATGTCCAATACCAGAACCCTTCCCCTTGGGGAGTGATGGGGTGGAAACTGGGGCTTCCTCCAGCACTGTGCTCTTTGCTCAGGTGTGTGTTTGACAAGTTTGTCTGCACAGAACACAGTTGAGTGAACAGAAAAGCTGTTGTCACCAAGGGAGTGTTGTGACACATTTTTGGCTGAAGAAATTACATAGATTTTGCTCTCCTGAATTGTGATTACATTCTACAGAGGATTCAATTTTGGATTTTGCTTTTTTTTTGTTTTTGAGAGAGAGTCTTGCTCTGTTGCCCAGGCTGGAGTGCAGTGGTCCAATCTCAGCTCACTGCAAGCTCCACCTACCAGGTTCAAGTGATTCTCCCGGGTTCAAGCAATTCTCCTGCCTCAGCCTCCCAAGTAGCTGGAATTACAAGCGCCCTCCTTCATGCCCGGCTAATTTTTGTATTTTTGTAGAGATGGAGTTTTACCATGTTGGCCAGGCTGGTCTTGAACTCCTTTGACCTCAGGTGATCCACCCACCTCGGCCTCCCAAAGTGCTGGGATTATAGGCGTGAGCCACCGCGCCCCGCCAGGATTGTGACCCATGCGCTCACCTCCTGTCTCCCCGAGGGCCTGAGCTCCTTTTCTTTGGCCTGTCTGATTGATGGTTGCCCATCTACTTTCTATTCTGCTTTCTGGAAAACCCCTGAGCATTTCAAGCCTCCAAGTCCTGAGAATTTCTGCAGCTTTCCCAAGCAGGAAGACCAGGGAGAGGAGAAGAGAAGGAGATGCTGGCAGGGGCAGCAGGGCCGGGGTGACCTCTCCCAGCTCAGGGCCCTAGCTCTGGTCTTTCCAGGGATGGATCTCCCATCCTCCCAGTATTTCTGCCACCCATCCTCTAACCCATTAAAAATAAGAAAAGTGAATAAAATTCTCCCCTTCAAAATAAGAGCTCTTAATATTTCAGTTCAATTAATTCCTGGCATTTTACCTATTCATGTTATTTTATTTTATTTTTTTAGTTTTAGTAGATAAGGGGGTCTCCCTGTGTTGCCCAGGCTGGTTTGGAACTCCTGGCCTTTAGTGATGATCCTCCCCTCTCAGCTTCCCAAAGTGTTGGGATTACAGGCATGAGCCATTTTGCCTGGCCAGGCAGGAAAATGGCGTGAACCCAGGAGGTGGAGCTTGTAGTGAGCCGAGATTGCGCTCCAGCCTGGGCAACAGACTGAGACACCCCTTCTCAAAAAAACAAAACGAAACAAAAAATCAGGGTAGCACTTCCATCCCCAGGCCCAGGCCACTCTTCTAAGTGCTGAGAGGATCTGAGCTCACGTGAGGCTGCCCTAGGCCTGCAGGGGCCATTCTCATCTTACAGAGGAGGGGCCAGAGGTGCAGAGAGGTGGGGTAACCTGCCCAGGCCATGGAGCTGGGCCACTTTCCTGGCCAGCCCTGCCAGCCTCTGCATCACGGGCCCTGCAGGAGGGAGCCTTTGGGAACCAGGCTCTCTTCTTCCTAAATTTTAAAATAAAAGCATTTCTCCTGATCATTGAGTTTTTCCGTATATTCCGTGTTACTGGTGTCATTATAAACGGTGAATGTGAATACTGATCATGGAGGAGGAGTGTGTGTTCAGGGTCATCTGCATCCTCCTCTGCCCACAGTGGAGACATCCTTGGAAGAGATGATTTGCCTTGTGCTTCAGAGATCATTGCCTCCCCACACCCTCTCCTAAGACTTTGTATTGAAACAAAGTAATCTTACACAAAGTTCATCAAAGCACTGTGAACAAAATTCCAGATTGCTCCCATCATCCTTTAGTTCAGTTCTCCCAGTTCCAGAGCCCAGGAATGGCAGGAAGCACACAGAGAGAGCACCCTCCCAAGGTGGGGAGCACTAGCCCAGCCATGACTCTTAGGGGAGAGTCTCAGCAGGGGTCTTGGGCTGGTGCAGGCCGGGGAGGCGGCCCGTTCAGAAGCAGCAGTGGGGTGACCACACAGCAGGGCAAAGAGCCTGGGTGGGAGTGGGGATGGCAGGGGAGCCAGAGGAGAAGGAGCCCAGGGCTGGGGCTGGGGCAGCGGGAGGCCAGGGCTGAGGCACAGAAGGGCTGCCAGGCAGGAAGTGGCAGCAGAGGGCCCAGTGGACAGAGTGGGCGGCAGTACCTGATCTGTGCTTCTGGCCACAGCTTCCTTAGCAGACTTGCCCCTGCTTGTCTGAGGCACTAAGTTTCACTTTTGGCAGCTCTCCCAAAAGTCACAAAAGGTCAGCTCTCCCAAAAGTCACAAAAAGTCACTGCTTGATGAGGGTGGCTCCACCCTCTTCCTTTTGTGGGACTGGAGTGGGAGGGCCCTGGGGTGCTTCAGATCCCTCAGGCTCCTTTCTTTCTCTATTTCCTCGGGCTTGGCAGGGGAAGTCTGATGGAGGTGGCTCACCTCCCATCCTCCCACCCCCAATTCCCTCTCCAGGTACAGCCAGACTCAACTCCCTCCCCAGGTATAGTTTACAAAAGAACAAAGGCCAGATGCGGTGGCTCACACCTGTAATCCGAACACTTTGGGAGGCTGAGGTGGGCAAATTACAAGGTAAGGAGATGAAGACCATCCTGGCCAACATGGTGAAACCCCGTCTCTGCTAAAATACAAAAAATTAGCCAGGTTTGGTGGCCTGCGCCTGTAGTTCCAGCTGCTTGGGAGGCTGAGGCAGGGAAATTGCTTGAACCTTGGAGGCAGAGGTTGCAGTGAGCCGACGTCGCACCACTGCACTCCACCCTGGCAACAGAACGAGACCCTGTCTCAAAAAATAAATAAATAAATAAAAATAAAAAAGAAAGAAAAAAGAAAGGAATTGATGGCTGGTCACGGTGCCTGTTATCCCAGCACTTTGGGAGGCTGAGGCAGGTGGATTGCCTGAAGTCAGGAGTTCAAAATCAACCTGGCCAACCGCACTCCAGCCTGGGCAATAAGAACAAAACTCCGTCTCAAAAACTAAACTAAACTAAAATAAATGAAAGGAATAGAAGCCACAGAAAGGAGCAGGGATCCAGACCAGGGCTGACACCATAGACCAGATGCCACTCCCCTGGTGGACAGGGCAGGCTGCAGCCCCCTCCCCACCACCCCACTGACCTTTGGCATTCAGCCTCCTGGCAGGACCCTGAGCCTGATGTGAAATGAGCACTGGGGTCAGGCTCAGGACTGCATCTCCAGCGGATCCAGTGCCCATTATCTAGCCCAGTCCCCAGATAGCACTGGGAGGGGAGGGCAGTGATCCTGACAGTCAGAGGAGGTCCCAAGCACAGAGAGGCTAAGATACTGTCCCCACGTCACACAGCAAATCAACAGCAGAGCTGGAGTGCTGGCCAGGACTTCCTGTGTCCCTTCTCCCCCACAGCTAGCTACTTTGAGGTTCTTCATTGCTCCATGGAAAGGAGCAGGAGAGGAGACACGAGGGAGGGGACTTACTGCTCCTAAAGGGCCTCCCAGGTCAGAGATGAAGGACCTGGACTTCACATTTGCATTCTGGAACCCATGTCCTCGTCTTCATGCATATCAACCAACACCCTTCAGATCATAAACACCAAAGAGCCAGGCCAGGTGCTGTGGCTCACGCCTGTAATCCCAGCACTTCGGGAGGCTCAGGCAGGCTGATGACCTGAGGTCAGGAGTTCGAGACCAGCCTGGGCAACACGGTGAAACCTCGTCTCTACTAAAAATACAAAAATTAGCCAGGCGTGGTGGCGGGCATCTGTAATCCCAGCTACTCAGGAGTCTGAAGCAGGGGAATCATTCGAACCTGGGAGGCAGAGGTTGCAGCGAGCCGAGATTGTGCCACTGCACTCTAGCCTGGTCGACAAGAACGGGACTCTGTCTAAAAGAAAAGAAAAAGAAAAACCAAAGAACCCCTAGGAAAGTTGAATCCCAAGGGCGAGGACTAGGGGCAGTCACTGCGGAGTCTAGGTTCCACACCAAGGAGTCCCATTGAACCTTGCCCAGCTTGTCCCTCCATATCCTCCCGCCCTGCACACCCTGACAGCCCTCTAGACCCTGCATGGCCCCTGGGGTCACAGGAGCTTGGGTGAGAATTTAGAAGGTTCCTGGGAATGGCATCCCCTCCACCCTATCTGTCCTAAATGTTGGGGCTACAGTCCATGGAAGATTCCAGAATGAGCGGGGTCCTGCCAGGAGAGACATCAGATCTGCACACTGTAGTGCTGGTTAATCACAGAGCTGAGTCTCCCAGGCTGAGAAGCAGGGAGGATGGAAAGGAAGGCGGAACCCTTTCCTGGTCCTTCCCACAGGCAGCATTCCCACTACTCCTCCAGTGAATTCCTGCAGCAGAGACCCTGTGGTGTCTAGGACGGGCCTGTGCTTAGGTGTTATCTCCAGGAGGACGGGAGGTTAGGCTGGCCACTCTGGCCTGTGTTCGTTGCTGCAAAGGGGGACCCGATCCAGACCCCAAGAATGGGTTCTTGGATCTCTCACAGGAAAGAACTCAAGCTGAGCCACAGGGTGCGGTGAAGTTGTGATCATTTATTAGAAGCTCCGGCACTACAGACTAGGGAGGCCTCAGAAGGCAGAAGGAAGAACGTCCCGTCTTTGTTTTAAGCTTCTTTTTTTTTTTTTTGAGATGGAGTCTCGCTCTGTCACCCAGGATGTGGTGCAATGGTGCGATCTCGGCTCACTTCAACCTCTGCCTCCCAGGTTTAAGAAATTCTCCTGCCTCAGACTCCCGAGTAGCTGGGTTCACAGGTGTGCAGTGCCACACCCAGCTAATTTCTGTATTTTTAGTAGAGAGGGGATTTCATCATATTGGCCAGGCTGGTTTCAAACTTCTGACTCCTGATCTGCCCACCTCAGCCTCCCAAAGTGTTGGGATTACAGGTGTGAGCCACCACGCCCGGCCTAAATCTCCCCTTTATAAGAACACCAGATTTATTGGATTAGGAACTACCCCAATGACCTCATCCACTGTGCCTGGCCTAAACTCTCCTTATATTGGAGTCTTACCAATGTAAAACCTAAGCCATGTCTACATGCAAGCAAGCTGACAGTGTGACAAAATTTATTACTTTGTTGATTTAAAGAAAGTTATCCAGGGCCTGGCATGGTGGCTCACACCTGTAATCCCAGCACTTTGGGAGTCCGAGGTCAGCCTGGCCAACATGGTGAAACCCCATCTCTACTAAAATTGCAAAAATTAGGTGGGCGTGGTGGTAGCATACCTGTAATCCCAGCTACTCGGGAGACTGAGGCAGGAGAATCTCTTGAACCCGGGAGGCAGAGGTTGCAGCGAGCCTAGATCCTGCCACTGCACTCCAGCCTGGGCGACAGAGCGAGACTCCATCTCAAAAAAAAAAAAGATATCAATGAGATATGCATATCTTATTTAAAGTGTATGATTTTTAAACCATGGTCTTTTGGTTTAGTTTTAAGAACAATAGATTGGGCCGGGCACGGTGGCTCATGCCTGTAATCCCAGCACTTTGGGAGGCCGAGGCTGGCCGATCACCTGAGGTCGGGAGTTTGAGACCAGCCTGGACCAACATGGAGAAACCCCGTCTTTACTAAAAATACAAAAATTAGCCAGGCGTGGTGGCGCATGCCTATAATCCCAGCTACTCGGGAGGCTGAGGCAGGAGAATCGCTTGAACCCAGGAGGCAGATGTTGCAGTGAGCTGAGATCAAGCCATTGCACTCCAGCCTGGGCAACAGAGCAAAACTCCATCTCCAAAAAACAAACAAACAAAACAAAAACAACAACAAAAAACAACTCCATCTCAAAACAAAAAGAACAATAGATTGAATAATCCCTATAATGTTTGAAGACGTTACAGGCGGGAGTCCCAGAAAATATCTTGGCATGCCTTTGAACTTTGATTTCATTTGTAATCCAGTTTTTTTTTTTTTTTTTTTTTTTTTTTTTTGAGACAGAGTCTCACTCTGTCATCCAGGCTGGAGTGCAGTGGCATGATCTTGGTTCACTGCAGCCTCTGCCTCCTGGGCTCCAGCAATTCTCTTGCCTCAGCCTACCGAGTAGCTGGGACTACAAGCGCCCGCCACCACGCCCAGCTAATTTTTGTATTTTTAGTAGAGACAGAGTTTCACCATGTTGGCCAGGCTGGTCTCAAACTCCTGACCTCAGGTGATCCACCTGCTTTAGCCTCCCACAGTGCTGGGATTATAGGCGTGAGCCACCGCGCCCTGCCTGTTGCTCAGTTTATCTAGGTAATTTAGTTTGACATCAAATACACAAAAGCACAATAAATGCAAGCACTGATGGGAAATAAAGTAGGTGTTTACCAGGAAGGATGATAGCTTTCTCCAAATGAGGGGGAATCACCTCTTCCAAACTTGTCGAGGTCCAAACCTCACAGCCCAGATCAACGGGAGGAAAACAACCCTCCTAACAGAAAATCTCCCAAACAGGAAGGGGAAAGACCCCTCCCCAGCCTTATCCCAAATGAAACAGAATGCAAACCCAATTCTGGAGTTTTGTCCAAGAAAGATCTGCCAGGGGGCAGAAGAGGTTACCAGCGTGGGTACCTCCCACCATCGTTCTGTGGGCTGCTGATTCCCCTGGAGGGAAGTGAGAATTGGATCCCACTTCTGACCCCACGTATGTTGAAGTCAAAATAAAACTATGGAGAGAAATTTCTAAATTTAATGTTTTATTTGGGAAGAAGAATTGCAGTTCAGCGTGTACATGAAGAACAAAGGGAAGGTTAAAGATTTTACAAAAAGGAGAAATATTTCTGTTCCTCTTTTCAGAGAGTTCATGGGCCCTAGGAAGGGTTGGGAGCCGGCAGGTTCCATTGATGAGCCACTGTGATAGGCATCGTGGGTCCCAGAGTTGCAGCAGTTTATCTCAGAAGCTGTAGGTAAAGCTGGTTTCAGGGTACAGTGAGCAGTTTCAGCCATCAGGCTTGTGGAAGCGACGTTTTGCAAACTGAGTGGTTTCCCCTCCTGGCTCCTGGCCTCTGTTTGAGTTGGGTGTGACAAGAATGACCCAATACTTACCATCGGTTTTTTACAAAAGGTGTTTCTCAAAACTTAACTTTCACACTTATGTATATTTCTACTACCTATTTATATCAGTTCAATGACAAGATTTAGGTATGATGAGGAGATGGAAGGAGCCAGGCTAGGGGCCCCCAGGATGGGAGGAAGGAGACTGGGGGGTGGATAGAGGTTGCTATGGAGGCAGAAAGCAGCCTCTCACAGGCAGGGTCAGGAAAGTGGGGAAGAGGCAGTGAGGTGGGGGGCACTGAGGGGTGGTACTCAGGGCAGGAGCAGCTCAGAAGGCCCAGGCAGGGGTGAATCTGATCCAGGACAGAGGGAAGGCATCAGGAGGCTGAGCAGGAGCCGAGAGGAGCGAGGGCATCAGCTGTGAGGCTACCCTGCAACTTGGTGACCGGAGATGGGTAGTTTTCACGCTGTCCCTTGCAAGGCTGACATGGCACATCTCTCTTGTACACAGTCTTCTCAACAGTGTTCAAATTCTGAGATAAAAGAGGGGAGAAAGAAGTCAGGCCCGGCAGACCTCTCTCCCCTGACCCTGGGCCTGCCCCTCCTAGGTGTGATCTCCTGGCTGTCAGTGCTGGCTCAGTCCCTGCAGGCTCTCCTGGGACATCGTCCCAATGGCATCCCAGACTCCCCTGCCCCTCATGCTGTCCCTCCCCCACACACACCCCTCAGGCCCCAACCTCTCACCCTTAGAAGACATGATGTGCACGCGTGCCTCTGTGTCCTGCAGTCTGCGAAGCCCGTGCTGGAATCCCGGGTCACAGTCGTGATAGAGGCGGGCAATGAAGATGCTCAGCTTCACTTTGTTGTACTCGGCCACTTTTACCACATGGTCCGGGCTGGGGCTCCGGGATATGAACCAGGTGATCTGGTAGCACTTGTAAGGAGGCAGCACGTTGCAGGTCAGGACGGGAAGCACATGTCTGCTCTGTGAGACCGGCTACTTTTGCCCTTTCTCACTGCAATGTCAAGTTGAGGAGATGCCTGCCAGTGGCGGCTCACACCTGTGATCCCAGCACCTCGGGAGGCTGAGGCAGGAGGATTGCCTGAGCCTAGAAGTTCAAGACCAGCTGGGGCAACATGGAAAAACCCCATCCCTACTAAACACAAACACACACACACACACACACACACACACACGGAAATTAGCTGGGTGTGGTGACGCACGCCTGAAGTCTCAGCTACTTGGGAGGCTGAAGTGGGAGGATTGGTTAAGCCCGGGAGATTGAGTCTGCAGCAAGCTGTGATCTTGCCACTGCACTCCAGCCTGGGTGACAGGGTGAGACCCTTACTCAAAAAATATGTATAAATAAAGAGTGGAGACAGATGTCTACAGGCAAACGGGCTTGCTGCTGACACCGACCTCTCAAGGGGTGTGCCTTGCCCCTTACGCTCCTCTCTGCTCAGGGCCACTCTCCCACTGAGGATGCCCTTCGAGGACTCAGGAGCCTTCCGTGTTCTCAGAACCCTCTGACAGGCAAGGCCACATCCTTCCGTCCTGCAGGCTCAGGGCCCCGGTAGAAGGGATGTGACTCAGAAAAGGTGCCAGAGTCTTGCCTGCCTCCTCCCTACCCCCCCAGAAAGCCCTGTGCACCGTTAGGCAGGTGTGGGGGCAACTTTTTCAGACTTTGACCACAGAGGCCACTTTACTCCTGACCCGGGTGGCTCTCTGGGAAGCAGTGCCTGCCCGGGGTGGTGAGGGCCGGAGAAGGCAGTGGGAGGAGGATAGGGCCCCACCCTGGAGGGTGGCTGAGGTACAGACCCTGAGGGACAGCAGGCACCTTCCACGGCAGCCCATCCTATGCCTGTGGGTGCCAAAACCACAGCGCTGCCGGTGGCATCACCTCCCCGAGGGCTTCCTGGGTGGAGGGGCTGGACCAGAACTTGTGGGCAGGAAGACTGCCATCACGTCAGGCAGCTTGACTCAGGGAGAGGAGGAGACTCAGACTTGCCCAACGCCTGGTGCGTACCAGGTCTGTCCCAAATCCAGCCCTCACTGCCCTCCAAGTGCACAGTTGAGAGGGAGGTATAATTGCCCCCACTTTACAGATGAGTAAAGAGAGGTTTCAGGGGAGGTGACGTGCCGAGGTACGGGACAGTGGCAGGCACAGTGGGCTCTTAGACCCAGGCTCGCCTGCCTGCCCACCAGTGCTCTGGTCTCCACTCTCCAGGTCCCCATAGAAGTGTGTGGAACCATTACCCCCTGCCCCAGAGTGACACAGAGGGTCACAGTCTCTGTCCAGAATTTTCTGATTGGCACAGGGCAGACCTGATGGTGGGCGTTGTTGCTCTGTGTGCAGGCACGGCCCTGTGCCAGGTCGTCTCCCCCAGCCCTGCTCCTGACAGTCCCTGGACCACGCCCACCTCCATCTCAGTCTTCCCACCCAGGGAACGTGGCCACAAGCCTACTCCACCCTGGCCAGCTCCCTGAAACACACCAGCATCTTGATTAAGCAATAACCTTCCCTGCTGTCTCCGGATGGTCATTCATTCTTCCATGGGTAGAAAATTTGAAAGAAAAAAGTGGTAGATTTTGAAAATCTGTATTTGTTCTGAGGGTGGGGTAGGGGGATGACATTCACCAAGAACTGACCGGAATCATGGTCTTATTCCCTTGGTCTTACCCAGGAACAGCTCGGGGCTGCCTCTGCCAGTCTGTCCAACCATCATTAGACTGCATGGCCCTCCATGCTGGGATCCTGATGGGTTTGTTTTGTTTGCTACGTGGAGTGGAGTGGAGTGGGTGGCAAAATGTCCAGCTTTTCCCAGAGCACAGCGCAACAAAAGTTCATCATGATTGCCCATGACAGACACAGCCTGGGGCCTGGGATCCGATCTAAAACTAGCACTCACGGCTGGGCACGGTGGCTAACGCCTGTAATCCAAGCACTTTGGGACGTCAGGCGGGCAGATCGCTTGAGGTCAGGAATTTGAGACCATCCTGGACCAAAGTGGTGAAACCCCATCTTTACTAAAACTACAAAAATTAGCTGGGTGTGGTGGTGCACACCTATAATCCTAGCTACTCGAGAGGTGGAGGCAGGAGAATCCTGGAACTTGCGAGGCAGAGGTTTCAGTGAGCTGAGATCGCGCCACTGCACTCCAGCCTGGGTGACACAGCGAGACTCTGTCTCAAAAAAAACAAAAACAAACAACAACAAAAAAAACAAACTACACTGTAAAATGCTTGTAGATAACACTGATAAAACACTGTGCCTCCCGGAGACACTTCTAAGCACAGGTGACAGGGGTCAGCTCCTGGGGAGTGACAGCCCCGCCCCCATTTCAGCCTCTGCAACATTGAGGGAAAATGTAAGACCCCATATCCCGCTGGAGTTTCCACCAGAGCCCAGGAAAAGTCCTCGGGGACAAGAAGGAGCTGGTTCCCCATGTGGGTGGCAGGGATGGGAGCAGGGAGAATGGCCTCCTTCACAGGTGCAGGCTTCACCTGAGATTCACCCTGGTCCCCTGTAAGGGGGGGACAAGGCAGGCACGCAGCTGGGGTCCAGACTATTGAGGGAGAAGGCAGGGCAGAGGGACCCTGGGCAGGTGCTGGGCTGTGCAGCCTGGGACCAGAATGGAGGTTCCGCTTGGGTTTGGAGTCCATGCTGCTGTGTCCGGGGTCCCGGCTCTGCCACCACTGTGGGGGCCCGCCTCCCTACAGCCCAGAGGGACCACAGGCTCTCAGTTCCCAGCCCAGGTCTCAGCAGTGTCATGGGGCTGTGTCCAGTTCCCATCCCAGGAGAGCTCTGGGGCACCTGGAGGAGGTTTCTTATTGTCAAGTCTCTGTCACTGTGTGTGTGTGTGTGTGTGCACGTGTGTTGTGTGTGTTGTGTACGTGCATGTGTGTTTTTGTGTGTCTTGTATGTGTGTATTGTGTGTCGTGTGAGTATTGTGTGTGTTGTGTGTGTGTTGTGTGTAGTGCGAGTATTGTGTGTGCGTGTTGTGTGTGTCTAGGCCAGGGAAACAGTGAGTCGTTTCTGCCCAGGAGCAGCTGCGTGTGAGGCCCCTTCTTGGTCTTATACGCAGCTTCTGAGGACTTTCCAGAAATCGTGAGGTGGGAGCCACCTGCTGTAATCAGGCACATAAATAACACATCCCAGAGTCGGGAACCAATGCAGAACACCCGGGACAGACACCAAGCTGAAGCCACAGCCCTGACACCTGCCGCCCTAGCCCTGGGCTCCGTCTCTGCCTCTGGAGCCTCCTGTCCCTGGGACTCAGCTCCCCTCCCCTCTGTGGCTGGGCTCTGCCTCCTGGGCTGCTCCTCTTCCCAGCCCTCTCTCTGGGCCCAGCCTGGACACCTGCCCGCTCCCTGGGCTCCTTCCCCTGACTGGGCCTGTCCTGGGTCTCAGCCATGGCCTTCCCTGGGCTCCCTCTCTAGGAGGTGGACTCAGGAAGGGGTGGACACAGGGCTGCTCCCGAGGGCCCCTGACTGCACGTGTGTGGTTCCTTTCCAACAGGGAGACTGGCTGCTGGCTGTCCTCTTACTGCTGGGCCTGTCCCTTCCAATCAGCGCCCAGGGCTCTGTGAGTGAGAGTGGGCGGGGCTCTGTGAGTGAGGGTGGGGTCTGCATTTAGGTTCCTCTCCTGTGAGGTTTAGCTGAGTTTTCTGGCTCCAGAGGGATGTCGTGTGACCTTTCCCGGCTACAGGTCCGCTACACAAGGAAAGACATCTACACATTTGCTAGTGTTTATGGAAACACTTGCAATTCATGATACAATCACACAGGGAAACATATACAGAAAGATTTAGTATTTCATTTTATTCCTCTACCTACAAAACCGATTCAAATTGTCGCTGGATTAGTAGGTTTGAAACTTTTCTGTGTATTGAGCACAATCTTAGTACTTTATTCTTGAAATATAAATAAATTTTTGATTCAAAGTAATGCACTCTAATTTTTAAAAGAATCTACTTGGTCAGGAGTGCATTGCTTTGCTGGTGTCTGTGATCAGCTGGAGATGGTGGTGAACAGCCTGTTTGCATTTCTTGGAAGAAGATCTTTTATTCTGAGGCTCAACCCAGGTCTCTGCCTTCCTTAGAGACTGAGGCCCATCCTTCAGTTTTCCTGATTCTGGAAGAGCAGGGAGGTTGAATGGAGCAAAGGGTGAGCGAGTGGAAAGTAGGCATATGGTGGAGGCCTGGGGACAGTGACAATGATCGGAGAGGAGGGAGGGATGTGGGAGGTGGGAGAGAAAGGGAGGCTGTGAGAAGGAAAGGGAGGGACAGAGACAGGTGCCCTGGGGGAGCAGGGAACCCAGAGGAGGCTCTGAGCAGAGGGGAAGGCACGGCGCAGGGGAGAGGGGAGGAGGGGGAGGCCGATGGGGCACTGGGCAGAGGGAAGAAGCCCTCACCTGGAGAATGGCCCGCAGCCTCCCACTCAGGTCTTGGCTGTGCTCATCTAGTCCATCCCAGGGCTGGAAGGGACATCCCTGGTGGTCCACAAAGGTGTCCCAGCAGTGCTTAAATTCTGAAAAGGGACAGGGGAGATAAGTCACACTCCCGCTGTGGGATCGTGGTGGCACCAAAGGCCCATGACTCTCAAGACAGACTTCCCACATCCTGGTTTCAGTCCCTCCTTTCCCTCTCCCTCCCCTAGGGACTTAGCTCCTTCATCAGGCACTTCTTTCCTATTGGAATCTGGGCCAGCCCAGTTCTCATTTTTTCTGGAAGCCCCAAGTTCTGCTTCCACTTCCAGCCACCCTCCCCGCCCTCCCCAGGTCCACATCTCCTGGCCTGGCCTCTCTCTTCCCGTCGACCCCAAAGTCAGGTCCAGAGTGCAGCCATCGCCTCTGCAGGCAGAGGATCAAGGCCTTTCCCACAGGGATGCCGACCCTCCCCACTTTCTAGTAACTTCCCGGGGCCCTCTCCTGCCCTGGCTGACCCCATCCTACTCCAGGCTTCCATTCTCACCACTGTATGTCATTATTGAAATTTTGGCCCCAGCCTCGGCCAGGGTGCGCAGCCCCTCCTGACATCTTCCTTGATCATCATAGATGCGGGCAGTGAAGATGCACAGGCTCACGTGTTTGTTTTTTGAAATGAATTTAGCCATTTCCTGGGCACAGCTGAAGCAGGGGCTCCAGGAGGTGAAGCAGGTAACCCTGTAGTCCTGGTCCAGGTCCAGCTTCCAAAAGGGAATCACGTCCAGGAAGCACAGCTCTGCATGGCGGCCTTCAAGGAAACCGTGTTTATGTGGAGCCTAGAAAAGAAAGCAAGCCATGAGGTAATCTTTTTTTTTTTTGAGACAGAGTTTCACTCTTGTTGCCCAGGCTGGAGTGTACAAGTAGCTAGGATTACAGGCATGCACCACCACACCAGGCTAATTTTGTATTTCTAGTAGAAAAGGGGTTTCTCCATGTGGTTCAGGCTGGTCTCAAACTCCCAACCTCAGGTGATCTGCCCTCCTCAGCCTCCCAAAGTGCTGGGATTACAGGCATGAGCCACAGCGCCCGGCCGAGGGAATTTTTAGTGAGTCAGGAGGGACAGCCTGGATCAGGGTGGGTGCGGGGCAGCCTCCAGCACAAAATTAGACGGGGGCACCAAACCCCAGTTATCAAGATGACTTTTCTTTTCTTTTCCTTTCTTTTCTTTGAGACAGAGTCTGGTTCTGTCACTCAGGCTGGAGTGCAGTGGCGCCATCTTGGCTCACTGCAACCTCCACCTCCCGGGTTCAAGCGATTCTGGTGTCTCAGCCTCCCCAGTAACTGGGACTGCAGGCATGCACCACCACGCCTGGCTAATCTTTGTATTTTCAGTAGAGACGGGGTTTCACCATATTGGCCAGGCTTGTCTTGAACTCCTGACCTCAAGTGATCTGCCCGCCTCAGCCTCCCAAAGTGCTGAGACTACAGGCATGAGCCACCACACCTGACCGGATTTTTACAATAATCTATTAAATAATTTAATTTTCCATTACGATGAGATTTCTCTGATACTGAGTATTTGGAGCATCCTCTCATTCTGCACATGAGGTCAGTGCCTTCAGGACCCTCACTCCGCCCCAGGCCTGCAGGGAGGGGCTGTAGAGCTGGGGGAGGGAGGACAGATGCCACTGAGCTGCGTGTGCTTCCCTCATGGGGAGGCTGACCTGTCTACCCGTCAATTCCCCTTGCCCCACCCCTTCTGTGACCTATAATTCTAGAAGCTTCCACATTGTGCTTTACCCTGTATTAAGCCCACGAGTGACATAGACTGAGGCCAGAGGGCTCCCTTTGCAGGGAGAAGTGGGGATGAGGGGCCCCCAGCAGGACTAACCCCACATTGGGAAGGGCCCCAGTCATGGGGTGATTGTCCTTGTTGAGCCCAAGGAATGATGGTGTTTTGTCCAAATTTCGACTGGGAACTAGTCAAGCCCAGGAGTCCAGTGCAGAGAGGACTCGGGGTAGAATGGATGACACGATTTGTGCTGAGAAGGGGCTGTGGGTCATTCCTGGGGGAGTCCCATCCCACTGGTTAGACAGTGATGGGGACCGGTGCCTTTGAAAGTAGCTTCCAAGCAGTGTGTGTGGGCCCAGCAGGGCCCATATTAAGCTCATAGAGCCCAGAGGAACCCCGTTTCCAGCACCAGAGCCAAGCAGAATTTGGCCTCTCCAGCCAGGGGCTGTGCTGGGCAAGGGCGAGGGAAGAACGTCCCTCGGGCTCAGGGCCCCTCGGCCTGGCCTGGCCCAGCTCTTCTTCAAATGCTGGCCATCCCTGCATCCTGACTTGGGGCCTGTTCTGGCCTTGCTGTGGGCTCCATCCTGGTCAGGACAGAATCCCTGGTCGGCCTCTCCTGCCTCAGTCTCTTTTCCCGCAGGATGAAGCCCAGGAGCAGGCACTGGGGAATCCTGGCCTTGTGAGGTCAGGTAGGCCCTGATCCTCAAATCCCACAGTTCTGAATCATTCCTGGTGGGAGCTGTGTCTGTGAGGGGATCCTGGGAGGGTCCTCAGGAAGCACTTTTTTTTTTTTTCTTGAGACGGAGTCTCGCTCTGTTGCCCAGGTGGAGTGCAGTGGCACGATCTTGGCTCACTGCAAGCTCTGCCTCCCAGGTTCATGCCATTCTCCTGCCTCAGTCTCCTGAATAGCTGGGACTACAGGCGCCTGCCACCACACCTGGCTAATTTTTTGTATTTTTAATAGAGATGGGGTTTCACCGTGTTAGCCAGGATGGTCTTGATCTCCTGACCTTGTGATCGCCAGCCTCGGCCTCCCAAAGTGCTGGGATTACAGGCATGAGCCACCGTGCCCGGCCGGAAGCGCTTTTTCTTTGATCCCACTTGGCCCTGGTGCAGACCCTTTTCCTCTGCCCTGACCCTCTCAGAGCACAGCAGGAGTGGGGACGGCTGAGACCTGGACCTGGGGGTGACTCTGGACTAGTGGTGTTAGCCCCTGAGACATGTGGCTGGTTAGGCGTGTGGGGCTGGAAGCCACCAATCCTGGAGAGTCACTGAAGCCGAAGTCTCCCCCAACCCCAGGGCCAAGCAGCAGCAGCTACAGGAAGCACAGGTGACAGACACTCTGCAGGACACCACAGGTACCACCCAGAACCTTCTGCCCATGGGTGTCCCTGGGTTGGGAGGGCCCTGCCTGGATGCGGGTGGCTGGGTTGGTCACCTGGTTGCATAGAAAGCCCCTGCGCTGGTTCAGCAGGACCCAGGTGTCATTGTGCATGCGCTCCACCTCATAACACAGGTAAGTCTCATGCCGTCCTCTGACCCAAGGTTCATTGTTAAAGTTGAAAGTGAATGTGGGTGGATCCATCGAGTGTCTGGAAAGTGGGGGAAAAGCCCAGAGGAGTAAGAGCCCTCCTGGTCTGTCCCACCTCCCCCTCCCTCTCCACGCTTCCTCCCTTGCACCCCACCCTCCTTCCTTCCCCCGGCTCCCCACATCCCTTAGCACCTGTCAGAAGGGGCTCCCACTCACTTGCTAGAGCCTCCAAACCTCCCCCTCTGACCCCTTCTGGGGCTCACTGGGAGATCACGGCAGCCCTGGGGCCTGTCTAAGCCTTGTCAGGGTCTCCCCAGGGTCAGCTCAGTGTGCTCAGGCCCTCTCCCTGGGGTACAGCTGGGTCTTCTTCCCTGGCCTCACCATAGACCCCAGTCCTGGCTCTGCTCGCTCTCAGTCCTTGCTGGAGGTGGACCCACTGGGGCACCCCTCCTGCCTACAGGGTTAACTCTTGCCACACCCAGCATCAGGGCAGAGACACTCCTGAGCGGGACCAGCGGGGAGAAGAGCCTGCCAGGGAGTTTTTTTGTTTTTTTTTAAATAACTCACAGGATTTCTTCTGTTGCCAAAAATACCTGTCCTTACAAAACCACAATTATAAAGGTAAAAGTGAATTATTAGCACCCAGTGCAGAGGCATTTCCAAACCAGAAACACCAGATCTTCACCCTGGAGTGGACAGAGGGGAGGATGCCACCTTTGATAGGACTCTGCAGAGCCCAGCCTGGAACTGGGAAGATTCTGGCTGGGGAAGCCACAGGCATCAGCTGAGGGGTCATGTCCGGACCCCAGAGAGGCCCAGAGAGAGGCTGAGAAGAGGAGCAGCCCGGGAGTGGGGGAGCAGGGGAGCCTGTCGGGGGAGCTAAGGAGGGGCTCAGGAGTGTTGGGTGCAGAAGGAATGGGGTGGGTGAAGCACACAGGAACATCTGGGTGGAGGGGCTGTGAGAGTCAGGTCAGGACTCCCCTGGGAAACAGACACACAGGACAGGAACCCCTGCACTCCCCACCCAGGCCCGCCCACAATGACTGCAGCTTCTTGCCGTGGCCTTCACTGTTTCTCCCCAAAATCAATGTATTGAAGCCTTAACCCCCGCTCCCTCAAAGGGTGGCTGTATTTGGAAACAGGTCCTTTCTTTCTTGTTTGTTTGTTTGAGAAGAAGTTTCGCTTTTTTGCCCAGGCTGGAGTGCAGCGGCGCAGTCTGGGCTCACCGCAACCTCCGCCTCCCGGGTTCAAGCGATTCTCCTGCCTCAGCCTTCCGAGTAGCTAGAATTATAGGCGCCCACCACCACTCCCGGCTAATTTTTGTATTTTTGGTAGAGATGGGGTTTTAACATGTTGGCCAGGCTGGTGTCGAACTCCTGACCTCAGGTGATCCACCCGCCTTGGACTCCCAAAGTGCTGGGATTACAGGCATGAGCCTCTGCACCTGGCCTGGAGACAGGTCCTTTCATCAGATGATTAACTTAAATGAGACCTTCAGTGTGGGCCCAAATTCACATGACTGGGGTCCATAAACGAGGAGGACATTTGGAGGCAGAGAGACCCCACGAGTGCAGGTGCACAGAGGAAAGGCCAGAGAGGACAGGGCCGGAAGGGACCCCCTGCCAGCCAGGAGGAGCGACTGCAGAAGACACAACCCCGCCCACCCCTCCACCTTGGACTTGCAGCCTCCAGATGTGTGAGAAAATAAATGCCTGCCCTGTGGGCACCCAGCCCGGCCATCTTCTATGGCAGCCGAAGCCTGAAGCTCTGTTTCCATGGAGGCAGCTCCTTCTCAGGGGCTCAGGTTGGCCTTTAAGGATGTTGCTCAAAGCTTCTGACTGCCGGGCTTGTGACTATTCATGCCCACTTACTACGTCCAGTTTTACGACAAATTCGGTTATGCCAGGGAGATGGAAGGGGCCAGGTTGGGGCTCCCAGGCTGTGGGGGTGGATGGAGGTTGCTCTGGAGGCAGAAGGGGCCTCTCACTCACAGGAAGGGCCCAGGAAAGCAGGTGGGAGGCAGGGAGGTGGAGGGAGCACGAGGAGTGTGGGTGAGGGAGTGTAACCACGAGGGCAGGCAGGGGGCAGGAGGGAAGGCAGGAGGGCCTGGCCAGGAGAGGACCTGGTCTGGAACAGAGGGGAGGCCTCAAGAGGATGAGCAGGAGGTGAGAGGAGCGAGGCGATGAGCCTGGAGGGAGACCCTCACCTGAGAATCTCCCCCAGCATGATGTGCAGTAATATATAATATTTAGGCAGATTATTCCAAGGCTCAAATAGCTCTCTTTGGCTGTACACGAACTTGCTCCAACAGTGCTGAAATTCTAAGAAAAAGAAGAGAGAACGCAGTCAAGCCCAGCTGGCCTCTCTTCTGTGACCTCGGGACCCTCCCCTCCCAGACATATTCTAGATACTAGTTACAGTCAGCGCCAGACCCAACCCCACAGGCTCCCCTGGGACACTTGGCCTTTGCAGGCATCAGAGCAGACCCACAGGTATGTGTGGGAAGGACCCATCACAGACACTTAAGCAGTCTCTCCCACACCCCTGAACCTCCCACTTCTCACCGTCATAATTCATGATCTTCATGGTGGCACGCGGACCGTCTCTTTTCTGACACAGGCTGCGAAGCGCCTCCTGGTAATCTGGGTCCCAGAAGTAGTAGAGGCGGGCAACAAAGATGGTCAGGGTAACCTTCGGGTCCTCGGCCAGGAACGTGGCCATATCCCTTGTACACTTTGTGCAGGGGCTCCAGGATATGTACCAGGTGACCTCATACTCCTGGTCACGATGCAGCTTCCTCCACTTGCTGAACCAGTGGAAGAATCTCATCTCTGGGTGGTACTTAAGTTCGGAATACACCTGGGAGAGGAGCAGGGTCAGGGCAAGCTCTGAGAGGGGGAGCAGGAGGAGAGCAGGGGTGGGGCAGGGGGAGGAGGGGCCAGGACAGGAGTCCAGGAGATCTTGCCATTGAAGCTCCTTTCCTCCATCCCCCTGTTCGGTTTGAGTGTTTGTCTGCTCCAAAGCTCATGTTCAGTATTAATTGCTATGGTAATGGCCTTAAGAGGTGGCACCTACAAGCAGCTATGAGGCTGTGGGAACTGCACCTTTGTGGGTGCCACTGCTGTGGTTATTCAAGGGCGACTTCAGCCCCTCTTTCTGTCTCTTGCCCTCTAGCTGGGGGGGCAGTATGTCAGACTAAACTGCTTCCTCTTGCCCCCATGTCACGGAGCAGCAGTGACTCGACATCCCAGGCCACTCTGTCTGGAGCATCCCCTGAGCTTCTGGCAACAACCTTCACCCCCACGTGACTGTGCAGCTCGCAGGCCCTGGAAAGTTGCTGGTGCATTGACAGGGGACTTCCCAGAGTCCAGAACTCGAGCCCATACATTTCTGTTCATTGTAAATGTCCCCATCTCAGTCCTGCTGTTGAAGCATCACAAGGTGCACCAAGACACGTGCTTCCCTGAGTTTGGAAGTTTTCCCAGCCCTGTTCATGGCCTCGTGTGTGAATTCTAGCATCCATTCTCCCAGGCATCCATTCACCAGACATCCTCAGCCCCTACTGTGGCCTGGCCCTCTAGGGTCTGCCTTGTTCCCTGCCTGCAGTCAGTGGGGAGCCCACTGGACCTGCACTGTCCATGTCGGGGGGGGTGACATGGCCAAGGGACTACTGAGTACTTGAAATGGGGCTCTGATTAGAGACCTGGGCACCTGAAAAATACACCACTCATTTCTTTTTTTTTTTTTGAGATGGAGTTTCGCTCTTGTTGCCCAGGCTGGAATGCAAGGATGCAATCTTGGCTCACTACAACCTCTGCCTCATGGGATCAAGCGGTTCTCCTGCCTCAGCCTCCCGAGTAGCTGGGATTACAGGTGACTGCCACCATGCCTGGCTAATTTTTTTTTTTTTTGTATTTTTAGTAGAGATGGGATTTCACCATGTTGCCCAGGCCGGTTTTGAATATCTAACTTCAGGTGATCTGCCCGCCTTGGCCTCCCAAAGTGCTGGGATTAGAGGTGCGAGCCACCCACTGTACGTGACCCACGCAGCTCATTTCAAAGACTCGGTGTGACAAGAAAAAGAAACTTCATTATCTTGTCAAGAATTTTATGTTAATTAATGTTGAAGTAATATGTTAGCCACATTGGATTAATTAAATATTAAAATTAGGCCGGCGCTGTGGCTCACACCTGTAATCCCAACACTTTGGGAGGCCGAGGCAGGTGGATCACCTGAGGTCAGAAGTTCGAGACCAGCCTGGTGAATATGGTGAAACCCCATCTGTACTAAAAATACAAAAAAAAAATCAGCTGGGCGTGGTGGTGGGCACCTGTAATCGCAGCTACTTGCGAGTCTGAGGCGACAGCATCGCTTGAACCCAGGAGGCAGAGGTTGCTGTGAGCCGAGATCGCGTCATTGCACTCCAGCCTGAGCAACAAGAGTGAAACTCTGTCTCAAAAAAAAAAAAGAAAAAAGAAAAGAAAAGAAAAACGGAAACACAAGGCCTTTTGTGCAGAGGCAAACCCCCTCCACGATCCGATCCCAGGACGGTCCAGCAGGAAGGTCAGGGCCACGGACTTGGAAAGTGTGGGAGAGAAGGACACACTGGATAGCCCGCCGCCGGGCACTTCACTTATCAGTGCGTGGTTTGCTTTCCCAGCTGGCTTAGCTCCTGCCTGCAAAGTGATTGGAGTCCGGGTGGTACCTGGCCTCGAAAGATCTTTGCGTCCAAAGGGGGCCTTGAGGGACCCTTTGTTTTCACTTCGTAGCACAGCCAGACGGTATTCCGACGAGAAAGGATGGGTCTATTATAAAAGTTGTAGGAGAATGTGTCTCGATACATTCGCTCCACTGTGTTTCTGAAGACACAAGAGAGAAACCAGCCAATGTAGAGAGCACTCCTGGGGGCCCTCCGGGCTGATGTCCACTAAACACAGCCCCCTGGACGGCTCTAGGCCTCCCCCATCCCTCCCCTCCCCTGAGAATTTCGGCGGAGACTGTAGTGAGCCAAGATCGCGCCACTACACTCCAGCCTGGGCGACAAGAGCGAAATTCCGTCTCAAAAAAAAAGAGAGAGAGAGACAGAATAAAACTCTTCACCCCAAAATAACAGCTTTTAACCTTTCAGCTCAGTTCCTTCCTGACATTTCACCTCTGTATATTATTATTGTTAAATCATGGTAGAACCGAATTCTGAGGCCCAGGCCAGTCTTCTAAGTGCTGCGCGGGGGTGAGCTCATGTGAGGCTGCCCTAGGCTGGCAGGGGCCATTCCCGTCTTACAGAGGAGGGGCCAGACGCGCAGAGAGGCGGGGTAACCTGCCCAGGCCACAGAGCTGGGGACAAATGGAGTGGGGGCCCCTTTCCAGGCCAGCCCTGTCCAGTCTCTGTATCACTGGCCCTGCAGGAGGCAGCCATTGGGGACCGGGCTCTCTTCTTACTAAATTTTAAAATAACAACATTCCTCCTGATCATTGAGTTTTTTTCCCATATATTCCATGTTTTTTCTTTTGTTTTTGTTTTTTTTTCTTTCAAGACGAAGTTTTGCTCTTGTTGCCCAGGCTGGAGTGCAATGGGGCGACCTCAGCTCACTGCAAACTCCGCCTCCTGGGTTCAATGGATTCTCCTGTCTCAGACTCCCAAGTAGCTGCGATTACAGGCGCCCGCCACCACACCCAGCTAATTTTGCATTTTTAGTAGAGACAGGGTTTATCCATGCTGGTCAGGCTGGTCTTGAACTCCTGACCGCAGGCGATCCGCCCACCTCAGCCTCCCAAAGTGCTGGGATGACAGGTGTGAGCCACCGCACCCGGCCACTATATTCCATGTTACTGGTGTCATTTATAAACAGTGAATGCTGATAGTGGAGGAGGAGCGTGTGTTTGGGGTCATCTGCATCCTCCTCTGCCCACAGTGGAGACATCCTTGGAAGACATGATTTATCCTGTGCTTCAGAGACCATTCCCTCCCCACACCCTCTCCTAAGACTTGGTATTTAAGCAAAGTAAATCTTACAGAAAATCCATCAAAGCCCTGTGAACAAAATTCCACCTTGCTCTACTCATCCTTTGGTTCAATTCTCCCAGTTCCAGAGTTCAGGAATGGCGGGAAGCACACAGAGGGAGCACCCTCCCAGGGCCGGGAGCACCACCCCAGCCATGACTTTCAGGGGAGAGTCTCAGCAGGGGACCTGGGCTGGGACAGATGGGGGAGGCGGCCCATTCAGAAGCAGCAGTGGGGCGACAACACAGCAGGGCAAGGAGCCTGGCTGGGAGTAGGGGGTGCAGGGGAGTCAGAGGGGAGGGAGCCCAGGGCTGGGGCTGGGGCAGGGGAAGGCCAGGGCTGACGCCCAGCAGAGCCACCAGGCAAGAAGGGGCAGCAGAGGGGCCCAGTGGGTAGAGCGGGCAGCGGTACCTGAAGTGAGGCTTCATCCTTGGCCGGCTAGTCCCGACTAAGATCTTTGTCTGGAGCACCAGGGTTTCACTTTCTGCTCCAAGCTTCTGGTTTTAGGACAGCCCTCCCTAAAGTGACCTCCCAGGGCCTCGTAGTCATGGCCCCTCCCGCTTCCTGCTCAGGCGCTGGTGTAGGAGGCCCTGGGACGCTTTATCTTCCTCAGTCTCTCACCCTCTTTCTGGTTTTCTCTGGGGCCCTCCCCCTGGCAGAGGGACCTCTGATAAAGACAGGCCGCTCTGTGCGGCAGGACCCAAGGCAATTGCAAAGGGAAAGAGAAAGTCATTGCAGCCAGCGCCCGGGAGGTGGGTCCACACCAGGCTGAGCCAGCAGAGCACAAGCCCCTCCCCTGGTGGTCCCGCCCAGCTGGAGCCTCCTCTCCACCATCAAGACAGACAGGCTGATGCCTCCGCAGGGACTCCCGGATCCTGCCCTCGGGGATCATCCCAGAGACGGCCCCCACCCAGCGGCCATGGGGACAGGGAGGGAGAGTAAATGGCCAGGCGTCTGCCTCCCCCCAGGCCGTCACCCTCGGAGGCCACCGTGGGAGGGAGGGACAGCAGGTGGGTGTGGGCCTCAGATGTCCCACCGGGATGCCATGCGCGCCCCCACACTGAGCTCTTTCCTTCCTGCTTCTCCTTCTTCCCCATCTCCTGCCCGGAGATCCTCCGTGGTGGGCTGAACTTTTGCCCTCTCTTGTCCCCATGTTATGGAAGGGCAGCGGCTGGTGTCCCAGGCCAGCCTGTCTGGAGCCTCCCTGCGCGTCTCACAGCTCCCTTCCCCTGGTAGCGTGTTCCCATGGCGTGGTGACCTACAAATTACACAAGGGATGCATTTGCAAATGACACTTTATTTCTTGTTAAGGGTGACAGCCTGCAAGGTAGCCATCCAGCAGCCTGGGAAGAGCAGCCTCTGGTTAACACCAGAGACAGACATTTAGAAGCAGGAGGGGTTGGGGCAGGAGCTTTATGCTGAAGGGGTTAGCTAAACATACATATTGAACAGGCTACAGGAGGAGCTATGAATATTCATGTGGGTGGCTGCACTCCATGCTTATTGAACAAACATGCGTGTAACATATGATCCCAGGCGGGCACAGTGGCTCACACCTGTAATCCCAGCATTTTGGGAGGCCGAGGCAGGTGGATCATCTGAGGTCAGTGTCAGGCCGCTGAGCCAGAGCTAAGCCATTGTGACCCCTGTGAACTGCACATATACATCCAGATGGCCTGCAGCAGCCAAGAAGTCTGGAACAGCCAAAAAAACACAAAAGAAGTGAAACAGCCAGTTTCTCCCTTAACTGATTAACCAACCTTAAGACATTCCACCATTAGGACTTGTTCCTGCCCTACCCTAACTGATCAATCGACCTTATGACATTCTTCTTCTGGACAATGGGTCTCATGGTCTCCCACCATGCACCTTGTGACCCCCTCCCCTGCTGACAACAGATGACCGCCTTTGACTGTAACTTTCCACCGCCTACCCAAGTCCTATAAAGCTGCCCCTCTCCTATCTCCCTTCGCTGACTCTCTTTTCAGACTCAGCCCAGTTGCACCCAAGTGAATAAATGGCATTATTGCTTACACAAAGCCTGTTTAGGTGGTCTTCTATATGGACATGTATGACAGTCAGGAGTTCGAGACCAACCTGGCCAACATGGTGAGACCTCGTCTCTACTAAAACTACCAAAGTTGGCCGGACGTGGTGCCATGTGCCTGAAATCCCAGCTACTTGGGAGGCTGAGGCAGGAGAATCAGTTGAACCCGGGAGGCAGAGGTTGCACTGGGCCGAGATCGCACCACTGCCCTCCAGCCTGGGAGACAGAGTGAGACTCCATCTCAAAACAAAAAACAAACAAACAACAATCTATTAAAAAAAAAAAAAAAAAAAAGCAGCTGTATTATCCGTCCTCACATTGCGGTGGAGACAACATTTAAATGTACCACAATTAAGCCTGTATGTCAAAAGGTCCTTTCAGGACATGAAGGCACCAAAATTTGCCAGGTCTGTAAACCATTCAGAACTAGTCCATGGTCTGTGGTCTTCTGATCTGGAGAAAGTTACAGAAATCAGTCTCTTGCTCAGGGAAAGTAGGAATTAGGGCTGTGGAGCAGGGGCTCTGTTACTCCGTGTCCGGGCGCTGGGTGAGGTGGGATTGTTTTCATCTTTATCTGGAGGCAGTGCTTGTTTAGCTGCTAGAGCAAAAGAAAAATCTTGTGGCAGGCAGAACAGAGTTGACTGTTTAA
The DNA here is from genome assembly GCF_000001405.40 of Homo sapiens. NCBI lineage: Eukaryota > Metazoa > Chordata > Mammalia > Primates > Hominidae > Homo > Homo sapiens. The sequence continues at coordinate 39,075,093 of NC_000022.11, read as the reverse complement.
GTGTGGGGTGTGTGATCTCACCCTTGCCTGGCACGGCCTGAGGTCCTGGTTGTGATTTGGTATCTGATTGCCATGAAGAGTCTGTTCTGGTTCTGCCCGTCTTATGATTCTGTTTTAACATTACTGCTGGTCAGTTGTGTCTAAACTGCAAAAGGGTGGGGTGATAATGAGGCGTGCCTGACCTCCCCTCCCATCATGGCTGGGAACTCAGTTTTAAGGTTTTTCTGAGATACCCCTGGCCACTGGGGGCCAAAGTTGGGGGGGATCGGTGGGGGCTAAAGACTTTATTTTTAGTTCATAGGCCTTTGGACTAAGCTCTGATTTGTTTTATTTAATCTTGCCCAAAATCCTATCTAAGGGGTCTGGGGAGTCATGCCTTACAACCCATACATCCTCATCAGAGGGGTTCTATTTTTTATTTTTTTATCTTATTGTATTTTAATGGAGGCCGAGTTTCACTCTTCTTGCCCGGACTGGACTGCAATGGTGCGGTCTCGGCTCACTGCAACCTCCGCCTCTCGGGTTCAAGCGATTCTCCTGTCTCAGCCTCCCAAGTAGCTGGGATTATAGGTCCCCGCCACCATGCCTGGCTAATTTTTGTATTTTTAGTAGAGATGGGGTTTCACCATGTTGGCCAGGCTGGTCTCGAACTCCCGACTGCAGATGATCCACCCGCCTCGGCCTCCCAAAGTGCTGGGATTACAGACATGAGCCACTGCGCCTGGCACAAATGGGTTTTATTTAACCCTATATATTGTGAGTTACTTTCCAATCTGACTCAGACACAACATTATGTGACAAAGAAGAAAGATAAAATATTTTACCCCAAAACATGTTTCTTTGCCATATCTGAAATGGCCCTGCAAAGTTGTCCCCGGTGGGGGAAAATTTGCATCTGTAAAGAACCTCTATTAACATAGCTGGATCTTTTTCTTCTAGGCCTTCCCAGTCCTAAACAGATTAACTAATTGGACCTTTTAAAGACCTGAATAGCAAACATTTGTCATCTATTATCTCTAAAGGCAGCCATTATGAGACTTCAAAATAACCTTGGTCTCCACAGTCTTTTATCTTAACTTGAACATTTCCTTTCTATGGATGCCAGGTCTCTAGACAAACTCAACCCATCCTCAACCAGAAAATGTTTAAATTTACCTGTAGCCTGGAAGCCCCCCAACCCCGCTTCCCTCACTTTGAGTCGTCTGACCTTTCAGGACTAAACCAATGTATTTCTTTTCTTTACTTTTTTTGTTTCTTTTTTTCTTTTTTCTTTTTCTTTTTCTTTTCTTTTCTTTTTTTTTTTTTTTTTGAGATTGTGTCTTGCTCTGTCGCCCAGGCTGGAGTGCAGTGGGGCAATCTTGGCTCACTGCAACCTCTGCCTCCCGGGTTCACGCGATTCTCCTGCCTCAGCCCCCTGACTAGCTGAGTTTACAGGTGCACACCACCACGCCCGGCTAACTTTTTGTGTATTTTTAGTAGAGACGCGGTTTCACTATGTTGGCCAGACTGGGCTCCATCTCCTGACCTCGTGATCCGCCCGCCTTGGCCTCCCAAAGTGCTGGGATTACAGGCATGAGACACCACGCCTGGCCTTTTCTTTTCTTTTTTTTTTTTTTTTTTTGGAACAGAGTCTTGCTCTGTCCCACAGGCTGGAGTGCAGTGGTGTGGTCTTGGCTCACTGCAACCTCTGCCTCCTGGGTTCATGCAATTCTTCTGCCTCAATCTCCCGAGTAGCTGGGATTACAGGTGCACACCACCACACCCGGGTAATTTTTTGTATTTTTAGTAGAGACGGGGTTTCACTATGTTGGCAAGGGTGGTCTTGAATTCCTGAACGCGTGATCCACCTGCCTCAGCCTCCCAAAGTGCTGGGATTACAGGTGTGAGCCACCGCGCCCAGCTCCTGTATTTCTTAAATGTATTTGATTGATGGCCCATGCCCCTCTAAAATGTATAAAACCAAGCTGCACCCCCACCACCTTGGGCACATGTTCTCAGGACCTCCTGAGGGCTGTGTCACAGGCCGTGGTCACTCGTATTTGGCTGAGAATACATCTCTTCAAATATTTTACTGAGTTTGACTCTTCGTTGACAGGCCCAAGATCCAGGTGCCCACTCCCTGTCTCCTCGGAGGGCCCGCGCTTCCGGTTCTCTGGCACCTCTGGTTCCTGGTTGCCCTTCTACTTTCTGTTCTGCTTTCTCAAAAAGCTCTGAACATCTCAAGCCTCCATGTAGTACCCAATTCTACTTTTCACTGAAAATCTTACTTAAACACCAACTTCATCACTGAGTGTTTTCTTGGCTCTTTCTCAGTCACGTTCCCTAGGCTGTGTCCTAGCCCAGAGCTGCACTGCTGGGAGGGATTTCAGAAGGGAGGGGCATGAGGAGGCAGGAGGGCTGGGTGCTGTTGGGTGTAGGAGGAATGAGGTGGGTGGAGCACGCAGGAAGGTCTGAGTGGAGGGGCTGTGAGGGTCAGGTCGGGACTCCCCTGGGAGACAGACACATAGGACAGGAACCCCTGCACTCCCCACTCAGGCCCGCCCACAGTGACTGTGGCTTGTTGCCATGTTGCCCTGTTTCTCCCAAAAATCAATATATTGAAGCCCTAACCCCTCTACCTCAATGTGTGGTTGTATTTGGAGACAGGTCCTTTTCAACAGATGATTAATTAATTCATTAATTAATATTTTTAGAGACGGAGTCTCACTCCGTTGCCCAAGCTGGAGTGCAGTGGCACCATCTCGGCTCACTGCAACCTCTGCCTCCCTGGTTCAAGCGATTCAAGCCTCAGCCTCCCGAGTAGCTGGGATTACAGGCACCTGCCACCACGCCCGGCTAATTTTTGTATTTTTAGTAGAGATGGGGTTTTGCCGTGTTGGCCAGGCTGGTCTTGAATTCCTGACCTCAGGTGATCCACCCGCCTTGGCCTCCCAAAGTGCTGGGATTGCAGGCGTGAGCCACCGCACCCAGCCAACGGATAATTAATTTCTTTTTATTTTTTATTTATTTACTTTTTGAGATGCAGCGTCACTCTGTCTTCCAGGCTGGAGTGCAATGGCACGATCTCAGCTCACTGCAACCTCTGCCTCCCGGGTTCCAGCGATTCGCCTGCCTCAGCCTCCGGAGTAGCTGAGATTACAGGCGTCCACTACCACGCCCGGATAATTTTTTTATATTTTTAGTAGAGACGGGGTTTCACCATGTTGACCAGGCTTGTTTCCAACTCCTGACCTCAAGTGATCTGCTGGCCTCAGCCTCTCAAAGTGCTAGGATTACAGGCGTGAACCACCACGCCCGGCCGAGATGATTACTTTAAACGAGACCTCTAGTGTGGGCACAAATTCGCTTGGCGGGGGTCCATCAAGGAGAAGGGTGGCCAAGTGCCCTGGCTCATGCCTTTAATCCCAGCACTTTGGGAGGCCGAGGTGGGCAGTCAGGAATTCGAGACCAGCCTGGCCAACACGGTGAAACCCCATCTCTACTAAAAAACACAAAAATTAGTAGAGTGGTTCTGGGCACCTGTAATCCCAGCTACTCAGGAGGATGAGGCAGGAGAATTGCTTGAACCTAGGAGGCAGAGGTTGCAGTGAGCAGTGATTCTACCGCTGCACTTCAGCCTGGGCAACAGAGTGAAACCTCCTCTCAAAAAAAAAAAAAAAAAAAAAGCCTGGATACAATGGCTCATACCTGTAATCCCAGCACTTTGGGAGGCCGAGGAGGGTGGATCACCTGAGCTCACAAGTTCAAGACCAGCCTGAGCAACATGGAGAAACCCCATCTCTACTAAAACTACAAAATTAGCCGGGCGTGGTGGCGCATGCCTGTAGTCCCAACTACTGGGGAGGCTGAGGCAGGAGAATCGCTTGAACTCGGAAGGCAGAGGTAGCAGTGAGCTGAGATTGTGCCACTGCACTCCAGCCTGGACAGCAAGAGCAAAACTCTGTCTCAAAAAAAAAAAAAAGTTGATATTTGGAGGCAGAGAGATCCCAGAGGTGCAGGTGCAAAGAGGAAAGGCCACAGAGGACACAGCCAGAAGAGACTCTCTGCCAGCCAGGAGGAGCGGCCTCAGAGCAAACAACCCAACCCACCCCGCGAACGTGTACTTGCAGCCTCCAGATCTGTGAGAAAATAAATGCCTGCCATGTGGGCACGTGACTCGGGGCATCTTCTGTGGAGGCCACAGCATGAAGGGGTCATTTTTATAGAGAGTCTCATTCTCTAATAACTTACATCTGCCTTGAAAATATTGAGTCAAATTTAAAGTGTGGAGAAGAGCCTCTAAATTTCACATGTCATTCGCAAAGAAAGAATTGTAATTTGGGACATACACGCAGTCCGGGTGGTGTTCACCATATCAGGAGACCCATCTGCCCCCCATGCTGTCCCTCCTGCACCCAGTCACCTCAGCCCCCCACGTCTCACCTTTGTAGCCCACGAACTCCATGGAGGCCCCTTCCTGACTCAGCCTGTGGAGCCCCTGCTGGTAATATGGACACTGGAAGTAGTAGAGGCGGGCGGCAAAGATGGTGAGCTTCACGTTGCTGTGCCTGGCCAGGAACTTGCCACCTCCCCTGCACACTCTGGGCAAGGGCTCCAAGATGTGTACCAGGTGACCTGGTAGTTTTTGTTAGGAGACAGTGTGTTGTCGCAGAACCAAGAGAGGAAGCACCTTTCTGCATGACTATGGGTCTCAGGATTGACCTGGGAAGGAGGAGGAGGAAGGCAGGGGGAGCTCAGACTAGGAGCAGGAGGAGTGCGGGAGTGGGGCGATGGGAGCAGAGAGTGGGCCTGGAGCCCCAGGGCATTTCCTTATTTATTTATTTTTGAGACAGGGTCTCTCTCTGTTGCCCAGGCTGGGGTGCAGTGGTGCGATCTGGGCTCACTGCAGCCTTGACCTCCCAGGCTCAAGGGATCTTCCTACCTCAGCCTCCTGATTAGCTGGGACTGCAGGCGCGTGCCACCACACCTGGCTAATTTTTTTTGTATGTTTTCATATCTTTTTGTATAGATGGGTTTCGCATGTTGCCTAGGCTGATCTCAAACTCTTGGGCTCAAGCGATCCTCCTGCCTCAGCCTTCCAGAGTTCCAGAGTTCTAGGACTATGAGCATAAACCACCATGCAAGTCCTTATTTTATTTATTTACTTTTCATTTTTCTGGGTACATAGTAGGTCCCAGTGCATTTTGTTCATTGAGATTCGCTTCCATCCTTCTCCTTCCTTCTTTATTTTTAATTTTTATTTTTTTCTGAGACAGAGTCTCACTCTGTAGCCAGGCTCGAGTGCAATGGCACAATCTCGTCTCACTGCAACCTCTGTCTCCCAGGTTCAAGGGATTTTCCTACCTCAGCTTCCCAAGTAGGTGGGACTACAGGCTCGTGACACCATGCCCATCTAAATGTTGTATTTTTAGTAGCGACAGGGTTTCACCGTATTGGCCAGGCTGGTCTCGAACTCCCGACCTCGTGATCCGCCCGCCTCAGCCTCCCAAAGTGCTGGAATTACAGGCGTGAGCCACCGCACCCGTCCCCTTCCTTCTTTATTCTATTGAGTCTTTCCCTGTTTCATCATGTCCTCGAGCACGAATTCTGGCATCCTTTCTCCCAGGCATCCATTCACCAGGCATCCTCAGCCCCTGCTGTGGCCTGGCCCTCTGGGGTCAGCCTTGTTCCCTGCCTGTCTTCTGCTGGGGAGGCCATTGGAACAGCATTGTCCCGTGGAGTTGAAGGTTGACCACAGAAGCTACTGAGCACCTGAAATAGGGCTCTGATTAGAGACTTTGGCACGTGTAAAATACACAGCTCATTCCAAAATCTCAGTGTGAGAATAAGACGAACTTTAACTCTCTCATGAGGAATTTTTTTTTTTTTTGAGATGGGGTCTCACTCTGTCACCAGGCTGGAGTGCAGTGGAGAGATCTCGGCTCACTGCAACGTCTGTATTCTGGGTTCAAGTGATTCTCCTGCCTCAGCCTCCTGAGTAGCTGCGATTACAGGTGTGCGCCACCACGCCCTGCTAATGTTTGCCTTTTTAGTAGAGACGGGGTTTCACCATGTTGGCCAGGATGGTCTCGATCTCCTGACCTCGTGATCCACCCACCTCGGCCTCCTAAAGGACAATATTTAAATGTACTACAATTAAGCCTGTATGTCAAAGGGTCTTTTCAGGACATGAAGGCACCGAAATTTGCCAGGTCTGTAAACCATGCAGAACCAGTCTGTTGTCAGTGGTCTTCTGATCTGGAGGAAGTTACTGAAATCAGTCTCTTGCCCAGGGAAAGCTGGAGTTAGGGCTGTGGAGCAGGGGCTCTGTTGCTCCGTGTCAGCGCGCTGGATGAGCTGCGATTGTTTTCATCTTCTTTATCTCGAGGCAGTTCTTGTTTAGCTGCTAAACAAGCAAAAGAAAAACCTTGTGGCAGGCAGAACAGAGTTGACTGTTGAAGTGTAGGGTGTGTGACCTCACCCTTGCCTGGCACGGCCTGAGGTCCTGGTTGTGATTTGGTATCTGATTGCCATGAAGAGTCTGTTCTGGTTCTGCCGGTCTTATGATTCTGTTTTAACATTACTGCTGGTCAGTTGTGTCTAAACTGCAAAAGGGAGGGGTGATAATGAGGCGTGCCTGACCTCCCCTCCCATCATGGCCAGGAACTCAGTTTTAAGGTTTTTCTGAGATACCTTTGGCCACTAGGGGCCAAAGTTGGTAAGTGGGGGCTAAGGATTCTATTTTTAGTTATAGGCGTGAGGACTAAGCTCTGATTTTTTTTTTTTATCTTTCCCAAATTCCTACCTGTCAGTCCTCTGAGCCCAGCCTGCGAGTATACATCCAGATGGCCTGAGGCACTGAAGAACCACAAAAGAAGTGAAAATGGCCGGTTCCTGCCTGAACTGATGACATTACTTTGTGAAATCCGTTCTCCTGGACAATGAGTCTCAGAAGCTCCCCCACCAAGCACCTTGTAACCCCCACCCCTGCCCGCAAGAGAAAAATCCCCTTTGACTGTAATTTTCCACTACTCACCCAAATCCTATAAAACTGTCCCACCCCTATCACTCTTATCCTGCTCAATGCCAATATCCCAACCCACAGCAGGCTTTAAAAAGGTTAAAGCCTCTTATCACCAGCCTGTTACAATATGGCTTTTTAAAGCCTACAAACTCTCCTTACAACTCTCCTGTCCTACCTGTCCAAAAACTGGACAAGTATTACAGGTTAGTTCAGGATCTGTGCCTTATCAACCAAATTGTTTTGCCTATCCACCCGGTGGTGCCCAACCCGTACACTCTTTGTCCTCAATACCTTCCTCCACAACTCACTATTCCGTTCTTGATCTTAAAGATGCTTTTTTCACTGTTCCCCTGCACCCCTCATACCAGCCTCTCTTTGCTTTTACCTGGACTGACCTTGACACCATCAGTCCCAGCAGCTTACCTGGGCTGTCCTGCCACAAGACTTCAGGGACAGCCCTCATTACTTCAGCCAGGTTCTTTCTCATGATTTACTTTCTTTCCGTCCATCTACTTCTCACATTATTCAATATTTTGATGATCTTCTACTTTATAGCCCCTCCTTTGAATCTTCTCAACAAGACACCCTCCTGCTCCTTTAACATTTATTCTCCAAAGGATATCGGGTATCCCCCTCCAAAGCTCAAATTTTGTCTCCATCCGTTACCTACCTCACTGTAATTCTTCATGAAAACACGCGTGATCTCCCTGCTGATTGTGTCTGGCAAATCTCCCAAACCCTAGCCCCTTCTACAAAGCAACAACTCCTTTCCTTCCTACGCATGGTTAAGTACTTTTGCCTTTGGATACCTGGTTTTGCCATCCTGGCTAAACCATTACATAAACTCACAAAAGGAAACCTAGGTGACCCCATAGATCCTAAATTCTTCCCCACTCCTCTTTCCATGCCTTAAAAACAGCCCTAGAAGCTGCTCCCACACTAGCGCTTCTTAACTCAACCCAACCCTTTCCATTACACACAGCCGAAGTACAAGACTGTGCGGTCGGAATTTACACAAGAGCCGGGACAGCACCCTGTAGCCTTTCTGTCCAAACAACTCGACCTTACTGTTCTGGGCTAGCCCACATGTCTCTGTGCAGTGGCTGCCGCTGCTTTATACTTTTAGAGGCCTTCAAAATCAAAAGCTATGCTCATGCTCCACTTACTCTCTACAGTTCCCATAAATTTCAAAATCTATTTTTCTCTTCACACTTGACACATATACTTTCTGACCTCCAGCTCCTTCAGTTGTTCTCACTCTTTGTTGAGTCTCCCACAATTATCATTGTTCCTGGCCCAGACTTAAATCCGGCCTCCCACATTATTCCTGATACCACATCTGACCCCCATGACTGTATCTCTCTGATCCACCTGGCATTCACTCCATTTCCTCATATTTCCTTCTTTCCTGTTCCTCACCCTGATCACACTTGGTTTATCACCCTTTACCCCAAAATCTTTCTTCAGTTTAATCTCTCCCATGATGCCCCTAATCCCACTCAAACCAGCCCTGAGAAACATCACCCATTATCTCTCCATACCACCCCCAAAAACTTTCACTGCCCCAACACTTCACCGCTATTTTGTTTTATTTTTCTTATTAATATAAGAAGACAGGAATGTCAGGCCTCTGAGCCCAAGCCTGCACAAATACATCCAGATGGCCTGAGGCAACTGAAAAACCACAAAAGAAGTAAAAATTGCCGGTTCCTGCCTTAACTGATGACATTACCTTGTGAAGTTATTTCTCCTGGACAATGAGTCTCAGAAGTTCCCCCACCAAGCACCTTGTAAGCCCTGCCCCTGCCCACAAGAGAAAAACCCCCTTTGACTGTAATTTTCCACTGCCCACCAACATCCTATAAAACTGCCCCACCCCTATCTCCCTTTGCTGACTCTCTTTCCGGACTCAGCCCACTTGCACCCAAGTGAAATAAATAACTTTGTTGCTCATACAAAGCCTACTGTGGACTCTCTTCACACGGACGTGTGTGACACTATCTAAGAGGTCTGGGGAGTCATGCCCTACCAAGCATATATCCTCATCAGATGGCTTCTATTTTTATTTTATTTTATTTCATTTTATTTTAATTAAGACTGAGTTTCACTCTTCTTGCCCAGCCTAGAGTACAATGGTGCAGTCTTGGCTCACTGCAACCTCTGCCTCACTGGTTCAAGCGATTCTCCTTCCTCAGCCTCCCAAGTAGCTGAGATTACAGGCACCCGCCACCACGCCCAGCTAATTTTTGTATTTTTAGTAGAGATGGGGTTTCACCATGTTGGCCAGGCCGGTCTCGAACTCCTGACCTCAGGTGATCCACGCACCTAGGCCTCCCAAAGTGCTGGGATTACAGACATGAGCCACTGCACCCGGCCCAGATGGGTTTTATTTAACCCTATATATTGTGAGATATTTTCCAGTCTGACTCAGGCACAAAATTACGTGACAAAGAAGACAAAACATTTTACCCCAAATCATGTTTCTTTGACATATCTTGAAATGGCCCTGCAAAGTTGTCCTTTGTGGGGGAAAATTTGCATCTGTAAAGAATCTCTATTAATATAGCTGGATCTTTTTCTTCCAGACCTTCCCAGTCCTAAACATATTAACTAATTGCACCTTTTAAAGACCTGAATGGGAAACATTTGTCATCTATTGTCTCTAAGGGCAGCCACTATGAGACTTCGAAAGAACCTTGGTCTCCACAATCTTTTATATTAACCTGAACGTTTCCTTTCTATGGATGCCAGGTCTCTAGACAAACTCAACCAATCGTCAACCAGAAAATGTTTTTTGTTTGTTTGTTTTTGAGATGGAGTCTTGCTCTGTCACCCAGTCTGGACTGCAGTGGTGCGATCTCGGCTCGCTGCAAGCTCTGCCTTCTGGGTTCACGCCATTCTCCTGCCTCAGCCTCCCGAGCAGCTGGGCTTACAGGCGACCGCCACCACGCCCAGCTAATTTTTTGTGTTTTTAGTAGAGATGGGGTTTCACCGTGTTAGTCAGGATGGTCTCTATCTCCTGACCTCGTGATCCGCCTGCCTCAGCCTCCGAAAGTGCTGCAACTACAGGTGTGAGCCACTGTGCCTGGCCCACAAAATATTTAAATTTACCTGTACCCTGGAAGCCCCCCAAACCCCCTCCCCTTACTTTGAGTCATCCGACCTTTCTGAACCAAACCAATGTATTTCTTTTCTTTTCTTTTGATACAGAGTCTTGCTCTGTCTCCAAGGCTGGAATGCAGTTGCATGCTCTTGGCTCACTGCAACCTCTGCCTCCTGGGTTCACGCAATTGTCCTGCCTCAGTCTCCCAAGTAGCTGGGGTTATAGGCGCCCACCACCACACTCAGCTAATTTTTGTATTTTCAGTGGAGACAGGGTTTTGCCATGTTGGCCAGGCTGGTCTCAAACTCTTGACCCCACGTGATCCACCTGGCTCGGCCTCCCAAAGTGCTATGATTACAGGCGTGAGCTGCTGTGTCCAGCCACCAATGTATTTCTTTCTTTTTTTTTTGAGATGGAGTCTTACACCGTCGCCCTGGCTGGAGTGCCCTTGCGTGATCTCGGCTCACTGCAACCTCCGTCTCCCAGGATCACGTGATTCTCCTGCCTCAGCCTCCTGAGTAGCTGGGATTACAGGTGCACATCATCACACCGGCTAATTTTTTGTATTTTTAGTAGAGACAGGGTTTCACTGTGTTGGCCAGGCTGGTCTCGAACTCCTGACCTCATGATCCACCCACCTCAGCCTCCCAAAGCACTGGGATTACAGGCATGAGCCACTGTACCCAGCTCCTGTATTTCTCAAATGTATTTGATTGATAGCTCTTGCCTCTCTAAAATATATAAAACCAAGTTGCACCCCCACCACCTTGGGCACATGTTATCAGGACCTCCTGAGCCCTGTGTTACGGGCCATGGTCACTCGTATTTGGCTCAGAATACGTCTCTTCAAATATTTTACAGAGTTTGACTCTGTTTGTCGACAGGCCCAAGACCCAGGTGCCCACTCCCTGTCTCCTCGGAGGGCCCGCGCTTCCGGTTCTCTGGCACCTCTGGTTCCTGGTTGCCCTTCTACTTTCTGTTCTGCTTTCTCAAAAAGCTCTGAACATCTCAGGCCTCCATGTAGTACCCAATTCTACTTTTTATTGAAAATCTTACTTAAACACCAACTTGATCACTGATCAAGTTTTCTTGGCTCTTTCTCAGTCACGTTCCCTAGGCTGTGTCCTAGCCCAGAGCTGCACTGCTGGGAGGGATTTGAGAAGGGAGGGGCATGAGCAGGAGGGAGGGCTGGGTGCTCTTGGGTGCAGGAGGGTGGGCTGGGTGGAACATGCAGGAAGGTCTGGGTGGAGGGGCTGTGAGGGTCAGGTCGGGACTCCCCTGTGAGACAGACACACAGGACAGGAACCCCTGCACTCCCCACTCAGGCCCGCCCACAGTGACTGTGGCTTGTTGCCATGTTGCCCTGTTTCTCCCAAAAATCAATATATTGAAGCCCTAACCCCTCTACCTCAATGTGTGGTTGTATTTGGAGACAGGTCCTTTTCAACAGATGATTAATTAATTCATTAATTAATTTTTTTAGAGACGGAGTCTCACTCCGTTGCCCAAGCTGGAGTGCAGTGGCACCATCTCGGCTCACTGCAACCTCTACCTCCCTGGTTCAAGCGATTCAAGCCTCAGCCTCCCGAGTAGCTGGGATTACATGTGCCCGCCACCATGCCCAGCTACTTTTTGTATTTTTAGTAGAGACGGGGTTTTGCCATGTTGGCCAGGCTGGTCTTGAATTCCTGACCTCAGGTGATCCGCCTACCTTGGCCTCCCAAAGTGCTGAGATTACAGGTGTGAGCCACCACACCCAGCCAACAGATGATTAATTTATTTTTATTTTTATTTTGAGATGCAGTCTCACTCTGTCTTCCAGGTTGGAGTGCAATGGCATGATCTCGGCTCACTGCAACCTCTGCTTCCCAAGGTCCAGCGATTCTCCTGCCTCAGCCTCCCAAGTAGCTGAGATTACAGGCATCCACTACCACGCCTGGCTAATTTTTTTGTATTTTTAGTAGAGACGGGGTTTCACCATGTTGACCAGGCTTGTTTTGAACTCCTGACTGTCAGGCCTCTGAGCTGAAGCTAAGCCATCATATCCCCTGTGACCTGCACATATACATCCACCTGGCCTGAAGCAACTGAAGATCCACAAAATAAGTGAAAATAACCTTAACTGATGACATTCCACCATTGTGATTTTTTCCTGCCCCACCCTAACTGATATGATATATTCTCCCCCGCCCTTAAGAAGGTACTTTGTAATATTCTCCCCAGTCTTGAGAATGTACTTTGTAATATTGTCCCCACTCTTGAGACTGTACTTTGTACGCCTATCCCAAACCTATAAGAACTAATGATGATCCCACCACCATTTGCTGAGTCCTTTTTCGGACTCAGCCCGCCCACACCCAGATGAAATAAACAGCCTTGTTGCTCACACAAAGCCTGTTGGTGGTCTCTTCACACAGACGTGCGTGACGTTTGGTGCCAAAACTCGGGACGGGAGGACTCCTTCGGGAGACCGGTCCCCTGTCCTCACCTTCACTGGGTGAGGAGATCCACCTACAACTCGGGTCCTCAGACCAACCAGCCAAAGGAACATCTCACCAATTTCAAATCAGGTAAGTGGTCTTTTCGCTCTTCTCCAGCCTCTCTCACTACCCTCCAGCCTTCCTCTCTCGCTACCCTTCAATCTTCCTGTCCTTCCAATTCCAGTTCTTTTTCTTCTCTAGTAGAGACAAGGAGACACATTTTATCCATGGACCCAAAACTCCGGCGCCAGTCACGGACTCGGGAAGACAGCCTTTCCTTGGTGTTTAATCACCGCGGGGACGCCTGCCTGATTATTCACCCACACTCCATTGGTGTCTGATCTCCACGGGGACGCCTGCCTGATTATTCACCCACATTCCCTTGGTGGTCAGTCAATTGTGGGGATGCCTGCTTTGGCTGCTCACCCACATTGCAGCCCAGGGCTGCTCACTACCCCCTCTTCTCCGTGTCTCTACCCTCTCTGTTCTCTGGGCTTGCCTCCTTCACTATGGGCAACCTTCCACCCTCCATTCCTCCTTCTTCTCCCTTAGCCTGTGTTCTCAAAGACTTAAAACCTCTTCAACTCAGACCTGAACTGAAACCTAAGCGTCTTATTTTCTTCTGCAACACCGCTTGGCCCCAGTACAAACTCGACAATGATTCCAAATAGCCAGAAAATGGCACTTTCAATTTCTCCATCCCACAAGATCTAGATAATTCTTGTCATAAAATGGACAAATGGTCTGAGGTATCTGATGTCCAGGCATTCTTTTACACTTCAGTCCCTTCCTAATCTCTGCTCCTGATGAGACTCATCCCAAAACTTTCTTCTTTCTCTCCTGTCTGTTCCTTCAGTCTCCACCCCAAGCTCTGAGTCCTTTGAATCCTCCTTTTCCACAGACTCATCTGACCTCTCCTCTTCTCCTCAGGCTGCTCCTCGCCAGGCTGAGCCAGGTCCCAACTCTTCGCCAGCCTCTGCTCCCCCACCCTATAATCCTTCTATCACTTCCCCTCCTCACACCGGGTCTGGCTTACAGTTTTGTTCTGCGTCTAGCCCTCCCCCACCTGCCCAACAGTTTCCTCTTAGAGAGGTGGCTGGAGCTGAAGGCATAGCCAAGGTTAATGCTCCTTTTTCTTTACCCAACCTCTCCCAAATCAGTTAGTGTTTAGGCTCTTTTTCATCAAATATGAAAACCCCGCTCAGTCCATGGCCCGTTTGGCAACAACCCTTAGATGCTTTACCGCCCTAGACCCAGAGGGGCCAGAAGGCCGTCATATTCTCAATATGCATTTTATTACCCAATCCGCTCCTGACATTAGAAAAAGCTCCAAAAATTGGATTCTGGCCCTCAACCCCACAACAGGACTTAATTAACCTCACCTTCAAGGTGTACAATAATAGAGAAGAGTTGCGATTACTTGCCTCTTCTGTGAGAGAAACCCCAGCCACATCTCCAGCACACAAGAACTTCAGAACGCCTAAACTGCAAGGGTCAGGCATTCCTCCAGGACTGCCTTCCCCAGGATCTTGCTTCAAGTGCCAGAAATCTGGCCACTGGGGCAAGGAATGCCCACAGCCCAGGATTCCTCCTAAGCCATGCCCCACCTGTGCAGGACCCCACTGGAAATCGGACTGTCCAACTCGCCCAGCAGACAGTCCCAGAGCCCCTCGAACTCTGGCTCAAGGTTCTCTGACTGACTCCTTCCCGGATCTTCTCGGCTTAGTGGCTGAAGACTGACGCTGTCCGATTGCCTCAGAAGCCTCCTGGACCATCACGGACGCTTTGAGTAACTCTTACAGTGGAGGGTAAGTCTGTCCCCTTCTTGATCAATACGGAGGCTACCCACTCCACATTACCTTCTTTTCAAAGGCCTGTTTCCCTTGCCTCCATAACTGTTGTGGGTATTGACAGCCAGGCTTCTAAACCTCTTAAAACTCCCCAACTCTGGCGCCAACTGGGACAACATTCTTAACTCCCCAACTCTGGCGCCAACTTGGACAACATTCTTTTATGCACTCTTTTTTTATTTATCCCCACCTGCCCAGCTCCCTTATTAGGTCAGGACACTTTAACCAAATTTTCTTCTTCCCTGACTACTCCTGGGCTACAGCCACACCTCATTGCCGCCCTTTTCCCCAGTTCAGAGCCTCCTTCACGTCCTCCCCTTGTGTCTTCCTACCTTAATCCACAAGTATGGGACACCTCTACTCCCTCCTTAGTGACTGATCATGCACCCCTTACCATCCCATTAAAACCTAATCACCCTTACCCTGCTCAATGCCAATATCCTATCCCACAGCACACTTTAAAAGGATTAAAGCCTGTTATCACTCACCCGTTACAGCATGGCCTTTTAAAGCCTATAAACTCTCCTTACAATTCCCCCCTTTTACCTGTGCAAAAACTGGACAAGCCTTATAGGTTAGTTCAGGATCTGTGCCTTATCAACCACATTGTCTTGCCTATCCACCCTATGGTGCCAAATCCATATACTCTCCTATCCTCAATACCTCCCTCCACAACCCATTATTCTGTCCTGGATCTCAAACATGGTTTCTTTACTATTCCTTTGCACCCTTCATCCCAGCCTCTCTTTGCTTTTACCTGGACTGACCCTGACACACGTCAGTCCCAGCAGCTTACCTGGGCTATAGTGCCACAAGGCTTCAGGGACAGCCCTCATTACTTCAGCCAAGCCCTTTCTCGTGATTTACTTTCTTTCCACCCCTCTGCTTCCCACCTTATTCAATACATGGATGACCTTTTACTTTGTAGTCCCTCCTTTGAGTCTTCTCAGTAAGATACCCTCCTGCTCCTTCAACATTTATTCTCCAGAGGATATCAGGTATCCCCCCTCCAAAGCTCAAATTTCTTCCCCATCCGTTACCTACCTCAGCATAATTCTTCATGAAAACATGCATGTTCTCCCTGCCAATCATGTCTGGCTAATCTCTCAAACTCCAACCCCTTCTACAAAAAAACAACTTCTTTCCTTCCTGGGCATGGTTGGATACTTTCATCTTTGGATACCTGGTTTTGCCGTACTAACAAAACCTAATGTAAACTCATAAAGGGAAACCTAGCTGACCCCATAGATCCTAAATCCTTTCCCTACTCCTCTTTCCGTTCCTTGAAGACAGCTTTAGAGACTGCTCCCACACTAGCTCTCCCTGACTCATCCCAACCCTTTTCATTACACACAGCCAAAGTACAGGGCTGTGCAGTCGGAATTTTTACACAAGGACCAGGATTCCTACACAAGGCTACTGTGCCCTGTAGCCTTTTTGTCCAAACAACTTGACCTTACTGTTTTAGGCTGGCCATCATGTCTCTGTGCAGCAGCTGCCACTGCCTTAATACTTTTAGAGGCCCTTGAAATCACAAACTGTGCTCAACTCACTCTCTACAGTTCTTATAACTTCCAAAATCTATTTTCTTCCTCACACCTGATGCATATACTTTCTGCTCTCCGGCTCCTTCAGCTATACTCACTCTTTGTTGAGTCTCCCAAAATTACCATTGTTCCTGGCCCAGACTTCAATCTGGCCTCCCACATTATTCCTGATACCACACTTGACACCCATGACTGTATCTCTCTGATACACCTGGCATTCACTCCATTTCCCCATATTTCCTTCTTTCCTGTTCCTCACCCTGATCACACTTGGTTTATTGATGGCAGTTCCATCAGGCCTAATTGCCACTCACCAGCAAAGGCAGGCTATGCTATAGTATCTTCCATATTTATCCTTGAGGCTACCACTCTGCCCCACTCCACTACTTCTCAGCAAGCCAAACTCATTGCCTTAACTCAGGCCCTCACTCTTGCAAAGGGACTACACATCAATATTTATACTGACTCTAAATATGCCTTCCATATCCTGTACCACCATGCTGTTATATGGGCAGAAAGAGGTTTCCTCACTACGCAAGGGTCCTCCATCATCAATGCCTCCTTAATAAAAAGTCTTCTTAAAGCTGCTTTACTTCCAAAGGAAGCTGGAGTCATTCACTGCAAGGGCCATCAAAAGGCATCGGATCCCATCGCTCAGGGCAATGCTAAAGAAGCAGCTAGCATTCCAACTTCTGTCCCTCATGGCCGGTTTTTCTCCTTCTCATCAGTCACTCCCACCTACTCCCCCACCGAAACTTCCACCTATCAATCTCTTCCCACACAAGGCAAATGGTTCTTGGACCAAGAAAAATATCTCCTTCCAGCCTCACAGGCCCAGTCTATTCTGTCGTCCTTTCATAACCTCTTCCATGTAGGTTACATGCCACTAGCCTGCCTCTTAGAACCTCTCATTTCCTTTCCATTGTGGAAATCTATCCTCAAGGAAATCACTTCTCAGTGTTCCATCTGCTATTCTATTACTCCTCAGGGATTGTTCAGGCCCCCTCCCTTCCCTACACATCAAGCTCTGGGATTTGGCCCTGCCCAGGACTGGCAAATTGACTACTCACATGCCCTGAGTCAGGAAACTAAAATACCTCTTGGTCTGTGTAGACACTTTCACTGGATGGGTAGAGGCCTTTCCCACAGGGTCTGAGAAGTCCACCGTGATCATTTCTTCCTTTCTTTTAGACAGAATTCCTGGGTTTGTCCTTCCCACCTCTATACAGTCTGATAACGCACCGGCCTTTATTAGTCAAATCACCCAAGAAGGTTCTCAGGCTCTTGGTATTTGGAGGCTCCTGGTTTTACTTCAAATCACCACCCTTAAGTCGCTCTTGAAGTCGATAGAAGATCTTCAGTGGCAAGGTACCCTCCAGTACTTTCACCCTGATGAAGTCCTATTCTTTACTTTTATACTCACTCTTATTCTGGTTCCGTTCTTATGCTACCCTCTACCTCTCCCCAGCTATCTCCACCACACTATCAAACTCTCTCTTAGCCATTTCTAATCCTTCTTAAATGAACAATTGCTGGCTTTGCATTTCTCTTTCCTCCAAAATTGCCGAGGCATCGACTTACTCACTGCTAAAAAAAAGAGGACTCTGTATATTTTTAAACGAAGAGTGTTGTTTTTACCTAAATCAATCTGGACAGGTATATGACAACATAAAAAAATTCAAGGATAGAGGCCAAAAACTCACCAACCAAGCAAATAATTATGTTGAACCCCCTTGGACACTGTCTAATTAGATGTTCTGGGTACTCCCAATTCTTAGTCCTTTAATACCTATTTTTCTGGCTGGGTGTGGTGGCTCATGCCTGTAATCCCAGCACTTTGGGAGGCTGAGGTGGACGGATCACGAGGTCATGAGATTGAGACCATCTGGCTAACATGGTGAAACCCCCTTCTCTACTAAAAATACAAAAAAATTAGTCGGGCGTGGTGGCGTGCACCTGTAGTCCCAGCTACTCAGGAAGCTGAGGCAGGAGAATCGTCTGAACCAGGGAGGCAGAGGTTGCAGTGAGCCGAGATCGTGCCACTGCACTCCAGCCTGGGCAACAGAGCGAGACTCTGTCTCAAAAAAAAAAAAAAAAAAAAAAAACCAACCTATTTTTCTCCTTCTTTTATTCAGACCTTGTGTCTTCCGTTTAGTTTCTCAATTCATACAAAACCGCATCCAGGCCATCACCAATAATTCTATACGACAAATGCTCCTTCTAACAACTCCAAAATATCACCTTACCCCAAAATCTTTCTTCAGCTTAATCTCTCCCACCACAGGTTCCCACGCTGCCCCTAATCCCGCTTGAAGCAGCCATGAGAAACATCGCCCATTATCTCTCCATACCACCCCCCAAAATTTTCGCCACCCCAACACTTCACCACTATTTTGTTTTTTCTTATTCATATAAGAAGACAGGAATGTCTGGCCTCTGAGCCCAAGCTAAGCCATCATATCCCCTGTGACCTGCATGTATACATCCAGATGGCCTGAAACAACTGAAGATCCACAAAAAAAAGCGAAAATAGCCTTAACTGATGACATTCCACCATTGTGATTTGTTCCTGCCCCACCCCAACTGATACCATATAGTCTCCCCTGCCCTTAAGAAGGTACTTTGTAATATTCTCCCCCACACTTAAGAATGTACTTTGTATGCCTTTAAGAATGTACACTTATAGGTTTGGGATAGGTTTATCCCAAACCTGTAAGAACTAATGATAATCCCACCACCCTTTGCTGACTCCTTTTTCTGGTTCAGCCCACCTGCACCCAGGTGAAATAAACAGCCTTGTTGCTCACACAAAACCTGTTGGTGGTCTCTTCACATGGACACGTGTGACACTGACCTCAAGTGATCTGCCTGCCTTAGCCTCCCAAAGTGCTAGGATTACAGGCGTGAGCCACCACGCCCGACCAAGATGATTAATTTAAATGAGACCTCTAGTGTGGGCACAAATTAATTTGTCTGGGGTCCATAAAGGAGAAGGTCGACCAGGTGCCATGGCTCATGCCTTTAATCCCAGCACTTTAGGAGGCAGAGGTGGGCGTCAGGAATTCGAGACCAGCCTCGCCTGGAATGTACATGGTGATGTAGCAGGAACGGTTGCAGACAAAACCTCTCAGACACCAGTTTTAGGAAGGAAGAGGCTTTAATCAGCTGGGAGCGTTGACAGACTTGCATCTGAAGATTGGAGCTCCCTGAAGAAGTCCCTGGCCCTTTTAAGGGCTTACAATTCTAAGGGGTCCACGTGAAAGGGTCGTGATAGATTGTGCAAGCGTGGGCTACGTGACTGGGGGGCTACATGCATCAGTGGTGGGGGCTAGCAGAACAGACCAGAAAGTTTCACAATGCTTCCTCATACAATGTCTGGAATCTTTAGATAAAACAAGCGGTCAGGTCAGGAGTTGATCTTTAACTACCAGGCCCAGGTAGCAGCGCCAAACAGTCTGGCCATTGATCTTACTTCTGCATCTTTCTAACTTTTTGCTTCCTTCTGAAATAGGAGACAATGAGAGAGGTGGTCTCCTTCCTCAGTGAAACCCCATCTCTACTAAAAAATAGAAAAATTAGCAGAGATTGGTTCTGGGCATCTGTAATCCCAGCTACTCAGGAGGCTGAGGTGGGAGAATTGCTTGAACCCAGCAGGCAGAGGTTGCAGTGAGCAGTGATTCTGCTATTTAGCACTCCAGCCTGGGCAACAGAGTGAAACTCCATCTCAAAAAAAAAAAAAAGTTGTGTATGGTGGCTTATATCTGTAATCCCAGCACTTTGGGAGGCTGAGGAGAGTGGATCGCCTGAGCTCATGAGTTCAAGACCAGCCTGAGCAACATGGAGAAACCCCGTCTCTACTAAAACTACAAAATTAGCCAGGCGTGGTGGCACACGCCTGTAGTCCCAGCTACTCAGGAGGCTGAGGCACGAGAATCGCTTGAACTCGGAAGGCAGAGGTTGCAGTGAGCTGAGATTGTGCCATTGCACTCCAGCCTAGAAAACAAGAGCAAAACTGTCTGAAAAAAAAAAAAAAGATATTTGGAAGCAGAGAGACCCCAGAGGTACAGTACAGGTTCATAGAGGAAAGGCCACAGAGGACACAGCCAGAAGGGATCCCTGCCATCCAGGAGGAGCGGCCTCAGAGCAAACAACCCCGCCGACCCCTCCACCTTGGACTTGTAGCCTCCATATCTGTGAGAAAATAAATGCCTGCCTGTGGCCCGCATTATTCATGTGGGCACCTGGCCCAGGGCATCTTCTGTGGAGGCCACAGCATGAAGGGATCATTTTTATAGAGAATCTCATTCTCTAATAACTTATATCTGCCTAGAAAATGTCAAGTCAAATTTAAAGTGTGGAGAAGGGCCTCTAAATTTCACATTTCATTTGCAAAGAAAGAATTGTAATTTGGGACATACACGCAGTCCGGGTGGTGTTCACCATGTTGGGAGAACAGAGACAGCAACAGGTCCTATTAAAAGGAGAAATGGGCTAGGCGCTGTGGCTCACACCAGCAATCCCAGCAATTTGGGAGGCCAAGGAGGTTGGATCACTTGAGGTCAGGAGTTTAAGACCAGCCTAAGCCTGGCCAGGTGGCTCACGCCTGTAATCCCAGCACTTTGGGAGGCCGAGACGGGTGGATCACGAGGTCAGGAGTTCAAGACCAGCCTGGTCAAGATGTTGAAACCCCGTCTCTACTAAAAACACAAAAATTAGCTAGGCGTGGTGGCACGCGCATGTAATCCCAGCTACTTGGGAGGCTTAGGTAGGAAAATAGCTTGAACTCAGGCGGCAGAGGCTGCAGTGAACCCAGATTGCACCACTGCACCCCAGCCTGGGCAACAGAGCAAGACTCCATCTCAAAAAATAAAATAAAAATAAGACCAGCCTGGGAAACATGATGAAACCCGTTTTTATGAAAAATACAAAAATTAGCCTGGTTTGGTGGTGGACGCCTGTAATCCCAGCTACTCGGGAGGCTGAGACAGGAGAATCACTTGAACAAGGGAGGCAGAGGTTGCAGTGAGCCGAGACCGCACCATTGCACTCCAGCCTGGGTGACAGGGCGAGACTCCATTTCAAAGAAAAAAAAAAAGAAAAGGAGAAATGTTCTCTTGTCCTATGGGAAAGCCCATGGGCACTAGGAAGGGTTGGGAACTGGGAGGTTCCATTGCTGAATAGCTGCGATTATAGCAAGGAGTCCAAGACTTACAGCCATTTATTGCAGAAGCTATGGATAAAGCTGGTTTCAGGGTACAATGCACAGTTTCAGGAGTCAGGCTTGCAGAGAAGTCCATTTTGGGAGCAATGGTGTGTGGCCTGACTGCTTTTCCTCCCTGGCTCCTGGGCTCTGTTTTAGCTGCGTAGGACATGAATGACCCAATTTGTAGGATGAAAGTTAACAAAGGATGTTTCTCAAAACTTCTGGTTTTCAACTTACATACCCATTTCAACTTTCATACCCATTTCGGTTGAGTTTATTTATTGATTTATTTTCAGGCAGGGTCTCGATCTGTTGCTCAGACTGGAGTTCAGTGACGTGATCTCAGTTCACTGCAGCCTCCACCTCCCCGGCTCAAGCAATCCTCCCACTTCATCCTTCCAAGTAGCTTCAACTACAGGTGCATGCCACCACACCTGTTTTTTTTTTTTTTGTAATTTTTTTGTAGAGATGGGGCTTTGTCATGTGGCCCAGGCTGGTCTCGAATTCCTGGGCTCAAGCGATTCTCTCACCTCTGCCTCCCAAATTGCTGGGGGATTATAGGCATGAGTCACCGCGGCCAGCCTAGGGTGAGTTTAATAAGATTTGGTTGTGCCGCCGGGCCAGTGGCTCACGCCTGTAATCCCAGCACTTTGGGAGGCTGAGATAGGCGGATCACCTGAGGTCAGGAGTTCAAGACCAGCCTGGCCAACATGGTGAAACCCAGTCACTACTAAAAATACAAAAAAAAAAAAAGTTAGCTGTGCGTGGTGGCAGGCGTCTGTAATTCCAGCTACTCGGGAGGCGGAGGCAGGAGAATCGCTTGAACCTGGTAGGCAGAGTTTGCAGTGAGCCAAGATCAAGCCATTGCACTCCAGTCTGGGTGACAGAGCGAAATTCCGTCTCAAAAAAAAAAAAAAAATATTAGGTTATGCTGGGGAGATGGGAAAAGGCAGGTTAGGGGCATGCAGGCTCAGGGAACAGGGTCTTGGTGGGTGGATGGATAGCCATGGAGGCAGAAAGAGGCCTCTGCAGGAAGAGCCTGGGAGAGCGGAGAGGAGGTGGTGAGGCAGGGGAGCACTATGGAATGGCCCTGAGGCCAGGAGGGGCTCAGGATGACCAGGCAAAAGCACAGCTGGTCCAGGATGGAGGGGAGGCCTGCACAACATGAGCAGGAGGCTAGAGGAGACAGACCATGAGGCCCGGGG
This sequence comes from Homo sapiens, assembly GCF_000001405.40. NCBI lineage: Eukaryota > Metazoa > Chordata > Mammalia > Primates > Hominidae > Homo > Homo sapiens. The sequence continues at coordinate 39,052,702 of NC_000022.11, read as the reverse complement.
AGACCCCTCACTCGAGAATCTCCTGCAGCTTGCTGTCCAGGAATAGAAAGTTGTATTTTAGTCCTTTCCAAGGCTTGAATGGCTCATCATCATTGTACACAAAGTTTTCCCAACAATATTTAAAATCTGAGAAAAAACAAGGAGAAAGCAGTGAGGGCCCAGCAGGCTTCTCTCCCAGCCCTGGGCCCTCCCCTCCAAGCCCAGGTCTCCTGACTGCCAGTTGCAGTGGACACTGGCGCCATCCCTGCAGGCTTCCCGGGACACTGCCCCGCCCCACGGCATTGCAGACACACCTGCCCCTCATGCTGTCCCTCCCGCACCCACTCTCCTCAGCCCCCCAACGTCTCACCTTTGTAGCCCATGATCTCCACGGAGGCCCCTTCCTGACTCAGGCTGCGGAGCCCCTCCTGGTAATCTGTATCCCAGAAGTAGTAGAGGCGGGCGGTGAAGATGGTGAGATTCACGTTGCTGTGCCTGGCCAGGAACTCGGCCACCTCCCCTGCACACTCTGGGCAAGGGCTCCAAGATGTGTACCAGGTGACCTCGTAGTTTGTGTTAGGAGACAGTATGTCGTCACAGAACCAAGAGAGGAAGCACCTTTCTGCATGACAATGGGTCTCAGGATCCACCTGGGGAAGGAGGAGGAGGAGGGCAGGGGAGCTCAGACTAGGAGCAGGAGGAGTGCAGGGGTGGGGCGATGGGAGCAGAGGGCGGGCCTGGAGCCCCAGGGCGTTTCCTTATTTATTTTTGAGACAGGGTCTCTCCTGTTGCCCAGGCTGGGGTGCAGTGGTGCGATCTGGGGCTGACTGCAGCCTTGACCTCCCAGGCTCAAGGAATCTTCCCACCTCAGCCTCCTGATTAGCTGGGACTGCAGGTGCGTGCCACCACGCCTGCCTAATTTTTTTGTAATTTTTGTAGAGACTGGGTTTCACCATGTTGCTCAGGCTGATCTCGAACTCTTGGGCTCAAGCCATCCTCCTGCCTCACCCTCCCAAAACTCTGCGACTATGAGCATAAACCACATGCATGGCCTTATTTTCTTTACTTCTCATTTTTTTGGGTACATACTAGGCCCCAGGGCTTTTTACTCATTGAATTTCCCTTCTTCCATCCTTCTCCTTGCTCTTTATTTTTTCTTTTCTTTTTCTTTCTTTTTTTTTTTTTTTGATACTGAGTCTCGCTCTGTCACCCATGCTGTAGTGCAGTGGCGCGATCTCCGCTCACTGCAAGCTCCGCCTCCGGGGTTCACGCCATTCTCCTGCCTCAGCCTCCCAAGTAGCTGGGACTACAGGCGCCCGCCACCACGCCTGGCTAATTTTTTGTATTTTTAGTAGAGATGGGGTTTCACCGAGTTAGCGAGCATGGTTTCAAGCTCCTGACCTCGTGATCCCCCGCCTTGGCCTCCCAAAGTGCTGAGATTACAGGCGTGAACCACTGCACCTGGCCGTTCCTCTTTATCTTTTTGAGTGACAGAGTCTTGCTCTGTCACCCAGGCTGGGGGGCAGTGGCAAGATCTCGGCTCACTGCAACCTCTGCCTCCTGGGTTCAGGCGATTTTCCTGCCTAAGCCACCCAAGTAGCTGGGACTACAGGGGCACACCCCCACGCCTGGCTAATTTTTGTAGTTTTAGTAGTGATGGGATTTCACCATGTTAGGCAGGCTGGTGTCAAACTCCTGACCTCATGATCCGCCCGCCTCAGCCTCGCTAAGTGCTGGGATTACAGGCGTGAGCCACTGCACTCGGCCCCTTCCTTCTTTATTTTATTGAGTCTTTTCCTGTCTCATCATAGGTCATGTGTGATTTCTGGCATCCTGTTCCCCAGGCATCCGTTAACCGGGCATCCTCAGCCCCTGCTGTGGCCTGGTCCTATGGGGTCTGCCTTGTCCCCTGTCTGCCTTCTGCTGGGAAGGTCATTGGACCCACATTGTCCCATGGAGTTGAAGGTTGGCCAAAGGGGCTACTGAGCACTTGAAATGGGGCTCTGATTAGAAACGTTGGCACGTGTAAAATACACAGCGCATTTCAAAATCTCATTGTGAGAATAGACAAACTTTAACTCTCTCATGAGGCATTTTATATTAAGTATATGTTGAAATCCTATGTGAGATAATTGAGCTAATGCAGACACTAAAATTTCTTCCACAAGTTCTTGTCGCCTTTTTAGCGTGTGGGGACTGGGAACACTCGCGCTTCCATCCTGAGTCCTGGGTGTTTCCGAGGCCAGCACTGCTGTAGGCCAGGCCTGCCCAGCACACAGACGGCTCCCTCCCCAAACACACTCTGAAAAAATCTCCTGCCTGGGAGGAGGGGGCCGCAGGGTTGGGTGGGACACGACAGGGTGGGTGGGAGGTCAGTGGCTGCTGTGGGGGCGGCAGGGTGAGGAGCGAGGGTTCACCACCCTGTGAGGATGTGTCCTTGACATCGAGGAATCAGGGCAGTGGCGGGGGCGGCCCCACCAGCCCACAGTGACTGGCCCAGGCACAGTGCTGGACACCAGACCCACCGCTTCCCACAGCTGCTGTTTCCCGAGGACTGCCGGACGCACAGCTCCATGACAAGATTTTGGGAAACAAAGTCAAGAGTGAGGGCGCTGGGCGCTAAACAAGGCCTTTTGGTAAGAGGCAAAACCCCTCGACAATCTGATCCCAGGAAAGTTAGGGAGGAAGATCTGGGCCACGGACTTAAAAAATGTGGGAGGAAGTTGGGCGTGGTGGCTCATGCCTGTAATCCTAGCACTTTGGGAGGCCGAGGGGGGCGGATCACTTGAGGTCAGGAATTCGAAACCAGCCTGGTCACCACGGTGAAACCCCGTCTCTACTAAAAATGGAATAAAAATTAGCTGGGTGTGGTGGTGGGCACCTGTAATCCCAGCTACTCAGGAGGCTGAGACAGAAGAATTGCTTGAACCCAGGAGGCAGAGGTTGCAGTGAGCAGAGATCACGCCATTGCACTCCAGCCTGGGTGACTGAGTGAGACTCTGTCTCAAAAAAAAAAAAAAAAAAGAAATGTAAGAGGAAAGTACACACAGGAAAGCCCACGCCAGGCACGTCACTTATTGTGTTTTCTGCATTCCTAGCTGCTTAGCTCCTATTTGGGGTGTAAATAGGACTTTGGTGCTACCTGGTTTCGGAAGACGCCCCTCTTCCAGGAGACAGGTGAGTGGTGCTTTACAACTTCCATGGTGAAGCACAGCCAGCTTTCGTTCCGACCATAGGCTTTGCGTAGGTTTTTAAAGTGGAAGTAGAATATGTGTGGATACATTGCCTCCATCGGGTTTCTGAAGGCACAATAGAGAAACCCCAATGCAGAGACCCCCCTGGATTCCTCGGAGCTGATGCCCACTGAACACCACTCACTGGACAGCCCTGGGAATGTCTGCTGCTTTCCCAGGCAGAAAGACTGGGAGAGAGAAAGAGGAGGGGATGCTGGCAGGGGCAGAAGGGCCGGGGTGACCTCTCCCAGCTGGAACCACAGCTCTGGGCCTACCAATGGGACACCCTCAACCTCCCAGTTTTTCTGCCACACGTCTCCCAACCCATTAGGAAAATGCAACAGACAATAAAACTCTTCGCCCTAAAATAATTGCTTGAACATTTCAGCTCAATTCCTTCCTCACATTTCACCTGTCCGATGATGATGATTCTTTTTACGTTGGTATCACACCGAATTCCCAGGCCCAGGCTACTCTTTTTGTTTTTTTTGTTTTTGTTTTTGTTTGGGACATAGTCTCCCTCTGCTGCCCAGGCTGGAGTGCAGTGGCGCGATCTCAGCTTACTGCAACCTGCACCTCCCGGGTTGAAGTGATTCTCCTGCCTCAGCCTCCTGAGTAGCTGGGATTACGAGCTTGTGTCACCACGTCCGGCTGATTTTTGTACTTTTATTTATTTATTTATTTTTATACGGGGTCTCAGTCTGTCGCCAGGCTGGAGTGCAGTGGCACAATCTCGGCTCACTGCAACCTCTGCCTCTTGGTTTCAAGCGATTCTCCTGCCTCAGCCTCCCAACTAGCTGGGACTGCAGGCACGTGCCACAACACCCGGCTAATTTTTTGTATTTTTAGTAGAGATGGGGTTTCATCATGTTAGCCAGGATGGTCTTGAACTCCTGACCTTGTGATCTGCCCGCCTGCCTCCCAAAGTGCTGGGATTACAGGTGTGAGCCATCGCGGCCAGACCTAGTTTTTGTATTTTTAGTAGAGACTGGGTTTCACCATGTTGGCCAGGCTGGTCTTGAACTCCTGACCTTGTGATCTGCCCGACTCAGCCTCCCAAAGTGCTGGGATGACAGGCGTGAGTCACTGTGCCCGGCCAGCCTAGGCCACTCTCCTAAGTGCTGTGAGGGTCTGAGCTCATGGTATGTGCCTGAGGCCTGCAGGGGGCCATCACTATTTTACAGACGAGGTGCCAGAGGCACAGAGAGGCGGGGTAACCTGCCCAGGCCACAGAGATGGGGATGGATGGAGCTGGGGCCCCTTTCCGGGCCAGCCCTGTCCAGCCTCTGCATCACAGGCCCTGCAGGAGGGAGCTGTTGGGAACCGGACTCTCTTCTTACTAAACTTTAAAATAAGAGCATTTCTCCTGATCATCATATTTTTTCCTACACTCCATGTTGCAGGTTTCATTCTAAAAGGTGAATGGTGCTCACGGAGGAGGAGCCTGTGTCTGGAGTCATGTGCATCCTCCTCTGTTCACAGTGGAGGCATCTTTGGAAGAAGTGACTTATTTTCTGGTACAGAGACCATTCCCTCCCCCACATCCTCTCCTAAGACTTTGTGTTGAAACAAAGTAAATCTTGCAGAAATTCCATGGAAGTGCTGAGAACAAAATGCCTGATTGCTCCAATCATCCTTTGGTTCAATTTTCTCAGTTCCTGAGCTCAGGAATGGCGAGAAGCACAGAGAGGGAGCACCATCCCAGGGCGGGGAGCAATAGCAAAGGGGTGACTTTCGGGGGAGAGTCTCAGCAGGGGGCCTGGGCTGGGGCAGGTGGGGGAGATGGCCCATTCAGAAGCTGTAAAGGGGCGACCACATAGCAGGGCAAAGAGCCTGGCTGGTAGTGGGAGCAGCAGAGGAACCAGAGGGGAGAGAGACTAGCGCTGGGGCAGGGGCAGGGGGAGGCCAGGCTGAGGCCCAGCAGGGCCACCAGGCAGGAAGGGGCAGCAGAGGCCCCGTGGGCAGAGCGGGCAGTGGTCCCTGATCTGGGGCTTCATGTGCACCCTCCCTGGCAGGCTTGTCCTGGCCCTGATGGTAGTCCTGGGCTTGGGTTCTATTTTATCTTCCAGGGCCCTTGTTCCAGGAGACACCTGCGCTGTGAGTGACCTCACAGGCCCATCTGAGTGCAGGTCTCACTTTATGCTGCTTTCTCACCTGGATGGGAGGACCTCCAGAGGGACTCCTGGATCCTGCCCTCAGGAATCATCCCAGGGACGCCCCCCACCCGGTAGCTATGTGGTAGGGAGGGAGAGTGAGGGGCAGGTGTCTGCTTCCCCCTTGCCTTCACATTCAAAGGCCACCATTGGAGGGAGGAATAGCGGGTGGGGGTGCCCTCAGATGTCCCCCCAGGATGCCATGCGTGCCCCCACACTGAGCTCCTTCCTTCCACATCTCCTGCCCAGAGTTGTTCCCTGGCAGGCTGAGCTCTTGTCCCTATGTCACAGAAGGGTGGAGGCTGGTGTCCCCGGCCACCCTGTCTTGCAGTTTGCTCCTCCGGTCTAAGACCCAGGTGCTCAGTTCCCGTCTCTCCCGAGGGCCTTAGATCCCTTTCTATGGCCTCTCTGGTCTCTGGTTGCCTTTTTCTATTGTGCTTCCTGGAGAGCTCCTGGCATCTCAAGCCTCCCATTATCCAAGCCTACTCTTTTGCAAAATCTTACTCAACACCTGGCCAACATTGCAAAACCCCGTCTCTACTAAAAATACAAAAATTAGCCAGTGTGGTGGCATGAGCCTGTAATCCCAGGTACTTGGGAGGCTGAGACAAGAGAATTGCTAGAACCAGGAGGTAGAGATTGCAGTGAGCCGAGATCGCACCATAGCACTCCAGCCTGGGCGACAGAGGGAGACAGTGTCTCAAAAAAAAAAAAAAAATCTTATTCAATTGGGACCTTGATCACTGAGTGTTTGTTTGGCTCTTTCTGCATCTCCATCCCTGTTGGGGGCAGATTTGAGAAGGGACAGGCGTGAGCAGAGGCCGGGCTGGGTGCTGTTGGGTGGGGAAGCCATGGGGTGGGGCCCAGGGTGCAGCAAGGTCTGGAGGGAGGGGCTGTGAGAGTCAGGGCAGGACTCGCCTGGGAGACAGACACACAGAACAGGGACCCCTGCATGCCCCACGCAAGCTTGACCCATTGTCATGGACTAAATTGTATCTTCCCCACATTGATATGTTGAAACCCTCATCCCCACCTCCTCACAGGATAACTGTATTTGGAGACAGGTCCACTAAAGTGGTGATTAAATTAACTCATGGCCCTTAGGGTGGGCCCTAATCCTGTCTGACTGGGGTCCATAAACGAGGAGGACATTTAGAGGCAGAGAGACCCCAGGGGTGCAGGTGCACAGAGGAAAGGCCAGAGAGGACAGGGCTGGAAGGGACCCCCTGCCAGCCAAGAGGAGCAGCTGCAGAAGACACAACCCCGCCCACCCCTCCACCTTGGACTTGCAGCCTCCAGATCTGTGAGAAAATAAATGCCTGCCCTGTGGGCACCCGGCCCGGGGGCATCTTCTATGGCAGTCGAAGCCTGAAGTTTCCACAGAGGCTGCTCCTTCTCAGGGACTCAGGTCGGCCTTGAAGGATGTTGCTCAAAGCTTCTGGCTGTCGGCCTTGTGAATATTCATGCCCACTTACGTCCAGTTTTATGACAAATTCGATTATGCCAGGGAGATGGAAGGAGCCAGGTTGGGGATCCCAGGCTGTGGGGAGGGCGGCCTCGAAGGTGGATGGAGGTTGCTCTGGAGGCAGAAGGGGCCTCTCACTCATAGGAGGGGCCCAGGAAAGAGGGAGGAGGCAAGAAGGGGAAGGAGCACAAGGAGTGTGGGTGAGGGGTGTAACCATGAGGGCAGGCAGGGGGCAGGACGGAGGGCAGGAGGGCCTGGCCAGGGGAGGCCTCAGGAGGATGAGCAGGAGGCGAGAGGAGACAGACGATGAGGCCAGAGGGAGACCCTCACCTGAGAATCTCCTTTAGCGTGCGGTGCAGGAATGCATAATTGTCATCGAATTTGTACCAAGGCATGAATGGCTGACCTTCACTGTACACAAAGTTTTCCCAGCAGTATGCAAATTCTGAGACGAAGAGGCAGGAAGCAGTCAGGCTCTGCCCTGACCCTGGGCCCGCGCTCCCAGGCCTGGTCTCCTGGCTGTCAGTTGCTGTCAGTGCTGGCCCCGCCCCTGCAGGCTGCCCTGGGACACCCCCAGCCATGGCATTGCAGATCCATCCATCTTTCATGCTGTTCCTCCCGCTCACGCTCCCCTGACCCCTCCACCTCTCACCTTCATCGTCCATAATCTTCACGCGGGCCCCTGCCTGACTCAGCCTGCAGAGCGCCCTTCGGTAATCTCTTTCCCAGTAGTAGTAGAGGCGGGCGGCGGAGATGGTCAGGGTGACATTGGGGTGCTCAGCCAGGAATTCGGCCAGCTTCGCCACACAGTCCGGGCAGGGGGTCCAGGATACAAACCAGGTGATCTGGAAACACTTGTAAGCAGGCAGCTGGTTGCCACAGAACCAAGAGAGGAAGCACATTTCTGCGTGGTGCTCAGGCTGGGAATACACCTGGGAGAGGAGCAGGGGGCAGGGGATGCTCTGAGAGGGGGAGCAGGAGGAGTGCAGGGGTGGGGCAGGGAGAGGAGGGGCCAGGACAGGAGCCCAGGGGATCTTGCCATTGAAGCTCCTTTCCTCCATCCCCCCTGTTTAGTTTGAGTGATTGTCTGCTCCAAAGCTCACGTTCAGTGTTAATGGCTATTGTAATGGCCTTAAGAGGTGGCACCTAGAAGAGGCTATGAGGCTGTGGGGGCTGCACCTTTGTGGGTGCTACTGGCGTGTTTATTCAAGGGCGACTTCAGCCCCTCTTTCTGTCTCTTGCCCTCTAGCTGGGGGGGCAGTATGTCAGACTAAACTGCTTCCTCTTGTCCCCGTGGCATGGAGCAGCAGTGACTCGACATCCCAGGCCACTCTGTCTGGAGCATCCCCTGAACTTCTGGCAACAACCTTTACCCCCACGTGACTGTGCAGCTCGCAGGCCCTGGAAAGTTGCTGGTGCATTGACAGTGGACTTCCCAGAGGCCAGAACTCGAGCCCATACATTTCTGTTTATTGTAAATGTCCCCATCTCAGTCCTGCTGTTGAAGCATCATCACAAAGTGCACCAAGACATGAGCTTCCCTTCGTTTGGAAGTTTTCCCAGCCCTGTTCAGAGCCTCATGCGTGAATTCTGGCATCCATTCTCCCAGGCATCCATTCACCAGGCATCCTCAGCCCCTGCTGTGGCCTGGCCCTCTAGGGTCTGCCTTGTTCCCTGCCTGCGGTCAGCTGGGGAGGCCACTGGACCTGCGCTGTCCCATGTGGTGGGGCGCACTGGCCAAAGGGGCTACTGAGCACTTGAAATGGGGCTCTGATGAAAGACCTGGGCACCTGAAAAATACACCATACACCGCTCATTTATCTTTTTTTGTTTTTTGTTTTTGTTTTGAGACGTAGTTTCACTCTTGTTGCCCAGGCTGGAGTGCAATGATGCAATCTCGGCTCACTACAACCTCTGCCTCATGGGTTCAAGCGGTTCTCCTGCCTCAGCCTCCCAAGTAGCTGGGATTACAGGCGACTGCCACCACACCGGGCTAATTTTTTTTTTGTATTTTTAGTAGAGACGGGATTTCACCATGTTGGCCAAGCTGGTTTTCAAACATCTAACCTCAGGTGATCCACCCACCTCGGCCTCCCAAAGTGCTGGGATTACAGGCGCGAGCCACCCACCAAGCGTGGCCTACACAGCTCATTTCAAAGACTCAGTGTGACAAAAAGAAACTTCATTATCTTGTCAAGAATTTTATGTTAATTAATGTTGAAGTAATATGTTAGCCACATTGGATTAATTAAATATTAAAATTAGGCCGGCGCTGTGGCTCACACCTGTAATCCCAACACTTTGGGAGGCCGAGGCAGGTGGATCACCTGAGGTCAGAAGTTCGAGACCAGCCTGGTGAATATGGTAAAATCCTGTCTCTACTAAAAATACAAAAAAAAAAAAAATTAGCTGGGCGTGGTGGTGGGCACCTGTAATCCCAGCTACTCGGGAGTCTTAGGCGACAGCATCGCTTGAACCCAGGAGGCAGAGGTTGCTGTGAGCCGAGATCGCGTCATTGCACTCCAGCCTGAGCAACAAGAGTGAAACTCTGTCTCAAAAAAAAAAAAAAAAAAACACAAGGCCTTTTGTGCAAAGGCAAACCCCCTCCACGATCCGATCCCAGGACGGTCCAGCAGGAAGGTCAGGGCCACGGACTTGGAAAGTGTGGGAGAGAAGGACACACTGGATAGCCCGCCGCCGGGCACTTCACTTATCAGTGCGTGGTTTGCTTTCCCAGCTGGCTTAGCTCCTGCCTGCAAAGTGATTGAAGTCCGGGTGGTACCTGGCCTCGAAAGATCTTTGCGTCCAAACGGGGCCTTGAGGGACCCTTTGTTTTCACTTCGTAGCACAGCCAGACGGTATTCCGACGAGAAAGGATGGGTCTATTATAAAAGTTGTAGGAGAATGTGTCTCGATACATTCGCTCCACTGTGTTTCTGAAGACACAAGAGAGAAACCAGCCAATGTAGAGAGCGCTCCCGGGAGCCCTCAGGGCTGATGTCCACTAAACACAGCCCCCTGCATGGCTCTGGGCCTCCCCAACCCCTCCACAGCCCTGAGAATTTTTGCTTCCTTCCCAGGCAGGAAGACCGGGGAGAGAGCAAGAAAAGGGGATGCTGGCATGGGCAGCAGGGGCAGGCTGACCTCTTCCAGCTCAGGGTCCAGCTCTGGTCGTTCCAGGAGTACATTCCCCACCTTCCCAGTATTTCTCCCACCCATTCTCCAACGCATTAGTAAAATGCAAAAGAGAACAAAGTTCTTGGCTGGACATTATGGCTCATGCCTGTAATCCCAGCACTTTGGGAGGCCGAGGTAGGCCCATCACTTGAGGTCAGGAGTTTGAGACCAGTCTCACCAACATGGTGAAACCCAGTCTCTACTAAAAATATAAAAATTAGCCAAGCGTGGTAGTGGGTGCCTGTAATCCCAGCCACTGTGGAGGCTGAGGCAGGAGAATCGCTTGAACCTGGGAGGCGGAGGTTGTAGTGAGCCGAGATCGTGCCACTGCACTCCAGCCTGGGCTACAAGAGCGAAACTCCATCTCAAAAAAAAAAAAAAAAAAGAGAGAGAGAATAAAACTATTCACCCCAAAATAATAGATTTTAACCTTTCAGCCAGTTCCTTCTGACATTTCACCTCTGTATATTACTATTGTTAAATCATGGTAGAACCGAATTCTGAGGCCCAGGCCACTCTTCTAAGTGCTGCGCGGATGTGAGCTCATGTGAGGCTGCCCTAGGCCCGCACGGGCCATTCCCATCTTACAGAGGAGGTGCCAGAGGCGCAGAGAGATGGGGTAACCTGCCCAGGCCACAGAGCTGGGGACGGATGGGGCTGGGGCCTCTTACCAGACCAGCCCTGTCCAGTCTCTGTGTCACCAGCCTTGCAGGAGGGAGCCATTGGGGACCAGACTCTCTTCTTACTAAATTTTAAAATAATAGCATTTCTCCTGATCATTGAGTTTTTTTCCCATATATTCCATGTTTTTTGTTTTTGTTTTTTTTTCTTTTGAGACGAAATTTGGCTCTTGTTGCCCAGGCTGGAGTGCGATGGGGCGATCTCGGCTCACTGCAACCTCCGCCTCCTGGGTTCAAGCGATTCTCCTGTCTCAGCCTGTGGAGTAGCTGGATTATAGGCGCCCGCCACCACACCCGGCTAATTTTGTATTTTTAGTAGAGACAGGGTTTATCCATGTTGATCAGGATGGTCTCGAACTCCCGACCTCAGGCAATCCACCCACCTCAGCCTACCAAAGTGCTGGGATGACAGGTGTGAGCCACCGCACCCGGCCACTATATTCCATGTTACTCGTGTCATTTATAAACAGTGAATGCTGATAGTGGAGGAGGAGCGTGTGTTTGGGGTCATCTGCATCCTCCTCTGCCCACAGTGGAGACATCCTTGGAAGATACGATTTATCTTGTGCTTCAGAGACCATTCCCTCCCCACACCCTCTCCTAAGACTTGCTATTTAAGCAAAGTAAATGTTACAGAAAATCCATCAAAGCACTGTGAACAAAATTCCACATTGCTCTAATCATCCTTTGGTTCAATTCTCCCAGTTCCAGAGTTCAGGAATGGCGGAAAGAACACAGAGGGAGCACCCTCCCAGGGCCGGGAGCACCAGCCCTGCCATGACTTTCGGTGGCGGGGGAGAGTCTCAGCAGGGCACCTGGGCTGGGGCAGGTGGGGAAGCGGCCTATTCAGAAGCAGCAGTGGGGCAACCACAGAGCAGGAAAAAGAGCCTGGCTGGGAGTGGCGGGGGCAGGGGAGCCAGAGGGGAGGGAGCCCAGGGCTGGGGCTGGGGCAGGGGGAGGCCAGGGCTGACGCCCAGCAGAGCCACCAGGCAGGAAGGGGCAGCAGAGGGGCCCAGCGGGTAGAGCGGGCAGCGGTACCTGAAGTGAGGCTTCATCCTTGGCCGGCTAGTCCCGACTAAGATCTTTGTCTGGAGCACCAGGGTTTCACTTTCTGCTCCAGGCTCCAGGTTTCAGGACAGCCCTCCCTAAAGTGACCTCCCAGGGCCTCGTAGTCATGGCCCCTCCCCCTTCCTGCTCAGGCGCTGGTGTAGGAGGCCCTGGGACGCTTTATCTTCCTCAGTCTCTCACCCTCTTTCTGGTTTTCTCTGGGGCCCTCCCCCTGGCAGAGGGACCTCTGATAAAGACAGGCCGCTCTGTGCGGCAGGACCCAAGGCAATTGCAAAGGGAAAGAGAAAGTCATTGCAGCCAGCGCCCGCGAGGTGGGTCCACACCAGGCTGAGCCAGCAGAGCACAAGCCCCTCCCCTGGTGGTCCCGCCCAGCTGGAGCCTCCTCTCCACCATCAAGACAGACAGGCTGATGCCTCCGCAGGGACTCCCGGATCCTGCCCTCGGGGATCATCCCAGAGACGGCCCCCACCCAGCGGCCATGGGGACAGGGAGGGAGAGTAAAGGGCCAGGTGTCTGCCTCTCCCCAGGCCTTCACCCTCGGAGGCCACCGTGGGAGGGAGGGACAGCAGGTGGGTGTGGGCCTCAGATGTCCCACCGGGATGCCATGCGCGCCCCCACACTGAGCTCTTTCCTTCCTGCTTCTCCTTCTTCCCCATCTCCTGCCCGGAGTTCCTCCCTGGTGGGCTGAGCTCTCGCCTCCTCTTGTCCCCATGTCATGGAAGAGCAGTGGCTGGTGTCCCAGGCCAGCCTGTCTGGAGCCTCCCTGCGCGTCTCACAGCTCCCTTCCCCTGGTAGCGTGTTCCCATGGCGCGGTGACCTAAAAATTACACAAGGGATGCATTTGGTTTTTTTGTTTGCTTTTGTTTTTTTGTGTTTTTTTGTTTGTTTGTTTGTTTTGAGACGGAGACTTGCTCTGTTACCCAGGCTGGAGTACAGTGGCGTAATCTCAGCTCACCGCAACCTTTGCCTCCCAGGTTCAAAAGATTCTCCTGCCTCAGCCTCCCATGTAACTGCGATTACAGGCACCCACCCCTACGCCTAGGCTAATTTTTGTATTCTTAGTAGAGACAGTGTTTCTCCATGTTGGTCAGGCTTACAGCCGCCCACCACTATGCCTGGCTAATTTTTGTATTTTTAGTAGAGACAGGGTTTCTCCATGTTGGTCAGCTGATCTCGAACTCCCGATCTGAGGAGATCCGCCCGCCTTGGCGTACCAAAGTGCCGGGATTACAGGTGTGAGCCACCGCGCCTGGCCACAATGTATAAATTTGGAAAGGAGATTTTATTTCTTGTTAAGGGTGACAGGCAGCAAGGTAGCCATCCCGCAGCCTGGGAAGAGCAGCCTCTGGGAAACACCAGAGACAGACATTTAGAAGCAGGAGGGGTTGGGGCAGGAGCTTTATGCTGAAGGGGTTGGCTAAACATACATATTCAACAGGCTATAGGAGGAGCTATGAATATTCATGTGGGTGGCTGCACTCCATGCTTATTGAACAAACATGCGTGTAACATATGATCCCAGGCAGGCACAGTGGCTCACGCCTGTAATCCCAGCATTTTGGGAGGCCGAGGCAGGTGGATCATCTGAGGTCAGTGTCAGGCCTCTGAGCCGGAGCTAAGCCATTGTGACCCCTGTGAACTGCACATATACATCCAGATGGCCTGCAGCAGCCAAGAAGTCTGGAGCAGCCAAAAAAACACAAAAGAAGTGAAACAGCCAGTTTCTCCCTTAACTGATTAACCAACCTTAAGACATTCCACCATTAGGACTTGTTCCTGCCCTACCCTAACTGATCAATCGACCTTATGACATTCTTCTTCTGGACAATGGGTCTCATGGTCTCCCACCATGCACCTGGTGACCCCCTCCCCTGCTGACAACAGATGACCACCTTCGACTGTAACTTTCCACCACCTACCCAAGTCCTATAAAGCTGCCCCTCTCTTATCTCCCTTCGCTGACTCTCTTTTCAGACTCAGCCCACTTGCACCCAAGTGAATAAATGGCGTTATTGCTTACACAAAGCCTGTTTAGGTGGTTTTCTATACAGACACGCATGACAGTGAGGAGTTCGAGACCAACCTGGCCAACATGGTGAGACCTGGTCTCTACTAAAACTACAAAAATTAGCCGGGTGTGGTGGCACGTGCCTGAAATCCCAGCTACTCGGGAGGCTGAGGCAGGAGAATCAGTTGAACCCAGAAGGCAGAGGTTGCAGTGGGCCGAGATCGCGCCACTGCCCTCCAGCCTGGGAGACAGAGTGAGACTCCATCTCAAAACAAAAAACAAACAAACAAAAATCTAAAAAAAAAAAAAGCAACCGTATAATCCGTCCTCACATTGCGGTGGAGACAACATTTAAATGTACCACAATTAAGCCTGTATGTCAAAAGGTCCTTTCAGGACATGAAGGCACCAAAATTTGCCAGGTCTGTAAACCATTCAGAACTAGTCCGTGGTCCGTGGTCTTCCGATCTGGAGAAAGTTACTGAAATCAGTCTCTTGTCCAGGGAAACCTGGAATTAGGGCTGTGGAGCAGGGGCTCTGTTGCTCCGCGTCCGGGCGCTGGGTGAGCTGTGATTGTTTTCATCTTTATCTGGAGGCAGTGCTTGTTTAGCTGCTAGAGCAAAAAAAAAAAAAAAAAAAAAACCTTGGGGCAGGCAGAACAGAGTTGACTGTTTAAGTGTGGGGTGTGTGATCTCACCCTTGCCTGGCACGGCCTGAGGTCCTGGTTGTGATTTGGTATCTGATTGCCATGAAGAGTCTGTTCTGGTTCTGCCCATCTTATGATTCTGTTTTAACATTACTGCTGGTCAGTTGTGTCTAAACTGCAAAAGGGCGGGGTGATAATGAGGCGTGCCTGACCTCCCCTCCCATCATGGCTGGGAACTCAGTTTTAAGGTTTTTCTGAGATACCCCTGGCCACTGGGGGCCAAAGTTGGGGGGGATCGGTGGGGGCTAAAGACTTTATTTTTAGTTCATAGGCCTTTGGACTAAGCTCTGATTTGTTTTTATTTAATCTTGCCCAAAATCCTATCTAAGGGGTCTGGGGAGTCATGCCTTACAACCCGTACATCCTCATCAGAGGGGTTCTATTTTTTTTTTTTTTTTTCCTATTGTATTTTAATGGAGGCCGAGTTTCACTCTTCTTGCCCAGGCTGGAGTGCAATGGTGTGGTCTCGGCTCACTGCAACCTTCGCCTCCCGGGTTCAAGCGATTCTCCTGTCTCAGCCTCCCAAGTAGCTGGGATTATAGGTGCCCGCCACCACACCTGGATAATTTTTGTATTTTTAGTAGAGACAGGGTTTCACCATGTTGGCCAGGCTGGTCTTGAACTGCTGACCTCAGGTGATCCACCCACCTAGGCCTCTCAAAGTGCTGGGATTACAGACATGAGCCACTGCGCCCGGCCCACATGGGTTTTATTTAACCCTATATATTGTGAGTTACTTTCCAATCTGACTCAGGCACAACATTATGTGACAAAGTAAAAAGACAAAATATTTTACCCCAAAACATGTTTCTTTGCCATATCTTGAAATGGCCCTGCAAAGTTGTCCTTTGTGGGGCAAAATTTGTATCTGTAAAGAATCTCTATTAACATAGCTGGATCTTTTTCTTCTAGGCCCTCCCGGTCCTAAACAGATGAACTAATTGCACCTTTTAAAGGCCTGAATGGGAAACATTTGTCATCTATTGTCTCTAAGGGCAGCCACTATGAGACTTCAAAAGAACCTTGATCTCCACAATCTTTTATCTTAACCTGAACGTTTCCTTTCTATGGATGCCAGGTCTCTAGACAAACTCAACCAATTGTCAACCAGAAAATGTTTAAATTTACCTGTAGCCTGGAAGCCCCCCAGCACTCCTGCCCTCACTTTGAGCCGTCCGACCTTTCTGGAGCAATCCGAAGTATTTCTTTTCTTTTTTTTGAGACGGAGTCTTGCTGTGTCGCCCAGACTGGAGTGCAGTGGCGTGATCTTGGCTCACTGCAACCTCTGCCTCCTGGGTTCAAGTGATTCTCCTGCCTCAGTCTCCCGAGTAGCTGTGATTACAGGTGCCCAGCACCACACCTGGCTAATTTTTTGTATTTTTAGTAGAGACGGGGTTTCACCATGTTGGCCAGGCTGGTCTAGAATTCCCGACCTCATGATCCATCTGCCTCAGTCTCCCAGAATGCTGGGATTACAGGCGTGAGCCACCACGCTCAGCTTCTGTATTTCTTAAATGTGTTTGATTGATAGCTGATGCTTCTCTAAAATATATAAAACCAAATTCCTATCTAAGGGGTCTGGGGAGTCATGCCGCACCCACACCACCTTGAGCACACACACATTCTCAGGACCTCCTGAGCCCTGTGTTACGGGCCATGGTCACTCGTATTTGGCTCAGAATACGTCTCTTCAAATATTTTACAGAGTTTGACTCTTTTTGTCGACAGGCCCAAGACCCAGGTGCCCACTCCCTGTCTCCTCGGAGGGCCCGCGCTTCCAGTTCTCTGGCACCTCTGGTTCCTGGTTGCCCTTCTACTTTCTGTTCTGCTTTCTCGAAAAGCTCTGAGCATCTCAAGCCTCCATGTAGTACCCAATTCTACTTTTTATTGAAAATCTTACTTAAACACCAACTTGATCACTGATCAAGTTTTCTTGGCTCTTTCTCAGTCACGTTCCCTAGGCTGTGTCCTAGCCCAGAGCTGCACTGCTGGGAGGGATTTGAGAAGGGAGGGGCATGAGCAGAAGGGAGGGCTGGGTGCTCTTGGGTGCAGGAGGGTGGGCTGGGTGGAACATGCAGGAAGGTCTGGGTGGAGGGGCTGTGAGGGTCAGGTCAGGACTCCCCTGTGAGACAGACACACAGGACAGGAACCCCTGCACTCCCCACTCAGGCCCGCCCACAGTGACTGTGGCTTGTTGCCATGTTGCCCTGTTTCTCCCAAAAATCAATATACTGAAGCCCTAACCCCTCTACCTCAATGTGTGGTTGTATTTGGAGACAGGTCCTTTTCAACAGATGATTAGTTAATTAATTAATTAATTTTTTTGGAGATGGAGTCTCACTCTGTCGCCCAAGCTGCAGTGCAGTGGCACCGTGTCGGCTCACTGCAAACTCTGCCTCCCTGGTTCAAGTGATTCAAGCCTCAGCCTCCCGAGTAGCTGGGATTACAGGTGCCCACTACCATGCCCAGCTACTTTTTGCACTTTCAGTAGAGGTGGGTTTTCACCATGTTGGCCAGGCTGACCTCCAACTCCGCCACCTCAGCCTCCCAAAGTGCTGGGATTACAGGCGTGAGCCACCGCACCCAGCCAACAGATGATTAACTAATTAATTAATTTTTTTTTTTTTGAGATGCAGCGTCACTGTGTCTTCCAGGCTGGAGTGCAATGGCACGATCTCAGCTCACTGCAACCTCTGCCTCCCGGGTTCCAGCGATTCTCCTGCCTCAGCCTCCCGAGTAGCTGGTATTACTGGCATCCACTACCACGCCCTGCTAATTTTTTTGTATTTTTAGTAGAGACGGGGTTTCACCATGTTGACCAGGCATATTTCCAACTCCTGACCTCAAGTGATCTGCCAGCCTCAGCCTCCCAAAGTGGGAGGATTACAGGCGTGAGCCACCACGCCCGGCCAAGATGATTAATTTAAACGAGACCTCTAGTGTGGGCACAAATTCACTTGGCGGGGGTCCATCAAGGAGAAGGGTGGCCAAGTGCCCTGGCTCATGCCTTTAATCCCAGCACTTTGGGAGGCCGAGGTGGGCAGTCAGGAGTTCGAGACCAGCCTGGCCAACATGGTGAAACCCCATCTCTACTAAAAAATACAGAAATTAGCAGAGAGTGGTTCTGGGCGCCTGTAATCGCCGCTACTCAGAAGGATGAGGCCAGAGAATTGCTTGAACCTGGGAGGCGGAGGTTGCAGTGAGCAGTGATCATGCCATTGCACTCCAGCCTGGGCAACAGAGTAAAACACCGTCTCAAGACAAAAACAAAAACAAAAACAAAACAAAACAAAAAGGCCGGGTACGGTGGCTCATACCTGTAATCCCAGCACTTTGGGAGGTGGAGGAGGGTGGATCACCTGAGCTCACGAGTTCAAGACCAGCCTGAGCAACATGGAGAAACCTCGCCTCTACTAAAACTACAAAATTAGCCGGGCGTGGTGGCGCATGCCTGTAGTCCCAGCTACTCAGGAGGCTGAGACAGGAGAATCGCTTGAACCCTGAAGGTGGAGGTTGCAGTGAGCCAAGATTATGCCATTGCACTCCAGCCTGGGCAACGAGAGTAAAACTCTGTCTCAAAAAAAAAAAAAAAAAAAAAAGATGATATTTGGAGGCAGAGATACCCCAGAGGTGCAGGTAGGTGCACAGAGGAAAGGCCACAGAGGACACAGCCAGAAGGGATTCCCTGCCAGCCAGGAGGAGCAGCCTCAGAGCAAACAACCCAACCCACCCCTCGAACTTGGACTTGGAGCCTCCAGATGTGTGAGGAAATAAATGCCTGCTGTGTGGGCACCTGGCCTGGGGCATGTTCTGTGGAGGCCACAGCATGAAGGGGTCATTTTTATAGAGAATCTCATTCTCTAATAACTTACATCTGCCTAGAAAATGACAAGTCAAATTTAAAGTGTGGAGAAGAGCCTCTAATTTCACATTTCATTTGCAAAGAAAGAATTTGGGACATACACGCAGTCTGGGTGGTGTTCACCATGTTGGGAGAACAGAGACAGCAACAGGTTTTATAAAAAGGAGAAATGGGCTAGGCGCTGTGGCTCACACCAGCAATCCCAGCAATTTGGGAGGCCAAGGAGGTCGGATCACTTGAGGTCAGGAGTTTAAGACCAGCCTAAGCCTGGCCAGGTGGCTCGCACCTGTAATCCCAGCACTTTGGGTGCCCGAGACGGGTGGATCACCAGGTCAGGAGTTCAAGACCAGCCTAGCCAAGATGCTGAAACCCCATCTCTACTAAAAATACAAAAATTAGCCAGGCGTGGTGGCACACCCATGTAATCCCAGCTACTCGGGAGGCTGAGGCAGGAGAATAGTTTGAACCCGGGTGGCAGAGGTTGCAGTGAGCCCAGGTTGCACCACTGCACTCCAGCCTGGGTGACAGAGCAAGACTTCATCTGAAAAAAATAAAAATAAGCCTGGCATGGGCAACATGATGAAACCCGTTTTTACTGAAAATACAAAAATTAGCCCGGTGTGGTGGTGCACGCCTGTAATCCCAGCTACTCGGGAGGCTGAGACAGGAGAATCACTTGAACAACAGAGGTGGAGGTTGCAGTGAGCGGAGACTGCGCCATTGCACTCCAGCCTGGGTGACAGGGCGAGACTCCACTTCAAAAAAAAAAAGGAGAAATGTTCTCTTGCCCTGTGGGAAAGCCCACCATGGGCACTAGGAAGTGTTGGGAGCTGGGAGGTTCCATTGCTGAGTCACTGCGTTTGGAGCAAGGAGTCCAAGACTTACAGCCATTTATGGCAGAAGCTATGGATAAAGCTGGTTTCAGGGTACAATGCACAGTTTCAGGAGTCAGGCTTGCAGATAAGTCCATTTTGGGAGCAATGGTGTGTGGCCTGACTGCTTTTCCTCCCTGGCTGCTGGCCTCTGTTTTAGCTGCGTAGGACATGAATGACCCAATTCGTAGGATGAAACTTACAAAGGATGTTTCTCAAAACTGGTTTTCAACTTACATATATTCATATCCATTTAGGTTGAGTGTATTTATTGATTTATTTTCAGGCAGGGTCTTGATCTGTTGCTCAAACTGGAGTTCTGTGGCGCGATCTCAGTTTACTCCAGCCTCCACCTCCCCGGCTCAAGCAGTCCTCCCACTTCATCCTCCCAAGTAGCTTAAACTACAGGTGCATGCCACCACATCTGGCTTTTTTTTGGTATTTTTTTTTGTAGAAATGGGGCTTTGTCGTGTGGCCCAGGCTGGTCTCAAACTTCTGGGCTCAAGCGATTCTCCCACCTCTGCCTCCGAAAGGCGTGAGTCACCAGGGCCAGACTAGATTGAGTTTAATAAGATTTGGTTGTGCGGCCGAGCCGGGTGGCTCACGCCCGTAATCCCAGCACTTTGGGAGACAGAGATGGGCAGATCACCTGAGGTCAGGAGTTCAAGACCAGCCTGGCCAACATGGTGAAACCCAGTCACTACTAAAAATACAAAAAAAAAAAAAAAAAAAAAAAAAAATTAGCTGGGCGTGGTGGCAGGCATCTGTAATCCCAGCTACTCAGAAGCTGAGACAGGAGAATCACTTGAACCCAGTAAGCAGAGTTTGCAGTGAGCTGAGATCCAGCCATTGCACTCTAGTCTGGGCGACAGAGTGAAACTCCGTCTCAAAAAAAAAAAAAAAAAAAAAAGATTTGGTTATGCTGGGGAGATGGGAAGAGTCAAGTTAGGGGCACCCAGGCTGGGGGAACAGGACTGGGGAGGTGGATGGAGAGCCTCTACAAGAAGAGCCTGGGAGAGCGGGGAGGAGGTGGTGAGGCAGGGGGGCACTATGGAATGGCCCTGAGGCCAGGAGGGGCTCAGGATGACCAGGCAAAAGCACAGCTGGTGCAGGATGGAGGGGAGGCCCGTGCAGCATGAGCAGGAGGCTAGAAGAGACAGACCATGAGGCCCAGGGAGACCCCTCACTGGAGAATCTCCCGTAGCCTTCTTTTCAGAAGTCGAAAGTTGGTTTGTAGTCCCTTCCAAGGCTTGAATGGCTCATCATCACTGTACACAAAGTTTTTCCAACAAGATACAAAATCTGAGAAAAAAACAAGGAGAAAGCAGTGAGGGCCCAGCAAGCCTCTCTCCCGGCCCTGGGCCCTCCCCTCCCAAGCCAGGTCTCCTGGCTGCCAGTTGCAGCTGGCGCCGGCCCCATCCCTGCAGGCTTCCCGGGGACACTGCCCCGCCCCACGGCATTGCAGACCCACCTGCCCCTCATGCTGTCCCTCCCGCACCCACTCTCCTCAGCCCCCCACGTCTCACCTTTGTAGCCCATGATCTTCACGGAGGCCCCTTCCTGACTCAGGCTGCAGAGCCCCTCCTGGTAATCTGTATCCCAGAAGTAGCAGAGGCGGGCGGTGAAGATGGTGAGATTCACGTTGCTGTGCCTGGCCAGGAACTCGGCCACCTCCCCTGCACACTCTGGGCAAGGGCTCCAAGATGTGTACCAGGTGACCTCGTAGTTTGTGTTAGGAGACAGTATGTCGTCACAGAACCAAGAGAGGAAGCACCTTTCTGCATGACAATGGGTCTCAGGATCCACCTGGGGAAGGAGGAGGAGGAGGGCAGGGGGAGCTCAGACCAGGAGCAGGAGGAGTGTAGGGGTGGGGCGATGGGAGAAGAGGGCAGGCCTGAAGCCCCAGGGCATTTTCTTATTTATTTATTTTTGAGACAGGGTCTCTCCTGTTGCCCAAGCTGGGGTGCAGTGGTGCGATCTGGGCTGACTGCAGCCTTGACCTCCCAGGCTCAAGGAATCTTCCCACCTCAGCCTCCTGATTAGCTGGGACTGCAGGTGTGTGCTGCCACGCCCGGCTAATTTTTTTGTAATTTTTGTGGAGACGGAGTCGTGCCACATTGCCCAGGCTGATCTCGAAATCTTGGGCTCAAGCCATCCTCCTGCCTCAGCCTACCAAATTTCTAGGACTATGAGCATAAACCACATGCACGACCTTATTTTATTTCTTTACTTTTCATTTTTCTGGGTGCATAGTAGGCCCCAGGGCGTTTTATTCATTGAGTTTCCCTTATTCCATCCTTCTCCTTCCTCTTTATTTTTTTATTATTTTTTTCTGAGATGGAGTCTTGCTCTGTTGCACAGGCGGGAGTGCAACGGCACGATCTCAGCTCACCACAACTTCTGCCCCTTGGGTTCAAGCGATTCTCTTGCCTCAGCCTCCGGAGTAGCTAGGATTACAGTCGCGCACTCCTACGCCTGGCTAATTTTTGTAGTTTTAGTAGAGACAGGGTTTCACCATGTTAGCTAGGCTGTTCTTGAACTCCTGACCTTATGATCCGCCCGCCTAGGCCTCACGATGTGTTGGGATTGCAGGCGTGAGCTACTGCGTACAGGCGTGAGCCACCGCGCTTGGCCCCTTCCTTCTTTATTTTATTGAGTCTTTTCCTGTCTCATCATGCCCTCAAGTGCGAATTCTGGCATCCTTTCCCCCAGGCATCCATTAACCAGGCATCCTCAGCCCCTGCTGTGGCCTGGTCCTATGGGGTCTGCCTTGTCCCCTGTCTGCCTTCTGCTGGGAAGGTCATTGGACCCACATTGTCCCATGGAGTTGAAGGTTGGCCAAAGGGGCTACTGAGCACTTGAAATGGGGCTCTGATTAGAAACGTTGGCACGTGTAAAATACACAGCGCATTTCAAAATCTCATTGTGAGAATAGACAAACTTTAACTCTCTCATGAGGCATTTTATATTAAGTATATGTTGAAATCCTATGTGAGATAATTGAGCTAATGCAGACACTAAAATTTCTTCCACGAGTTCTTATCGCCTTTTTAGCGTGTGGGGACTGGAAACACTTGCGCTTCCATCCTGAGTCCTGGGTGTTTCCGAGGCCAGCACTGCTGTAGGCCAGGCCTGCCCAGCACACAGACGGCTCCCTCCCCAAACACACTCTGAAAAAATCTCCTGCCTGGGAGGAGGGGGCCGCAGGGTTGGGTGGGACACGGCAGGGTGGGTGGGAGGTCAGTGGCTGCTGTGGGGGCGGCAGGGTGAGGAGCGAGGGTTCACCACCCTGTGAGGATGTGTCCTTGACATCGAGGAATCAGGGCAGTGGCGGGGGCGGCCCCACCAGCCCACAGTGACTGGCCCAGGCACAGTGCTGGACACCAGACCCACCGCTTCCCACAGCTGCTGTTTCCCGAGGACTGCCGGACGCACAGCTCCATGACAAGATTTTGGGAAACAAAGTCAAGAGTGAGGGCGCTGGGCGCTAAACAAGGCCTTTTGGTAAGAGGCAAAACCCCTCGACAATCTGATCCCAGGAAAGTTAGGGAGGAAGATCTGGGCCACCGACTTAAAAAATGTGGGAGGAAGTTGGGCGTGGTGGCTCATGCCTGTAATCCTAGAACGTTGGGAGGCCAAGCGGGGCGGATCGCTTGAGGTCAGGAGTTTGAAACCAGCCTGGCCACCACGGTGAAACCCCGTCTCTACTAAAAAAATAAATAAATAAAATAAAAATTAGCTGAGTGTGGTGGCGGGCACCTGTAATCCCAGCTACCCATGAGGCTGAGGCAGGAGAATCGCTTGAACCCGGGAGGCAGAGGTTGCATGAGGGAGACTCTGTCTTAAAAAAAAAAAAAAGAAAGAAATGTAAGAGGAAAGTACACATAGCAGAGCCCACGCGGGGCACGTCACGTATTGTGTTTTCTGCGTTCCCAGCTGCTTAGCTCCTATTTAGGGTGTAAATAGGACTTTGGTGCTACCTGGTTTCGGAAGACGCCCCTCTTCCGGAAGACAGCTGAGTGGTGCTTTGTAACTTCCATGGTGAAGCACAGCCAGCTTTCGTTCCGACCACAGGCTTTCAGTAGGTTTTTAAAGTGGAAGTAGAATATGTGTGGGTACATTGCCTCCATCGGGTTTCTGAGGGCACAAGAGAGAAACCCCAGTGCAGAGATTCCTCGGAGCTGATGCCCACTGAACACAACTCCCTGGACGTCCCTGGAGTCTGGGCCTCTCCCATCCCTCCACAGCCCTGGGAATGTCTGCTGCTTTCCCAGGCAGGAAGACTGGGAGAGAGAAAGAGGAGGGGGTACTGGCAGGGGCAGCAGGGACAGGGTGACCTCTCCTAGCTGGAACCCCAGCTCTGGGCCTACCAATGGGACACCCTCAACCTCCCAGTTTTTCTGCCACACATCTCCCAACCCATTAGGAAAATGCAACAGAGAATAAAACTCTTCACCCTGAAATAATTGCTTGAACATTTCAGCTCAATTCCTTCCTCACATTTCACCTGTCCGATGATGATGATGATTATTTTTATATCGGGATCACAGCGAATTTATTTATTTTTGCACACGGTCTCACTCTGTCACCAGGCTGGAGTGCAGTGGTGCAATCTCGGCTCACTATAACTTCCGCCTCCTGGTTTCAAGCAAATCTCCTGCCTCAGCCTCCCAAGTAGCTGGGACTACAGGTGCATGCCACCACGCCCGTCTAATTTTTTGTATTTTTAGTAGAGACGGGGTTTCACCACGTTAGCCAGGGTGGTCTTGAACTCCTGACCTTGTGATCCACCCACCTCGGCCTACCAAAGTGCTGGGATTACCGGTGTGAGCCACCGCGCCTGGCCCTAATTTTTGTATTTTTAGTAGAGATCATGTTTCACCATGTTGGCCAGGCTGCTTTTGAACTGACTTCGTGATCTGCCTGCTTCAACCACCCAAAGTGCTGGAATGACAGGCATGAGCCACTGAGCCCGGCCGGTCCAGGCTACTCTCCTAAGTGCTGCATATGTCTGAGCTCATGGCATGTGCCTGAGGCCTGCAGGGGCCATCCCTATTTTACAGAGGAGGTGCCAGAGGCATAGGGAGGCCAGATAATCTGCCCACACCACAGAGCTGGGGCGGTGGATGGAGCTGGGGCCCCTTTCGAGGCCAGCCCTGTCCAGCCTCTGCATCGCAGGCCCTGCGGTGGGGAGCTGTAGGCAACCACGCTGTCTTCTTACTAAACTTTAAAATAAGAGCATTTCTCCTGATCATATTTTTTCCTACACTCCATGTTGCAGGTGTCATTCTAAAAGGTGAATGGTGCTCACGGAGGAGGAGCCTGTGTCTGGGGTCGTGTGCATCCTACTCTGCTCACAGCGGAGGCGTCTTTGGAAGAAATGACTTATTTTCTGGTACAGAGACCATTTCCTCCCCCACACCCTCTCTTAAGACTTTGTATTGAAACAAAGTAAATCTTACAGAAATTCCACCAAAGTGCTGAGAATAAAATGCCTGATTGCTCCAATCATCCTTTGGTTCAATTCTCCCAGTTCCTGAGCTCAGGAATGGCGGGAAGCACACAGAGGGAGCACCCTCCCAAGGCGGGGAGCACCAGCCCGGGCATGACTCTCAGGGGAGAATCTCAGCAGGGGGCATGGGCTGGGGCAGGTGGGGGAGATGGCCCATTCAGAAGCAGCAGTGGGGCGACCACATAGCAGGGCAAAGAGCCTGGCTGGTAGTGGGAGCAGCAGAGGAACCAGAGGGGAGGGAGCCCAGGGCTGGGGCAGGGGGAGGCCAGGGCTGAGGCCCAGCAGGGCCACCAGGCAGGAAGGGGCAGCAGAGGCCCCATGGGCAGAACGGGCAGTGGTCCCTGATCTGAGGCTTCATGTGTAGCCTCCCTGGCAGGCTTGTCCTGGCCCTGATTTTAGTCCTGGGCTTGGGTTCTATTTCTATCGTCCAGGGCCCTTGTTCCAGGAGACACCTGCGCTGTGAGTGACCTCCCAGGCCCATCTGAGTGCAGGCCTCACTTTATGCTGCTTTCTCACCTGGATGGGAGGACCTCCGGAGGGACCCCTGGATCCTGCCCTCAGGAATCATCCCAGGGACGCCCCCCACCCGGTAGCTATGTGGTAGGGAGGGAGAGTGAGGGGCAGGTGTCTGCTTCCCCCTTGCCTTCACACTCAGAGGCCACCATTGGAGGGAGGAATAGTGGGTGGGGGTGCCCTCAGATGTCCCCCCAGGATGCCATGCGTGCCCCCACACTGAGCTCCTTCCTTCCACATCTCCTGCCCAGAGTTGTTCCCTGGCAGGCTGAGCTCTTGTCCCTATGTCACAGAAGGGCGGAGGCTGGTGTCCCCGGCCACCCTGTCTTGCAGTTTGCTCCTCCGGTCTAAGACCCAGGTGCTCAGTTCCCATCTCTCCCGAGGGCCTTAGATCTCTTTCTAGGGCCTCTCTGGTCCCTGGTTGCCCTTTTCTGTTGTGCTTCCTGGAGAGCTCCTAGCATCTCAAGCCTCCCATGATCCAAGCCTACTCTTTTGTAAAATCTTACTCAACACCTGGCCAACATTGCAAAACCCCGTCTCTACTAAAAATACAAAAATTAGCCGGCATGGTGGCATGAGCCTGTAATCCCAGGTACTTGGGAGGCTGAGACAAGGGAATTGCTAGAACCGGGAGGCAGAGGTTGCAGTGAGCCGAGATCGCACCACAGCACTCCAGCCTGGGCAACAGAGGGAGACGCTGTCTCAAAAAAAAAAAAACAAAAAAACCTTACTCAAATGGGACCTTGATCACTGAGTGTTTGCTTGACTCTTTCTGCATCTCCATCCCTGTGGGAGGGATTTGAGAAGGGACAGGCGTGAGCCGGAGGCCCAGCTAGGTGCTGTTAGGTGGGGAAGCCATGGTCTGGAGGGAGGGGCTGTGGGAGTCAGGGCAGGACTCGCCTGGGAGACAGACACACAGAACGGGGACCCCTGCACACCCCACCCAAGCTTGACCCAAGCCCCCTGGGTCATTGTCATGGGCTAAATTGTATCTTCCCTACATTGACATGTCGAAGCCCTCAACCCCACCTCCTCACAGGATAACTGTATTTGGAGACAAGTACACTAAAGTGGTGATTAAATTAACTCATGGCCCTTAGGGTGGGCCCTAATCCTGTCTGACTGGGGTCCATAAACAAGGAGGACATTTAGAGGCAGAGAGACCCCAGGAGTGCAGGTGCACAGAGGAAAGGCCAGAGAGGACAGGGCTGGAAGGGACCCCCTGCCAGCCAGGAGGAGCGGCCACAGAGGACACAACCCCACCCACCCCTCCACCTTGGACTTGCAGCCTCCAGATCTGTGAGAAAATAAATGCCTGCCCTGTGGGCACCCGGCCCGGGGGCATCTTCTATGGCCGCGGAAGCCTGAAGCTCTGTTTCCATGGTGGCGGCTCCTTCTCAGGGGCTCAGGTCGGCCTTGAAGGATGTTGCTCAAAGCTTCCGACTGTCGGGCTTGTGACTATTCATGCCCACTTACTACGTCCAGTTTTATGACAAATTCGGTTATGCCAGGGAGATAGAAGGAGCCAGGTTGGGGCTCCCAGGCTGTGGGGAGGGCAGCCTCGGGGGTGGATGGAGGTCGCTCTGGAGGCAGAAGGGGCCTCTCACTCACAGGAAGAGCCCAGGAAAGCAGGGGGGAGGCACCAAGGTGGAGGGAGCATGAGGAGTGTGGGTGAGGGGGTGTAACCATGAGGGCAGGCAGGGGGGCAGGACGGAGGGCAGGAGGGCCCAGCCAGGGGAGTCCTCAGGAGGATGAGCAGGAGGCGAGAGGAGAGAGACGATGAGGCCAGAGGGAGACCCTCACCTGAGAATCTCCTTTAGCGTGCGGTGCAGGGATGCATAATTGTCATCGAATTTGTACCAAGGCATGAATGGCTGACCTTCATTGCACACAAAGTTTTCCCAGCAGTATGCAAAGTCTGAGATGAAGAGGTGGGAAGCACTCAGGCTCTCCCCTGACCCTGGGCCTGCCCTCCCAGGCCTGGTCTCCTGGCTGTCAGTTGCAATCAGTGCCAGCCCCACCCCTGCAGGCTGCCCTGGAACACCCCCAGCCATGGCATTGCAGATCCATCCATCTCTGAGGCTGTTCCTCCCCGTCATGCTCCCCTGACCCCTGCACCTCTCACCTTCATAGTCCATGATCTTCACACGGGCCCCTGCCTTATGCAGCCTGAGGAGCACCCACCGCCAATCTCTATCCCGGTAGTAGTAGAGGCGGGCGGCAGAGATGGTCAGGGTGACATTGGGGTGCTCAGCCAAGAATTTGGTCACCTTCACCACACAGGGCAGGCAGGGGTTCCATGATACAAACCAGGTGATCTGGAAGCGCCTGTTAGCAGGCAGTCGGTTGCCACAGAACCAAGATAAGAAGCACATTTCTGCGTGGTTCTCAAACCGGAAATACACCTGGGAGAGGAGCAGGGGCAGGGGAAGCTCTGGGACGGGGGAACAGGAGGGGTGCGGGGTGGGGCAGGGGGAGGAGGGGCCAGGACAGGAGCCCAGGGGATCTTGCCATTGAAGCTCCTTTCCTCCATCCCCCCTGTTTGGTTTGAGTGATTGTCTGCTCCAAGCTGACCTTCAGTGTTAATTGCTATGGTACTGGCCTTAAGAGGTGGCACCTAGAAGAGGCTATGAGGCTGTGGGGACTGCACCTTTGTGGGTGCCACTGCTGTGGTTATTCAAAGGTGACCTCAGCCCCTCTTTCTGTCTCTTGCCCTCTAGCTGGGGGGGCAGTATGTCAGACTAAACTGCTTCCTCTTGTCCCCATGTCACGGAGCACCAGTGACTCGACATCCCAGGCCACTCTGTCTGGAGCATCCCCTGAGCTTCTGGCAACAACCTTCACCCCCATGTGACTGTGCAGCTCGCAGGCCCTGGAAAGTTGCTGGTGCCTTGACGTTGGACTTCCTGGAGTCCAGAACTCGAGCCAACACATTTCTGTTCACTGTAAATGTCCCCGTCTCAGTCCTGCTGTTGAAGCATCACAAGGTGCACCAAGACACGTGCTTCCCTGTGTTTGGAAGTTTTCCCAGCCCTGTTCATGGCCTCGTGTGTGAATTCTGGCATCCATTCTCCCAGGCATCCATTCACCAGGCATCCTCAGCCCCTACTGTGTCCTGGCCCTCTGGGGTCCGCCTTGTTCCCCACTGGGGAGGCCACTGGACCTGCGCTGTCCCATATTGGGGGGCACTGGCCAAGGGCGCTACTGAGCATCTGAAACAGGGCTCTGATGAGAGACCTCGGCACATCAAAAATACACCACTCATTTCAGTGTGAGAAGAAAAAGAAACTTCACTATCTCGCGAAGAATTTTATGTTAATCAGCGTTGAAGTAATATGTTAGCTACACTGGATTAAATAGAATATTAAAATTACTTTCACCGGTTCTTGTCGCCTTTTTAGCGTGTGGGGACTGGAAACACTTGTGCTTCATTCCTGAGTCCTGGGTGTTTCCGTGGCCAGCACCGCTGTAGGCCAGGACTGCCCAGCATACAGACGACTCCCTCCCCAAACACACTCTGAAAAGTCTCCTCCCTGGGTGGAGGGGGCCGTAGGGATGGGTGGGACAAGGCGGGGAACTTAGTGTCCCCAGTGGGGGTGGCAGGGTGAGGAGTGAGGGTTCACCAAACTGTGATGAGGCATCTTTGCCAAGGAGGAATCCGGGCGGTGGCCGGGGCGGTCAAGCAGGAAGGTCTGGGCCACGGACTTAAGAAATGTGGGAAGTGGAGGCCAGGCGCAGTGGCTCACACCTGTATTCCCAGCACTTTCAGAGGCCGAGTTGGGTGGATCACCTGAGGTCAGGAGGTCAAGACCAGCCTGGACAACATGGTGAAATCCCTTCTCTATTAAAAATACAAAAAAATTAGCTGGGCACGGTGGCGTGCACCTGTAATCCCTGCTATTCAGGTGGCTGAGGCAGGATAATCGCTTGAACCCAGGAGGCGGAAGTTGAATGAGCCAAGATTGAGCCATTGCACTCTAGCCTGGGCAACAAGAGTAAAACTCTGTCTCAAAAAAAAAAAAAAAGAAAGAAAGAAAAGAAAAAAGAAATATAGGAAGTGGCCAGGCACGGTGGCTTATGCCTGTAATCCCAGAACTTTCAGAGGCCAAGGCAGGTGAATCACCTGAGATCAGGAGTTCCAGACCAGCCTGCTCAACACAGTGAAACCCCATCTCTACTGAAAATACAAAAATTAGCCGGGCGTGGTAGCACGCGCCTGTAGTCCCAGCTACTCAGGATGCTGAGGCAGGAGAATCGCTTGAACCCAAGAGGTGGAGGTTGCAGTGATCTGAGATCGCACCACTGCACTCCAGCCTGGGCGACAGATGGAGACTCTGTCTCAAAATAAATAAATAAATAAATAAATAGAAAAAATAAATAAATGTGGGGAAAAAATACACAGTTGAGAGCCCGCCGCCAGACATTTTACTTATGTGTTTTCTGCATTCCCAGCTGCTTACCTCCTGCCTGTGATTCGACTGACGTTTGGGTAGTACCGGGCCTCGAAAGACCCCTGTGTCCCAAAGGAGATTTGAGCGGCCCCTCTTTATTTTCACTTCATAGCACAGCCAAGTGTAGCTCCGACCATAGAGGATGGGTTCGTTTTCAAAGTTGTCGTAGAATGTGTCTCGATACATCCGCTCCATCGGATTTCTGAAGGCACAAGAGAGAAACCGGCCCATGCAGGGAGCCCTCCTGGAGTCCTCGGGGCTCATGTCCACTGAACACAGCTCCCGGGACGGCCCTGGGCCTCCCCCACCCCTCCACAGCCCTGAGAATTTCTGCTGCCTTCCCAGGCAGGAAGACTGAGGGGAGAGGAAGAGGAGGGGATGCTGGCAGGGGGGCTGGGGTGATCTCTCCCAGCTCGGGCCCAACTCTGGCCTTTCCAGGGGTATATTCCCCACCCTCTCAGTATTTCTGCCCACCCACTCCCCAACCCATTAGGAAAATGCAAAAGAGAATAAAACTCTTCACCCTTAAAAGATAGCTTTTAACCTTTCAGCTCAATTCCTTCCTGATGTTTCACTCTGCGTGTTAACATTATTTTAAAATCATGGTAGAACCGAATTCTGAGGCCCAGGCCTCTCTTCTAAGTGCTGCGTGGGGGTGGGCTCATGTGAGGCTGCCCTAGGCCTGCAGGGACCATTCCCATCTTACAGAGGAGGGGTCAGAGGCACAGAGAGGTGGGGTAACCTGCCCAGGCCACAGAGCTGGGGACAGTTGGAGCAGGGGCCCCTTTCCAGGCCAGCCCTGTGCAGCCTCTGCATCACGGGCCCTGCAGGAGAAAGCTGTTGGGGACTGGGCTCTCTTTTCACTAAATTTAAAATAAGAGCATTTCTCCTGATCATCGCGTTCTTTCTCACATTCCATGTTACTGGTCATGTTCTAAAAGATGAAGAGTGACCTTGGAGTGGAACCTGTCTGGGGACATCTGCTGACTGTGGAGTCATCCTTGGACGATGTGATTTATCTTGTGCTTCAGAGACCATTCCCTCCCCACACCCTCTCCTAAGACTTTGTATTTAAACAAAGTAAATCTTACAGAAAGTTCATCAAAGCACTGAGAACAAAATGCCTGATTGCCCCAGTCATCCTTTGGTTCAATTCTCCCAGTTCCTGAGCTCAGGAATGGTGGGAAGCACACAGAGGGAGCACCCTCTCAGGGCAGGGAGCACCGGCCTGGCCATGACTTTCAGGGAAGAGTCTCAGGAGGGGGCCTGGACTGTGGCAGGTGGGGAAGGTGGCCCATTCAGAAGCAGCAGTGGGGCGACCACACAGCAGGGCAAGGAGTCTGGCTGGGAGTGGGGGCGGCAGGGAAGCCAGAGGGAAGGAAGTCCAGGGCTGGGGCTGGGGCAGGGGGAGGCCAGGGCTGAGGCCCAGCAGGACCACCAGAAGGAAGGGGCCGGAGGGGCCCTGCGGACATAGTGGGCAGCGGTACCTGATCTGTGGATTCATGTTCAGCCTCTTAGATACGCTTGTCCCAGTCTCCCTCTTTTTTTGAAGTGCTGTGGTTTCACTTCCTGCTTGCGGCTCCTTGCAGTTGGACAGCCCTCCTTAAAGTGACCTCCCGGCCGGGCACGGTGGCTCACGCCTGTAATCCCAGCACTTTGGGAGGCCGAGGCGGGCGGATCACGAGGTCAGGAGTTCGAGACCAGCCTGACCAACATGGAGAAACCCCGTCTCTACTAAAAATACAAAAATTAGCCAGGTGTGGTGACGTGCGCCTGTAATCCCAGCTACTCTGGAGGCTGAGGCAGGAGAATCACTTGAACCTGGGAAGCGGAGGTTGCAGTGAGCCAAGTTCCTGCCACTGCACTCCAGCCTGGGTGAGAGAGCGAGGCTTCCTCTCAAAAAAAAAAAAAAAAAAAGTGACCTCCCAGGGCCTCGTAGTCATGGCCCCTCCCCCTTCCTGCTCAGGCGCTGGTGTAGGAGGCCCTGGGACGCTTTATCTTCCTCAGTCTCTCACCCTCTTTCTGGTTTTCTCTGGGGCCCTCCCCCTGGCAGAGGGACCTCTGATAAAGACAGGCCGCTCTGTGCGGCAGGACCCAAGGCAATTGCAAAGGGAAAGAGAAAGTCATTGCAGCCAGCGCCCGGGAGGTGGGTCCACACCAGGCTGAGCCAGCAGAGCACAAGCCCCTCCCCTGGTGGTCCCGCCCAGCTGGAGCCGCCACTCCACCATCAAGACAGACAGGCTGATGCCTCTGCAGGGACTCCCGGATCCTGCCCTCGGGGATCATCCCAGAGACGGCCCCCACCCAGCGGCCATGGGGACAGGGAGGGAGAGTAAAGGGCCAGGCGTCTGCCTCCCCCCAGGCCTTCACCCTCGGTGGCCACCGTGGGAGGGAGGGACAGCAGGTGGGTGTGGGCCTCAGATGTCCCACCGGGATGCCATGCGCGCCCCCACACTGAGCTCTTTCCTTCCTGCTTCTCCTTCTTCCCCATCTCCTGCCCGAAGATCCTCCGTGTTGGGCTGAACTTTTGCCCTCTCTTGTCCCCATGTTATGGAAGGGCAGCGGCTGGTGTCCCAGGCCAGCCTGTCTGGAGCCTCCCTGCGCGTCTCACAGCTCCCTTCCCATGGTAGCGTGTTCCCATGGCGCGGTGACCTACAAATTACACAAGGGATGCATTTGCAAAGGACACTTTATTTCTTGTTAAGGGTGACAGCCTGCAAGGTAGCCATCCAGCAGCCTGGGAAGAGCAGCCTCTGGTTAACACCAGAGACAGACATTTAGGAGCAGGAGGGGTTTGGGCAGGAGCTTTATGCTGAAGAGGTTGGCTAAACATACATATTCAACAGGCTACAGGAGGAGCTATGAATATTCATGTAGGTGGTTGCAGTCCATGCTTATTGAACAAACATGTGTGGAACATATGATCCCAGCCGGGCATAGTGGCTGATGCCTGTAATCCCAGCACTTGGAGAGGCTGAGACAGGCGGATCACCTGAGGTCAGGAGTTCGAGACCAGTCTGGCCAACATGGTGAGACCCCATCTCTACTAAAACTACAAAATTAACCAGGTGTGGTGATGCATGCCTTTTACTCGGGAGGCTGAAGCAGAAGAATCGCTTAAACTCGGGAGGCGGAGGTTGCAGTGAGTCCAGATTGTGCCATTGCATTCCAGCCTGGACAAGAGGAGCAACACTCTGTCTCAAAAAAAAAAAAAAAAAAAAAAAAGATGATATTTGGAGGCAGAGAGATCCCAGAGGTGCGTGTGCATAGAGGAAAGGCCACAGAGGACACGGCTGGAAGAGACTCCCTGCCAGCCAGAAGGAGCGGCCTCAGAGGAAACAACCCCACCCACCCCTCGAAGTTGGACCTGCAGCTTCCAGATCTGTGAGAAAATAAATGCCTGCCATGTGGGCACCTGGCCTGGGACATCTTCTATGGAGGCCACAGCATGAAAGGGTCATTTTTATGGAGAATCTCATTCTCTAAAACTTACATCTGCTTTGAAAATGTCAAATCAAATTTAAAGTGTTTAGAAGAGCCTCTAAATTTCATATTTCATTTGCAAAGAAAGAATTGTAATTTGAGACATACACGGAGTCCGGATGGTGTTCACCATGTTGAGAGAGCAAAGAGATGGCAATTATAGAAGGAGAAATGTTCTCTTGCCCTATGTAAAGCCCATGGGCACTAGGAAGGGCTGGGAGCTGGGAGGTTCTATTGCTGAGTCGCTGCGTTTGGAGCAAGGAGTCCAAGACTTACAGCCATTTATCGCAGAAGCTATGGATAAAGCTGGTTTCAGGGTACAATGCACAGTCTCAGGAGTCAGGCTTGCAGAGAAGTCCATTTCGGAAACAATGTTGTGTGGCCTGACTGCTTTTCCTCCCTGGCTCCTGGCCTCTGTTTTAGCTGGGTAGGACATGAATGACCCAATTCATAGGATGAAATTTACAAAGGATGTTTCTCAAAACTTCGGGTTTTCAACTTACATATATTCACACCTGTTTAGGTTGAGTTTATTTATCGATTTAT
Source organism: Homo sapiens (assembly GCF_000001405.40). Classification (NCBI taxonomy): domain Eukaryota; kingdom Metazoa; phylum Chordata; class Mammalia; order Primates; family Hominidae; genus Homo; species Homo sapiens. The sequence continues at coordinate 39,018,994 of NC_000022.11, read as the reverse complement.
TTTCAGGCAGGGTCTCTATCTGTTGCCCAGACCCGAGTTCAGTGGCGCGATCTCTGTTCACTCCAGCCTCCACCTCTCGGGCTCAAGTAATCCTCCCACTTCAGCCTCCCAAGTAGCTTGGACTACAGATGCATGCCACCACATCTGGCTTTTTTTTTTTTTTTTTTTTTTTTTTTGTAGAGATGGGGCTTTGTCATGTGACCCAGCCTGGTCTGGAACTCCTGGGCTCACGCGATTCTCCCACCTTTGCCTCCCAAATTGCTGGGGGATTACAGGCGTGAGTCACCATGCCCAGCCTAGGATGAGTTTAGTAAGATTTGGTTATGCTGGGGAGATGGGAAAAGCCAGGTTAGGGGCACGCAGGCTGGAGGAACGGGGTCTGTGGGGGTGGATGGATAGCCATGGAGGCAGAAAGGAGCCTCTGCAGGAAGAGTCTGGAAGAGCGAGGAGGAAGCGGTGAGGCAGGGGAGCACTGTGGAATGGCCCTGAGGCCAGGAGGGGCTCAGGATGACCAGGCAGAAACAGAGCGGGTCCAGGGTGGAGGGGAGGCCCGTGCAGCATGAGCAGGAGGCTAGAGGAGACAGACCATGAGGCCCAGGGAGACCCCTCACTGGAGACTCTCCCGTAGCCTTCTTTTCAGAAGTCGAAAGTTGGTTTTTAATCCCTTCCAAGGCTTGAATGGCTCATTATCATTGTACACAAAGTTTTCCCAACAATATTTAAAATCTGAGAAAAAACAAGGAGAAAACAGTGAGGGCCCAGCAGGCCTCTCTCCTGGCCCTGGGCCCTCCCCTCCCAGCCCAGGTATCCAGGCTGCCAGTTGCAGTGGGCGCTGGCCCGGTCCCCACAGACACCCAGGGGACACTGACCCGCCCCACAGCATTGGAGAACCATCTGCCCCTCATGCTGTCCCTCCTGCACCCACTCTCCTCAGCCCCCCACGTCTCACCTTCATAGTCCATGATCTCCACAGCGACCCCTTCCTGACTCAGGCTGCGGAGCCCCTCCTGGTAACATGGATACTGGAAGTAGTAGAGGCGGGCGGTGAAGATGGTGAGATTCACGTTGCTGTGCCTGGCCAGGAACTCGGCCACCTCCCCTGCACAGTCTGGGCAAGGGCTCCAAGATGTGTACCAGGTGACCTGGTACTTTGTGTTAGGAGACAGTATGTCGTCGCAGAACCAAGAGAGGAAGCACCTTTCTGCATGACAATGGGTCTCAGAATCCACCTGGCGAAGGAGGAGGAGGAGGACAGGGGAGCTCAGACCAGGAGCAGGAGGAGTGCAGGGGTGGGGCGATGGGAGCAGAGGGCGGGCCTGGAGCCCCGGGCCGTTTCCTTATTTACTCATTTTTGAGACAGGGTCTCTCTCTGGTGCACAGGTTAGGGGGTGCAGTGGTGGGATCTGGGCTGACTGCAGCCTTGACCTCCCAGGCTCAAGGAATCTTCCCACCTCAGCCTCCTGATAAGCTGGGATGCAGGTGCATGCCGCCACACCTGCCTAATTTTTTAAATAATTTTTTTAGAGACGGGGTTTCACCATGTTGCCCAGGCTGATCTTGAACTCTTGGGCTCAAGCGATCCTCCTGCCTCACCCTCCCAAAGCTCTGGGACTATGAGCATAAACCACATGCACAGCCTTATTTTATTTCTTTACTTTTCATTTTTCTGGCTACATAGTAGGCCCCAGGGTGTTTTATTCATTGAGTTTCCCTTCTTCTATCCTTCTCCTTCTCTCTTTATTCTTTTATTTTTATTTTTTTCAAAGATGGAGTCTTGCTCTGTCGCCAAGGCTGGAGTGCAGTGGCACAATCTCGGCTCACTGCAACCTCTGCCTCCCAGGTTCAAGCAATTCTCCTGCCTCAGCCTCCTGAGTAGCTGGGACTACAGGCATGCACCCCCACACCTGGCTAATCTTTGTATTTTTAGTAGAGACTGGGTTTCATCATGTTAGCCAGGCTGGTCTCGAACTCCCAACCTCATGATCCGCCTGCCTCAGCCTCCCAAAGTGCTGGGATTACAGGCATGAGCCACCGCGCCGTGCCCGGCCCCTTCCTTCTTTATTTTATTGATTCTTTCCCTGTCTCATAGACTCATGTGTGAATTCTGCCATCTTTTCTCCCAGGCATCCATTCACCAGGCATCCTCAGCCCCTGCTATGGCCTGGCTCTCTGGGGTCAGCTTTGTTCCCTGCCTGCCTTCTGCTGAGGAATCAGGGCAGTGGCGGGGGCGGCCCCACCAGCCCGCAGTCACTGGCCCAGACACAGCGCTGGACACAACACCCCCCGCTTCCCACAGCTGCTGATTCCCGAGGACTGCCGGACGCACAGCTCCATAACAAGATTTTGGGAAACAAAGTCAAGAGTGAGGGTGCTGGGCGCTAAACAAGGCCTTTTGGGAGGAAGCAAACCCCCTCCACGATCTGATCACAGGAGAGTCAGGGAGGAAGATCTGGGCCATGGACTTAAAAAATGTGGGGAGGCCGGGCACAGTGGCTCATGCCTGTAATCCCAGCACTTTGGGAGGCCAAGGCGGGCGGATCATGAGGTCAGGAGATCGAGACCATCTTGGCTAACACCATGAAACCCCGTCTCTACTAAAAAAAAAAAAAAAAAGAAAAAAAGAAAAAATTAGCTGGGCATGGTGGTGGGCGCCTGTAGTCCCAGCTACTTGGGAGGCTGAGGCAGGAGAATGGCGTGAACCCGGGAGGCGGAGCTTGCAGTGAGCTGAGATTGTGCCACTGCACTCCAGCCTGGGCGATAGAGCAAGACTCCGTCTCAAAATAAATAAATAAATAAATAAATAATGTGGGGAGGAGGCCAGGGGCATGGTGTCTCACGCATGTAATCCTAGCACTTTGGGAGGCCAAGGCTGGTGGATCACTTGAGGTCAGGAGTTCGAAACCAGCCTGGCCAACATGGCAAAATCCTGTTTCTACTAAAAATACAAAAGAATTGGCTGGGCATGGTGGCAGGTGCCTGTAATCCCAGCTACTCGGGAGACTGAGGCAGGAGAATCGCGTGAACCTGGAAAGCAGAGGTTGCCGTGAGCTGAAATCAGACCACTGCATTCCAGCCTGGGTGACAGAGCGAGACTCCATCTCAAAAAAAAAAAAAAAAAAATAGAAATGTGGCAGGAAAGTGCACACAGGAGAGCCCACGCCGGGCACATCACTTATTGTTGCGTTTTCTGCATTCCCAGCTGCTTAGCTCCTATTTAGGGTGTAACTAGGACTTTGGTGCTACCTGGTTTCGGAAGACGCCCGTCTTCCAGGAGACAACTGAGCGGCGCTTTATACCTTCCACGGTGAAGCACAGCCAAGTTTCGTTCCGATCGTTGGCTTCCCATAGGTTTTTAAATTGGAAGTAGAATGTGCCTGGATACATTGCCTTCATCGGGTTTCTGAAGGCACAAGAGAGAAACCCCAATGCAGAGACCCCCGCACCGGAGTCCTCAGGGCTGATGCCCACTGAACACAGCTGCCTGGACGTCCCTGGGCTCTGGGCCTCCCCCATCCCTCCACAGCCCTGAGAATGTCTGCTGCTTTCCCAGGCAGGAAGACGGGGAGAGAGAAAGAGGAGGGGACGCTGGCAGGGGCAGCAGGGCCGGGGTGACCTCTCCTAGCTGGAACCCCAGCTCTGGGGCTACCAATGGAACACCCTCAACCTCCCAGTTTTTCTGCTACTTTTTTTTTTTTTTTTTTAAAGACGGCATCTCGCTCTGTCCCCCAGGCTGGAGTTTGCAATCTCAGCTCACTGCAACCTCCACCCCTCGGGTTCAAGGGATTCTCCTGCCTCAGCCTCCCAAGTAGCTGGGATTACAGACGCCCGCCAGCACCCCTGGCTAATTTTCTGTATTTTCAGTAGAGACGAGGTTTCACCATGTTAGTCAGGCTGGTCTCAAACTCCTGACCACAAGTGACCCGCCCGCCTCAGCCTCCCAAAGTGCTAGGATTACAGGCATAAGCCACCGTGCCTGGCCTAAAATAAGAGCATTTCTCCTGATCATCATATTTTTTCCTACACTCCATGTTGCAGGTGTCATTCTGAAAGGTGAACGGTGCTCACAGAGGAGGAGCCTGTGTCTGGGGTCGTGTGCATCCTACTCTGCTCACAGTGGAGGCATCTTTGGAAGAAGTGACTTATTTTCTGGTACAGAGACCATTCCCTCCCCCACACCCTCTCCTAAGACTTTGTATTGAAACAAAGTAAATCTTACAGAAATTGCACCAAAGCGCTGAGAACAAAATGCCTGATTGCTCAAATCATCCTTTGGTTCAATTCTCCCAGTTCCAGAGCTCCCAGGAATAGTGGGAAGCACACAGAGGAAGCACCCTCCCAGGGCGGGAAGCACCAGCCCGGGCATGATTTTCGGGGGAGAGTCTCAGCAGGCGGACTGGGCTGGGGCAAGTGGGGAAGGTGGCCCATTCAGAAGCAGCAGTCGTGGGACCACACAGCAGGGCAAGGAGCTTGGCTGGGAGTGGGGGCAGCGGGGGAACCAGGGGGGAGGGAGCCCAGAGGTGGGGCTGGGGCAGGGGGAGGCCAGGGCTGAGGCCCAGCAGGACCGCCTGGCAGGAAGTGGCAGGAGGGGCCTGGCGGACAAAGCGTGCAGAGGTACCTGATCTGTGGATTCATGTTCAGCCTCTTAGATATGCTTGTCCCTGTCCCACTCTTTTCTGAAGCGCTGTGGCTTCTCTTCCTGCTTACAGCGTCCTTGCAGTTGAGCAGCCCTCTTTAAAGTGACCTCCCAGGGCCTTGTGAATCATGGCCCCTCCCCATTCCTGCTCAGGCACTGGTGTGGGAGGCCCCGGGGTGCTTCATGTTTCTCTGGCTCTGGCCCTCTTTCTGGTTTTCTCCGGGCCCCTCCTACTGGCAGAGGAACCTCCGATAAAGACAGGCTGCTCTGTCTTTATCTGTCCTGGGCAGGACCCAACGGAACTGCAAAAAGAAGAGAAAGAGAAAGAGAAAGGCATTGCAGCCTGAGCCTGGGACGCGGGTCCAGACCCAGCTGAGAGAGGGGCAGGTGCCCCGTTGCCTGGTGGTTGGGCAGGCTGGAGCCCCCTCTCCACCACCCCCTCCCCAGCCCTAATGTGTGCCCAGAGCTTTGAGCAGCACCACCCTGTTGAGTGAGGGGAGGTTTTGAGACCCCAGTGGGGAAGGAAGTGTGGACTCCGCACAGCACAAGCGAAGGCTTAGGTGTGCCTCGAGTTCCCAGCTGTGTGCTGAGTCCATCGCACGCATCCCCTCTTCCAACCTCCCAGCTTCCAGAAGGTGGGGGGCAGTTCAGCCCCTCAGAGATGTGGGCGGAGGATTACCTAGGTGCTGAGGCAAGAGACTGAAGGCACAAACTGTTTCAGTATAATAAAGAATATACTTACAATAAGAATAGTTATAATACAAATTAGATACAGAGATGATCATGGACATTATCAATCATTAGTGTAGATATTATTAATCATTAGCTTTTAATATTACTCTTTATTGTATTACTAATATAACCAAGAAATAACCGGTGGGTATAGGGTCAGGTGCTGAAGGGCTGTTGTGAGAAGTGACCGAGAATGCAAGAGGTGAGCCCTCTGTCACACCCGCATAAGGGCTACTGGAGGGCTCCTTGGTCAGGCGGTAACGCCAGTGCCTAGGAAGGCATCGTTACTTAGCGGACCACGAAAGGGAGTCTCCCTTTTCTTGGAGGAGTCAGGGAACGCTCAGCTCCACCAGCTTCTTGTGGGAGGCTGGATAGTATCCAGGCCTGCCTGCAGCCATCCGGAGGCCTAAACCCCTCCCTGTGATGCTGTGCTTCAATGGTCACGCTCCTTGTCCACTTTCCTCCTGTACTCCTGGTCCCTCTTTGAAGTTCTCAGAAGATAGCGGTAGAAGAAATAGTGAAAGTCTTAAAGTCTTTGATCTTTCTGATAGGTGCATAGAAGAAAACGCTGACGTATACTGCCTTCCCTCTCTGCTTCGGCTACCTATAAGGGAAGGGCCCCCTGTCCTATGATCACGTGACTTGCTCGACCTTATCAATCACTTGGACGACTCACCCTCCTTACCCTGCCCCCCTTGTCTTGTATGCAATAAATAACAGTGCACGCAACCATTTGGGGCCACTACCCATCTCCGTGTCTTGATGGTAGTGGTCCCCCGGGCCCAGCTGTTTTCGCTTTATCTCTTTGTCTTGTGTCTTTACTTTTTACGATTTCTCATCTCCACACACGGGGAGAACACCCACTAAGCCCCATAGGGCCAGACCCTACATCAGGGACTGCGATGTCTGCGACATCAAGCGGTGGAAGCAAGTGTCTACAAACAGGCTCACGGCCCACAGGGACCTCTCAAGGGGTTCCGTGTGGACCAAGAAAATGTGAAACACATACACACACAACTTTCTGATTATTTAAGTTCATCTAAGCATATTTTGGAGGAATGAATGTACATTGTATCCTTGAAATAATCTTCCTAAATAGATTCCTTTAAGGGGAGTTTGTTCTTGTGGGGGAAAGAAAGAGAGATGAGACTGTTATTGTGTCTATGTAGAAAGAGGAAGACATAAGAAACTCCATTGTGATCTGTACTAAGAAAAACTCTTCTGCCTTGAGATGCTGTGAATCTGTAACCCTAGCCCCAACCCTGTGCTCGCAGAAACATGTGCTATATTGACTCAAGGTTTAATGGATTTAGGGCTGTGCAGGATGTGCCTTGGTAAAAATGTGTTTGCAGGCAATAAGCTTGGTAAAAGTCATCGCCATTCTCCAGTCTCGAGTACCCAGAGACACAGTGCACTGCGGAAGGCCGCAGGGACCTCTGCCCAAGAAAGCCTGGGTATTGTCCAGGTTTCCCCCCACTGAGACAGCCTGAGATATGGCCTCATGGGAAGGGAAAGACCTGACCGTCCCCCAGCCCGACACCCGTAAAGGGTCTGTGCTGAGGAGGATTGGTGAAGGAGGAAAGCCTCTTTGCAGTTGAGATAGGAGGAAGGCATCTGTCTCCTGCTCATCCCTGGGAATGGAATGTCTTGGTGTAAAACCCGATCATACATTCTATTTACTGACATAGGAGAAGACCGCCTTATGGCTGGAGGTGAGACATGCTGGCGGCAATACTGCTCTTTACTGCACTGAGATGTTTGTATAAAGTCAAACATAAATCTGGCCTACGTGCACATCCAGGCACGGCACCTTTCCTTAAACTTATTTATGACACAAAGTCCTTTGCTCTCATGTTTTCCTGCTGACCCTCTCCTCACCATTACCCTATAGTCCTGCCACATCCCCCTCGCTGAGATGGTAGAGATAGTGATCAATAAATACTGAGGGAACTCAGAGACCAGTGCCCATGCGGGTCCTCCATATGCTGAGCGCCGGTCCCCTGGGCCCACTTTTCTTCCTGTATACTTTGTCTCTGTGTCTTATTTCTTTTCTCAGTCTCTCATCTCCACCTTTCGAGAAATACCCGCCGGTGTGGAGGGGCAGGCCCCCTTCAGTTCCAGCTGGAGAAGTTGTGCTCTCTGTAGAGGCTCTGAACTCCTCTGGCTACCACCTGAAGGCAGATAGGGAGGAGGCTGCGTGGGTGGTAGGGGGTGCAGCAGCGCCCGTTCCTGCACAGAAGCTTACCTATCGCTGCACAAAGCGGACTCCCAGTGGTTGTTTTTGGAAAGTGAAGTTTCCTTCCTTCCTTCCTTTCATCTTCCCCAATATAAATCTTTTAGTTTACAAGTAAATTTTACTATCGAAAATGAAAACTCGGGGAGGGCAGAAAGATCACACACAGGGCTGCCACTTCACACCTGGAGGGTTGCTCCGTGGCCGTCCAGAGGTGCTCCTCACTTCCCAGACGGTACTTCGGCCGGGCCGAGGCGCTCCTCACTTCCCAGACGGTACTTCGGCCGGGCCGAGGCGCTCCTCTTGAAGGTGAAATTTTCTGTTGCCATAAGAAAGAGATGGGGGCAAAGGGTAAGACCATAGATGGAAAATAATCAGTTCCGTTGATCAGAAACACACTTCTTAGAAGAAAATGTAATAATGACCCTAGACCAGGGAGGCATCCTCCAACCCAGCTGTAAGGCGGCAGTTAAGGCACAGTGGGGAAGGGACACCAGCTTTGCAGCCAGGAGACTCTGAGTTCTGCCCCTTCCTTACTGTGTGACCTTGGGTGGTTTACTTAATGTCTCCAGGCCTCTAATTGCAGGCATGAGCCACTTGCCCAGCCCATTTTATTATTTTGAAAACCTTTTCGGGCCGGGTGTGGTGGTTCACACCAGTAATCCCAGCACTGTGGGAGGCCGAGGCGGACGGATGACTTGAGGTCAGGAGTTCGAGATCAGCCTGGGCAACATGGTGAAACCCCGTGTCTACAAAAACAAAAACAAAAACAAAATTAGCCAGATGTGGTGTGCACCTGTAATTCCAGCTACTAGGGAGGTTGATGGGGGAGGATCACTTGAGCCATGATTGCATCACCGCACACCAGCCTGGGCGACAGAGTGAGACCCTGTCTCAAAAAAAAAAGAAAAAGAAAAACGTTTTCCACCTGTGTAATTTTATTTGCAAAAGGTATATATATGGCTGATTGCCGTGGCTCATACCTATAATACCAGCACTTTGGGAGGCTGAGGCGGGCAGATCACCTGAGGTCAGGAGATCAAGACCAGCCTGACCAACATGGTGAAACCCCGTCATGACTAAAAAAAAAAAAAATTACAAAATTAGCCAGGCATGGTGGCATGCACCTGTAGTCCCACCTACCTGGAAGGCTGAAGCAGGAGAATAGCTGGAACCTGGGAAGTGGACGTTGCAGTGAGCGGAGATCTCACCACTGTACTCCAGCCTGGGCCACAGAGTGAGACTCCATCTGAAAAAATTTAAAAAATAAGCCATGTGTGGTGGCTCACGCCTGTAATCCCAGCACTTTGGGAGGCTGAGGCAAGGGGATCTCCTAAGGTCAGGAGTTAGAGACCATCCTGACCAACATGGAGAAACCCCGTCTCTACTAAAAAAGAATACAAAATTAGCCAGGTGTGGTGGTGCATGCCACCATGTAATCCCAGCTACTCGGGAGGCCGAGGCAGGAGAATCACTTGAACCCGGGAGACAGAGGTTGTGGTGAGCCAAGATCGCGCCATTGCACTCAAGCCTGGGCAACAAGAATGAAACATCATCTCAAAATAACAAAATAAAATAATAAAAATAAATATTAAAAAGAAGGTTTTATATATATGGGATCTTTAGTATATGATTATATGAAATATATATCTAGAATATATATATGGGATCTTTTAATATGATTTCTTTTGATATATATAGAATCATCAGTATATGATTATATGTGGAATGTATATACGGAATCATTCGTCACTGACGTTTTTCACTCAGCATAATACCCTTGAGGTTCATCTGAATTGTTGCTGGTTTCCATAGGTTGTTCGTTTTCATTGCAGGGCACGACTCATTGCATGGATGTACCAAAGCAGGTTGAACCATTCGCCCACTGGACGTTTAGACTGGTTGTGGTTTTTGGCTATCGTGAACAAAGATGCTATGAACACAGGTTTTTGTTTTTGTTTTTGTTTTTGTTTTTTAAATGTGAGCATAAGTTTTCATTTCTCTGGAATAAATGCCCAATAGTGCAATTGCTGGATTGTATATTAAGTACACGTTTAGTTTTATAAGAAACTACTTGGCCGGGCATGGTAGTTCACGCCTGTAATCCCAGCTCTTTGGGAGGCCGAGGTGGGCGAATCACAAGGTCAGGAGATCGAGACCATCCTGGCCAACATGGTGAAACCCCATCTCTACTAAAAACACACACACAAAATAGCTGGGGGTGGTGGTGTGCGCTTGTAGTCTCAGCTACTCAGGAGGCTGAGGCAGAAGAATCACTGGAACCCAGGAGGCAGAGGTTGCAATAAGCCGAGATCACACCACTGCACTCCAGCCTGGGCAACAGAGCAAGACTCGGTCAACAACAACAACAAAACACCAGGCATGGTGGCAGGCCCCTATAATCCCAGCAACTAGGGAGACTGAGGCAGGAGAATTCCTTCAGCCGGGGAGGCAGAGGGTGCAGTGAACTGAGATCACACCACTGCACTCCTGCCTGGGTGACACAGCTTGTCTCAAAAAAAAAAAACTCCTGACCTCAGGTGATCCGCTCACCTGGGCCTCCCAAACTGCTGGGATTACAGGCGTGAGCCACTGCGCCGGGCTGGCCATTGGGAATATTCTAAGTGCGTCATATAAATGGAATCATTCAGTATTTCTCTTTATGTGATTGGCTTATTTTACTCAGCAAAATATCCTCAAGGTTCATCCATGTTGTAGCGTGGGTCAGAATTTCCTTCCTTTTCAAGGCTGAGTAATATTCCATTGTATGTGTAGACCACATCTGGCCTCTCCATTCATGTGTTAATGAAAACTTGGGTTGCTTCCATGGGTGTACAAATACCTCCTTGAGACTCTGCTTTCAATTTTTTTGAGTGTACACCCGGCAGTGGAATTGCTGGATCATCTGGCCATTCTATTTTTAATTTTTTGAGGAACTGCCATGCTGTTTTCCACAGCAGCTGTCTGCTGTTATTAGGTGAAGTGTTCCGTATATGTCTGTTAGACCTAGTTGGCTTATTGTGTTGAGTTCTCTATTTCCTTCCTTTTTTTTCTATCTGGTTGTTCTGTCCATTATTGAGCATTGGGTATTGAAGTCTCCAATTATTGTAGAACTCTAATTCTCCCTCAATTCTGTTCATTTTTGCTTCATACATTTTGATGGTCTGTTATTAAGTGTGTAAATTTTTTTTTTTTTTGATACAGAGTCTCGCTCTGTTGGCCAGGCTGGAGTGCAATGGTGAGATCCTGGCTCACTGCAACCTCCACCTCCTCGGTTCAAGCGATTCTCCTGCCTCAGCCTTCCAAGTAGCTGGAATTACAGGCATGCGCCACAACGCCCAGCTAATTTTGTATTTTTAGTAGAGACGGGGTTTCACCATGTTGGTCAGGCTGGTCTTGAACTCCTGACCTCAGGTCATCGGCTCACCTCGGCCTCCCAAAGTGCTGGGATTACAGGCGTGAGCCACTACACCTGGTTAAAAAAAATCTCTTATCTGATATTAGTGTAGCCACTGCTGCTCTCTTTTGGTTACTATTTGCATTACATTTTATTTTTATTCATTTGGGTGAGCCTGCCTTTAGTGTCTGCCACACTCTCCAAAGTGAGATTCCCAGTTGATATTCCCACTAGTGTTTACTTGTATATTAATAAGGCTGTTCAATTTTGCATATTTTATTGCTTATTTCATTTCTTCTATAAATTGCCTGTGCATATCATTTGCCCATTTTTCTGTTGGCAGAAACCTCTAGCCCAATGCTGGATTGGGGTTTCAGGAGCCAGCCTTTTCTCTTGACTTTGATTTCACCATCTAGTAGATACTTGTAGTAGACTAACCTTTTATCTAGAAACCTTTTATGAGATGAAGAAAGCTTGCTAAGACTTTTGTTGAACTGGGAATGCTTTCTTTGGCATGGCAGCATGCTTCAAGCTCTTAAGATAGCTTCTAAGCTACCTTTGCATCTTCTAAGGCGCTATTTTGTTTTATTTCATTTCATTTCACTTATTTTATTTTTTATTTTATTTTATATTTTATTTTATTTTATTTTATTTTATTTATTTTATTTATCTTAGAGATGGAGTCTTGCTCTGTTGCCTAGGCTGGAGTGCATTGGCACGATCTCGGCTCAGTGCAACCTCTGCCTCCCGGATTCTAGCGATTCTCCTGCCTCAGCCTCCTGAGTAGCTGGGATTACAGGTGTTCACCTTCACACCTGGCCAATTTTTATATTTTTAGTAGAGATGGAGTTTCACCATGTTGGCCAGGCTGGTCATTAACTCCTGACCTCAAGTAATCCACCTGCCTTAGCCTCCCAAAATGCTGGGATTACAGGCAAAATGCTGGGATTAGTGCCTGGTCCTAAGATGCTATTTTAATAGCATATGCTTTCTGTTTTTTATGATTGAGATGGTCATGTGGTTTTTCTCCTTTAATCTATTGATATAGTTGCAATATCATTCTGTTTGACAAGTAGTAGTGGCTTGTGATTTGGATTGACTATCAAAAGAGACGTGATAGGCTTCACCCAGTATGCATTTCCTTGGCTTTAAGAAAAGATACAGGACAGGTGGGACAACGTGTGTAACAGCACAGAGCGGAAGTCTCAGGACTCCCACGTGTAGCTTCTGAGGCCCCTTGTCACTCACGCACACGGACACTTGGTCCTGAGGCTGAGGGAGTGTGGACCTGCCCAGCTCCGGGAAGCCATCAGCTCTGGGGCCTGCAGATTAAATACCTTTCTGTTTTTTTTTTTTTTCTTGAGACTGAGTCTCGCTCCATCACCCAGGCTGCAGTTCAGTGGCACGATCTCAGCTCACTGCAACCTCTGCCTCCTGGGTTCAAGTGATTCTCCTGCCTCAACCTCCTGAGTAGCTGGGATTACAGGTGCGTGCCAACACACCTGGCTAATTTTTGTTTTTTGTTTTTGTTTTTGTTTTTTGAGATGGAGTCTCGCCCTGTCACCCAGGCTGGAGTGCAATGGTGTGATCTCGGCTCACTGCAACCTCCACCTCCCAGGTTTAACAGATTCTCCTGCCCCAGCCTCCCTAGTAGCTGGGATTACAGGCACATGCCACCACACCCAGCTAATTTTTTGTATCTTTAGTTGACATGAGGTTTCACCATGTTGGCCAGGCTGGTCTCGAACTCCTGACTTCAGGTGATCTGCCGACCTCGGCCTCCCAAAGTGCTGGGATTACAGGCATGAGACACCGCGCTCGGCCAATTTTTGTATCTTTAGTAGAGAGGAGTGTTTCACCATGTTGGCCAGGCTGGTCTTGAACTCCTGACCTCAGGTGATATGCCTGCCTCAGCCTCCCAAAGTGCTGGGATTACAGGCATGAGCCACCGCACCCGGCCAGATTTAATGCCTTTTTAGTCAGGGACTCTTCAGTTCCTGGGCTGCTGTGTCTCATTGACTGAAATTACTCATGAATTATAGTTTTTAAAAAATTGTTTTCTATTTTTGCCCAGTTGTAGCATCAGGGTTGTGATAAACCTCGGTCATGATTTGGGAAGCTTCCCATCATTTTCTTTTCTCTGGAATAGTCTCTGTAATGTGGAATGATCTGTTCATTGACAATTTGGTAGAAATTGCCAGTAAAACCATCAAGGCCTGAGGTTAGGTGAGGATTGGTTACCTTTTCAGTGTCCTCATTGATGATCGACCTAACTGAGTGATTTTTCTCCATTTTGTGTCAGTTTTGGTGATTCTTACTTTTATGGAATATTTATGTAAGTGTGCTAGAAGGCCAAGCACGACTTTTCCATCTGCCCTGGAATTGGTGGCCGGGAGTTAAAACCATGGTCAAAGAGAGATTATGTACCTAACATCCTACAGAAAGCTTCAGATGGGTGAGGGTCAGACAGATACACCACAGAAAGACTCACGACAAGGTCTTGTGAAGAGGCATTCAGCTTTGGCCGGGAGACCCCAGCAACAGGCAACAAGCAACGGCTGGGAATTAAGAGGGCTTGGGAAACTGAGTGTGTAGAAAAACACACAAACTCAAGCCGTGTTTTTCCTCTGCTCTCGCACCAACACAACAACAGTCAACACAGAAGACTTCTGTGACCAAATGTGGGGGATTTCTTCCCACCAACAAACAAGCAATCCATTCTTCAGCAGGCACCAGCCAGGTGTCCTCTCAGTCACATCCAACATTGCCTTGAGATGGTGTCAGATCTCACAGGTTGAGGGCCCAGTCCCCAAAACTGCCCCTGCTTTAGACACCAGTAGAAAGCTCAGACATCTGGAGTGTCTGACCAACAGGCTTCAAGTTGAGGTTCCCATGACCCATTCTTTGGGTTCAGTTAATTTGCTAGAGCACTACTCTGGAGGCTGAGGCAGGAGAATTGCTTGAATCCAGGAGGCGGAGGTTGCAGTGAGCCGAGATCGTGCCACTGCACTTCAGCCTGGGCAACAGAGCGAGACTCCGCCTCAAAAAAAAGAAAAAAAGATCATTGAGTTCTAAGTGTGCCTAATTCACACTATGATTTTGTCTTTAACGCGTGAATGATTTAGGAGCGATAACGTGCTACCCTAGCAAGAACGGGAATCGAGCTCAAATACGGACACCACCGTGTCTAGCAGCACAGCCTACCCTGAACTCATTGGAAATCGATATCCATTTGTCCCTTAAAATATTTTAAGTAATTTTGGAGAGATGTAGGAGAATAATGCTTTTTTCTTTTTTTTTTTTTTTGAGACAGAGTTTCATTGTTGTCACCCAGGCTGGAGTGCAATGGCACGATCTCGGCTCACTGCAACCTCCCACTCCTGGGCTCAAGCGATTCTCCTGTCTCAGCCTCCCGAGTAGCTGGGATTAGAGGCAGCTGCCACCACGCCCGGCTAATCTTTGTATTTTTAGTAGAGACGGAGATTCACCATGTTGGCCAGGCTGGTCTCCAACTCCTGACCTCAAGTGATATGCCCATCTTGGCCTCCCAGAGTGCTGGGATTACAGGTGTGAGCCACCGAACCCAGCAGAGAATAATGCTTTTTAAACATTTTTTTAATTTTTAAATTTTTAATTAATTAAATTTAATTTTTTAATTTTTTAGAGACAGGATCTTATTCTGTTGCCCAGGCTGGAGTGCAGTGATGGCTCACTGCAACCTCAAACTCCCCAGCTCAAGTAATCCTCCCAGCTTTGCCTCTTTTTTTTTTTTTTTGAGATGGAGTCTCGCTCTGTTGCCCAGGCTGGAGTGCAGTGGCACAATCTCAGCTCACTGCAAGCTCCCCTTCCCGGGTTCACGCCATTCTCCTGCCTCAGCCTCCCAAGTAGCTGGGACTACAGGCGCCCACCGCCACGCCCGGCCAAATTTGTATTCTTTTTTTTTTTTTTTAGTAGAGATGGGGTTTCACTGTGTTAGCCAGGATGGTCTCGATCTCCTGACCTTGTGATCCGCCTGCCTCAGCCTCCCAAAGTGCTGGGATTACAGGCGTGAGCCACTGCACCCGGCCCCAACTTTGCCTCTTAAAATGCTTGAATTACAGGCATGAGCCACTGTACCCTGCCACGGTAATGCTTTTTAGGGGTGTATTAGTTGGGGTTCAGCCAATAAACAGAACCACTAAGATGTATATATTTTGTTTACGAATTTTAAAAAATCTGAATCTGACCTTATCCAGTTGCAGGGGCTGGTTAAGCAACCCCCATAAAATGTTGTCTTCACTGCCTGTGATGTTGGAGCTTGAAGTCTGCGGCGGGGTGGTTCAAGGGGCCATCAGAAAGGGATGAGGGATGCTAGGTGTGGGAGAGCAAGAGCCAGCTGGAACCCACAGGTCTGAGCTGTGGAGCGTACGAGGAGAGACAGAACCCATGTCATCGTTCTTGCCTCTGACTTTAATTGTGTCCTACTGGGGACCTTCCTCAAGGAGCTAAAGACACACACTTGGCTCAGGATCAGAGACACTCAGGGACCATCTAGGACTGCTCCTGGCAGCTGCAGGCCCAGGTGCTGCTTCACGCCAAGGAGATGTGAGCATGCCAGAAAAGGGCTGCTGCCTCACTTCCTCCCAGCAGACTTGCCAGGGCGGTCTCTGTGGCTAGCCCTGAAATCTGACCGCTGGGAAGGGAGGGCATCCTGACTTAGTGCACACATTACAGAGCTTCCGCAAGGGGGCAGAAGAGCTGACCCCAAACCCTGAGAATTTGATTAGGATTGCATCAAATCTGTAAACTTTTTTTTTTTTTTTTGAGATGGAGTCTTGCTCTGTCACCCAGGCTGAAGTGCAGTGGCTGGATCTCTGCTCACTGCAACCTCAGGTTTAAGCAATTCTACTGCTTCAGCCTCCTGAGTAGCTAGGATTACAGGTGCACGCTACCACGCCTGGCTAATTTTTTGTATTTTTAGTAGAGACCGGGTTTCACCATGTTGGCCAGGTTGGTCTCAAACTCTTGATCTCAAGTGATCTGTCCACCTCAGCCTCCCAAAGTGCTGAGATTACAGGCATGCACAACCGCACCTGGCCGATTTAACCTCTTAATATTAAGTCTTTCAATCCCAAAACATGGTATATCTCACCATTGATTTAGGTGTTTTTAAAAACTTTCTCTTAGTTCTTAGTAGAGTTTTGTAGTTTTCTGTGTATGGGTCTTATACAACTTTTGCAAGATGATTTTTTTTCTTTTTCTTTTTTTTTTTTTTTTTTGAGATACAGTCTTGCCCTGTCACACAGGCTGGAGTGCAGTGGCTCAATCACAGCTCACTGCAATCTTGACCTCCCCAGGTTCAGGTGATCCTCTTGTCTCAGCCTCCCAAGTAGTTGGGACTGCAGGTGCACGCCTCCACATCCAGATAATTTTTGTATTTTTTGTAGAGACAGGGTTTTACTATGTTGCCCAGGCTGGTCTTCAACTCTTAGGCTTAAGCGATCCACCTACCTCAGCCTCCCAAAGTGCTGGGATTACATATGTGAGCCACTGCACCTTGCCTGCAAGATGATTTTTTTTTTTTTTTTGAGATGGAATCTCACTGTCGCCCAGGCTGGAGTGCAGTGGCGCAATCTCAGCTCACTGCAACCTCCACCTCCCGGGTTCAAGCAACTCTCCTGCCTCAGCCTCCCAAGTAGCTGGGACTACAGGCACACCCCACCACGCCTGGCTAATTTCCATATTTTTAGTAGAGACAGGGTTCCACTATATTGGTCTGGCTGGTCTCAAACTCCTGACCTTAGGTGATCCACCCGCCTCGCCCTCCCAAAGTGCGGGATTACAGGCATCAGCCACTGTGCCCGACCATCAAGATGATTTTTAACACTCTGTTTTCAGGGACAGATTTCTGGTGATAGATAACAAACCAATATTCTAAATGGCTCACTATGGGCCAGGTGCTCTTTATAATATATGTAGCTATAATATGAATATGAACAAACTCGTTTAAGCCTCACAACCCACAATGAAGAAGTTGTATTATCATCTCCATTTCATATGACAGACTGAAGCACAGAGGTGCTAAGTAACTTGCTAAATGCCACAATCCAGTAAGTGGCAGAAGCAGGATGAAACCCAGGCAGCCGGCTGCAGAGTTGCCACTCACACTGCTCCCCTTGTGCTGCTTGGTAACAGTGACAAGCGTTCCTACCAGTATCCAATAGCACATAAAATCAGGACTGATGCTCTGTCAATATCAGACTTGACTCTTTTCTTTTTTTTTTTTTGAGACGGAGCCTCGCCCTGTTGCCCAGGCTGGAGTGCAGTGGCACGATCTCGGCTCACTGCAACCTCCGCCCCCCAGGATCAAGCAATTCTCATGCCTCAGCCACCCGAGTAGCTGGGATTACAGGCGCACGCCACCGCGTCTGGCTAATTTTTGTATTTTTAGTAGAGACGGGGTTTCACCACGTTGGCCAGGCTGCTCTCTGCTCTCTGCTAACTCCTGACCTCAGGTGATCTGCCCACCTCGGCCTCCCAAAGTGCTGGGGTTACAGGCATGAGCCACCATGCCCGGCCAGACTTTACTCTTACGTTCAGATTCATTGAACTCGTTCTATAAAAGCAAGATCTCCCCCCTCAGTTGCTGCAGGGGAGAGGGGACATCTTCATCTTTATCTTATAGTATTTCGTATATACAAAGATGTGCACAATTTTTAGAATGAGGCTATGGAACTTTGTTCATTAGCAGGAAAGCCCAATAGCAGGCTAGTAGAGCTACGTGTTACGGGATGAAAGGGAGTAAGAGTGGATAGAAATTTCCTTAAAAACACTTTGTGGCCGGGCGCGGTGGCTCATGCCTGTAATCCCAGCACTTTGGGAGGCCGAGGCGGGTGGATCACGAGATCAGGAGATCGAGATCATCCTGGCTAACACAGTGAAACCCCGTCTCTACTAAAAATACAAAAAATTAGCCAGGTGTGGTGGCGGGCGCCTGTAGTCTCAGCTACTTGGGAGGCTGAGGCAGGAGAATGGTGTGAACCAAGGAGGCGGAGCTTGCAGTAAGCCGAGATCGTGCCACTACACTCCAGCCTGGGCGACACAGCAAGACTTTGTCTTGGGAAAAAAAAAAAAAAAAAAAAAAAAAACAGTTTAAAACAGACCAGGCGTGGTGGCTCATGCCTGTAATCCCAACACTTGGGGAGGCCAAGGCAGGCAGATCATGAGGTTGGGAGTTCGACAGCAGCCTGGCCAACATGGTGAAACCCCACCTCTACTAAAAATACAAAAATTAGCCAGGCGTAGTGGTGGTTGCCTGTAGTCCCAGCTACTCGGGAGGCTGAGGCAGGGGAATTGCTTGAACCTGGGAGGTGGAGCTTACAGTGAGCCGAGATCACGCCACTGCACTCGACCCTGGGTGACAGAGCAAGGCTCCATCTCAAAAAAAAAAAAGAAAAAGAAAGAAAAGAAAAAAAAAAAGAAAAAGAAAACCACCACTAACAAACAAACAAACAAAACAGTTTAAAACAACAAAGACATCAGTTTAATCTCCCCCTAGTAACCATTGAAATACTATACAGTAGCCCATTCTCATACCAGATTGGAAAAGATCAAAGAGACTGAGTAGATAAATGAACAATGTTCTGCAGAGAGAACATGGTCCTGGTGAAGCCGGGTCCCAGCGGCCCCCGGCCCCCTCGCTCCCCTCGTGTCTTCCTCCACTCTGCCACAGTCATCACACCCAAAGCCAAATGCCCATCAACAACAGAACTGGCAAAGTGAGTGCCGGGTATTCACGGGTGGGATAGTGGACAGCAATAGGAATTGACCTGCAACCGTGATAAACAGAATGGGTGAACCTTGCAAACATAGGGTTGAGTGACAAGAGCCACACACAGAAGATTGTGTACTATGTGCTGGTGTTTAGAGCAAGTGCAGAAAAAGCTAAACTAACGTATTGCATTAGAAATCTGGAAAGTGGCTATCATGGAGGAAATGGAGAGAGGATGGGGCCCGCCAAGGTACAGAGGGAGAGAAGAGCCCTGGGGACAGCTGTGACCCAGGACAGGCTGGTGGCGTCCATCCGTCTCCAGGCAGGACCAGGTCTCATAGGGCTTTCCCTGGTGGTCTGAACAGTCTTCCCAGCAGGGCTAAACACTGCGGTGAGGGGGAGATAGTCAGCTTCCGTCACAGGGGCTGAGGCCATGGTGTGTGGGGCAGGTGGGGAGCCCTCCCCAGCACCTCTCGGCCTTGGCCCTGGCATCCTTTCCATGTGGACGTCCTGAGTCTTCCACGTCCTGAGTCTTGTCCTTGGTGTCACCTACAGTCCTAGCCAAGGACTCTCCCCACCGGCTCCCAACCACCCTTCAGCCCAAAGCCTCCCCCTGACATCCCACATGACAGCTGACCAGCCCGGTGCAGGGTCCTCATTTCCTGCAATTTCTGGCTGTTGGCAGTGGAGGGGTCAGGCTTCAAGCCTTCTCGTTGACGTTGACATGCTCAGCCAGGAAGCTGTTCACTGTCTGGGCACATTAAGGACAAGGGCTCCAGGAGATGCTCCAGGTGACCTGGTAGCACCAGTGCATGGCCAGTGGCTTTAGAATGTTCATGGAGAAGGAGAAACAAGTTTCCAGACAGTCAGATTCCTCAAGGCAGAAGAGGAGGGAAGGGGAGGGGTGGTGGTTTGGGTGACTGTGCAAGCCAGATGGGGGGTCCTCAAGCTCAGCCATTCCAGTGTGCTGCTCTCTCCTGAGAGGGAGGGAGGGAGGGAGGGAGGGAGGGAGGGAAGGAGGCAGGGAGGGAGGGAAGAAGGGAGGAAGAAAGGAAGGGAGGGAGGGAGGGAAGGAGGGAAGGAAGGGTCAAGGAAGGGAGGGAGGTGTTGTGGGAAGTCAGGGACCCCAAATGGAGGGACCAGCTGAAGCCATGACAGAAGAACGTGGATTGTGAAGATTTTATGGACATTTATTAGTTCCCCAAATTAATACTTTTGTAATTTCTTATGCCTGTCTTTACTGCAATCTCTAAACATAAATTGTAAAGATTTCATGGACACTTATCACTTCCCCAATCAATACCCTTGTGATTTCCTATGCCTGTCTTTACTTTAATCTCTTAATCCTGTCAGCCGAGGAGGATGTATTTCGCCTCAGGACCCTGTAATAATTGCATTAACTGCACAAATTGTACAGCATGTGTGTTTGAGCAATATGAAATGTGGGCACCCTGAAAAAAGAACAGGATAACAGCAATTGTTCAGGGAATAAGAGAGATAACCTTAAACTCTGACCACCGGTGAGCCGGGCAGAACAGAGCCATATTTCTCTTCTTTCAAAAGCAAATGGGAGAAATATCGCTGAATTCTTTTTCTCAGCAAGGAACATCCCTGAGAAAGAGAATGCGCACCTAGGGGTAGGTCTCTGAACTGGCCCCCCCAGGGCGTACCTGTCTCTTATGGTCGAGATTACAGAGGTGAGATAGACTCCAGTCTCCCATAGCGCTCCCAGGCTTATTAGGAAGAGGAAATTCCCGCCTACTAAATTTTGGTCAGACGGGTTGCTCTTAAAACCCTGTCTCCTGATAAGATGTTATCAATGACAATGGTGCCCGAAACTTCATTAGCAATTTTAATTTTGCCTCAGTCCTGAGGTCCTGTGATCTCGCCCTGCCTCCACTTGCCTTGTGATATTCTATTACCCTGTTAAGTACTTGATGTCTGTGACCCACACCTATTCACACACTCCCTCCCCTTTTGAAAATCCCTAATAAAAACTTGCTGGTTTTTGCGGCTTGTGAGGCATCACGGATCCTACCAACATGTGATGTCTCCCCCGGAAGCCCAGCTTTAAAATTTCTCTCTTTTGTACTCTGTCCCTTTATTTCTCAAGCCAGCCGACACTTAAGAAAATAGAAAAGAACCTACATGATTATCGGACCAGGTCCCCTGATAGGGAGGGAAGGAGGGAAGGGTGAAGGAAGGAAGGGAGGGAGGGAGGGAGATAGGGAGGGAAGGAAGGAAGGAGGGAGGGAGGGAGGGAAGGTGGGAGGGAGAGAGGGAGGGAAGGAAGGAAGAGTCAATGAAGGGAGGGAGGGAAGGAAGGAAGGGTCAATGAAGGGAGGGAGGGAAGGAAGGAAGAAAGGAAGGAAGGGAAGGAGGGAGGGAGAGAGGGAGGGAAGGAAGGGTCAATGAAGGGAGGGAAGGAAGGGAGGGAGGGAGGGAGGGAAGGGGGGAGGCAAGGAAGGACAACTGGTTCATTCATATACTAGTTCCTTCATTCCTTCAACAGTAACCCAAGAGCACCCACTCAGGGCCACGGCTCAGGCAGGAACCTGGGATGCAAGGATGGATGGCACATGGTCCTCCCTCCAGGAGATCACAGTGTAGGGAAATCAACGAGGACCCATAGTGAGCCCCTCCATCCCACGTACCCCCTCCTCTATCCACTTGTGGGCACTGCAGCCTGGACTTCTGCATCAGCAGCTGTGTGGAGGTCTGTTACCCTGAGATCTGCAGCCAGGACAGGGGGCTGTGCCCAGGAACAAGGTAGGTCAAAGGGAGGTGGGAGAGCCCAGGCGGGTGGGCGCAGCATGGGAGGGTGTGTTGCAGGAGGCTGTGGTGGCTGCTCTGCTCCAGTGACCAGAGGGAATGGCTCTAGCTACCTGGTGGGCTGGTGTTGGGCACACGAGGCATTGTCGGGGGGGCTATGATCGTGTGTAGGTCCCTCCCAGAGGGCCCCAGGCCCTGGGTTTCCATCTTTGTGGCTTCCATGCAACTGCGTTGTGCAATGTGTTTGGTCTGAGCCTGATGGGAGGAAGAAAGCTGGTCTTGTGGGGGGCTCCCCTTTCCCTACCAATCTGGGATTCCTGTGTCCATCCCCAGCTAACACCTGGTTGTGAAGGACACTGGTGTCCAGCAGGACAGGGTGTCACCATCTGATCACTCTACATGGTAGGATAGGCAAGTCTCCCCTCGCCCTTTGGCCAGCTGTAGGTTTTCATAGTTAAAGTTGAAGTCCAGGTCAGGCGCGGTGGCTCACACTTGTAATCCCAGCACTTTGGGAGGCTGAGGCGGGCAGATCACCTGAGGCCAGGAGTTCGAGACCTGCCTGGCCAACACGGTGAAACCCCATCTACTAAAATACAAAAATTAGCCGGGCATGGTGGTTCGTACCTGTAATCCCAGCTACTCAGGAGGCTGAGGCAGGAGAATCGCTCGAACTCGGGAGGCAGAGGTTGCAGTGAGCTGAGATGGTGCCATTGCACTCCAGCGGGGGTGACAGAGTGAGACTCTCTCAAAAAACAAAAACAAACAAACAAAAAAAAGTTGAAGTCCTTTGGAGACATCTGGCATCCAGAGGTCAGAGGGGAGATGAAAGGAAGACACAGACGGGTGCCCTGCAGCCCTGGCAGGCACTTGTTCATCTCTGAGGCCCCGACCACCTGGGATGAGCCTGGAAAGCTTTTTGCTTTCTTTGCTGGTGGTCTCCAGGACCTTCTGCCCCGAATCCAGCCTAGTCCACGAGGCCACATCTCATTTTTCCTTGTGTAGAGTCAGGGATGGGGTCACTTCTCAGCCCCAGGAACGGTGCCTTCCCTCCCTCAGGCCCTCCTCTTTGTGATGACCACCCCAAATCTCCCTGTCCTTAGCCACAGATGCTCTGTCTCCAAGTCTTCTCCCACTGCCCATCCACAGGCACCTCTTTGCCTGAAGTTCTCATCCTGGACACTTCCTCTTTCAGGAGGGAGCAGAAATGGCATCGTCTGACTGGGTAACTCCGGCGAGCCCAGGGCTGGAGGTGGAGCCTTCATGGGGCGAGGGTGTTGTAGGGTAACACTGAAGGAGTTGGTTCCAAAACAGTGGCCGGGTCCTGGTTTGGGGCTGGACTCCTGCTGGCCCCTGGGTTGGCTCTGTTCTTCCCCAACTAGTGCCACAGTTTCACTGGGGATGCCCAGATGCAGAGGAGCTGCGAGATGGGTGAGGAGGCAGGTCCTCACACCCTTCCGTGGGGACAGTGAACTCCAAGAAGATTTTCATAGGCGGGTTTGGCTAAGTGCATCAAAAGCTTTGTTCAGTTCTTAGGAAATGTTCTACGACCATCTGTCCAAAATGCCTAAGCAATTATGAAACCCCACATCGCAGCTTCATGGACAATACTGGAAATTTGAAAACTACCTAACTGTGCTCCACTGGGGGTTGGTGAGAACTTGTAGATCAGGGGCTTTCCAGGCATGGATTTTTTTGAGATGAAGTTTCGCTCTTGTTGCCCAGGCTGGAGTGCAATGGCGCAGTCTCGGCTCACTGCAACCTCCGCCTCTCGGGTTCAAGT
Organism: Homo sapiens; assembly: GCF_000001405.40. Taxonomy (NCBI): domain Eukaryota; kingdom Metazoa; phylum Chordata; class Mammalia; order Primates; family Hominidae; genus Homo; species Homo sapiens. Next base: position 38,995,697 of record NC_000022.11, on the reverse strand, counting down.
GATTCTCCTGCCTCAGCCTCCCGAGTAGCTGGGATTACAGGCAGGCGCCACTACACCTGGCTATCACACGTATATTATGCAGCCTTTTGAAGCCTTTTCCTAAGATGTGGGGAAATGTTTGTAACTATACTATAAGGAAAGACGCAGGACTCCAACTTCTGGGCACAAGATAGTTTCCAGCATAGCACTATTTATTACCTGTTGGCCATGGCTGTGGCTGGGTCCATCCATTGAATACTTTACCTGCCTTAATGAGCTCCAAGCCAAGGCACAGAGAGGGTGAGTCACTCAATAGGGGGTCACACAGGTAGGAGGAGGAAGAGCCGGGAGTTGAATCCAGGAATTCTGCATCCACAGCCCATGCTTTTAACTGTTACATTCTATCATCTCTGCTATAAAAGTATTGGACAGGAAAAAAATTGGGCCAAAGAATCACAAGAACCTCCCTAGACTCACTTTGCAGATGAATGGGGAGGGGGGTGGCTAGGAGTTGTGTTGTGCCTATTTCTTAAGTTGGGGAGTACACACTTTGGTGTTCGCATATTGTCGTATTTAAATCTTAAGAATTAAAAAAAATTCTATAGGCTGGGCGCAGTGGCTCATGCCTGTAATCCCAGCACTATGGGAGGCTGAAGCAGGTGGATCACCTGAGGTCAGGAGTTTGAGACCAGGCTGGCCAACATAGTGAAACCCCGTGTCTCCTAAAAATACAAAAATTAGCCGGGTAGGGTGGCGCATGCCTGTAATCCCAGCTACTCAGAAAGCTGAGGCAGGAGAATTGCTAGAACTCAGAAGGTGGAGGTTGCAGTGAGCCAAGATTGCACCACTGCACTCCAGCCTAGGCAATAGAGTGAGATTCCATGTCAAAAACAAAACAAAACAAAAAAACAAAAATTCTATATTTAAAATTTAATTAATTTTTTTTTTTTTTGAGTTGAGTCTTGCTCTGTCACCCAGGCTGGAGTGCAGTGGCATGATCTAGGCTCACTGCAACCTCCACCTCCTGTGTTCAAGCCTGCCTCATCCTCCTGGGATTACAGGCATGCACCACCACGCCCAGCTAATTTTTGTATTTTTAGTAGAGACGGGGTTTCACCATGTTGGCCAGGCTGGTCTCAAACTCCTGACCTCAGATGATCCACCTGCCCCTGCCTCCTAGTGCTAAGATTACAGGCGTGAGCCACTGCCCTAGGTCTATACTGTTTTTAATCATTCATTTTTTTTCTTTCAACAATTGTAAATGGATTCCTACCCAGGGGGCAAGGCTGGGCAGTCAAGGCACAGGCAGCAAGCGGTAGACTCCAACCTCAGTGCGTTTCCGGGAAGTGGAGGCAGATGGTCAAGAAATGAGAATCTACACACAGGGAAGATAAATCCAGTTTGTAACAAGGACAGTGCAGGAAATAGACATGGAGATGAGGCAGAAGGGAACTGTGTGGGCAGCTCACTTCAAGAGGCCAGGGGAGGTGACTTGGGAACTGAATCCTGAGGAAGAGAAGGGATAGCAATGGGAAGAGCCGAGGGAAGCTTTGTCCAGAGAGGGAATGGCAGGTGCCGTGGTCTGAGGCGAGAGAGGGCTGGGTGACCTGGACTAGAAGAGACACCAGCCAGACAGCATAGAAAACAAGTAGAGGAGCTGGGCTTGGTGGCTCACGCCTGTAATCCCAGCACTTTGGGAGGCCGAGGCAGGCGGATCACCTGAGGTCGGGAGTTCGAGACCAGCCTGACCAACATGGAGAAACCCTGTCTCCATGAAAAATACAAAATTAGTTGGCCATGGTGGCACATGCCTGTAATCCCAGCTACTCCAGAGGCCGAGGCAGGAGAATCGCTTGAACCCGGGAGCTGGAGGTTGCGGTGTGCCGATATCACACCATTGCACTCCAGCCTGGCAACAAGAGCAAAACTTCATCTCAAAAACAAAACAAAAACAAAAAAACAAGTAGAAGGTGACAAAGCTGGCAGGGGAGAAGGGAGTCCTCTCCTTGGCCAGCTGTCTCATGCAAGGGAGTCCCCGTCCGGGGACAGGTGCTCTGGGGAACCTGGAGGAGGTTTCTTTTTGTGAAGTCTCTGTCACTGTGTGTGGGTGCGTGTGTGTATGTGTTTTGTGCATGTGTTGTGTGTGTATGTGTTGTGTGTGTTGTGTGTATGTGTGTCTTGTGTGTGTTAGTGTGTTGTGTGTGTCTAGGCCAGGGAAACAGTGAGTCGTTTCTGCCCAGGAGCAGCTGCATGTGAGGCCCCTTCTTGGTCTTATACGTGGCTTCTGAGGACTTTCCAGAAATTGTGAGGTGGGAGCCGCCACTGTAATCAGGCACATAAATAACACATCCCAGAGTTGGGAACCAGCGCAGAAGGCCCAGGACAGACGCCAAGCTGAAGCCACAGCCCTGACACCTGCCGCCCTAGCCCTGGGCTCCGTCTCTGCCTCTGGAGCTTCCTGTCCCCGGGACTCAGCTCCCCTCCCCTCTGTGGCTGGGCTCTGCCTCCTGGGCTGCTCCTCTCCCCAGCCCTCTCTCTGGGCCCAGCCTAGACACCTGCCCCCTCCCTGGGCTCCTTCCCCCGACTGGGTCTGTCCTGGGTCTCAGCCATGGCCTCCCCTGGGCTCCCTCTCTAGGGGGGTGGAATCAGGAAGGGGTGGACACAGGGCGGCTCCCGAGGGCCCCTGACTGCACGTTTGTGGTTCCTTTCCAACAGGGAGACTGGCTGCTGACTGTCCTCTTACTGCTGGGCCTGTCCCTTCCAATCAGCGCCCGGGGCTCTGTGAGTGAGGGTGGGCGGGGCTCTGTGAGTGAGGGTGGGGTCTGCATTTAGGTTCCTCTCCTGTGTGGTTTAGCTGAGTTTTCTGGATCCAGAGGGATGTTGTGTGACCTTTCCCAGCTACAGGTCCGCTACACAAGGAAAGACATCTACACATTTGCTAGTGTTTGTGGAAACAATTATGGAAGATTCTTAATGTTTTATTAGTCTAAATATGGAGCCAATTAATCACTTCATTAATACATTGAAAACTATTCTGGGAATATTGAGCATAATCTTACTCTTGTACACTTGGAACATAAGAGAAATTTTCAATTAAAATTAATTGACTCTGATTTTTAAAAAATCTACTTGATCAGGAGCACATTGCTTTGCTGGTGTCTGTGAGCAGCTGGAGATGGTGGTGAACGGTCTGTTTGCATTTCTTGGAAGAAGATCTTTTATTCTGCTGCTCAACCCAGGTCTCTGCCTTCCTTAGAGACTGAGGCCCATCCTTCAGTTTCCCTGATTCTGGAAGAGCAGGGGGGTTGAATGGAGCAGGAGGTGAGAGAGTGGAAAGAGGGCACAGGGAGGTGGCCTGGGGACAGTGACAATGACGGGAGAGGAGGGAGGGATGCGGGAGGTGGGAAAGAGAAGGAGGCTGTGAGAAGGAAAGGGAGGGACGGAGCTGGGCGCCCTGTGGGGAGCAGGGAACCCAGAGGAGGCTCTGAGCAGAGGGGAAGGCAAGGCACAGGGGAGCGGGGAGGAGGGGGAGGCCGATGGGGCACCAGGCAGAGGGAGGAAGCCCTCACCTGGAGAATGGCCCGCAGCCTCCCACTCAGGGCTTGGCTGTGCTCCTCTAGTCCATCCCAGGGCTGGAAGGGACATCCCTGGCGGTACACAAAGGTGTCCCAGCAGTACTCAAACTCTGAAAAGGGACAGGGGAGATAAGTCACGCTCCTGTTGTGGGGAGGGGGCAGCACCAAGGGCCCATGACTCTCAGGACAGACTTCCCACATCCTGGTTTCAGTCCCTCCTTTCCCTCTCCCTCCCCTAGGGACTTAGCTCCTTCATCAGGTACTTCCTTCCCATTGGAATCTGGGCCAGCCCAGTTCTCTTTCTTTCGGAAATCCCCAAGTTCTGCTTCCACTTCCAGCCACCCTCCCCGGGCCCATATCTCCTGGCCTGGCCTCTCTCTTCCCATCGACCCCAAAGTCAGGTCCCAGAGTCCAGCCATCGTTTCTGCAGGCAGCAGACCAAGGCCTTTCTCCTTTTCTTCCCAGGAACCTCTCCTGCCCCCACCCACCCCACCCCACCTGAACCTTCCATTCTTACCATCGTAGGTCATGATGGAGACTTGGGCCCCAGCATCCCGCAGCATTTGCAGCGCCTCCTTATATAGGGGGTCGTAATCATAGATGCGGGCAGCGAAGATGCGCAGTCTCACGTGTGTGTTCTCCTGAAGGAACGCACGCACTTCCCCGGCACAGCCCCAGGAGAAGCAGGGGCTCCAGGAGATGAACCAAGTGACCCTGTAGATCTGGGCCGGGTCCAACTGCAAAGAAGGAACCAGGTCCAAGAAGCGCAGCTCCGCATGGCGGCCGTAAAAGCCACAGAGAAGATTCTTAGCCTAGAAAAGGAAACAGAGTGTGAGGTGATGTGTGGTGAACAGGGAGGGAGCGCCTGGACCAGGTGGGGCTGGGGAGGCGGGGGCCTCCAGCACGAAATTAGAGGGGTCGCCAAAACCCCGGTTATTAGGATGCATGATTTTCTATGCAATATTAAAAATATCAGATGTTATGCAAAAATCCCAAGATAAGCAAAATGTTGCCCATTTAAATACAAACAGATCAGGAGCAATGAGGTTTTATTTTGCCCCAGCTCCAATATACACAGGACAGCACTCTCCTGCCAGGCTTTATTAAAATCTTTGCTTTTATTCATCATGATCTATTTGTATTAAATTTGCGTTTTAAAATATTGCATTAATTATTAAATTAAAATGTGTTTTCTCTAATTACTGAGCATTTGGAGCCCCCATCAATTTTGTACCCAAGGTCAGAGCCTTCAGGACCCTCACCCCAGACCCAGCCCTGCAGGGAGGGGCTACAGAGATGGGGGCAGGGAGGAGGGGCCGGCGGAGCCCCAAGGTCATTGGCCTGATGCCCCTGAGTGAGTGTGCTTCCTTCAAGGGGAGATTGACCTGCTCTACTCATCAACTCCCCTACTCCCATCCCATCTGTGGCCCATAATTCTAGAAACTTCTATTCTGTGCCACAACCTGTGCTGAGCCCAAATGTGATATAGACTTAGGCCAAAATGAATTCCACCAAAAGTAGTGGGGAAGAGAAGACCAGCAGGACTCACTCCAATGTGGGAAGGTCCCTGTGACATGGTATAATTGTCATTATTTTGACTTATAGAAATATGGTATTTACTCCAAACTTCAGAGAAAAGGATTTTCCACTAAGACTAGGAATCGGTCAAGTTGGGGACAGCAGGGCAGCAAGGACTGTGATTGTGATGGGGACAAAGACAGGGAGGGATTCCATCAGAGGGGATGCAGGGTGAAGTGGATGACATGGTTTGTGCTGAGAAGGGGCTGTGGGTCATTCCTGGGGGAGTCCCACTGCTTAGGCGGTGATGGAGACTGGCACCCTTGAAAGGATGTTCCAAGCAGTGTGTGTGGATCCAGCGAGGCCCACATTGAGCTCATAGAGCCCAGAGAAGCCCCCAGTTTCCAGCAACAGAGCCAAGCAGAACTTGGCCTCTCCAGACAGAGGCTGTGCTGGGTAGGGGCCAGGGAAGAAAGTCCCTTGGGCTCAGGGCTCCTGGCCAGCCTAGCCTGGCCCCCTCAGCCTTTCCTGGCCCAGTTCTTCCCCAACTGCTGGCCATCTTTGCATCCTGACATGGGACCTGTTCTGGCCTTGCTGTGGGCTCCACCCTGGGCAGGACAAAACCCCTGATCAGCCTCTCCTGCCCCAGTCTGTCTCTCCGCAGGATGAAGCCCAAGAGAGGGCACAGGGACATCCTGGCCTTGTGAGTCAGGTAGGCCCTGAGTCCTCAAATCCCACAGTTCCGAATCATTCCTGGTGAGAGCTGTGTCTGTGAGGGGATCCTGGGAGGGTCCTCAGGAAGCACTTTGCCATTGGGCAGACTCAACCCCACCTGGCCATGGAGAGTCACTGAAGCCAAAGTCTCCCCCCAACTCCAGGGCCAAGCAGCAGCAGCTGCAGGAAGCACAAGTGACAAACACTGCAGGAAACCACAGGCACCACCCAGAACCTTCTATCTATGAGTGTCCCTGGATTGGGAGGGCCCTGCCTGGATGCAGGTGGCTGGGTCGGTCACCTCGTTGCATAGAAAGCCCATGTGCTGGTCCATCAGGACCCAGGTGCCATTGTCCAGGCGCTCCACCTCATAGCACAAGTAGGTCTGGCGCCGTCGAAGGACCAAAGGGTCATTATTAAAGTTGAAAGTGAATGTGTCTGGATCCATCAGGTATCTGTGGACAAAGACAGGGGAAACCAAAAGCCCTAAGACTCCTCCTGGGACTACCTCTCGCTCCTCTCCTGCACCCCCCACTCCTTCCCTGCTCCCCATATACTGAGGCACCTGTCAGAGGAGGCGCTTCCACTCCCTTTGTGGGGGCCACTGATCCTCTCTCTCTGACCCCTTCTGGTGGATTATCAGGAAGTCAACACAGCCCCGGGGCCTGTTTAGGCCTTGTCAGGGTCTCCCCAGGGTCAGCTCAGTGTGCTCAGGCCCTCCGGGGAGGACCCTGCCCCTCTCCCTGGGGTAGAGCTGGGTCTCCTTCCCTGGCCTCACCATGCACCCCTGTCCTGGCTCTGCTCACCCACAGCCCCTGCTGGAGATGGACCTGCTGGGGCTTCCTCCTGCCTGCAGGGTTAACTCCTACCACACCCAGCATTGGGGCAGGGACACTCCTGAGGGGGATCATTGGGGAGAGGAGCCTGCCAGGGACATCTTTTTGGATAATTCATAGCATTTTCCACGTCCCTTTGGATGCCATGAGGTCTCCCAAACGTGCTTCTCAGGCCAGATGGGGCAGCTCAGGACTCCTGGGCTGGAAACACCAGCCCCACCTTGAAGGCCTCTCCCGGCCCCTCTGTAGACATCCTGACAAAACCAGAATTAGAAAAATCTCTGTTTGGAGGCAGCAGCAAAAGAAGAAAGACGAGAGAGAAGAAAGGAAGAAAGAAAGAAAGAAAGAAAGAAAGAAAGAAAGAAAGAAAGAAAGAAAGAAAGAAAGAAAGAGAAAGAGAGAAAGAGAGAGGAAGCAAGGAAGGAAGGAAGGAAGGAAGGGAGGAAGGAAGGAAGGAATCTCTGTTTGCCACAATTTCTAGTAGACCTGGGTATGAATCTGGGCTCTACCACTCACTTGCTTTGTGTTCTCAAGAAAAGGAAACAAGGCTTCTTCATAGCAAAGTGGTCCTACAAGCAACACCCTTTTCTAAATATTAGGGAGAACGAGATGACACTGAACATAAAAATGGCTTAGGCCAAGTCCAGAGACATGGAACATTTGCAAGAAATAGTAGATGCTCATTTAAAGACAAGTGAAGAGAATCCCCTCTCCAACTGTCTTCACTGGCTGGGGCACAGCATCATTATCCACTGGGATTTTCAGGCTCCCTGTGCATCTGCCCCAGGAGGTGGAAGGAGACCTGGAATTGGTACCATTGGAGGAGAGACCAGCACTGGGACCAAAACTGGGAACCTAGAGCAAGAGGCCAGGTCCAGAGAGAGGGTCAGGAGGAAAAGAGAGGCCCCAGGGGTTTGAGGGTGAGAGGTGAGTGCTCATCAGAAAAGCTCGAAGAGGAGTTCTTGTCTCCTTTTTAGTGTGTGGGGACTGGAAACACTTGTGCTTCAGTCCTGAGTCCTGGGTGTTTCCGTGACCAGCACTGCTGTCCCTCCCGGGTTCAAGCGATTCTCCTGCTTCAGCCTCCCAAGTAGCTGGGATTACCGGCTCCCGCTACCATGCCTGGCTCATTTTTTGTATTTTCAGTAGAGAGGAGGTTTTGCCACGCTGGCCAGGCAGATCTCCAACTCCTGACCTCAAGTGATCCACCCACCTCAGCCTCCCAAAGAGCTAGGATTATAGGCATAAGCCACCGTGCCCTGCCTAAAATAAGAGCATTTCTCCTGATCATATGTTTTCCTACACTCCATGTTGCAGGTGTCATTCTAAAAGGTGAATGGTGCTCACGGAGGAGGAGCCTGTGTCTGGGGTCGTGTGCATCCTCCTCTGCTCACAGCGGAGGCGTCTTTGGAAGAAATGACTTATTTTCTGGTACAGAGACCATTTCCTCCCCCACACCCTCTCCTAAGACTTTGTGTTGAAACAAAGTAAATCTTACAGAAATTCCATCAAAATGCTAAGAACAAAATGCCTGATTGCTCCAATCATCCTTTGGTTCAATTCTCCCAGTTCCAGAGCTCAGGAATGGTGGGAAGCATATACAGGGAGCACCCTCCCAGGGCAGGGAGCACCAGCCCAGCGGTGACTTTCAGGGAAGAGTCTCAGCAGGGGGTCTGGCCTGGGGCAGGTGGGGGAGGTGGCCCATTCAGAAGCAGCAGTGGGGCGACCACACAACAGGGCAAAGAGCCTGGCTGGGAGTGGGGGTGGCAGAGGAACAGGAGGGGAGAGAGCCCAGGGCTGGGGCTGGGACAGGGGGAGGCCAGGGCTGAGGCCCAGCAGGACCACCAGGCAGGAAAGGGCAGCAGAGGCCCCATGGGCAGAGCGGGCAGTGGTCCCTGATCTGGGGCTTCATGTGCAGCCTCCCTGGCAGGCTTGTCTTGGCCCTGATGTTAGTCCTGGGTTTGGATTCTATTTCTATCTTCCAGGGCCCTTGTTCCAGGAGACACCTGCGCTGTGAGTGACCTCCCAGGCCCATCTGAGTGCAAGCCTCACTTTATGCTGCTTTCTCACCTGGATGGGAGGACATCTGGAGGGACCCCTGGATCCTGCCCTCAGGAATCATCCCAGGGACCCCCCCCGTCCCCAGCCACCCAGCAGCTATGTGGTAGTGAGGGAGAGTCAGGGGCAGGTGTCTGCCTTCCCCCATGCCTTCACACTCAGAGGCCACCATTGGAGGGAGGAATAGCGGGTGGGGGTGGCCCTCAGATGTCCCCCCAGGATGCCATGGGTGCCCCCACACTGAGCTCCTTCCTTCCACATCTCCTGCCCAGAGTTGTTCCCTGGAAGGCTGAGCTCTTGCCTCCTCTTGTCCCCATGTCACAGAAGGGCAGCGGCTGGTGTCCCAGGCCACCCTGTCTTGCTGTTTGTTCCTCTAGTCCAAGACCCAGGTGCCTTAGAGGCAGAAGGGGCCTCTTACTCACAGGAAGGGCCCAGGAAAGCAGGGAGGAGGCAGTGTGGAGGGAGCACCAGGAGTTAAGGGAAGGTGGTGTGACCATGAGGGCAGGCAGTGGGTCAAGAGGGAGGGCGGGAGGGCCAGGCCAACGGAGGCCTCAGGAGGATGAGCAGGTGAGAGGAGAGAGATGATGAGGCCAGAGGGAGACCCTCACCTGAGAATCTCCTTTAGCGTGCGGTGCAGGAATGCATAATTTTCATCGAATTTGTACCAAGGCATGAATTGCTGACCTTCATTGTACACAAAGTTTTCCCAGCAGTATGCAAATTCTGAGATGAAGAAGCGGGAAGCAGTCAGGCTCTCCCCTGACCCTGGCCTGTCCTCCCAGGCCTGGTCTCCTGGCTGTCAGTTGCAGTCAGTGCCAGTCCCACCCCTGCAGGCTGCCCTGGGACACCCCCAGCCATGGCATTGCAGATCCATCCATCTTTCATGCTGTTCCTCCCGCTCACGCTCCCCTGACCCCTCCACCTCTCACCTTCATAGTCCATGATCGTCACGCGGGCTCCTGCCTGACTCAGCCTGCAGAGCGCCCTTCGGTAATCTCTTTCCCAGTAGTAGTAGAGGCGGGCGGCAGAGATGGTCAGGGTGACATTGGGGTGCTCAGACAGGAATTCGGCCAGCTTCGCCACACAGTCCGGGCAGGGGGTCCAGGATACAAACCAGGTGATCTGGAAACACTTGTAAGCAGGCAGCTGGTTGCCACAGAACCAAGAGAGGAAGCACATTTCTGCGTGGTACTGAGGCTTGAAATACACCTGGGAGAGGAGCAGGGGGCAGGGGATGCTCTGAGAGGGGGAGCAGGAGGAGTGCAGGGGTGGGGCAGGGAGAGGAGGGGCCAGGACAGGAGCCCAGGGGATCTTGCCATTGAAGCTCCTTTCCTCCATCCCCCCTGTTTAGTTTGAGTGATTGTCTGCTCCAAAGCTCACGTTCAGTGTTAATGGCTATTGTAATGGCCTTAAGAGGTGGCACCTAGAAGAGGCTATGAGGCTGTGGGGACTGCACCTTTGTGGGTGCCACTGCTGTGGTTATTCAAGGGTGACTTCAGCCCCTCTTTCTGTCTCTTGCCCTCTATCTGGAAGGGCAGTGTGTCAGACTAAACTCCTGCTTCCTCTTGTCCCCGTGGCATGGAGCAGCTGTGACTCGACATCCCAGGCCACTCTGTCTGGAGCATCCCCTGAGCTTGTGGCAACAACCTTCACCCTCATGTGACTGTTCAGCTCACAGGCTGAGGCAGGAGAATCACTTGAACCTGGCAGGTGGAAGTTGAGAGTGAGTCATTGCACTCCAGCCCAGGCAACAAAGAGTGAAACTCAGTCTTAAAAAAAAACCAAAACAAAACAAAACAAAAAAACAGAACTGTGGGAAGTGGCCAGGTGCGGTGACTCATGCTTGTAACCCCAGCACTTTGGGAGGCCAAGGCAGGTGACTCACCTGAGGTCAGGAATTCCCCAGCCTGGCCAACATGGTGAAACCCAGTCTCAACTAAAAATAGAAAAAATTAACTGGGCGTGGTGGCAGCCTTCTGTAATCCCAGCTATTCGGGAGGCTAAGGCCGAAGAATCACTTGAACCTGAGAGGTGGAGGTTGTAGTGAGCCAAGATTGTGCAATTGCACTCCAACCTGGGTGCCAGAGCGAGACTCCATCTCGGAAAAAAAAAAAAAAAAAAAAAAGGAAAAAAAGAGAAAAAAGAAATGTGGGAAAAATACACAATTGAGAGCCCAGTGCTGGGCATTTTACTTATTGTTGTGTTTTCTGCATTTCCAGCTGCTTAGGTCCTACTGTAGCAAGGGTTAAAAAGAAAAGAAGAACAAGTTTTCCTCTGCCTAGCCAGCTCACTCCAACGACAGTTATAACACTGCCTGAAAAGTCAAGGCCAAAGGAATGGGCTCCAGACACCACCCCCACACCCCTCCAGGGCAAGGTTGAAGAAAATTTTAAAAAAATTTTTTAAAAAAAAGACAAATTCCTTTACTGTCTCTCCTTTCCAGAACCATTATAACTATATTTTACAAATGTCTGTATTTAGCCAGTTCCTGTTTTCCTTTTGATGTAGCTGCAAGGCCACCAGCTATAGAAGGCCCCAAGTTATGCTAAGTCATCTGTTATGCTATAGATTATGTGACCTGTCACTGTTTGATTAATCGCCTTTGTTCTGCTTCTGTAAGTTTGCTTATAAATACCTCAGTCTGTCTTTGTTAAGGGCTCAGCCTTTTTGGATGTGAGTCTGCTGAACCAGTGCACCTAAATAAATCCTCCTGTCTCACCCATATCAGTCTCTCCAGTCCTCTAATTCCTGCAACACTGCCTGTGATTCGATTGAAGTTTGGGTGGTACCTGGCCTCGAAAGACCCCTGTGTCCCAAAGGAGATTTGAGCGGCCCCTCTTTATTTTCACTTCATAGCACAGCCAAGTGTAGCTCCGACCATAGAGGATGGGTTCGTTTTCAAAGTTGTCGTAGAATGTGTCTCGATACATCCGCTCCATCGGATTTCTGAAGGCACAAGAGAGAAACCGGCCCATGCAGGGAGCCCTCCCGGGAGTCCTCGGGGCTCATGTCCACTGAACACAGCTCCCAGGATGGCCCTGGGCCTCCCCGACCCCTCCACAGCCCTGAGAATTTCTGCTGCCTTCCCAGGCAGGAAGACTGAGGGGAGAGGAAGAGGAGGGGATGCTGGCAGGCGGGCTGGGGTGATCTCTCCCAGCTCGGGTCCAACTCTGGCCTTTCCAGGGGTACATTCCCCACCCTCCTAGTATTTCTGCCAACCCACTCCCCAACCCATTAGGAGAATGCAAAAGAGAATAAAACCCTTCACCCCTAAAAAATAGCTTTTAACCTTTCAGCTCAATTCCTTCCTGATGTTTCACTCTGCGTGTTAACATTATTTTAAAATCATGGTAGAACTGAATTCTGAGGCCCAGGCCACTCTTCTAAGTGCTGAGCGGGTGTGAGCTCACGTGAGGCTACCCTAGGCCTGCAGGGGCCATTCCCATCTTACAGAGGAGATGCCAGAGGCACAGAGAGGCGGGGTAACCTGCCGAGGCCACAGAGCTGGGGACGGATGGAGCAGGGGCCCCTTTCCAGGCCAGCCCTGTCCAGCCTCTGCATCACGGATCCTGTAGGAGAAAGCTGTTGGGGACTGGGCTCTCTTTTCACTAAATTTTAAAATCAGAGCATTTCTCCTCATCATTGCACTTTTTTCCCACATTCTCACATTCCATGTTACTGATCATGTTCTTTCTTTTTTTTTTTGATGAAGTCTCACTCTGTCGCCCAGGCTGGAGTGCAGTGGCATGATCTCAGCTCACTGCAACCTCCACCTCCCAGGTTCAAGCAATTCTCCTGCCTAAACCTCCTGAGTATCTGGGACTAGAGATGCGCCACCATGCCTGGCTAATTTTTGTATGTTTTTTAGTAGAGACGGGGTTTCACCATATGGGCCAGGTTGGTCTCAAACTCCCGACCTCATGATCCGCCCGCCTTGGCCTCCCAAAGTGTTGGGATTACAAGTGTGAGCCACCACGCTCAACCACTGGTCATGTTCTAAAAGATGAAGAGTGACCTTGGAGTGGAACCTGTCTGGGGACATCTGCTCACCATGGAGTCATCCTTGGATGACACGATTTATCATGTGCTTCAGAGACCATTCCTACCCCCGCACCCTCTCCTAAGACTTTGTATTTAAGCAAAGTAATTCTTACAGAAATTTCATCAAAACACTGAGAACAAAAATGCCTGATTGCTCCAATTACCCTTTGGTTCAATTCTCCCAGTTTCTGAGCTCAGGAGTGGCAGGAAGCACACAGAGGGAGCACCCTCCCAGGGCGGGGAGCACCAGTCCGGGCATGACTTTAAGGGAGAGTCTCAGCACGGGGCCTGGGCTGGTGCAGGTAGGGGAGGCAGCCCATTCAGAAGCAGCAGTGGGGTGACCACACAGCAGGACAAAGAGCCTGACTGGGATTCGTGTGGCAGGGGAGCCAGAGGGGAGGGAGCCCAGGGCTGGGGCAGGGGCGGGGGGAGGCCAGGGTTGAGGCCCAGCAGGACCACCAGGCAGGAAGGGGCAGGAGGGGCCCAGCAGGCAGAGTGGGCAGCGGTACCTGATCTGTGGATTCATGTTCAGCCTCTTAGATACGCTTGTCCCTGTCCCGCTCTTTTTTTGAAGCTCTGTGGTTTCACTTCCTGCTTACAGCGTCCTTGCAGTTGGACAGCCCTCCTTAAAGTGACCTCCCAGGGCCTTATGAGTCATGGCCCCTCCCCATTCCTGCTCAGGCATTGGTGTGGGAGGCCCCGGGGTGCTTCATGTTTCTCTGGCTCTGGCTCTGGCTCTGGTTTTCCCCGGACCCTTCCCGCTGGCAGAGGAACCTCCAATAAAGACAGGCTGCTCTGTCTTTATCTGTCCTGGGCAGGACCCAACGGAATTGCAAAGAGAAAGAGAAAGGCATTGCAGCCTGAGCCTGGGAGGCGGGTCCAGACCCAGCTGAGAGAGGGGCAGGTGCCCCGTTGCCTGGTGGTTGGGCAGGCTGGAGCCCCCTCTCCACCACCCCCTCCCCAGCCCTAATGTGTGCCCAGAGCTTTGAGCAGCACCACCCTGTTGAGTGAGGGGAGGTTTTGAGACTCCAGTGGGGAAGGAAGTGTGGACTCCGCACAGCACAAGGGAAGGCTTAGGTGTGCCTCGAGTTCCCAGCTGTGTGCTGGGTCCATGGCATGCGTCCCCTCTTCCAACCTCCCAGCTTCCAGAAGGTGGGGGGCAGGTCAGCCCCTCAGAGGGACTGCGATGTCTGCGACACCAAGGAAGGGAGAAGGGTGTCTATAAACAGGCTCACTGCCCAGGGACCTCTCAAGGGGTTCTTTGTGGGCCAAGAAAACGGGAAACACATACACACACAGCTTTCTGATTATTTAAGTCCATCTAAGCATATTTTGGAGGAATGAATGTACATTGAAATAATCTTCCTAAATAGATTCCTTTAAGGGGAGTTTGTTCCAGCTGGAGAAGTTGTGCTCTCTGTAGAGGCTCTGAACTCCTCTGGCTACGACGACGGGAATGCAGACAGGGAGGAGGATGCGTGGGTGGTAGGGGGAGCAGCAGCGCCCCTACCTGCACAGAAGCTTGTCCAACCTCTGCACAAAGCGGACTCCCAGTGGTTGTTTTTGGAAGGTGAGTTTTCTTTTCTTTCTTTTTTTTTTTTTAAATCTTCCCCAGTATAAATCTTTTAATTTAAAAGTAAATTTTATTGTCGAAAATGCAAACTTGGGGAGGGCAGAAAGATCACACACAGGGCTGTCACTTCACACCTGGGGGGTTGCTGGGAGCCGTCCAGAAGCGCTCCTCACTTCCCAGACGGTGCGGGGGCCGTCCAGAGGCGCTCCTCACTTCCCAGACGGTGCGGGGGCTGGGCAGAGGCGCTCCTTACTTCCCAGACGGTGGGACAGCCAGGCAGAGGCGCTCCTCTGGAAGGTGAAGTTTTCTGTTGCCGTCAGAAAGAGATGGACAAAGGATAAGACCATCGGTGGAAAATAAACAGTTCCGTTTATCAGAAACATACTTTGTAAAAGAAAATGTAATAATGACCCTAGACCAGGGAGGCATCCTCCAACCCAGCTGTAAGGCGGCAGTTAAGGCACAGTGGGGAAGGGACACCAGCTTTGCAGCCAGGCGACTCTGAGATCTGCCCCTTCCTTACTGTGTGACCTTGGGTGGTTTACTTAATGTCTCCAGGCCTCTAATTGCAGGCGTGAGCCACTTGCCCAGCCCATTTTATTATTTTGAAAACGTTTTCGGGCAAGGTGTGGTAGCTCATACCAGTAATCCCAGCACTGTGGGAGGCCGAGGTGGACGGATGACTTGAGGTCAGGAGTTCGAAACCAGCCTGGGCAACTTGCTGAAACCCCGTGTCTACAAAAACAAAAACAAAAAAATTAGTCAGATGTGGTGGTGTGCACCTGTAATTCCAGCTACTAGGGAGGTTGAGGCGGGGAGGATCACTTAAGCCATGATTACATCATCACCGCACACTAGCCTGGGCGACAGAGTGAGACCCTGTCTCAAAAAAAAAAAAAGAAAGAAAAAAATTTTCCACCTGTGTAATTTTATTTGAAGAAGGTTATATATGGCTGAGTGCAGTGGCTTATACCTGTAATACCAGCACTTTGGGAGGCTGAGGCGGGTGGATCACCTGAGGTCAGGAGATTGAGACCAGCCTGACCAACATGGAGAAACCCTGTCACGACTAAAAAAAAAAAAAAATTACAAAAATTAGCCAGGCATGGTGGCACGCACCTGTAGTCCCAGCTACCTGGGAGGCTGAGGCAGGAGAATAGATGCAACCCAGGAAGTGGACATTGCAGTGAGCTGAGATCTCACCAGTATCCTCCAGCCTGGGCGACAGAGTGAGACTCCATCTCAAAAAATAAAAAAATAGTCCAGGCGTGGTGTCTCATGCCTGTAATCCCAACACTTTGGGAGGCCGAGTCAGGGGGATCTCCTAAGGTCGGGAGTTCGAGACCATCCTGACCAACATGGAGAAACCCCATCTCTACTAAAAAAGAATACAAAATTAGCCAGGTGTGGTGGTGCATGCCTGTAATCCCAGCTACTTGGGAGGCTGAGGCAGGAGAATCACTTGAAACTGGGAGACAGACGTTGCAGTGAGCCGAGATTGCACCATTGCACTCAAGCCTGGGCAACAAGAATGAAACACCATCTCAAAATAACATAAAATAAAATAATAAAAATAATAAAAATCCAGCACTTTGGGAGGCTGAGGCGGGTGGATCATGAGGTCAAGAGATCGAGACCATCCTGGCCAACATGATGAAACCCCGTCTCTCCTAAAAATACAAAAATTAGCTGGACATGGTGGTGCACACCTGTAGTCCCAGCTACTTAGGAAGCTGAGGCAGGAGAATCACTTGAACCCGGGAGGCAGAGGTTGCAGTGAGCTGAGATCGTCCCACTGCACTGCAGCCTGGGTGACAGAGTGAGAAACTATCTCAAAAAAGAAAGAAAGAAAGAAAGAAAGAAACTACTAAACTAAATTGGAGAATAGCTGTACTATTTTATATTCTCACCAGCAATGTATAAATGACCCAGTTTCTCCAGCATTTGGCACTGCCACTAAGTTTTATTTTACCCATTGATAAGTCTGTGGTAACATTCTGATAGGTCTGTAGTAATATTGTGATTTTAATGTTCACTTCCCTAATGGCTAATGATGTCGAATGTCTTTTTCATGTGACTGTCATCTACTTATTGCTCTGGTAAAATCCTTGCTGCTGGTTTTCTTTTTTTCCAATTTTAAAAATGTTGTGAACATGGCACATGTATACATATGTAACAAACCTGCACGTTGTGCACATGTACCCTAAAACTTAAAGTATAATAATAATAAAAAAAAAGAAAAAAATGTTGTGTTAAATTATACATAACATAAAATCTACCATCTTGACCATTTTTAAGTACAGAGTTTAGTGGTATTAAACATATTAATCATATTTGTAATGTTGTGCAACCACCACCACCATCCTTCTCCATGGCTCTTTTCTTTTTCTTTTTCTTTTTTTTTTTTGAGACAGAGTCTCACTCTGTTGCCCAGGCTGGAGTGCAGTGGCACAATCACAGCTCACCACAACTTCCGCCTCCCAGGTTCAAGCAATTCTCCTCCCTCAGCCTCCCGAGTAGCTGGTATTACAGGTGCGCACCACCACACCCAGCTAATTTTTGTATTTTTAGTAGAGACGGGGTTACACCTTGTTGGCCAGGATGGTCTTGAACTCCTGACCTCAAAAGATCCACCTGCCTCGGCCCCCCCAAAGTGCTGGGATTACAGATGTGAGCCGCTGCACCCGGCCGGCTCTTTTCATCTTGTAAGACTGAAACTCTGTACCCGTTTAATGCAAAATCTTCATTCCCTCCTCCCCATTCTCTCCTCTGCCAGCCCCTGGCAACCACCATGCTACTTTCTGTCTTTAACATTTTGAATATTCTCTGTTTGTTTGTTTGTTTGTTTGTTTGTTTGTTTTGAGATGGAGCCTTGCTCTGTCACCCAGGCTGGAGTGCAGTGGCACGATTTTGGCTCACTGCAACCTCTGCCTCCCAGGTTCAAGCGATTCTTCGTGCCTTAGCCTCCCAAGTAGCTGGAATTACAGGTATATCCTACCATGCCCAGCTAATTTTTGTATTTTCAATAGAGACGTGGTTTCGGCATGTTGGCCAGGCCGATCTTGAAGTCCTGAACCTGCCAGGTGAGGTGGCTCACGCATGTAATCTCAGCACTTTGGGAAGCCGAGGCGGAAGGATCACGAGGTCAGGAGTTCGAGACCAGCCTGGCCAACATGGTGAAACCTTGTCTCTATTAAAAATACAAAAATTGGCCAGGAATGGTGGCTCACACCTGTAATGCCAGCACTTTGGGAGGCCAAGGTGGGCGAATCACAGGGTCAGGAGATTGAGACCATCCTGGCCAACATGCTGAAACCCCGTCTCTACTAAAAACACCAAAAAAAGTAGCCGGGGGTGGTGGCGTGTGCTTGTAGTCTTAGCTACTCAGGAGGCTGAAGCAGAAGAATCACTGGAACCCAGGAGGTGGAGGTTGCAATGAGCCGAGATCACGCCACTGCACTCCAGCCTGGGCAACAGAGCAAGACTCTGTCTCAAAAAAAAAAAAAAACAAAACAAAATTAGCCGAGCATGGTGGTGGGCCCCCCCGTAATACCAGCAACTCGGGCTACTGAGGCAGGAGAATTGCTTCAGCCCAGGAGGTGAAGGCTGCAGTGAACCAAGATCATGCCACTGCACTCCTGCCTGGATGACACAGCCTGTCTCAAAACAAAAACAAAAACAAAAACAAAAAACTCCTGACCTCAGGTGATCCGCTCACCTGGGCCTCCCGAAGTGCTGGGATTACAGGCTTGAGCCACTGCGCCAGACTGGCCATTGGGAATATTCTAAGTGCGTCATATAAATGGAATCATTCAGTATTTCTCTTTATGTGATTGGCTTATTTTACTCAGCATAATATCCTCAAGGTTCATCCATGTTGTAGCGTGAGTCAGAATTTCCTTCCTTTTCAAGGCTGAGTAATATTCCATTGCATGTGTAGACCACATTTGGCCTCTCCATTCATGTGTTGATGAAAATTTGGGTTACCTCCATGGGTGTACAAATACCTCCTTGAGACTCTGCTTTCAATTTTTTTGAGTGTACACCTGGCAGTGGAATTGCTGGATCATCTGGCCATTCTATTCTTAATTTTTTGAGGAACTGCCATGCTGTTTTCCACAGCGGCTGTCTGCTGTTATTGGGTGAAGTGTTCCATATATGTCTGTTAGATCTAGTTGGCTTATTGTGTTGAGTTCTCTATTTCCTTCCTTTTTTTTCTATCTGGTTGTTCTGTCCATTATTGAGCATTGGGTATTGAAGTCTCCAATTATTGTAGAACTCTAATTCTCCTTCAATTCTGTTAATTTTTGCTTCATATATTTTGATGGTCTGTTATTAAGTGTGTAATTTTTTTTTTTTTTTTTTGATACAGAGTCTCGCTCTGTCAGCCAGGCTGGAGTGCAATGGTGAGATCCTGGCTCACTGCAACTCCACCTCTTGGGTTCAAGCGATTCTCCTGCCTCAGCCTCCCGAGTAGCTGGGAGTACTGGCATATGCCACCAAGCCCATCTAATTTTTGTAGTTTTAGTAGAGACTGGGTTTCACCATGTTGACCAGGCTGGTCTTGAACTCCTGGCCTCAAGTGATCTGCCTGCCTTGTCATCCCAAAGTGCTGCGATTATAGGCACCAGTCACCGCACCCAGCCTAAACTTTTTTTTTTTTTTGAAGTAGAGTTTTGCTCTGTCTCCCAGGCTGGAGTGCAGTGGCGCAATCTCGGCTCACTGCAAGCTCCGCCTCCCGGGTTCACCCCATTCCCCTGCCTCAGCCTCCTGAGTAGCTGGGACTACAGGCACCCACCACCATGCCCAGCTGATTTTTTGTATTTTTAGTAGAGATGGGGTTTCACCGTGTTAGCCAGGATGGTCTCGATCCCCTGACCTCGTGATCTGCCCGCCTCAGGCTCCCAAAGTGCTGGGATTACAGGCTTGAGCCACCACGCCCAGCCAAAAACCTTTTTTTTAAAAAAAGCATTTTACTGGTGCATTTATAATTTAAAATAGGAATAATTTGGGTTGCAAATATTTGAAAATTCCATCTGTGAATTAAAGAACACGTTAACTTCCTTTCTTAAAGGTAGTTTCCCAGTAGGACACTGTATGATTTCCTCTAGAGCAGCAGTCCTCAAACTCCTTGGCACCAGTGATCGTTTTGTGGAAGACAATTTTTCCACTGACAGGGTGAGGGGGATGCTTTTGGGATGAAACTGTTCCACCTCAGATCATCAGGCATTAGATTTTTTTTTTTTTTTTTTTTTTGAGACAGAGTCTCACACTGTCGCCGGGGGTTGGAGTGCAATGGCAGGGTCAGCTCACTGCAACCTCCCGTGTTCAAGTGATTCTCCTGCCTCAGCTTCCCAAAGTGCTGGAATTACAGGTGTGAGCCACCGTGCCTGGCCAGCATTAGATTCTTATAAGGAGCACCCAACCTAGATCCCTCGCATGTGCAGTTCACAGCAGTTCACAATAGGGTTCTCGCCCTTGTGAGAATCTAACACTGCCACTGATGTAAGAGGAGGCAGAGCTCGGGCGGTAATGCTCACTCACCCACGGCTCATCTCCTGCTGTGCAGCTGGGATCCTAACAGGCCATGTACCTGTACCCATCCGAGGCCCGGGGGTTGGGGACCCTTGCTCTAAAGAAGAGCAGACTTTTTTTTTTTTTTTTTTAGACAGAGTCTCACTCTGTCTCCCAGGCTGGAGTGCAGTGGTGTGATCTCGGCTCACTGCAAACTCTGCCTCCTGGGTTGAAGCCATTCTGCTGCCTCAGCCTCTAGAGTAGCTGGGATTATAGGCATGTGCCACCATGCTTGACTAATTTTTGTATTTTTTTTAGTAGAGACAGGGTTTCACCATGTTGGCCAGGCTGGTCTCGAATTCCTGATCTCAAGTGATCTGCCTGCCTTAGCCTCCCAAAGAGCTGGGATTACAGGCGTGAGCCACCATGTCCAGCCCAGATTTTTTTTTTTTTAATGAAACATTGTATCTGAACTAAGGAAGTTGCATGTAAAGTTAGGTAAATGGTAAAATACAAAAAAGAAAGAATCTCTGTAACTGATTTCAAGACTTGTTTCAATTGCCCCAGCTGCGTTTGAGCACCTGGGTAGAGACCTACCTGGCTGGGTCAACCCCAGCTTGGCTTTGCAACCTCTAACTGCAATAGTCCATTTCCTCATCTGAACAGGGAAGGTGAAAATGATGGCTCCTCACTGTGGGGTTGGGCGCAAGGGTTCAATGAGCGCTCCCATTCAGGTGTAAGGTTTAAATGAGCCGCTCCCCTTCAGGCATAAGGAACGGAGCCTGGTGGGTGGTCAGTACTCAGTAGATGTTGCTTATTTTCACTTTTTTCTGCTTCTGTTTGAGTCCTTAAAGTTTACAGCAAGGGGAGTCATAACACCCAGTGCCAGCTCCCTGTTTAGGGCTATGCACACTCAAGCACCGTAGCACTCGGCAAACATGGGCTGACAGCCTGCGTGTCCTCCCAAAGGTAGAAACAGCAGGGCTTAGGAACAGGGGAGCTGGGAGCACTAAAGGTGACTGCAGAGTCCAGCCCAGGAGACTGGGGGTGTCCAGCTGGAGAAGGCGATTTGGGGTCATAAGTGACCAACATTGAGACTCGGCACCCAGTCCGAGGGAGGATGGGGCCAGGGCAGAAGGCCCAGAGAGAGGAGATGCCGTCCAGCCAGGAGGAGGACGCTCACATTCACGGGAGCTCCAGAGGAGGGAGGCAGAGTAAAGAAGCGACCACAGTGCCAGATGCTGTAGGGGGCTGTGCACGGCCTTGGCCTGGCCTCTATATTTCTCCTCCTCGAGTTCTGTTTCTCTTATCTTTACTATTTGAGGCCACACCTGGCATGATGCTCTTCAGGGTCTCTGTCAACGGAGCGCCCGTCCAGAGGGCAGAACTGGGGAAGCCAGTATCACCCTTCCCTGACTCCGGGACACGTGAGGTGCAGATCTGGGCTCTGCCCAGAAGCCATGAAAGCCAATCTGATACTAGCCTTGGTTTCCTGGACTGGGACAGACTCACCTACATCCCTGCAGTCTTAGGGCATGTTATCCAGGTGACGCCACTCTGGGTGGCAAAGACAAAACCCAAAAAGCAAGGGCAGGCCGGGCGCGGCGGCTCACACTTGTAATCCCAGCACTTTGGGAGGCCAAGGTGGGCAGATCACTTAAGGTCAGAAGTTTGAGACCAGCCTGGCCAACAAGGTGAAACCCCATCTCTACCAAAAATATAAAAAATTAGCTGGGTGTGGTGGCGTGCACCTGTAATCCCAGCTACTCAGGAGGATGAGACAAGAGAATCATTTGAACCCGGGAGGTAGAGGTTGCAGTGAGCTGAGTTGGTGCCACTGCACTCTAGTCTGAGTGGCAGAGCAAGACTCTGTCTCAAAAAAACCAAACCAAACCAAAAACCAAAAAACAAAAAACAAAAAAAACAAGCAAGGGCAGGTGCAGCCCAGCCCCATCCCTGTGTTTCTCAGCACCTGGCCCAGGCTCTGCAAGGCACGGACTCCTGGGTGACAAAGTGGAGCTTCAGGGTCTCCTCCAGTGTGGCCTGGGGGTCCTGCAACCTGACTTTCACGGGACCCTGCCGAGGAAAGGGACAAAGGTTTATGCCGCATGCCTCTGCTGCATGCTCGCCCTCTAGAGGGTGTGACCTGAACAGCACACTTGAGAAGTTGAATTTTTCTCACCTTCCTACAGTTGAGGAGTGGGACTGTCAAGGCAAAGCAGCCTGGGTGGTGACAGCAGGCTTTGGTAAAAAGGTTCTCTCTGCCCTGGATCCTGGGTCCAGGTTCTATTCTGGTGTTACTGAGGGTCCTAGCGAGCTTGCACCGGAACTCCTTGCCTTGTCCCGTCTGCATGACTCTTGATGACCTACTTCGATATGGAGGGGTGTGCCCTACCTTGAGCTTGGCCCCAGCGTCCCCCTGTATGGAGCCTCCACCTGTTCTCCCTTTCCCAGGCCCCCCAGGCCCATCCCCTGCCTGCTAATAGTCCTTGCTCCTAGAGAAAACAGGCCCTGCAGAGGCCCCGGGTTGGATATGCTCACGTAGAAAATGTTCACTTGAGACCTTATTCGTCTGATCTTCCCTTGCTTGGGTGACTCTAACAAATGTCGACTTTTTTTTTTTTTGAGACAAAATCTCACTCTGTTGCCCAAGCTGGAGTGCAGTGGCACGATCACCGCTCACTGCAGCCTCAACCTCCGGAGCTCAAGGCATCTTCTCTCCTCAGCTTCCCACATAACTGAGACTACAGGCTCACGCCACCACACCTGGCTAATTTTTTTGTATTTTTTGTAGAGGTGGTCTCACCATGTTGTCCAGGCTGGTCTCAAACTCCTGGAATCAAGCCATCTGCCTGCCTCAGCCTCCCAAAGTGCTGGGATTACAGGTATGAGCCACCGTGGCTGGCCAAAGGTGGATTTTTCATCATTTTTCTCTAAGGGCTTGGGCTGGTGTGGTGGGGGTGCAGTGTACGCCTCACGCTTCCTCCGGTCTGTTTTTACAACCCTTTGCCATGAGATTTTGACACTCTTCTCATCAAGGGATGCAGTCTATTTTTTTGTCCCCTTCCATCTGGGCTGGTCTGTGACTTGCATTGGCCAATAAAATGCAGTAGAAATGATGTCATGTGATTTCCTTGGCTGGGCTTTGAGTAGCCTTGTAGGTTTCATTTTTTGCATATCTAGGACTTGCTCACCTACATGCAAGGAAAACAGACTTGTAGTCCTAAATGCTGCGAGACCAGGTGGAGAGAGGAAACACCCCAGCTGACAGCCTGCCCAAGCCTCCAGGCATGTGATGAAGGCCCCCTGGATATTCAGCCCCATCTAGCGATTCCCTTTTTTTTTTTTTTTTTTTTTGAGATGGAGTTTCTCTCATGTTGCCCAAGCTGGAGTGCAATGGCGCAATCTCGGCTCACTGCAACCTCCACCTCCCGGGTTCAAGCGATTCTCCTGCCTCAGCCTTCCGAGTAGCTAGGATTATAGACACCCGCCACCACACCCAGGTAATTTTTGTATTTTTTAGTAGAGACAGGGTTTCACTATGTTGGCCAGGCTGGTCTTGAACTCCTGACCTCAGATAATCCACCTGCCTCACCCTCCCAAAGTGCTGAGATTACAGGCCTGAGCCACCGAGCCCAGCTGGAGATCACTTGTGTTTTAGAGCACAGATCTCTGAACCTGAGGCAACTCACCCCCACAAAACAAACTGAAGGTGCCCTGTCTATACCTGGGATTGATTTAGATGACAGGATCTTGGATGTGATGTCTGAACATGATTCCATATTGGGGTGATACTTTGTGGCTGTTGGGAATGGGTGGGTTATTTTCAAGTGGGTGGAGTAAGATGCATTGGCACACAGGGAAGACTGATAAACTGTCATGTTGGCGATCCCCAGTGAAACACACCCCCTGATATTCACATCCTTGTGACTGGCTTCCCACACAACACACAGACACACACAAACACACACACACATACACGTATATTTTCTTTTTGAAAAGCATCTCGCTCTGTCACCTAGGCTGGAGTGCAGTGGTACCATCATGGCTCACTGCAACCTCCACCTTCTGGGCTCAAATTCTCCTCCTGTCTCAGCCTCTGGAGTAGCTGGGACTACAGGTGCACACCTGGTAGCAACAGGGTTTCACCATATGGCCCAGGCTGGTCCTGAACTCCTGGCCTCAAGCGATCCACCCGCCTTGGTCTTCCAAAGTGCTGGAATAACAGGTGAGAGCCACCATGCCCAGCCTCGTCCTCCCATATCAACACTGAGCTTGACCACTTACCTTGGCCAACAGGGCATTAGCAAGTGTGATGTAGGCAGAGTCTTGACCAGACTTGGTATTTTGGAACCCAGATGCCATTCGGTGAGGGAGCTCAAGCTGGATGCATGGGGTGACCACAGGGAGAGCATCTGACAGCCCAGCTGGGTGCCTGGCTGATAGCCCACACCAAGTACCAGGCAGGTAAGTGAGACCACTGGGCACCATCCAGCCCGCCTGGCCGCCTTCCGACTGTAGCTGCACGAGTGAGCCAGCTGCTGGCTCATCCAGTGGACAGGTCATCTGAGTCCTGATCCACAGAAGCCTGAACAATACACCTTATGGTAAGCTTTAAGGTGGGGTGGTTTGTAGCACAGAAATGGATCTTTGAAGCAGGTGTGATTCTCCATGCAAGGCTCTGGCAATTGCCCCAACCTTTATGCAGTCTCCAGTGACGAATTTCTTTACCCATTTATTTTGAAACGTGTATTTTGGCCGCAGCACCCAGAATCTGACTCCTCCACCTTGGTCGTCATGGAAAGCTCATCTCTGGTGGCAGTGTTATCATTCTGTCAATTACTCAAGAGCCCAATACAAACAGGTATCACAGAGGATGTGACTGTCCACTCTGTGTACCTCCTAGCCCACTCCTTGGGGCTAATGAATAATTTGTGTATTACCATCCACCGTTTTCTCATTCCTTTATACTGTTTTTAATCATTCATTTTTTTTCTTTCAACAATTGTAAATGGATTCCTACCCAGGGGGCAAGGCTGGCTGCCAGCACTGCCGTCGAGGCATGGGCAGGAAGCAGTGGACTCTGACCTCAGTGCGTTTATGGGAAGTGGAGGCAGATGGTCAAGAAATGAGAATCTACACACAGGGAAGATAAATCTGGTTTGTAACAAGGGCGGTGCAGGAAATAGACATGGAGATGGGGCAGAAGGGAACTGTGTGGGCAGCTCGCTTTAAGAGGCCAGGGGAGGTGACTTGGGAACTGAATCCTGAGGGAGAGAAGGGATAGCAGTGGGAAGAGCCGAGGGAAGCTTTGTCCAGAGAGAGGGAATGGCAGGTGCCGTGGTCTGAGGCGAGAGAGGGCTGGGTGACCTGGACTAGAACAGACACCAGCCAGACAGCATAGAAAACAAGTAGAGGAGCTGGGCGCGGTGGCTCACACCTGTAATCCCAGCACTTTGGGAGGCTGAGGCGGACAGATCACCTGAGGTCGGGAGTTCGAGACCAGCCTGACCAACATGGAGAAACCCTGTCTCTACTAAAAATACAAAATTAGTTGGTCATGGTGGTGCATTCCTATAATCCCAGCTACTCGGAGGCTGAGACAGGAGAATCACTTGAACCCAGGATGTGGAGGTTGTGGTTAGCCAAGATTGTGCCATTGCACTCCAGCCTGGGCAACAACAGAGAAACTCCGTCTTAAAAAAAAAAAAAAAAAAAGTAGAGGGTGACAAAGCTGGCACGGGAGGAGGGAGTCTCATGGGTCATTGGGAAAAATGTAAATTTCTTTTTTTTTTTTTTTTTTTGAGACAGAGTCTTGCTCTGTCCCCCAGGCTGGATTGCAGTGGTGCCATCTCGGCTCACTGCAACCTCTGCCTCCCAGCTTCAAGCGAGTCTCCTGCCTTAGCCTCCTGAGTAGCTGGGATTACAGGCGCCTGCTACCATGCCCAGCTAAGTTTTGTATTTTTAATAGAGACACAGTTTCACCATGTTGGCCAGGCTGGTCTCCAACTCCCGACCTCAAGCGATCCACTCGCCTCGGCCTCCCAAAATGCTGGGATTACAGGTGTGAGCCACCGCACTCGGCCTCGATTTCATTTTAAAAGACAACAACTGGGTGTACCCTCCCGCATGTGCCCACATGCACGTGCACATGCATACATGGGTGTGTGAGCCTACATGCATGTGTACATGTGCATATCCATGTGTGGTTGGGGTAGGGGTTGTTTCATGTCACCAAACAGTGACATGACCTGGTTTTTCTTTTGAAGAGTCACTCCAGAGCTGGGCCAGGTGGCTGATGCCAGTAATCCTGGCACTATGGGAGGTCAAGGATGGAGGATTGCTTGAGACCAGGAGTTTGAAGACCAGCCTGGGCAACATAGCAAGACCCTGTCTCTACAAAAAATTCCCCAGGCATGGTGGCATGGTCCTGTTGTCCCAGCTACTCAGGAGGCTGAGATTGGAGGATTGCCTGAGCTCAGGAGTTCGAGGCTGCAGTGAGATATGATCACGCTGCAGCACTCCAGCCTGGGTGACAGAGACAGAGCTTATCTCTAAAAAAAGAAAAAAACAAAGTCACTCCAGTAGCTGCATGCAAAGGGAATGGGAGCTGAGCTGGTGAACCGGAGACTGTCAGACATCCCAGGCGACAGGTGACAGTGATGGCAGTCAGGGTACATTGGGGGTGAATTGTGGGGATGAATTCAGCCAGAGTGAGTTACTAATTAGATATGGAAGTGAGAGGAAGGGGAGGAAGCAGCGTTTTGGGGTTGAAACAGCTGGGCGAATGAAAGGGAAGGTGGGCAAAAGAAACATTCAGGATTAAGACCAAGACTTCTAATGTGGCATTGTCAAATTCAAGGCGGCGTGGCAGGGGGGCCACCGGGGCCGAGGGGAGCTGTGATCATATGGGAGAGGAGTGCAAAGCCCACAACCTGGGTGATACCTCCCAGGACCGGGGCTGACCGGGGCTGCTCTAACGTCTTTCTTTCTTTTCTTTAATTTTACATTTTAATTTAAATTATATACATGAACACGGCAATGAAGGATACCACAACAGTCCTGTGTTCTGCCAAACAAGCAACGACCATGCTTCTCTAGCCAGGTGGGCCACCTCAGGACTCTTGGGCAGGAAGCACCTACTGGGCCTTGCAGGCCTCTCCCAGCCCCGCTCTGTGCACCCTACATAACCCTAATGAGCCTGGCCTTAGGGAAATCTCAGTGCTGCCTATGGTTTTGCATAGACACCGGTGTGAATCTGGGCTCTACCACTTACCCTCTGTGTGTTCACAGGAAAAGGAAAGAATGGCTTTTCCTCGTAGCACGGTGGTGTCGGGAGCAACTCCCTATTCCCAATATTGGGTAAGATAGGGTTGGATTGGGCGCGAAAAGAGCTTAGCCCAGAGGGGAGACATGGTGCATTTGCCAGAAATGGTGGGTGCCACTCTAAAGGTGGGTGAGGAGAATCTTCTCTCCAACCGTCTTCGCCCCCTGGGCACAGTGCCATCACCTGGGATTTGCTGCCCCCCTGCACACCTGCCCCAGGAGCAGGAGGAGACTCAATAGATAGCATCAGACTAGAGACTGGGGCTGGGAACAGGGCTGGGAGCCTAGAGCAGAAGCCAGGTCCAGAGAGGGTTAAGGGGAGAGGACAGTCCCCAAGGGAACCAGAAGGAGCCCCTGGAGGGCAGGAGGCAAGTGACCATCACCAAGGAACCCGAGGAGGAGGCTCAGGAGCAGAGGCTTCGAGAGGCTGCAGGACTGGCTGTCAGCACCGTGTTAGCCATTAGCCATCATGTCCTAGTCCCTTCACGGTTCCTAGGTCAGGGTCCTCCTGCTTCTGTGACGGTCACAGCATGTGCTCCTGTGGTCCTCCTCTGGTTGCTCTTAGGACACAGGAGGCTTACATCACTTCAGAGTGACCGCAAGCTGCTGGGTCAGCAATGACCTGCCCCACCCCTTCCTGAACTCAGGTCCCCTGTGCCACCCACATCAGTGTCACAGAATAAGGAAGTTCTCTGCTGTGTCTTCCCACAAGCATTGGTTTTGATTTCCCTGCTCTGACAATAGCCCTACAGGGATGCTGTGGAGTGACAATGAGGAAAGCGAGCCTTGGCCACACTTCAGTCACTTTGGGCAGCAGGGACCAGGAAGGCAGGAGGCCAGGGGACAGGCAGGAGGACAGGTATCCACACCCTGGAGAAAGGTCTCGAATAAGACTCAGCGCCCCCAGAGAGTAGGCTCCAGAGCAGCCGACCCTACGTCCCCTACTATAGCCAGCACAGGGCATGCCTGCTGCATCCAGGGCCCTGCAGGGCGTGCAGTGCAGAGAGCAGAGTGTGTCCTGGGTCTTGATCCCAGGCCCTGGGAAGGGAAGGAGACAGACATGCTGAGCCCTTGTTTGTGTCAGTCCATCTAATTACGGCAAACTAGAGCAAGGGGTGCTTTCATCCCCATTACTCCTCTAGAGGAGATACGAGAGGCTCTGAAAGGTACCTAGACTTGCCCAGGCCCTCCCAGTGAGCAGAGTGATGCAGGGACACAAATGCCCTCAGAAGGCTCACCCTGTGCCCTTTCTCCCACCTCCAGCCCTGCAGAAATGTGTGGGAAGCTGTGCTCCTGCCCCAAGTGAGCCCCTGAGTCCCAACGGCAGGTCTGGCGCCATCCTTTCCCAGGTCCACCTACTGCACCCAGCACAGCTGCCCGAAGAATGCACTGGCCCTGTGGGCCTGGGGGCTGCCCCCTGTCCTGCTGATTCCCCTGTCTTGGCTCCTCTTAGACCCCCCATCCTTGGCCAGCTGTCTCATGCAAGAGAGTCCACATCCTGGGGACAGTCCCACCCTGGCCACCCGGACCAAGCACAGCTCCTCGCCCTCCCAGCCTGGCCGGTGCTCGCTGAGGTGGAAACCTCAGAAGAAGGTGGGAGTGATCCACCCTCCTCAGCACAGTGTCCCTGCCATCTTGGTGGGCACCACTCCTCATGGGCAGACCAGAGGAGGCCCTGTTCTCTGCCATGAGGATGCCACCTCCCATTCTGTCTCCAGACCTTGGACTTCTCTAGTCAAGAGGATATCCCCTGGGGGCTGTCAACTCCCAATTGAGTCTCGGGTGGTTCCGGTGTGAGCTCATCTTGGTGTGTTGTGTGAGTCTGACCAGAGACCACCTTTCCCAGTTCACACTCGAGGCACACACAGCATGGTGCCCTGCAGTACCCACTGCCCACCTGCACAGAGACTGCACCTGTACCAGCAGACACGAATGGGCTGTTGTCCCTGCTTGTGCCCCCCACAGGCCTGCCCTTCCAGGAGGGGGTGTCGTCCTGACCCAGCCAGCTCTACTCCCAGCCCCAAATGTTTCGTCACTCAGCCCTACAAAGTGCTTCTGAATCCACCGAGGGCATGATAAGGCTCTCCTTAGCACAGAGCTCTGAGTTAGAGTGGGGGTGGGGCACAAAGAGTCTGGGGTTCCTGCTATGCAGACCCTGTGCCCTGCAGGACCCTCGGAGGGCAGAGCCCTTGCCCTCCCCCAACTCTTCCTGTGTGGCTGCTGCTTCCCAGAGCAATGGCCTCTTACCGGAGCAAATGTGCCTGGGTCGCCAGTGGCCACGACAGCCCTCACTGAGCTTTCTGTGGGGAGACCCGGGAAAGCTGCACGCAGGGGACAGTGCTTTGCTGGGCATCCCCAGGGGCGTCTCCTGCCTGTCTTTGACTCCTCAGTCTCTGATTCTGGGGTCTGCAGGACTGTCCTGGGGCCCGGGACCCAGCCTCAGCCAGGATCCAGGAACTCTGGGCTGTCGCTCTTATCCTAGCTCCCAGCCACCTCTTATCTACTCCCCAGTCCCCACCGCTGGCACCTGCTCCCTGAGGGGAGTCCTTGTAGAATCCCCTTTTATGGTTACATTTGCTGTCCCCAGTCAATCTGCTTGGTCCTGAGCAAGAGTGACCTGGGGGATATCCAAGGACAAGGCTGAAAGGGGGAGAGAAAGGCCCAGAGTGTGTGTGCAGGGCTGCTGTCCCCAGGGGGCCCACAGGAGCCAGGCTGTGTCTTTACTGTGACCTCCCTCCCCAGCCAGGTCTCTGCAAAGGTGGCCACTCTGAGATGTTAATTGGATGCAAGGACGCTGGGGTGTATTGGGTGGAGGGGGCTTGGCTGGGATCTGGAAGATGGGGGTGTAAGGAGCAGTGTGAGGGACGAGTTGCCCTAATTGGGAACCCGGTCTTCATTCTCAACAGAAACTCAGCGGCCTCATCTGCAGCGGGTTGGGCTGGGAGCCCATCACGGATGGGTTTACAAACCAGAAATGTTAGACTACAAACAACAATTTCACATCTGTAAACCACTTCATCTGATGACAAACATGGCCTCAGGCTCAAATGTTTACAGCAAATTGGGGCAAAAATACTGTCTGGAGTTAAATTCTCAGTAGCAAATTGTACAAGCCGGAGAGCAGGGCAGCGCCTCCAGAGAGGAAAGAAGAGAGGGTGAGTGGGGCTCCCCCCCCAGCGCAGAGGGAGGCCAGGACCCTCCCTGGCCAAGGATGGACAGGGCCAGCCACTGTCTGGGCCTTTGACTCCCACGAGCCAGCCCAGGGTAGGTTAGATGTGAGTGGGAACGATTTTACTCCAGCCTCTGGACCCAGGATCTTCCATAAGTGCCACAACCTGGAACAGCAGGGCACGCTCCCCTGGGATTGCTGTGCCCCCTGACAGTGCCACCACCCTGCACACACACGTTCCTCTGTGCACTGGAGCCTGACTCTCTCAGGGCAGCAAAACCCAGTGACAACTGGGCACTTCCTGGTCCTCTTGAGGTCAGGCCAGGGCAGAGTGTGTAAGGCATCCATAAAACCTGGGGGTGACTCTGGGCTCATACCAGGGCTGCAGTCCTCAGGGTGACTAGGATAAGAGTGTGCACCGTCCCTGGGCCAGCTGGAGGGAAGGAAGGAGATTGTGCCCTTTCCTGGGGAGTGACAGCCCCTCTCCATTTCGGCCTCTGCAACACTGAGGGAAAATGAAAGACCCCACATTCCGCTGGAGTTTCCACCAGAGCCCAGGAAAGGTCCCCAGGAACAAGAAGGAGCTGGTTCCCCATGTGGGCGGCAGGGATGGGAGCAAGGAGAATGGCCTCCTTCACAGGTGCAGGCTTCGCCCAAGATTCACCCTGGTCCCCTGTAAGGGGGGGACAAGGCAAGTACCCAGCAGGGGTCCAGACTATTGAGGGACAGAGCAGGGCAGAGGGACCCTGGGCAGGTGCTGGGCTGTGCAGCCCGGGTCACCCTGAGACCAGAATGGAGGTTCCACTTGGGTCTGGAGTCCATGCTGCTGTGTACGAGGTCCCGGCTCTGCCGCCACTGTGGGGCCCCGACCCCTACAGCCCAGAGGGACCACAGGCTCTCAGTTCCCAGCCCAGGTCCCAGCAGTGTCATGAGGCTGTGTCCAGTCACCTCACCAGGACCCCCAGGGCTCCCAGGTCATGGGCAAAGCTGTGAGTTGAGGCCCGGGGGACAGGAGCCTGGGCCCTTGGAAGGTGGGGTTCTGGGGGACGAGGGGCAGGTCTCTCTGGGAGCTGCCCTGTGACATGACTAACTCTGGTGTTCTTTCACCAGGTGAGCCTCTCATGCCTCCCCTACACTGGTCCCTTTGCCCAGAATGACTGCACGTTTTTCATCACTTGCTTCCAACAAGTGGAGTTAGGACTGTTATCAAACCCAGAGACACAAGCAAAGGGCAGCTTTGACAAGCCGGTCCCTCCCGCACCCGCCCCTGCGTGGGAAATGCCAAAGTCCTCTGCTCAGGGCGGGGCTGGGGTGCGCCCCGGAGTGCTCTGGGGCACCTGGAGGAGGTTTCTTTGTGTGAAGTCTCTGTCACTGTGTGTGGGTGTGTGTGTGTATGTGTTTTGTGCATGTGTTGTGTGTGTATGTGTTGTGTGTGTTGTGTGTATGTGTGTCTTGTGTGTGTTTGTGTGTTGTGTGTGTCTAGGCCAGGGAAACAGTGAGTCGTTTCTGCCCAGGAGCAGCTGCATGTGAGGCCCGTTCTTGGTCTTATATGCGGCTTCTGAGGACTTTCCAGAAATCGTGAGGTGGGAGCCGCCGCTGTAATCAGGCATATAAGTCACACATCCCAGAGTTGGGAACCAGCGCAGAAGGCCCAGGACAGACGCCAAGCTGAAGCCACAGCCCTGACACCTGCCGCCCTAGCCCTGGGCTCCGTCTCTGCCTCTGGAGCCTCCTGTCCCCGGGACTCAGCTCCCCTCCCCTCTGTGGCTGGGCTCTGCCTCCTGGGCTGCTCCTCTCCCCAGCCCTCTCTTTGGGCCCAGCCTAGACACCTGCCCCCTCCCTGGGCTCCTTCCCCCGACTGGGCCTGTCCTGGGTCTCAGCCATGGCCTCCCCTGGGCTCCCTCTCTAGGGGGGTGGAATCAGGAAGGGGTGGACAGAGGGCGGCTCCCGAGGGCCCCTGACTGCACGTTTGTGGTTCCTTTCCAACAGGGAGACTGGCTGCTGGCTGTCCTCTTACTGCTGGGCCTGTCCCTTCCAATCAGCGCCCGGGGCTCTGTAAGTGAGGGTGGGCGGGGCTCTGTGAGTGAGGGTGGGGTCTGCATTTAGGTTCCTCTCCTGTGAGGTTTAGCTGAGTTTTCTGGATCCAGAGGGATGTTGTGTGACCTTTCCCCGCTACAGGTCCGCTACACAAGGAAAGACATCTACACATTTGCTAGTGTTTGTGGAAACTCTTGCAATTCATGACACAGTTACTGAGCAAAAGCAATTATGGAAGATTCTTAATTTTGTGTTAGTCTAGATATGAAGCCAAATTATCATTTCATTTCATTAATACATTGAAAATTATTCTGAGAATATTGAGCATAATCTTACTATTGTGTACTTGGAACATAAGAGAAATTTTCAGTTAAAATTAATTCAGTCTGGTTTTTTTTTTTTTGAGATGGAGTCTGGTACTGTCGCCCAGGCTGGAGTGCAGTAGCGCAATCTCGGCTCACCGCAAGCTCTGCCTCCCGGGTTCACGCTACTCTCCTGCCTCAGCCTCCAGAGTAGCTGGGACTACAGGCGCCCGCCACCACGCCTGGCTAATTTTTTGTATTTTTAGTAGAGACAGGGTTTCACCGTGTTAGCCAGGATGGTCTCGATCTCCTGACCTCGTGATCCACCCGCCTTGGCCTCCAAAGTGCTGGGATTACAGGCGTGAGCCACCGCGCCCGGCCCACTCTGATTTTTTAAAAATCTACTTGATCGGGAGCATACTGCTTTGCTGGCGTCTGTGAGCAGCTGGAGATGGTGGTGAACGGTCTGTTTGCATTTCTTGGAAGAAGATCTTTTATTCTGCTGCTCAACCCAGGTCTCTGCCTTCCTTAGAGACTGAGGCCCATCCTTCAGTTTCCCTGATTCTGGAAGAGCAGGGGGGTTGAATGGAGCAGGAGGTGAGAGAGTGGAAAGAGGGCACAGGGAGGTGGCCTGGGGACAGTGACAATGACGGGAGAGGAGGGAGGGATGCGGGAGGTGGGAAAGAGAAGGAGGCTGTGAGAAGGAAAGGGAGGGACGGAGCTGGGCGCCCTGTGGGGAGCAGGGAACCCAGAGGAGGCTCTGAGCAGAGGGGAAGGCAAGGCCCAGGGGAGTGGGGAGGAGGGGGAGGCCGATGGGGCACCGGGCAGAGGGAGGAAGCCCTCACCTGGAGAATGGCCCGCAGCCTCCCACTCAGGGCTTGGCTGTGCTCATCTAGTCCATCCCAGGGCTGGAAGGGACATCCCTGGTGGTCCACAAAGGTGTCCCAGCAGTGCTTAAATTCTGAAAAGGGACAGGGGAGATAAGTCACGCTCCCGCTGTGGGATCGGGGTGGCACCTAGGGCCCATGACTCTCAGGACAGACTTCCCACATCCTGGTTTCAGTCCCTCCTTTCCCTCTCCCTCCCCTAGGGACTTAGCTCCTTCATCAGGCAGTTCCTTCCCATTGGAATCTGGGCCAGCCCAGTTCTCATTCTTTCAGAAAGCCCCAAGTTCTGCTTCCACTTCCAGCCACTCTCCCTGCCCTCCCTGGGCCCACATCTCCTGGCCTGGCCTCTCTCTTCCCATCGACCCCAAAGTCAGGTCCCAGAGTCCAGCCATCGTTTCTGCAGGCAGCAGACCAAGGCCTTTCTCCTTTTCTTCCCAGGAACCTCTCCTGCCCCCACCCACCCCACCCCACCTGAACCTTCCATTCTTACCATCGTAGGTCATGATGGAGACTTGGGCCCCAGCATCCCGCAGCATTTGCAGTGCCTCCTTATATAGGGGGTCGTAATCATAGATGCGGGCAGCGAAGATACGCAGTCTCACGTGTGTGTTCTCCTGAAGGAACGCACGCACTTCCCCGGCACAGCCCCAGGAGAAGCAGGGGCTCCAGGAGATGAACCAAGTGACCCTGTAGATCTGGGCCGGGTCCAACTGCAAAGAAGGAACCAGGTCCAAGAAGCGCAGCTCCGCATGGCGGCCGTAAAAGCCACAGAGAAGATTCTTAGCCTAGAAAAGGAAACAGAGTGTGAGGTGATGTGTGGTGAACAGGGAGGGAGCGCCTGGACCAGGTGGGGCTGGGGAGGCGGGGGCCTCCAGCACGAAATTAGAGGGGTCACCAAAACCCCGGTTATTAGGATGCATGATTTTCTATGCAATATTAAAAATATCAGATGTTATGCAAAAATCCCAAGATAAGCAAAATGTTGCCCATTTAAATACAAACAGATCAGGAGCAATGAGGTTTTATTTTGCCCCAGCTCCACTATACACAGGACAGCACTCTCCTGCCAGGCTTTATTAAAATCTTTGCTTTTATTCATCATGATCTATTTGTATTAAATTTGCGTTTTAAAATATTGCATTAATTATTAAATTAAAATGTGTTTTCTCTAATTACTGAGCATTTGGAGCCCCCATCAATTTTGTACCCAAGGTCAGAGCCTTCAGGACCCTCACCCCAGACCCAGCCCTGCAGGGAGGGGCTACAGAGATGGGGGCAGGGAGGAGGGGCCGGCGGAGCCCCGAGGTCATTGGCCTGATGGCCCTGAGTGAGTGTGCTTCCTTCAAGGGGAGATTGACCTGCTCTACTCATCAACTCCCCTACTCCCATCCCATCTGTGGCCCATAATTCTAGAAGCTTCTATTCTGTGCCACAACCTGTGCTGAGCCCAAATGTGATATAGACTTAGGCCAAAATGAATTCCACCAAAAGTAGTGGGGAAGAGAAGACCAGCAGGACTCACTCCAACGTGGGAAGGTCCCTGTGACATGGTATAATTGTCATTATTTTGACTTATAGAAATATGGTATTTACTCCAAACTCCAGAGAAAAGGATTTTCCACTAAGACTAGGAATCGGTCAAGTTGGGGACAGCAGGGCAGCAAGGACTGTGATTGTGATGGGGACAAAGACAGGGAGGGACTCCATCAGCAGTGATGCAGGGTGGAGTGGATGACATGGTTTGTGCTGAGAAGGGGCTGTGGGTCGTTCCTGGGGGAGTCCCACTGCTTAGGCGGTGATGGAGACTGGCACCCTTGAAAGGATGTTCCAAGCAGTGTGTGTGGATCCAGCGAGGCCCACATTGAGCTCATAGAGCCCAGAGAAGGTCCCAGTTTCCAGCACCGGAGCCAAGCATTACCTGGTCTCTCCAGACAGAGGCTGTGCTGGGTAGGGGCCAGGGAAGAAAGTCCCCCGGGCTCAGGGCCCCTCAGCCTGGCCTGGCCCAGCTCCTCCCCAAATGCTGGACATCCCTGCATCCTGACATGGGACCTGTTCTGGCCTTGCTGTGGGCTCCACCCTGGGCAGGACAGGATCCCTGGTCAGCCTCTCCTGCCTCAGTCTCTCTCCGTGCAGGATGAAGCCCAGGAGAGGGCACTGGGGCATCCTGGCCTTGTGAGGTCAGGTAGGCCCTGAGTCCTCAGATCCCACATTGCTGAATTGTTCCTGGTGAGAGCTGTGTCTGTGAGGGGATCCTGGGAGGGTCCTCAGGAAGCACTTTGCCATTGGGCAGACTCAACCCCACCTGGGCATGGATAGTCACTGAAGCCGAAGTCTCCCCCCAACCCCAGGGCCAAGCAGCAGCAGCTGCAGGAAGCACAAGTGACAAACACTGCAGGAAACCACAAGTACAATCCGGAACCTTCTACCTATGAATGTCCCTGGATTGGAAGGGCCCTGCCCGGATTCGGATGGCTGGGTCGGTCACCTGGTTGTGTAGAAAGCCCCTGTGCTGGTCCATCTTGACCGAGGTGCCATTGTCCAGGCGCTCCACTTCGTAGCACAGGTAGGTCTTATGCCTTCCAATGCCATTGTTAAAGTTGGAAGTGAATATGTGTGGATCCATCAAGTGTCTGTGGACAGCCAGGGAAAAGACCAGAGGAGGAAGAGCCCTCCTGGACTGCCCTGCCTCCTCCTCCCTCCCCACACTTCCTCCCTTGCACCCCACCCTCCTTCCCCCTGCTCCGCACATCCCTTAGCACACTTCCAAACCTCCCCCTCTGACCCCTTCTATGGCTCACTGGGAGATCACTGCAGCCCTGGGGCCTGTCTAAGCCTTGTCAGGGTCTCCCCAGGGTCAGCTCAGTGTGCTCAGGCCCTCCGAGGAGGACCCTGCTCCTCTCCCTGGGGTAGAGCTGGGTCTTATTCTGTGGCCTCACCATGCACCCCTGTCCTGGCTCTGCTCACCCACAGCCCCTGCTGGAGATGGACCCTCTGGGGCTTCCTCCTGCCTGCAGGGTTAACTCCTACCACACCGAGCATCGGGACAGGGACACTCCTGAGGGGGATGACTGGGGAGAGGAACCTGCCAGGGACTTCTTTTCGGGTAATTCATAGGATTTTCCACATCCCTTAGGGTGCCCTGAGGTCTCCCAAATGTGCTTCTCAGGCAATTGAGATGGGGCAGCTCAGGACTCCTGGGCTGGAAACACCAGCCCCACCTTGAAGACCTCTCCCAGCCCCTCTCTATGCATCCTGACATAATCAGAATTAGAAAAATCTCTGTTGGGAGGCAGCACAAAAGAAAGAAAGAAAGAAGGAAAGAGAAAGAAGGAAGGAAAGAAAGAAAGAAAGAAGGAAAGAGAAAGAAGGAAGGAAAGAAAGAAAGAAAGAAAGAAAGAAAGAGAAAGAGAGATGGAGGAAGGAAGGAAGGGAGGGAGGGAGGAAGGAAGGAAAAGAAAAAGAAGGAAAGAAAGAAAGAAAAAAGAAAGGAAGGAAAAGAAAGAAAGAAGGAAAGAAGAAAGAAAGAAAAGAAAGAAAAAAGAAAGGAAGGGAGGGAGAAAGGGAGAAAGAGAGGAAGGAAGGAAGAAAGGAAGGAAAGGAAAGAAGAAAGAGAGGAAGGAAGGAGGGAGGAAGGAAGTAAAAGAAAGAAAGAAGGAAAGAATGAAAGAAAAAGAAAGAAAGAAGGAAAGAAAGAAAGAGAAAGGAAGGAAGGGAGGAAGAGAGAAAGGGAAATATTGGAAGAAAGGAAGGAAGCACAGAAGGGAAGGAAGGAGGGAGGGAAGAGAGAGAAAGAAGAAAAAGAAATAAAGAAGGAAAGAGAGAGAGAGAAAGAAAGAAGAAAGAAAGAGAGAGAGAATTGAAGGAAGGAAGGAAGGAAGGAGGAAGGAAGGAAGGAAAGAAGGAAGGAAGGTTCAAAATGTTCCCCACCATTTCGAGTAGACCTGGGCATGAATCTGGGCTCTACCACTCACTTGCTCTGTGTTCTCAAAAAAAGGAAACAAGGCTTCCTCATAGCCAAGCAGTCCTACAAGCAACCCCCTTTTCTTAATATTAGGGAGAACGAGATGACACTGAACATAAAAAGGGCTTAGGCCAAGTCCAGATACATGGAACATTTGCAAGAAATAGTAGATGCTCATTTAAAGACAAGTGAGGAGAATCCCCTCTCTGACCGTCTTCACTGGCTGGGGCACAGCACCATTATCTATTGGGATTTTCAGGCTCCCTGTGCACCTGCCCCGGGAGGTGGAAGGAGACCTGGAATTGGTACCATCGGAGGAGAGACCAGCGCTGGGACCAAAACTGGGAACCTAGAGCAAGAGGCCAGGTCCAGAGAGAGGGTCAGGAGGAAAAGAGAGGCCCCAGGGGTTTGAGGGTGAGAGGTGAGTGCTCATCAGAAAAGCTCAAAGAGGAGGCTGAGGCGCAGAGGTGCTCGGAGGGGCTTCCCATACCTGGGCCCGGATGCTGGGCTGGCTTCCATGTGCTTGTCCCTTCTCGGTTCCTGGTCTGTGTCCTCCCGCTCTTGCGACTTGCTCAAGGCGTGGTGTTAAGATCTTCACCAACATTCTCTTAGGATTCAGGAGCCTTAATATATCATCAGAGCAACCTGGAAGCTGCTGAGTCAGCGATACCCTGCCCCACCCCTTCTCCAGCTCAGGCCGAGTGTGCCACCCTCATTAGCGTCAGAACAAGGAAGTTCTCTGCCATGCCTCTGGGCAAGCTTTGGTTTTGATGTGCCCACTCTGACCACTGAACCACCAGACACTGTGGAGTGACAATGGGGATGTAGAGCTGGCCACACTTTGCTCCCTGTGGGCCACAGGAATCTGGAAGGCAGGAGACCAGGGGGCAGGTGAGAAGACAGGTGTCCACACCCTGGAGAAAGACCCTGAATAACACTCAGCGGTCCAGAGAGCAGGCTCCAGGACAGCCACCCCTGTGTCCTCCCCTGTGGCCAGTGCAGGATGTGCCTGGTCCAGGCTCCCTGGCACCTGCTGCATCCTGTGCTCTCTGTTAGGGTCCTGCATCTTCTTCCCTGGCTGTGAAGATGGGAGACCAGCAGGTCCTGCATCCTCCTATGCATCAGTGTATCTAATAATTGTAAACTAGAGGGAGGAGTGTTTTCATCCCCATTACCCAGAGGAGATGCTAAAGGCTCTGAAAGGTACCTAGAGATCCAGGCCCTCCCAGGAAACAGAGTCCCCAGCAGGGACACACCCCCACCCCCCTGTCAGAAGGGCCACCCTGTGCCCTTTCTCCCACCTCTGGGCCCTGCAGAAATGTGAGGGACACTGTGCTCCTGCCCCAAGTGAGCCCCTGAGTCCTGGCGGCAGGTCTGGCGCCGTCCTTTCCCAGGTCCACCTGCTACACCCAGCACAGCTGCCCCTGGAAGGTGCTGGCCCTGTGGGCCCAGGGGCTGTCCCCTGTCCTGCCTGCTCCCCTGTTCTGGCTCTTACTAGACCCCCCTGTCTTTGGCCAGCAATCCTCCCACCTCAGCACAGTGTCCCTGCCATTTTGGTGGGCGCCACAGACTAGAAGAGGCCCTGTTCTCTGCCGTGAGGACCCCTCCCATTCTGTCTCCAGATGTTGGACTCTTCTAGTCAAGAAGATGTCCCCTGGGGGCAGTCAACTGCCATTTGAGTCTCAGGTGGTTCTGGTGTGAGCTCATCTTGGTGTGTTGTGTGAGTCTGACCAGAGGCCACCCTTCCCAGTTCACACCAGAGGCATGCACAGCTGGACGCCCCGCAGTACCCACAGCCCACCTGGGCCAGAGACCACACTTGTACCAACTTTGGGAGGATCCAACCCTTCCCCAACCCTTCCCGGTGGCTCCTGCTGCCCAGAGTGTGATGGCCTTTCCCCTGGCTCAATAATGCATCAAATGCCCCTGGAGCAAATACACCCCTGGACCCATGGTCAGGACAGCCCCCACATGAGCTTTCTATGGGGAGACCCAGGAGAGCTGCAACAGGGGACAGCGCTTTGTTCAGCATCCCTGGGGCGTCTCCTGCATCTCCTGGCTCTGGGTCCTCAGCCTTGGGTTCCAGGGTCTCCCCAGCTCACCCACCCTGGGCACGTCCTCCTCCCTGCTGCCCCAGCTGGCCCAAGCCCCACTGGATTCATGACTGGCCCATGCCTGCCTCCCCTCTCTGATCCAGACAGGTCCAGATCTTCCAGAATGTCTCCAAATCTGTAAGATCCACTTTATGGCCCATCACAGAAACAGGCACATTGTCTGTTTCTCTTTCTAGTTTTACAAACCAGTCAGGTTAGACTATCAGCACATCTGCACATCTGTGAACCTTCTCATCTGATGACAAAGAAGGCCTCAGACTAAAATGTTTAAAGCAAAGTGGGGCCCAGCTACTGTCCAGAGTTCAATTCTCAGTAACTCACTGTACAAGCCATGCACCCAGGCAGAGCTCCAGAGAGGAGAGAAGACAGGGTGTTGGGGGGTCCCCACTAGCAGAGAGGGAGGCCAGGACCCTCCCTTGCCAAGGGTGGACAGGGGGAGCCACTGGTTGGGCGTCTGCAGCCCAGACATGAGCGGGGAACAGTCTCACTCTAGCCCCTGGACCCAGGAACTTCCATAAGGGCCACAACCTGGAACCTCTGAGTGAGCTCCCCAGGGACTTATGTGCCCTACCCCCTGCCAGTGCCCCCACCGACCACACCCACATCCTTCTGTGCACTAGGGCCTGACTCTCTCCCGGCAGGAATGTCCCAGACACAACTGGCCCCTTCCTGGTCCCCCTGCAGCCAGGGCAAGGCAGGGTCTTCAAGGCATCAGGGGAACCCAGGGGTGGTTAAGAGTGTGCACCTTCCCTAGGCCAACTGTAAGGAAGACGGAAGGAGATTCCACCCTTTCCTGGGGAAGGACAGCCCCTCCCCCATTTCTGTCCCTGGAATGTTGGCTGAACAATCAATGCGATAACTGTGAAAATGTGATAAAATACCAGGTCTTGCTGGAGTTTCCATAGGATCCTGGGGAAGGTCCAAGGCGAGAGAAAGAAACTGGATCCCCAAGGGGGAGGCAGGAGAATGGCCTCCTTAACAGGTGCAAGCTTCCCTGGGCTTTGCCCAGGTCCCCTGTAAGGAAAACTGGGGACAGGGCAAGTGCCCCACAGGGGTCCAGACTGGGTGAGAGGGACAGACCAGTGCAGAGGGACCCTGAAGTGGTCCCTGATTGCTGGGCCACTCAGCCCAGGTCACCCTGGGACCAGAACGGAGGTCCCGCTCGGGTCTGGAGTCCATGCTGCTGTGTATGAGGTCCTGGCTCTGCCATCACTGTGGGGCCCCAACCCCTACAGCCCAGAGGAACCACAGGCTTCCAGTTCCTAGCCCAGGTCTGAGCATTGTCATGGGGCTGCGTCCAGTCCCCTCCCCTGGACCCACAGGGCTCCCAGGTCATAGGCAAAGCTCTGAGATGAGACCCAGGGAAGCTGGGAGTCTGAGGAGCTCGGGAGAGAAAGGGCTCCCTGCTCCTGTGCCCCGCCCCCAACAGAGTGACATGACGAAAAGGACCCTTCCTTGGGATACCCCAGACACACCCAGATGCCCACTTCAACATTGCCCGTGGAGCAGGGTGAGGGGACAGTCTCAGCGTCCACCTGCTCCTCTGGCTTTGATTCTGGGCTCTGACAACAGCCCCGCCCTCCTCAGCCTAGAAGCAAGTGATCGAAAAAACCAAAGGATCTCTCCAAGCAAAGGGGCCAAGCTCGGGGGGGCGGGGGGGACAAAGGGTGGGGGGAATAGGGAGGTGGAGGAGGTGGCTGCACCTGCCCTTGGACAGGGGACAGTGCTGTCCTCCCAGGGTGGGGCCCTCTGTCCCCCATACCCCCACTGGGGTGGCCTCTTTGCCCAGAGTGACTACATGTTGTCCATTTTTCGGTCACTTGTTTCAAGGGGTGGAGCTGGGGCTGTTGTCAGAACCCAGAAATGAAAACGAGAGGATCGGGGTTGATGACGTGGTTTCCCCAGCACTCTTCACGGTAAGAATTGCTGCAATCCTCTGACTTGGGGCAGAGCTGAGGTAGACATCTGGGTGTGTCTGGGAAACCCCGGGGAAGGTTCCTTTCTGTCCTGTCACTGTCTGTGTGTGCTTATGTGTCTGTGTGTGTCTGTGTCTTTGCCACCAGAAGGAGTTGGGCCTGTTTGCTCATGAGCAGCTGTCGAGGAGGCCCACTGTGTACCACATATGCGGCTCCTGAGGTCCTGAGGTGGAAGGTCCCTACTGCATCCACCACCCCGCGGGGCAGAGAAGGAGCCCAGAGAAGGAGGGGCGTCCCACCTCGTGGAAGGCCAGGAATCAGGAAGACCAGTGTCCCTTGTGCTAGGGCAGCACAGTGGGGTCCCTCTCTCTTTCTCCCTCACCCCCATGCTCCTGGTCAACCTCCTCCCACTCCAGCCCTGGCTGCCAGGGCCAGCCCCCCACCTTCTCTATGGGGTGGGACGCTGGTGAGCCACGTATTCACGGGAGGACCCTCAGCACAGAATGAGCCCTGGACAGTCCATGCATGTGACTGACATTGCTCACTTCACCAGCCCATCTGCTCCCTCCCTTCCTGATGCAGGCAGCAGGAGAGGGGCAGAGACACAGACATCCCAGGAGGGAAAACCTTCTGGAAGAGCCTACTTGACATGCCTGGTATCCTTGGCTCCCAGACAAGTCTGGACCACCGATCCCACATGGTAAAAAGGACCCTTCCACAAGATACTCCCAGACACAGCCAGATGCCCCATAGAGAAGGTGGTGGGCAGGTCCTGGTGGTCCCGGCCCCACCCAGTCCTCCGAGGGAAGCATCCACAGCTGTTTCTGCTCCTTGGCCTCCGACACCCCAGTGCCATCCCCGGAGGGCCTGGGCTGCCCCTGCACGGTGAGCTCCGGGCCAGTGACAGCCGGGGGCCCTGCTCTCGGCACCACCCTCTTCCAGGGGTGGAGACCCAGGCCTTGGGTCTGTGAGCTCCTAGGTCTGTTTCTGGATGCAGCTCAGCTCCCTCTGCTATGCACAGAGTAAGTGCCCAGCATGTGTGCCATGGCTCAAGTTTGGGATGTAGGAGTCTGGGCTGGGAGGAAGGGCCTGGCTTCCGCCTCTGGCTTGGGATGGAGAGGGCACCAAGCTCATGGTGTCACTCGTGTCACTTGGCCGTTCACTGGTGCTCGGCAGAGGTTCTCTCGCAGGCTCCTGTGTTTACTGTATGGTGTCTTCCGCTGTGCAGAAATTTCAAATATGGCCCAGTAAAATATATCAGGCTGTCTTCCCTTGGGCTCACATCTAAGACCATGGCTGCTCCACCCTTCCTATGTGTAGAAATTCTTACCTGTCTCTCCACGGTATGTCGCTTGTCCAGGGAAGATTCCATGCCTGCCTCGTGGAAACACCCGGAGCAGAAAAGGCAGCATCCCCGTGGCAGGGAGGCCTGAAGGCCATAGTGTCTGGCATTGTGTGCCTTGTTTATGCCAGCTTTCTCAACCACAAGATTACAAAAGTGTTTTCCTGTATTTCTTCCTATCCTCTTGCATATGTAGATAAATACGCATGTGTGAGACACACATGCACACACACACACACATGCACATACCACCACACATTTGTTGAGCCAAGTGGGTGATGCTCCGTCGAGTGCACCAAGCTGGCTTCTTCCTCGGGGCTTTTGTGCCTGTGCATGGGTCCCTTTTCATGGGCTGTTTGAGCCCAGCTTCTCCCATGACAGCCCCTGTGTCTGCCTCCCACCCGGGCACAGAGCAGGAACAGCAGCCCTGCTCTCTTCACTAGGCAAGCGTGCTGTGCACAGGTAGGTGTTCAATATTGGATGAATAATTCATACTAACAAACCCTGTTCAACCCACCAAGTGTAAACTGCTGAGGTCTCCCAATATTCCTGGGGACACACTTTAGAATTCACAGTTCACCCAGGGCGGGTGAAAGCTTGCTTTTCTTTTTCCTCTTCAGCCACGGAACTTGCCGATGCCCACTTTTCCAATGCCAGCGTGAAAGCCCCAGTGAGTGCCCTAGAGGGGCAGGACACCAGCTGAAGCTCTTTTTGTAAAGTCTGTGCAAACTGCAGCAATCCACAACCATGAGCTTCACCTAATTCTCCTCCTTACTAATGAGGAAGTACACGGGTGGCCCAGAAATAAAGAATTTACACAGGCACTCTCTAATGAGATTTTATAAATTGCTACTCTTAGGCAATGTGACCTAGTGGGCAATAATGTCAGCACCTTGCATTGTGCAATTTGCCAGAGCCCAGCCCATGTCCAGTCCAAAGGGGGTGAAATTTCTCCTTGTGGCTTTAGAGCTTCCTTCTGAGCACCCGTCCACCCTCCTACACACACCCTTCTGAATGTTATAGCTTTATAACTGTATTGAGACTTTGTACAGCTCACTCTTCCAATTGTTATAGCTTTAAAATAGTATGGACTTTTCTTTTCTTTTTTTGAGACAAGAGTCTTGTTCTGTCACCCAGGCTGGAGTACAGTCATGTGATCTCAGCTCACTGCAACCTCTGCCTCTCGGGTTCAAACGATTCTCCTGCCTCAGCCTCCTGAGTAGCTGGGAACTACAGGCGTGCACCACCACACCCAGCTAATTTTTGTATTTTTAGTAGAGACAGGGTTTCACCATGTTGACCAGGCTGGTCTTGAACTCCTGACCTCAGGTGATCTGCCTGCCTCAGCCTCCCAAAGTGCTGGGATTACAGGCATGAGCCACCATGCCCAGCCATGTATTGACATTTTCTACCTTAACTCTCTTTATCTCTCGTAGTTTTCAAAATCAAATGAGTGGATCCAAGTCCTCTGAATGCAATGACCAGCTTGTCAGGTTCCAGTAAAGCCCTATCAACATTTTAAATGTGATTGCACTCGTTTATAGATTAGTTGGGTAGATGATTGATACTGGCAACCTCAAGCCTGCATTTATAATTAAATTGAGACTTCCATCAAGGGCTGGGCACACTGTGGGAGCTTAAGGAAGGACAGTGTGCTTCCTGCCCTGGCACCTCATGGCAGCCAGGCTTGAAGGGTCCCCAGAGAAGCCTTCACCACCCCCACGTGACGCCCTGCCCTTTGCTTGTGTCTCTGGGTTTGATAACAGCCCTGACTCCACTCATTGGAAGTAAGTGATAAAAATTGTGCAGTCATTCTGGGCAAAGGGGCCAGTGTAAGGGAGGCAAGAGGGGCTCACCCTGGTGAAAGAACCCCACAGTTAGTCATGTCACAGGGCGGGTCTCAGGGAGACCGGACCACCGTCCCCCAGAACCCCACCTTCCAAGGGCCCAGGCCCCCTGTCCCCTGGGGCTCACTCACAGCTTAGCCACGACCTCTTTCTTCCTCCCTGGGATGAGGCCCAGTGCCTGGAGATGGCCAGCCA
This sequence comes from Homo sapiens, assembly GCF_000001405.40. NCBI lineage: Eukaryota > Metazoa > Chordata > Mammalia > Primates > Hominidae > Homo > Homo sapiens. The sequence goes on along the minus strand of NC_000022.11, from coordinate 38,950,796 downwards.
TCCCTCTGGGGGCCACCAGGTGACCAGCAGGAGAGCTGCGTCTGCAGGAGCAGATGTGGGGGCAGAGCCTGGATCCTGAGCGTGGTCGCAGGCCTGGATCTTGTTGTATGTAATGACCGAACCCTACTCAGCCCCTCAGGCAGCTCTGCTGGTCCCCACAGCCACAGACCTCCCTCCAGCTCCCTCTGTTCCCACGCCCCTGTCCTCCTGGCTCCTTCGTGTCCACTGCCTCCTGTCCTCCCGCAGTTGCCTGCAGCCCTGCCCTGCCCCTCTCCTCCCTCCTCTCTTCTCCTTTCCTTCCATCTCTCCATGGATCTGAGTCTACTAGCTCTTCCCTTCGGGCCTAAACGGCTGCCAGACTTCTTCCTGCCCTCCTGCGCCATCCCCTCTCACTGCTGCTTCTAATCCCCTCCACTAAATAATTATTTTCCCCCAGGCCCATATAGTCACTGTCAACGTTGTGGCACAGTTTGGCCCCAGATATGTGAGCAGAAGTTTGCCAAGGGGAGACCTGGGGAAGGCTGCCCTTTCTGGACAATCCTGTCGTCCAGGGTGACCAGGGCCGGGAGGCTGGACCCAGGGGCTTCAGGCTCTGCAGATGGAAAGGCAAGAGAGCACCAGTGCCCACCATGGCTGAGGTTGGGAAGTGGGGGCTGCTGTCCAGGGGCAGAGTCCATCCTCCATGTGGAACCCTTCCCACCTGGGCTCCCTCTCTAGTGGGTGGAATCCGGAAGGGGTGGGAACAGGGCTGCTCCCAAGGCCCCCTGACTACACGTGTGGCTCCTTTCCAACAGGGAGACTCCCCGCTGGCTCTCCTCTTATTGCCTGGCCTGTCCGTTCCGGCCAGGGCTGGCCAGCAGTGGGGAGCTCTGTGAGTGAGGTCAGAGTTTGAATTCAGGTGCTTGTCCCGGAAGGGTTAGCTGTGTTTTCTCATCCCAGAAGGAGTTAGTGTGACTTTTGCCCCACATGAAGGTCCACTCCAAAAGGAATGACATTTATTCATTTCCTAGTGTTTATTTACACACTTGCAATTCATGGTACAATTACCTAACAAATTATGGAAGATTCTTAACATTTTATTTTAGAAGTGTAGCTTCAAAGCCAATTAAAACAATCATTTCATTAATAAATCGAAAGCTATTCCCAGAGTATTAACCATAATCATACAATTTAATTCTTGAAACTTAATTTTTTTTTTTTGAGACAGAGTCCCTCTCTGTCGCCGAGGCTGGATCTCAGCTCACTGCAACCTCCATCTCACGGGTTCAAGTGATTCTCCTGCCTAAGCCTCCTGAGTAGCTGGGATTACAGGCACACACCACCACACCTGGCTAATTTTTGTATTTTTAGTAGAGACAGGGTTTCACCATGTTGATCAGGCTGGTCTTGAACTTCTGACCTCAGGTGATCCACCTGCCTTGGCCTCCCAAAGTGTTGTGATTACAGGCGTGAGCCACCACGCCCGGCCAAAACATAAGATAAATTTTTAATTAAAATTAATTCACTCTGATTTTTTAAAAAATCTACTTGTCAGGAGTGCATTGCTTTGCTGGTGTCTGTGAACACCTGGAGATGGTGATGAACAGCCTGTTTGCATTTCTTAGAAGAAGATCTTTTATTCTGCTGCTCAACCCAGGTCTCTGCCTTCCTTAGAGACTGAGGCCCATCCTTCAGTTTCCCTGATTCTGGAAAAGCAGGGGAGTTGAATGGAGTAGGAGGTGAGAGAGTGGAAAGAGGGCACAGGGAGGAGGTCTGGGGACAGTGACAATGACGGGAGAGGAGGGAGGGACGTGAGAGATAGGAGAGAGAGGGAGGCTGTGAGGAGCTGTGGGCAAACCCAAGGACCTTGCCGGCAGAATCTTGTTTAATTTTCACCCCATCCCCCTAGGTGAGCAACTCTCATTACTCCCAGCTTCCAGATGTGGATGCTGAGGCTCAGGCAGGGGATGTCCTGTAGCCAAGGACACACAGGAGGAAGTGGCGCGGGGCATGGTAGGCCCTTTACCCACCTCTGGGCTCCCTCTCTAGTGGGGTGGGATCAGGAAGGGGTGGGGACAGGGCTGCTCCCAAGGCCCCCTGACTGCATATGTGTGGCCCCTTTCCAACAGGGAGACTCACTGCTGGCTCTCCTCTTATTGCCTGGCCTGTCCCTCTGACCAGGGCTGGCCAGCAGCGGGGAGCTCTGTGAGTGAGGTCAGAGTTTGAATTCAGGTGCTTGTCCTTCAGCTGCACCCTCAGCCCCTTCTGTGCAGCTTCCTGGATAGATGCCTCTCTGGGCAGCCCCAGCGCTTCCCTCCCAGGCCCTGTCTTCCCTGACTATGTTGCCAGGTGATGCCTTTGCCCTGGCAAGCTCTTTCTGGCAATTGGTCATTTCTAGCCTCATACCTTGCCTTGGAAGTAGGGTCACTGTGGCACTTTTCATCTGAACCTGGACCTTTTCAAGAGTGACAGGGGTGCTGTCACCCATGGCAGGGACAGCAGGCCTAGAGCATCCCCATCCAGGGCAAAAGGGACAGAGGTTCACCCTATTCAGAGGGAGTCGATCAATTGCTATTACATGGACGGGGAGGCTGAGGCTCTGAGATGTCCCGAATATAGATCTAGGCAAGCCACCTAACCTTAACTCCCTCCCCCGCACCAGAAGAACCCCTTGCCCACATGGCTGCCGTGAGGCTTAAGCAAGAAGGTGCCACTCATGTGCAGCAGCAGAAGTGGCTCCATTATTCCTCTTACCCTCACCCCCACTTCTCACCCCTACTTCTGTGAAGTCTCATCACTAATAAGCAATGAGTTTAAGTGCTGACCCTGAGTTCACTGGTATCAGGGCACCTGACTCATTTGGCATGTTTGTGATAGTCAGAGAAAAGTACCCCTGCTCTGTACAGACACATTTCTCCAGGTGCCAGCCTCTACTCATCCTCCCTGAGCAGTGCGAGGCTGAGCAACTGTACGTGGCAGCCCTGATTGGCTGACAGTGATCCCGGCAGTTAACATCAACACTTCAGCCCCTGGCAGCCCCAGGACCAATGTCTCTCCTCCACCTACGACATGTCCCTGCTCCTACCTGCCGCTGACCTCTCTGGCCGATGGCCCTCTCCCTGGTACTGTCCCTTTCACCTGCTCAGCTTGGAACATCTCCCTCAACTCTCTAGGAAACATCAGCCCAGGAAGACCCTGGGGGAAAGTGAGTAGAGAGAGGGGGGCGTGGCTGTTGGACTTTCCGCCTGTTCTCTCCACTGGGTTGTACCTCCTGTAAGAGCAGGGCAGTGTCATCTCTGCATCATCAGCGCCAGGTATTCGGCTTATGAGCCCTGAGTGAATGAGGATCAAGTGACTCAGTGAGGGAGACTTTCAAAGACTGGTATCACTTCCTAATCCCGCCATTCAGCCCCACCAGAGGTTCAGAGCTCAAGCGATCTGCTAGGCTGGGTGCTGGTGAAGTAAGAGGCACTGCATAGGGAACAAATAAACCCCGACACTGCAGTGGTTTAATACAAAAGACGTCTATTCCTCTCTCACACAAGAGTGTCATGCAGGCATTCCTCCGAGCACACGGGCAATTTCCTCCAGGTCGCAAATCAGAAGCCTCAGAGGGCTCCTCGGAGGCCTCAGCGCACAGGGATAGAAGCGGAAGGAGAGTGGGAAGTCTGGCCAGCTTTTTATCTTCACATCTGCTGGCAAGAACCAATGCAAAGGGTTGGGGATGATGGGAAATGGGGTCCGAGCGTGGCAACTCTCCCCAGAACTACCCTCGCTGGGCAGGGGGAGCAGCCAGCCACTCTGCCCCAAAGGCAAACCCAGCCAACATAAGCCCTTCCCCAGCAGCAGCTGGGGGCATTCCTGCTGCAGTAGCAGAGGTCCGCTCTGCCATTCCTCCTCCAGGAAGCCTTCCTTGGATTCTCCCGGGCCAGGCGGTTCTGTTCCAGTAGTCCCCAGTGCTCTCATTTCCCTGCCATGAGCCACACATTTTGAAAGTATCTCCCATTTGACGAAAACCAACCCTCCTTTTTGGTTTTGAACTCCTAGCACATGGTCAGTGCTTTTTCAATGTTTGGGGGAAAACTCAGTGAAAGAACGTGTTGGGACGCAGAAAACAATATCTCAAAATGAAGGCCTGAGAAGCAGCCTCAGAAGCAATAGCTTTTCTCTGAACTTTGCATGCCCTTTTGTCCTCAGTCTCATTCTCTTGCTAAGCTGGCCATAGGAAGTCGAATCCCCTTTCCACCCCCACCCTGCAAACAGCCATAAAACCTAAAAATATTACTTTTCCCCCCAAACCAGCCATAAAACCCGAAAATATTATTCTAACTTTCTCTCTGCCTTTCTATATAAAAACTGTTCATAAAGAAATTCTCTGGGCTGGGTGCAGTGGCTCATGCCTGTAATCCCAGCGCTTTGGGAGGCCGAGGTGGGTGGATCATCTGAGGTCAGGAGTTCGAGACCAGCCTGGCCAACATGGCAAAACTCTGTCTCTATTAAAAATATCTAAATTAGCCAGGTATGATGGTGGGTGCCTGTCATCCCAGCAACTCAGAAGGCTGAAGCAGGAGAATTGCTTGAACCTGGGAGGTGGATGTTGCAGTGAGCCAAGATTGTGCCACTGCACTCCAGCCTGGGCAACATAGTGAGACCCTGTCAGAAAGAAAAGAAAGAAAGAAAGAAAGGAAGAAAGGAAGAAAGGAAGAAAGGAAGGAAGGAAGGAAGGAAAGAAGGAAAGAAGGAAGGAAGGAAGGAAAGAAAGAAAGAGAGAGAAAGAAAGAAAGAAAAGAAAAGAAAGAGAAAGCAAGCAAGCAAGCAAGCAGGAAAGAAAGAAGAAATTCTCTGACCTATTTTGACTGTAGGTCATAAGACTCCCAGTCCAGAGAGGGCCTTGCCCCACACCCAGAAGGAAGGAATGTTGCTCAAAGAGGCCAAGAAGAATCTAGAGAGACAAGCCCTGCTGGATTTCCCCCTCAGTCTATTAGCATTAGATCAAACCCTTTTTGTCCAATTATATTTCTACATGGCTGCCCATACCTGGTTGAAATTAAGCATAAAAATGGATGACTTCCCCTGTATCTTTTGGTATTCATTCTGAAGGCTCCATCATAGACGTTAAATAAAACATGCATGCCTTTTCTCCGATTTGTCTGTTTTTTGTTGTTGTTGTTGTTGTTTGTTTTTTTTTGTTTTTGTTTTTGATGGAGTCTCGCTCTGTTGCCCAGGCTGGAGTGCTGTGGCACAGTCTCAGCTCACTGCAACCTCCGCCTCCCTCGTTCAAGCAATTCTCCTGCCTCGACCTCCTGAGTAACTGAGATTATAGGAGCCTGTCACTAGACCTGGCTAATTTTTTTGTATTTTTAGTAGAGAAGGGGTTTCACCATGTTGGCCAGGCTGGTCTCGAACTCCTAACCTCAGGTGATCCGCCCGCCTTGGCCTCCCAAAGTGCTGGGATTGCAGGGGTGAGCCACCACGCCTGGCCAAGTTGTCTGCCTTTTGTGAGTTCCTCTTTCAGCAAAACTTCAGAGGGCGAAGGGGAAGTTTTTTCTTCGCTCCCTACAGATCAATAGCCACCAACTCTGTCCTCAAGACACTGAGAGTCTAGTTTCATCCCTGGGTAAAATGGGTGGCCACCACACGATGAGGGGAATGTGCTGGGGAGGTGGGGGTGCTTAGAGCTGGGGCATTTCACACAACCCAGAGGGGACAGGGCTATCTGAGAAGGCTTCCCTGAGGAGGTGGTCCCTGAAATGAATCCTAAAGGCAGATAGGAGTCAGCCAGGCTGGAGGGCTGTGAATGGCAGAGACAATCATGACACAAGGGGTCTCGCATGCAGAGGTATCTGAGTGCATGATATTGAACTTGTCATAGTCAATTCTGTTCAGCGAGGGCCCCATAGGTGAGCCGAGAGACAGCCCAACCTGGGGCGTGTATTTGCCACCTGTGTGACTTTCAGGAGACTAATGGCACAGCAGTGTTCTAGAGAGCCCAGATCTTCCCACCCCCTTGCTCTCAGAATCAAATCTGAACCAGCGGCCGAAGGCCACCTTCCCACACCCTTCCTGAGTGGTCCCCAGCAGGTGCCCTGATGAGATGCAGAATCGGTGCTTCCATGAGCTCTCCAATCCCAGGAGAGGGGAAGGAGGGCAAAAGGGAAGCATGGGTGGTAAGCAGCCCCTGTGAGCGGAACATGGAGTGAACACAGAGGACTGGCCTAAACGGAGCTTAATTCTTCGAGATTCCTGAGCTTTAAGACCAAGGTATCAAGAGGCTGGACTCTCTTTGAGAACCACCGACAACCCTAGCCTTCAAAAGGATGGGCTAGGCACACACTGAAATCTCGTCAGCTTACACACAATTCCTAGAGAAAGGGCTGAGCATGGTGGTTCACGCCTGTAATCCCAGTCCTTTGGGAGGTCAAGGAGGGCTGATCGCTTGAGCACAGGAGTTCGAGACCAGCCTCGGCAACATGGTGAAATCCCATCTCTACAAAAAATACAAAAATTAGCCAGGCGGGATGGTGCGTGCCTCTTGTCCCAGCTACTCAGGAGGCTGAAAGGTGGGAGGATCACTTGAGCCCAGGAGGTCAATGCTGCAATGAACCATGATCACGCCACTGCACTCCAGCCTGGATGACAGAGTGAGATGAAAGAAAAAGAAGGAAAGGAAGGAAGGAAGAAAGGAAGGAAGGAAGGAAGGGAAGGAGGGAGGGAGGGAGCGAGGAGAAGGAGAGGGAGGAAGGGAGGGAGGAAGAAAGGAAGGAAGGAAGGATGGGAGGGAGGGAGGAAGGAAGGAAGGAAGGAAATGAGAGAAATGACCTAGAGATAAATTAATAAACAGATTTATGCTCAAAAACACAGCAGCAAGAGACCTTTAGATTCACAAGAGGTGGTGGTAAAGGGTCGTGGGAGGATTTTTTTCTCTGTTTTTGTTTACAGAGGAACATTGATCACTTTTTGTATCTGCACTCCACACACAGGCTCCTATTTAACTTTTACAATCTCCTTGCAGTGAAGGCAAGCGTCATGACCCTCGTTTTACGGGTGAAGCCACTGTGCAAAGACACAGCCCAGAAAAGGCAGAAACTCGACTTGAGGTTAGGTCTGCTGGGCTCCAAAGCCCCTACTGAGGAAAGACAAGTGTGACCAAAAGGCCAAACAGGAAGGCGACAGGACCAAGCAGGAAGGAGTCAGCACAGGGTAGAAGGTGACACCAAATGTTCTTGGCCAGGAGAAGGAGCTTTGAGAAGCTCAGCTGGAGTCAACGTTGGGAGGCATCATCAGAGAAGGGAGCACTGAGGCCTCGGACAGGGCAGGGACCCAGAGGGAAGGAGACCAGAAAAGGGGAAGGAAGAGGCCATCTCAAAGGCAAAAGCAGAGAAGACACCTTCAGGGAGGGAGGGTGAGTCGGGGAGGAGAGAGGCTTAAGAACCAGAGAAAAAAACTGCTTGGAGCCAGGTGTCGCCGATAGGGGGCTGTGGCGCCTCTGTCTCCCCACAGCACATTCCCTCTGCTTCCTGTTTCCTGGAATCTTGTATCACCTTCTCTATCCATTAGGGATCTTCGGTTTCAAGCAAAAGAAGTGGACCATAGCTAACGAGAAACGTAACAGAGCTCACGGGGTTGAAGGGTAAATTACAGAATCTGGGCTCAGGAAGCACAAGAACGAGTGACAGTGCAGGGTCCAGGAGCAGGAACCCATGCACAGCCCTGGAGGTCTCAACCACTGGGATCCACATTGCTCTGACCGTGTTTTCTGGTTTTGTCTTATTTTGTTCAGAGTCAGAGCTCCAGGGGAGTCAGATTGGGTTTGGGTTCTGAACTGGCCCTAGTCCTGGAGAGGGCAGGGGCCTGGGTTGTCTTGTCCACAAATCAATCAAGATGACAATCAAAGGAGAGGCGGTTCCCCAAAGGCAGCAGAGGAAGGGATGCTGGGCAGGCGAGTCCAACCCAGAGCAGCTACACAGCCAGGTGCTGTGGAGTGGTCAGTGCTGCCCTGGTCTCACCCGGAGCTTCTGTTTCATCTCCCCACAGCACGTTCCTTCTGTTTCCTGTTTCCTGGAATCTTGGATCACCTTCTTTACCTATTAGAGATCTTTGGTTGCAAGCAAAAGAAACTAACCATGGCTACCTAGAAACGTGGGGGAAGCTGGGTGCGCTGGCTCACACCTGTAATCCCAGCACTTTGGGAGGCCAAGGCAGGTGGATCACCTGAGGTCAAGAGTTCAAGACCAGCCTGGCCAACATGGCAAAAGCCCGTCTCTACTAAAAATACAAAAATTAGCCAGGTGTGGTGGCAGGCACCTGTAATCCCAGCTACTTGGGAGGCTGAGGCAGGAGAATCACTTGAACCCAGGAGGCGAAGGTTGTAGTGAGCTGAGATCGTGGCACTGCACTCCAGCCTGGGTGACAAAAGTGAGACTCCATCTCAAAAAAAAGGAAACATGGGGGGCGGCTCACAGAGTGGAAAGGTTAACCCTTTTCTACACTGGACAGACAGAAAAGGTTGAAGAGTTAACACCTTTCCACACTCTACAGCCATGGTCCAAGGAGGAGGCCAACAAGATCATGGCACGATTGTAAGCATCATCGGTGGAAAATCAAAAAGGTGGAACCATTTGGCTGCCACATGAAGAAGATGTTTTTTGGAACGGCATTAAGACAGGAAGATTCGGGAGAGGTAAGTCATCATGACCGAGGTTGGTGAGATGCACGTTCCTATAAGTACGGTGATGTAAACCCCAAAGACTGGGTTTTCAACATTTAGATTCAATCTATAGACAGGACATGGGAGGCTGAGATATGTTCACAAAATTAATATAAACATTCTCAACCTTAATAATGTGAAGGCGAAAGTGAAAGAGGTCAAGATGGAATGAGGAGGGAGGCTGGAAGAGGAGTGAGGGAAGTGTCAGCGGCTGATTCACAAGGTTGAGTCAAGTGATTCTGCTTCTTGTTGAGTTTCAGCAAGCACTTGAAGCTGTGGGCGTTTGCCCACGGGGGACCTGAGGGCACTGATGCAACTACATGAGGAGGGGAGAGGAGGGGAGGGGAAGTTCTGGAGAATTATAAGAGCGAAACTCTCATATTCGCGGAGGGAAGGCAGTAGATACCATCAAGAGCTAGTAAATCAAGAAATAGTGGTTCCCCGAGGAAACCACCCAAGGAACTAAAACCAGAGGGTCAGTATGACTGACTCCGAAAACCGGAAGCAGCCTAGAGGAGAAAATCCTCTGCGCCGTGTTCCCTTCTCCAGGATGTTGTCTTAACTAGTGTGTGTTATATCAACAACTTTTAACCTCATCCACAATGTGAAATAAAACGATACTATAACCAGGAATTAGTAAGAAAAGCACAGACTTTCATCAGAAAGCACCATTAAGGGAGTAAGGGAGTGAAAAGGCCTATCATAGACTCGGAAAAGATGTCTGCACTATATCTACCTAACAAAGAGTTTATCTCCCAAATATATAAGGAGCTCCAGAAAATCAGTAAGAAAAAGAGCCCATTATAAAATGGGCCAAAATCTTGAAGGAGCAGCTTACAAAAGTGGATATCAAAATGGCCTGTGAACCCATGAAAATGTGGTCAACCTCATTAATCATCAGAGAAATGTAAAGTAAAACCACAGTGAGATACCACTAGCCCCTCCCCACCAGGATGGCTAAAATCCAAAAGACTGACAACATCAAATATTGTCAAGGATGGAACTCTTTTACATTGCTGATGGTAGCATAAAAGGGGCAGCATAGAATGTTTAGTTGCAGCTACTAAAGCGAAACAAGCATCTACTCCATGACTTAGCAATGCCACTCCTAGGTATTATAATATCCAACTGAAATAGATGCTATGTCCACCAAAAGGCTGCATAAGAACGTTCACAGTCTGGGCGCGGTGGCTCACGCCTGTAATCCCAGCGCTTTGGAATGCTGAGGGAGGCAGATCACCAGAGGTCAGGAGTTTGAGACCAGCCTGGCCAACATGGCAAAACTCCATCTCTGCTAAAAAGAAGTACAAAAATTAGCCAGGCGTGTTGGCATGCACCTGTAATTCCAGCTACTCGGGAGGCTGAGTCAGGAGAATCCCTTGAACCCAGGAGGTGGAGGTTGCAATGAGCAGAGATGGTGCCACTGCACTCCAGCCTGGGCAACAGAACGAGACTCTCAAAAAAAAAAAAAAAAAGAACGTTCATTTCGCTTTATTCATGACAGCCAAAAACTCGAAATAACTCGGTCTGTCCAGCAACAATGGCATATATTAAAATATATTATAATATATAAAATTATTTTAATATATAAATTATATACAATGTAATTTTAATATATTATAATTTAAAATATATATTAAAATATATTGTGAATATGTTATACATGGTAAATATATTGTACTCTCTCCATCAATGGAATACTACACAGCAATAAAAATGAATGAACTCCTGGCATATAAAGCATCAGTGAACCCCACAAAAGTAATATTGAACAAAAGAAGTCACACATAAAAGAATTCATACTGTGTAATTTCTATGAAGTTCAAAAACAGGCAAAATTAATCTATGATAATAGAAGTCAGAACACCAGTTTCCAGTGGAGGGGGAACAAATCGAATGACATGCATGAGCCACCTGAGATTCTGGAGAAAGCCTCCACCCCATCTGGCCGGTGGTTACATCAACTGCAAACCTAAGCTTTTGCAATTAACTCTAAGTTATACTCCAATACAAACATTTTTGAAAGAAAACAAAGTTTCAAAGCCTGTATTTTGAAAGAAGGGAACAGTTTTACTAACGGACATAAAATATCCCAAATACACTGATAGACAGAAATACAACACAAATGCAAATAGAATCACCATGACTGCTCTTAGCTTTCTTTCTTTTTTTAAAATAGTAAACGGGTTATTTAAGTCCAAGTGACAGAATAATTGTGATTGAAGGAAATGAGGGGGTACTTACAATATATCAGAAACTAGGGAAGCTGACTTGGCATGGTGGTTCACGCTTGTAATCTCAGCACTTTGAGAGGCCGAGGCGGGGGAATCACCTGAGGTCAGGAGTTTGAGACCAGCCTGGCCAACATGGTGAAACCCTGTCTCTACTAAAAATACAAAAATTAGCCGGGCATGCTGGTGTGCACCTGTAATCCCAGCTACTAGGGAGGCTAAGGCGAGAGAATTGCTTGACCCTGGGAGGCGGAGGTTTCAGTGAGCCGAGATTGCGCTACTGCACTCCAGCCTGGGCAACAGAGTGAGACTCCGTCTAAAAAAAAAAGAAACTAGGAATGCTATAAAGCTACCGTAATCAAAAGAGTAGTATATGCACCAGGAGCAGAAATAGAGATGAGGAAAATGCCACACACAAACAGAATCAAGGATATTTGGGAAGCTGGTATATGACCAAGGTGGAGCTGCAATTCAGGGGTGGAAAGATGGGCCTCGATTCAGCTGGTGTTGTCCAGTGGATGAGAAATGAATCCTCCTGGCATTCCCGTGGCACAGTGAGCACAGCTCCTCTCCTGCACAGCTGCTCCCGCAGTCACCCGTTCCCAGCCAATCCCCTCCCAGTCCTCAGCCCATGACCCTACCTCAGCCGTCACTGAGCACCAAAAAGCAGAAAAGATCACACTCACCTTCACTCCACCTCTAAAACCCTGCCTCCTTTGGTGTCTATATTCATTCATGCAACATTGTTTTTACTGAGCAGCTACTATGTGACAGGTGCTATTCTAGGAGCTGGATACAGACTCAAACAAAAACAGACACAATTCCTGACTCCGCGGCCTGCCATAGTCTGTGCCCTGTCAAAGCCCAGCCTTCTGTTCCTGCTCAGGGCTCGGCCTCTCCTTCAGTGGGTTTCCCTCTGTAGCTTTCCACACCATCGCCCCTACTGGAGGCTCCTTCCCATCAGCAAGCCACGTGGACTGCTATCTCCACCCTGTGGAGCCACATTTTCCTCCATTCTTGGCATCCCTTCATAGAAAAAAATTATATATGATTTATAGATATAAAATCTTTCTACATGTTCTGTCCCAGTTTCCTGCCTCCTGTTCACTTTCATCCCCCTGCAATCTGGCTCCTGTCCCCTCCCCAACGCTCCAAGAAAACTGCTCTTGGCCACACCACCAGCGACCTTCAGGTTGCCAGGAGAAAGAGATAGTTTTCAGTTCTCATCTTGCCCCTCCACCGGCAGCAGATGACCCGGCTGAACACACTTTCTTCCTGAGCCGCCTCCTCTCTCATTGTTGGTGACACCCCTGACCCGCGGCTTTCTCTCTTCTGCTCACTCAGTAGCTCCTCCTCTTCTCCAGGATCTGTAAACACCAGTACCAGACTTGGGGGTCCTCCCCACTTGTGTCTCCCACCTTCTCCCAGGAGACATCGGCCCGCCCCATGTGCACACCACTCACCTCTCCGGTCCTGGAGTTCGCCTCAGCCCGAGACTCGGACATCCACTTCCTACTGGGCATCCACTCTCGATATCTGATGGGCATCATAATTCACATTCCTGATTCCTTGTGGGTTCCCCCCCAAAAATGTATTTTTCCTCAGACTTCACCAACTTTACACAGGACACCAGCATTCACCCAGCGAGCAGTGAGCTTGAGCCCCAGCCCAAGGTGTTACCAGGATTCTTCTTTCTCCTGACACCCAGTTCATCACTGAGTCCTGCCAATGCCACCTCCAAACTTATCCCTACTCGCCTGCTAATCTCTGTCCCCACAGCCTGCACCATCACCTCTCACTGGGATGGTGGAGAACCTTCTGACTCTCAATCTTCTCCCTACAATCAGTGTCTACAGAGGTGCTGCAGTGAGACTTTCAATAGGACCAGGACATATCCCCACCTTGACTAGACTTCCCAGCCCCTCAATACATGCCTACACACACATGCACACACCCACACATGCGCCCACCCACGTGCGCACACACATGCACACTCACACACATGCACACACCCACACATGCGCCCACCCACATGCACACACATGCACACACCCACATACACACACTCACACACATGCACACACATGCACACACCCCCATGCACACACCTACGTGAACACAATGCACTCACATGGATACACACATGCATGCACACCAACGTACACATATGTATGCATACACTCACACGTGCACACACCCATGCACACATGTACCCACCCATGCACACACGTGCACCCACATGCACACACACCCACATGCACACGTGCGAACACCCATGCACACATGCACACCCACACACACACCCACACGCACACACCCACACACACACGCACACACCCATGGACACATTCATCACGACCTCACCTCTCAGTGGAACTGTGTCCTCTCTTCAACGGGGATAAAACCACTTCCCAGCATGATGGCTTCTACGGTTGAGTGGGAGACTCAGTCCAGGGCCTGACTTGGGGGAGTTCAATGTTCCTTCCCTTCCCTCCATAGGGCCAGGAAAGAAAGCCAGGTGGCCAATTCCCAGGCCAGCGTCTTCTCTCTTCCCACACCTTGTGAAGCCCACCTGACCCAGTTCACCCATGCCGTGGGAAGCCCTGGGCTGGGGCCCTGTGTGGTGCAGATAAGTCCAAGCTGGCCCCTGCCCTCTGGAAGCATCAGATGGACACCAGGCCTTCACTCACTCACCGGCCTGCGCCTTTCCACTGGGATTTGGTCCCTGCTGCCCAGACTGACCATACCTGAGCCTGAGCACTCCTTGTCACATGCTAGCCCCCTGCTTCTGGGAATGACAGAGCCTGGGAAGTAAAGGCCTCCTGGAGAGGGCTGGGACACCCTGACTTTGGGTGGTACAAGATGCGACACCCAGGGGAGTCTGGGGTGAGCTATGGGCAGGATCCTTTTCTGATTCTGCGTGTGTGCATGTGTGTGTTCGTACACACGCATGCACATGTGTGCGTGTGTGCCTGTACATGCATGTGTGCACACGTGTATGCATGTGGGTGTGTGCGAGCGTGTTCATGCACACGTACGTGCATGTGAGTGTGACCAAGCCACAGAAGCGGCAGGCCCAGCCATGTGGCAGCAGGGTCCGCTGTCTACAGATATACGCAGCTCCAGAGGCCAAAGAGAGCTTCCTGGGACAGAAAATGCAAACAAAACTGGTAATGGGAGCGGGAAGATGCAGAGGCCAGACTCAGAGACAGAGGCGAAGCGTGATGGACTCAAGGGCAGAGCTGAGACCCAGGTACTCCCGACCCCTGCAGCAGTGAGTCAGCGTCACCTTTTCTCTGCTTCCTGGGACCTCCAGGGTGGTGAACTCGGCTCCTTCCCCTAAAGGCTCCTCCTCTCCTCCTGGCCTCTTTCTAGGTCTTCTCTAGCCCAGCCCTGGCCACCTGCCCTTTCTCTGGGCTCCCTCCCTCCAGGAACTGGCTCTGCCCTTCACCCCAGCCAGGACACCTCTGCTGCAGCCCCCAAATCTGCTTCTCCAGCCTGACTCCGGGAGGCACACTAGCTTTTCAGCTCTGTAAGTTTCAGGAAACCCCTGGAATGTTCTTTTCAGAATGCTGATTCAGGTGGAACTGAAACTATGTCAAAATGGGTTTTAAACTACTTCAGCAAACTTTACAAAAATGTACAGAAAATGTCCCTATTTCAGATCTTATGACTCAAAAAGCAGGTACCTCAGCCAAGGTTATACTATTTCCTATGAGTACACTGTCAACTGTGAGAAGAGTGTTCTACTAACCCTTAAGTCCAGCTTACTGATTGTTCTTATTCTAACTGCCATCTAATTTAACAATGCTTAAAATATTATAACTGTCATTAAAGTGATGCATCCACAGAATCTCTGATAATGTAGAACATGAATAAAGTAGAACAAGTCTGAAGAAATTGTATCCACGACGTCGCTGAAAAAACTAAAAAGAAAGAATACTCAACTTCCATATTTTCAGGAGGATTCCATTCCTAGGGAACTAAAAGATGTCTCAAAATCTCTGATTATATCTTCCCTTTTAGATACGATCGTTGGCCATTTGGTTTCAGCATTTAAAACATGTCTTAAATGTTTTAAGGTGCGATGGCCAGGTGCGATGGGTCAGGCCTGTAATCCTAGCACTTTGGGAGGCCGAGGCGGGCGGATCACCTGAGGTCAGGAGTTCAAAACCAGTCTGGCCAACATGTTGAAATCTCGTCTCTCCTAAAAATACAAAAATTAGCCAGGCGTGGTGGTGCGCCCCTGTAATCCCAGCTACTTGGGAGGCTGAGGCAGGAGAATCGCTTGAACCCGGGAAGTGGAGTTTGCAGTGAGCCGAGAGTGCGCCACTGCACTCCAGCCTGGCAACAGAGCAAGACTCTGTCTCAAACAAACAAAAAACAAACAACAACAGCAACAACAACAAAAACATGGTTTCCTTCATCAGTGAAAATACACCTTTCCTCGGGCCTGGTGATGCCCAGATCTACCTGAATCGAACTATTTCATTCACATCTCCTTCATTTCCCTTGCTCCTACCTGCACTTTCCTTGCCCAACGCCCTTATCTTACAAGGTCACAAGGACAGAAGGCAGGAACAGTGAAGCGCTGGTGCACGCCCTGCTATAAAGGCAGAACCTGCAGTCTTGTTGGCAGGCTGCCCGCAGCCCTGGCATGGCCACACCTGACTTTGCCATGGCACGGTGCCCGGGAGCTGGGGATGATCACACCCCATGGTGCAAATGAGGGCTAGGCTGGGGCCTGGGGTACAGCCAGGGACATGGTGGCCAGGCTCCATCTGTCACATAATCGTGGTCAAACACCAAAGAGACCAAAGCTGAGGAACACTAGAATAGAGCAAAGTGTCAATTTTATAATCCGAATGAGAAACACATGATTGATAGAACAAACACAGGGTTAAAGCATACCGGGGAAATGTTCACAGCTGATGAATCTGGGTAAAGGGTATACGGATCCTCTTTCTATGCAATTTTCTGTCAATTTGAAATAAAATTCAAAGTTTAAACAAAAAATTCAAGTATTCACCATCTCTAGGTGGTAATAGGGATAATTTCCTTTTGCAACTTTTCTCTGCTTTTCAAATTGCCTGTGATGAGGGAGTGTTGTTTTTATCATCAGAAAACATTATTAAGGGCTGGGCATGGTGGCTCATGCCTGTAATCCCAGCACTTTGGGAGGCCAAGGTGGGCGGATCACCTCAGGTCAGGAGTTCAAGCCCAGCCTGGCCAACAAGGCGAAACCCCATCACTACTAAAAATACAAAAAAATTAGCCAGGCGTGGTGGTGGGCGCCTGTAATCCCAGCTACTCCGAAGGCTAAGGCAGGGAGAATCGCTTGAACCCAGGAGGCGGAGGTTGCAGTGAGCTGAGATCACGCCACTGTACTCAAGCCTGGGCGAAAAGAGCGAGACTCTGTCTCAAAAAAAAAAACAGAAAAAAGAAAAAAAGAAAAGGAAAAGAAAAGAAATGCTCTTGGGTGGTGTGGGGCAGGGGATGGGGCTCCCAACAAGGGTGGAGTTTGCATCAAAGCTGCTGGGGGCCAAGCCAAGGTAAATGTCAATAATTAATTCCAGGGTCCCCAGATCCTGCCCCGTGCCTTTTGACTTAATGGCTACTTGGCTGCAAATGAAAAGAAAAGAGAGGGGAAGGGCTGAGACCGTCTATGACTCCCACAGCTGGTTTTCATTGGGCATCTGATTCCCAAATGTTCAGTTCCTAAGTCAGAAAGATGGGAGTGGAATGAGAAGGTGAAGAGGAAGAGAAAGGCATGGCAGGCAGAAAGCAGAGCCGAGCAGAGGAGAGAGGCGAGTAGAAGCCAGGTGTGGGAGAGGAGAGGCCAGAAACTGCAACCTGCTGTTGCTTCAGGGAGGTGGCCTTAGGGCCAAGAGGAGCAGAAACAGGGGTGAGCAGGCAGCAGAATCAGCACACAGAAGGCCTTTTAAAAAAGTGTGGCATGGGCCAGGCGCAATGGCTCACGCTGTAATCCCAGCACTATGGGAAGCCGAGGCGAGTGGATCACTTGAGGTCAGGAGTTCGAGACCAACCTGGCCAACATGGTGAAACCCTGTCTCTACTAATAATACAAAAATTAGCCAGACGTGGTGTCACGCGCCTGTAATCCCAGCTACTTGGGAGGCTGAGGCAGGAGAATCGCTTGAACCCGAAAGGCAGAGGTTGCGGTGAGCCGAGATTGCACCACTGCACTCCAGCCTGGGCAACAGAGTGAAACTCCGTCTCAAAAAAATAAAATAAAAATAAAAACAAAAGTAATGTATAGTAAGATACACACAACATCAAATTCACCATTAAGTACATTCACAGTGTTGTGCAACCATCACCACCGTCCATCTCCATAACTTTTTCATCATCCCAAATGGAAACTCTGTAGCCATTAAACACCAAATTTCCATTTCCTCCTACCTCGGCCCTTGGTAAAATATCACCAGTTTACAAAACACGCAGGATAGCGTCTACCTCAAGCCTGCAAGTATGAGTTTATAATCACTAATTCTTGTCTGTTTTGTTTTTTTCTTTTTTTTTAAATTTGGAAGGCACGTAGGATTGTAAAGGTTAGCTGCCCAAGTTTGTCCAGCCACCACTCAGAGAGCACAAATGGTAGCCCCGGCATTGCAACTTTGGGAGGCTTGAGATGGTAGACATTGTTTGTTATCTATATAGGGTTGACTGTTGTAGCCTGAAATGTTTGGCTCATTCTTTTAAAAAAACTAAATCTTCTTAGAGTCTTTCCTCTAATTGTGCTCAAGTGAGCTCCAGAATCAGATTAAATAACCACAGATTCAAAGTGTGACAACTGTATCCTGTTTCATTATACAAATAGAAGTCTTGGGAAGTTTGCAAGTTGCCCAGAATACAAGCACTAGGCAAATTCAGATAGTTTGCAAGATTAGAGTCCAATCCTGTGGTCATTGGTAGACAGGCAAATTTAATTGAAGAGGTGTCACTGAATTCAAAAACTGAAAATACTTCAAAAAATAACATTGAATCAAATAGGTTTCAAAATTATTCCATGCAAAGGGAGATTATGGATAAAGGGAGTTGGCAACTGAGCATGCTAAATCAAATTCAGCTTTCATGATAAAATGGATTTACTATTTGCATTTGTTTAACAATGCCTCCCTAAAAGTCACCAGCTTCAAGAGTTATACATTGTATTGAAACGAATCTTAACTTATTAGGGGAAATAGTCATAGCAGGTAGCCAGTAGCCAGTGACAAAATACCAGCTGTGAAAATTGAGGCAAATTGAGAAACTAGAAGCTTTTCCACTAAGATCAGGAACAAAGCAAGGATGCCCCCTCTCTCACACTGCTTTTCAACATCTTACTGGAAGTCCTAACTAATGCAATAAGACAGGAAAAGAAATAAAAGGTATACAGATCAGGAGCAAGGAAATAAAGCTGTCTTTGTCTGCAGATAACATGACCATTGTCTTCGTCCATTGGGGCTGCTATAACAAAATATCTTAAACTAAGTGATTTATAAACAATAGAAATGTATTGCTCACAGTTCTAGAGACTGGGAAGTCCAAGATCAAGGTGCCAGCAGATTTGGTATCTGGTGAGGGCCCATTCCTCATAGATGGTGGAAGGGGCAAGCATGCTCCCTCTGGCCTCTTTTATAAGAGCACTAATCCCATTTATGAGAGTGGAGCCTAATCACCTTCCAAAAGCCCCACCTCTTAATACTATTGCATTGGCTATCAGTTTTTAACACACACACACACACACACACACACATATATATATATATATATATATTTTTTTTTTTTTTTTTGAGATGGAGTCTCGCACTGTCGCCCAGCCTGGAGTGCAGTGGTGCAATCTTGGCTCACTGCAAGCTCTGCCTCCCAGGTTCATGCCATTCTCCTGCATCAGCCTCCCAAGTAGCTGGGACTACAGGCACCCGCCACCACACCCGGCTACTTTTTTTGTATTTTTAGTAGAAACGAGGTTTCACCATGTTAGCCAGGATGGTCTCGATCTCCTGACCTTGTGATCCGCCCGCCTCGGCCTCCCAAAGTGCTGGGATTACAGGCATGAGCCGCCGCACCTGGCCTAACATACAAATTTTGAGAGGATCCAAACATTCATACCACAAAGCATTTGTCTACATAGAAAATCTTAAAGAATTGTCAAAAAGAAACTTCTGGAACTAATAAGCAATTATATAAAGGTTGCCAGATACAAGGTTAATATACAAAAGTCAATAGCTTTCCTTTATACCAGCAATGAGCAGGTGAATTTGAAATTAAGAACACAATACCATTTACATTAGCACTCAAAAAAAAGAAATACTTTGATATAAATATAGCAAAATATGTACAAGATAGATATAATGAAAACCATAAAACTGATGAAAGAAATAAAAAACTAAATAAATGAAAAGATATGGCTGGTCACGGTGGCTCATGCCTGTAATCCCAACACGCTGGGAGGCCGAGGTGGGTGGATCACAAGGTCAGGAGTTTGAGACCAGCCAGACCAACATGGTAAAACCCCGTCTCCACTAAAAATATAAAAATTAACCAGGTGTGGTGGCGTGTGCCTGTAATCCCAGCTACTCAGGAGGCTGAGGCAGGAGAATCACCTGAACCCAAGAGGTGGAGGTTGCAGTGAGCCGAGATGGTACCATTGCACTCCAGCCTGGGCAATAGAGTGAGACTGTCTCAAAAAAAAAAAAAAGAAAAGAAAAGATATTCCATGTTTATGGATAGGAAAGCTTGATATTGCCAAGATGTCTATTCTTTCCAATTTCATCTATGGATTCCATGCAATCTAAATCAAAATGTCAGCAAGTTATTTTGTGGATATCAAGAAACATTCTGAACTTTATATGGAGAGGCCAAAGACCCAGAATAGCAACATAACACTGAAGGAGAAGAACAAAGTTGGAGGCCTGAAGTTAGCTGACTTAAAACGTATTTAAAAGCTATAGTAATCAAGACCATGTGGTATTGGTGAAATAGACAAATAGATAATGGAACAGAATAGAGAGCCCTGAAATAGACCCACATAAACAGTCAACTGATCTTTGACAAAAAAGCAAAGGGAATACAATGTTATGGTTTGCTTGGTCTCCTGCCAAGTCTCATGTTGAAAGCCAAGTCTCGTGTTGAAGTTTGATCCCTGATGTTGGAGTTGGGGCCTAGTGCGAGGTGTTTGGGTCATGGGAGTAGATCCCTCCTCAAAAACCTGCTGCTGTTCTTGAGGTAGTGAATGAGTTCTTGTTCTATTCATTCCTCGAGAGCTGATTGTTTAAAAAAGCTTGACACCTTCCTCCTCTCTCTCTCTTCCTTCCCCTCTTGCCATGTGATACCTGCTCCCCTTTGCCTTCTACCCTGAGTGGAAGCAGCCTGAGGCCCTCCCCAGATGCAGATGCTGGCACCATGCTTACTGTATAGCCTGCAGACTGCAGAACCATGAGCCAAATAAACTTCTTTTCTTTATAAATTACCCTGCCTCGAGAATTCTTTTATAGCAATACAAATAGACTAAGACACAAAGATCCTCTTTTTTTTTTTTTTTTGAGACAGGGTCTCACTCTGTCGCCCAGGCTGGAGTGCAGTGGCACGATCTCGGCTCACTGCAAACTCCACCTCCCAGGTTCAAGCAATTCTCCCGCCTTAACCTCTCCAGTAGCTGGAATTACAGGCACCCACCACCGCGCCTGGATAATTTTTGTATTTTTAGTAGAGACAGGGTTTCACCATGTTGGCCAGGCTGGTCTTGAACTCCTGACCTCGGGTGATCTGCCCACCTCGGCCTCCCAAAGTGCTGGGATTACAGGTGTAAGCCACCATACCTGGCCCAATAAATGGTGATGGAACAACTGGACATCCATATGGAAAAGAAAAAGTGATTCTAGATACAGACCTTACACCATTTATAAAAACTAACTCAAAAAGGATCATAGATCTAATTGTAAAATGCAAAAGTATAAAACTCCTCAAAGATAACATAGGAAGAAACCTAAATGAGTTTGGTTATGACAATGACTTTGTAAATACAATAACCAAAGGCCTGACCCACGAAAGGAATAATTGATGAGCTGGACTTGATTAAAATTAAAAACTGCTGCTCTGCATGTGTGGGGCAGGGAACATATGGGAAATCTCTGCATCTTCAAATTTTTCTGTGAACCTAAAACTGCTTTTGAAAAAAAGTCTTTAATTAAAAAAAAAACTTTTAAAGAAAAAAATGAGACAAATGAGTTGACAAATTCCTGAGAAAGCAAAGTAAATCGTTTGTCAAAATAATTATTGGACAATACAAAACTAGCCCAAATCTAAAATTTATAAATTAAAATTATAATTATATAAAACAAGTTTTGGAATGGATGTAAAATTTCTTTGGGTCCAAGAATGATCTTTTTCACCAATTCCCACTATTCAGATGTTGTTGAACACATCAGCACTGTGAAAGAAAAAACAAGTTATGGGGGAAAATATCTCAGAGTAAGTGGATCTGATTTTTTTTTTTTTTTTTTTTTGAGACGGAGTCTCACTCTGTTGCCAGGTCTCCAACTCCCCGGTTCAAGCAATTCTCCTGCCTCAGCCTCCTGAGTAGTTGGGATTACAGGCATGTGCCACCATGCCCAGCTAATTTTTGTATTTTTAGTAGAGACGGGATTTCACCATGTTGGCTAGGATGGTCTCGATCTTCTGACCTCATGATCTGCCTGCCTGAGCCTCCCAAAGTGCTGGGATTACAGGCATAAGCCACCACGCCTGGCCAGATCTGACTTTTAAGGCTACAAATAAACCACAGACTGATGTCAAATAGACAGAAACATTTGAATGCTGTGAAAAGACAAATGACACCCACAAAATACAAGGAAGAGAGGCACAGTTAAGATGTATAAAAAAGAAGGTGGTGGCTGGGTGCGGTGGCTCATGCCTGTAATCCCAGCACTTTGGAAGGCCAAGGTGGATGGATCACCTGAGGTCAAGAGTTCAAGACCAGCCTGGCCAACATGCCGAAACCCCGTCTCTACAAAAATACAAAAATTAGCCAGGCATGATGGCAGGTGCCTGTAATCCAAGCTACTTGGGAGGCTGAGGCAGGAGAACTGCTTGTACCCGGGAGACGGAGGTTGCAGTGAGCCGAGATCATGCCATTGCTCTCCAGACTCAGCGACAGAGCAAGACTCTGTCTCAAAAAAAAAAAAAAAAAAAAAAAAAAAAGGTGGCTTTTGGCTTATTAAAATATTGTACTTTTTTTTACTTTTTTTTTTGAGATGGAGTTTAGCTCTTGTTGCCCAGGCTGGAGTGCAGTGGCACGATCTCAGCTCACTGCAACCTCTCCCTCCTGGGTTCAAGCAATTCTCCTGCCTCAGCCTCCCAAGTAGCTGGAATTACAGGTGCCACGACCACACCTGGCTAATCGTTTGTATTTTCAGTAGCGACAGGGTTTCCTCATGTTGGCCAGGCTGGTCTCGAACTCCTGACCTCAGGTGATCCACCCATCTCGGCCTCCCAATGGGCTGGGATTACAGGCATGAGCCACTTCAGCCAGCCTTGTATACTTTTTTATTTTATTTTATTTTGAGACAGAATCTCACTCTGTCACACAGGCTGGAGTGCAGTGGTATGATCTCGGCTCACTGCAACCTCTGCCTCCCAGGTTCAAGCAATTCTTCTACCTCAGCCCCTTGAGTAGCTGGAATTACAGGCGCGGGCCACTACACCTGGCTAATTTTTGTGTTTTTAGTAGAGACAGGGTTTCACCATGTTGGTCAAACAGGTCTCGAACTCCTGACCTCGTGATCTGCCCGCCTCGGCCTCCCAAAGTGCTGGGATTACAGGTGTGAGCCACTGCGCCTGGCCTCTTATTCACTTTTTTAAAAGAGGATTTCAAAGCATCTGGAAAACATGCCTGCTGTTGGAAACCCTGCACGGCAAATTCAGTTTGCAAGCGTCATTCAGATGTTGGTTGACGACAATACACCCGCCTCTCGGGCTGAGCGGTTGCGCCGTGTTGGGTCCTTTTTCTGTCACTCGGTGACACTCCAAGTTCTGTGCAGTCCTTGGTACAAACAAGGCATGGTTTGGAGGGAAGGGACGATGGTGTTTGCATTGCTTGGGGAACAACCCAGCTAGCATTTTCCACATACTCTGCATATACTATCCAGTTTATGACACTGGAGAATCTTGCGTCTTCTGCTGGGAATCATTGGCTCTTCCTCCCCCATATTCACAGAATCTTGCCAGTCTTCGAACAGGTGGGGGTCAGTGACTGTGAGAACAGGCACCCCAGTCCCGGCTTTGAGTCTCCGTTCTGCTCCAATCTGCCCAGGCGTCTCCTTTCACTACCAGCTGCTAAGTAATCTCCTCTCCGACAGCTCGGCCAGGGCGACTCACAGCGCCCCCTGCCCTGCAGCCAGTGATCTATCCCGCTGCTCATTCCCCGGGGATCTGCCACCTCCAGCGCCGGTGCTGCCATCTGCTCTGGCCGCAGCCCGCCAGGGGACGCAGGGCCCAGGACGGGCAATGGGGGGGTGCCGCCCTCCCCAGCCCCCTCTGCGGCAACCCCCCCCCCCGCCCCCGGCAGCCTGAATCCCACCCACCCCGGGCCGCGACACTCCCACCACCGCCCGGGTGGCACCAGGCTCGCGCCACGAGCCGGGGTTGTGAGGACTCAGCGACTCTAGCAGCGCCGCGCACTGGGAATCTTTGAACAGTGCGTTGATCTTTGTGTTTTAATTACCACTGTCGCCCTTAGACCCAACACTCTAGTTTCTATTTATTTATTTATTTTTGAGACAGAGTCTCACTCTGTCGCCCACAGTGGAGTGCAGTGGTGTGATCACGGCTCACTGCAACGTCTGCCTCCTGGGTTCAAGCGATTCTCCTGACTCAGCCTCCTGAGTAGCTGGGATTACAGGCACCTGCCACCACGCCCGGCTCATTTTTGTATTTTTAGTAGAGACAGAGTTTCGCCATGTTGGCCAGACTGATCTTGAACTCCTGACCTCGGGTGATCCGCCCGTCTCAGCCTCCCAAAGTGCTGGGATTACAGGTGTGAGCCACCACGCCCGGCCTCGTTTTTAAAAATGAGTGTTTTTAAACACTCCTATTGGGAGGCTGGGCGCAGTGGCTCACACCTGTAATCCCAGCGCTTTGGAAGGCCGAGGCAGGTAGATCGCCTGAGGTCAGGAGTTCGAGACCAGCCTGGCCAACATGGCGAAACGCCGTCTCTACTAAAAATACAAAAATTAGCCAGGTGTGGTGGTACACATCTGTAATCCCAGCTACTTGGGAGGCTGAGGCAGGAGAATCACTTGAATCTGGGAGGCAGAGGTTGCAGTGAGCTGAGTTCACACCACTGCACTCCAGCCTGGGTGACCAGAGCGAAAACCTGTTTCAAAAAAAAAAAAAAAGAATTATTATATTGGGAGTATTTTGTTGTTTTTGTTGTTGTTAATTGAAAATCCATACCAATACTGAGAAAATCTCTCATTTTTTGTGTGTTACTGGCAAAGAGAAAATGGAAGAATGGCAACTAGAAGAACAAAACTTGGACACAGATGAGTGTCTATAAACGAGGGCCCTGGGCTTGGGGCTGAGGCTGGGTGCCAGTCAGTGTCAGCTCTCAGGAAGGGAACTGGGCAAAGGGATTTCTGTCCTTTTTGGATTTGTGTACCCACTTGTTTTGGACAGAAGAGGCTGGGTTATGCTACAGGAACAAACCTCCATGATCTCAGTGGCCTAAGTTCATGAAGCCTTTTTCTTGCTTAAGTTAAATATCCATGAAGTGGAGAGGGGCAGTCTATACCCAGTCCTCACTAAGGGACACAGGCTGACACAGACCCCTGTCTGGAACATTGACCACAGGGTCAAGGCAGTGATGACGCACGTTGTTCCCTGGCCGTTAAAGCTTGTACCTGGCAGGGATGTGTCACTTTCACTCCCATTTCATTGGCCAAAGCAAATCACGTGTTCACACCTAACCTCAATGATGCGGGAAAGCCTGACTCCACCATGGGCCCAAAAAGGGAGAAAGGGATGTTTCAGTGTAGCGACAGGATGATGACCAGCACATCATCCTGTCACTGCACTTGGTCAACTTCTTTGTGAAGGTCTGAACCAATAAGTAAGCCAAGGAAAAGGGAAGAGATGTGATCATTGGAAAGAAGCCACATTTGTCATCATTTCTAGGTTATTTTTCTATCCCCTGTCCACTTAAGAGGGCCATGCCTGGCAGAAGTTTGCATCAGTGCCCAGCCCACAGAGGCATGAGTAGGCCTGGGCACGGAGTACACAGTTACCCAGTATGCTCCTTACCTACCTGGCACCTCTTGGCTGACAGAAAAGCAAAAAGCTTCAATAGGTGAGAACCAGGGGAAAGAGACTTAAAACAAAGTATTAATAAATCATATTCACATAGGGCTTCTCGCTTGCAAGTTATAGTTTATGTCTGTTATTTTTTAATTTTCATGGTTATTGTAGTAGATATGTCACACTGTATCTCCAATTCACCAAAATGGATCAATGACTAAAAAGAGGTTCTATAAAATGCAAAGTAATGATGAAAATGGCAGCATAAATCCTCAGAAGGGCACTGTAAACATAATGAGTAAATGGTTCTGCAATATAACTATGGAAATACAAAACTATATATTCAAGGACAAACAAGTTCTTGAGTGGTGATTTTACACATGCAACCATAAATGAAAATTGTGAGTCTAAGTTCAGTGAGGAATACTTGAACATTTCATTTATTGGACAAGCAATCCATTTGCCCCTAGTCCTCGATATATTACTGTTAAAATGAAAATGCTGATATATAGTAGTCTGGAGCCATAAAAAGTGTTTCTCATTATCTTTAGAAAAAGCAACCAATTCCATTTTTCCAGAATAAGCACAAAATAACTTTCTAATGTAAAATTGATTATTCTTCTTATTAAAGGTGCGGAGGAGACTAAAGCTACAGAAACATCATTCTAAATTGCTGTCCTCTTAGCAAATGCACCTAGATATCAGTCGTAAAATTGCCAAGAAGACCGTAAATCAGCTCACAGATCATAATGAAGACTGTGCTTGGAGAGAGATCCAAAGGATATTGACAAAGCTCCTCTATCAGATAACAGAGCACACAAAGCAGAAATGCAATTACTAGTGCACACACATGTTAGCCAATACTTTGCTTTTGAGCAAACCAAACTCCTCATGTGCAAGGCATAAAACAGCCCTTGGTGCATGTGGGGTTCAAATATGAGGGAAAAATGCTGCCTGGCTTGTCGCTTTGTTTTTCGTGCCAAAGTATGATAAGAGGCTTTTCATTTACAGATTATTTACTTTGTGAGTCATGTGCTAGAAATGGCACTTCAGGACCCGTGCCAGAGTTGAAGCCGCTGTGGCTGAGCAGCGAAGAGCTTTGCTCTGTGAATAAAAGAGGTTGTTCCTCATGCTGCTTTATTCACAGAGAAGAGTTAATGGTCAACAAAATGCTTCTGGACCCTGATTCAGGGTTAAAGGAAGTAATAAAAAGAATACAAACTTCGTCTAATTCTGGATGAGCTCAATATTGGCACAGCTTTTCAGCCTGCTGTGAGGAAACACAGGTAGTATGCAGGTCAGTACACTTCC
Source organism: Homo sapiens (assembly GCF_000001405.40). Taxonomy (NCBI): domain Eukaryota; kingdom Metazoa; phylum Chordata; class Mammalia; order Primates; family Hominidae; genus Homo; species Homo sapiens. The sequence goes on along the minus strand of NC_000022.11, from coordinate 38,924,270 downwards.
AGTCGGGGATGACAGAAATTCAATTTCAAGTGGATTAAACAATAAATGGAACCAATTAAAGCATTTGTGATGTCAGGGCTCTGGCTCTGGCTCGCTGCAGGTGCCTTGGCTCTGTTCTCTTCCTTGCGTTGCCTTCTTTTCAGACCAGCGTCTCCTGTGGTAGAAAAATTGTTACAGCAGCGCCAAGCCCACAGTACGCCCCACCTATCTGGACCAACAGAGAGTCTCTGTCTCCCACAATTCCCAGGAAGGTCCTGAGGTTAGCATGGATTAGACTGGCTCAGGGCACGTGTCCACTCCTGAGCCAATCACGGTGTGGCTGGGGGTGGAACCCACTTACTGCTCCACCCCTGCCCTGATGGCAGCAAACAGCAAAGCAGCAGCAAAAAGGAGAGAAGGGAGTGAGGGAAGAAAGGAGGAGGGAGCAGAGGAAGGGAAGGAGAGAAAGGAGGGAGGGAAGAAAGGAGGAGGGAGCAGAGGAAGGGAAGGAGAGAAGGGAGGGAGGGAAGAAAGGAGGAGGGAGGAGAGGAAGGGAAGGAGAGAAGGGAGGGAGGGAAGAAAGGAGGAGGGAGGAGAGGAAGGAGGAAGGGAGGGAGAGAGAGGAAGAAAGAAATGAAGATCTCATGGATATGAGAACATAATTAATGTTTCAAACACTCTCTTTAAATTTAAAATCATTGATGAAACTCTACTTTTTTTTGAATTACAATTGATGATCTATGAATGTGCCAAATGCCCATTCAGTGGTCTGTGGTGTGAAACGTTGAGAAAGGATGCCTCGAGATGCTTCTAACACCTAAAAATACCCCTTGCAGGCCAGCTGTGGTGGCTCATGCCTGTAATCCCAGCACTTTGGGAGGCCGAGACAGGCGGATCACTTGAGGTCAGGAATTTGAGACCAGCCTGGCCGACATGGTGAAACCCCGTCTCTACTAAAATACAAAAATTAGCCTTGCATGGTGGTGTGCCCCTGTAGTCCCAGCTACTTGGGAGGCTGAGGCATGAGAATCACTTGAACCTGGGAGGCGGAGGTTGCAGTGAGCCGAGATCACGCCATTGCACTCCAGCCTGGGCAACAAGAGTGAAACTCTGACTCAAAGGGTCATGGACCCTTTGCAGATCCATGTTCTCCTAAGTAGCAAATACTTAGGCAATTATTACAAATGAATTCCCCTAATAAAACTCTCCTCCCACCTCCTCCTCACAGGACATGGAGTCAGTGCATGGCAGGGAGAGAGCTGGGAGCGTCAGGCCAGGCTTTCCACTGCGGTGTCTTTCTGGGTGTCAGCTGCACCACTGTCCTGAACTCTGTGCTGACCGGGCACTAGTCTGGTGTTTGAGACCACAGTGGGGACAGCACCAGCCCCACGTCGTTGGCGCTGTCTACAGGCTGTCCCCACCAAGGCAGCCCCTCTCTCTGCCCGGTCCTCTGTGGCTCTGCTTCTCCTTCAGCTCCTTCATCCTACCCCCTTGTCAGTCTGGTTTCTCTGTTTGTACAAGGATTTGACACCTGTCCCAAAAGGGCACCCTCAGCTCTGGGTCTCCTCACCTTCCAGGTCTGACAGCCAAGGCTAACCTATGATAACCACTGGTTCTCGATTCTAAATCTCCAGAAGAGAGAATCTGATTTGTGCAGCCTGCATCAGGCATCCACTCCTGGACCAACCAGGAAGCCTACGGGGCCCACCAGTGTGGGTAATATGAGAAACATGCTCACCTGTCCAAACCCAAAGGATGAACTTAGAGACATAGAGAATTGCAGAGGTGAGACTTGTGTTGTTGTTGTTGTTTTGTTTTTGTTTTGTTTTGTGACAGAGTTTCACTCTTGTCACTCAGGCTGGAGTGCAATGGTTCCATCTCGGCTCACCGCAACCTCCGCCTCCTGGGTTCAAGTGATTCTCCTGCCTTAGCCTCCCGAGTAGCTGGGATTACAGGCATGCACCACCATGCCCAGCTAATTTTGTAGGTTTTTTCTTTGTTTTTGTTTTTTTTTAGTAGAGATGGGGGTTTCTCCATGTTAGTCAGGCTGGTCTTGAACTCCCGACTTCAGGGGATCTGCCTGCCTTGGCCTCCCAAAGTCTGGGATTACAGGCATGAGCCACTGCGCCCAGCCAGAAGTGAGACTTTTAATGACAGTCTTGCAAGATCTGGTGTCTGGTAGGCAGGCACACCCAGTACAGTTACAACAAGCAATGTATCCCCTAGTAGGCAAGTCCCTCCCCCGGTTCCTCATAGGCTGAGTACCATGGGGTCACCATCTTCCCAGACATCACCTATTGGTCGTTGGGTTGGGGCTTTTAGGTGTTTACTTTAGGGTTGTCTCGCTGCAGTTTGTTGTGGCCCATAATGCACTGCAATCATAGTCAGCTAAGGTGCTCTTCAAGTATTTGACTTATGACCCAGGTGGCCAGGCAAGCTGATAAGAATAGATAAAGTGAGCTATTTTTCAGGCTAGTAAACTTTCATTCTAGACTAAACGCTTTGCTTTGGGTGGGGGTAACTAAGGGGGCCCTGACCAGCAGGGGTCTAGTATATCCTGTCCATCCGCAGGTTGTGGGCCCAAGCCTATTTGAGGCACTTTGCCTTGGAAATGGGCCACCGTAGACATTATTTCCTACAGTAGGAGAGAAGCTTGAAGCAAAGGGGACATTGACTCCGTAAGTACTTTAAAGCATGTCTACAAATCCTTTGAAAGACATCCTGACATCCTCCAAACGTACCTTGTGAAGACGGCTCATAAGGGCAACGCAGCCTAGATGGAGCAACAGGTGGACAGTCTCAAGCCGACCGTGCAGAATTAGGAAAAGCCCCAGCAGACCAGAAAAATCTCCATTCCCTGGTGACATGGGGAGAAAGCTGGCCTGACATGGCTCCAGAGCTGGCAGCACCTCTGGGTCCTGATAGAAGTCTGGGTGGCTGCCAAGCTGAGTCATCCAGGAGCTAAGGGAAACGACCTACCTGTAGCTAAGACCAAGCCTCACACCCCATCACCTGGGCTGGATCTTGTTCTCCTGCCAGATCTGTCGTATCTTTATTGGCTCTCCCAGTGACGGCTTCTGTGGTTGGAAATCATTCATTAGTTTTGCTGCCTGAAACTGAACCATAAATGAGGCACTGAGACAGGGGAAAAGCCTGGTCCATGTCGAGATCTGAGCTCAACCCTAGACCTAAGCTCCTGACTCCATACCCTGATTAGCAACAGCTGCCATCACAAAACCAATTTTTTTTTTTTGAATTTCGCTCTTTTTGCCCAGGCTGGAGTGCAATGGTGCAATCTCAGCTCACTGCAACCTCTGCCTCCTGGGTTCAAGCGATTCTCTTGCCTCAGCCTCCTGAGTAGCTGGGATTACAAGCACATGACACCATGCCCACCTAATTTTGTATTTTTAGTAGAGCCAGGGTTTCACCATGTTGGCCAGACTGGTCTCGAACTCTTGACCTCAGGTGATCCGCCCGCCTCGGCCTCCCAAGGTAGTGGGATTACAGGCATGAGCCACCATGCCCAGCAGACAAAACTAACTTTCTAAGCTTTTAACATGACCCTCAGACATTAACCAAGATGCTTGTCTAGACCACAAGCCCATTTTTCTTTTGTAGAATTTGCATTTCTCTCCTTGCATAAGAAGGAAGTATCCAGTGATGGTGAGAAAAACATGGGATCAGCAAGACCTGGGTTCGAGCCCTAGATTCCCCACTTAGGAGCCACAGAGTCTCACTCAGGAGGCTCACTTCTATGAGGCTGAATCTTGATTGGGAAATTTGTGATAAATCTCCTATGAGAATTAAGTGAAAGACCCTAATATCAAATGCCTGACACATACTTGGACCTCAAATTTGAGCCCTTTTGCTCTCCTTAGAGGAGGGATGAAAGCATAACTTATCCTGAGTGCAGATGCACCTCATTTAATTGGGATTCACTTTACTGAGTCACAGATGCTGTGTTTTTTTTTACACATGGAAGGTTTTTGGCAACCCTGCATCGAGCAAGTGTATTGGCATGATTTTCCCAACAGTAGGTACTCACTTTCAGGTCTCTGTGTCACATCGGTAAATTCCCACAATATTTCAGACTTTTTCATTATTATTATATCTGTTACAGGGATCTGTGATCAGTGTCTTTGATGTTACCACTGTAATTGTTTTCAGGCATCACAAACCACACCCACATAAGACAGCAAACTTAGTTGATAAATGTTGTGTGTGTTCTGACTGCTCCACCAACAGCTGTTCCCCATCTCTCTCCCTCTGCCCTGGCCTCCCTATTCTCTGAGATGTAACAATATTGAATTTAGGCCAATTAATAACCCTACAATGGCCTCTCAGTGTTCAAGTGAAAGGAACTGTCACATATCTCTTGCTTTCAATCAAAAGCTAGAAATGATTAGGCTTAATGAGGAAGGAATGTCAAGAAACAAGATAGGCTGAAAGCTAGGCCTCTTCCACTATGCAGTTAGCCAAGTTGTGAATGCAAAGGAAAAGCCTTTGAAGGAAATTAAAAGTGCCACTCCAATGAGTACATGAATGATAAGAAAGTGAAACAGGCTTACTGCTGATATGGAGAAAGTTTGAGGGGTCTGGATAGAAGATCAAACCAGCCATGACATTCTCCTAAGCGAAAGCCTAATCCAGAGCAAGGCCCTAGCTCTCTTCAATTCTATGAAGGCTGAGAGAGGTGAGGAAGTTGCGGAAGAAAAGTCTGAAGCTAGCAGAGGTTGGTTCGTGAGATTTAAGGAAAGAAACTGTCTCCATAACATAAAAGTGCAAGGTGAAGCAGCAAGTGCTGATGGAGCAGCTGCAAGTTGTCCAGAAGATCTGGCTAAGATCATTGATTAAGGTGGCCATAGTGAACAACAGGTTTTCCATGTAGATGAAATAACCTTCTATTGAAAGAAGATGCCATCTAGAACTTTCATAGCTAGAGAGGGGAAGGCAATGCCTGGCTTTGAAGCTTCAAAGGACAGGCTGACTATCTTGCTAGGGGCTAGTGCAGCTGGTGACTTTAAGTTGAAGTCAATGCTCATTTACCATTCTGAAAATCCTAGGGTCCTTAAGAATGATGCTAAATCTACTCTGCCAGTGCTCTAGCTTAGATGACTGCACATCTGTTTACAGCGTGGTTTGCTGGATATTTTAAGCCCACTGTTGATATATACTGCTCGGAAAAAAATATTCTTTTCAAATATTCTTTTCAAAATATTACTGCTCATTGACAATGCACCTGGTCACCCAAGAGCTCTGCTGGAGATGCACAAGGAGATGAATGTTGCTTTCCTGCCTGCTAACACAATGTCCATTCTGCAGCCCATGGACCAAGGAGTCCTTTCAGCTTTCAAGTCTGGATCTGGGCAAAGTAAATTGAAACCTACTGAAAAGCATTTATCATTCTAGGTGCCATTATGAACATATCAATCTACCAGGAGTTTGAAAGGAGTTGAGTCCAACCTTTGTGGATGACTTTGAGGAGTTGAAGACTTCAGTAAAAGAAAGAACTGCAGATGTGGTGGAAATAGCTAGAGAACTAGAAGTAGAAGTGAAGCCTATAAATGTGACTGCATTGCTGCAATCTCATGATCAAACTTGAGTGAATGATGAGCTGCTTCTTATAGATGAGCAAAGAAAGTGGTTTCTTGAAATGGAATGTACTCCTGGTGAAGATGCTGTGAACATGTTGAAATAACAACAAAGCATTTTAAATATTATAGAAATTTAGTTGATAAAGCAGGTTTGAGAGAATTGACACCAATTTTGAAAGGAGTGCTACTGTGGGTAAAATGCTATAAAACAGCATCACATGCTACAGAGAATCTTTCATGAAAGGAAGAGTCAATCAATGTGGCAAACTTCATCGTTGTCTTATTTATTTATTTATTTATTGAGACAGAGTTTCACTCTTGTCGCCCAGGCTGGAGTGCAGTGGCGTTGGCTCACTGGTGCAGTTGGCTCACTGCAGTCTCCACCTCCAAGATTCAAATGATTCTCCTGCCGCAGCCTCCCAAGTAGCTGGGATTACAGGTGCTTGCCACCACGCTGAGCTAATTTTTGTATTTTTGGTAGAGATGAGGTTTCACCATGTTGACCAGCCCAGTCTCAAACTCCTGACCTCAGGTGATCCACTCACCTTGGCCTCCAAAAGGGCTGGGATTACAGCCATGAGCCACCACACCCAGCCCATTGTTGTCTTATTTTAAGAAATTGCCACCACCACCCCAGCCTTCAGCAACCACCACCCTGATCTGTTGGCAGCCATCAACATCAAAGCAAGACCCTCCACCAGCAATAAGATTACAACTCACTGAAGGTTCAGATGATCATTAGCCTTTTTAGCAATAAAATATTTTTAAGGTATGTACTTTTTTAGAATAATGCGATTGCACACTTAATAGGCTACAGTATAGAGTAAACATAACTTTTATATGTACTCGGAAACAATAAAATTTGTGTGCCTTGCTTTATTGCAATATTCACTTTATCGTGATGGCCTGGAACCAAACCCACCGTATCTCTGAGGTATTCCTGTACTTAGTCTCTTACACCCAACATCTTATCAGTTCAACCAACACTTATTGAATGCCTGCCTTGTACACTGACAAGGGATAAGGGAGTCCAATATGGACCCTGCACTCCTGGAATTCACAGTCCTAGGTCTCCATCCCCTTCTATGAACTTGCCAGCAGAGGGATGTGGTATAGTGGTGTCATGCGCTTCCCAGCTTCTCAGAGGTCTTGGTAATTGTAAAACTTTGTCAAAGATGACCAAAAGAAAAAGTCCCATTTTCTTCTCCCTGCAAATGTCTCAGCAGCATTATTCTCCAAAGGATTCCAGCCATGTTCCCCTCTCCTCTCACGTCCTTGCTAACTTGATTCCCAATTCTTGGGAGAGGCTGGACTGAAGTCACCACTGACTCTATGGAAAGTGGAAGGAGAATGCAATAGAGACCAGCAGCTGGGCCGGGTGCGGTGTCTCAACCTGTAATCCCAGCACTTTGGCAGGTGGATCACCTGAAGTCAGGAGTTCGAGACCAGCCTGGCCAACATGGTGAAACCTCATCTCTCCTAAAAATACAAAAATTAGCTGGGCATGGTGGTGGGCGCCTGTAATCCCAGCTACTTGGGAGGCTGAGGCAGGAGAATCGTTTGAACCCGGAGGCGGAGGTTGCAGTGAGTCAAGATCACACCACTGCACTCCAGCCTGGGCAACAGAGCAAGGCTCCATCTCAAAAAAAAACAAAAACAAAAAAAGAGAGACCAGCAGCTGTAGTTCAGGACCATGAACAGCGCTGATGGGTGCCTCCTGTGCCAAACAGGTGAGTCCTATCAGCACAAGGTCTTCTCTCCCTATGCAAGAGCCAGTCTGAGGGCAGAACCCCCCTGCCTCTCATAGGTTGTGCTCTTGCTGCTGGAGTAACTGGATTTTCACCAGTGCTCATGTTGTGAACTGTTACAACCCTCCCCTCCAGGCTGGAAGATGGGGCTGAGAACCAAAAATACCCAGGAACGCTTCCATTTGGACCCATCAGTGGAGAAAGGGGAGCTCCCACTGCTGGCTTCCGGGGAAAGCAGATGTTAAGAGACCAGGATCTATAGATTTGTCTAAGAGCAATTCCTAAGCCAAGTTACACGGTGCTTTTCTGCTTTAAGCCTCGAAAGCCAGTCAATGAGATTCAGGCACAAGAGTTCACAGAGAATGGGTGCCCTAGCAAGGGATGCCCAGAGCCATGCTCATCCTTCTCTGCCGGCTAACCTGTGGTGCCTGGAAGTGCTGACCCTCTCTCCTTGAGACTCTGTTTTTATAGCAATGCATGTGGCAATTCTGTTCTTCTTATAAGAACTCCTCTATTGACTCTTCTTATCCCTCCTAACCCCTTACTCAAGGACATGAACAACACAAAGTCTGGGCCCCTCTGTGTGCCTTCTCTCTACGGTCCTCTTTTCTTTCTGTCTCAAGCCTCAGGCCTCACCTCCCTGTCTTTGCCTCCAAAATCTGCTTTACCATACCAGATTTCTGGTATGATAAATGATCTCTCAAGAGAGAATCGTCCAGGGTGAAAGAAGAACTTGAAAGGATTTGACTTCTATCAACAGGATGCAGTTTATGCTTTGGATCAGAAATTAGTATGTGGTGCTTTCTCTCCTATCACCAGAATATGGAATTCCAGATAGACATGGGAGTGGCTCCTCTCACTGCACACCTAATAACCTGTGTGCAGAATCTTTCTTCCCATCTCCACAGCTCTGAGCTCTGCAGGTTTGGAGGTCATGGTCATGGCTCCCAAGAGAGGAATCCTGCCACCAGAGGACACAACTGCAGCTCCATTGAATTGGATGTTGGGACTGCTGCTGGCCATTGGGAATCTTCATGCCACTGAACCGAGAGAAGAAAGGGGTTACTCTACTGCCTGGGGCGACTGATCCCTATTACAAGGAGAAATTGGGTTGCTGCCACACAGTGGAGGTAGGGAGGACCACATCTGAACCCCCAAGGATGCTCTAGGATGCCCCTTAGGACTTCCATGTCCAACCATAAAAATAAGTGAAAAAACATGACAGTCAAAAAAGGCAGGACCACTAAGGATCCAGACACCTCAGGATGAAGATTTAGGTCACTCCATCAGGCAAAGAGGCCTAGCCAGTTGAGAGCAAAAGATATGTACAAGGAAGAGTGGAAGACAGAATTGGAATGTCAACTTCAGCCACATGGCCTATTACAGAAACAAGGACTGTAGCAGTTGTGTACCTTTCTTTCTTCGTTTGCTGTGTTTGTGTGTGTGTATGTGTTTGTATATGTTAACCACTTTTTTTCCTTCTTTCTCTCCCTTCCTATTATTTATTTTTTGATAAGTTTTCTTGGAAGTTAACTTTCCAATTCAGTATTTAGATAACGGAATATTCAGCCGGCACTGTGACTGGATTTGAGGGGTTATTAACATTGTCCGGAGATGGATACAATGCTGTTGGAATCTTTGCATCTCCCCATTTTGGGGAAAGACTGAGAATGTCTTCATTTGCATGAAGGATAGTTGCAACCTGTTAAGTGTAAACATAGAGTTGTCTTTTTTTTTTCTGGAGACGGAGTCTCTGTCTGTTGCCCAGGCTAAAGTGCAGTGGCACAATCTCGGCTCACTGCAACCTCTGCCTCCTGGGTTCAAGCGATTCTCCTGACTCAGCCACCCCAGTAGCTAGGATTACAGGTGTGTGCCATCATGCCCAGATAATTTTTGTATTTTGGTAGAGACAGGGTTTTGCCATGTTGGTCAGGCTGGTCTCAGACTCCTGGCCTCAAGTGATCTGCCCGTGTCAACTTCCTAAAGTGCTGGGATTACAGGCGTTAGCCACCGCGCCCAGCCTATCCTCTTATTTGAAAGTCAGATTTGTGTATACAAATGCTGAGAAGCCAGAAAGGTGGATTATGCCACTTACTAAGCTATTGTCTCTCTCTCTCTCTTTTTTTTTTTTTTTTTTTTTTTTGAGACCGGATCTCACTCTGTCACCTAGGCTATAGTGCAGCAGTGCGTTCATGGCTCACTGTAGCCTCGACCTCCCGTGCTTGAGCACTCCTCCCACCTCAGCCTCCTGAGTAGCTGGGACTACAGGCACATGCCACCACACCCAACTAATTTTTGTGTTTTTAGTAGAGATGGTATTTTGCCATGTTGACCAGGCTGGTCTCCAACTCCTGAGCTCAAGCGATCCACCCACCTCGGCCTCTCAAAGTGCTGGGATTGCAGGTGTGAGCCACTACACCTGGCCTACCCTTTATTATTTCTGTCTTAGTCTGTTCAGGTTGTTATAATAAAATACCATAGACTGGATAGCTTATAAACACAGAAATTTATTTCTCACTGTTCCAGAGGCTGGGAGGTCCAAGATAAAGACTCTAACAGATTCAGTGTCTGATGAGGGCTCACTTTCAGGTTCATAGAGGGTGCCTCCTGGCTATGCCCTCTCATGGCAGACACAGATAATCTCTTTTGTGCCTCTTGTTATAAGAGGCACTAATCCCATTCATGAGGGCCCCACCCTCACGACCTACTCACCTCCAAGTGCCCCATCTCCTGATACCAACTCACCGGGGGTTAGGATTTCAACATGTGGTTCTGGGGGGAGATGCAAACATTCAGACAATAGTAATTAGCTTCCTTCTCTTTCTTTGAGTTTGTTCTGCTGCAGTTTTATCCCTAACTTCTTCAGATAGATGGTTCGCTCATTAATTTTTAGTCTCCCTTGTTTTCCAGTGTATGAAATTAAGGCTATCAATTTTTCTCTAAGTACTATTTTAATTGCATGTGAGAAGTTTTAATATGTGATATTGTCATCATCTTTCAGTTTAACATTTTTCTAATTTCCATTAGAATTTTGTCTTTGACTAATGGACTGTATAAAAAGTGAACATTTTCATTTCCAAATGTATTAATAATTTATTTTTTGTTGTTGATTTATAATTTATGCAATATAATCACAGAAGGTGATCTGTATAATTTCAATCTTTGGTCTTTATTGAGACTTGATTATGGCATAATACATGGTCATTTTTCACAAATGTTCCACAAGAGTTTGAAATGAATGTGTATTATCTAATTCTTATGCAAAACATTCTATAAATGAGCATTCAATCAAGCTGGTTAGCAGTACTGTTCAAATCTTTTACACTCTTACAGGTTCTTTTTTCTGCATGATCTACCAATGATAGAAATATGTTAGAATCTTCCATAATGGTGGTGGATTTGTCAAGTTCTTCTTGGGTTTCTTTTCTTTTTTCTGTTGATTCTTGCTTTATTCATTTTAAGGCTATAAGATATGTACAAGTTTTAAATTAGTTTATCATCTTGGTGAATTAAAATACTTTATCTTTATGTACATACCCTCTCTATCCTTAGTAATGACTTTTCTTTAAAGAATATTTTTATCTGGGCCGGGTGCAGTGGCTCACACCTGTAATCCCAGCACTTTGGGAGGCAGAGGCGGGCGGATCATGAGGTCAGGAGATCGAGACCATCCTGGCTAACACGGTGAAACCCCGTCTCTACTAAAAATACAAAAAATTAGCTGGGTGTGGTGGCGGGTGCCTGTAGTCCCAGCTACTCGGGAAGCTGAGGCAGGAGAATGGCGTGAACCTGGGAGGCGGAGCTTGCGGTAAACCGAGATTGTGCCACTGCACTCCAGCCTGGGCGACAGAGCGAGACTCTGTCTCAAAAAAAAAAAAAAAAAGAATATTTTTATCTGATGTTGATATCATAAACTTGCTTTCTTGGCACTTAAAAAATCTTTTTATTTTCAAGCTTTCTGTGTTCTTTGACTTTTTTTTTTTTTTTTTTTTTTTTTTGTTGAGACGGAGTCTCGCTATCTCCCCGGCTGGAGTGCAGTCCCGCGATCTCGGCTCACTGCAAGCTCCGCCTCCCGGGTTCACGCCATTCTCCTGCCTCAGCCTCCCGAGTAGCTGGGACTACAGGCACCCGCCACCTCGCCAGGCTAATTTTTTGTATTTTTAGTAGAGACGGGGTTTCACCATGTTAGCCAAGATAGTCTCGATCTCCTGACCTCGTGATCTGCCCGCCTCGGCCTCCCAAAGTGCTGGGATTACAGGCGTGAGCCACCGCTCCCGGCCGTTCTTTGACTTTTAATACATCTCTTAGAAAGTTGGATGGGGGAGAGGTAATCCATTTTGAAAATCTCTGTCCTCTAACTGGTGGGTTTAGTCCATACACCTCTGTGATTATTGTTATTTTTTAACGCACCTCTATCATCTTATTCTTTTTTGCATTTTTTTCATGCTTCTTTGTTTTTCTTTCTTGGTTTTTTGTTTTTTGTTTTACTAATTGGGCTTCTTTTATTTGTTTTCCCTATTCCTATTTGTATTTCCTATTTCCTATACTGTTTTGAATTTACATGCTCCATTTCTTTTCTTTTTAGGGATAATCTTTGAGGCTCTGCATGTATATATAACAAATTTTAAAATTAATATATTATTCTACCCCCTTCTGAAAATTTCAAGACCTTAGAATACTTTACCACTGATTTACTCCTTCTTGAATTACATGTCATTGTTTTTCAATATTATATTTTGAGCCAGAAGTTTTATTACTCACTTTAAAGAAGCAATTTTTGGCTTTGTAGGTCTTTCTCTATTGCCTATCTGCTTTCTTTTTTTTGAGACGGAGTCTCGCTCCGTCACCCAGGCTGGAGTGCAGTGGCGTGATCTCGGCTCACTGCAAGCTCCGCCTCCCGGGTTCAAGTCATTCTCCTGCCTCAGCCTCCCGAGTAGCTGGGACTACAGGCACCCGCCACTACGCCCGGCTAATTTTTTTTTGTATTTTTAGTAGAGACGGGGTTTCACCATGCTAGCCAGGATGGTCTGGATCTCCTGACCTCGTGATCCACCCGCCTCGGCCTCCCAAAGTGCTGGGATTACAGGCGTGAGCCACCGGCCCGGCCTGTTGCCTATCTGCTTTCTATTTATTTCATTTCCACTCTTATCTTTATTATTTCCTTCCTCCTGCATATTTTAGGTTTAATTTGCTCTTCTTTTTCTATATAATCAAAATGAAACCACAGATGGCTGATTTCAAACCTCTTTCCTTTTCTAATAACAGCATTTAAAGCTATAAATTTTTCTCTAAGAATTGCTTTATCTGCATTCCACAAATGCTGATAAAGCTAAAAGGAAAACAGAAAAAACACAATTAGAGTTGGAGATTTTAATACTCCATTTTCAGTAATTGATAGAACAAATGGATAAAAAAAATCAATAAAGATGTGGTAGATTTAAACAACACTATCAACCAGCTTAATCTAAATGACGTTTGTAGGACACTACATCAAAAAACTGTAAAATATACCTTTTTTTAAATGTACATGGAACATTACCAAGTTTAGACATACACTGGGGCATAAGATGTCTCAATAAATGTAAAAGGATTGAAATCATACAGAGTATATACTCTTATTAAAATGTAATTAAACTAGAACTCAGTAACTAAAAAATCCCTTAAAATATCCAAATTTGGAAATTAATATCTTTAATTTAACCATTAGAGCTTTTCGTTAAGAGTCATCATACTAATTAACAAGTTGTTAATTTCATCAGTGAAAACTCATTTCTGACATTAAATTTACTTCTTAGCAAGCCTGAGGTATTGTTCTAGATATGATAGCAAAAGTGGTCCCTTCCTCTGAAATCCACCTCTAATATGATGCCAGCCGACCACTGGGACACACTATCTATGATGAAGTGTTTCAAAGTGATCGCAGTCACTGTGATAAGCATGTTTTAGTTCTAAAACGAGAGTCTTTTGGTGTTAAACTCAGTTTTTGTCTGAGAGTGTCCTGAGGTGGAAAAGGAGGTGCTACTTGCTTCCCCCACTCCAGATTCTGCTACATACATAGACACACCTCCTTATCGACCTCAAACTTTTAACAGTTAAACAACATCTACCAAAACAAAGCTAGGAGTTGGCTTGGCCAAATTGGCCTAGGTTGGTTCACATCATCGGACACAGCAAGTGACCATAAAGATCATTTTTGCAGGAGCCCAGTGTGGATGCTGGCAAGGCAGTGTGAGCTTGTCACTGTGTCATTGCGCTTACATGAACTGAAAATAAGGAACAAGGATATGGGGTGTGGGGAGAAGACTACTTGGAAACAAACCCATGGTGTTGGAATCAAGCTACTGTGAAAAGCTGGGAAGCAGCAAGCAAGTTTCTGGAAGTTTTGATTTGAGATGATGTGAAGGAAAGTAAAGATAAGTTGATTTAATAAAAAAGATGATAAAGAAACAATGGGAGAAGAATGGTAAAGAGATAGGATTGGATAAGAGCTAAAGGTGTAAAACCTTCTCAGAAGAAAACATAGGTGTATACGTTCATGACCTAGGATTCGGCAATCATTTCTTTTTGTTTGTTTGTTTGTTTGTTTGTTTGAGGCGGAGTCTCACTCTGTCGCCCAGGCTGAGTGCAGTGGCGCAATCTCGGCTCACTGCAACCTCTACCTCCCTGGTTCAAGTGATTCTCCCGCCTCAGCCTCCCAAGTACCTGGAATTACAGGCACCTGCCACCACGCCCGGCTAATTTTTGTATTTTTAGTAGAGAAGGGGTTTCGCCATGTTGGCCAGGCTGGTCTCGACCTCCTGGCCTCAAGTGATCCACCTGCCTTGGCCTCCCAAAGTGCTGGGATTACAGGCGTGAACCACCATGCATGGCCTTGACAATCGTTTCTTAACTATGACACCAAAAGCATGCACGATCAAAGAAAAATAGATTAAAGGGGCTTCATCAAAATTCAAAAATTTTGTGTGTCAAAGGACACTGTTAAGAAAGTGAAAAGACAGCCCAGAGAATGAGAGAAAATATTTGCAAATCATGTACCTGAGAAGGGTCTAGTATCCAGAATATGTAAAGAACTCTTACAACTCAACAACAAAAAGACAACCTAATTTAAAAATGGGCAAAGGACACAATAAGACATTTCTCCAAATAAGATATACAGATGGTCAATAAGCACATGAAAGGATGCTCAGCATTAGTCATTAGGGAAATGCAAATCAATATCATAATAAGATACCACTTACACCCATGGGAATGGCCAAAATGATCAAAGACAGATGATAAAAAGTATTAATGAGGATGTGGAGACACTGGAACCCTCATACATTGCTAGTGGGAATGTAAAATTGTGCAGCCTCTTGGAAAATATTTTGGCAGTTCCTCAAGAAGTAGAATTACCATATGACCCAGCAACTCCACTCCTAGGTATATACCCAAGAGAAAGCAAAACATGTCCATACAAAAATCTGTGCATGAATGTTCATAGCAGCATTATTCACAATAGCCAAAAAGTAGAAAAAATAAATCCATCAACTGAGGAACGGATAAACTAAATGTCATACATTCATACAAGAGAATATTATTCAGCCATAAAAAGGAATGGAGGCCGGGCATGGTGGCTCACACCTGTAATTCCAACACTTTGGGAGGCTGAGGTAGGAGGATTGTTTGAGCCCAGGAGTTCAAGACCAGCCTCAGCAATATAGTAAGATCTTGTTTCTACAAAAATAAATAAATAAATAAATAAATAATAAGTACTGATACAAGGTGATGATCCTGGAAAACATTATGATCAGTAAAAGAAGCCAGACATAAAAAGCCACATATTAGGCTGGGCGCCATGGCTCACACCTGTAATCCCAGCACTTTGGGAGGCCAAGGCAGGTGGATCACCTGAGGTCAGGAGTTCGAGACCAGCCTGGCCAACATGGTGAAACCCCATCTCTGCTAAAAATACAAAATATTAGCTGGGTGTAGTGATGGGCACCTGTAATCCCACCTACTTGGGAGGCTGAGGCAGGAGAATCACTTGAACCTGGAGGAAGAGGTTGCAGTGAGCCAGCATTGCGCTGCTGCACTCTAGGCAACAGAGTAAGACTTCGTCTCAAGAAAAAAAAAAAGCCACATATTAAATGATTCCATTTAATAAATGTCCAGAGTAGGCAAATCCATAGAGACATAAAGTAGATTAGTAGTTACTGAGGGCTGGGGGGACTAGGGAAAATGGGGAATGACTGCTCATGGGTACAGAGTTGGGTTTTTTTGTTTTGTTTTATATGTGTGTGTGTGTGTGTGTGTGTGTGTGTGTGTGTGTGTGTGTGTGTGTGTTAAAAATGTTCTAAAGGGGCTGAGCATGGTGGCTCACACCTGTAATCTTAGCACTTTGGGAGGCCAAGGCAGGCAGATCACTTGAGGTCAGGAGTTCGAGACCAGCCCGGGCAACATGGTGAAACCCCATCTCTACAAAAAATACAAAAATTAGCCAGGCATGGGGGCACACACCGTCTCAGCTACTTGGGAGGCTGAGGTAGGAGGATTGCTTGAGCCTGGGAGGCAGAGGTTGCAGTGAGTTGAGATCACGTCACTGCACTCCAACCTGGGCAACAGAGGGAGACTCTATCTCAAAACAAAAAATGTCCTAAAGTTATTTATGATGATGGTTGCACCCTGTGAATATACTTAAAATCATTTAATTTTACCATTTAAAAGAGTGAGTTTTATGGTATGTGAATTCTACCTTGTATCCCAATTTCTTAAGTAGGAAAAAGTATCATCAACAGAAGACCCCCCCAACTCACAGTCAGACCATGATGGAAGGTGGTGGGGAGGGAGAGAGGGAAGGAGAGAGTGAGGGAGGGAGGACAGAATGGGGTGAAGGATGCTAAGCAGAGAATAGTGCCATGATTGAGGTTAGGATGCTTAGCATTATGGGAAGAGTTAGAAAAGGGGAAGAAGTTAGCCTAGCCCTGGTGATCAGCAACTAGAAGGAAGGTAATTTCTTTTTTTTGTTTTTCAGTCTACCAGCTGATCCATTACATGGGGCTATGACAAGGTCTGTTGAGGGAGACACCCACTGAGATTACAGAAACTAGTAAGGAGCAAAAATGGTTTACTTGAAATGTTCTGCTGAGGAACAGGTTAGAGAAGGCACTACTGTAACTGGCTCAAGTCCGGCTACTCGCTGCTCACAAGTCAAAGCATAAGAAGCAAGGTGTGGCAAGAGGAAAGCAGCTTCTAGTGGTGAAATGCCAGCAGATGGGAGAATGGCCAGGCTAAAGCCTCAAAGAGACCATCTTTGCCTTCTGGGCTGAGTGAAGGGGTTTAAGAAGGAAAAAGGTGTGGGGAATATGCGGGACTCATGAAAAGGGGGGTGTAGGTGTGCGTGTCTGGTTCTGATGGTTATCTTGAGTAATCGCTCTACAGAGGTCCACTTGGCATCATCCTGACTTCGACCCAGTGGTGGTGGGCTAACTGTTCCTAACACCCCCTGAGCAGGAGGATTCTGCAGCTGGGTCTCTCTGCCTGGCTTGTTTAAAAACTAGCCCCTGGAATTTCTAAGCAAGCACATAATTAGATAAGCAAGCGCTGTGCATGGGAGCGCCTGATGGGGAAATGGAGGGAAACAAAGAATTTCAAAGTTCTGTCAGTTTTATGATCTCTATTTTAATGGTAATGATGGTCAGTTGTGCCTGAATTCCAAAGGAGGGGGAAGGTGTAGCAAGGTGTGTCTAACCCCCTGCTTTCTGTCATGGACTGAACAGTTTTTCAGGTTCCTTTCGGATCCCTCTTGGCCAAGATGGGGGAAGGTGGGGGAGGGAAAACGGGTCCATTCTGTCTCTTGGGAGGCTTAGGATTTTTTTTCTGTTTATATTCCGCCTCTTTTGTCAAGGTATGCTAGATGTAGCATCAATGGCCAAGCTTTTATTTTGTCCAATATTGATGCTATCTGCCCCAAGTTCATCATGTCCCTCAGTGGAACCCCTTTGGCAAAGGGACTTAAAATCAAAAGACTTATAGCTAATTAAACAGTCTAGGCCAGAGGG
Source organism: Homo sapiens (assembly GCF_000001405.40). NCBI lineage: Eukaryota > Metazoa > Chordata > Mammalia > Primates > Hominidae > Homo > Homo sapiens. The sequence goes on along the minus strand of NC_000022.11, from coordinate 38,906,912 downwards.
GAAACCCCCTTTAAGCAATGTAAGAGCCAAAAACCAAAAGCCAAAAGGCAAGGTTCTAAAATTGACTTCTCTATAAATTCAATGCATTGAACTACTGTATTTTTGACTTGTAGAAATTGGCTATACAAAACACAAGCATTTTGTTCAGCCGTTTAGGCATCTGTGTGCTAGTTCTCGATTTGGAGAGTCTGAAATAATTTTCTCTCTCAAAATCAGCCCTTAAAATCTCATGCAATAGTCCCTGGGCCTGCAGGGATTGAATAGTTTCAAATTTTGAAGGCAAAACAAAACATAAAGAATTAGCAATGTTTTACACAAAAAGATCATAAGCCCTGCCTAGTTCTGAGGAGAACAGGAAAGGAAGTTCATAGGTCATTAAACATTTAAATTATTTAGTATCAAGGCATAGAACAAATTATATTATTTCAGATAGAGGCAAAATTATTAAATGAATCTTAATGTTTTTCAATACAAACCTATCCCGATGTCTCATGAAAGCAGTTTGCTTTGATTGTCTCCTTTGCCCAGGTCTAAAGACGAGGCTTTGGCTAACTCGAGTTTGGTGTCAGAGACTGGCAGGAGCCAATGCCTTCTTTAGATGAGATATGTGTACCCAGGAGTCAAAGCCCCATAACTTAACAGCACAAAGATTAGTTAATAGCACCTTTTAGGGCTTTTTTGAGGCTGAAGGTGGTGATACTTGAGTTCATGACCTGACTGGAAGCTGTAAAAAGATTTTACAGACTTCCAGTGATTAACTTTTATAGCTTTGATAAACCTCAGCAGTAAGTCAGGCTCTTAATTTAGGATTTGATTTGAGGATGTTTGTCAAATATGTTAAAAAGCTCAAAACATTTTATCAAAACAGAATAATGGTCATTGTAAAATAGTAGTTACTCATTGAAACAAGGAGATAACTAAAAGACTTTAAAGGCAATACAGAAGGATAAATGGGCGTAAAAGCCTTAACCCTTTTAAATCTCAGTTTTTTTAAGCAATCAAAAACCTATAGCTAGCTGTGATGGCTCATGCCTGTAATCCCAGGATTTTTGGAGGCCGAGGCAGGCGGATCAGCTGAGGTCAGGAGTTTGAGACCAGCCTGGCCAACATGGTGAAACCCCATCTCTACTAAAAATACAAAATTAGCTGGGTGTGGTGGTGCACGCCTGTAATCTCAGCTACTCAGGAGGCTGAGGCAGAATTGCTTGAATCTGGGAGGTGGAAGTTTCAGTGAGCCCAGATCGTGCCATTGCACTCCAGCCTGGATGGCAAGAGCAAAACTCTGTCTCAAAGACAAACAAACAAACAAAACCTAATAAAGACAGCATAGGGGCAGGGCATGGTGGCTCACGCCTGTAATCCCAGCACTTTGGGAGGCCAAGGCAGGCGGATCACGAGGTCAGGAGATCAAGACCATCCTGGCTAACACAGTGAAACCCGTCTCTACTAAAAATACAAAAAATTAGCCGGGTATGATGGCGGACACCTGTAGTCCCAGCTACTTGAGAGGCTGAGGTAGGAGAATGGCATGAACCCGGGAGGCGGAACTTGCAGTGAGCTGAGATCGTGCCACTGCACTCCAGCCTGGGTGACAGAGCGAGACTCCATCTCAAAAAAAAAAAAAAAAAAAAAAAAAAGACAGCATAGGAATTACCTCCATAAAATGTAGAATCTTGTTTCTTGAGCCAGTTGCCAAAAAGGCAAAGAAAAACTTTCTGCGGTGTGACTGCTTCTCCTTATGGGAAGCCCACTTAGATAACCTGGAAGTCAAACTTGATGAAAAAAAGTGCTTTAATTTAATTAGACACAGAAAGAGTATGTTCAAGATCATGAGTATAACAGGGGAATACATGACTCTTAGTAACTGCATGAGAAGTTTCCTGATTAACTGAAAATTTAGACATATCAAGAAAAGCCAAGACAACAGAATCAAGTTATACTGGAGGAAACCACTGCTTTTACAGACTTCTAAGATAAAACATTTCAGCATCTGGCCACAACAGTTAGATCCAGAGGGGAAAAAATTATAGAAGTTGATGGACAAAGTTGAAGGAGAGTTATCATCTCAGGCCTTTTCAAAGGGAGAAAAAGCTGAATGCAGTGAGATACAACAAAAGCTGAACTTTTAAGATATTAATCTAAGAAGTTTTCAAAAGAAACAGTTTATAGAATTAAAAAGCAAATCTTCTTGTAATTTTAATAAGAGCAAATCAATAGCTTAAGAAAGCCCCATTTTAACATAGGGGACTGTTCTTTAGAAATACTATCATAAATAATTCCCTTTTAATCATAGCTAACTTAACCACAAGACAAAATTCCTTTTATAGGCCTGGCGTGGTGGCTCATGCCTGTAATCCCAGCACTTTGAGAGGTCGAGGCAGGCAGATCACCTGAGGTCAACAGTTTGAGACCAGCCTGGCCAACATGGCGAAACCCCGACTCTACTGAAAATACAAAAATTAGCTGGGTGTGGTGGTGCACACCCTTAATCCCAACTACTTAGGAGGCTAAGGCAGGAGAATCATTTGAACCTGGAAGGCAGAGGTTGCAGTGAGCCAAGATCACTCCACTGCACACTAGCCTGGGAGACAGAGCAGACTCCATCTCAAAAAAAAAAACAACCCACAAAATTCCTTTTATAAATTCCCCTTCATGAACATTTTGCAACTTATACAGACCGTCTATGACATGCTTGGAATTTCTGACTTGTCCTATACTTCTCTCTTTCCTAAATAATCATTTTTCTTTAGGACAAAAATTTACCATATGAGGCTATATTTTTATACAAAATCATTTTCTTTTCTTTATAACCTTTCTTACCAAAAACACATCTTCATAACCACAACTTTCTTAACATCTCTCTCCTACTTACTGGTCCTTTCTACCTTCTTTTAGAAGTTACTTTTAAATAACCCCCAAATTACATAAAAGTATTGTGTTAGTTTTCAATAACACAACTTACACGATTATATATTAATTAGAATTTTTATTCTTGGTAACCTTAAATTTTAGTAAAAACCTATGAAGCAAGAAATCCTGAACTGTTTGTTAGATATTAGCATTTTGTAGATGAAACAACTACTCCATAATATTATAAACCATTCCATAATATTACGTTTTCCCATATTATAACATTATAACATGTTTTCACACATTATTTTTTTCTTAATTGGAAATGACCCAGACATCCAAAAAAGCATCTATTATTTAATTCAAAATAATGTCAAGATTTTAAATTATACAAGAAGTCCACTTACAAGCATTTATCTCATTTACATGTACTCAATTTTTTCCATTTTTAACAGTTTATCTAGATTACTTCTGAAAACTGAGATGTTACACAAATCTAGTCATTATTTAAATTTATTTCAGCCTCAGCAACATGGAGAAACTTCATCTCTACAAAAAAATACAAAAATTAGCTGGTACCACGTGGTGGTACACAGCCATAGTTCAGCTTCTTGGGAGACTGAGGTGGGAGGATCACTTAAGCCTGGGAAGAGGAGGTTGCAGTGAGGCAAGTTTGCACCATTGTACTCCAGCCTGGACAACACAGCAAGACCCTGTCTCAAAAAATAAATAAATAAATAAATAAATAAATAAATAAGTTATTTATTTATTAACCATTTTAAAAGTCTGAATAGCAGGTGAACACCCAAGAACCTTAAACGTAAACACATTTTGCCAATAACTCAGAAGATTCAGCTGTTTTAATTAAACCAACAATCTAGTCTTTTTGTCAAAAAAAAATTACACAAAGATAATTTTGGTTTTGTTTGGGTTTATAGTCCTATAACCTTTATGTGAAACTCTGACACCTTAACATGTAGACAGAGACAAATATAAAACCATTTGGTTAAAAAACTCAGACAAAAATGTATTCTGACAATTTTGAAGACATTTCTATCAATAATTTTAGTTTTATTTACCAAAGATTCATGTGAATTTGAAAAGCATCTGGACTTATTTAATTTATGAGTACTCATTTACTTATAATCCAATTTGGTAGCATGCTAGACACAATATACAACATAATACATGTATGTACACACAAGCATATCTAAACATGTATACCTACATGCACAAAGATCCAATAGCTTTTACTTTGGAACTCCAGCCATAAGATAGCAGTACAGACTCACCACTTTATAAAAGATAGCTGGATCCAAATTATTTTTCTGATGAAATTGGAACCTGTTCACATGGCTAAGGAAAGCTGTTTGCCCCAATTTAAGGAAATCTGTGAACCAAAATTTGGGTAAAGTAGTTTCTATGGCAGTTTGGTTTTGAAAACCTTTTTACTCTTCTTTTTTCTGCAGTTTCAAGTGAGTTTCTAGTGTTTCCATTTTAGCTAGAACTGGCTGAAATGTATAAGAAAAACAAAATCTCCAAGTAATGTGGAAACAGTAAGTTTTATCTCAACACCAGTAGCTGAATAACAGCAGATTCAAAGAAGGCAGAAAAGAAAAGAGAGGTAGAGAGCCTTAGAAGACTCTGCTTAACTGTAGAGTTGCAGGTTAACCATTTGACCTCTGAATTTCCCTTACTGTAATTTGCCCATCAGCTTAAAATGTGCACAAAAGTTGGCCATAATATGTAACCAGGTGGAGTCTCAGATTGTCTAGAAAAGAGAGTTGACTTGCTTTCTCCCCCCACAAACCTTGACATGGATTCAGGAAATACTCTGGAGGTCTCAGAGAGGATGACAAAATTAGAGGCTAGGATATTGGAAACTTTCTCCCCTGCAGAGGAGAGAAGCAGCCTATCTTGATGCTTTCTGACCTAGTCTTGGCGGGTGGGATGGAGACTAGTCCAAAGCACCCTTGGAGAAAGGGGTAACACTAAACAGAGACACAAACACAGACAGATCCCATGCAGACAGAGCACTCCATACCAATCCCCAAAGAGGAGAGACTGGAGAAAAGTCCTGAGATCTTGTGTCAAACCCAGAGGGCACCACAGAGTGACCTGTGTTAGGTGCAGATAGCATGGAGGCTCAGATGGCACCAAGATGACCTATGCTAGGTCCAGGTGGCTGGACAGCCCAGATGGCAGAGACAGACAACTCCAGGTGCACTCTGGTTGACTTACCCAGTCCTGAAGGCCATCAACTTACTGAATGCTGCTTTCCTTACACCATCAGAGCATGATAGCACCTGATGCCATGAAAAGGAGGCAAAGGAAAATACCCCAAACAAAGGCAGTCTCTGCATCTGTTGGGAATTCCCAAGGCCCCAGTCGCAGGGTCCACTGGCCACAAGTAGCTAGCATAGCTAGCATTTGCAAATGGCCCTGCCCTGCCTGGTACCATCAGTGGGTAAGCCTTGGTCCACTGCCTGGCCAACTGCTCCACTCGCTGGAAACCAGGCCTACAGGCTGAGCTGCTCAGAACACACACCTCCTCACTCAGGCACCAAGTCTGTAACCAGCTCAAGTTCAGCTGCTCACCGCTCAGCAGTCAAAGCATGAGAAGCTTGGTATGTGGTGAAAGGAAAGCAGCTTCTATTGGTCAAATGCTAGCAGATGGGACCATGGCTGGGCTCAAGCTTCAAAGGGAAACGTCTCTGCCTTCTGGGCTGAGTGAAGGGATTTAAGAAGGAAAAAGGTGTAGAAAATATGCGGGCATGGTGCAGGAGAATGCAGGTCTGCATGTCTTGTTCTATAGCTATCTCAAGTAATCACCCATCTGGAGGTCTGGTTTGTGTCATCCTGTCTTCAGCCCAGTGGTGGTGGACTAACTTCCTAACTTCCCTTGAGCGGGAGGATTCAACAGCTGGGTCTCTCTGCCTGGCTTGTTGCAAAACTGCCCCCTGAAATTTCTAAGCAAGCACATAATCGGATAAGTCAGCACTGTGCACGGGAGCACCTGGTGGGAAAAAGAGAAAGAATTTCAAAGTATGTTTCAAGGCTGAAAGCAAGAAAGGAAAAAAAAGTTTTAAAATGCATTTCGAGGCTGGGATACTCGGTTACACTACTCCTTGGCTGATACTGCAGCTGGGATGATCGGTTTACCTCAGAGATACAGGAAAGGAAGAGAGAAGTTTGTGGTCTCAGGTCACATGCCACTATTGTGGTCAGGCCATTAAAATAGTAGTGAAGGAAATTAAAGATGCTAAATTTATAAATGCAACTTAAAGATTAAAGTGGTTGTAAATGGAACCAAGCATGTGCTCTTCTTAGAATAATACAAAGTGTAAAATGAACTTGAAATCTCAAAAATAACTAGGATTTTGAGTTTATACATTTAATAAAGAGAATATCACATTTAAAAAATAAAAGGTCTGAAACGACAGCATTTCACTTGTCTACTAAAAGTGGAATATCTGAAAAATCAAAAATTAATCAAAATGAACATTTTTTTTCCTCGGGTTAAACTCAGAATATTGCAGCCAAAAATAGAGGTAAATTGTTCATATTTCCAATAAAGAATCCTACTCTACTAGATGACACTAAATAGATAGCTGAAATTTAAGTGTGTTTGCTTAGAAGCAACTCTGATTTCAGATTATTTTATGGATAGAAAACTTTTCCTCAAGGAAAGAGCTTGGTGTATTAAATTTAAAAGATAATCTCAAGATCTCAGGTATGACTCTGTAAAGCATGTATAAATTTTGTTGTTTTTCTAAATTTTTTTCAAATTTGAGAGATGGTATGTGTTCTAAATTACAGTTATAGGGAATGTATAATGAAAGCCAACATTTTAAATTTAATCTGAATTTTAAAGCTTAGTAATTTTGTTAGTTTCCGTAAGGTTAAGTGCAATTACTACAAAATACAAAATTGGGAATTGGAGGTATAGCACAGCCTGCTTCCATGCAAAAACCTGAATTTTTGCACTAAAACTAAATAGGCAAAACCTTCTGCAAATATATGATCATAGAACCACAATTGAAGTATACTACAATGGAAATGTGATACAATTATAAAGCCTACTGTCTTTTAGAAATCGGTTGTAGCGGAAATTATGTAAATCTAGGCCAGGTACAGTGGCTCACACCTGTAATTCTAGCACTTTGGGAGGCTGAGGCAAGACTCCTGCTTGACTCCGGTAGTTCAAGACCAGCCTAGACAACATGGCAAAACTCCGTCTCCACAAAAAATAAAAATAAAAAAAAATTAGTCATGTGTGGTGGTGCACACATCTGTAGTCCTAGCTACTCGGGAGTCTGAGCTGGGAGGATGCTTAAACCTGGGACGCAGAGATTGCAGTGAGCCAAGGTCAAGCCACTGCACTCCAGCCTGGGCAACAGAGCGAGACTCTATCTCAAAAAAATAAATAAATAAATAAATAAATAAATAAATAAATAAAAGAAAAGAAAATTATGTAAATCTATAAAAAAAATTCCACTTGAACTTTTGGGGTAAAGAACCAAAGGTACAATAGCTTCTTTCAATAATTATTTATTATTTTTAGTTTTTTAAATAAGTATAATATGGGCATATTTCATAATTGCTTTGAGAAATTTGAATTTTAAACATGAATCAGTAGGCATTTGGTTTTATCAAAAGCTCCTTAATAAATTAGAAGTTTTACATTAGGATTACCTGCAATTAAAATATAAACACAAACACATATGGAGTGAAGCATGCATTTTCACCCATAAATTAGAAGATTTTAGGGCAAACCTAAATATTTTCACATATTAACCATATGGCACTCCAAAATTTTAAGCAGTCTTTTTAAAATTCCTCTAAGTGGGCCCGATGGGGTGGTTCATGCCTGTAATCCCAGCACTTTAGGAGGCTGAGGTGGGAGAATCACTTGAGGTCAGGAGTTCGAGACCAACCTAGCCAACATGGTGAAACATCATCTCTACTAAAAATACAAAAAATAGCCGGGCTTGGTGGTGGGCACCTGTAATCCCAGCTACTTGAGAAGCTGAGGCAAGAGAATCGCTTGAACCTGGAAGGCAGAGGTTGCAGTGAGCTGAGATCACACCACCGCACTCCAGCCTGGGCGACAGAGTGAGACTCCATCTCAAAAAAGAAAATAATAATAATAATAATAACCTCTCCCTAAAACCTAGCCTGCAACATGATGAAACCCTATCTCTACTAAAATACAAAAATTATCTGGGCATGGTGGCGCATGCCTGTAATCCCAGCTACTTGGGAGGCTGAGGCAGAAGAATTGCTTGAACCCTGGAGGCGGAGGTTGCGGTGAGCAGAGATCGCGCCATTGCACTCCAGCCTGGGCAACAAGAGTGAAACTACATCTCAAAAAACAAATAAATAATTTTAAAATAAAATTCCTCTAAGTGGGCCAGGAGTTCGAGACTAATCTGGCCAACGTGGTGAAACCCCATCTCTACTAAAAATACAAAAAAAATTAGCCAGGTGTGGTGGTGCACACTTGTAATCCCAGCTACTCAGGAGCCTGAGGCACGAGAGTCACTTGAACCTGGGAAGTGGAGGTTGCAGTGAGCCAAGATGGTGCCACTGTGCTCCAGCCTGGGCAAGAGAGGGAAATTCTGTCTCAAAACAAAAAAACAAAAAAACAAAAAAAAAAAACTTCTAAGTGTATGTGGAGGGGGTTAGGTAAAGATTCAAGATGGTTTTGGATTTAATAATACTACTTGGGAGAATAATTTGGATTTATAGCCTAAAACCCTGATGTTATCATACAAAATCTGATATATCAAGTTGATAAAGAAGTGTTATATGTGATTAAAAAGAAAAATATGTGTCTCCAGAAAGGGAGCAATGCAAGGTGAGGACAAACCAAACCAAAAATCTATACAATGTGAAGAGGAAGGCAGTAAACAGGGTAAAGTAGGATGGAAAGGAGACTTCTGTGAAGACACCTTGTTTTACAGTTTTCACTTTAAAATAAAACAAATTTTACATAAATACAAAATAAAATGAAATCAAAATAGAAAAAAATCCCTAAAAATTGAAAACAAATTTAAACAAGCTAAACTAAAATACATCAAGTTAGTAGCATAGACACATTAAAAAATTATTTCATGTTACTTTAAAACACAGTATTTTAAGTGTACATTCCTAGTGGAAAATATTCTAAAGACAATAAGAACTACATAGAAATGTTGAACTATATTCAGGGTCTTATTGTTAGTAGCAATTTTGAAATTTTTAATTTTGGAATACCTATAGGTATATTATAGGATAAGCCAAATAATACATACGTTTGCTCATTAAAAAAACAAAAGTTTCAGTTGAGTGCATTGGTGCACACCTATAGACTGGGAGGCTGAGGCAGGAGGATCGCTTGAGCCCAGGAGTTTGAGGCTGTAGTGTGCTACAATTGTGCCTGTAAACAGCCATTGCACCCTAGCCTGGGCAACATAGACCCCATCTCTAAAAACAAAACAAAACAAAAACCAAGATTTTCAGTGAAAGAAAAAAATATACAAGTATTAAACCAAATATTTTGAGTTAAACTCTTGTAATCATAAATTTGAATTGGAAATATCAGTATGAACTCATAACTCTTTTCTTTTAGAATGCACTCATTTCCTAATATGTGCACTGAAAATCCTGGAAGGCATGAAAACACACTAGTAATGATCACTCCTCAGTCCCCAGATTGTGGTCTCTAAGTATCATTTTCCCCTAAAGGAACTAGCGTTTCTTAACATAACAGCTGGTTCCAGGTCTGGGGCAGGAATTGTAAAAATTGCCTAGAATACGTTGTGTTAGACAAAAAGGAAGCTATCACAGACTGCTGGGATCACGTCAAAGGACACAGAAGCCAACTTGAAGGGTTCTTTGTTGTTTGGGTTTTTTCTTTTTACTAAGATGGGTCGATTTAACAGTAACCAAATAGTGCATGAGGGAAATTTCTTTATAGAAGAATTTCAGCTACTAAATGCAGAAAAATGTTAGGAAATCACTATTTTACAATCCCTAATGAAACCATGGATGTAGCCAATGATCACCAATGAACAACCAATCCGTTAAGTGAAAGATGAATAGGGAACTTCATAAGGAAGAGATTAGGCTGATAGCACCTGAAACCATTTATGAAAATTATCATTTAAAAAATGGAGACAACCAGACCTTACATGCTTTATGATGTGATGAAACAGGAAGTAAGAGCATCACTTGTGAATGTTCCTTCCTAAGTAAATAAATCTGAACCTAATTTAGCTAGCTAGACATACATACTGGTTAATAGGAAATACAGGGGATAGAAGAAGAAGGCACCACAAGGAAGCAATCAGCTAAATCCAGAATGTAGGACATGCCTCTCCAAAATGACCAGATTTTTAATAAATTGGTGGCATGGAAATAAAACAAGGTTCCCTATAGAATAAAAGAGACAAGGAACAGCAATAAAATGCAATATGTGGCCTTTGTTTGAATCCTGATCTGAAAAAAAAACCTGAAAAGATGCTTTTGAAACAGAAAAATTTGTATATGAACTGAATATTGAATGATAGAAACAATGTAATTATTAGACAGTGGTTATATAAAAACAAAATGTCTGAGTTAAAGATGCATAATGAAGTATTTACAGGTGAAATGACATGATATCTGAGATCTACTTTAAAATAATATAGAAAACAAAAAAAGAAAAATAAGGAAATAGATGAAACAAAATTGGCAAAATATTGATAATTGTTGGAGACATAATTGGTACATGGGTGTTCACTATATATATTATATATGTATTATATATATGTATTATATATAATATTACATATAATTATATATATAATATATATCATATATTATATATATACACACATATGTTTTTTTGAGACAAAGTCTCACTCTGTCACCAGGCTGGAGTGCAGTGGTATGATCTTGGCTCACTGCAACCTCCGCCCCCTGGGTTCAAGCAATTCTACTGCCTCAGCCTCCCGAGTAGCTGGGATTACAGGCACGCGCCACCACACCCAGCTAATTTTTTAAATTTTTAGTAGAGACAGGGTTTCACCATGTTTGCCAGGATGGTCTCCATCTCTGGACCTTGTGATCCACCCACCTTGGCCTTCCAAAGTGCTGAGATTACAGGTGTGAGCCACTGCACCCATATCACTATATTGTTTTTTACTTGTGTATAGATGTGAAATTTTCCATAATATAAAGTTTGCAAAGGAAGCAAAATAAACGTAAAATTTCTGTTACAGGTAAGATAAAATAGAGAAAAGAGATTGGTTAACATTAGAATGTATATGATAGTCCAGATGCAGTGGCTCATGCCTTTAGTCCCAACACTTTGGGAGGCCAAGGCAGGAGGATCACTTGAGCCCAGGAGTTCAAGGCTGCAATGTATATGATAAATTGCAGGGTAGTCATTGAGAGAATAAAAACAGAATATAAAACTTCCAAACCAACAAAGTGGAAAAACAGAAATAAGAGAAAAATCTTCATCTATTCAAAACAGTCCAAAAAAGAGCAAGTTATAAACAACAGGAAAAAAAATAAATGAGACAATAAGATGTAGTCATAAATTCATATATAGGTAATCATAATAAATTTGAATTAATTAAACTTTCCTGTTAAAAGGCAAGGATTTAATGGCATGCTGCAAATGTGATGCTCAAAGGGAAATTTCTAACACTAAATGCCTACATCAAAAAAGAAAGATTTCAAATCAATAACCTAATTTTATACCTTAAGGAATTAGAAAAAGAAGAGCAAATTAAACAGAAAGCTAGCAGAAAGAAGGAAATAATAAAAATAAAAGATTAACATGGAGAAAAATGAGACAGAGAGTAGAAAAACAACAGAGAAAATCAACAAAATCAAAAGTTGATATTTGAAAAAAAAAATCAACAAAATTAACAAAGCTTTAGCTAGACTAAGGAAAAAAGAAAAAATGCCAAAAACTAAAACCGCAAATGAAAGCGGGGACACTACTACCAACCTTACGGAAATAAAAAGGATTATGGGAGAATAGTACACCAACAAATTAGGTAACCGAGATGAAATGTACAAATTCCTAGAAACACACAAATTACCAAAACTGGTTTGAAAAGAAATAAAAAATCTGCACATAAATCTTACAAGTAAAGAGATTGCACCTGTACTAAAATGCTTCCCAACAACAAAAGTCCAGGATCAGCCGGGCACAGTGGCTCATGCCTGTAATCCCAGCACTTTGGGAGGCCAAGTTGGGCAGATTGCCTGAGGTCAGGAGTTTGAGACCAACCCGGCCAACGTAGTGAAACCCCGTCTCAACTAAAAATACAAAAAATACCTGGGCGTGGTGGTGCATGCCTGTAGTCCCAGCTACTCGGGTGGCTGAGGCAGGAGAATTGCTTGAACCCGGGAGGCAGAAGTTGCAGTGATCTTGCACTCCAGCCTGGGCGACAAGAGAGAAACTTCGTCTCCAAAAAAAGAAGAAAAAAAAGCACATATACATCTTTCAGTATTCAGAGGGGGGAAGAAACAGAAGGCTTCAAGGCAAAAAATAAATAAATAAAATAACTTGAGATAAAGTAAGTCACAACATAATGATCAACAAATATTTTTCGAGTGCCTACTGCACACCAGGCACTGTTCCAGGCAGTTCCACAATGAGAGAGAGTAATCATATTATCTGGAAGTTATGGCAGTTTTGTGTCTTCTGTCCCAATGTTGTATCCTTCATTCATTTTTCCTGGCCCTACTATACTTTAATGTTTAATAGAATGGTGAGAGTAAGTTTCCTTGGCTTGTTACTGATCTTAACATTTTAATATTTACTAAAGTCTTCACTGTGGGGAATTTTTAAAAAAATACATCTTTTATGGCTGAGCGTGGTAGCTCATGCCTGTAATCGCAGCACTCTGGGAGGACAAGCAGGCGGATCACCAGAGGTCAGGAGTTCAAGACCAGCCTAGGCAACATGGTGAAACGCTGTCTCTATTAAAAATACAAAAGTTAGCTGGGCGTAGGGGCGCACGCCTGTAATTCCCAGCTACTCAGGAGGTTGAGGCAGGAGAATCGCTTGAACTCAGGAGGCAGAGGTTGCAGTGAGCCAAGATTGCACCACTGCACTCCAGCCTGGGTGACAGAGCGAGACTCCATCTCATAAAATAAACAAATAAATAACAAAAAGACATCCTGTATTAGTTTAAAAGCGTTTCTTTATATTCTTAATTTGTTTAGTTTTTTAATCATAAATAGAGGTTGAATTTCAGCAAACACCTGTTCTGCATTTATTGAAATGATCCTATGGTTTTTCTCCTTCTATCTGTTAATGTGAAAAATTACGTACTTACTTTTCTAATCTATTCTAGTGTACTCTAATCCAATTTGGTCATGATGTATTATCTTGGATTCAGTTTACTGATGTTTTGTTTATGGAAAAGATTGTTCTATATTTTCCTTCCTCAAACAGTCTTTGGTTGGGATAACAAGCAGATTAAGCCAACTTTGTAAAAATTATTAGCAAGTATTGGTAATTTTTCTACTTGCTGGAATAGTTTGTATTTGAAAGTATTCATTCCTTAAATGTTTGGTAAAACCCTTCTGTTTAAAAAAAAAAGTCTAGTCCTGCTGTTTCTTTGATATGAAGATTTTTAGTCACCAATTCAATTTTTTAAATGGTTAAAACATCGTTTACATTTAAAATGTCTTAAATGTAAAATTTGTGCAACTTGATTTACATTTTCAAAATTATTGGCATAAAGTTGCATCATATTTTTACATTTTTAAAATTGATTCTTCATCGAAGTCATGTTTCCTTTCTTTATTTTTATTTAATTTTTTTGAGACGGAGTTTTGCTCTTGTTGCCCTGGCTGGAGTACAATGGTGCAATCTCGGCTCACTGCAACCTCCGTCTCCCAGGTTCAAGCGATTCTCCTGCCTCAGCCTCCCAAGTACCTGGGATTACAGGCATGCACCACCACGCCCGGCTAATTTTGTATTTTTAGGAGAGACAGGGTTTCTCCATGTTGGTCAGGCTGGTCTTGAACTCTCGACCTCAGGTGATCTGCCTGCCTCGGCCTCCCAAAGTGTCGGGATTACGGGCGTGAGCCACGGCGCCCAGCCAATTTCCTTTCAATTCTGCTATACTTTATGGGTCCCATCTCTATTTCCTAATTAGTCTTGCCAAAGGTTTGCCAGTTTTATTAGTTTTTTCAAAAAAACAAAATTTGGCTTTGTTCGTCATGTCAATTTTATGATTGCTCTCTGTTTCATTTATTTCTGCTCTTACCTGTAAATTTTCTTTTTTCTACTGTTTAGGATTTACTCAGCTGTTCTCTTGGTAACTTCTCATGTTAAATGTTTGGCTTATTGATTTTCAGCCTTTTTCTCCTATATCATAAGCCTCTCATATGTTCTGATACGTGGAATTTTCATTATTGTTCGCTTCTAAGCATATTCTAAAACCTGTTATGCTTTCTTTTTTTACCCATGAATTATTTAAAGGTTTTTCCTATTTCTATGCTTTTTTGTTATTTATTTCTTATTGAAGTACATGGTGGTCAGAAAATATTGTTTGTTCAATCCATCCTTTTGGCATTAACAAAAGATTGCTTTTTGGCAAGATAAATGGTCAATTTTCATAAATATTCCAGACGTGCTTGAAAGTAATGTAATGTCTGCAGTTACTTGGTGAAATGTTCTGGAAATTCCCATTAAGTAAAATTTGTAATTCCATAATTCTCATCTCTCATCTTTTCTATGCTCACTGACTTTTGTTTTTTTCTGCTTTCTCCTTCTGAATTACTCAGTGAGGTATGTTAGACAAGACAGAACTATCCAAACTCACAGTAAGAAACCAATCAGTGAAATCTAGAAGGCAGAATATTCTATCGGACAGTAGCTTAATTCCTTCAATTCACGGTATGAAAATAGAGGCTGTTCTAAATTAAAAGAGATTTGTGGATGTAAGCAGATTGGGTCCTGAACCCTAACCTAGAAAAACCAGGTATAGAGGACATTTGGAGGAAAATTGGTTTGGGCTCTCTAAAGCCTAGGGTGCACCTTTGCCCAAGTCCGAGGACACCCAAATGTCCTCCCTTTGCAGATGGCCAGTGCTTTGGTCCTGCCAGAGGAGGGCTGACATCCCCATCCACCTGTTCCAATGATAATAAAAGCGCCATTGCCTGTGATAACAGATGTCAATCCCCAACACCCAGAAGATGTAAATGCTAGGCACTTGAAAATATCATTTTGAGTGACTTACCAGGGGACTTTAAAGGCAGACTGTGTGGCTAGTCTTGCTGGAAAGACACTCTGAAGTCTGTGATAATGGAGTAGCCTCTGCCCCATCCCCAACACCCGCTCCATGGCCCCATGGGTCTATCAACTCTACTACACAGCTAACCCCCATGAACAGGGACTGTGTCTCATTTCTCTGGGTCTCCCCAGCAACTAGCATGGCTTGTTGGATAAACAAGAATTAGCTGGCCATCGAGCCACCATCTCTGTCTTGGCACAACCTCCGTGTGTTCTGCTTGCAAAATTCTGAGCCCAGGCCCTTTTATCTCCTTTGTCTCCTTTAAGAAAAGGATGCTCAAGCCTGTCACAGAATGAAAAACATTACGGGCATGCCCAGCCCAGACAGATGGGAGGGAGGTGGATGCAGAGATTGTTGTGGCCAAACTATTTACTGTGTCTGGACAGGACAATTTCAGGATTTGGAAATTCCCCGGCTGCGGAGAGGCAAAGGCTCTTTTCTCTCGCCAGTTACCCGAGCAGCAGCCGGTGAACTGACTTTAATTTAGGATGTGAGGCTATGCTACGCCCTCACAAGGACCCAGCAGAATAAGACCACTGTTCAGGGAGCTGGGTGGCCCCTCAGTTTGCAGAGAATCCATGGCTGGATTTGATGGGTCAAAGTCAGCAGTATATACCCTCCCTAATGTGAGTGATTTTTCTCTAAATCCCACCAACGGTATCCCAAGAAGATAACTGGGCAAGTGCATGAAGACATGTGTTTAAGGATATTCATCGCAGCCTGTCTGTAATTTCAAAAAACTGAAAACAGTACATTTAGATCCATTAACTTCTGATTATATACATGAATAATGTCACATCCATACAGTGGATTACTCTGCACTGTTAAAGGGATAATGGAGATCTATATTTCTTTTTTTTTTTCTTTTTTGAGATGGAGTCTTGCTCTGTCACCCAGGCTGGAGTGCAGTGGTGCAATCAAGGCTCACTGCAACCTCCACCTCCCAGGTTCAAGCGATTCTCCTGTCTCAGCCTCCTGAGTAGCTGGGACTACAGGCGCGCCCATGCCCAGCTAATTTTTGTATTTTTAATAGAGATGGGGTTTCATCATGTTGACCAGGCTGGTCTTGAACTCCTGACCTCAGGTGATCCACCCCCTCCTCGGCCTCTCAAAGTGCTGGGGTTACAGGCATGAGCCACTGCCTGGCAAGATCTATATTTCTTGACATGGAGATAGGTGGATACACCTATACACACACCCACATGCCGATCTGATATACACAGAGTCATTTGTGTACATATTTGAAAAAAAAAAAAAGATGTCTAGGTCATTCACCACACTGCACCGCAGGTTATCAATGGGTAGTGGGAATTAGAATGACATTTACCTTCTTTGGACTTTATGGAGTGTTTAATTTTTTTTACCATGACTATGTATCATTTTTATAATCAAGAGAAACAAAGTGATTCCCATTTTGGGATAAATAAAATTAGCTGTTAGCATTTTTGAAAAGTTTAAAAAGAATTTGTCAATATGTATAAAATTCTCTGCTCTAAAAATGATATAATTTTAGCACAACTTTTTCCCTCACTGCTTCACAGAGGTTTCATTAAAATCAGCTCGAGCTTCCATCTGTGATTTTTAAAATTTTTTTATTTTTTATTTTTGAGATGGAGTTTCCTCTTGTTGCCCAAGCTGGAGTACAGTGGCGCGATCTCTGCTCACTGCAACCTCCGCCTCCTAGGTTCAAGCAAGTCTCCTGCCTCCGCTTCCCAAGTAGCTCGGATTACAGGTGGATGCCACCATGCCCGGCTAATTTTGTATTTTTTTAGTAGAGAAGGAGTTTCACCATGTTGGTCAGGCTCGAAATCCTGACCACCCACCTTGGCCTCCCAAAGTGCTAGGATTATAGGTGTGAGCCACCATACCTGGCCTTTTTTTTTTTTTTTAATTATGTTGCGTTCATTTCAGGAACTCTTTGGTAAAAATTGCACTACACTGCAAAGGTTGAGAACCAGGTGCTGGAACCAGACAGCCTGGGCTCAGGTCTGGATCTGGATTGTGTTATTCATTAGTTCTGTGATCCTGGATAGGTCCTTTAACTGCCGTTTGACTCGTTTAAATTTGGGATGATACAGGAGTTCGAGGTTACAGTGAGCTAAGATTCCACCAGCTTGTGTGACAGAGTAAGACCCTGTCTCAAAAATAAATAAATAAACGTTTAAAAGACTAATTTGAGCTGATAGTACTACAAAACCTCACATGGCTACTCTGAGGATTAAATGAGATGATACAGGTACAGAAAGAACTTAGAACAATGCCTGACTTAAAGCAAGCACTCAGGCCGGGTGCAGTGGCTCACGCCTGTAATCCCAGCACTTTGGGAGGCCGAGGTGGGTGGATCACGAGGTCATGAGATCGAGATCATCCTGGCTAACACGGTGAAACCGCATCTCCACTAAAAATACAAAAAATTAGCCGGGTGTGGTGGCAGGTGCCTGTAGTCCCAGCTACTCCGGAGGCTGAGGCAGGAGAATGGCGTGAACCCGGGAGGCAGAGCTTGCAGTGAGCCAAGATCGCGCCACTGCACTCCAGCCTGGGCGACAGAGCAAAACTTCATCTCAAAAAAAAAAAAAGCAAGCACTCAATAAATGTTTCTACTTTCCTCTTTCTTAAAATTTACAGTCAGCTCCACCATTGATTATTTGGATTGAATGATAGGATATATTTTACTGGCTTCTTTTTTGCCATTGTTACTATATGTTGTTTCGTTTTTTCCCAGTTTTATTGAGAAAACTGGTAGTATAATTGACAAAAAAATGAACATATTAAAGGTATACAACACGATGATTTGATATATGACACACTGATACGTGTATACATGGTGAAATGATTATCATAACCAAGCAAATTAACATATCCATCACCTCACATAGTTACCTGTATGTGTGTGTGTGCTTTAGATTCCACATATAAGTGAGACATACAGTATTTCTTTGTGTGTCTGGCTTATTTCTCTTAGCATTGTGTTCTGTGGGTTCATCCATGTTGTCACAAATGGCAAGATTTCCTTTTTTATGGCTGAATAATATTCCAATGTGTATATATTTCCCATTTTCTTTAGCCATTCATCTGTCAGTGGACATTTATGTTGCTCCCATATCTTGGCTATTGTGAATAATGCTGCAATGAACATGATGGAGCAGATTTCTCTTTAAGATACTGACTTCATTTTATCTGGCTATACATCCAGAAGTGGGATTCTTGGATGAAATGGTAGCACTATTCTTAATTGTTTGAGGAAACTTCATACTGTTACCTATAATGGCTGTACCAATTTATACTCCCACCAACAGTGTCCAGGGTTCCCTTGTCTTCCTCCACATCTTAGCCAACACTTGATATCTCCGTCTTTTTCAAAAGAACCATTCTAACAGGTGTGAGTTGCTAGCTCATGTAGTGTTGATTTGCAATTGCCTGATGATTAGTGATGCTGAGCACATTTTCATATACTTGCTGTGTTCTTTGGAAAAAATGTCTATTATTATTTCTTTGCTCATTTTAAAATCAGGTTATTTATTTTTTGGCTATTGACTTGTATGAGTTCCTTATATATTTTGGATGTTAGCCCCTTATCAGATATATGATTTGCAAATATTTTCTCCTATTTCATAAGTTATCTTTTCATTTTACTGATTGTTTGCTGTGCAGAAGCTTTTTAGCTTGATGTAATCCTACTTGTTTATTTTACTTTTGTTGCCTATGCTTTTGGTGTCCTACACAAAAAATCATTACCAACACCAATGTCAAGGAGCTTTTTCCCTTTGTTTTCTTCTAAGAGTTTTACAGTTTCAGTTCTTACATTTAAGTCTTTAATCAATTTTGAGTTAATTTTTGTGTGTGGTGTATGATACGGGTCCAATTTCATTGTTTTCCATGTGGATATCCAGTTTTCCCAACACATTTATTGAAGAGACTACTCTTCCCCCATTGTGTATTCTTGGCACCTTTGTAAAAGATTAGTTAACAGTATAAGCATGGGTTGATTTCAGGGCTCTCTATTCTGTTTCATTTGTCTATGTGTCTTTTTATACCAGTACCATGCTGCTTTGATTACTGTTGTTTTGTGATGTAGTTTGAAAGCAGGAGTGTGATGCCTCCAGCTTTGTTATTCTTTCTCAAGATTGCTTGGGTATTCAAGGCCTTTTTTGATTCCATGCAAATTTTAGGATTTTTCTTTTATATTTCTGTGAAGAATTCTATTGGATTTTTTTCTTTTTTCCTGTATGTATGTATGTATGTATTTATGTATTTATTTATTTTTGCCTGAGGCCTCCACTTAAAGAGGAGCAATTGAAATTTTGATAGAGATTGCATTGAATCTATAGATTGCTTTGGGTAGTATGGACATTTTAACAATATTAATTCAGGCCAGGCATGGTGGCTCATGCCTGTAATCCCAGCACTTTTGGAGGCTGAGACTGGCAGATCACCTGAGGTCAGGAGTTCGAGACCAGCCTGGCCAACATGGTGAAACCCCATCTCTACTAAAAATACAAAAATTAGCCAGGCATGGTGGCAGGCACCTGTAATCCCAGCTACTCAGGAGGCTGAGGCAGGAGAATCGCTTGAACCCTGGAGGCGGAGTTTGCAGCAAGCTGAGTTGGCATAGGCGACAGAGCAAAACTCTGTCAAAAAAAAAAAATTTGCTGAGTAATGAACCAAAATGACATCACCAGAATGTATTGCTCCCCTGTCCCCCAAATACTCCCCACCACCGTCATTCTCAGTCTTCTAATAGTTGGTTATCTTAAGTGCTTACCTTTTATACCCATTGAATTGTCAACAAATAGCTGCCAATCTCAGGCCTTTCTGGATGCCTAAAATCCAGCAGCATCTATAACATGGATTTTACTGAAAGAGGAACAGTGTTCACAAACTTCTAGGTGAATATAATCGCGCCACTGCACTCCAGCCTGGCGACAGAGTGAGACTCCATCTCAAAAAAAAAAAAAAAGAAAAAAAAAGGATTGAGTGAATTAACAAATGAAGAACACATAGAATTATGCCCAGTACATAGTAGGCCTTCCATACACATCAGCTATTAATACTGTGACATTCCAGGGCCTTTAGACATTTTTATATCTTATGAGGCAAAGAAACAAAAAACCCAATCAGTTCTGTAGAAAATACCTCGTTGATGTAGTTACCAGATTTCCATGAACAGAGGGAAGAATTCGGTAGTGATATGACTCAAACCCAAGGTTGTGGACGAAGGCAGTCCCAAGGGCTCTGAGACTACCCACACAGAAGGTCTTGAGATAAGCATCTATAAATAGGAATCGGAATGGCCCATCAGGGTCACAGAGAAGAATCCTGAATCATTACACAACATCAAACTGCTGAGTAGAGACCCTCAAAAATGGTTTGAAATGACTGAATTATTCCCTTAGTGAGTAAGTAGTTTTTACCCCCAGGAAGACTTGAATTACGTACAGAAATGTAAAAAGAACAAAATCCTAATTATTTATGTATTTACTTATTTGAGATGGAGTCTCGCTCTGTTGCTGAGACTGGAGTGCAGTGGTGCAATCTTGGCTCACTGCAACCTCCGCCTCCCAGGTTCAAGTGATTCTCCTGCCTCGGCCTCCCAGGTAGCTGGGATTACAGGTATGCGCCACCACACCTGGCTAATTTTTGTATTTTTAGTAGAGATGGGGTTTCACCATGTTGGCCAGGCTGGTCTCGAACTCCTGACCTCAGGTGATCCACCCACCTTGGCGTCTCAAGTGCTGGAATTACAGGCGTGAGCCACCGCGCCTGGCCATCTTTTATATTAAGGTGTTTTTTCTATTTTATATTCTTATAATATTTAAGAGAACTCAGTCTATTAAAATAATAGATTGCCTCAAGATTACAATTTTAAATGTGTAACTGAGTAAATGATCTGGACTTGGGATTTGCTCTTTTACACGTAGTACTGGAACAGCCAGTCAGACTTCAAGCTCATATTTATATGCTAAATGCATTCAATTTATAAGAATTGCTTCAGCACTTAAGAAGGTTTGTCAGCCAATTATACTTAGGAAGTTAAGCAAATATATTATATGTGATGAATAATGCAATATGAAAAGTTTAAAGGAGTTTAAGTTCGTAAATGAGACCAAAATTAATCAGAGCCTTCTTAGAAGTGATTGCTAAATTTGCTAGATCTATAATTAAAATAATAAGTTATTTAAGCTGAAATTAAAAGTGTAAGGACAAACTAGGTTTTTCCTTTTATTTATAACTTTAATAAATTGAATATTAATTTTTAAAACTTAAGAAAACCCCTGGATAATCTTTTCTGCACATAAAATCTGCCTTTCAGGGCATCCAAAAATTCACATTAATGTGCATATGAGGTTGAGGTTATTTGAGACAGTCCTGTTACCTCTTATTTCTGTTCATGTGGGGTCAAGAATAGGACAAGTTCGGGCCGGGCACGGTGGCTCACGCCTGTAATCCCAGCACTTTGGGAGGCCCAGGCAGGCAGATCACGAGGTTGGGAAATTGAGACCATCCTGGCTAACATGGTGAAATGCTGTCTCTACTAAAATACAAAAAATTAGCCAGGCGTGTTGGTGTGCACCTGTAGTCCCAGCTACTCGGGAGGCTGAGGCAGGGGAATCGCTTGAACCTGGGAGGCAGAGATTGCAGTAAGCCAAGATCACTCCACTGCACTCCAGCCTGGCAACAGAGCGACACTCTGTCAAAAATAAAAATAAAAAAGAATAGGACAAGTTCTCAGTAGGCCCCTGGACTAACCACCCAGCACCCTTAAATTCACACAGGAACTGGCTTTTGATCATAACTCTTCCAATTCTGCACACCATTCAGCAGCTGCGGTTCACACAGGACCCTGGGAACAGAGAATCCCCAGCCCAAATGGGGTTGAGGTTGTGGCTCACAATGTCCCCCAGAGGGATGTCCTATCTCCATGTGAGAGTCACTGGGGCTCCAACCTGTCCCAGAGTCTGAGGCTGGAGTGCAGCAGGGTTCCCCCATGGCTCAGAACATGATTATCAGGATGTGGTTCCCTTAGGCGGCATCTTTATTGGCACCCCCAACAGGTGACGCCCGCCCTGGACAGCCGGACCTCCCAGGTGGATGACAGACCTCCTTGCCTCTCCAGGTGGCGGGGGATACATCACAAATCGGAGTCATACACACAACACTAGAGAAACGGAAGAAAGATGATGCATTTTGGTGGTGACAAAGGTGGGAGCAATCTCCCAGAGCTAGGGACTCCCGAAATTGGGTTGGGTTCTAAACTAACTACATAATCAGACTGATGCGTTCTTCTGTTGGCTGGCTCTGCCTCACCACGAACTCCACACCCCTGGAAAATCCCTCCCAGGATTGTCTGGGAGGTCCAGGTGTGTCCCTGGGCACAAGATCTGGGGTGCTTAGCTGGGCCCAGCACTTTCTCGGGGCTTCTCTGCTGGGTGTGTGCTTTGGAGGCAGAACTCAATGAACCCACCAGAAGGCTCCTTTCTCATTTAACCTCTCAAAGTTTCTCTCCTAAAACAATCCCAGAACTGCTGTGTTACGACAGGAACAGGAACCTCACAGCCGATCTCCTATCAGCAAGCTTTTGATATTGTCAATCCCCTTAAGGGGCCCCCTCAAGACCCCAGGGAAGGGGATGAGGAGGAAAAGGCAAAGGTGAGGGGACACATAGTGGGGGGTCCTCCTCCTCCCGCCAGGGCGGAAGGCCCCAGGTGACTCTGGTCCCCGCTGTGAGCAGGGATAGGGCACCGCACCGGGGCCCAAATGCTGGGGAGGGCAGGCGGTCAGCAGCACGGGTCAATGGCCAGCCTTCTCCAGCCATATGCCAGCCCTCTGCTCCAGGGCAGGAGTCCACACAGCTCAGCAGAACTGGCAGAATGGGGCTGGGTGCGGTGGCTCATGCCTGTAATCCCAGCACTTTGGGTGGCCGAGGTGGGTCGATCACCTGAGGTCAGGAGTTCGAGACCGGTCTGGCCAACATGGCAAAACCACATCTCTACTAAAAATACAAAAATTAGCCAGGCATGGTGGCAGGCATCTGTAATCCCAGCTACTCAGGAGGCTGAGGGAGGAGAATTGCTTGAACCCAGGAGGTGGAGTTGCAGTGAGAGCCATTGCACTCCAGCCTGGGCGACAGGAGCAAAACGCAAAAAGAAAAGAAGAAAGAACGAAAGAACAAAGGAAGAAAGGAAGGAAGGGAGGGAGGGAGGGAGGGAGGGAAAGAAAAGGAAAGGAAAGGAAAGAAAAGAAAAGAAAAGAAAAGAAAAGAAAAGAAAAGAAAAGAAAAGAAAAGAAAAAAGAAAAGAGAAAAGAAAAGAAAACTGGCAGAATGGAACCCAAGAGAGGACCAGCCTCCCAGCACCCCCTTGTCAGGGTGCCCTAACTTTCCTTAAAGTGAAAAAGATTCTGGAGAAACTAGCATTCCCCCTAAACCACTAAAATGTAGTTGGAAGAAAAAAAACAAAACAAAAAACATGCTGCCCAGCAAAACAGGAAGAGCAGGAAGAGAACAAGTTTGCACAGAGCTGAGAGATGAAAGACATCACGCCAGAGCTTTGCATCTCTTCTCATCTGCTTCGCATTCACTGGAAAGAGGTGTCCGGACGAGGGGCCTGTGGGAGCCAGAAGTGCCCCTGGATTTTATCTGCAATTGCTCAGGTGTCAGTTTTCCCACCGTGGCCTTGACCACCCCTTGTCAGTCCCGCAGACCTTGCTGGGGCGCCCCTGGCCTGACAAGCCAGACTGTTGTGGAAGAAAGGAACAAACGCTCTTCTTTAAATCATTGTATTTCCAAGTGTCTTTGTAGAGAAGCCCTAATTAACTAGCAGACCAGAGGGGAATGGCTCCCTCCGTCTTGGGCACCCATCTGTGAGATGGTGCCCAGGCTTGGAGTTTCCAGGGAGTTTCCAGCTCTTTCCATTTTAATGTACAGCCTGTTGCCTCTCTGAATATACATCGGGGAGGCTGCGCTGCAGCAGATTGGAAATGCATCTGCCTCTTGGCCCTCGGAACCTCACCCAGGGCTCAGCCTCTGCATCCAGCTTGCTGTGCCAGGCCCCTTCGCCTCTGCAGTGAGTTGTCACTGGGGGCCTCCTCCCTGTACTTGGATCAAGGCCCAGGCTCTCCTCCATGGCCTGCAGGGCCCTGCCTCCCTCGCTGACCTCACTCTCTCTGTCCACTCGGCTCCAGCCCCGCTGGCTTCCTTCTGTCCCTCAGATATGCCAGGTGTGTCCCTGCCTCAGGGCCTTTTGCTAGGAAACCTCCTCTCCCAGATCTATACAGCTGCCTCCTTTTCCTGGTGTGGGTCTCATCTCAGATGTGGCTGCTCTACAGGCCTGCCCCAGCCACCATGCTGAGCACCCCACCCATGCGCCCTGTTCCTCTCCACTGTGCATTCCTATTCAGCCTCTTCACAACACATATCTGACTTGAAATCATCTTGCCTTGTGTGTTTGTTGTCTGTCTGCTGCCCCCATAAGAATCCAAGACTCTCAAGGGCAGGGACTCTGTCTGTCTTGTTCTCTGCTGTGTCCCCAGCTCCTAGAATAGTACAAGCATATGATTGAAGCCCAGTAAATATTACTTGACTGTCTACCTAGTGTCAGGCCCTGTCCAGGGAACAAGCAGCACAGGGGGCCATGCCCTCAGGGAGCTCATGCTTTGCAGGGAGGTGGCAAGTCACCAGGAAGAACTCTCCTGTGTTCTTGATGCTCTATAAACACCAAAATGGGGCAAAGGAAGGCTGGCCAGTTCTACCTGGCAGGGCCAGATATGGCTTCATACAGGAGACCCCAGAACTGAGTTTTGAAAGATGCATAGGTGCATCCCAGGTGAAGGTACAAAGGTGTGGAAAAGCGGGGACCACCCGGGAACAGCAGGTGGTTCAAAGAGACCCAACGAAGAAGGTGTGCAGGTTGAGGGTACAGGGTGTAGGGACATGGGGAAGAGTTGCTCTGCCACGAGAAAGAGCTCAGGCTTCCTCTAGAGACAGCAACAGCCACTAAGAGGTTTTTTCACTGTTGATATTTTGGCTCCTTCAATGTTGAAACATCTTAAACAGAGGAATGACTTGGTCAGAACTGCACTTCCAAATAATCCCTTTGCCAAAATTGGCGTTTCCCGTGTCCCTTGCCCAATCATGACCGTATTCGGGCATATTTCCAACGACTCTGCTGCCCTCTTTCTAAAAATAGCGAGCCTGTCTTCGGAGGCACAGAATTTCACAGTGCAGTGTTTCAGAAGGAACTCTACACGTCTCTATTCTCTACATGTTCAGGGGCTCACACTGTCCCCTGAACTCCTGTATTTGGCTTCTTTGTCCACAGCTTCCTAGGTCAAATAGCATCATGTGGCTGGACTCGTTGGGCAGCAGGAAGAGATAAGGGAAGGGCATTAAATGGAAGAAGAAAAGTTTCATTCACCTCTGAGTCTTCCACATTTGGATAGAAACTCAGTATCCTCAATAGTAAAATGGAATAACAACAGCATCTACCTCGTAGGATCCTTTTGAGATCAAATTATTAATACCTTTTCTCTAATCAGGTAGAGATAGAAAAGAAGAAAAAATAAATAAATAAATTATTAATACTGTATGTAAAGCTCTCAGAAGAGTCCTTGAAACATAATGAGTTTTTTTTTTTTTCTTTTTGAGACAGTTTCACTCTTGCTGCCCAGGCTGGAGTGCAATGGCGCGGTCTCGGCTCACTGCAACCTCCACCTCCCAGGTTCAAGAGATTCTCCTACCTCAGCCTCCTGAATAGCTGGGATTATAGGTGCCCACCACCATACCTGGCTAATTTTTTTTTTTTTTTTTTTTTAAGTAGAGACGAGGTTTCACCATGTTGGCCAGACTGGTCTCGAACTCCTGACCTCAAGTGATCCTCCTGCCTCGGCCTCCCAAAGTGGTGGGATTATAGGTATGAACCCTATAAGGAGTTCTGTACAACGTGTTAGCTGTTGTTATTTTTGGTCAATACAGCTTCAATTTCTAGAATTGGTCCAATATACTTTCAGTGGAAGAAAAACATATAAGTGTATACGTTGTGTGCGTGTGTGTGTGGGGGGGTTGTGTGTGATGTTCATCTCTCTTGAGGTATAAACTGGCTCAGAGCATATATAAACGTACACTTCCACCACTGCAGACTTGCTGTGTGCCCAACACAGTTGCAGATGCTGATATATATCATATGTTGTTATCCTCATGAGAATTCTACAAGCTAGGAATGATTATCTCCATTTTACAGATGAACACTGAGGCTCAAAGAGGTTGATGATGAAAAGTTGCACCGCTGAAATTCATCCGTGTGCACATCCATCTCTTCAAGCATCTCAGTTCCTCCAGGGCAGAAATCCCATCTTTTCTACTTTGCATTCCCAGAGCCCATTGCAGAGAGGGGGAGAGAGATGCAGCAAGCAGTTGCTGGACCTGAATCCCTATACATGTTATATGGTCAAAATTACTCTTAACAAGCCCTTCAATGGCACACCCAACAAATATTAATTGGAAAATATATATATATGAATTGGATACCTACTGTGTGCAGGGCCCTGTGTTAGCACTGGAGAAAAAGTGGGAACCAGATGGGCAAAGTCCCTGCCACTGTGGAGCCTGGCGTCTAGTGAGGAAGTCAGGCATTAAATAAATGGTCATATTAAACAAACCATTCCTATAACGCCAGATAGTGTTAAGGACCAGGGGAAAAAATAGACATTGTAACCAAAAAGTGTCTGAGACAGGCCTCGATCAATTGAGAAGCTTATATTGCCAAGGTCAAGGACATGTCCGGAAGATAGTGAATTCGGGTCCTGAGTTTTTATTTTTCTTTCTCATCTATGGGGAGAGAGGGTGGTGGGTAGGAGTTGGGGCTCCTTTACATAAGGTCATCAGAGGAAATCTTTTTGAAGAGGTAACATCTGAGCAGAGATTGAAAGAACTGAAGAAGCCACCGTGCCACCCCTGGGAGAAGATGGGACTGTTCTAGGTAGAGGGAACAGCAAGGATCAAGGGCCTGGGGTGGGAGCAGCTTGGAGTTTGCAGAGCCTATAAAGTACCATACTCAGCTGCTGTGTCTCATCCCTCCGCAGTAACATCTGTTCCCTGCTCGGATCCCCAGGGGTCCCTGTTCTATGTCCCCCCAAGCCCACCCATGTGCCTTTCCTCCAGCAGCCAGCATCTATAGCTCTCCTTCCAAAGGCCATCCCCAGGGTACTGAAGCCACTTTGCAGACAGAGGCAGAAAGCAGCACGTGTCTGGGGGATCAACATTCCCCCCACCTAATACCCTTGCCCTGCAGCCTGTAACCAGGGTCTGGTGGGTGGGGGAAAATATTGAGGAATAACTTACTCTCCAGATCCCTTGAGGCGTGAGGCTGGGGCCACTCACTGCAGGACTTTAGCTCGACACCTTACTCTCTGCTTGCTTCCTTCCCTTTCCTATCTTGCTTCACTCATTCCCTTAGCAATCTCCCCTGGGAGCACTTCCTTAATAAGTCACTTACATGTGACTAAGACAATCACATAAGGGGTTGAGTTGCAGCAGTGTGCAGTGTATAGTGATAAAGACATCTGCAGAAAATCATTTTACATTTTCTAAATGATGGAGACAAGTGCAGAGTTGACTCTGTGTTGAGTTAAATGTCCAGATGATGCCACACCCTCCACATTCTAACTCACACCCCAGCCCTCCAGGACCTCAAATCAGGGACAGAATGAAGGCCTGTGGCCTGTGGTCCCAAGCTCAAGGCACTGACTTCTGGCATCAGGGAGGGGATAGTCCATTCTGGAAAGTGGACTTGGATAGATCTTCAATGGGATTGGAGCTAAAGTACTCTTTCCCAATTCTGACACTGTCCACAGCCTTAAGAGACTCTGTGCCTCAACCATGCCAGGCTGACAGTCGAAGCCTGGGACAAAGCTACCTCCTCCCATCCCTGAGTCCCTCCTTGCCCCAGGTGCAGACAAACTCTGTTTGGCAAAGGCCTCACTCCCCATCCCTGCAAAGCCCAGTTCAGCACCTTCATTCCTTGATTTGTCCCACAGATATTTATGAGGCACCCACATGTGTCTGATGCTAGGGACATGGAGGCATAGCCCATGAGTCCCAACCACACCCAACTGGTAGAAGTCACAAAGGTAAGATGCCCAGAATTCTGCAGGTGCCTTTGTGAAAGGAGTGTCTGGCCCCAGGGATCCCATCAGCTTTAAGCATGAGCTGTGTCCCAACTAGGGACCCTTGAGGTAAATTATTACAATAATAGCTCTGCGTTCCCTTTTCAGTGTGACCCTGCCACTCCTCCCATCCAGGCATGGAGTCTCTTTCCCTGTTCCTGAATCTGGACTGGCCTGATATATTAGTTTGCTATGCTCTATCACTGATTGCTTAAAGCAATACCCCTTTATCATTTCAGTTTCTGTGGGTCAGAAGTCCAGGCACAGCTTAACTGAAGTCTCTGCTCAGGGTCTCACAGGCTGCAATCCAGGTGTCAGCTGGCGCCACATCCCCATCTGAAAACTCAGAGTTCTCCTCCAAGCTCAGTGGCTAGTCACAGAATTCAGATCCTTGTGATTGTAGGACTGAGGTCCTCAGCTCCTGGAAACCACCCACCACCGTTCCTGCCACATGGCCCTCTCCACAACATGGCATCTTGCCTCTTCAAGGTCAACAGGAGCGCAATTCCACTGCTTCCAACCTTTCCTCTTGGGAGAGGCTTGGATTGTCTTTCAAAGAGCTCGCCTGATTAGGTCAGACCAAGATAAACTCCCTTTTGAATAAGTCAAAGTCAACTTAAAGGACCTTAATTATGTCTACAAAACCTTGTTTGTTTGTTTTTGAGACAGAGTGTTGCTCTGTTGCCCAGGCTGGAGTGCAGTGGCACAATCTTGGCTCACTGCAACCTCCGTCTCCCAGGTTCAAGTGATTCTCCTGCCTCAGCTTCCCCAGTAGCTGGGATTACAGGTGTCCACTACCACGCCCAGTTAATTTTTGTATTTTTAGTAGAGATGGGGTTTCATCATATCGGCCAGGCTGGTCTCAAACTCCCGACCTCAGGTGATCTACCCACCTCGGCCTCCCAAAGTGCTGGAATTACAGGCAGGAACCACCACACCCGGCCTGTTTTTTCAATATAACCTAATCATGGGAGCAAAATCCCAACACGTTCCTTAGGTCCCTCTCATGCTCAAAGGGAGGGGATTATACAGGACATGTACACTGGGTTGGGGGAGGCAGGAACCTTAGTGGCCTTGAAATCTGCTCACCATACCTTGTGACTTGCTTTGACCAACAGAATGCAGAGGGAGCAATGTTGTGTAAGTTCCAAGGCAAGACCTTAAGAAGCTTTGTGTGTCTCTCACCTTCTTGTGTGACTCCTGGAACCACATAAGCAAGCTTGAAGTAGACTATGAATGATGAGAGACCACGAGGAGAGAGAGGCCCAGCCAGCATCCAGTACTATGACTCCAGATGTACACATCAAGCCTTGGCCTTGTCTCTGACCGTGGCCACACCAGTTACCCTATACAAGAGCAGGAAAGAGAACCATCCAAAGTGCCCGTCAAACACAGAATCATGAGAGATAATAGATTCTTGTGTTTTAAGCTACTAAATTTTTGTTTGCTGTACTACAGGTTTTTTTGGTGAAAGGAAGGTAAGTCTCAGGACCCCCAAATCACTAAGCCAAAAAGAAAGTTGTTGGCCGGGTGCGGTGGCTCACATCTGTAATCCCAGCACTTTGGGAGGCCGAGGCGGGCAGATCACGAGGTCAGAAGATCGAGACCATCCTGGCTAACACAGTGAAACCCCGTCTCTACTAAAAATACAAAAAATTAGCCGAGTGTGGTGGTGGGCACCTGTAGTCCCAGCTACTCGGGAGGCTGAGGCAGGAGAATGGCATGAACCCAGGAGACAGAGCTTGCAGTGAGCCGAGATCGCGCCACTGCACTCCAGCCGGGGCGACAGAGCGAGACTCCATTTCAAAAAAAGAAAAGAAAAAAAAAAGAAAGACAGTTGTTGCCTTTTTTGGGGTTGAAATTTGAACCCAAAAAATCACTAAGTCAAGCTGGGGACTGCATCAGGCAAACTTGGCTCCCATTTTTTCCCCAAATAAGATAGTTACAAAGATTAAAAAACTACATATCTCCTTCAGAGTTTGCCCCCAAGGAATTTCCATGTGGGCCTCAGCATCTTTACCCTAAAACAGTTCTGTTGAATTTCACCTTGGCAATGTAAATTGATAGTTTATCTTAACAGATGCGGGACAAGGACAGAACTCAAAGTCATCCCTCTTCCCACCCGAGACAAATGCATATCTGATTGCTTCCTCCGCCTGTTGCTTATGTAAAAATGCAGATTCACTGAGACAGACTGAGGCATAAGTGACTCTTCCTCTACCCTCCTCACATGTAAATTGTGTACTCAGTGAAAGGCTGATCAGAATCAAAATAATACAACCTTTTGTCTCTTATCTACCTACCACCTGGAAGCCCCCACTTCGAGTTGCCCCACCTTTCCAGACTGAACCAATGTACATCTTAAATGTACTGATTGATGTCTCATATCTCCCTAAAATGTATAAAACCAAGCTATACCCCTATCACTTTGGGTACAAGTCATCAGGACCTCCTGAGGCTATGTCACGGGCACGTCCTTAACCTTGGCAAAATAAACTTTCTACATTGATTGAGACTTGTCTCAGATAGTTTTGGTTCACAATTTCATAGGAAACTGATTTGCCCTCTGTCTGGGCAACAACTCACACAGGCTAAGAGATCAATTTTTTTCCTTTGTGATGTTACACCAAACCTCAGAACTATAGACTGTCAGAGGTGGAGGGGATTTTTTTCTCATAGAATAGAGACTATCTTCTCCAGGTGCTCATAAACAAGGGAAAAGCATGTGAGAAGTCCATAAATCTCTCCAAAATTTTGGAATGACTTGGAAATAACAGATTTTCAAAAGAGTCACCTGCAGCTTGTCGCAGTGGCTCACGCCTGTAATCCCAGCACTTTGAGAGGCCAAGGCGGGCGGATCACGAGGTCAGGAGTTTGAGACCAGCCTGGCCAACATAGTGAAACCCCGTCTCTACTAAAAATACAAAAATTAGCCTGGCAAGGTGGCGCGCCTATAGTCCCAGCTACTCAGGAGGCCAAGGCAGGAGAATCACTTGAACCTGGGAGGCGGAGGTTGTAGTGAGCCAAGATCACGCCACTGCACTCCAGCCTGGGCAACAAAGGGAGACTCCACCTCAAAAAAAAAAAAAAAAAAAGTCACCTGCCAAAAAATATAGAGCATGAAAAAGGGCCAGTTCCTCCCCCATTTTTGAAGTTGAAAAACTAAGATCCAGAGAGTAGAAAAGGACTTGTACAACATCACACGATTACCAAAAGAAAAGGGATCCAAGCCTGGCTGCCCGAATTCCCACTTCATCTCATCACATCCCTCCTCTACTCAAAACTCCCTCACGCTTCCCACTGCCTGAGACAAAGTCCAAACCTACCCAGCATTCAAGGCCCTTCCCAAGTTCAGTCCAACCCATCTTTCCATTGCCATCCTTTGCCGTACTGCCCCAACCCATGCCATAGCAGACTTCTTTCCCATCCCCAAAACACACTCTCAGGCTCTGATGTGCTTGTTCAAGTTGACACCTCCACCCGGGACACCCTTCCCATTCTTCACTTGTAGGCCAATTCCCATTTGTCTTTCCGGCCCCAAATCAGAGGTCTCCACCTCTGAGAAGCCCTCACAGCCTCACCTCCACGTGGTAGGTTGCTCCCCTATGTCCACTCCCAAGACATCCTGTACAGACTCTTGTGGCAGGCTTATAATGCCTCCCCGAAAGATGTCCGTGTCCTAGCCCCTAGCCCCCAGAACCTGTGGATAGGATACCTTACTTACCATCCATGTTACCCTATGGTAAGAGGGTCTTTGCAAATCTGATTAAGTTGAGGTTGAGACGGAAAGATCATTCTCAATTATTTGGGCAGACCCAATGTAATCACAAGTGTTGTTAAAAGAAAGAGGCAGAAGCCAGGTGCGGTGGCTCACGCCTGTAATCCCAGTACTTTGGGAGGCTGAGGCGGGTGGATTACTTGAGGTCAGGAGTTCGAGACCAGCCTGGCTAACATGGTGAAACCCCCATCTCTACTAAATACAAAAATTAGCCGGGTGTGGTGACGCATGCCTGTAATCCCAGCTACTTGGGAGGCTGAGACTGGGAGAATTGTTTGAAACCGGGAGGCAGAGGTTGCAGTGAGCCGAGATTGTGCCACTGCACTCCCACCTGGGTGACTGAGCAAGACTCCATCTCAAAAACAAAAACAAAAGAAAGAAAGAAGCAGGAAGTGAGCAAAGGGATCGTGGAAACAGAGATTTGAGTGATGAAGCCATGAGCCAAGAAATGCCAGCAACATTTGGAAGCTGGATGAGGCACGGAACAGATACTCTCCTTGACCCTCCAAAAAGGGACCAGCCCTGAGGATACCTTCACTTGGGCCCAGTAACACTGATTTGGGACTTCCCGCCTCCAGAGTCATCAGATAACAAATGTGAGTCATTTTAAGCCACTGAGCTTGTGTTAATTTGTGAGAGCAGCAACACGAAACTCCTACACCTTTATTCTAGCATTAGTCACACTGTGTGACAGGTGCCGTTCTCACTCCACTGACAGCTCCTCAGCCTGGGGCACCTTTGTTTCCTGATGGTTTCACACAAAGCCTGGTGCTTCACAAGGGCTCACAAACACTGCTGAATGAATCAACAAGTGGACTCACCTGCTTCATCCCCCGCCTGTCTCCGTCAGCCTGAACACACACACACTGTCATACCCACTCCTCTCACCTGCTCACCCACCACCACCCACATCTCCCAGGAGGACATTTCTATTTTTACCACAGCAGCTCACCTTGGGCTGGCCAGCAAATAGCTGTTTCCCTGGAACATACTGATTTTAAGTGAGGAGAGGGATTTCTCTCAAGGTAATAATTGGACAAATCTGCTGGGAGAAAAAGACTAACATTTTGCTATGGTGGATTTGAAACCCAAGAATTGGCATTGTAGCACAGAAACGCAAAAATCTTTCCTAATGAGCCATTGATGTTCGCAAGACACAACCCTGACTCTTCACAATCCCCATTCCTCCCCACCCCATCTCAGCCCCAAGGTGGTCACTGGAAGGATGGTGAAATCTGTATTTAATGACACTGAAAGATGTCCACTTTATAGCATTAAGGGAGAAAAGCAGATTCCAGAACAGTGTGAATAGCGTGATCCCATTTTGTTAAAAAATTAAATCTACAGACAATGTGTATGTGTATGTATATACATACATACATAGGTGTACGTGAGTTTATGTACGCATAGAGCAGAGGCTGGAAGATTGGTGAAGATGTTAACAATGGTTTTATGGGGGTTATGGACAGTTGTTTTATCTGTATTTTTAAAATTGTTTTACAAAGAACAAGACTACTAACATAATGGGAAATAAAGTTCAAGTAATTTCAACATTTAAAAAGTGGAGCGTTTTGCGCGGCAGGGCTATTTTTTGTGTGTCCGTTCCTGGACAGCCCCAGCTCGATCCCCCGCCCCTCCTCAAGTGGGAAGCTGGGATCTGGGCTCCCCAGAGCAATGGCGGAAGCTTCGCGCAGCTGCGGGCGGGGAGAGGGACGCGGCCAGGTCGGGGGGCCGGGAGGGGTGCTGGGAATCGGAAAACACAGATATGACCGCGAAGGCGGTTTCTGCCGAATGACCAGATGATGACCCGCTGTGGGCCCAAGGCGGAGTGCGGGGAGCCCGTTCCTGCCCGCGGTCCCTCTCCCTCCCCCACTGCCACACCGGCCCCGCCGAATCCTCCCCGGTCTCCTGGGCGAGGACAGGTGCCGCCCGAGACCCCGGCCGCAGACAGATGCCCACGGTCACTCCGGCCTTCCTCGGCCCCATTCGCCGCACACCCCCTTCCTGCGGTGGCGTTTTTGTTTTAACTCTTCTGAACTGGTTACAAAACCACCCTCCCACGAATACATAAATAATGGGTGGGGGGCGATGTTTTAAAGAAATTCCCGCAAGGCCTGGCAAGGCAACAGCAACTGCATTTCTGCTGCATCATATTTAACTGTTTGCAGGCTGCTGCGGGAGATGCGCGGTGGCGGCGAGACTCGGGCTCCACAGCCCTTCTCCGCCCGGGGCCTGGCGAGACTCGCGTGGGGATTAAGAGGCAAGGAGAGGGTGTCAGCGATCGGGCGCCGGCAAGATGTGAGGGGGGGTGATAAGCGTAAGGCCGCAGCGTGCCCACAAGCCGGGCACCCATCGGGTCGGCCGGCAATTGCTCCCTCCGCCCGCGCGGCCCCTTTAAGAGCCAGCGCGCGCCCCCGCCCCGCGAGCGCCGACTTTCCCTAGCAACCGCCCCGGGGGAGGGGGAGGTCCTGGCAACCGCGCGCCAGCCGCGAGGATCACGTGACGGCCCGCAGCTGGAACGCGAGCGCGCGCCCCGCCGCGCTCCCGCCCGCCGGGGCCTGGGCGCTGCGGCGCGTGCGCGAGCGGTGCCGCACCGGCCGCGGGCGCAGGGAGTATTATGGGCTGTGGGTGCCGCTGAGCAAGATGGAGCTGTCTGCAGTGGGCGAGCGGGTCTTCGCGGCCGAATCCATCATCAAACGGCGGATCCGAAAGGTGAGCCGCCGCCCGGGGCGGGCCGCCGCTGTCCGCAGCCGGGGCCGGGGCCGGGGGCCCTCGGGGCGAAGCGGTCCCGCTAGCCCGGCTCCCTCGCCCAGCCCCGCGCCGCCGCCTCCTCGCGTCCCCGCATCCTCCCCACCCCCACCCCCGTTTTTCTCCCCTCTGTTTTTCAGGGACGCATCGAGTACCTGGTGAAATGGAAGGGGTGGGCGATCAAGTGAGTGTCGCGGGGTCCGGGGGCGTCGCGGGAGGGGAGGCAGCGGGCACCGGGGCCTGGGGTGGGGGTGCGCGCTCTTGCTCTCGCCGCGTGCCTGTCCCTCTCTGGTCTTCATCCTGATTTTGTGCGTTTGTGACTCGGCAGGTACAGCACTTGGGAGCCCGAGGAGAACATCCTGGACTCGCGGCTCATTGCAGCCTTCGAACAAAAGTGAGTTGTTGGGGAAGCTGGCAGGGGCTGCGAGGCCGAGGCTCGGCTGGGGCGCCGCGCGGGGAAGCGGGAGAGCCGGGGAGGGCAGCGCGGAGTGGGGCCCGGGAAGGGGCTCTTTTTAACCTCTGGTGTTTTTCGGCCGCAGGGAGAGGGAGCGTGAGCTGTATGGGCCCAAGAAGAGGGGACCCAAACCCAAAACTTTCCTCCTGAAGGTAACCTGGCCCAGCCCCAGCAGCATCCCCCTCTCGGGCCCCCAGCCCCGGCACAGCACGGGGCCTGGAAGGGAGGGACAGATACGCGGCCGCCCAAGCGGGCCGGCCTTTTCAGAGGGGCCCCAGCTGGGCAGGGGGTGGTTGTGAGCCCCCCCAGAAGCCCCTGATGGCAGGCCTCAGCCAGCATCAGCTTCAACAAGAGGGTTTTGGGACTGGGGATAATCCTCCCTGTTGAAACCAGGGGCTGGGGATGCCTTTAGGGCTCCAGGAAAGGGGGTGGCTGAGGCAGGTGGGGGATGCCCATGGGAAGGGGGCATTTGTTTGAGCTGTTATGACTGTGCTGGGAGTTGGAACCCAGGGGGAGAGTGAGTGGGGTCCCACCTCCTGGCAGGGCACAAGGAGAGGATTTGGGGGACCACCTGCCTCCCTGCCCCCAGCTTCCCCCGTTCAGTCTTTCAGGATTTGTTCTTCATGGCTCCCCTCCTTTCTTGGGGATCCAACTTGAATTTGACCTCAAATCATTTTACTTTGAATTTATCACCCAGGCTGGGCCACTAACTTTAGGGCTCTGAGCCTCAGTTTCCCCCCACTCCCGGCCATTTCTGGGGGATGGGGATGTGGGAGTGAGAGCATAGCATATTAGTCTCTGCTAGGGAGGGAAGAACTTCCAGAGGAAGCCATCTTGGAGGATTTGGGTTTTTATTTTATTTTGACAAGGAAAAACAGAGTCTGGGAAAGGAAGGGCAAGATGGCCCTAGGTGGCAGGCACGGCTGCAGGTGGGACTCAGTGGGCCCCCTGTCTTCCTGTAGTGCTACGGATGCCTCAGGGCCCCCTCCCACCCGACAGCCGGTGACTTTGTGGGAGGACTCTTTTTCGGAGAAGAGAAGCAGAAGTGAAAGAAATGTTGGTTTCCAGAATTTCATATTTTTATAACCCCCACCCTCAAGCGACGCACATCCTAGGGGATCCAGGGAGTAACCTTAACCCTGATGCTTCTCTTGGGGAGGGATGGGCGGAGCAGCTGGAAGGCTGGTGGGCTGTGTGACAGCCTCTCAGTGCAGCTGGGGCACCCTCTAGCGGCGAAGCGAGTATGACCATGAGCATTGATACACAGAACGCCTTTTTTTCTTGATAGTTCTTTTGGTTCCTGAGCTGGCTGTGGGCCTAATACAGGGCTGAGCCCCCACATGGATTATCTCCTTTAATTCTTTCAACAGTTCCAAGAAGTAAGGAGTATTATCCCCATTTCACAGATAAAAAATCAAGGCCCAGGAAGGGAAAGTGACTTACCCGAGGTCCAGCTTCCTGGCTTCATCCTGTCTCCTTTTCTTCATCTTGTGCCTTGAGTAGTCCATGTCAGGTTAAAGGGGGAAGGCAGACACACACAGGAAACTATGAAGGCTGCAGAGTTGGCGTGGCAGGGGATAGAGACACAGATAGTAGGACTTTTTTATCTGGACCCTAAGAAACAGGTAGCCTGAGAGTGATGTGGATGTTTGTGAGGGGCTATGGAGATTAGCTTGGGCTGAACACATTGTTCTGGGGCTCCCTGAGAGGCAGTATGGCAGAGTCAGCAAATTACACTCAGCGCTTTCTGCCAGGAACTACTCTGAAGCAAACAGGAGCCCATGAGATAGCTTCCATCCTCCCTGTTTCACGCATGGGGAAACAGGGCCAGAGGTGTCCAGTAACTTGCCCACAGACATGGGGAGAGGCCATGGTAGAGTTCAGGTGCTTAAACCTTCACACCATCTACGGTGCTTGCCAAGCCCACAGAGCTATGCCTGTCACCTGGTCAGGGTGCAATAAGCATGTTGGCTACAGTTATTTTTAATTCATCAGGCAGACCCAGGTCCCACTTTCAAAGAGTTCTCCATGTGGGGAGGAAGAGGAAGGGTAAACCCTTTAAAAAATAATAATATATAGAAAGTATAAAGTAAGAAATGTCAATGTATGCCAAGCATACATTGGAAAAAGATCACTGCTTATAAGTCCACCACCCATGGGTAGGTCTGTTCAGTTATTTGCTGCGTGCCAGGCACTGTGCTGAGCAGGTGCCATGTACTCTCTGATCATCATAGGAGTGCCCGTAGTAGGCCCTGTGATGGTTCAGCAGATAAGGAAAGGAGACTCACTGAGCCAGGGTTTCTTTCCGGGCCTGCCATTTGCCCACACTCTGCCCCTCCCCCAGGAACAGTCCGTCACCACTGGACTCTTGGAAGCATAATTTCAGAAGTCAGGAAGCTCAGGCAGTTTGCAGAGGGAGTAAACACTTTCTGAGAGTCAGAAAGTGTGGGGATGCACCTGCAGAATGTCTGCTTACCACGCCAAAAAAGCCTGGGCTTTTCCCTGCCTTTGTGTGGGAAGGGGTCTGAGGGGCCCAATCCCTGGGAGCTGGGCTGGCAGCATTGGCATGGGCAGGCCCGGCTTCATGTGCTGCCACCTAGTGGCGGAAGGGACTGTTAACCAAGCAGCCCCAGGAGGCCCCAGCCTGGGCTGGGAGGACCACGTGGAGTCACAGTCCCTTCTCCCATGGGGGTGAACGCCACGTTCTAAATGAAGACATCCTTGCTTAGCCAACAAATAAGCCAGCAAACATCTCTCCTGAGAGTTGTGATCAAATGGTAATCTAGTCTTGTCTGAGAGGCATATGGGCTACCTCCAGGTACTAGTTAAGCATCCAATGCTGTGGGGAGTGGGAGGTAGAGAGACCTCACAACAGATCCCACCCTCATGGACCTCACAGACCAACCGTGGGGACATGGCCTTCTTCTCGGTCCCAACCATCTCCCACCTAGATTGAGGGCAGCCATCACCTAACAAGCCTCCCTGCCCCAGTAGGATCTCTAAAACCCACGCCCCTTGTGGCACCCCACACACACCCCAGCCTCTGTCCCCAGCCCTTGCTTTCAGTCCTGTGACTCCTCGCCATCTTCTCACACCACTGGGATCTTGCCCAGAGGACTCTCTGCCTCTACCATCTGTCTGTCTTAGCAGGCCACCGCAGCCTCTGGAACTGTCTGGGGTGCAGTCAGGGCTCAGTAAGGACCAGGACTTTTTCCTACTTAGGTGTCAGGGCCGGGCTTTGATGTTTCATTCTCCAAGCCTGGGGTCTGTGCTTCTCTGGGCTCTGTGGTTCTTTCGCTGCACGAAATCACTTCATATTCCCACTGCCCACCGTCCTCCCTGTGATAGGGCAGCTCTCCAGGGGAGAGTCTGTGCGTGTGCAGCTGTAACCCCAAGCAACTGGTGCCTGGTGCCTCAGTACCTTCCTTAGTAAAGAAAGGACTGGCCATGCAGACAGCTTACATCGCCTTAGGAGTCCCTTAGCCTCTCTCCATTTAGTGGCATCTGACAACGGGTGGGTTGGACCGGAACCTGGGGTCTCTTGAGAGCCCTGTGGCTTTAAAGAGATTTCATGCCTGGAAGGACAGCTGGAAGGACAGGCCTGGGAGCCTGGGGCAGTATTCCTGGCTGCCCACGACCTCTGCACCATCATCCTGCCCCAGACCATCTTGGCACAGAGAATAGGCAGTGGTCGGGCCCACTTCTAGGCCTGTCCCCACCAAACTCACGTCTGACCGGGTTGGGTTCCAGCCCAGGCTTTGGGATGCATTGGTACCAGTTCACTCTGAGCCAGGCACTGGGCAGACAAGTAAATGAGACCCATCCAGGGAAGTATGGTGGCTGAGGTGCTGGCCAGCTGAGGAGACAGGCTGGAGCCGGAGGTCAGCCTGCTCAAAGGCGAGAGAGTACGGGGCATTGGGGACATGGTGGCTCAGCAGGACTTGGTGCGGGGGAGCAGGGAGGACCCACCTCCTCCTTTCTGTCACCACGAATGAGTCCGTGGAGGAGTCCCCACTTGGGCTGGATCTGCCACAGAGCAGGGGTTTAGCAGGGGCTTCTGAGCAAACGGCTGCCCTCCCGACACTGTGTCCCAATTGTCGACACTCCTCCGTGTCAGCAAGGGCAGCCATGGAGTGGCCCAGGGCCCTCTGTGGAGCTAACAGAGGTGGTGGGTGATAGAAAAAACACAGTTTTGGAATTGGGCCTGGACAAGGGTGTCCTGACTCTGACCTTGGAGTCAGAGGCAAATTGCTTCATCTCTGAACCTCTGTTTCCTTTTCTAAGTCGAGGTCATGAAGACCAGTGATTATCTTAAATGATCTCGGGATCGCTGGCTGAGAGGCTCTACTTAGGGCTGGCTGGCGTAGGGACATCCAGGGGAGGTCAGCGGGCAGTCCTGAGGTCCCACCCACCCCTCCCTCTGCCCGCAGGCGCGGGCCCAGGCCGAGGCCCTCCGCATCAGTGATGTGCATTTCTCTGTCAAGCCGAGCGCCAGTGCCTCCTCGCCCAAGCTGCACTCCAGCGCAGCCGTGCACCGGCTCAAGAAGGACATCCGCCGCTGCCACCGTATGTCCCGCCGTCCCCTGCCCCGCCCGGACCCGCAGGGGGGCAGCCCCGGACTGCGCCCGCCCATTTCGCCCTTCTCGGAGACGGTGCGCATCATCAACCGCAAGGTGAAGCCGCGGGAGCCCAAGCGGAACCGCATCATCCTGAACCTGAAGGTGATCGACAAGGGCGCTGGCGGCGGGGGCGCCGGGCAGGGGGCCGGGGCGCTGGCCCGCCCCAAAGTCCCCTCGCGGAACCGCGTTATAGGCAAGAGCAAGAAGTTCAGCGAGAGCGTCCTGCGTACACAGATCCGCCACATGAAGTTCGGCGCCTTTGCGCTGTACAAGCCTCCGCCCGCCCCCCTGGTAGCCCCGTCCCCCGGCAAGGCTGAGGCCTCAGCCCCGGGCCCTGGGCTACTTCTGGCCGCCCCCGCCGCCCCCTACGACGCCCGCAGCTCTGGCTCCTCCGGCTGCCCCTCGCCTACACCACAGTCCTCTGACCCCGACGACACGCCCCCCAAGCTCCTCCCCGAGACCGTGAGCCCATCCGCCCCCAGCTGGCGCGAGCCGGAGGTGCTCGACCTGTCCCTCCCTCCCGAGTCGGCAGCCACCAGCAAGCGGGCACCGCCTGAGGTCACAGCTGCTGCCGGCCCGGCACCTCCCACGGCCCCTGAGCCCGCCGGTGCCTCCTCCGAGCCCGAGGCTGGGGACTGGCGCCCCGAGATGTCACCCTGCTCCAATGTGGTCGTCACCGATGTCACCAGCAACCTCCTGACGGTCACAATCAAGGAATTCTGCAACCCTGAGGATTTCGAGAAGGTGGCTGCTGGGGTAGCAGGCGCCGCTGGGGGCGGTGGCAGCATTGGGGCGAGCAAGTGAGGGGGCTCCACCAAGGAGGGGGGCTTGGGGGGGCCCTCCTGCCCGAAGTCATACTCTTGCTCCCACCCCACCCTTGCCCCCAGCCCTCTCTCCCTGTGCTTTGCTTGTCTCAAATGGCTCGGTGTTGACCCAGGGATGGGGCTGGGTAGTTGGGGTCCCAGAAAGCCGGGGGTAGGGGCCACCCTGGAATGGGGCAGGGGAAGGGCACACCCCCTGCCCATGCATGGTAGCCCACTGGGTGGTTTCTGGAAAGCCCTAGAAACTAGGGTTCCTCTGCCCCTTCCACATCCCACCTGTCTCTCTAGCTTGCTTCCTGCTCTCCTGTGCGGCGTCTGATTTCTCGGTGCTAACCTGGCAGCTGTGGGGCCCTTAGGAGCCCCCCACCGAGGGTGGACACAGTCCCTTTCCTTCCTGCAGATGCCTAGGCAGGAGGAGGGCTTCCTGCCTGTTTGGCAAAGTCCCAGGCAGAGGCCAAGGATGAGGCCTGACTCGGCTCCTCCCTCCACATCAGCCAGGGCATCAGAAGTTGGGCCAGGGCGGGGTCTTCCCTGCTCGATTTTGGACGAGGCCTAAGTAGACCCCCTATGCCCTGCCCCAGCCCTGGCTCTTTCCTAACCCCCTCAACGGTGGGAGGAACTGGCAGAGGGTGCGCCTGGCCACAGCC
Organism: Homo sapiens; assembly: GCF_000001405.40. NCBI lineage: Eukaryota > Metazoa > Chordata > Mammalia > Primates > Hominidae > Homo > Homo sapiens. The sequence goes on along the minus strand of NC_000022.11, from coordinate 38,865,544 downwards.
TCCCCGCATCTAAAGGCCCCTTCAGTTCTTGACCAAAGGTGCTACGAGAACCTGCCGTGGAAACTTCCAGTTGTGCGTCTGCCCCACTCGCTGTGTTTGTCCGTGGGTTCATACATGCATTGGGTGCTAGGCCCCAGGCTGCCGGGTGGCACCCTTTACAGTTCCTTTGAACAGGGGCATTGAAGGCCTGGACTGCCTCTCGCCTCAGTAGGCCTGGGGACCAGGCTTGGGTCTGGAGGTTTGCTGTGGAAGTCACCAGGCCTCCCCTCCTGGCCCAGGTGTGCTGGGGGCACCGTGCCCCCCACCCCCCTGCCCTCCTCAGGGTGGTCAGCCCAACCTGTCGGACCTTCACTTCACATCATGGTGGGGACCGAGATAGAGAGGGAGACCCCATTCCAAGCTCCCTCTTCCTCCGGGTGTTTGGGGAGGATGCTGAAGAATCCATTCCCGAGGGCCTCCCGGCTTGTCCCAGCCCCTCTTTTGCTTCTGACCACGGAGGCTTTCTCACAGCCCAGCCTGCCTGAAGCAAAGGAGGCTCCCGTGTCCTGGGCAGCTTCTGTTTCCCTCTGCTGCCTGGGAGCTGAGGCACCCGTGCCAGTGGCAGAGGCCACAGCCCCAGCCTTAGGCCAGGCCCTGGGAGGGCAGGCAGGCAAAGGGGAGACCAGAGGGTCTGTGTTCTCCAGGAGAATGAGGGTGTTGGTCCCAGAATTGGGACCGGGGCCCCGCTGGCCAGCCCTGGGCCACTTCCCGGGTCTCCATTGTGCGTGGGTGGCGTGTTCCAGGCGTGGCTGGAGCTGGCTTCCTGGCTGTGCTGCCATGGGCCCCTCCCTCAGAAGCACGTTGGCAGGAGGCCGATCAGAACCCTAGCGCCTTTGGTCCTAAGAATGGGAGGCTGCCTTCCTTCCCAATCTCCCTGCCAGGGCCCACAGCGTGGCCCTAGCCCTCCCCTCCCCGGGATGTAGAACGGGGACCCTCGCAGGGTTGGGGCGGGGGCTGATACTCCTCGGCCCCTCCCTACCCTGCCCTGTGTGTTGGCTTTGTGGCCGTCCAAGTGCCAATTGGCTTTTCGCCCAAATAAGGGCTGGTATTTCTCCTCTGTCCTTGGAGGTGATTTCCCCCTGACCCCCTCCCCCAGGTGAGTGACCACCTGGGTGCCAGTTACAGGTGTTTCCAGAGACCATAGAAATGTGTTTTCCTGAGAGTTCGTGTCATTCGTGACTTTTTTGTAAAGAAGTTGTGTTTTCAGAGGTGATTTTATGACAGGAAAGTGAAAGAATTAGTTTTGCAAAAAAACAAAAACAAAAAAAGAGGAAAAAAAAAAGAAATAGAAAAAAATATTGTGGGATTCCTATGGGGGGGTGGCGGGGGAGAAAGAGCTATTTAAGAAAAAATAGTAACGCAGTGATTGCACAGGTGAGGTGGCAATGTCAGGATGGGGCGGAGGCCTGGGCCCAGCTGGCAGGTCCCCTGGCATCGCAGGCACTGTGGAGAGGGCCTGGACCCAGATCTCCACACCCGTGCTTGCTCAAAGGGAAGGACAACAGCGGGCCCCCGGGAGCTAACCCAAGCTGCAGGTCCCGGCAAGCTGAGGTTTGGGAGGGTGGGGGTTGTCACTGGTGATTTTCTCCAGGGGGCTGGTGAGTGGGCAGTTTGGTTTCTTGCCCCCTTCTGTTCCTTTCCCAGTTGTTGGGCCATCTGGTCCCCACCACCGCCACCCTATGGGGGAGACCTCCCTCCCCACGGGTCACCCTAAAGCCCACAACCTCTCTGAGCCTCCCTGGCCTGAAAGGGGATGCAGGCTTCAGGAGGCAAGAAGCTGGGCCCCTGGGGGTGGCTGGGGAGAGGGAATGCATTTCCCTTGCCACAGGTGGTCTGCTTCTGCTGGCCTGAGCTCCAAGTGGAGCAGCCCGGGCCAGCCTTGGTGCATGAAGAGGCACCAGGCACACCGCCTTGAGGTGGGCAGTGCCCATGGGGGCCCGAGTGGATGGGACCGAGGGTGAGTGGAGCCTCCTTCCTCCCCTCTCTAGTACCCCCGCCTCCCACACACTTGCACGGATCGGCCTCCCTTGGGAGATCAGCCTCCATGGGCCCCTCGTCCACCCTTGCTGCTTTCCATTTGCCTAATTACCAAGCAGAAGTTGCAATCTGGTTTGCTTTATTTTTGTATGTGAAATAACCCCCAAAGCCCAATCTCCTCCTACGTTCAATATTGGTTGGGGCATCCGTCATCTCCCCTTAAGTGCGCCCCCTCCCCACCCAAGTATCATAGGAAACCGGTGAGGTCTGGTGTCTCTGGTTTGAGACGGTAAGTTGGGACCCATCCCTGTCTGGGTGCCCACTCTGACCTTTAGTTTGCCCTTCTGTGAAATGGGTGTATTGGGTAGCAAGCCCTCTTCAGAAAGCGCTGCTGGTGTCAGAGCAGCTGCCCAGTACCAGGTGGGGGGTCAAGGTTGCTGGTACTGGGGCCCCCAGCTGCCCACAACCCCTCTTTGTTCTCACCCTGCAAAGGGGTCAAGGTCAAAATGAGCCTCATCCTTCCTATGATCTGGGAAGAGGTGATGATCAAGTCCCCAACTTCAGTGTGAGGTGGACAGAGTTGGGGGGATGGCCCCTTTTTGAAGAGGTGAAAATGGTTTTGGAGAAGCGCAGCTGCTTCACTGGGGGAATGCGGCAGGGACTGGGGCCCAGGATGCTTTGGCCTATGGGGAAAAGCCCTTTAAAAGGCAGGGCCCAGGCCCTGGAGCCAGCACAAGACTGGCCTCGAGCCCCTGAGCCAGGAGGTCCTGGAGGAGAGCCAGGCCGGTGGGCCCGCCCAAGGCTGGAGGGTCAGCCCCAACAGGGAGCTGGGTTGGCCAGGGGGCTGGACTGCTACCAGCCTCTCTGGCCTATGGGGACCCAAGAGGACACATCCCCCTTTTGCCCACTCTTCTGTGTCATTTTGTTGTTTTGGTTTGTGGTGGTTTTTCTTTTTTCTTTTGTTTTTCTTTTTTCTTTCTTTCTTTTTTTTTTTTTTTTTTTTTTTTTTTGCACTTCGCCCACACAGGACAGTGGAGCCCCACCTGGTCAGTTCCACTTCCGGGCTCCCATGCACTTGCCCAAGGCGGCCTCTTTGGGACGGGGATGGTTTGAGGAAACACTTTTAAAGAAAAAAGGAAGACATTGAAAGGTTTTAGTTTCTTCCCTATCTGCATGTCCTCTCATATAGAAAGCCCAGAATTAGGGGCTAGAACTCCAGGAGAGGGTCTCCCCGACTCATCTCTTGCTGACGGTCACCAGGATGCAGAAATAGGGAGATGGTTAGTGGGGGCCAAAGATGCCCCCTCCCAGGCCTTCGTGGTTCCCTCCTCCGCCCCCTGCAATCTTTGGAGGAGTCAGTGCCTCACTCCAGCAGTGAGTGCCTACTGTATGCAGGTAGTCAGCCAGGCAAAGAGAGACTAACGGTCTCATGGGGGAACCCTCTTGCGGGAGGCCGGGTAGCTGGAGCGAAGCGTTCCGGCTGCCCTTGCTGCTGGGTGGAGTGGAGAGGGAGACTTCTTTTTGTTGGTTTTAATTTAAAAACACAAAGGCCTAAAGAAATACGTATCTTATAATTTTTTTAATTTTTGAGACGTTCATTTAATGAATTGTGCACGAATGAATTCTATATATATAAAATATACATATATAGCTCTATATTTGGGGAGGGGCACTGTCTCTTTTTTCTCTCATTTTTAAAATGAAGTGTTGTTGCCTTTGTATGTGGTTCAACCATCCAGCTCCCAGCTGGCTAAACTTTGCCTCCAGTGGTCAAAGATGGGAAAAGAGTGGGGTTGGCAGGAGATGGAAAACGGAGGTGCCGCCCCAGCATGGGGGGCAGGTCCCCCAGTCCACCCTGCCCCTCCCCCTGTGGAGAAGACGCTTAGTTGGGGGTGTGGGTTTGGGCTCCATTCTGGATTCGGCGGTTCCGGGGGAGGGGTGGGTCTGTGCCGATTACTCTGTCTTGTACGTTTGTTCTGCTGCTCTTCAATATTGTATCAACGCCAGGAAAGGGGGGTGAAAAGCCTCTTTTACCCCCCAAATAAATTGTCACATTCCGAAGCTGAGGCCTAGCCCCTAGGTTGGGGTGTGTCTGTGTCTTCTTCCAGCTGTGACTGGCTTTTCAAAAGTAGCAGGCCCATGTCCCTCCAGTGACAGGTGAAGAGGGGGAAGCCCTGTCCCACCGCTGGCACTCACTTGCTTCCCGGTTCCTATCTCCCACACTCCCCCAGCTCACATGTGCCTCAGTGGGAAAAAGAGATGCCTGCTGCTTCTTGGACCCTTGAGAATAACGGGTAGGTGAGAGTGGGAGGATGGAGGTCTCATCACTGCCTGTCCCTCAGTGGGAATCACAGCACCCGCAGAGAGGAAGGGGCCTCTGGGGTTGTGGCCCCAAAGCCCAGAAGGGAGCAGGCCGGAATGGGGCACCAGCTGCTCTTGCCATTGGGTCCTACAGTTTGGCACCCAACCGTGCCATAAAGTCCGATATCACATTCGGATAATGAGAATGGTGGTCTTCGAGTTTGTTTTCTGGGTGCCATGTGCCTTCTCTCTTGAGGTGACGCACCCTCTCCCCACATAGGTGGGCTTAAAAGCAGCAGCCCCAGGCAAACTTCCATGCCTTCCCCAGGTGCCTGGCGTTCCACCTGCAAGCTCCCGATGACTCCCGTGGCCACCTGTTTGCCAGGCCTCGGACAGGTAGCGCTCTGGTCTCCCCTTCCTCACCACCCCACCTCCTGTCTGGCCTCTCTAGTATCTCCCCGCCCTGCAGCCTGGGGTCCTGAGCGCTTCTGCTTTGGCAGCGGCTCTGGCCTGGTCCACCAGTCTCCATCCTGGCCTGCACCTGCCCCCTGTGTCTTCCACACCAGTGCCATAGGGGTCAGGGAGGCTACCGCCCCAGCGCCACGGCCTCTAGGCAGGCAGGAGTGTGATCTAGTTCCTTGTCATGCCTGGTCCCGGCGCTGGGGATATTCAATGCAGACAGACCCTGCTGTTAATTTCCAGGCTGCAATGCCCAGAGCCCCCACAGCTCAACACAGCCTGTGTGCCATCTGCAAATGGCTGAGGTGCAAAGTCTCCCCTAGCCTCCACCTCCCCGCCCCCCTCCTCCTTGCCTCCCTTTGCCTGAAGCCCCTCCCCTGCCACCTGCCCTCCCGGGCCCTGCCCTGTCTCCTCCCTCGGTATTGACCTGCGGTTTTGTCCTTCCCCCTTCCTAAGGACAGGGCTGGGTCTTCATCCCCTCTCTGCCCACACCTCAGTGTCTGGCACATGGTAGGCCCAGATCATCTCCGTCACCAAGCTCAGTCCTCTTCCTATGCTGGCTGGGACAGTGAGGCTTGGGAGCGGCTGAGAGGTAGACCTGGGGCTCAGTGCAATCAACCAACTGCCTCTGAGCATTACCAGTGGGCCTGGCCTGGGCCAGGCAGGGGCCAGCAGGACAAATGGGAGTGTGTCCCTGTCCCGGATACGGGGCTGCCACTGGGCAGGCAGGTGGGAAGGGACCCACAGTGAAGCACCCACAGGGCAGGGGAGGCCAGCCAGTAAGCCAGGGCTGGTCCTGCTCAGTGCCACTGCTGCACCTCACGGCCACCTCCTTGTCATCTTGAGCACCTGCCTTGGTGTTCTACTCCCAGAAAGCCCTCATTCGTACTTATTTTTTTGAACCCCAAATTATTAGCGCACCTACTATCGGCCAAGCCCTGGTGAGCACGTCACTGGCCCTAGCCCATGTCCCTAACCCGTGCCCAGCGAGCCCATGAGTTATGAGCAGATGTCATGGGGAAGAGGAGGCCAGAGAGGCGAAGTCATTAACTTGTTCATTTGTCCAAGGGGGCACAATTGGAGCAGGGGAGTCGGCATTCACCCCAGCCCCATCTGTTTGCCCCTGAACCCCAAGCTCTTGGGAATGAGGACATGGGGCAGCCCATGTGAGGCAAGTGCAGGCCGAAATTAGTCACCGTGTTCCTGATCACAAGTCCTGCCATTGCTAAGCAGGTAAGTCTCCTTATTAGTTGAGGGTTAATGAGTGAGGAGGCTGTGGCAACTTCTCGAGGAACTGAACAGTTTGTGAAGAGGACTGGGCAATACCAAGCAATTGCCCGAGAGCGAGCTGACTCGGCTTAGAGAGGGGGGTGCCTGCCTGGCCCCCACCCCTTCCTTGTCCTATTCCTGGGCCTCCTCCCAGGGTTAAGGGTCAGCGGTGGGATGAAGCTCAGGGGTGGGGCAAGCCAAGGAGTAGGGGGATGGGATGGGATGTGGATGACTATTTTTGCAAAATTACCTGGTTACGTTTGTTTGTTTGTGACAGAGTCTTGCTCTGTAGTCCAGGCTGGAGTGCAGGGGTGCAACCTTGGCTCACTGAAACCTCCGCCTCCTGGGTCTGGGTTCAAGCAATTCTCCTGCCTCAGTCTCCCGAGGAGCTGGGATTACAGACACATGCCACCACGCCCAGCTAATTTTTGTATTTTTAGTAGAGACGGGGTTTCACCATGTTGGCCAGGCTGGTCTTGAACTCCTGACCTCGTGATCCACCTGCCTTAGCCTCCCAAAGTGCTGGGATTACAGGCATGAACTACCATGCCCAGCCCTTGGTTGCTTTTTAAAAGCTAAAAGTTGAAATTTTTTGGTCCATGTCAAGCCATGCCTGGAGTGAATAGGGAGGTGACAGAGGCCACATCAAATTGCCCAGCCCCCCCCCAAGCCAGCTAACAGGTCTGCGAGCTGATTCTGTGCCCTCTTTGTTCAGGCTGCTGGCTTCTGGGAGGACAGACTTCAAAAAGGCCTGGTGGCCTGCAGAGGCCGAGCACAAGGACACCTGATCCACAGCGGTGGGGTCACAAAGGAAGCAGCAGGGGGAGGCCCCGTCCTGGCCTCCAGACATCCACACGCGCTGAGCATCAGCCAGGGAAGCTGTGAGCTCAGGAGGGAGTCCCAGGAGGGACAGAGGCCACTCCAGGGCGAGACTCGAAATGACCCTGGCGAGGATAATGAGGCCTGAGGCAGTGGGGACAACAGAAAGTGGCCAGAGTGGATGGGATGTTTGGAATATTTAGAATTTGGTGAGGGACTGCCTTTGAGAGCTTGTATAAAAGCCTTTTCGAAGAAGCACCTGGGTATGTGGTATAGGCAGAGGAGTGAGTGAGTGCATTCTTCTCAGGTGGAGAACCTGGTGGAGGACACAGCTTCCAGGGACACATTGGGAGTAAATCAGCCATAGGGTCCTGGAGGGATTTTCATCTATGGATTTGAGGCTCAGAGCGAGCTCCTGCCCACCCAGGCACTGCTGGACAAATCTGCTGAAGGGTCTTTGTCCCTTAGTGCACCTCATCTCTGAGATGACTGGTCACCAGCCATCCTGGAAGCACCACCACGGACATAGGTGCTTAGCTCTGGAAGCCACTGGAAATTCCAGGGGTTAATGTCCAGCCCCTTGCCGCCCGCCTCTACCCCATCAATCTCATACCTTTTATCTCCATGAGCAGCCCCCATGAGGTGAGGCTGGGGAATGATTAACCCCATTGGATAGGTGCAAGGCGAGGCCTGAGAGTTGTAGGGTGGGGATGCTCTGCAAAATCACTCAGAGGCAGAGAGAATGGAACCCAGGTCTGAGGCATGAAAAGATAGAACCTTCTGTCCTGCTAACCTTCTGTCTATACTTAAAGACTGGGTAAAACATAAACATTCTTTCAAATACCCAACTGAGTTTCCGAGATTAAAAAAAAAAAAAAAATCCCCAGGGACCAAAAACAAAGAGAAAAGCCAAAAATCACAGTGACAAGCAGGTGTTTATTCTTTGGCTGTCCTACAGGGTGGGCCTATGGGTGGCAAAGGGAGGCAGGAGATGGGCGTGGGAGGTGGTGGCTTTTGCTAATGTTGGTAACCAAAGGAGCTTGGATTTTATACCTGTGGAGGGAGGGATAGGAGACAAGGCCTGGGACCCTTGCCAGCAGAAATTTGGAACCAGAATAAAACTGGACCCATATCCTCAATGAAAAAAGCAAATGGTGGGGAAAAATCACCCTTTCACAAAGGGAAAAGACAAAAAAGTTGTAGTCTCATTTCTGGCTCGGCTGGAAAAAATTTGAAAAGAATGATCTCTTGAGAAATTTTAACTCTAGACCTTCACTAACACACATTTGAGGTTTGAATTTGTATTACCCATATGGTCCCAGGACTCCCAAGTATAGAAATTAATATAAGAAAAAAACCTGGGGCGAGTTACACCACAGACATGTGGCTACTAGTAGCAAATGCAAGCCTCTGTGGATAGCCCTACCCACAGTAAAGGCCACACAGGATTCTCACAGATAAAACCATTGTAAATGTGAGCTCACTATCCAAAATTACAAAAACACGCAAGCCACAAAGACAAATAGCAAAACAACCAACAGTACATACAGAATCCTGCACCCAACACGTTATTTTCAAACATGCATTGAAGATGTCCTAAAACTGCCAGGCACAATGGCTCATGCCTGTAATCCCAGCACTTCGGGAGGCCAAGGTGGGCAGATCACCTGAGGTCAGGAGTTCGAGACCAGCCTGGCCAACATGATGAAACCCCATCTCTACTAAAAATACAAAAATTAGCCAGGCATGGTGGCACATGCCTGTAATCCCAGCTACTCGGGAGGATGAGGCAGGAGAATCACTTGAACTCGGGAGGCAGAGGTTGCAGTGAGCCGAGATCGCGCCACTGTACTCCAGCCTGGAAGACAGAGTGAGGCTTCGTCTCAGGGAAAAAAAAAGAAAAAAAAGTTTTCCTAAAATTGTCATGTATATCATATAGCAGGAGATAAAGCAAGTCTCAATAAATTTCAAGAAATTGGCATCTCAGATCATGTGTAATTAATTAAAAATCAATAGCAAATAGTGATAAAAACAGTGTTGTACTGGCATAAAGTTGGCCGTATAGACCAAAGGAATAGAAAGGAGATCCCACCATAAACCTTCACATGTATGGTCAGATGATTTTTGACAAGGGTGCCAAAACCATTCAATGGTGAAAGGACAGTCTTTTCAGTGCTGGGAAAACTGGATATCCACATACACAAGAAGGAAGTTGTATCCTTACCTAATGCCATATACAAAACTTAAAATGAATCAAAGACTGAAATGTAAGACTTTAAAAAACTTTGAGAAGAAAATATAGGGCAAAAGCTTCATGACACTGGATTTGGCAAAGATTTCTTGGATATGACTCCAAAGGCACAGGCAACTAAGAAAAAAATAGATAAGTTGGACTTCATGAAAATTTAAAAATTTTTGTGCATTAAGAGACTATTAACAGAGTAAAAAGTCAACCCACAGTATGGGAGAAAACATTTGCCAGTCATGTATTTGATAAGGGACTGATACCGGAACACATAGAGAACTGCTAAAACACAGCAACAACAAAAACCAAAACCTGATTCAAAATAGGCAAAGAACTTGAATAGACAGCTCTCCAAATAGGATATACAAAGAGTCAAAGGTCACATGAAAAGATACTCAACATCACTAACCATTAGGGAAATGTACATCAAAACTACAATGAGATGCCAACTCATACCTATTAAGATGGCTACTATTTAAAAAAATAAATGTTGGCAAGAATGTGGAGAACTTGGAACCCTTGTGCACTGTTGGTAGGAATATAAAATAGAATAGCTGCTGCAGTATGGCGGTTCCTCAAAAAATTAAAAATGCCATGTGATCCAGCAATTCCACTCCTGGATATATACTCAAAAGCATTGAATGCAGAGTCTGGAGAAGATATTTGTATACCCATGTTCATAGAAGCGTTACTCACAATAGCTAAATGTGGAAGCAACTCAAGTGTCCATCAATGGAAGAATGGAGAAGCAAAAGATGACATACACATACAAGAAAGGCAATACACATACACAAAAAGAAAGGCATTCTGACATATGCTCCAACATGAACAAACCTTGAGGCTATGATGCCAAGTCAAGTAAGCCAGTCATAAGAAAGACATATACTGTATGATTCCACTTACATGAGATATTTAGAGTAGCCAAAATCATACAGAGACAGTAGAATGGTGGTTGTCAGGAGCTTAGGAGGAGGAAGGATGTGGAGTTAGTGTTTAATGGGTATGAAGTTTCAGTTTTATTTATTTATTTTTAAATTTATTATTATTATTATTATTACTTTTTTTTTTTTTTTTTGAGACGGTGTCTCGCTCTGTCGCCCAGGCTGGAGTGCCGTGGCACAGTCTCGGCTCACTGCAAGCTCCGCCTCCCAGGTTCATGCCATTCTCCTGCCTCAGCCTCCCTAGTAGCTGAGACTACAGGCACCCACCACCATGCCCAGCTAATTATTTTGTATTTTTAGTAGAGATAGGGTTCTACCGTATTAGCCAGGATGGTCTTGATCTCCTGACCTCGTGATCCGCCCGCCTCGGCCTCCCAAAGTGCTGGAATTATAGGCATGAGCCACCGTGCCCGGCCAATTTACTTATTTATTTATTTTTGAGACGGGCGGAATCTCACTCTGTCGCCCAGGCTTGAGTACAATGGTGTGATCTCGGCTCACTGCAACCTCTGCCTCCCAGGTTCAAACGATTCTCCTGCCTCAGCCTCCTGAGTAGCTGGGATTACAGGCATGCGCCACCACGCCTGGCTAATTTTTGTATTTTTAGTAGAGACGGGGTTTCACCATGTTGGCCAGGCTGGTCTTGAACTCCTGACCTCGTGATCCACCCGCCTTGGCCTCCCAAAGTGCTAGGATTACAGGCGTGAGCCACCGTGCCCGGCCTGAAATTTCAGTTTTACAAGACAAAAAGACTTCTGGGATGGATGGTGGTGATGGTTACACAACAATGTGAATGTATGTAATGCCACTCCACTGTACACTTAAGAATGGGTAACACAGCCGTAAAAAGGAATGACATCATGTCCTTTGCAGGGACATGGATGAAGCTGGAAGCCAGCATCCTCAGCAAACTAACACAGGAACAGAAAGCCAAACACTGTATGTTCTTACTTATAAGTGGGAGTTGAACAATGAGAACACATGGACACAGGGACAGGAACAACACACACCAGGGCCCGTCAAGGGGTGGAGGGGAGGGAGGCATCAGGACACATAGCTAATGCATGCGGGGCTTAAAACCTAGATGAGGGGTTGATAGATACAGCAACCCACCATGGCACATGTATACCTATATAACAAGCCTGCACATTCTGTACATGTATCCCAGAACTTAAAATAAAATTTAAAAAAAAAATAGTTAAGATGGAGCTGAGGGCAGTAGCTCATGCCTGTAATCCCAGCACTTGGGGAGGTTGAGGGGTGGATCACTTGAGGCTCGGAGTCTGAGACCACCCTAGGCGACATGGCGAAACCCCATCTCTACAAAAAATAGAAAAATCAGCTAGGCATGGTGGTGTGTGCCTGTAGTCCCAGCTACTCAGGAGGCTGAGGTGGGAGGATCACTTGACCCTGGGAGGTCAAGTCTGCAATGAGTCATGATCGTAACACTGCACTCCAGCCTCGGTGACAGAGCAAGACCCTGCCTCTAAAAAATAAAAAGAGTGGTTAAGATGGTAAATTTTGTTATTGTAACATATTTTACTATGATTAAAAATTTGAAAAACAAAACAAAATCAATAGCAGTTAAGATGGTAAATTTTGTTATTGTAACATATTTTACTATGATTAAAAATTTGAAAAACAAAACAAAATCAATAGCAAAAAGATAACTAAAACCCAAAACTTCATCTATCCGGACAGTAACCCAGAGCTCTCTTTCCCCTGCATCTTGCTCCCTCCCCAACCTTCTGAAATCTTTAGGACAATGAGATTCAAAGATGAATGTGAACATTCCTAATAGCGAGCAGACACGCAGGGGGCGCACAGCCAATCTGACTTAAAGCTGGATGGGAACAGGTCCCCCTCTGATCCCTCTAGAAGGGATGTGGCCTTCATTAGAGCAAATTGGTACCAAAGTCTTTTCTGTCTTTTCCAAAGGATGAGTGAGCTCAGAGCTTGACAAAGACATGAGCCTCCATTTAAATGACGGCCGCCAGCAATCAGCCTTTATGAACACAAGGGCCTGGGAAACATCGGTGCGGAGCCAGGGTGGGCTGATGGAAACAGAACAAAGCCGGGTGGCAGGGGTCCTCAGTCCTGTGAAATAAGGACAAGCCCCCCACCAGCTTATCCTGCCTATCACGCCTCAGGGCCTGAAACTGCAGCGCCAGCAACAGGCTCTTTCAGAGAAGATCTGGATATCCCTAGGAGTTCTCGGTAAAGGCTCAGATACTCCCAGCCGTGAGCAAGGAAACAGGACACACTTTGGAAAAGGCAAATGTGGACCCTGTCCCCCAAGGGGACTCATTAAAACGATCGTCACTCGCTAGCTCCCTTGGCAGTCCCTGCTGGCACACACGGCTTGGTCTCTGTGCAGTGGTGCCCTTGTAGAAGGCTTCTGCTCTTATCATCTCTGGTTCCCTCTGGGGGGCTCATCTGCCTGCCTGCCTGCCTTTCAAACTCAGGCACCATAAAGAGACCCTTGTCCATGAGACAGGCGGCCTGGTTTGCAGCCTCTCGGTCACTTCTCCAGGCCTCAGTGCTCCTCAGCTGGGAAGGAGACTAGGACCCCCTACTTGGCAGGCTTATTTGGATTAAAGGAGATGGTGAGTAAGAAGAAACACCTTCTAGATCTCTGTGTCCAGATATGACCACAATTCTGACTTCCAGTCTGGCATCCCAGCTATCTGCTCACCAATTCTTGATGTCCTCCTCCCATGTAACAGCTTGAGGTGAGTAGGAAAACAGTGGCTTGAGTCCCAGCTCTTCCAGCTGTGTGACCTCAGCCTGGTCAATCACCCTCTCTGGTCTCTGTATCATCTCCTATAAAATGGGGGAGGGGGCTCCCTCTAATTATCCTTCCCAACTCAGAATTACTCTAAGGATAGCTAACACGTACAGAGTGGACTTTACACTAACCAATTCATTAAATACCCACAACCCAGATGTCCTTGTCTGTTTTCTGTTGCTTATAACAGAATATCTGATACTGCGTAATTTGTAAAGGAAAGGAACTTATTTCTTACAGTTATGGAGGCTAAGAAGCTCAAGGTCAAGGAGGCTGTGTCTGGTGAGGGCCTTCTTGCTGGTGGGGACTCTACAGAGTCCCGAGGTGGCACAGGGCATCACAGGGTGAGGGGGCTGAGAGTGCTACCTCATGTCTCCCTCCTACTTCTTATAAAACCACAGCCCCATTCCCATGATAACCCATTAATCCGTTAATCTATGAATGGATTAACCCATTCATGAAAGCGGAGCCCTCATGACCCAATCATCTCTTAAGAGCCCCGTTTCTCAATGCCCCCACACTGGGGATTAAACTTCAACATGAGTGTTGGATGGGACAAATATTCTAACCGTAGCACCAGAGAGCACAGTACCCACAACATACAGATAAGGGAACTGAGGTTCAGAAATGTGATTACTTGCTTAGAAATTCTGGAGTGGTAGAGCCAGGATTTGACCCCATGCGATCATCCTTAACCACCACGCCAACACCGTTCTGTGCATGGCACCGTGGTTAAGGGCACAGTCACTGGAGCTGGACAGCCTGGCTGTACAGGGCCCTGGGAATATGTGCGTATCTGTTCTGTGCCTTAGTTTCCCCATCTATGAAATGGGAAAGGATCGTAATACCCCCTTCCTCCTGGAATTGCAGGGAGCTCTGCTGAGCGCTACACGAGCCAGGCTCTGAGCTGCACACTCGCATTTCACTCTTGCATAAATCCTCCCGTGGTGCAGCCAAGGAAGCCGGAGAGAGTGGCTGAGTCATTTGCTCCAGGTGACTCTATTAGTAAGTTGTGCAGCTGGGATTAAAATCCAACTCCTTGACTTCAAAGTCCATATTTCAATTACTCCACTCCACCTTGATGCAATGCCCTCAAACTCCACGTTTAAAACCAATCTCCCGACTGCAAAGTGCACCCCCCAACAGGCTGCCTGACTCATCTGCTTCCCTGATGGGGCCTGAACCCCAGGCCTTGTGTTTGACTCATTCCTTTCCAGCCAGCCATCAGCGTTTGTGACTAACTGACCCCTTAGTGGAAATGTCACTCGGATCCGTTCCTTCCTCTCCAGCCCTGCTGCCCCCCTGCAGCCCAGACCCCCAAAGCTGAGGACAATGGAGACCAAGTACCCATGCCAAAGTGTAGTGTTGCAAAGGAGCTGAGAAAAAAAAAAATGCTCCTGGTCCCTCACCCCTTCAAGGCTGAGTAGCTAGGGAGCCTCGTGTGTGGTGGGAGGCTGGAGAGGGAGGTGTCTTCTTAAGTGGCTGTGGCTAGTGCTGGTGGCAGGCAAACCTCAGAGAAGAGAAAGAACCAAGCCTGGACCCAGCCCAAGGTGGGCCTGCGGGCTGGCAAGCTCGACGGGCAGGAGCAGGGAGGGGCCCAGCTGGCAGCGCTGCCCACCCCACCCTGGCTTCATGTGTAGTCCCTTCTTCCAACCTGTGGAATCTCTCCACCTGCCCCCCACTTCTAGGGCTCACCTTGGGTACTTGAGCTAGATCAGGAGACAGATGGTATTTGAGGAGGAGCTACCAGGCACCCTTGATTCCTCGCTGGACACACACGAATGGCCACCCAGGTGAGATCTCAGGTGCCCCTACCTCACCATAGGCAGGTTAGGTTTATGCATACCCATTTTACAGATGAGGAAAGGAAGTTTCCCCGAGCCCTAGGACTCAGCTTCCCTGTCTCCAAGTGCAGTGGCTGTAGAACCCTGGGAGCCACCTGAAAATGCCTTTCCTAGAGGAGCTGCAGAGGTGGCCACCATTCCTTAGGGTCCATTGGGCAGGAGGAATCAAATGTACCCTGGACATGCCCTGGGTGCCAGTGACCCACATATGAAGAACATAAGGTTTGAGGCCTTGAGGAGTCCACAGCCTCATTGGGGAAACACAAGTTACAGACAGTGCAACAGAAACTGGTGCTGGGACCACTGGTGAGCCAAGGAGGGGGCCATGGTGGCAGTTTTGAGACACACTCCAGAGGTGGAGGGGGAGAGTACGGGGAGGAGGGGGCTTCCCAGGACGGACTTGGCTGCCTCCTCACCCAGCAGGGGCCAGTCCACACACCCTTTGAAGGGCAGTGTCAGAATGTGAGCTGGGGAACCTGAGTCTGACAACTTCGGGTTCAAATGCCAGTGGTACCCCCACAGACCAGGGGCTTCAGGACAAATGACCGAATGTCTCTGAGCTTTGATTTTCTCATCTGTGACATGGAAAGATTATACTGTAGAGTTCCAGGGCTGCCAAGGTGAGAGCCCAGTACAGTAAGAAGTGGCAGGAGGAATAGGCCAGCAAACAGGGGCTGCAGGAGGCCCTTGAGACAGTGAGGGCACCCCCACCCCGCCCCTACAGCATCCTTGGCCGGCCACTCCTTCTGGTCTTTCTTTACTGGGCCTGGACTCAGGCACGCACTTTCCAGCCAACTCCAAGGGCCCCCCACAAGGTGGACACACGTTTCCTCCTTGGTTCTCGGCCCCTCCTGAGCCTGTGCGGGAACAGATGTCCTTGCTTCCTGCCCAAATCTGCAAGCTGGGTTGGCTCCTTTTGCTGCTTCCAGGGAGGCAGAAACTCTGGATGGAAATCTCTGGGCTTCCCCTGAGAGGAAAGCTCTCTTTTCCCTGGCTTCTGCCCTCCTCTCTGGTCTGGGCTCCCAATCCCAGTATCCACTGCTGATGTGTGAACACTTCTGGGCCCCAGTTGAGCCCTGCACCCCACTTGGAAGCCCTCAGACTGGCGTGTGTTGATTGAATACACGTATGATCCTTCATCTGAATGATTCCCCAACTCCGCTCAGAACGGGGGCGGGACGGGAATCAAGAAAGGGCACAGCAACTAGGGAGTAAGCACTGTAGGCAGCCGGGGAATCAAAGGCAAAGGCGTCAAGAAGGGAAGGAACATTTATTGAGCACCTAGTATATGCTAGGAATAAATAAGGAAGGCATAGCAAGTACCGAGCCTTGCCCTGATAACACACAGTAGCATGGTAGGAAATGGTCCCTGTCTTGAGTCCCTGGGAGAGATTTTACACACATCTCACCTGCCCTCATTTCCTTCCCATTACAATCCTATACATAGGTACCACTGGCTCCACCTTACAGGTGAGGAGACTGAGGCAGCTCAGGTCTTGAGACCGGACCTAGATGGAGACTTCAGGATGGACACAGACACTCTCTTTGTCCCCAATCTCTTTACCAACCCCCCTGGGGAAAAGAACTCTTTGTTCACAAGCACACCCCAAAAGGTACCACACGTTTTCTCAATAAATGTTTTTTGAGGCCGGGCGCGGTGGCTCACATCTGTAATCCCACCCATCTGCCCAAACTCCTTCACTGGGAGTTTGAGCACCCACGAGTGCCAGCCCTGGAGTCACAGAGAGGAGGGTGCTGCAGCTGGTCCCTGCCCTCGAGGAGCTCACAGTGTGCAGGCAGCAGGGAAAGAGGGAGATGCTAGAGGAGAGGGAAGGATGGAGGTCGAGGGAAGAGAAAGACGTGTGTGTTTCATTGCTATGTGATACATACCAGCACTGAGACAGTGTGGTGGGAGAATGGGTTTGAAGATAGCCAGGGTGACCAACTGTCCGTGTTTGCCCAGGACTGAGAGGTTTCCCAGGATGCTAGCATTTCAGTGCTGACACTGGGAAAATTCCAGGCCAGATGGGATGAGTTCGTCACCCTAAGCCTGTGTTCAAATCCTGGCTCTGCCATGTGCCTGGTGAAACCGCCAGTTACCTAATTAGCATCCAATCACCCATCTTTTAGAAATGACTTTATTACAGTCTAAAGGCCTTCCCTGTGCAATTCCTCTTTCTCCCTCCTCCCCCCTTTTAAAAGTGTATCTCAGTTCAAAAAACTTTTATTTTTATTTTTGTATTGAGACGGCATCTCACTCTGTCACCCAGGCTGGAGTACAGTGGCACAATCACAACTTACTGCAGCCCCGACCCCTTGGACTAGAGATCCTCTTGCCTCGGTCTTTCAAGTAGCTGGGACTACCGGTGCGTGCCACCACACCCAGGTAATTTTTGTATTTTTTGCAGAGACGGGGTTTCACCATGTTGCCTGGGCTGGTCTTGAACTCCTGGGCTCAAGACATTCTCCTGCCTTCGCCTCCCAAAGTGCTGGGATTACAGGTGTGAGCCACCATGCCTGGCCTCAAAAAACATTATTGAGAAAATACCACGGGCTTTCCTAGGCTCCGGGGAATGAAAGAATGTTCTTTCCCCTTTTATCAGCAGAGACAATGACTGGGAGAATGATTAGATGGACAGGGGAAGAATCCATGATGCCTCTTGCAGCCTGAGGCCAACTGCAGTAGCGGACACTGGTGTTCTTCCCACTAACCTCCCCCTTCCAGGTGTCCCTAAGGAAGAGAGGCCACGGGCACCTTGGAGGGACTACTCCTGACCGTGTATGGAGAACTGGACCTTGGTGTAAGGAATGGACCATGGCAGCCAGGGAGGGGCCCCCTTAGCTCTCCATTCAACAACAACTTTGCCACTCAGCAGCAGGTGAGGCAGTTAGCAGACGCTCTCCAACTTCATGATCCACCTCAGCTTCTGAGCTGAAGCCTTGCTCTTCTGGGGCAACTTCCAGCCAATGACTCAGGGTGAAAAGGGCACCATAGAGACAGGCCATTTGTGCCTGATGCAAAAACTCCCTCGTGGGCAGTCTCGGCCCCAGAGCTCCCTGTCGGGGTGGCCAACACTTTGTTAGATCAGCACCGAAGTCAGAGGTTCTCCCTGCCCGATTCTGTTTCTGGCCCTCTTATCTTTCACAGGACATCACCCCCAATAAAGCACTTGCACTTCCAACCCCATCTCAGTGTCCGCTTCCTGGAGGACCCAACTGACAAACACTACCTGTAAAACAGATTCATCCACGTCTCTCCACCACCACCAATTCCAAGTCACCATTACTTGGAGAAGCACCTGGAGGGAGGCATAGCCCTCCAATTGTAACCCCCCTACTTCCTCTTGTTTTGTTTGTTTGTTTTTGTTTTTGAGACAGGGTCTCTGTCGCCCAGACTGCAGTGCAGTGGCGTGATCTCGGCTCACCGCAACCTCCGCCTCCCAGGCTCAAGTGATTCTCTTGCCCAGCCTCCCGAATAGCTGGGATTACAGGCGCGCACCACTACCACCTGGCTAATTTTTGTATTTTTAGTAGAGACGGGGTTTCACCATGTTGGCCAGGCTGGCCTAGAACTCCTGACCTCAAACGATCCACCCGCCTTGGCCTCCCAAAGTGCTGGGATTACAGGCATGAGTCACCGCTCCCGGCCCTCTGTTATCTCTTTGTAACCCAGTCTCCAGACAACTGCCAGAGTGGTCTTTTAAAAACACAGTCCAGGTGATATCACTTCCGTGCTTCAGCCCTCCAGTTGGGCTTCGAGTCAGACCCACTCCCTTCCCGGAGCCTGTAAATCTCTACACGGCCCCCACCTTCCTGTCCAGCTTCCTCCCTCCCCTACATCTCACTCTGCCTCTAGCCCCACTCTGTTCCTTCTGTTCCTGAAATATATTACGCTCCTTTCTGCCCCAGGGCCTTTGCACTAGCGGTTCCCTCTGCCTAGAACACACCATCTTTCCCCAGACTTCTGCATGGCTGGTTTCCCAGGTCATTTAGGTCTGAGCTCCAATGCAGGCCTTTTCTGACCACCTTATAAATACTGCCCACCTCCCAATTCCCCCTTCCTACTTCCTGTAACTTTCTATAACATCACTTGAAGATTTTTCTTTGTCATTCTCATCATTATTGGAAATTAACTTGTTTACTTAGTTATTCATTTGTTTACTGCCTGCCTCCCCACTGGAATATAAACTGCGTGAGCTTGTCTTGTTCCCAGCTCTCTCCAATGCTTGGCACTATGCCTGGCACAATGTAGGTCTCAAAACATATTTTCTAAAATGAATTCCTATATTTGTTATATATGGCAGAATTCCCTTGGCCTAAGAATGGAATGAAAGTGAAGAAATTTAAAAAAAAAAAAACTAGGAGTCATGACAATTCAGAGGGAAAATATAGGAACTATTCCAGTTTTAGGGAAGTTCCCCTGAGAATACTTCTCTGCCCATCCCTTGAGGAATCCTGTGTTAGGATTAAGGGGGGTCTCTCCCAGGACCCAGGAGAGACGAGTTTTGGGACTTCTCTGTCCTCTCCTCCTTCCTCTGCCTCCAGCAGTGGCATTAGGAACTAGTTCAGCAAACATTCACCGAGAAGCTTCCCTGGGCAGGCTTCATGCTGAATGCTGGGGATAGAGATGGGCCAAGGAAGAAGGGAGAGGCTGGGCGCCATGGCTCACGCCTGTAATCCCAGCACTTTGGGAGGCCGAGGCAGGTGGATCACCTGAGGTCAGGAGTTCAAGACCAGCCTGGCCAACATATTGAAACTCCATCTCTACTAAAAATACAAAAATTAGCTGGGCGTGGTGGCGTGCACCTGTAGTCCCAGCTACTTGGGAGACTGAGGCAGGAGAATTGCTTGAACCCGCAAGGCAGAGGTTCCAGTGAGCCGAGATCACGCCACCGCACTGCAGCCTGGGTGACAGAGCAAGACTCTGTCTCAAAAATAAAATAAAATAAAAAATAAAGTCATTCTAGGAGATCAACAGACCAGTTTAAACACAATTTGACTCCAGCCTCTGGACCCATTTATCCAAACTGTCCCCAAAGTCTCAGGGGGCAGCTCAGGTAAAGGTGGCACCATTTGGTGCCCAAGTCACAGTGGCTCTGCTGCTCTTGGCAGCAGCCCTCTCTCTTGGCATCTCCTGTCCTTCCCTGGACTTCCTATGACAGTTTCTCCTGGGGATGCTATCTCCGTGTTTCTGTCTTCACGGCACACGTGTAGATGTACCAGGAGTCCCGATGTCTCATGCATCCCCAGGACTTTAGCAGGGCCTACCGCTGGCCTTTGCCTTCCAAGAGCCCAGCCCATCTCTCTGTCCATGAGATGCTTCCTCCAAGCCCAGCTGCCTGCCCTGGGTTTTGAGGTTACGACTTCAGTGAGCACCAGCACACATCCACGCACACACAGCACTCAGGTTCCTGGCATACAGCGCTTGTGTTTGCTTCTCTCCTCTTTCACAACTCAGGTATGGATGAAAATCCCTGGCTCCTAGAGATGGGTGAACAGGGTGGACATCATCCTAACATGTGTGGAGAGAGGGAGGTGGAGCACGTGTGCCTGGGAACACTGGACAAAATCCCCGTGGCTGGAGAGCGTCCCCCAGGGTTGTGGCTTCCTGGGAAACATTCCGGTCTCTCCCCACCACCAGCGCTATGTGAAGTACACTCGAAACCACAGTGGTAGCCGTGGTGGTCCAGAGATCCTGGTTTGCGCTTTCCCTTCAAGTCAAAAATGCAGGCTTGGAAGGGAGACAGAGCTGGGAATAACCACAGCCCTCCCAAGGCCCTTCCAGCCCTGGGAATCCGTATTGGTCAGGAAAGACCTCATGGAAAATTGGAGCTGGGGATAAAGTGTGGAGGATAGTAGGATTGTTTTTAAGTTTTTAATTGCAAAGTTAATTTTCAACAAAATATATATAGACATTTTTGACAGAAGAAAGTAAAACGCTCCTCTGCCACCCCCACAGCACAGCCCACTCCCATTCCTGCTGTTCCTTCTGGGCCTGGTCCACATGCCCACCAGGCACGTGGCACCGCTTGCCAACGAAGGCAGACTGCAGTGGGGGTGGGGGGTTTCTCTGGACCTGTGAGGCTCTAAGCCCCCAAGGATTCAGAGGAGAGAATTTCCATCATCCTCTGAGATCACAGGAAGATTCTGTAATGAGGGTGGCGGGGAGTGAACTCTGCTCCTTCAGAAGGTTGGAGGTGGGGGTGACGGGCAGGTGGCCACAGTATAAACAGAAGTTAGGTCAAAATCCGAGCCTCCCCCCAACCCCCAACACTGGCCTCTTCTCCACCTCTAACCGCTCCCACTCCAGCCCCATCCACAGTCTGGTCCGGTGAAACGTGCCTAAGCTCGCAGGCGGCTCCAACGCAGCCACCCGGTGACCTTGGACAGAGGCCTGACCTCAGGTGTCTCAGTTTCCTCATTTCTATTGTGAGCCTGTCCACGGCAAGGCTCAATTGCGACCGAGCTTGTGGCGCGCCCAGTGCACAGCCCCACCCGGAAGAAAGCTCCCTCCCGGGTGGATGTGAACATAACCGGCTTGGGGAGGGGGCCCGAGCACGGGAGGGCTGGGATGGGGGTCACCCAGGAGCCCCGCCGCGCGGCCCTCGGGTCGCCGGCCCCTGCGCTGTGACCGCGGCGAGATAAGGTCCCAGGCGCTGCCCTCGCTCCTCGCCGCATCCCCGGCGGCGCCCCCAGCCGGGCGCCCGGCACTGAACGGGTGCGGGGCTGGGCCGGGGCCAGGGCCGGCCCGGGGAAGCGAGTGGGGCGGGGCCGCCGCGCCCGCTCCCCCTCCCCGCCGCCTGCCGTCTTCTCCTCCTCCCGCCGCCCGGGCTCAGAGCGGCGGCAGCAGCGGCCGCGGCGACAGCTCCAGCTCCGGCTCCGGCTCCGGCTCCGGCTCCGGCTCCCGCGCCTGCCCCGCTCGGCCCAGCGCGCCCGGGCTCCGCGCCCCGACCCCGCCGCCGCGCCTGCCGGGGGCCTCGGGCGCCCCCGCCGCCCGCCTCACGCTGAAGTTCCTGGCCGTGCTGCTGGCCGCGGGCATGCTGGCGTTCCTCGGTGCCGTCATCTGCATCATCGCCAGCGTGCCCCTGGCGGCCAGCCCGGCGCGGGCGCTGCCCGGCGGCGCCGACAATGCTTCGGTCGCCTCGGGCGCCGCCGCGTCCCCGGGCCCGCAGCGGAGCCTGAGCGCGCTGCACGGCGCGGGCGGTTCAGCCGGGCCCCCCGCGCTGCCCGGGGCACCCGCGGCCAGCGCGCACCCGCTGCCGCCCGGGCCCCTGTTCAGCCGCTTCCTGTGCACGCCGCTGGCTGCTGCCTGCCCGTCGGGGGCCCAGCAGGGGGACGCGGCGGGCGCTGCGCCGGGCGAGCGCGAAGAGCTGCTGCTGCTGCAGAGCACGGCCGAGCAGCTGCGCCAGACGGCGCTGCAGCAGGAGGCGCGCATCCGCGCCGACCAGGACACCATCCGTGAGCTCACCGGCAAGCTGGGCCGCTGCGAGAGCGGCCTGCCGCGCGGCCTCCAGGGCGCCGGGCCCCGCCGCGACACCATGGCCGACGGGCCCTGGGACTCGCCTGCGCTCATTCTGGAGCTGGAGGACGCCGTGCGCGCCCTGCGGGACCGCATCGACCGCCTGGAGGTGAGCGCCGCGCGCCGTCGGGGGAGCCGCCCGGGTGGTGTGAGGGGCCGCCCGGCCGCGGTCGTCCGGCGGTCCCCGAGCCTCCGGTCTCCCGTCTGTGTTCCGGGGACGATCGCGCCTTCCTCGCTGGCGAGGCGGGGGGATTTCGATAGGGAACGCGGGCAGGCGTCTGGCACGGTGACTGAGGCACAGAGGGCGCGCCAGAAAGATTCGCTCCCCACCCTTTTCCGTCTCCAGGCACCTCTCTGAGCCTCAGTTTCTGTGTCTGTAAAATAGGTATAACAGTGTCCACTTGTAGTGGAAATTGAATCAAATGTAGGTGTGTGAAAATGCTTGGCACGTACTAGGACCTCATTAAATGTCCCTTTCATTTCCTTCTTCCGGACACCCCCAAATCAGCCCAGCTCCACGCTCACACTTTATGGCCAGGAGATGGATGCGCTGTCCAAAGGACTTGGGGTCCTCCCCTCATTACACAGAGCCGGGAACAGAGTGCCCTATAAGACAAACCTGGGTGCCCCTCACCACCTCCCTACCCTGAATCTCCCACTCTGGCTCAGACTATGACCCAAACCGCAGGAGCTCAGGTGCCAGGCGCCCAGCCTCACACACCTGGAAGCCCACAGCTCTTGGGTGGGGGCTGAATGGAGAACAGGGCCCCCCGAGCTCCTCCTCCTCCACTCACTTTTCCAGGCTTTCCTGACTCAGGCTTGGGGTCAGACACAAGGGGTCCAGCATGGGGGAACCCACTCTTGGCTCTCATGTGACCCTGGGCCAGTCATTTCCCCCCTGGAGTCCCATGGCCACCTTCCTCCCTGTAAGAATGAATTTGGGGCTCCCAGAAGTGCAAGGCAGACAGACTGGGCAGGACAAACATCCGGGACACATTCACTACCCCAGCCATGGCCTGACTTCCAGACCACAAGGAAGGGGGTTAAGCAACAAAATCAGATCTGTGGAAGGAAGAGAGAGAAAGAGGCCAAAGCCCGCGCTGCCCCCTCTGCTACCTCCACCCAGGTGGAGTGCAGCAGGCAAGTTGGAGGGAGGAGAGAGGCGGGGAGTAAATGCAGGGACCCCTTACTCCCGGGGCTTTTTAAGTTAAATCCTGGGCAAGCAGCACTGGTGATGCCCACTCACAAGGCTGAGGATGTCGTGGTCTGACAGCCCTCCAGGACGTCTGTACTGGTGTCAGCACCCTCCCCACAGGGTGTCAGAGTGCAGCCAGTCAGCCATTGCAGCCAACCCCTCACCTTACGGATGAGAAAACTCAGCTCAGAAACGTCCTAAGAGAGGTGGCAGAGGCAGGAGAAAAGCCGGGCCCATACCCACCTCTTCCCCGACTCCAGCTCTGGGGGATTTCTAGGATGAGAGAACCAAGAGCAGGAAAATAATCAGGAAAAAGGTGAAAGTATGCAATGAAGGGAAGTCTTAGTTTTCTCGCCTGTAAAATGGGGATAGTAATAGCACCTACCTCACTGGGATATTAGGAGGATTAAGTACTTTATATGAAAGGCCAAGAATAGTGCCTGGCACACAGGTATGTTCAGTCAATTTGAGTGATGGCTATTTTTATCATTAAGCTATAATATTACTCATTTTTAAAATACAGCCAAAACTCAAAATAGGAACAAACAGGTTTTAGGCAACAGGTTTTAGTCATGTAAAAAACAATTTTTGACTTTCATTGAATAAACTTCCTCGTGCCTGCCATAGCCCCTGCCCCCACGCCCAGATGGCACAGGTGGCTCCTCCCACGTCTGGGGCTGGCAGGCTTGGACCTGCCTTGGACCTGTGCCCCCAGCACCTGCAGCATTTGGCAGGGTGGCCTCCCTTCCGGTTAGCCCGCTGAGGTTGGGGGGATCCTGGCAGCTGGAATTTGGCAACAGGTCAGCCTTCCAGGCTGGGGGAGCCCTGGCTTCCCCATGTATACCTTTTCCTCTTTTCTGAGTGCAGCAGCCACAGACAGAGAAGGGCGGGGCCCTGCTTGGCCACCAGGTCTGCTTTCTGAGCGTGGCAACAGCCACAGCTAGTCTTTTGGGGGCCTCTGGGAGGGGCTGGGGCTGGAGCTGGAGCACAGCAGACACAGGGTGAGACCACTTGGCTCAGCGGAGTCCCATGCACCCGTTAGCCACTGTCCAATCTCTCCCCTCTCTTCTCATTCAGTATCCTCAAAGTGCCCAGATTTTCAGGGTCTCCTTTCCCTCCCAGGATACACTGAAGGTGCTCTTGCTAATGTCCCCAAGATGATAAATGAGGACTTCTCAGTCCTTATCTTGGGGGAACCCTCTCTGACACCTGACCCTGCTGATCATCCCCTCTTGCAGGTCTCCATGCCCTGGGCTTCCAGCCGCCTCTCACAGCAGCCCTCCTCCTCCCTCTGTCTGCTGCCTCTGTCTCCTTGCAGGGTCCTCCTCCTTTAAGGCATGTGCCCGTCTTGGCCCTCACTTTCCCTGGGTACACTCAGCCATGCCCTGAGGCTTCCCACACCCATTCCACGGAGGGGCCCCAAACCAAACTCAGTGTCCAGCCCAGGTTTCCTTCCCAAGCTCCAGACCCATCAACACATCGGCCTCCTGAGCATCTCTCTCTGGTTGTCCCATCAGCCCCCTAACCACACTGTGTTTCAGCTTGAACCAGGTACCTCCATGTGCCCTGAGAAACCATCCTTGGCCCCTCCCTCTCCCCCCAGTTCTGATTGGCCTCATCTCTGTACACGCTTGCAGCAGCCTCCTCTCTGGTCTCATGACTCCAGGCACACCCTTCCCTCCATCCTCCTCCAGGCAGCCCCAAGGGTCTTCCTTAAGCCCACCATGGGGCTCTCCTAACTCCTCGGCCTGCTCCTAGGCTACCACTTTGGATCTGGCCCCCGCTCCTGACCCCTCTCTCAGTTCATTCCTGCCTCTGCCTGGATCACCCCCAGCACATTCCTGCTCCACATCTTAGAGTCTGCTCCAAGTACACCTCCTCTCAGGAGCCATCCCTGTTCACACTCTGTCCCCTTCCTATCCCCACCTGGGCTTCCATAATCATCACACTTCCCTGCTGGTCCCCACCAGGCACATCCCTGCATCACCACCCCTCCTACAAAAGGGAAGGGAAGGTCTGATTGGCCTGTCCTCTCCCCAAAGCCTCAAGTGGGAGCCACATTTAAGGGCTTAGGGGAAAGTGTCTTCTTTTCCATTTTTATTTGTGTTGTTATTGTTGTTCATTGAAATAAATCAAAAGGTTTTGGGGAAAATGCTGCATTCAATTGCGTCATTTTCTCCCTTTTTGCAACCCTCTTTCAGTCCTTATCCATATGCAGCCATTGTTTGAGAGCTGCTGTGTAATTACCATTTTAATGATGCCATAATATCCTGGGATTCATCTGCAGCTCCCCATCCATCAGTCACTTGACTGGCTCCTGTTACTGGAGATGTAGGTTGTTTCTAATTATTTTTCTTCCAGATGTTCATTGCAGGATCCATTTCATACAGAGAGCTGTTTGTTTGTTTGTTTTTAAGTCTGTTGATTTTTTTAGGCTGAATTCCCAGGAGTGGTATTACTGGGTACTGGGTCAGAGGATATTGACTTTTTTTTTTTTTCTTTTTGAGACAAAGTCTAGCTCTGTCGCCCAGGCTGGAGTGCAGTGGCGCAATCTTGGCTCATTGCAACCTCCGCCTTCTAGGTTCAAGCGATTCTCCTGCCTCAGCCTCCTGAGTAGCTGGGACTACAGGCATGTGCCACCACGCCCAGCTAATTCTTGTTTTTTAAATAGAGATGGGGTTTTACCTTGTTGGTCAGGCTGGTCTCAAACTCCTGACCTCAGGTGATCCGCCCACCTCAGCCTCCCAAAGTGCTGGGATTACAGGCGTGAGCCACTGTGCCTGGCCAATATTGACTTTTTATGGCTGAGGCCAGGAGCCACTTTCCAAGAGTTGGCCCAATGATGCGGCTACAGGCCATGCATGTGTGTTCCCCTGTTCCATTTTTGTGCTAATTTAATGTATGTATACAACGGAACTTCAAGATTAATTTCAACAGCATTTCTTTGGCATAAACCACATCCTTAACCCAGCCCAGCAAGCTGATTGCCTCCTCCCATCCTGGAGTGGGAGCCAAATAACCATTATAGCGAACACTTACTGAGCACTTACTATGCGGCAGGCACAGTGCATTATCTTATTTAATCCTTGTAAAATCTCTGTGAGGGAGGTACAAAGAAACCAAGGTTCAGAGAGGTTAAGGAACTGGCCCCAAGGCAGCAGTGGAGCCCACTGTCTGGCTGTAGAGCCCTCGTTCTTCATCATCAACTCTAGACCCATCTGGAGGGGTCAGACGTCACCCACCTTTGGGAGCATGGAAAAGACAGGTGAGCTGGGCGCGGTGGCTCACACCTGTAATCCCAGCACTTTGGGAGGCCAAGGTGGGCAGATTATGAGGTCAGGAGATCGAGACCATCCTGGCTAACACGGTGAAACCCCGTCTCTACTAAAAATGCAAAAAATTAGCCAGGCATGGTGGCGGGCACCTGTAGTCCCAGCTACTCAGGAGGCTGAGGCAGGAGAATGACGTGAACCCGGGACGCGGAGCTTGCAGTGAGCCGAGATCTTGCCACTGCACTCCAGCCTGGGCGACAGAGCGAGACTCCATCTCAAAAAAAAAAAAAAAAAAAAAAAAAATAGCCAGGTGAGGGCGGTGCCTGTGCTAGTCACTGTCCTGGACCATTTCTGCCTCGGAGCCCAGAGTGAGAGGGGTGAAGGCCAGTCCTCAAGGCTTGTCCTGCTGACCGGCTAGATAGCCGAGAGACTTGCTGCAAGACCTTCACTGCTGCTGCTGCTGCTGATAATAACTAACACTTATTAGACACTTACTAGATACATATTAGCTTATTCAGTCTTCAGTCCTATGATAGAGGCTGAACGCATTCCCATCTTACAGATGAGCAAATAGAAGCTCAGAGACAGTGAAGGACACAGACCCAGGCAAATCCCTGCCCCGCCCCCCACCAGCTTCAGTTTTCCCCTCCATACAAAGAATGATATAGCAGGCCAGATACGCCCGAAACATGCTTCCAGCTCTAAAAAGTCTCTGAAATAGGTCAGGAGCGGTGGCTCACACCTGTAATCCCAGCACTTTGGGAGGCCAAGGCCAGCAGATCACTTGAGGTCAGGAGTTCAGGACCAGCCTGGCCAACATGGCAAAACCCTGTCTCTACTTAAAAATACAAAAATTAGCCAAGTATGGTGGCATGTGCCTGTGGTCCCAGCTGCTTGGGAAGCTGAGGCAGAAGAGTCACTTGAACCCAGGAGGCAGAGGTTGCAGTGAGCCAAGATTATGCCACTGCACTCCAGCCTGGGCAACAGAGCGAAACTCTGTCTCAAATAAAATAAAATAAAATAAAATAAAAAATAAAAATAAATAAGTCTCTGAAATAGAAAGGCTGGGAGGCACAGGCTTGGGTTCTTGCTTGTGACTTTAGACTAATCACTTTCCCTCTTGGTGCCTTGGTTTTCTTATCTGTAAAACAGGCGGGAGGAGGAGCTAAGTCCCAGTCCCCTTAGGCTCTACATTCTGAGTTCTTGGGCAGAAGGCTTCTAAATAGGGATTGTGTGGGGTGTAGGTGTGTTTATGGGGGTACATGTGTGTACCGCCCTCGAGCCCCTTCCACCCACTCCCAGAACTATGTTTCTCTGGGAAATCTGCAGATAAACAGCAGCTTCGAGGATCTCTTGGTGTCTTCTCTAAATTCCGTTGGTTGTCTTTGTTTTTCTCTGACTTTGCTGCCCATTCTAGAAGCTTCTGCCTAGTGGGCACTGGTTCCCCTGACCCTGCCTGTTTGGCAGTGAGGAGGGCTTGGGAGAAGGGAATGGCGGGGGGCTGTGGAATGTGGAGAGAGGGCTTCTGCTATTGGGCTTTGGTTGGAGGATGTGGACCCACAGTGTCCTCCCTCCCCCACAGTGCCCCCTCCAGCCCTGAGAAAGCTGCAGTGTGGAACATGTTCCTGGTACAGACTCCAGGGCCAGATCACCTGGGTGCAAATTCCAGCTCTGTCACTTGAGAGTTCTGTGACCTCAGGCAAGGTGCTTAACTTTCTCAGCCTCAGTTTCCTGTCTGAAATGGAGATTTGAAAGCCTGTGGGGGCTGGGCGCGGTGGCTCACGCCTGTAATCCCAGCACTTTGGGAAGCTGAGGTGGGCGTATCACGAGGTCAGGAGATCAAGATCATCCTGGCTAACACGGTGAAACCTCATCTCTACTAAAAATACAAAAAATTAGCCGGGCATGGTGGCGGGCACCTATAGTCCCAGCTACTCGGGAGGCTGAGGCAGGAGAATCGCTTGAACCTGGGAGGCTGAGGTTGCAGTGAGCTGAGATTGCACCACTGCACTACAGCCTGGGCGACAGAGCAAGACTCCATCTCAAAAAATAAATAAATAAAATAAAAAAGCCTGTGTGACTTGTTTGTTTTGAGGTTTATATTACATTCAAGATACGGAAGAGGTCACAGATCTCACTTAAACAGACACAAATCGTAAGTGGACAGCTCGATGAAAATTTGTGGATGGATACCCCTGTGAAAGCGCCAGCCAGATCAGGAATTGGAACACTTCCAGCACCCCCAGAAGGCTCCCTGGTGCCCCCAAAGACAGTAGCCTTCCAAAGGCAACGGCTATTCTGGCTCCTGTCACCGTAGTCAGTTTTGCCTGTGTTTGGACTTCGTACAAATGGACGCAGACAGCTGTGCACCCTTGCGTCTGGTGATCTTTCATTCAATGTCACGTCTGTGGCATCCAGGCTTATTGCGTGTACCCACGGAGGATTGCCGTTTTCATTGCCGTGTGGTGTTCCGTTGCGCGGACGAGCCTTAATTCATTTACCCGTTCTTCTGTGGATGGATCTGTGGGTTGTTTCTGATTTACAAATAAGGCTGCTGTAAACATTCTTGGGATATCTGTTGGCGGCTGTCAGCCCTCATTTCTCCCTGGATCGAGCCACAGGAGTGGGTTGCAAGAGGGGCATATATTTAGCGTCGGAAGGTACAGCCAAACATTTCCCCACAGTAGCTGAGAGAGTTTACAAGCCCGCCCGCGTGTAAACCTCGCCAAACTCGGTATGGTCATTTTAAAAACATTCCCGTTTCGGTGGGCGTGTAGTGCACTCACTGTGGTTTTAATTTGTATTGCTCTGATGATTCATGACGTTGAGCACCTTTTCTTATGTTTATTGGCCATTTTGTAAATCTTTGCCTGTAGGAGGTGGAATGAACTCAGAGGTCGGTGCTCCTCACAGAGTGAAGAAGGTGGGGTGCCGGGGCGGCGGGGGGGCGTCTCCCCAGGACAGTCTTGGGCACATCATCCCCGTGGAACTCTGGGGACAGGGATAGAAGCAACCAACCCAAGGTGGGAGCACTTATGTGCTTCCACAGCCCTTGTTTCACTCCAGGGGAAGCTGAGGCTCAGAGAGGCTGAGGGACCTGCCCACAGCCACAGAGGCTGAGTCAAGACCAAGCCAGGATTTCTCACTGAAGTGGGCTAGGGGTGGGGGACCTCCATCTGCTGAGGATTTTGGGGGCCCGGAAGGTGTGTGGGCAGGCAGGACCTCAGCAGAACTCCCAGCTGGGCTTCTGGAAGCAGCAGCCTGACAGGAGGGACTTTTGAAGGGAGGAGCAAGGGGCCTGGGGCCAGAGGGGTCTTTAGACACGGTCTGGGGTCTCGGACCCAGGAGGTACATGGCCAACCCCATCCCTGCTCCCTCTTCCTCATCCTCCTCCCCATTTGTCTTCTTTCCTTCAGCTCCAAAGTGGTACTAGGAGACCAGGATGATCAAAACCAACCTGTCCTTTGCCCACCACTCACCTGTTCCCCACCTGGGTAGGAGGAGGCGGAGCCACCTGCTGGGTCTGTCCCTGGAGAGGAAGGCAGGGTGGCAGTATGGGGTTTCTCTGAGAAGGCTTCCTGACCCCAAACTTCCACCTTGGCAAGAGCTGGTGGCCTGGCCATCCCAGAACAGCCTCTGCCTCACCGCCAGCTGGGAGCACCGCCAGCTGGGAGCACCGCCACCTGCGGAACCATGGGGCCATATTTGCCTTTGGGGCCACAGCACCTGGCACTTGGCAAGAGGCAGCAGGGGTGAGCTCACCCTCTGCACCAGGCCTGTCAAGGGCCTTACAATTGAATCCCACAAGAACTATGGTACTATTACTATCTCTGTTTTACAGATGAGGAAACTGAGGCTCAGAAAGTTTCAGAAGCTTGTCCAGCTCACTCAGCTGGCATTTCCACCCAGGCAGTCTGGCTCCAGGGCCTGCACCATGACACATTATGCTCTCCTGCCTCTCAATAACAGCAAAGAATAATAGTAATGTGACAACCACGTACTGCCTCTTATGGTTGACCACACTTCATATCTGTTCTTTCATTTTATCATTATTTATATCCCCAAATGTAGGTACTATTATTACACCCATTTTACAGATAAGGTAACTGAGGGCCAGAGGAGTTAAGCAGCTTGCCCAAGGTCGCAGATCTAGTAAGCAAGGAACTGAAAATGACGCTGGCCTGTCTAACGTGACAGTTCGTGTCTGCAACTACGACGCCATGTTGCTGCGGCACACATGGATGGATGGATGGATGGATGGATGGATGGATGGATGATGGATGGATGGATGGATGGATGAGTGCTCTGCAGCCCTGCCAGAGAAGCTCTCAGGGCCCTCTTCTCTCTCTATAGAGCATCTCAGTTCAGGCATCAGGGAAGCTGCCATCTGGAGGATGAGCAGGCAATGGGCAGAGGAGGGGTGGGGGCGGGAAGAATGTTCTTGGAGAAGGAACAGCATGTGTGGAGGCCTTAGGGTGAGAAGGAGTTTGGGGCAGTTGAGCAGCAGAGGACTTTCAGTGGGCGTGACCTATGTCCTGTCGGGGTAAGGGCTGAAGCCAGGAGGACAGGGACTTTATTGGCAGGGAGACGGGGCTGTGGAAGGATTTTAAGCAGGAGAGCAACATGGCTGGATTTGCCTCTGGCCGCTGTGTGGAGGGTGGGAGTGGAAGCTGTGGCACAGTCCAGCGGAGAGTAGCCAGGACTAGGGAGAAGGCTAGGAGCTGAGTGAAGCTCTGGGCGAGACGCAGGTTTAGATTCAAGCATTAGAGACACCACTTCATGAAGCTCTGGGTAAGAAGCAGGGTTAGATTCAACCACTAGAGATGCCACTTTAGGATTGTTTTCCTGTTTTTAAAAGAAAATCATGTCAAGTATTTCAGATGGGCAAAAAGGCATAAATACTACTACCCAGGCCCCTGCCCAGGCTCAAGAACCAAACGTTTCCAATCAGCTGATCCCCATCACAAGGTCAGGAGATGGAGACCATCCTGGCTAACACAGTGAAACCCCATCTCTACTAAAAATACAAAAAATTAGCTGGGTGAGGTGGCAGGCGCCTGTAGTCCCAGCTACTCGGGAGGCTGAGGCAGGAGAATGGCGTGAACCCCAGGGGGGCGGAGCCTGCAGTGAGCCGAGATCGTGCCACTGCACTCCAGCCTGGGCAACAGCGAGACTCTGTCTCAAAAAAAAAAGAAACTCCATCGCAAAAAAAAAAAAAAAATTGTTAGTCACGACATTAATAGTAGACACGCCTGTGATGCTTCCTATGCCTACCGCGCACTAAGCGCTTTCTGTCTATGAACTCAGTCAATCCTCACCACGATGCTATGAGATTTACTCTTTTACCCTTTGGGGCCAATGGGGAAACTGAGGCATGGCACCGTTACATAACAAGGCCACTCAGCTGGTGAAGCCCAGGTGTGAGCCCTAGCAGGACTCAGAACTCAGGGGATGGTTGGATGGGGGAGGTGAGGGGCCGTGGTCCACACTGCTCCCCCTGAAGGCTGCTCACTTTCCACCTGGTCCTGGTGCCCCTGCAGTCTGCCCCTGGTGAGGGAGGTGGGGTGGCAGGATGGGGTTTCTCTGAGAAAGCTTTCTGACCCCAAACTCCCACCGTTGCAAAACCTGGTGGTCTGGCCGTCCCAGAACAGCCTCTGCCTCACTGCCAGCTGGGAGTACCACTACCTGGGTGATCCTGGGCAGGGGCAGTGGTGCAGAGGGTGGGACCCTGACCCTCAACAGACCCAGACCAGCAGTGTAGGCCTGAGGAATGAGCACAGTCTGTGGGCTGTGCAGAGGATGGGACTCTGGCCCTGGAGTCCTGCACCTGCCTTCTGCTCCCTGCAGCAAGGGAATAGACCCCGGGTGGGGCTAAGGTGATGGGGTTTCCCTGCATCCTCCCAGCCTCAGCCACCCCACGCTGGCAGGACCCTCCTATCAGTCTCCCTTTGTGAAGCTGCCCTGCGCCATAGTCTCACACAACCTTCTGGATCTTCTAGACTTCCCGTGGCCATTAGTACCTCTCCTGCTTGCCTTCGAGTTAGGCAGGGCAACCAGCACTGTGCCCACTTGGCAGATCAACCAACAGACCCAGACCATCAGTGTGAGCCTGAGGAATGAGCACAGATTTCAGGATCAGGAAGGCCAGGCTGGAGTGCTGGCTCTGCAGCGTCACAGGTATGTGACCTTAGACAGGCACTGAGCCTCAGTTCCCTCATCTCTGAGTGGGCCTCCCTACTTCCCCAGGCTGTTGAGAGCAGCCTAGAACTGTTTGCACAGATCTTCCCTAGTGCGGGGCCTGGCATGCAGCGAGTGCTCGATGGAGACAGCTGCTGCCGTTAGCATTCTGATTGAGTGCTAATGAGCCCAGCACATTATGGCTGAGCCAGGCCTAGAACAAGGGGCTCTGGCTCTAGGCCCAGCACACTTACGCCAAACCCCACCCCGGACTCCCAGCGGGACAGGCCATGGGTTCCCAGCCTCCACCTTTCTGCCCCAGCAGGAGCTGAGTGGGGGTGCTGGCGTCATCATTCCCTCCATCATCTTAGGTGAGGGGCCCAGTTGGCATCGGGCCGGGAGCCCACGCGGCACAGCCTGCGCCCACAGCAGATGGGAAGTGGGGGTGCGGGAGTCGTGTTCTTCTGATTCAGACACTGGGACGGGGAGGGACTCACACACGATCCGGCGAGCCCACCTCCTCCATGGCCTTCCTGGCCGCTGCAGAGCCAGTGGCTCTGACAAAAGAACAGCTTGAGCGCACACCCCCTCAGCCCGCACGTTTTCTCCTCCAAACAGCGTCTGTTTAAATAGCCTCGACTCCCTGTTCTTGCTGGCAGATCTTCCTCCCTCTGTTCTTCCTGGCAAGTCTTCCTCCCTCTCTCCCTTTGCTGGAGAGAGGAGATGCTGGCTCCAGGGGTATCGGTTTGGCCCAGCCCCATTGCTATAGACAATTCAAAACGACTCCTGCCTTGGTTTCCCATCTGTGAAATGGGGATACGAAGAGTGCCAGCCTCAGCGAGCAGCTGCGAGGATTCATGAGTAAACACATGCCAAGTGCCTATGATGGGCCCGGTGCACAGCCTCACTCCCGCATGCCCCTCTGGCCTCAAGCTTGGCACAGAGCGGGTGGAGAACTGAGGACAGAACAGTACCTGGGACCAGGGACACCCTGCCCCAGCCCGCCCTTCCAGCCCTGAGATGAAATGCGCCCCTTGAGCTGATTGCCTCAGTCCAAGGCTTCCTGGAAGTCCAGCCATCTCGAATGCAGTGGGTGGCTGACCCTGTCACCCTGTGGGCCATCCAGTGTCACCTGAAGGCTCTGGAGGTAATGAGCGCCCCATCAGCTAATGTAGTCAAGCCCCACAGTTGGCATTATGCTTTTATAGTCCATGAGGGCCTGTCACTTGTCCTCCCATCCTTCCATCTGTCCTGGGAATGAACAAGAGGAAGTCTGTTTCACCCCACACACACTTTTTTTTGTCTCGCTCTGTTGCTCAGGCTGGAGTGCAGTGGTATGATCATGACTCACCGCAGCCTCAACCTCCTGGGCTTAAGCAATCCTCCTGCCTCAGCCACCCAAGTGGCTGGGGCCACAGGCATGCACCACCATGCCTGGCTAATCTTTGTATTTCTTGTAGAGATGGGGTTTCGCCATGTTGCCCAGGCTGGTCTCGAACTCCAGGGCTCAAGCGCCTGTCTTGGCCTCCCAAAGTGCTGGGATTACACACATGAGCCACCATGCCCAGCCTGTTCCCGTTTTAGAGGAGGGGAAACCAAGGCTTTGTGGTTAGTCTGCACCAGAGTCAGGGTTTATAGGCACCTTGACAGAAGGAGCCCTCGGGAAAGCAAAGATGAATGTAAGCGGGGAGTGCACTGTAAGGCTCCTCGCCCATCCCATGCCCACCTTCACCTGGCCTCCACCCCATCCTCGTGGGCCAAGTAGGCATCTGCGTGGCTGGGAGGCCGTGACCTCTTACACAAGAGGTGGGGGGGGTGGATAATGGTGGCCAGAGTCCCCCCTCTCCCGCTGCTTTCATGGGTCCCTTTCCAGAGCCAGCCTGGACGACCACAGTGACTTGTGTCTGTTGCCCCATCTTACAGCCTGGAATGGAGAGGTTGATCCTCAGCCCCTCCCACTGCCAGCAGAAGAGGGGGGTTGCTGAGTGTGAGTGGCACCAGACCCCCTGCCCTGTGAAGCAACCTCACCTTTCCCATGGGAGCCAAGGGACAGGTGGGACAGAGAGGGAATAGGGCTTCTGGAGAGGCCGCTTGGCAGATGCCAAGAGAGGCTGCGTGGCGAGTGATGCAGAGGGGGCGGGCGAGCCAGACTGCTAGGCTCAGATCCCAGCTCTGCTCCTGCTCCTGGTGTGATCTTAGTTAACTCACCCTAGTTTTCCTGCCCCTGAAATGGGGACACTGGCATGTTAAGTGGATTCAGAGAGGGAATGTTTGCAAGGTGTCTGCTAAGGCTCAGCCGGCAGCAAGAGCGTCCCATTCAGTCTTCCCACCTACCCCATGCACCCAAAACCATGCCCCCGGCACCCACTGTGGGCCAGGCTCTGGGCACTTCCCTTACACGCCATCATTTAATGCTGGCCAGCCCTGGAGGCTGAGCATTCCGTGTCTCCATCTTATAGAAGGGGAAAAATGATCTCGGAGTGTCAGCCCACCTGTCCCTACTCTCACGGGGCAGTGGCAGAGCCGAGGGCCGGTTCCTGCAACTCCTCAAAATGAGGTCACATTGCTGTCCACACTGGCAGCTCCCAAGTCTCGGGCACTGAGCATGGCAGTGGTCCTTTGCCCCCAGCACTCTGATGCAGGGGACGCACTTCTCCCCTTGTCCCATGGCTAGAAAACAGGCTCAGAGAAGTTAAGGAGGAGTGCACAGCTCAGAAGGAACACGCGGCCCTCAGTCACAGCAGCCACCAGCAGTGTCCAGTGTCACCCAGCAAATGACTGACAAGGCCATTGGCTGGGCCAGTGAGGCTGGACAGGGGATTCTATACTTGTCCCAGGCTGCAAGGCCATCCCCTCGCAGCTTAGGAAACTGAGGAAAGGTGGGGTTCTTGGTTTTCTGTTTTGCCTCCAGCCACAACTTCAGCATCTGGGGCAGTGCCCAGCACAATGGGGGTGCCCTCTGAATGTTTGCTCAGTGACTGAATCACAGAATGCAATGAGT
This sequence comes from Homo sapiens, assembly GCF_000001405.40. Taxonomy (NCBI): domain Eukaryota; kingdom Metazoa; phylum Chordata; class Mammalia; order Primates; family Hominidae; genus Homo; species Homo sapiens. Next base: position 38,829,698 of record NC_000022.11, on the reverse strand, counting down.
TCGTGTCTGGGGCCTAAGCCTGGGAGCAAGGAACTGACTGAGCAAAAACTTCCCAGGCCCCTGGGGAGTTCGCAAGCATCAGGCCTGGTAGCGGGGACCATGGAGGAGGGGGAATCCAGGAGGATGGTGGAGGATGGTGAAGGTTTAATTTAGCTCCTAGCAGCTCATTGAATTATTAATCTCCTACTGACATTTCTGTGACATGTCTGCCACAGACTGTCCCCTTGAAGAGTCTGGACCTGCGGCCTCACCTGCGTTCCTCCACCCCAGAGGGGCCTTCTTCCAGCAGGAGAAGGGGAAGGAAACCCTCCCAGCTCCTGCCCCAGTTCTGCTGCCCTTGGGGTCTTAAGATAAGACAGGCATGTCATGGGGAACTCTGAACACTTAGACCTCATCCCGGGCTGGATGGGGGATGTCAGAGCCTACCCTGGAACACCCTGCCCTAGACAGCAATTGCAATAAGCAGGCTCTGTTTATTGATATTTAATCCTTAGTCCTCCCCACAACTCTCCAAATAGGTGCAGCTCTCTTTTGAGTAAACAAGTTCAGAGAAGTCAGGATATTTTCTCAGAGTCACATAGCAGATTGGTTACCGAGCTGGTTTTGAACCCTGGGCTGTCTGACTCCAAAGTATGTGATTTCAACCACCTGTCACCCTGGTATGGTCAAGCCACCGGGGCCCTGCTCCAGAAGTCCCTGTTTCACGCCCTGAGTGGGCCCAGTGGCCATACAGAGCCTTTTGCCAAGGACCGTTCTAGAGAAGCTTGCTGAGTGAGGGAATGAAGACTAAGATGGTCCGCCCCTTTACCAGCCTATCAGTGTCTAGCCTTGCTGCTATGAAGGACTAGGGTGGGGCGTTCAGCCCCAGCTGCACCCTGAAACCACCTGGGGGACCTTCACAGCACTCATGGCCACGCCCCACACCCCCACCACAGCCTGAGCTGTCCTTGAGGGCCGGGGCCAGCTCTGCCTGCTGCTCGCCGTCATGTGCCAGCACCAGGAACAGAGCCTGCCAGGGACCCAGGATGCATCTGTTGCCTGATGTTGGCCATTGTCATTCCCATTTTGCATACTGGGGAAGCTGAGGCTCCCCTGGGGTCACTGAGCAGGGGCGGTAGGCATCTGAGTGTTCCCAGCCTGTCCTTCCTCCCCTCAGTTGATTTCTGTTTCTCTGCCCTGTGAACAGCAGGAGCTTCCAGCCCGTGTGAACCTCTCAGCTGCCCCAGCCCCAGTCTCTGCTGTGCCCACCGGCCTACACTCCAAGATGGACCAGCTGGAGGGGCAGCTGCTGGCCCAGGTGCTGGCACTGGAGAAGGAGCGTGTGGCCCTCAGCCACAGCAGCCGCCGGCAGAGGCAGGAAGTGGAAAAGGAGTTGGACGTCCTGCAGGGTCGTGTGGCTGAGCTGGAGCACGGTGGGTCCTGGGTCCTGCAGAGGGCATTGGAGGGGTCCTCAGGATGACAGAGCCATTCAAAAAATATATCCATGCTCCCCGGAGGCTAACATCGACAGACTGGAGGGTGGGGAGGAGGCTGTGGAACACACAGTGGAGAGAATCATTGGGGGATATTGTTATCATTATCAACATTATTAACAGATCTCATTTTCTGGCACTTACTGTGTCCTGGGAGTGGGCTAAGTACTTGATACATCAGCTGATTTAATCCACAGTTTTCACAGATGAGAAGACCGAAGCTCAGAGAAGTCAAGTGACATGCTCAAGGTCACACAGACAAAAGTGGCGGGTCTGGACCTCAAACAAGGTCTGACTCCACAACCATACATTTAACCACCCACAAAATAGCATTTTCAATGACTTGGTCAGGATTTTGTTTAACACTTGTGCCTGGCACTGCCAAGGGGTCAAAGGAACATAATGGGCAGGGTACAGGTATAAGCATAAGGAGACCTGGCTCCTGGTTGCATATCTGTCTCTGGCTTGCTCTGTGACCTCAGAAGTTCACTTCCTTCCCCAGGCCTCAGTTTTCCTCATCTGAGAAATAGGGGTTTAGGACTCATGAGCTCTCAAAGACCTTTCAGCTTTCAATTCTTGTGAAGACCACCCTTAAGAGGCTTACAGACAAGTTGGGGAGAACAGGAGAAATGGTGAGCAGTTAGCTGGGACCAGCTTACATGGGGAACAGGGGTTCAGGAGAAGAAAATCCAGGCCCAGGCATGGTGGCTCATGCCTGTTATCCCGACACTTTGGGAGGTTGAGGTGGGCGGATCACCTGAGGTCAGGAGTTCAAGGCCAGCCTGCCCATCATGGCAAAACCCCATTTCTACTAAAAATGCAAAAATTAGCTGGGTGTGGTGGTGCATACCTGTAATCCCAGCTACTCGGGAGGCTGGGGCAGGAGAATTGCTTGAGCCTGGGAGGTGAAGGTCGCAGTGAGCTGGGCAACAGAGGGAAACTCCGTCTCAAAAAAAAAAAAAAAAAGAAAGAAAAAAAGAAAAAGAAAAGAAAAGAAAGAATATCCAAGCTGCTTCCTGGAGGAGGCAGGCCTCAAGCTACTTCTTGAAAACAGTGGTGAGGAGCAAATTTCAGAATGGAGGGGCCATCGCAGGGGCACAGCTGCAGGGGAGGGACAGGTCTGGTGGCTCAGGGCCAGCATCCTAGGTGGAGCACAGGAACAGGAGAAGCAACCTCCAGCCCTCCTCAGCCCTGCCTCTGGCCTGTCTACCCCGGGTCTCCCAACAAGTTTAATTTGTTGACGGTCACGTGGCTGGGAAGTGGGGGAGACGAGATTTGGTCTCAGGACATCTAAGGTCCAGAGCCCCTGCACTTTAATCACACCCCTCAACACAGAGGTGGAGCAGAGAGAGCCCTGAAGGCACTGGGCATGCAGCAGGTGCCTGGGAGCTGTTAGCCATCTTTCTGAAGTGTGCCCTGTCCACCCCACCCTTTTCGGTGTCCACCGACCTCCACCATGTCTGCCTTGCCCACCCTCAGGGTCCTCAGCCTACAGTCCTCCAGATGCCTTCAAGATCAGCATCCCCATCCGTAACAACTACATGTACGCCCGCGTGCGGAAGGCTCTGCCCGAGCTCTACGCATTCACCGCCTGCATGTGGCTGCGGTCCAGGTCCAGCGGCACCGGCCAGGGCACCCCCTTCTCCTACTCAGTGCCCGGGCAGGCCAACGAGATTGTACTGCTAGAGGCGGGCCATGAGCCCATGGAGCTGCTGATCAACGACAAGGTAGGCAGGGCTGGCAGGGAGGGCTGGCTGGGGGAGGGCCACCCTTCCAGAAGCACCCACTCCACACTGGGCTCTTTCATTCTCCTGCTCATTCTCCTGCTCTGCATATTCAGCACACATTAAGTACCTACCGTGTGCTAGGCTGGGCTCTGGGAATATAAAGACAAGCCAGACATGGAGCTGCCGGAAGAGAGGCTGTGTCCAATAGAGGCTCTAAGTGTTGTTCCATTTTACAGAGGAGGCAAGTGAAGCTCTTGGGGATCCAGTGACTTCCCCAGTGACCCAGCTATGGGACAGGGCTGAGGTGTCTGCCCCCAGGGCCCTGCTCATCATCCTGGACTTAAAGAGAAGGGAGGTGGCCGGGCGCACTGGCTCATGCCTGTAATCCCAGCACTTTGGGAGGCCGAGGCGGGCGGATCACGAGGTCAGGAGATTGAGACCATCCTGGCTAACATGGTGAAACCCCATCTCTACTAAAAATACAAAAAAATTAGCCGGGTGTGGTGGTGGGCACCTGTAGTCCCAGCTACTCGGGAGGCTGAGGCAGGAGAATGGCCAGAACCCGAGAGGCAGAGCTTGCAGTGAGCTAAGATCGCACCACTGCACTCCAGCCTGGGCGACAGAGGAAGACTCTGTGTCAAAAAAAAAAAAAAAAAAAAGAGAGAGAGAGAAGGGAGGTGCACAGACCTACCTGGGGATGGAGGGAGGAAGGGAGTGCTTGTGGCCTCCTCGTTCCTTCTACTTCCCTGGAGCCAGCCCCTCGGGCCCTCCCCGCTATGGAGAGTAGAAAGGTGTTGTGCTCAGGCTCTGGGACCCAAATGCTGGTTTGAGTCTTGGTTCTGCATCTTCACCATTGTGTGACCTCAGACTAGTCTTCTACTTGCCCTGTGCCTCAGTTTGCTTATCTCTAAAGCAGGAATGATAAGAACTCTTGTCTCTTAGGGTTGTAGTGAGAAGTGGCTTAAATGCATGTAGAGGGCTTTGAGCAGATCCTAGCGTTTAGCAGACATCAATAACTGTGAGCTATTTTTATTATACTGGGCACTGTGCTAATAAGCAGTTTACTCACATTATTACCCTTGACCTTCCCAACAGCACTGGGAAGTAGGTACCCTCATTATCCCCATTTTGCAGATGGAGAAACTGAGGCTCAGAGAGGGGAAGTAATGCACCCTGGCCACACAGCTGCTGGGGTGTGATGTGATTCAGGGTCTTGGGCTCCGGAAACCACCTTTTAACCCCTCCCCTGTTCTGCCCTTGGGCCACCCATCTTCCTCATGCCCAGGCCTCCCTCCCCGATGCCCCTCCTTCAGCCTGGCTGGAAGGCAGGACAAGGACAAGGCAGGGAGAATGATGTGGCAGGAGCATGGTAATTGAGGGGAGAGGAAGGGGAGCATCTCATCACTGTCATCCACTCCTAAAGCTCCTCCCCAACCTGCCACATTGTTTTGGGCCTTGCAGGCATGGTGGTCTATTGAGACCCCCCTGGAAATGCAGATACCACATATCGTACCCACCTGTGACCAGCCCACAACACATAAAGCCACTAGGAGTGATTGATACCCATCAGACCCAGCTTAGCAGAAGGTGCATTTCATGGCATTCTGGAGGGGGAGGAGGAGGAGGGAGGAGATGAGTCCAGGGACCAGTGACTTTCCCTTGTGGCCCAATAAACCCTACGACCACCGGGGTGGCTGGACTACATCTAGATCCTGCTGCCTTGTGCCCTTCATCACCCCCTGGCTGCCGTCCTTGGCCTGGCCCAAGTTCAGCACTCAGTTCTCATTAGAAGGAATTCAGCACCCTGGACAGGGCATTGGGCAGCCCTGTTCTGGGACGCTCTAGAGTCCTTTTGAGAGCCAGCCTAACAGACTGCTCACTGTTCCCTTTTTATTCCAGCCTCTAAGCCTTTACTCCTTCTGTGCCCACCACTTGTTTTGCCTAGCAATGGAATGGTGGATCCATTGTCCTTCCAGACGGGTTTTGACGTGGCTTCTGTTCCCATATCCCCTCTACCTCTGGGCCTCGCAGCCTCTGTACCTCCCATATGCCCTCCGTTATTTTGTCTTATAGCATTGCCCCAAAGTCCTTCCCCTCCTGCAGACTCAGCTCATTTAAGGCGTGGACCAGCTCCACATCCCCAGGATCCACAACAAGGCCAGGCACCACGTAGGCCTCAGAGAATGTTACATTAAATTGTGATCTCAGGCTGGGTAAGGTGGCTCTTGCCTGTAATCCCAGCACTCTGAGAGGCTGAGGTGGGTGGATCATCTGAGGTCAGGAGTTCAAGACCAGGCTGGCCAATATGGTGAAATCCCGCCGTTTCTACTAAAAATACAAAAAAAAAAAAAAAAAAATAGCTGGGCATGGTGGTGCACGCCTGTAATCCCAGCTACTTGGGAGGCTGAGGGAGGAGAATTGCTTGAACCAGGAGATGGAGGCTGTGGTGAGCTGAGATCACACCACTGCACTCTATCCTGGGCAACATAGTGAAATTCCATCTCAAAAAAAAAAATGTGACCTCAGGAAACTTACCAGATGAGGAAGCCCTTTGGGAGCACCAAATCCACAGACAGCAAGCACCTTTCATCTTACAGGCCAGCTCTAACCCATCAGCAGTGGCTTTCCAGAGCACTGTGCTGAGGGATCTGAGCTAAATCGAGGCTCGTGATTGATTGGCTATGTCTGCCCTGGGTGGAGGAAGATTTGCCATCCCTTGCAGACTTGTCATCCCTTGTCTGACCTCACTTTACAGATAAGGAAACTGAGGCCCAGGGAGGAAGGAGCAGCCTCCCCAGATCACACAGGGGTTGGTGGCAGAGCCAGGGCCAGATGCTGGAGCCTGGCCTCTGAGTCCAAGGCTCATTCTATCCCTGCCAGTACTTCTTGAGCCCTAGCTGTGTGCTGAGTGCTGTGTGAGGTGTTCAGGGGAAGTTGGGATTATGAGACATCCCTCTCTCCCCAAGTGACCTTAATAGGCCTGTTGGAGAGTGAGTGAACTACCTTGTGACAACTGAAAACCAAAACCAGAGAGTCCCTTGTGATCTGGTTTGGTCTTTGAGGAAAGAGGAGACAGGAGTCAGGGAAAGACACTGGGCAGGAGGATGGAGAGGGTCAGGCCTGGGGTCGGGCCCTGGAAGGATGGACATGGGTCTCCCCAGCCCCACCCCACTGCCTCAGCCATGGGCCTTGGGCCTTGGGGCACCTCTGACCTGGGGTTGGGGGACCTGTGTCCAGGTGGCCCAGCTGCCCCTGAGCCTGAAGGACAATGGCTGGCACCACATCTGCATCGCCTGGACCACAAGGGATGGCCTATGGTCTGCCTACCAGGACGGGGAGCTGCAGGGCTCCGGTGAGAACCTGGCTGCCTGGCACCCCATCAAGCCTCATGGGATCCTTATCTTGGGCCAGGAGCAGGTAAGGCTCAGGCTGATATTGGGGCTGGACCTCCTAATTGTGCAGATGGGCAGACTGAGGGCCAGAGAGATCAGAGACCTGCCCAAGGAACTAGAATCTTGAAGGTGGGGCTAGAGCGTTGGCGGTGGGGCTTCAGTGGGGTTGAAGGTGGGGCTGCCTCGGGGACAAGAGCCTGACTGAGCCAGCCTGCCTGTCTTTTCTGCTCCCTCACTCCATGCCTCTCCTTTCTCTGCTGCTGTCTTGGCCCAGGATACCCTGGGTGGCCGGTTTGATGCCACCCAGGCCTTTGTCGGTGACATTGCCCAGTTTAACCTGTGGGACCACGCCCTGACACCAGCCCAGGTCCTGGGCATTGCCAACTGCACTGCGCCACTGCTGGGCAACGTCCTTCCCTGGGAAGACAAGTTGGTGGAGGCCTTTGGGGGTGCAACAAAGGCTGCCTTCGATGTCTGCAAGGGGAGGGCCAAGGCATGAGGGGCCACCTCATCCAGGGCCCCTCCCTTGCCTGCCACTTTGGGGACTTGAGGGGGGTCATATTCCCTCCTCAGCCTGCCCACGCACTGGCCTTCCCTCCTGCCCCACTCCTGGCTGTGCCTCCCATTTCCCCTCACCTGTACCCACACCTCCAGAATGCCCTGCCCTGCGAGTGTGTCCCCTGTCCCCACCTGAGTGGGGAGGAGCGTCTCAAGTGAACAGTGGGAGCCTGCCCACCTGGCACTGCACTGGAGTTGTCTCTTACCCCACCCTCCCTGCCCATCAACTGTATCTGATTTCACTAATTTTGACAGCACCCCCAGTAGGGTAGGATTGTGTATGAGGGGGACCCCACTATCTCAGTGGTGGGGGTGGCCGCCCGCCCCCTTGTCCCCCATGCAACAGGCCCAGTGGCTTCCCCTTCAGGGCCACAACAGGCTGTAGAAGGGGATGACGAGGACATCAGAGGTTAGACTTACCCTCCTCCCTCTTTCCACCAGCTGCCAGTCAAGGGCAGTGGGATCTCGATGGAGCCTCCCCCCCCCCCCACCCATGCCTCCCTCTTCCTCCTCTTTCCTCCTCTCTTTGTGTGTAGCGGTTTGAATGTTGGTTCCATGCCTGGCCCAGCCCCACCTCAGTCTCCAGGACATTCCTTTCCCAGCTCCAGCCTGGAGGGAAGGGGACAAAGACCCCAGGAGGCCAAAGGGCTGCAGTCACCCCTTGTGCTCACCCATAGTGATGGCCACTGGTATAGTCATCGCTCTCCCTCCATGCCAAGGACAGGACTTGGACCGCTTCAGCCTGGGCTGGGAGCAGCCCTAAGGTAGAGGCCTCATGGCCCAGGAGACCCCACCTCTGGCAGAGCCACATTACCTACCCTGTGCATGGTCCTGGGGCAGCAAGGAAGAAGCTCAGAGGGTGGGGAGAAGCATGAAGCAGTGAGCAGAGCACTGGGTGAGAGGGAGAAGACCTTGGTTCCTAGCCAGCCCTGCTAATGTGCTGTGTGGCCTTCTGTAAGTCCCTGCCCTCTCTGGGCCTGGCCTTCCTCATTCGTGAGCTGAGGCCCTCGCTTTGGTCATTTGCTCTCCAGATTGGGTGTGAGCTTCTCTGTGATTCCAGGTGGATATGTGGGGAAAGCTCTGGTGACCCTGGGCTTCGCAGGGGTAGATCCCAGGACTCGGCAGTGGATGGGATGCAGCCAGTCATGGGTTAGGGTCAGCAGAGACTCAGAGTCCAGGGCAAGGTTCAAGGCAGACTAACCTCATGCATGGATTGTAAAAAACCAGCTCCCTTTGGATCAACCCAGCCTGGCACCCTTGCCTGTCTGAGAGTGTCTCAAAGGGCTGATGGCTTCCTGGTCCCCTTGAGTCATCACCAGCTTCCCCAAGAGAGTGTCAGAATCTTAAGAGCTGAGAGGCCGGGCACGGTGGCTCACGCCTGTAATCCCAGCACTTTGGGAGGCTGAGACAGGCAGATCACTTGAGGTCAGGAGTTCGAAGTCAGCCTGGCCAACGTGGTGAAACCCCATCTTCACTAAAAATACAAAACTTAGCTGGTTAGGTGGTGCATGCCTGTAGTCCCAGCTACTCGGGAGGCCGAGGCAGAAGAATCTCTTGAACTGAGGAGGTGGAGGTTGCAGTGAGCCGAGATCACGCCATTGCACTCCAGCCTGGGCAACAGAGCAAGACTCCATCTCAAAAAAATAATAATAATCTTAAAGATGAGAAAAGCCACCCCATCTGGCACCACAGCTGCATCTTGCTTGTGAGAAATGGGGAAGAGTTCAGGGAGGACACGTGACCTGCACAGGATCACAGAGCATGGGGCAGAGCCAGGACTAGAGCTCAGGGCATCTGACTCCCTCTTCAGTGTTCTTCCCCCTCCATGTTGCCTGCCCCTGAAGACCTTTGAGTTCAGTCTACACCTAAGCAGGTAGACATCCGCGAGGTCAGATGCTTTCCAACATGACACCTGAACATCTTCCTTTATGCAACACCCAAACATCTTGGCATCCCCACCCCAGGAAGTGCGGGGAGGAGGTTATGATCCCTGGGCGCTTCGGCAGAATGGAGAGCTGAGGTGTCCCTCCCCTGCTAGTCACCTACCAGGTGTCTGAGCAGCTGCATGCTCCCTGGCTCAAGTGGGCACTGTACCTTTTGCCTGCCTTTTTGTTCCCTATCTCCACTCCCTGAGGCCACTTAGCCTGAGACATGATGCAAGAGCTGCAGGCCGGGGGGCTCAGTGCCATGGAAGCTACTCCAAGTTGCATTGCCTCCCGCGCCCAGATCCTGCTTTCCATTTCGAGAACATAAATAGATTGCCCAGCCCCTCCAGTACAATCCCACTGGAAGAAAAGGCAATGGCGGGCTTCAGCCAGACCTGCTGAGACCTAGGTTGCCACGGTAACAGCCAAAGACATCAACCCAAGTGCTGGGTCAAGTGTCTCATCATACTGGCACTGTTGCTGGGGTGACGGCAGAATTCAGAACTTCAATTTCAGTGACGCCAAGCTTGATGTGTTTCTGTTATTGTTTTGAAGAAGGTAGCTCTTGTGGAGGACTTGGGAGAAGGATGGGGTCTTAGGAAGGAGGTGACAGCACTTGCATGGTCACTTGAGCCCACACACACGCTCAACCCCAAGTCCTTTATGCTTTGTCACAGTGAAGATGAGACCTCTGACGTCCAAGCCTTGTTCCTGTGCTGCATCACCCACTCAGCCTTCCAAAGGGAACAGGAACAAATTTCCCCAGCACCACTGTTTGGGTCCCGCTTTTCCTATCTTCTGCTGCCCCTGAGCACATCCAAGCAGACAGGGAAAGAGGAGTCAGACATGGCCCAGTCACATCCTGAGCTGCTCCTGGCTGATAACCACGATGGAGCCCGTGTTTGTCCTGCCATCTGGCACTGCACTGAGTGTGGCACAGGCACCGTCCTGTTGATCTCACAACACAGTTCTAAGTTAGGACGTTCTTGGCTCCGTTAGACAGGTGAGGAAACTGGGGCACAGAGAGGTGATGTCATCTGCCTGGTGTCAATCAGCTAGCAAGTGATGGAGCCCAGATTTCAAACCAAAGGGGGTTACGTCCAGGGGCTGAGTTCCCACTCACCTGTGTAGAGTGCCATCTGGGCACCATTGCTCCAGACGTGTTCCGACCCCTTTCCCAGCCCACAGGGCTTGAAGTGAAGGAACAGAGGCAGGGGGTGGGCCAGCCCCAGGGCCAGGGTCCCCTTGGTGAAGCCGTGCCAGGGGGCTCAGCTGCTTCAGGGAATGTGTCCCTCCCACCATGGGCCAGAGCTTCAGCCCTTCTTTAGCTCAGCTAGAGTTCACAGGAGAGCCAAAAAAGAAAAGGAAGCTGAGCATCTCCCGAGTCCTGGGCAGGGAAGGGGAGGGAAATTGCTGCTTCTCCAACTCTTGCTTGGGGCCAAGCCCTGCACCAGTTGCTTCCCAGCTGTTATCTGCCAGATCTTCCCATCTTGTGGCATGTGGTGCCCCCACCAACATCCCAAGGGGACCAATCCCCTTGCCACCACTTTGCATCACCTGGGACCACAGATTTGGACAGGAAGGGCTCTGAGAAGAGGCCAAAGCCCTCATTTTACAGATGAGGAAGCTGAAGCCCGGGGAGGGGAGCGACCCTCAAGGCCACCCAGCTGGACACGGGAGACTTGAGCCCAGCCTTCTGACTGCATTCAGCCCTCTCTAGGACGCAGCAGCCTCTCCCCAGCACTGAGTCCCCCCTCCTTTGTGTGTCCCAGCACCCTTGGCCTGAGTAAACTTGGAAAGGGGCTCCCTCCCAGAGAAGGGACTACTCTCTTCACCCCTTTATTCCAGCTGCCTGCCACCCCAGACCCCCACCTCCCACCCTGACCCCCGACCCCTGGGTGGGGAAGGGGCTCACATGGGCCCAGGCTGAGTGTGAGTGAGCATGTCAAGTTGTCTGACACTGTGACATTAGTGCACCCTACTGACAACCCCTCCCCAGCCTTGCCCCTTTCTCCTCTCCCTGTTTTGTACATAAATTGACATGAGCTGCAACATGTGTGCGTGTGTGTGCGTGTGTGTGTGTGTGTATGTGTGTGTGATCTGTGTCATGGTTTTGTTACCTTTTTGTTTTTGTAAACTTGAATGTTCAAAATAAACATGCTGTTTACTCTGAGGCTCTTCTTTGCAGGGATGGGGCTGCCCTAGGGGGTGCTGGGCAGGAAGGAGGGGGCTGCTTTGGACAGGGCCACAGGGAAGCGCAGAGGAGACGCCTGATCCTGGACAGCCCCAGGGCCACACACGCTCCTAAATATGCCCCCCAGCTGACAAGTTCTCCCTGTTCCAGGCTTAGACACACCCCATTTCCCAGGATTTATGCAGGAAGGATGTAAAGAACCCAAGTCCCACATGGAACGTGTCCCAGTTCTGATAACTGGGCTTCGGCCTCATTCCCAATACCCCGTCCACATCTTGTGCTCTAGTTCAGGGATCCGGGTCCCTGACTTGTTTCCTGGGACCTAGTCTGTCCCAGTCACTTGCCTGGACCCCCAGAGTGTTTCATCTCTTGGAGTCCTAGGGAGGGGTGCCGGGGTGAGGGGCCCTGGTTGTTGTATTTCAGCCGCTCCCTTCCCCACACTACCCAGACTCCTCTGATATGTTTGGCCTCTAGACTGGACTCTAAGACCAGCATCAGGGTCAGCTACCCCACCCCACCCCTGCAGCACCTGCCCCATCCTTAAGAGGTTCTTGATTAGTCCCCAGCCCTCCCTGCACACACCATCTTAGGGGCACAAAGCCTTCATCCTCCTACTCTCTCAATACTGTCACTGTTCTTGGTTGGATGTCTTCCTCAGATGATCCCTGTGAAAAGTCAGGGTGCTAGCCAGGGATCAGGGGATCACACCGGCAGGACAGGGCTTTCCAGACTTTTCCAAAGCTTCCCAAACTTCCAACAAGAGTAGCGTCACCACATGAGGACCAGGGGGTAGGTATCCCTGGAAGTGGCACTTCAAAACAGAGAAACTGCATTTGAAGTCTGTTATCTGACAAATTCATGCGCTTTTTTCATTCTACTCCAGAATGAATCCAGATTTGTTTTAAGATAAAAATATTTGAATTACCACTGAGCAAAATTAAGCTACAGGCAGCTATGCCTTGTTTATCCTCTTTTGCACCAGTTTACTTGCAAACACCCCATCTCCCTCTGTCTCACTCAGCTGGCAAGGTCCAACCCTGGTGAAATCCTGCTGTCCACCTGCTTCGTGCCAGCACCTGCACAATTGAATGCGGATGTGAAAAAGCACGGATTTTGATGTGTGTTGACTCTCATTTTCTTTTCTATTTATTTATTTATTTTTGATATGGAGTCTTACTCCATCTCCCAGGCTGGAGTGCAGTGGCACAATCTCGGCTCACTACAACTTCCGCCTCCCACGTTCAAGTTTCTCCTGCCTCAGCCTCCCGAATAGCTGGGACTACAGGCACATGCCACCATGCCCAGCTAATTTTTTTTTTTTTTAGTAGAGATAGGGTTTCACCATGTTAGTCAGGCTGGTCTCAAACTCCTGACCTCAAATGATCCACCTGCCTCAGCCTCCTAAAGTGCTGGGATTACAGATGTGAGCCACCGCGCCCAGCCTGACTCTCATTTTCAGTCCTTGGCCAGAGATCTCCAACCCTGCCCTGCAATCTTAGTACACATTCCTTGTTTGGGGTCTTACTCTCCAAAGTGACTACATCATATTCCCTCTCTCCTCAAATCTACAGCCCTCCACTCCCAGCTCTGCACACTCAAGGGTGGCCTCACCTCCTAGTTCATTGAGAAAACCATTAGTTCAGTGTTCCCCCATCACCCCACCACCAAGTCTGCCTGCAAACCCGCACTGTACCCAGATTTTCTGGCTTCCCCTGGTTACTCTGAATAAACTGTCACTGTTCCTATCAGAGGCGCTGTGTAATGGATCCCCTTCCACTTTATCTTCTCAATAACATTTCTCCTGCATTACCAACCTATCCTTATCTACTTTGTCATTTCAATGGGCCTCCACGTCTGCCCCAGTATCTCCTCTCTTACACAGAATCCCCATCTTGGGCCAATACCTCCTGCAGCTGTCACTCATTCCTTTTCTCCTTTCACTGCAAAACCTCTTGAAAAATCAGGAGTATCAGGGGTCCCCAAGACCACCCACAGGTTTGATGATTCACTGGAAAGACTCACAGAACTCAGAAAAGCTGCTAAACTCATGGTTACGGTTTATTACATTGAAAAGATACAGATGCAAATTAGCCAAGGAGAAAGGCATATAGGGTGGAATCCAGGACAGACCAGGAGCAGGATTCCAGTTGTTCTTTCCCAAAGTCCTACGGAGAGCACTTCATTCTCTCAGCAATGATGTGTGACACACACACAAGAGACTTGTCCATCAGGGAAGCTCACCCCAGTCTTGGTGTCCAGGGTCTATACTGGGGGATGGTTATGTAATGGAGCACCCGTATGACTGACCTTAACTACTCAGTCTCAGGACCCTCTCCAGAGGTCAAACTGATACAGTGTGACCAAGGGCATTTGGCATAAAAGACTTTGTCAGCATAAATTATCTGGCATGGCCCAAGGTAAACAAAGATAGTCTCATCAGGCAGGACCTTCCAAGGGTTTAGAAGTTACCTGCTGGGGAGCTGCTCCAGGCCCAGTCCTTTCTTTGGAATGCACAGGGTTCCATCAGCCCAAGCCTGCTGAGTTAACCCTTTGCTAGACAGTGGGTCTACAGTTTTTTGGGGGTTTTGGGTGTTTTGTTTTTGTTTTTGAGATGGAGTCTCACTTTGTCACCCAGACTGGAGTGCAGTGGCACCATCTTGGCCCACTGCAACCTCTGCCTCCCGGGTTCAAGCGATTCTCCTGCCTCAGTCTCCCGAGGAGCTGGGATTACAGGCATGTGCCACCACACCCGGCTAATTTTTATATTTTTAGTAGAGACGGGGTTTCGCCATGTTGGCCAGGCTGGTCTCAAACTCCTGAGCTCAAAATAATCCTCCTGCCTTGGCCTCCCAAAGTACTGGGATTACAGGCGTGAGCCACCACAGTCAGCCAGGTCTACAGTTTTGATGCCACTTCATCCCACTTTCATTCACATCTTGTCCAGTTCCCATGAGGCTGCTGTTCCCCCCACACCCCCACTCCACCGAAGTCTTACCTGTCCAGGCCAACAATAACGTCCACGTTACAAAATCCAATGGCCAGGCCTCTGCCATTGTCTTAGCCACACTCTCAGCTGCATCTAACATACTCCTTCCTTCTTGAAAAATGTATCCTCTTGCCTTCCAAAACACACCCTCTCCTGGTTTGTCTTTCACCTCAGTGGTTCTCAAATTGTAGCCTGCATTACAATCGCCTGGAGCGAGTTAAAGCACTGGTCGCTGACCTCTGGGCTCCACCCTGGAGGTTCTGAGGCAGTAGATCTGGGGTGGGGCCCAATCGTCTGCTTCTCTAACAAGCGCCAGATGATGCTATGGCTGCTGGTCCTGGGACCACACTTTGAGAACTACTGCTCTATTTCACTGGCGGTTCCTACTAGGACTCCTTCTGGTGCCTCCTCATCTCCCTGGTCCCTAAATGCTGCACTACCCCAGGGCGCAGTTCTGGGTCTCTTTATTCTTTCTACCTAGATGCTCTCCCTAGGAAATCTCATCCAAGCCCATGGCTTTGACTCCCTCCTAGATTTTTCCCTGAACTCCACATTTGCATATCCAGGTTACCCAATAGGAGTCTCAAAATGTAGGTATCCAAAACTAAGCACTTGATCTTCCTCTCCCTACCCCACTCACCCCCTTCTCAATAAATAGGCTCAAATAAATAGGCTCAATTCCGGTTGCTCATTGACTTCTCTCTTTCTATTGCCCATCTATTCAATCCATCGCCCATTGACTCAACTACTAACCCATATCTCAACCCACGTTCACTCCTTTCCACTCTGCTACCACTCTGTTCCAAGCCACCATTGTCTCTTAAAAATGCAGTTTCCTCTCTTAAAATCCATTCTCTGGCCGGGTGCAATAGTAACTCACCCCTGTAATCCCAACACTTTGGGAGGTCGGGCAGGAGGATTGCTTGAGCCGAGGAATTCAAGACCAGCCTAGGCAACAGAATGAGATCCTGTCTCCACAAAATTTTTTTTTTTTTTTAATTAGCTGGGCGTGGTGGTGCACACCTGTAGTTCTAGCTACTCTGGAGGCTGAGGCGGGAGGATCACTTGAGTCTGGGAGATAGAGGCTACAGTGAGCCCTGATTGTTCCACTATACTCCAGCCTGAGTCACAGAGTGGGACTCTTAAAAAAAGAATTAGTTCTCCTTATGACACCTACAATGATCATGTTGCAATCAAAATATTGTCACTCCCCTCTGTAAAACTCCAAAGCAGCCCGGGCATGGTGGCTCACGCCTGTAATCCCAGCACTTTGGAAGGCCAAGGCAGGTGGATCACCTGAGGTCAGGAGTTTGAGACCAGCCTGGCCAACACAGTGAAACCCCGTCTCTATTAAAAATACAAAAATTAGCTGGGCATGGTGGCAGGTGCCTGTAAGCCCAGCTACTCAGTAGGCTGAAGCAGGAGAATTGCTTGAACCCAGGAGGCGGAGATTGCAGTCCAGCCTGGGCAACATAGCCAAGACTCTGTTGAAAAGAAAAGAGAAGAGAAGAGAAGAGAAGAGAAGAGAAGAGAAGAGAAGAGAAAAGAAAGAAAAAAAATAGAAAAGAAAAGAAAAGAAAAAAGAAAAGAGAAAAGGAAAAGACAAGACAAGACAAGACTCTCCAAAGCTTCCCAGTTCGCTTAAACTAAAATCCACGCCCTCGTGGTGACTCTCAAAGCCCTCTGGGATCCTGTCCCTGCCCACCTCCTGGATTTTATGTGGTCACTCTCTCCCCTCTGCTCATTCCACTCCAGGACACACTGGCCTTCTTGCTGCCCCTCAAACGTGCCAGATTCAGATAACCTGCATGTGTCATTCTCTCAACCTGGAATGTTCCTTCCCCAGGTCTCAGTGGACTTGCTCCTTTTGATCATCCAAGTCTCAGCTGTCATGCAGCAATCACAGATGTGTTTGCTGACCACCTGGCCATAAGTAGCTGCCTGGTCGCTCTCTGTCATTTGCCACATACCCTCTATTACCGCAGACCTGGGAACCAAGCCCTCCCTGCTCAACCTGGAACCAAACCTGCCAGGGTACCCTGCTCTATCATCCTTTTTCATTCTCACCACAGTATGAGTCTCTCTTTGACAATGGTATTTTACTAACTTCCTATGATAAGTCACCAGAGTGTCCTCCTGAATAAACTGTCAGCTCTACGAGGGAAGGGACTGTATTTGTCTTTTTCACCACCATATAGATCCAGTGCCCTGGCACAGAGTAGGTGTTTAACACTGATTTGCTGAATACTAATAACTGGTATATATTGAGTGCTTTTATATGACAGGAACTCAGTTCTCTGAGTACTTGACATATATTAGTTTATTTAATCCAAGGAGGCAAGTTCCATAAGAAAACTGAGGCCCAGAGAGGGAGACTTCCCCAAGATCACATGGCTGGGAAGTGACAACACTAGATTTTTATTTTTATTTATTTATTTATTTTGAGACAGAGTTTCACTCTTGTTGCCCATTGCCCAGGCTGGAGTGCAGTGATCTCGGCTCACTGCAGCCTCCAACCTCCACCTCCCAGGTTCAAGCAATTCTCCTGCCTCAGCCTCCCAAGTAGCCTGGATTACAGGTGCCCACCACCACGCCCAGCTAATTTTTGTATTTTTAGTAGAGATGGGGTTTCACCATGTTGGCCAGGCTGGTCTTGAACTCCTGACCTCAGGTGATCCACCCACCTCGGCCTCCCAAAGTGCTGGGATTACAAGTGTGAGCCGTCACGCCCAGCTGCAACACTAGAATTTAATCCAGTCTGACTCCTGAACAAGCACCCAAATGCTGCACAATATGGTCTGTAATTAAGGGGTTCCCCTTAGTCCCTCAAGGATGTCAAAATATTCGTGTGAGAAACAAAGGCTGGTGCAGATTTCTGTTGCAGACCAGCTTTCCCACTGAGAAAACCTAGAAAGACAGAACATATTTAAGACATCCAAGGAAAAGGCAGGTACAGTGGCTCACACCTGTAATCCCAGCACTTTGGGAGGCCAAGGCAGGCAGATCACTTGAGGCCAGGAGTTCAAGACCAGCCTAACCAACATGGTGAAACCCTGTCTCTACTAAAAATACAAAAATTAGCTGGGCATGATGGTGCGTGCCTGTAATCCCAGTTACTCGGGAGGCTGAGGCAGGAGAATCACTTGAACCCGGGAAATGGAGGCTGCAGTGAGCCGAGGTCATGCCATTGCACTCCAGCCTGGGCAACAGAGTGAGAATCCATCTCAAAAAAAATAAAAGAAGGCATCCAAGGAAGGCATTGGAGAGGTATCAAGACAAGTCAGAGTTGAGGGACAAAGATCCCAGGAAGAAGAGAAGTTCAGAGAGGTGAGCCTGGATTCTGGGGCAGCAGCCTTCCTCTTATGGCCCCTATCCACTAACAACAAATCGCTAAGTTGAGCAGCCAGTTAATATCTTCAAGAAATTACACGACAATGAGAACTAGAGCTTCCAGCTAAAAACTGAAGTTTAGGATGAGGAGCTCTGGTAAATGACCCAGGCTTTTAGTGGGTTACACACTCTGAGTAGGGAAAAAGTCCAGCCCTCCCACACACAGAATGGCAGTTTCCAAGCATCCCATTCATTGATTGAATTAAGGTGTCTGCCTCTTCACCAACAGCTTGCCAGAAGCCAAGTAAATTCTCTGGAGGAAGAGAACAACGCCATCCAAACTCTCACATTATATTTTTGTTACACAAAGTTTGGCATTCAATAAAAAAAAAATTACCCGACATATCTGGAAATGAAACAGAATGACTGAAAATCCAGACGGGGGAAAAAAATTTTTTTAAGGCCACTAGACCTACACATGTGATAAAATTGCCTACAATTAAATCTCACACACACACATACACACACATACATATATACCCACAAATATACACAAATACACACATATATACACACATGCACACACACGCACACACATACACATACACACACATTACACACATATATACACATGCTCATGCACATATGCACATACACATACCCACACATGCACAAACATACACACATACAAACACTCACACACAAACACACACACATGCACATACACACATACAAACACATACACACACATGCACACACATACACACAAACATACACAAACACACACACATTACACACACACACATATACAGACACACACGACCACAAGTAAAACTAGGGAAACCTAAATAAGACAGTATCAATGTTAATATCCTGGTTGTGATGTTGTACTATACTCTCATAGGATGTTACCATTAAGGGAAGCTGGGTAAAGGGTACATGGGCTCTCTCTGTGTTATTTCTTACAACTGAGTGAGTCTACAATTATTTTGAAATAAAATGTTTCATTTAAAACAGGCCATGATGGGCCTGTTATCCAGATAGTGGTGTTATGAGACATAGACTTGAAAATAATTATCATTAATATATTCAGGGCTTTTTTTTGAGACAGTGTCTCACTCTTCCCCCAAGGCTGGAGTGGCTCCATCTCGGCTCACTGCAACCTCCAGCTCCCAGGCTCAAGGGATCATCCCACTTCAGCCACCTGAGTAGCTGGGACTGCAGGTGTGCAACACTGCACCTGGCTAATTTTTGTATTTTTTGTAAAGATGGGGTTTCACCATGTTGCTTAGGCTGGTCTTGAACTTCTGGGCTCAAAGGATCCTCCTGCCTTGTCCTCCCAAAGTGCTGGGAATACAGGGAAGCCTATTCAGGACTTTAGATGACAAATGGAAGAATTTCAACAGAGGATTGTAAACTGTAAAAAAGAATCAAATGGAAATGATAGAACTGAAAAATACATTAAACGAACTTATGAACTCAATAAATAGATTTAACAGCAGATTAGATACAGCTGAAGTGAACTCTATTAGAAAGACCAAAAGAAATTACCCAGAATAAAGACTGAGAGAAAAGAATGAAAAGTGCAGAAAAGGGTATAAAGATTAATATGGGACATAGTGAAAAGATCTAACATGTAAGGAGACCCAGAAGAAGTAAACAGCACAATTAGGGCGGAAATAATGGTTTTTTTGTTTTGTTTTGTTTTGAGACAGAGTCTCACTCTGTCACCCAGGCTGGAGTGCAGTGGCATGATCTTGGCTCACTGCAACCTCTGCCCCCCAGGTTCAAGTGATTCTCCTGCCTCAGCCTCCCAAGTAGCTGAGATTACAGGCACCTGCCACCACACCTGGCTAATTTTTGTATTTTTAGTAGAGATGGGGTTTCACCATATTGGTCAGGCTGGTCTTGAACTCCTGCCACCACACCTGGCCGGAAATAATGTTTTAATAGAGACCATCTAAGAATTTTCCCAAATCTGTTGAAAGACATTAAGCCACAGATTCAAGAATCTCAGGGAACCCCAAGCATGAAAAGAAAACTACAACTAGGCCCCTAATAGTGAAACAGTTGTAAATAGTGAAACATTTGTAAATCAAACACAAAGAGAAAAATCTTAAAAGCATCCAAAGGAAAAAGATGCATTACCTTTCAAGGAGCAGTAGCAAGACTGAAAGCTAACTTTTCAACAGAAGGAATGGAGAAAGGAAGACAATAAACCAATATCTGCAAAGTGCAGAAAGGAAATTACTGCCACCCTGGAACTCTAGAGACAGTGAAAACATCCTTCAGAAATGGAGATGAAATAACGATATTTTCAGACAAAGAAAGAACTAAGAGGACTTATCACTGGTGTTTTTTGTCGTCAACAGAACTTCACAAAAGGAAGTGCTTTAGGGAGCAGGAAAATGATCCCTGAAGGAAGCGTGGTGATTCCAGTGAAGAACAACAGAAAGGGTACATATGTGGATAAATCTTACTTAATGTTGATTGAAAATAAAAGCAAGTACGTCTTGTGAGTTTTACGATTCATGACAATAAAAACAAAAATTGGGAAGAGGTGAATGCAATTAAAATATTCTAATGTCCTTACATTGTCCTGGAAGTAGCAAAAGTATTAATTTTATATTAAACTCTAATACGTCCAGGATCAATGTTATATTTTCCTACAGTAATCATTAAAGGATTGCAAAAGAGTATGTAACTAACAAGCTACCAAGAATATAAAAATAATTCAAAAAAGGCCCAAAAAGGGGAGAAAAAAGGGACTCCCAAAGGAAAGGACAAATAGAAAATAAATAGTAAGTGGGCTGATTTAAACAATTTTAATGTAAATTAGTAATTGCACTAAATATAAAAAGATACGTATTCCAAATAGTGTCAATCTGGGTTTAAAAAAAACTACATAGAAAGATTGAAATTAAAAGGATAGAAAATATATAGCATGCAAACATTACTTCAAAGGAAGTTGGTATAGCTATATTAAAGTAGACTTAAGGGCAAGAAGCATTGCTAAAAATAAAAAGGACATTTCATGATGGTAAAGAATCAATCTCTTAGGACGGTATGATGGTTTTAAATTTGTATGCACATATGAACATAGCTTCATAACATATAAAGTAAAAATTGGCAGAACCAAGTCTGGGCGCGGTGGCTCACACCTGTAATCCCAGAACTTTGGGAGGCAAGGCAGATGAATCATCTGAGGTCAGGAGTTCGAGACCAGGCTGACTAACATGGCAAAACCCCGTCTCAACTAAAAACACAAAAATTAGCTGAGCATTGTGGCAGGTGCCTGTAATCCCAGCTATTTGGGAGGCTGAGGCATGGGAGTCGTTTCACCCTGGGAGGCAGAGGTTGCAATGAGCCAAGATCATGCCACTACACTCCAGCCTGGGCTGGACAGAGCGAAACTCAGTCTCAAAAAAAAACCAAACCAAAACAAAACAAAAAATTGGCAGAACCAAAAGGAAAATTTAACAAGTGCAAAACAAGAGTTGACTAAATGGAATATTTTAACACACTTCTCTCAGTAACTTATAGGACAAGCAGATAAAATTTTTTTTTTTAATTTATTTTTTTATTGATAATTCTTGGGTGTTTCTCACAGAGGGGGATTTGGCAGGGTCATGGGACAATAGTGGAGGGAAGGTCAGCAGATAAACAAGTGAACAAAGGTCTCTGGTTTTCCTAGGCAGAGGACCCTGCGGCCTTCCGCAGTGTTTGTGTCCCTGATTACTTGAGATTAGGGATTGGTGATGACTCTTAATGAGCATGCTGCCTTCAAGCATCTGTTTAACAAAGCACATCTTGCATCGCCCTTAATCCATTTAACCCTGAGTGGACACAGCACATGTTTCAGAGAGCACAGGGTTGGGGGTAAGGTCACAGATCAACAGGATCCCAAGGCAGAGGAATTTTTCTTAGTGCAGAACAAAATGAAAAGTCTCCCATGTCTACTTTCTACACAGACACGGCAACCATCCGATTTCTCAATCTTTTCCCCACCTTTCCCGCCTTTCTATTCCACAAAGCCGCCATTGTCATCCTGGCCCGTTCTCAATGAGCTGTTGGGCACACCTCCCAGACGGGGTGGTGGCCGGGCAGAGGGGCTCCTCACTTCCCAGTAGGGGCGGCCGGGCAGAGGCGCCCCTCACCTCCCGGACGGGGCGGCTGGCCGGGCGGGGGGCTGACACCGCCACCTCCCTCCCGGACGGGGCGGCTGGCCGGGCAGAGGGGCTCCTCACTTCCCAGTAGGGGCGGCCAGGCAGAGGCGCCCCTCACCTCCCGGACGGGGTGGCTGGCCGGGCGGGGAGGGCTGACCCCCCCCCACCTCCCTCCCGGACGGGGCGGCTGGCCGGGCGGGGGGCTGACACCCCCACCTCCCTCCCGGACGGGGCGGCTGGCCGGGCAGAGGGGCTCCTCACTTCCCAGTAGGGGCGGCTGGGCAGAGGCGCCCCTCACCTCCCGGACGGGGCGGCTGGCCGGGCAGGGGGGCTGACCCCCCCCACCTCCCTCCCGGACGGGGCGGCTAGCCGGGCGGGGGGCTGACCCCCCCACCTCCCTCCCGGACGGGGCGGCTGGCCGGGCAGAGGGGCTCCTCACTTCCCAGTAGGGGCGGCCGGGCAGAGGCGCCCCTCACCTCCCAGACGGGGCGGCTGGCCGGGCGGAGGGCTGACCCCCCCACCTCCCTCCCGGACAGGGCGGCTGGCCGGGCGGGGGGCTGACCCCCCCACCTCCCTCCCGGACGGGGCGGCTGGCCGGGCAGAGGGGCTCCTCACTTCCCAGTAGGGGCAGCCGGGCAGAGGCGCCCCTCACCTCCCAGACGGGGCGGCTGGCCGGGCGGAGGGCTGACCCCCCGACCTCCCTCCCGGATGGGGCGGCTGGCCGGGCGGGGGGCTGACCCCCCCCACCTCCCTCCCGGGCGGGGTGGCTGCCGGGCGGAGACGCTCCTCACTTCCCAGATGGGGTGGCTGCCGGGCGGAGAGGCTCCTCACTTCTCAGACGGGGCAGCTGCCGGGCGGAGGGGCTCCTCACTTCTCAGACGGGGTGGTTGCCAGGCAGAGGGTCTCCTCACTTCTCAGACGGGGCGGCCGGGCAGAGACGCTCCTCACCTCCCAGACGGGGTCTCGGCCGGGCAGAGGCGCTCCTCACATCCCAGATGGGGCGGCGGGGCAGAGGCGCTCCCCACATCTCAGACGATGGGCAGCCGGGCAGAGACGCTCCTCACTTCCTAGATGTGATGGCGGCTGGGAAGAGGCGCTCCTCACTTCCTAGATGGGATGGTGGCCGGGCGGAGACGCTCCTCACTTTCCAGACTGGGCAGCCAGGCAGAGGGGCTCCTCACATCCCAGACGATGGGCGGCCAGGCAGAGACACTCCTCACTTCCCAGACGGGGTGGCGGCCGGGCAGAGGCTGCAATCTCGGCACTTTGGGAGGCCAAGGCAGGCGGCTGGGAGGTGTAGGTTGTAGTGAGCCGAGATCACGCCACTGCACTCCAGCCTGGGCACCATTGAGCACTGAGTGAACGAGACTCCGTCTGCAATCCCGGCACCTCGGGAGGCCGAGGTTGGCGGATCACTCGCGGTTAGGGGCTGGAGACCGGCCCGGCCAACACAGCGAAACCCCGTCTCCACCAAAACCAGTCAGGCGTGGCGGCGCGTGCCTGCAATCGCAGGCACTGGGCAGACTGAGGCAGGAGAATCAGGCAGGGAGGTTGCAGTGAGCCGAGATGGCAGCAGTACAGTCCAGCTTCCGCTCCGCATGAGAGGGAGACCGTGGGGAGAGGGAGAGGGAGGGGGAGGGGGAGGGGGAGGGGGAGGGGGAGAGGGAGAGGGAGAGGCAGAAAAAAATTTTACATCTGGCCGGGCACGGTGGCTCATGCTTGTAATCCCAGCTACTCAGGAGGCTGAGGCAGGGGAGTCACTTGAACCCAAGAGGCGGAGGTTGCAGCAAGCGGAGATCGCACCACTGCACTCCAGCCTGGGTGACAGAGGGAGACTCTGTCTCAAAAAACAAAAAAATTATATCCAGTGTGGTTATAGAAAATTTGGCAAAATGATTGAACAAATTTGACCTAATAGAGCAACTACAGAATAGATATTCTTTTCAATTGCACGTGAAAAATTTACCCAAACTGGGCTGGACATGGTGGTTCATGCCTGCAATCCTAACACTTTGGGAGGCTGAGGGGGGTGGATCACCTGAGGTCAGGAGTTCGAGACCAGCCTGGCCAACATGGTGAAACCCCGTCTCTACTAAAAATACAAAAATTAGCCAGGTGTGGTGGTGCACACCTATAATCCCAGCTACTTGGGAGGCTGAGGTAGGAGAATCGCTTGAACCTGGGAGGCAGAGATTGCAGTGAGCCAAGATTGCACCACTGCACTCCAGCCTAGGTGACAAAGCAAGACTATCTCAAAAAGAAACAAACAAACAAATGTCCCGCCACCAAGATGTCTACATCCTAATGCACAGATGCTGTAAATATGTCACATGCAAAGGGAAATGTTTCAGATGGAATTAAGGCTGTTAGTTAGGTAGTCTTGAGATAAGGAGATTAACTTGGCTTATCTGGATAGACCCAATGAAATTGTAAGGGTCCTTAGATGTGGAAGAGGGAGTGCCAAACAAGTGATACTCAAATAGTGGAAATGCTGCATGAGAAAGATTCAACCGGCCACTGCTGGCTTTAAACATGCAAAGGGACTGTGAGCCAAGGAATTTGGGAAACCTCTAGAGGCCAGAAAAGGAAAGGAAACGGAGTGTCCTTTAGAGACTCATGAAGAACAGCAGCTCTGGGGACACCTCGATTTTAGCCCAATGAGACACATTTCGTTTTTCATTTTTATTATTTTATTTATTTATTTATTTATTTATTTATTTATTTATTTATTTGAGATGGTGTCTCTCTCTGTCACCCAGGCTGGAGTGCAGTGGCACGATGTCAGCTCCCTGCAACCTCCACCACCTAGGTTCAAGCAATTCTCCTGCCTCAGCCTCCTAAGTAGCTGGGATTACAGGCGCGCGCCACCATGCCCAGCTAATTTTTTTTTTTTTTTTAAGGTAGAGACGGGGTTTCGCCATGTTGCCCAGGCTGGTCTCGAACTCCTAACCTCAGGTGATCCGCCCATCTCGGCCTCCCAAAGTGCTGGGGTTACAGGCATGAACCACCATTCCTGGCCCCAAGGAGACCCATTTCAAACTTATAATCCATTTGTGTTGTTTTAAGTCACTAAGTTTGTGGGAATTTGAAACAGCAGCCATAGAAAAGTATGACGATGATTGACATGCCTGGGTTAAAAGTAAGTTTCAATGAATTTTTGAGAATGAAAGCATACTAAGTAGGAAGCCAGAAATCAATGTTTTTGAAAAAATACATAGCCCCTGCTGGGTGTGGTTTCTCATGCCTATAATCTCAGCTGCTCGGGAGGCTGAGGCAGGATGATGAGCCCAGGAGTTCAAGACCCAGGAGTCCAAGCCCAGGAGTTCAAGACCAGCCTGGGCAACATAGCAAGATTCCATCTTAAAAAAAAAAAAAAGAATCTAGATAATATCCAAATGTTTACAAATTAAGCAAAACACTTCTAAATAACTCACGGATAAAGGAAGAAATCATAATAGAAATTAGACAATTTTAACTAAATGATAATGAAAATGTGGAACAGCAAAGCATGTGAGATGCAGTTGAAGCTATGTTTAGAGGGATATTGGTAGGCATAAATGTATACATTAGGAAAGAAGGAAGGCTGATAGTCAATTAAGGCTCCATCTCAAGCAATTGGAAAGAGTAAATCCAACAGAAAGAAAGTAGAGGAAGTAATAAAGATAATAGCAGAAATTAATACAATAGAAGACAATTTTTTTCTTTTTTGAGATAGAGTCTCACTCTGTTGCCCAGGCTGGAGACTAGTGGCGCGGTCTCAGCTCACTACAACCTCCACCTCCCGGGTTCAAGCGATTCTCCTGCCTCAGCCACCTGAGTAGCTGGGATTACAGGCACTACCACACCCGGCTAATTTTTGTATTTGTAGTAGAGACGGGGTTTCACCCTGTTGACCAGGCTGGTCTCAAACTCCTGACCTCAAGTAATTCACCCATGGCCTCCCAAAGTTCTGGGATTACAGACATGAGCCACTACGCCCAGCCAGAAGACAAAAATATTATAGAGAGAACCAATAAAGCCAAAAATTGGTTCCTTCTAAAATAAGGATTTAGGATGGTTAAGTTTCAGTGAAGCAGAAAGAAGAGAAAGGGCCCTGGCATGGTGGCTCATTCCTGTAATCCCTGCACTTTGGGAGGCTGAGGGCGGAGGATCACTCAAGGCCAGGAGTTCAATACCAGCCTGGCCAACAAAGCAAGACTCTGTCTCTATATAGAAAAGAAAAGAAAGAGAGAGAGAGAGACAGAAAGAAGGAAAGAAGGAAGGGAGGGAGGGAGAGAGAAAGAGAGAAAGAAAGAAAGGAAGGAAGGAAGGAAGGAAGGAAGGAAGGAAGGAAGGAAGGAAGAAAGAAAGAGAAAAAGAAAAAGAGAGAGAGAGAGAAAGAGAAAGAGGCCGGGCGCAGTGGCTCACACCTGTATTCCCAGCACTTTGGGAGGCTGAGGTGGGCGGATCACGAGGTCAGGAGATCAAGACCATCCTGGCTACCACGGTGAAACCCCATCTCTACTAAAAATATAAAAAATTAGCCGGGCCTAGTGGCAGGTGCCTGTAGTCCCAGCTACTCAGGAGGCTGAGGCAGGAGAATGGCGTGAACCCGGGAGGCGGAGCTTGCAGTGAGCCGAGATCGCGCCACTGTACTCCAGCCTGGGCGACAGAGCGAGACTCTGTCTAAAAAAAAAAGAAAAAAGAAAAAAAAGAAAGAATGAGAGAAAGAGAGAAGGAAGGAAGGAAGGAAAAAGAAAGAGAGAGAGGAAGGAAGGAAGGAAGGAAGGAAGGAAGGAAGGAAGGAAGGAAGGAAGGAAGGAAGGGAGGGAGGGAGGGAGGGAGGGAAAGGCAGGGAGAAAGTTCTGGGAGCTAGGGAGTGCCCGGGGTGGGGAGCTCCAAGAACAAGCCCCAGGGAGCTGTAACAAAGACTTTGTCACAGCTAGCCTGAAGCTAGCTGTGCTCTGGGAAAGGATCCAAGCTTACAGCTGAGCCACATTCCCCACCTTTGGGTCATCTGGACCTAGCATGAAGCAACCCCCAGGAAACTGGAGAACTGCCTCGTCAGGAATGGAGTGAGAGGTGCTCAGGGATGGGGGTAGGAGAGCCTAACACCTCTTCCCCTTCCGCTCAACTCTGGTCCACACAAGGCTTTCTCTTTTTTTTTTTTTTTTTTTTTTTTTGAGACAGTCTCACTCTGTTTCCCAGGCTGGAGTTCAGTGGCGCAATCGCGGCTCACTGCAGCTTCCAACCTCCACCTCCCGGGGTTCAAGCGATTCTCGTGCTCAGCCACCCGAATAGCTGGGATTACAGGCATGCACCACCATGCCTGGCTACTTTTTGTATTTTCAGTAGAGACAGGGTTTCACCATGTTGGCCAGGCTGGTCTCAAACTCCTGACCTCAAATGATCCACCCACCTCAGCCTCCCAAAGTGCTGGGATTACAGGCATGAGCCACCACTCCCGGCGACAAGGCTTTCTCTATTTTAAGAATTCATTAAACATTTCCTGTGCTCTAGAAACCATACTGAGAGCTGGGGATTTGGAAATGAACAAGGCAATGGGAGCATGGTGCAGGAGGAAGAAAATGGGCTCTCATGATGCAGTTTGGGGCTCAGATTCTGGCTCTGCTACTGAGAGACAGGTGACTCTAGTAAACTCAGAGCCTCAATTTCCCCATCTGCAAAATGGGGACAATAAAACTGTTCTTGCTAGGTGGTAGTGAGAACTAAACAAGAAAATATAAATCAAGTGGCAAATAACAGCTGCTCAATAAATATAATGATTTTTCCTGCTCCCAGGAGCTTTCAGTCCAGAACAAGGCAGCCATATACACAAACAAGTGACACTCAAATAGTGGAACTGGAGGTACATCCCTGCAGTATCTGAACAGAGAAGCTGTTGTTCAAGTCTATCTGTTTTGCCTGAGTAGGGCAACATGTGTGTGTGCTGTCCCGGGAGAAGCTTCATAACACTCAACACACACTCACCCCAGGTGTCAAAAACCTATACTATAATCTCAGGTTCAGATCTTTGCGTCCAGCCCCCTATATGATCTTAAATCTCCTTCTCAACTTCCCGCTAAGTGATCCTCCAGCCAAGCCTTAAATACCTCTTCCTCCAGCAAGAGGACCCAGGAGTCTAGGTCACATAGAACCTTAGAGACAGGGCTAGAATTCAAGCATGAGTCCTTTCGCTGGAGGGAAAAGAGGAGAGCGACAGACATTTAATCCCCCGTAAAGTGCTGCGTGCAAGTTATGCCATCCAACCCTCATGACCCTTCCCATTTTATAGATGAAGAGGGTTGGGCTCAGAGAGGTCTAGTGACTTGCTGAGATCACAGAGCTGAGAAGCTGAGATTTGAAATCACATCTGCCTTATTCCGAAGCCCCACTGTGGCAGAGGCGCTAGTTGGACATCAATACCTGTTCTCCTATCTCCTTCATGGAAATAGAACCCCTCGCACACACCTGGTTTTTAGCTAGGCGCAAATATGGCCATCCAGAATAAAGACTACATTTCCCAGATTTCCTTGTGGTTAAGCCACACAACTAAGTTCTGGGCAATGGGATGGAGTAAAATGATGCACGTTGCTTCCCAGCTGAATCTTTAAATGGAGATGGCATGCCGTTCCCCTCCTCTCCCTTCCTTCCTCCATCCTGTCGCATGGGATGGGATGTGGTGTGAAATAGCTTGGGCCATGAGAGCAAAACCCTAGGGATAAGAGCATTGACCATAAGCTACATACGGTGAAAAGGCTTTTTCCTCTAACCAAATTGGTACATGTGTTCATTCATTCATCACACCAACACTCTGTGCCAGACCCTTTGTTAGACACTAGAGTTATGGATTAGTCAGTTCTCACACTGCTATAAGGAAATACCTGAGACTGGTTTAAAGAAAAGTAGTGTAATTGGCTCACAGTACTGCAGGTTCTATAGGAAGCATGGCCGGGAAGGCCTCAGGAAACTTACAATCATGGCAGAAGGTGAAGAAGAAGCAGGCATGTTTTCACATGGCCGGAGCAAAAGGAAGAAGCATGCGGGGAGGCGCTACACACTTTTAAACAACTAGATATTGTGAGAACTCACTCACTATCACAAGAATAGCACCAAAGGTGGAAATCTGCCTCCGTCATCCAATCACCTCCCGCCAGGCCCGCCCCTGCAACACTGGGGATTATAATTTGACTTGAAATTAGGGCAGGGACACAAATCCAAACCACATCAGGTTACAAAAATAAATCAGTCACCTTGGCCTGAGGTTTTCTGTGTCTTGTAGTACTTGCCCCCCCAGGATTGTGACTGTCTATATCTGTCTTTCCATTGGGTTGTGAGGACTGAGTCTCAATAATCCCTATGTCCTCAGCAGCTAACTCCAGCAAAGAATTGGCTATAAAAAGGCAACCAAGTGGAAATGTGAAGGATGGGAAGGACTTAGGTAGGGGAAGAAGGAGGTTCAGGCCCCATGTGTGTCAGAAGTAACAGAAATTCAACCTGAACCAGTGTAGGCAAAAAGTGGGGCATCTATGAACTCTCATAATCAACCTATGGGAACAGCTGGCCTCAAGGACAACTGGACCTCCAGCAAGGCTCTTTGGTTCCCTGTCCCTCATGCCTTCTGAGTGTCTGTATTCCTCCAGGTTGGCTTGCTCTAAGAGGCTCCTTAGCATGCTCAAGTCTATGCTTAGTTTAAAAAAACAATCTCAGGGAAGGATTATGACTGCTTCAGCTTGGATCAGGAATCCTTCCCCAGGGAGGATGAGGTACAATGAATACCATCCCCAACTAGAACCACAGGGTTGAGTGAGGATAGGAGTTCCCCCAAAAAAGAAAGGGTGCTGTTTCCCAAAGGGAAGGATGCTAGACAGACAAATCACAAATATCAGGTATTTTCAGCTGCAAGTAGCAGAACATATGGTTAAAATGTGGCTTATACAAGAAGCCTGGAGGTAGGCAATTTCAAGATTGGTCAACTCAGCCACTCAAAGACTCGATGAAGCCAGAATCTCCCATCTCCCTGCTCCACCATCCTCCGCATTTGGCTTCCTGTAGCCCTGACCACTCATGGATGTAGCTTACCAAGGCTATTTCAGGATCACGTCATCGCCCAACTGTGTTCAAGACAGGAAAAAAGGGAGGTGATTACCTCATCACATCTGTTTCTTTATGAGGGAGGAAAACTCTCTGGAAAGCCCTCAGAAGGCAATTATGTCTCATTATCCAGAAGTAGGTCACATGCTCACCCCAAACCCATCTCGGGCGGAAATGGGAGTACCATGACTGGTTTAAACTAGACAGGACTCATCCTTTGGGACTGGACCCAACTTCCCTGAGTATGTGCTACTCAGTACCCATACTCAATAGCAACTCTCACAGCAAAGAAGGCTGGGAAGATGGCAACTGGGTGGGTAGGCAGACTCAGTGTCTACATTTCCCTGCTTCCTTACAAACAGAACCACAATTCTATTGGAGGCTGCAATAGGCCCTGCTAAAATATATTCTCCAGCCTCCCTTGCAGCTAAGATCATCATGTGACATCATTCTGACCAATGAGATGCTAGAGGAAGTGTCATTTAAGGGCACTGACCCAGTTAGCAATCATTAGTTTGTCCTTTGTCCTTCCCCCTTTTACTACCTGGGTGCAAGTGAGATGCTGGAGGTATGGGGGTGTGGATCTTGTGCTGGCTCAGCTGGGTCCTTGATGAGACCATGGAGACCCATGCCTGGTAGCCCTGAATTACTTCTTGTTACATGAGAAAAACAAACACTTTGCATTGTTTAAGCCACTATTTTTCCAATCTCTGTTACTTGCAACTGATCCAATTGCTGATTCCTGGGTGTCCACCATCAGCCACTTTAAACAGCAAGAGCAGCCCAAGAAAGGGTGTAGCTGGTACTAGGCTGAGTCTTGGAATTGACAAGAGCTGAGTCTGGGAGCAGTAGAGTCTGACCCTCTGCACCTCAGTCATTCATTCACACACTTATTCACGAAGCATTGACTGGGCACCAACTCTTGGTTAGGTCCTGTGTGGTACATGGGATGCAAAGATGAAGAGGGCAAGGCCCTTGCTCTCCAGGAGCTCACAAAGGGAGACAGAGAATGAAACTCAAGTACAAAATGGTGACGAAGGGCAGTGACAGGAACATGCACCAGATGAGACAGGAACACAAAAGACTCTTCTGACTGCAAGAGATGAGATCCCAAAGTATACAAGCTTAGGCCAAAACCTTATGGGCTCATAGAACCAAAAGGAGGGAGGGAGGAGCACAGGGAGGATGTGGGCAGAGAGAATTTGTGAACAAAGGCAGGGAGGTGAAAAACAGCTTGGCGTGTGTGGAGAGCCATGAGAGTTGGTGTAGTGGAGGCGTAAAGCACAGGGGATGGAGCAGCAAGAAGAAGATGGGGGAGCCCGGGGCCACGCCATGGGGAGGCTTAAATGCCAGGACAGGGCAGGTGAATGTCACCCTTAGGCAATGGGAAGCCATGGAAGGAGAGAAGAAGTTATCGGACGGAGGAATGCGGCGGTGAGATTTGGGTTTTGGCAGGGTCATGTTGACTGTGGTACAGAGGATAAATTAGAGAGGGGCAAGACTGCAGCCAGGGAGTCCCACTAGGAGATTGTTGCACTCATGGAGATGGGACTGTGGTGTGGTGCACATGGAGGATACCATGAACATGACCAGAAAGGCTGTATCAGGAAACAGTTAGGAGTCAAAATTGGCATGCTTTTGATTGACTGGAAGTGGACGATGGTAGTGGGAAGTGTGAAGGACGACTCCCTGGTTTCTGATGGAGGCAACTGGTGGGGGGTAGGGGGTAGCACCATTTACTGAGATGGGGAATGCAGGAAGAGCAGATTGGAGGGAGATGATCAATTCAGTTTGGGACACACTGAGTTTGAAGGACTTGTGGAGCATTCTGGTGGACGTGGCCAGGAGGCAGTTGAATATTTGGGTCCAGAGCTCCAGAGAGAGGTCTAATATAGAAAAAGAAATACAGGAGGCATCAGAATTTAGAAGGACATTGACAATGGAAACCTTGGGAGTGGAGGAGACCCCCAGGGGAAAGTACCTAAGGTAGCAATCCTCAACAAGATATGCATAGGGTGGCATAGCTCCCTGGGACAGTGTTCAGGATCACCAGGGAGGCTTTTCCAAAAGTGCATACCCTACCCTCAATTCCAGTAAATACCCCAGGGAATGTGACTCAGGGGAACACTGTTACTGATGAGGAGGTGACCTCAGGTACAAAGAATTTTGAGAGCATTAGTGAGAAGAAAAGGGGGTCAAGATAGGCACAGAGAGCAAAGAATGAAAAGTCCAAGGCTAGGTTCGGTGACTCATGCCTGTAATCCCAGCACTTTGGGAGGCCGAGGCAGGCGGATCATGAGGTCAGGAGATTGAGACCATCCTGGCTAACACGGTGAAACTCCGTCTCTACTAAAAATACAAAAAAAAAAAAAAATTAGCTGGGCATGGTGGCGGGCGCCTGTAGTCCCAGCTACAGGAGGCTGAGACAGGAGAATGGCATGAGCCCAGGAGGCAGAGCTTTCAGTGAACCGAGATTGCGAGATTGTGCCCCTGCACTCCAGCCTGGGTGACAGAGCGAGACTCCATCTCAAAAAAAAAAAAAAAAAAAAAGAAAAAGAAAAAGAAAGAAGAGTCCAAGAAGGAGGCCGAAAAGGAGGAGAGGTTTGAGGACATGCAGGAGAGTGAGGTTCCCTGGGTGTTGGGATAGAGAAGTGATTCTCTACTGTGCACCATGGGTGCTGATGAGAAATACACATTCCTGCCTTTCACCATCCTGGAGCAGTAGGGCCCTAGAATCTATATGGTAAAGAGTTCTCCAGGTGCCACCAATGGGGTACAGAAGTTCATTTAGATGGGCATGGTCAACAGGCTCACGCCAGAAGTGGGGCTGGGTCCAGTAAGTTAAAGACTGAAGGGTCTATTGGATTCCGCTCTTCAGGAGGTCATTGGTAACCATGGAGGAGGAAATTTCAGTGGTGTCGTGGGAGTGGAAGCCAGATTGCAGTGGGCTGAAGAGTGAATGGGAGGTGAGAAAGAGAAGACAGCAACTGTGGACCCCTTTTGGGAGAAATTTGGATGAAAGACGTAGGCAAGAGCATCCTCCCCCTCAAAGGCTACCTTCCGTCTCCTAGAGAAAGTTGGCAAAGAGGATTAAGGAAATCTGGAGGCTGAGTCAGACATTCCACGGACCATCAGAACGCACCAGGGAGGCATCTTAAGAACCAGCAAGGACCTAGCACCCTTCAAGCTGCCAACTCTCAGAACCAAACCCACTGTGCCTGCCTCCTGTCTACCCACTCGAAATCCAATTCACCGTCTTCACCACCAGAGTGATCTTTCCACAACACAAATGTGACCACATCTTGAAACCCTCCAACAGCTACCGTGCCTATTCTTACCTCATCCCAGGGAGCACTCAAGTCCCTGAACTTGGCATTCAAAACCCTTCTCACTACTTCCCTACTTCCCTTAGCATCTTCACCCCTATCACCTCCCACCTACACCTACATTCGCCCTCCACCCAGACCTTACGAAGCCACCCACAGTTCCCCAGTGAAGCATGCTGTCCCACCCTCAATTAGCCCCCCGGGGTCATCCTGGACTCGGCCAACTCAAGTACCACACTCTGAGAGTTAGTTACTCCCTCCTTGGAAAGAGCCAGAATCTTGCCCACACCTCTACCATAGCATTGGTAGAATGAATTATTCTATATCTATTTGTTCACATGGCTGTCTGTTCACTGGACTGTGCCTTCCATGGGATCAAGGTCCTCATCTTACTCCTCTCTGAATCACTAGCACCTGACGAGGGCTGAGCTCCCAGTAGATGCTGTAACTGCCCAATGGGTTCACCTTGCCCACTGCCTAGACAGAGCCGATGTATCAAGACAGGGGGATTGCAATGGAGAAAGGTAATTCAAACAGAGCCAGCTGTGCGGGAGAGGGGAGTTTTATTATTACTCAAATTACTCAAACAGAGGAATGCAGCGGTGAGATTTGGGTTTTGGCAGGGTCATGTTGACTATGGTACAGAGGATAAATTAGAGAGGTGCAAGACTGCAGCCAGGGAGTCCCACCAGGAGATTGCACTCAGGTAGATGGGATTGTGGTGTTGTGCACATGGAGGGTGCCATGAACGTGGCCAGAAAGGCTGTATCAGGAAATAGTGAGGAGTCGAAATTGGCATGCTTGTGACTGGAAGTGGGCTGTTGTAGTGGGAAGGGTGAAGGACTCCCCCCTGTTTTCTGATGGAGGCAACTGGGTCGGGGGTGGTGCCATTTACTGGAATGGGGAATGCAGGAAGAGCAGATTGGAGGGAGATGATCAATTCAGTTTGGGACACACTGAGTTTGAAGGGCTTGTGGAACATTCTGGTGCACATGGCTAGGAGGCAGTTGAATATGCTACCCAAGCATTCAGGGATCAGAGGTTTTAAAGATAATTTTGTGGGTAGGGGCTTGGCAAGCGAGGAGTGTTGATTGATTAAGTCGAAGATGGAATACTGAGGGGGTCGAAGTGAGGTTTTCTTGCTGTCTTCTGTTCCTGGGTGGGATCACAGAACTGTTTGAGCCACATTACTGGTCTGGGTGGTGTCAGCTGATCCATCGAGCGCAGGGTCTGCAAAATATCTCAAGCGCTGATCTTAGGTTTTACAATAGTGATGTTATCCCCAGGAGCAATTTGGGAAGGTTCAGACTCTTGCAGCCAGAGGCTGCTGTGTGACCCCTAAACCATAATTTCTAATGTTGTAGCTAATTTGTTAGTCCTACAAAGGCAGACTGGTCCCAAGGCAGGAAGGGAGCCTTTTTGGGAAAGGGCTATTGTCAATTTTGTTTCAGAGTAAAACTATAAACTAAATTCCTTCCCAAGGTTCGTTCAGCCTATGCCTAGGAATGAACAAAGACAGCTTAAAGGCTAGAAAGGCAAGATGGAGTGGGTTAGGTCTGATCTCTTTCACTGTCATAATTTCCTCAGTTATAATTTTGGCAAAGACAGCTTCAATGCTAGTAAATGTGGCAGTGGGGTTTCACCCCAAGTACTCATCACAATAATAAAGGTTTAAACTACGAAGTACCCAACTGACCCTTTGATCTACCAATCAAATAATAGAATCCGCCAGTTCTTCCCCTTTCCCCTTTTCCTTCTCCGTACTTTCGGATTAATTTTCCCTCCCAAGGGGAAGAAAAGGCAGGCTCTGGGCAACTGTGTCTGAAATTAGGTGGTACAAATGTCTCCTAGTGACTAGAGCTAGGTGACCATACAAGGGTGTGGCACAGAGGAAGGAGCCCCTGGGTTCCTTCTCCAGGGAGATTACCTCCATCCTTTACCAAGTTACTTAACCTCTCTGAACTTTAGTTCAGATGGGATGACGAATATTATCACCTAAAAGTACTGTAATGAGAATCAAGTGAGATATTAATTGTACAGCCCTACAAAAATGCTAGTTATTATCAGGCTTTTCAGATCCCAATAAAGTAGTGGCTAAGTGTCACGACACCAACAAGTTGCATTTGTTATTTCAAGTGACTAAAAGAACCTCCCAAGGCAGTACTGCTTTTCGAAGTTTGTTTCCCTAGAAAAAGAACTTCAATGTGTCCCCTGCTCCTCGGGCACGCTTAAGACAACTATAAGTGAAGTCCCGCCTCCCTGGCCTCTAAACCACGCCCCTGTCCTTGCAAACGCCTGACTTATAAGGGCCTTTCACTCTGATTGATACTTTTATCCACCAATAATAAGTGAAATTCTCGTCAACGTCCGGTGAGGGGGCAGGACTTCCTTGCTGGTTGCTAAGACACTCTTGTTTCGCTCCTTGACAACCCTGGCGGGGGTTCGCTGGCTGCGGCCCCGGCTCCGGCCCCCGCAGGAGCAGGTGAGGCCCCGGGGCGCGGCGGGCAGCCAGGCGGGGAGGGCCGGCCCGGAGGGAGGGCGGGAGGCAACGCAGGGCGGAAGAGGCCTCGCCCGCCGCCGAGGCCCCACCTCGGTCTCCTGCCTGCTGTTCCCCTGCCCCAGGTCTTCCCATCCTCAACCCCCACCCTCACCCCCACTTCGGGACCTGCGAGCTCTGTCGTGACAGGTTTGCCATCGCGACTCTGCCGGCTGCTCTTCCCCACCCACCCAAGGCCTGCCCAGCTTCGTGGTCCCGCGTCCCCCTTTAGCCGACTTCCCCCAGCACCTTGATCCCTCGACCTTTCGCGGAGTAATTCCCTCTCCCGCGGGGTCGCCATCAACTAGGTCAGACCGCTCTTGGCTTGGAGAGTTGGCGACTTACTGGGATTCTGGGCTGGTCATTTCCCCTGTTTGGGCCTCAGTTTCCCCATCTGTAAATGAGAAGTTGAGTTGAGTGATCTCTAAGGCCTCTTCCACTCTGACGTTCTAGGATGTCGTTGTTCTTTGACCCAACTTTAGGCTTCCGAGAGGATGTGCTCCCCAATGGGAGGTATCGTGTATTGTGAAAATAACTTGGCAAACCTAATTTGGATTCCCAGTCTCAAGACCTACCCTCCCTGCGCTTTTAATCAGTGCATATGTAAAATCAGTATACGTCGGTGCATCTCCTTTGGTAATTCTGAGGCTAATATGAAGTACAGAGTCCAGTCCAGTATAGATTCAGTATTTGTTAGTTTCTTTCCTTTGTCTCTTCACCACATTTTCCCTCTCTGGGAAATGTTATCAACCCGGTCAGCATGAACTGTCATTTCTCCAGTTGACCCTCTCTGATCTTCCTCCTGGGCTTCCATGGTTAGGGTTACTTAGGGGTGGGGAGGGGACAGATGGAGATTGAAATACAGTCATGTACCATATAACAACGTTTTGGTCAAGAAAGACCACAGATACCACGGTGGTGCCCTAAGGTTATAATGGAGCTGACAAATTTCTATCACCTAGTTACATAGCTATCGTAATGTCAAAGCAAAATGCATGACTCACGTGTGTGGTGATGCTGGTGTAAGCAAACCTACAGTGCTGCCAGTCATATAAAATATAGCACATACAATTGTGTACAGGACATCATACTTGATAATGGTAATAAATGACTGTTACTTGTTTATGTGTTTACTATCCTACACTTTTATTGTTATTTTACAGTGTACACTCCTCCTACTTATAAGAAAATAAAATTTAACCGTAAACAGTCTTAGATAGGTCCTTCAGGAGGTATTCAAGCAAAAGGCTTTGTTATCATAGGAGATGACAGCTCCATGCGTGTTATTGCCCTGAAGACCGTCCAGCGGGACAAGATGTGGTAGTGGAAGATAGTGACACTAAGCATCCTGACCCTGTGTAGGCTTAGGCTAGTGTATCTGTGTCTGAGTTTTAACAAAAAAGTTAAAAATGTTAAAAATAAAAAATAAAGGCCAGGAGCGGTGGCTCACGCCTATTAATCCCAGCACTTCGGGAGGCCGACACAGGCAGATCACCTGAGGTCAAGAGTTTGAGACTAGCCTGGCCAACATGGTAAAACCTGTCCCTACTAAAAATACAAAAAATTAGCCAGACGTGGTAGCGGGCACCTGTAATCCCAGCTACTCAGGAGGCTGAGACAGGAGAATGGCGTGAACCCGGGAGGTGGAGGTTTCAGTGCGCCGAGATAGCGCCATTGCGCTCAAGCCTGGGCAACAAGAGTAAAACTTTGTCTCAAAAAAAAAAAAGTAAAAAAGAAATAGAAAATTTATAAGTAGAAAAAAGCTTATAGAATAAAGATATAAAGAAAGAAAATATTTTTGTATAGCTGTACAATGTGTTTGTGTTTTAAGCTAAGTGTTACTACGAAAGAGTCAAAAAGTTAACAAAATCAAAACTTTTACAAAGTAAAAAGTTACAGTAAGCTAAGGTTAACTTATTATGGAAGAAAGAAAAATATTTTCTATAAATTTAGTGCAGCCTAAATTTACGTAAATTTTTTACGGTGTTTATAAATAAAGTTACAGTAGTGGCCAGGCATGGTGGCTCACACCTGTAATGCCAGCACTTTGGGAGGCCAAGGCAGAGGGATCACTTGAGGTCAGGCGATGGAGACCAGCCTGCCCAACATGGTGAAACCCCATCTGTACTCAAAAAAAAAAAAACAACACACAAAAATTAGCCAGGCATGGTGGCAGGCGCCTGTAATCCCAGCTACTTGGGAGGCTGAGGCAGAAGAATCATTTGAACCCGGATGGTGGATGTTGCATTGAGCTGAGATCACACTACTGCACTCCAGCCTGGGCAACAGAGTGAGACTCCATCTAAAAAATAAAAATAAATAGGCTGGGCGCAGTGGCTCACACCTGTAATCCCAGCACTTTGGGAGGCTGAGGCGGGCAGATCACCTGAGGTCAGGAGTTTGAGACCAGCCTGATCAACATGGAGAAACCCCATCTCTACTAAAAATACAAAATACAAAATACTAAAAATACAAAATATAAAAATACAAAAATAAGCCCGGCTTGGTGGCACGTGCCTGTAATCCCAGCTACTCAGGAGGCTGAGGCAGGAGAATCGCTTGAACCCAGGCGGCGGAGGTTGCAGTGAGCCGAGATCACGGCTTTGCACTCCAGCCTGGGGAACAAGAGCAAGATTCATCTCAAAAAATAAAATAAAATAAAAATTAAAAAGTAAAATAAAGTTATAGTGGTGTCCAGTAATGTCCTGGGCCTTCACCACTCATTCACTGATTCTCCCAGAGCAACTTCCTGTCCTGTACGCTTCATTCATGGGAAGTGACCTATATAGGTGTATGATTTTTTATCTTTTATAGCATATTTTTACTGTCCTTTTTTTTTTTTTTCTAGAGGTGGAGACTCGCTCTGCTGCCCAGGCTGGAGTGCAGTGGTGTGATTTCTGCTCACTGCAACCTCCGCCTCCCAGGTTCAAGAGATTCTCCTGCTTCAGCCTCCTGAGTAGCTGGGATTACAGGCGCGCGCCACAACACCAGCTAATTTTTGTATTTTTAGTAGAGACGAGGTTTTGCCATGTTGGCCAGGCTGGTCTCGAACTCCTGACTTCAAGTGATCCACCTACCTCAGCCTCCCAAAGTGCTGGGATTACAAGCGTGAGCCACCGCACCCGGCCAACTGTACTTTTTCTATGTTTAGATACACAAACACCATTGCATTACAGTTGCCTACAGTATTTAGTACAGTAACATGCTATACAAGTTTGTAGCCTTGGAGAAATAGGCCGTACCATATAGCCTAGGTCTGTAGTAGGCTACATCATCTAGGTTTGTGTAAGTACACTCTATGACATTCACACAACAAAATCGCCTAACGATTCTCAGAACATGCCCCTGTCATTAAGCAACGCATGACTGTGTTGATGCGATAGTTGGACTTGATGGCTTCCCTCCTGCCCCGATAGCCCATGACTTGGTGATTTCTTTCTCCTGACTAGATACCTCCATCTGCGTATCTTACCAGCAACTTAAACTTTGCAGCTCTGAAATGAAACTGACCTGCTTCTCTACCCAGCTGTGCCACCTGGTTTCCCCTCTCCCCATCAGTGGCATCACCATCCTCCTGGGCATCATTCCTCACTCCACCATGCTCATTCCATTTGGGCAGTTGTCAGGTTGTTTTGATTCTGCTGCATGCAGAGCTCACATCGTCTCCATTCCTGAAGCCACCACTCTCCTTCAAGTATTTCATGCCTGTGACATTAATACCCCTGGACCATTACTGCAGCTTCCTAGCGACTGCTCCTACCTCCGGTCTCTGCTCCTGTCAACCCAGCCCACCCATGTCACCAGCCACCTAGAGACCTCCAAAGGGCTTCCCATTCACTATGAAAAAGATCCACACATCTTGCCAGGCATGGTGGCTCACACTTGTAATCCCAACACTTTTGAGAGGCTGAAGTGGGAGCATCACTTGAGTCCAGGAGTTCAAGACCAGCCTGGGCAACATAGAGACCCCATGTCTACAAAAATATGTAAGCATAGGTTTCAGGACCCATCTACACGTCCACAGCCCAACCCCAGTCTTTTTCCCCAGATTTATTTCTCCCTTCTTTGCCAAATTCTATCTTCTAGCCAAATCGGACTGTTAGACTTTCCCAGAAGATGCTTTGTACTTTCTGCCTTGGCACTGTTGTGTTCATCCGCCTGGAAGGTCTTCCTCACCTCGTCCACCTGTTGCAATTCTTCCTCACCTTTCCAGGCCTGACTCAAATGCTGCCCCTGCCAGCAAGCTCCTTTTGCTGTCTTATCTCACCCTCCTCACCACTGCAAGTATGCCTGTCTTGTGGCACTACTTTCTGCCAGGCTGCCAGGAACCATAGTTAGTTCCTTGTGTATGCCTGTTGGTCTCCATATTAGATTGTAAGCTCCTTAAAGGCAGGGACTGTCTGATGATTATAGTCGAGTAGTTGAAAAAGCATAATCAGGCCAGGCATGGTGACTCACGCTTATAATCCCAGCACTTTGGGAGGCTGAGGTGGGCAAATTGCTTGAGCTCAGGTGTTTGAGACCAGCCTGGGCAACATGGCAAAACCCCGTCTCTCCAAAAAATAAAAAAATTAGCCGAGTATGGTGGCACAAGCCTGTAGTGTGCCACCACTGAGTGTGGTAGCATGAGCTACTCAGGAGGATCATCTGAGCCTGGGAAGTTGAGGCTGCGGTAAGCTGTGATCATGCCACCGCACTCCAGCCTGGGCAACAGAGTGAGACCCTGTCTCGAAAAGAAAAGAAAAAGCATAATCTTTGAAGTCATATATACCTGCAATCAAATCCTAGCCCCTTTGTTTATTAACTAGGTGGAAACTCTCTTTTTTTCAGGCTGTGTGGCTATACCAGTAACGTAGGGCTAGTAGTACCTGTCTGACAGAGTGACTGGGGGAGGGACATCCTGTATGTAGATCGCCCATTCTGGTGCCTGGCTCAGGATCAGTGTTCAATAAATAGTCTTGAATGGATGTGATAGGTCCTCTCCCCTCCCATGGGGCAAATGAAATATAAGTTAATTGCAATTTGGATAATTTCTGGGCTTCTGCCGTGTGCCAGACACTGGCCTTTGTGCTCTGGGGCATCTAGAGCCAAATCAAGTTCCTCAGCCCCAGGGAATCTGGACTCACGGGCACAGTTAAGTCGTGATCGGTTGTGAGATGTCACTGGTAATTAGCAATTGTGAATGAGTTTCTAAAAAATAAATCCATGCTAAGTCCAATTTATTTCTGTGATAATGTCACTCTTACTCCCTTAGATTCAAATCTGTTCTCTTGAGTGGGAGAGAGCGGGGCGGGAGCCTGCCCTGCTGTGTGTGGCGAGCAGCTGTTCTCCGGGAGCTAATAGCTGTGATGGTTGTGACTTTCCTTATACTTTGTATCTTGACAAAACTGTCTGGGATTTCATCCAAGTCTGGCTAAGTCCTTGAGGGTGCATGTGTGAGTCAATGTCACTTATCACATGGTGTCGGACATGAGGAAATGTTGAGAATTGCAGATCCAGACAGCAGGCCTCTCTTCTCTCCCTCCCTCCTCTCCTTCCCTCCACTCCTCCCTCAGTCCCAGGCACATTAAGTTTTCATTGGACCGCAGCAAAATGAGAAAAAATAAGGACCACGTAAAAACAACTTCGTGTGTTTGACTTTTCTTGAGGAGGGCTGATCTTTATTCTGCCAAATTTTCCTCTTTTGTAGTAGATGATGTATCTTCTAAGGCCCTTTTGCAGCAGAATTTTAAAATGGCAGCCCTGCGTCTGCCCACACTTTAAACTGGTCTGGGAGCCTGGCTTCTGCATCATTTCCTGACCTTACTACGAGCGTCTTGGACGAATGCCCAAGTCCTTAGGATCCTTTTTCCTCCCCTGTCAGCTTTGTTCTTCATTTGTTCGCTAGAAGGCCAAGGAAGACTGGAGTGCCCGCCTGTGTCCCCAATGTGGCGGGAAGCAAGAGGCAGGCCTGGACAGAGGCTGGATGGGTGGATGCTGAGTATCGAAGTCATCTGTGTTACTGGCTTGTCTCCTACTTGCTTGTGCCAAAGGAGAAAGCACAGAAGGTCGAGTCAGAAGGATGGATTGGGGTTCCGATCCTGGTTCTACCATTGCCGGCTGTGCACCCTCAGGCCACCCATAAAACCTCTCTGAGCTCCAGTGACTTGTCTGAGAATAGGGAGCTGGATCCTTCCCTCACAGGTGTTAGGAGGATGAAATGAGATGGTGGATGTGAAGGCACACCATAGCCACACCACTACCACCTCAGCCCCAAGAGGTTTCACAGAATTTCCTTGTGACTCTTTCCTCCTTCATTACTACCACAGTGGTTTGCACATAGTGGGAACTTGGGAGATAGTGGTTTGTTTGGCTGCACGTTTAGATGTGTAGCAGGTTGGTCTATGAAGAAGGATATCGCAGTTTCCTTCCTACTGCACCAGTAACAGGAGCTGAGTCCTTAGCCCCAATTTCCAGATGAGAAAACTGAGGCTGCCAGGTGCAGTGGCCCACGCCTGTAATCCTAGCGCTTTGGGAGGCTGAGGCAGGTGGATCACCTGAGGTCAGGAGTTCGAGACCAGCCTGGCCAACATGGTGAAACCCCATCTCTACTAAAAATACAAAAATTAGCCAGGCGTGGTGGCGCGTACCTGTAATCCCAGCTACTTGGGAGGCTGAGTCAGAAGAATTGCTTGAACCCGGGAGGCGGAGGTTGCAGTGAGCCGAGATCGCGTCACTACACTCCAGCCTGTGCAACAAGAGCAAAACGCTGTCTCAAAAAAAAAAAAAAGAAAGAAAGAAAGAAAGAAAAGAAAAGAAAACTGAGGCTTAGGGAGGTAAGCCCTTGTCTAAAACAGAACCAAGATGTGAATTCAGATCCGACGGTGGAGTCTGTACTCAGAACCACCATGACATGCTCCAGGTGTGTCCTGCAATCTCTCAGGTGCATGGTGGGTGGTACAGGGAGGCGAGCCGTGATCTAAGGGCCGCGGATGTTCCAGACATTGAATGGCTGCCCCCCTCCCAGGGGGCTGGCAGATATTTTGGGCCTTATTTCCCAGAACGCATTCATTTTTCCCAGTCCCTCCCACACACCCTAACCCTCTTTAGGATTCTTCCCAGACGCTTCAGACACAGAATAGTGAATGGTGACTGAGGTCAGTGCCACAAAAGAACAAGGGATAGCAGGACCAGGAACACTGGCCTTGACCAGGCAATGAGATAAAGGGCCCTTGTCTGTGCCCACTGTTGCTTAGGAAGAGCCTCACATCAGAGGGGGTGAGGATATGTAAAGCCCACAGATGGCCCTTGAGTGAGGAGGAGAGCAGGGGTAGTGGGAGAGGGAATAAGGCTGCCCCTGGCTTTGCACCACTGTGGGCCAGATGGGCTGGAGTCGAGCTTCTGTACCCAGGAGATTCAAGTACCCTGGCGGTGGGCACAGTTTTGTTTTTGTTTTGTTTTGTTTTGTTTTGTTTTGAGACTGAGTCTCACTTCTTCGCCCAGGCTGGAGTGCAATGGTGTGATCTTGGCTCACCGCAATCTCTGTCTCCCGGGTTCAAGCCATTCTCCTGCCTCAGCCTCCCCAGTAGCTGGGATTACAGGCATGTACCACCACATCCGGCTAATTTTTATATTTTTAGTAGAGACAGGGTTTTACCCTGTTGGCCAGGCTGGTCTCGAACTTCTGACCTCAAGTGATCCACCCACCTCGGCCTCCCAAAGTGCTGGGATTACAGGCGTGAGCCACTGCACCCAGCCACAATTATATTATTAAAAGGCTCTTTTAGACCTGACATGACTCTTTCTGGCTCCAAGAGTTCAGGCACATGCTTCTCTGCATGGAAGATTGATAAGGTTGTTAGAACCTCTGGTTCTGCTATTTTTGGTAACATTCTTTGAGGAGAGTTTTAGGACTGTGGCTGAATGACTCTAGCTGTACTATAATGATACAGCGTCATAAAAAATTCTCCTGCCTTTCTGTATTTGGAAACACATCATCTATAACGATTCCTTTT
Organism: Homo sapiens; assembly: GCF_000001405.40. Taxonomy (NCBI): domain Eukaryota; kingdom Metazoa; phylum Chordata; class Mammalia; order Primates; family Hominidae; genus Homo; species Homo sapiens. The sequence continues at coordinate 38,786,019 of NC_000022.11, read as the reverse complement.
TATTCTGTCTCATCTCTTTTAGGTCCCCAGAAGTATGTGTAGTGGTTAGAAAAAGCTCTTTGTAGTCAGGGCCCTTAGTAAACTTGGCTGAATCATGGTGACCAAGTCCTGGCTGATTAACGCTGGTAGCAGAGAGCACTGTGATAACAGCGCAGAGAGCTTTAACGTTTCAAATCGCTCACATACACATACCTGGGGCTTGCAACAGCTTCCTGAGAACGCAGAGATAGGATTTAGTATCCCGTTTCATAGAGAAGGAAACCAAGGCTTAGGTGAAATTACTTGCTGACGGCTGCAAAGAAAGGAAGTGAGCAGAATGCTCGTCTTTGACAGAGCTGGTCTCCATGCCTGCACACTCCGGCTTGCGGCCCACACAGTTCTTAGCTCTGCAAGATGCTGCACAGGTCACTCTCCCACTGGCTTTTCCCCGTTGTTCCTGAGAAATGGGCCTTGGTCATACCTCTGAAGTCATGGGACATCTCAGCAGGATTCTGCATGTTAGAGCAGCTGTCACAGACCCTGACCTCCTGGAGGGTGGCATGTCCACAACTGGCTCCTGGTTCCCTCCTGGCTCCTACATGCCAGCACTTTTTAGCCTCCGGGATGAATTGAATCAAATGGAAACATCTCAGTGGAAGATGCCTAAGAAGCTGCTTCCACATTTTTCATTGTTCCCCCTTGAAATTCTCAGAGATAAACAAACTGTGTGCCCTTTTCCTTCTGTCATCAGTGTAGCCGCCACCTCTGTCACACCTGGACAAAGGTAGAGGAGGAAGCAGTAAGGCTAGGAGGACAGCCTGGAATTGGAAATACGCCTTCACATTCATGAGCAAAGACAAAATGATTCCCTGAATTTTGTGAAATAAGGAACCTGACCAGAAAGTACAATGAAATTGTGCTTGGTAATTCACCAGCTTGTAGAGAGAGACAAACAAAAACTGCTAACATCTGAGTGGTACAAATGCCCAGAATTGATGAGATAAGTGGAGCCATCTGTCCACTGGGAAATCAGAAAATACCAATGTCATTGGATGGGGGGGGGGGTCTGTGCCAGGCTTCCAGCCTCATGCGAGGGAGCCGACCAAATGGAGTGGCACCGAGTCATTGGAGCGGGGATCAAATCAAGAGCACAGCCCAGAAAGAGTGCCCAGAAAGCTCAAGGCTGGGCCAAACCAGGGTCAAGTTAACATTAGAAAAAGAGCCAGCAGGCTGGGCGCGGTAGCTCACGCCTGTAATCCCAGCACTTTCGGAGGCTGAGGTGGGCGGATCACGAGGTCAGGAGATCGAGACCATCCTGGCTAACACGGTGAAACCCCATCTCTACTAAAAATACAGAAAAAAATTAGCCGGGCGTGGTGGTGGGCGCCTGTAGTCCCAGCTACTTGGGAGGCTGAGGCGGGAGAATGGCATGAACCTGGGAAGCGGAGCTTGCAGTGAGCTGACATCGTGCCACTGCACTCCAGCCTGGGCGACAGAGTGAGACTCCGTCTCAAGAAAAAAAAAAAAAAAAAAAGTGAAAGAGACAGCAAAGGGGAAGAGCAAATATTTGATTCGTCTCCCTTCTAGGATGATAGGAGCTGTCCCAGTGGGCAGCTGATGTATGCTTGTGAGTGCCTCCTGTGTGCCCATGAGGAGGCGTATGAACAAGGGGTCAGGAGTGCCCATGCCGACAGCCGGGCCTGGATTCACACCTTAGCTGTGTCGCTAACGAGCTGAGTGACCTCAGGCCAGCGACTGACCAGCCTCATGCCTCTGTCCCTACAGAACCGAACTCCCGGGGTTGTTGCGATGACAAGGTGTGTAAATGCATGTGAAACACCGACAGGCAGGAAACCGACAGCCGTCACGTGTCATCACCTGCCTGTTAGTTACCGTGCTCGGCACCTTTGGGTTCCATGACTGTGCAGTGAAAGGAAATTTATTTGGAAATGTGAGAAATGCTGGAATAACATTATTTTGCTGTAGTTGTCTAATATAAATCATTAAAAAGGGCTTAACAACCTGGTGATTTGTATCCGCTTATGTCAGTACTTCTGAGATTAAAAAAAAAAAAAACTTTGAATTATGAGATAAATTGGGTTGAAGATGAAAGAGAAATGCCTGGATTGGCAGGAGTGCTGCCAGTCATCTCGGGTCCAGGCCCGTCTCTTTAGTAGAAGCCCCGTCGGTTAGGGAACAGCCATGTACTGAGTGCCTGCCGTGTGCTTGGCACTGTCTTAGCTTTACAGGCACTGTTTCTTTGAATTCTCATAACGGCCGCATGAGATGGATGTGACTGTACCCACATTACTGGTGAGGAGTCTGGGGCCCAGGGCCATACTGCTGGTGACTGACTGAACCAGCAGCAGCACCCAAGCCTCCCAGCTGCTGGGCCAGCAGGACAGGACCCAGTGGTCCAAGAAGGAGTAGGAAAGAACAACCAGGGAGCCTGGTGTGCCAGGGAGGGCACAGAGCAGCACCGTGCCCATTCCCCTGAAGATCAGGGCCTGCAGAGGGGCCCCCTTGCTTGCCAATAAGCCCAGACTGTCAGTGGTGACCTGAACATTTCCCTTCCTAAGCACAGCTTCTGGGAAGGAAGGCCCATGTGTGTAGCAGGAGGGAAGGCCCGTGTGTGTAGTGGGAGGGAAGGCCCGTGTATGCAGTGGGAGGGAAGGCCCGCGTATGTAGTGGGAGGGAAGGCCCGCGTGTGTAGTGGGAGGGAAGGCCCGTGTGTGTAGTGGGAGGGAAGGCCCGTGTATGTAGTGGGAGGGAAGGCCCGTGTGTGTAGTGGGAGGGAAGGCCCGTGTGTGTAGTGGGAGGGAAGGCCCATGTGTGTAGTGGGAGGGAAGGACCGTGTATGTAGTGGGTACGCGGGGAAACTGCATTTGCTCACTGCCAGCTCAAGCCTCCATCCTGCAGGCCTGGCCCACAGTCAGTATTTGTCTTGATAATGACAGTGTGGGCTTGCGGCATCGTACCAGTGTGTTCTTAACCAGGTCCCAGCATCTCGTGTTGACTCATCCTGCCGTCTGCAGACTTGCTGGCCATTTGGAAAAGGGTGCGGAGGAGTTAAGATGGGGAGGTGTCAGATTGTTACTGAGACATTTCTAATTTGCGATGTATGGTTTTGAAGCCAGCTCTTTTTTTCTGGTTTCTCCTGTTTTCTGCAGCACCCCCCGGGGAAAGACATTTTCTGCTCCCACCGAGTTGGCAGGGCCTGCTTCCTGAATCTCCTGGGTGTGTCTTAACTGCCAGTCCCAGCACCTCCTGAAAGCCCCACTCTCCTCCAGTGGTCACAGTGGAAGGATCATGGGAGAAACAGAAGGGAAGAAAGATGAGGCTGATTATAAGCGACTGCAGACCTTCCCTCTGGTCAGGGTAAGCCCCAGGGGAGGGAGGCAGGACTGCCGGCAGGGCCCACACAGCCTGGAGAGAGGTGGGTGGAGCTTGTCCCTTGCAGGATGGCAGTGGGAGGAAGTTAAGAAGGGCTCTGCTGGCTCAGACCTAGACATCTTGGAGTTGACAGTGATTCATTGTTTCATTCATTCATTCATTCACCAAGTATTGGGCCACCTACTCTATGCCGGGCACTGTTCTAGGCACTGTGGGGATGGTAAACGAGACAGGCGAAGGCCTGGCCCACATGAAATACATGTTTTAAGAACATGATCGTAGGCAGTAAGTACTATAATGAAAAATGAAGCAGGTGGAAGGAGCTGGAGAGCAGAGGTTAGCTTCTGGAGAGGTTTTGCAGATCAGAGACCTGAAGACAGAGAGCAAACCTCACAAAGACCTGGGGAAGAACATGCCAAGCCGGGGAAACAGAGGCACGGGAAGCCTGGGATGGGAATGAACTTGGCATTTTGGAGGCACAGAGAGAAGGCCAGCATGGCTGGAATGGAGTGCTGAGAAGGGTGGCAGGACATAACAGCACCAGTGGGGCCAGACCCTACAGGCCTGGCCAGCCACAGTGAAGAATGTGGTGAGAACTGTGGGTTCTGTCCTGAATCGAAGGGGGAACACTGAAGGGTTTTAAGCAGGGGAGTGATGAGATCTGTTTGGTTTTCAAAAGCTCACTCCAGCTGTTGTGAGCAGAATGGATTTGGAGATACCAGAGCAGAAGTGGGGAGACCAGCGAGGAGGCCGCTGTGGAGGCCCAGAGCGATGAGGGTGGCTGGGTGCGGCTCACGGAGTAGAGTGCGAGATGCGGTCGGGTTTAGGGTGTTCCGTGAGTGCAGAGGCCAAAGGACCTGCTGCCAAATTGGAGACTGGGTATGGGAGCAAGAGAGTCCAGGGTGGCTGCTACAGTCTGTCTTTTCCTGAGTATTGGGAGAAAAAATGGTATCAATTACCAGGAAAAGGAGATGGAAGAAGATGGGTTTGTGGGAATCAAGTTATTTTTAGACATCTAAGTGAGGCTGTCAAGTGGCCAGTTTGACAGAGTAGTCAGGAGCCCAAAGAAGAGGTTAGAGCTGGGGGTAGAAGTGTGGGAGCCCTCCCACAGAGAGGACACAGACAGGCGCGGAACACACAAGACCCCAGAGATGGAGTCGCTGGAGATGGGAGAGTGGAGGTGGGGCCCAGGGCCCTCCAGGAGCTGGGAGGAGGAAGGAAATCCAGCAGATCGATGGAGAAGGAGCAGAGGGAAAGGCCGGAGGAAAACCAGGGGCCCCAGAGAGCGCCCAGCGGCCTCTTCGGGCCTCCGGGGTGAGATTCCGTCGGAACACACTTCCATAGCCAGCATTCCCTCCGCCCTCAGCCGGCTTTCTTCCCATGTCTGTTGGCTGGAACCTGGTGCTGGCTTCGTGCCCTTGCAGAGAGCCTGGGCTTGAGAGCCCACGAGGCTCAGCTCCATGCCATGCCTTTGCCCCAGCTGCAGGCCCTCAGTCAGGAGATGGGTCACCTGCCCAGGGCTGGGCCAGGGAGGCTACCTGCTGTCCATGCCTTAAGCTTGGGACAGAGAGGCCAGCCAGGAAGGCCAGGTCACGGGCTAAGCCTGTCTCTTGTTTGTTACCCCTGCCCTGTCTCTAGCACTCGGACATGCCAGAGGAGATGCGCGTGGAGACCATGGAGCTATGTGTCACAGCCTGTGAGAAATTCTCCAACAACAACGAGGTATTGCCAGCAGTGCAGGCGGCCCCTCGTGCTTTTGATGGCCCCTGTGGGTGAATAAAGTGGCCCCTGTTCCCTGCAGTTGGCTCCAGACAGTACTGCTAGGATGAGGCCAGAGCCTTCCTTGGAAGCATTCAGTCTGGGGAAAGTCAGTGAGTGAGAGGCTGGCGCTGACTCCAGGCACTGACGGTCACACCCAGCCCTAGAGGAGCAAAGCCACAGGGGTCTCCATGACGCCCCTGCCCATGTTCCCTGCCTCAGGTGGGCTGCTGAATAGGGTGCCTTTCCCCGTGGTTCCATCCCAGTGGTGAACAGAGGCCTGCCCAGGCATCCATTCATGTATTCACTCATCCATTCAAAAAGGTGTTGAACAGGCGCTGTTCTAGGTGTTGGGGATACGGCCAGCAGGCATCAACGCAGGAAGGCCATTCATCAATCTGGTGGGGAGAGCGAGAAGTCAGTGTTGCGGCAGCCGGTGGGGAGGCAAGACACTGGCCAGTGGGAGCCCAGGCTTTGGGTCGGCCAGGCCCAGGTTCAGATCCTGGCTTCAGCCCTTCCCAGCTGTACCCTTGAATGAGCCATTTCTCAACTCTGAGCGCAGTTTCCTAGTCCTTAAATGGAGGGTGGCGATGGTGCCTCCTCACTGGGCCAGTTGTGAGGATGTATTTACTGAGACGATGGGGACAGAGTGCCCAGCATGGCACCTGGCATGGTGGGAGGCGCTGTTGGTGTACCTCAGGCGCCTGCACCTGGACTCGCCCTGCCGAGCGGGGGTCCCTGCCCCTCTAGACCTCCTCACACAGGGGGCACGTCTTGAAAGAGCAGGCACAGGAAGAAGTCGACTGTGGCCATGACTAGGGGAGTAGTCGGCGCCTCCCCAGAGCCCACTGAACGCATCAGGTACCTCGCAGTCTGCAGGGTGCCAGGTCTCTCCATCCAGTTGGTCCTGAGACTGCCTGGTGCCCCGCTTGTCCAGGTTACATCTGAGGGAGGTGGCACTGGCCCAGGAAGCCCGCACTAAGTGCAGAGCCAGGACGCAGCCCCAGGCTATCTCCAGACCTGATGCTTGCCTTCCCGCCTCAGCCAGTTTCTTCTTGACTGCTGAGTAATGTCTAGTTTTCTGTGCCTGTGTAATAGACCTGGCAGGAGGTGGCCTGCGTGGAAACCCTTTTTGAAGCAGGAGGACAAGAGAAATAGGACAGCAGGCCTTTCTCTTGCCAAGACCTCAGTGCCAGCCTTCTCCTTCCTGGAGAAGGACCTGACTCCTGCCCCCACCTGCCCTGCGCCCCCTTGATAAGTGCCCTCTTCCTTCCAGAGCGCCGCCAAGATGATCAAAGAGACAATGGACAAGAAGTTCGGCTCCTCCTGGCACGTGGTGATCGGCGAGGGCTTTGGGTTTGAGATCACCCACGAGGTGAAGAACCTCCTCTACCTGTACTTCGGGGGCACCCTGGCTGTGTGCGTCTGGAAGTGCTCCTGACACTCTGTCCCCTGCCCCGTCCCCTGCAGGGCCTTTTCCTGCCACTCATCTGGGGTGGGGAGCAGCCCTAGGCAGGTCCTGGTTTTTCCAAGGAGAGTTGGGGTCTTTTCTTTTTGTCTTTGTGTACCAGTTTCCTGAGCCACGCCCAGTGTGTGAACTTGACATCTCCATCCCCAGGCTCTCAACCGTCTCCCTCGGAGTCTCAGGGTGTGGACGGGGCAGCGGGCATGGGTCTGTGTGGGAGACGTGGGGTGGGGCGGTGTGACAGGGTAGAGGAGGTGGGAGATGAGATCTTCCGCACAGGAACACGCCAGTCCCCCTTTCTCCAGGGCTGCCTTCCCCTTGCATCCTGGGAGCCCCACTGCCCTGCCATCCCCAGTACTGCCGGGAAGTGTCGGCCGTCCTTGTCATTAGTGGTCATATGAAAATGGCCCCAAGAAGGAGATGATTCTTTCAAGGGACACAGGCAGCTTCTCTCCTTGTCCTCTGGGGAGGTGCTGACCCCTCAGAAACCCCTTCCCCCAACTTGACCCCAGGCTGAACAGACCACTGCATCTCACTGGGCCAGCAGCCCCCCCAGCCCCCAGCCTTGGTGGGGACCAAGCAGCCTTTCCCGTCCCCTCCTCGACCCGTACAGTTGAGAGCCAGGGGCTGGTGTGTGGGAGCTGCTACCTGGCAGTTTCTCGAGGGGTCACCGAGCCTCTGGTGGGACACCTGGGCAGGAGTGCTCTCACCACGAGGCTGCTTCCGCAGGGAACCCTGGCCTGCCCGCGACTTCGCATCAGGGACCGCATGCTGATTTGTACTGCTCTCTGCTGGGTTTTCTATGTTCTTTTCGAGTGTGGGAAAAGGGTTTTAGTAGAAGGGTGAATCGTATTTTACACAGCGGTCTTATTTATATAAATGTCTTGGTTTTTACAATTAAAATGACCAAAAACTGACCTCATTCTACAGTCTCTTGATGTTAGGGGAAGGTGTGATCAGTATCCTCAGGCTCAGGCACCTAGAGATGTTTCTGGTTAAACTGTGAGGCTGCTGGAAGCCCCTGGCCCAGGCATAGCCCCAGTGGACATGGCCTGGCCCCTCTCACCATTAGGTCACTGAGGTTGGGGGCCAAGTGCAGCTGGATGGGGCCACACGGACACTGAGATACGCTTGGCAGCTGGACTAAGCTACAGTAAAGATGTTTTCAGGCCCACAGAATTTCACTCAGTTCAACAGATGCTTATTCAATAGCCACTGAGGGTCAGGCCCCAGGAGCTGAGGATACAAAGACAAGCCATAGGTCTGGCCTCAGTGAGCTCTCGGTCCACTGCAGAGGACATGGGCCCCATCATTTCACTCATACGAAAAGTAACATTGTAAGATAGGGCGGGGCATTCTGGCAGGAGGAAGGAGGGACTCCAAGCCCAGCCTGGGGAGTACAGGGTCTCCAGTGGGGTAAGGCCTGACAGCCGACGCTTGAACAGAAAACGGGATCTTACCAAGGGAGAGGGCTGCTCTCAGGACAGAAAACTAGACATTACCCCAAGGCACTTGGGGTAAACGCAGGAGATGAGAAGTGACTTGAGGACAGGAGCCACGTGCAGGCCTGTGAAGCCCCCTCAGGGGTTGTCCCCTGAATCCGAGCCTCAGAAGTGAACACCCCGGGCGTGGGGAGAGCGGGGAGAGCCCGCCTTCCCATGCACACAGGGGCCCTCCTGAGATGGTCCCTAGGATACATGGGTCTGGGAGCTGAAGCCCTGTCCTTATCCCAGTCCCAGTCCCACCCTTGTGAGACTGAGCGTCCAGCACTAACAAGATCCATCAACAGATTGGCTGGGCAGCCTCATGGCGAGCAGGTAAGGTTTGCTCAGACCAGACCCATGCAGCCAAGGGGAAGGTTGCTGCCGTGTGCGCACCCGGTCCAAGAGCAGTGGGACAGACAAGAACGAGAAGGCGCAGTCGTTGCCTCAAGGCTGACCATCTGGTTGGGTGGCTTTCCAGCTGGTCCTGGCCCTCTGGGACTTGGCGGATGGGGCAGCTTCTTGGCCTCAGACCTGCCCTGGCCAGAACCCTGTGCCACTCGGGTGTTGCGGAGGGATTGGCAGAAGGGAGTGAACGGAGAGGCGGGGGCCGGCGCTGGAGGTGGGGAGCAGGCGCCGAGGCCTAGAATAGCTGCGCTGATTACCGCCCGCTCTGCATCTGTTCTCTCCTTTCATCTGCTGCACGTGGGCGCCAAAAAGCGAGGCTGGCTCAGCCGGCAACCAGGGTGGTGGGGGTGGCAGGAGCGTGGGTGCTGAGGCCCGCAGAGCTGGTTCGGGTCTGGCCCTGCTCCTCCTAACTTCTCTGTCTTCAGTGGCTCTGTCTGTAGAATGGGGATACACCGCACCCACCTCACGAGGTTGACGGGAGGCCTGGGACCGCAACTGGAACAGGTGACACCCCCGAGGTGTGCACCGCATTATCGCTGTGCCCCTCCTCTTGCCACCTGTGGACGGGGTGCTGACACCAGCTCCTCGGGGTGGGTGGAGATTCAGTGAGATGAGGCTTGTGCAGTGTCTGGCCCTCACAGTCACACCGTACGGTGGCACCACAGGTGGCGAGCAAACCTTCTACCCTAGTCACTCCTGTCACTGCAGCAGAACCCTCCTCACTTGCCTTCCCAGAAATGGGTCATTCACAGTCTCCCCTTCCTGCTCCCAGACAATGGTGTGGTCACCGTTGGGCCAGGTCAGGTGACGGAACCATGGCAGGTGTGTTTCCCAGGGGTTTCCTTGGCCCCGGTGGCTTTACTTCCACTCCCCAAGACCCATGCCAGACGTGGACACCTGGCCTTCCAGGGCCCTTGCTGCCCGTAACATTCAATAAGCATTTGATGATGGGCTGAAAGGAGAGGTCCGTGACCACGGAGAAGGCACCGTCCTTGCCACCCAGCATACAGGCTACTGAGGGCCAGACCCAGGAACAGAAAAGCAAGACAGGTTCATTTGCCAGAAGAGAGAAGACGGGGTTCAGGGAATCTGGAGTTCAGAGAAGAGAGTGACTCTCACTAGGGGGCTGGGGAGGACTTCACAGAGGAGGTGGCATTGAACTGGGCCTTGGCATTTTCCCAGGAAGGGGTGAGATGGGGGTGGGGAGGGGGAAGTCACCATTGTTTGAGGGACCAGCCGCCCGTGCAGAGTGGGGGCTCCAGGAAGCTCACAATGGGTTCAGGGAAGCCGGGCAGTGGCCGTGGATGGGAGAGGATATGGGGGTGGGGAGAGAGGACGGGCTGAAGGTGAAAGGGTTTGCTGGGGCTCAGGAGGAAGGAGGCTTCCCCCACTTGGCAGGCACTGGGCTTACCCTGATGTGTAACTCTCAGCAGACCTCCAAATTAGGGGTTGCTGTTGCTATTTACAAATGGAGAAACTCAGGTTTGGAGGATGGAGTGTCTGACCCAGGGTCCAGCTAGGGAGCAGCTGTAGCCGGGACTTGAACCTGGGCTGCCTGCCTGGATAGTCCCTGCTCTTCCACACACGCTGCATTCTCAGACCTTCCGTCCACTTCCCTCCTGCCCCGTCCCCCACAGACAGCTGGGCTCCCCGCGGCCTGGCCACGCCTTGGGCCGTCCATCTCCTAGCTGCTTCCCTCACCATCGCCAGGCCTCCCCTGCACCCTCCACGGCAGTTGCAGCATTTATAGTGGAGGCAGTGACCACAGGCCTGCCACCAACCCCGCCTCTTCGCTGCCATCTGCAGTATGGGGAGGAGGGCCTCCCCCCACTAACACCCCAGTCCGCTCTGCTGGGCCCAGCCAGAGTCAGTGTGGGGCAAAAATCGGAAACCTTGTCTGGACATGTCTAAAGGGAGTCACAGGCCCCAACCCCAGGGCCTGTCCCTCTGCCTGGGAGAGCAGTGAGTGCCCCGCCAGATCAGAGAGAGTGAACCATAGGTCCCCTTGCTGGGACTCCAGAACCACAGGCCTCCCAAGAGTGGGGAGCAAGAGGTGCCGAGGCAGTCAGTGTGAGAAGGTGGAGGGTGAGGGCTTGGTCACGAGGCCTTGTGTCGCCTGTGGAAGGGAGCGTGCTGCCGCGGGGACAGCCAGCTTTGAAGCTCTCTGCGGGGCCTTTGGAGAAATCTGGTGAATATTTCATGTTGCCTTGGAAGAGGTGCAGAGAAACTCCAGCATCTTGTTTAACCTACTTCCTGCTTCTCCAGAGGACAGACCCTACAGGTAGGCAAGGGGGTGTGCCCTTGGGCTATGGGGGCCCCCCTCAAACCAGTGTCCCCCACCCACGCCCCACAGCAGGAGTGAGAACTGTGCAGCAGAGGCTCAGCTCCTTAAGCGCAGAAGCAGGCAGCATCTGATTGTGTCCAGGTTTGGGAGGGGGTTGTCAGAGTGCAGCCACAAAAGCCACCACCCTGTCCTAATTTCCTTTCGTTCTCCTCATCTCATATTTAAAACAACCACCTCCCACTGCCAGCTGCTATCTCCAATCCTTAGAAAGGCCGTGGGGGTGGAAGGAGAGCACGCCTAGAAGGCAGAAGACTCGAATCATTTTGAATAATATTCCCAAACTATTAGATTCCTCAGACGTGCTAGGCACAGCACCAAGCATTTCACCAACCCCATCTTCCCTAATGTGTACGTCCATTCTGTGAGGAGATGCCCTCAGTGTCCCCCTCATGCAGATGAGAAGACCCACAACCTAAGTGGCAGAGCCAGGGTTCCCCGCAGGCCTGTGACAGTTCTGAACCCTCTCCAGGGTTGCCTGCCAGCTTGAACAAGCCACTTCGCTTCTCAGATCTCAGTTTCATCACCTGCAAGACAGGACTCGCAGCTCCGGCTATGCCTGCTTCCCAAAGTTACTGTAGGGCTCCCAGGAGACAGTGGCCCTGAATGTGAGTGTGCTTTAAAGTTGGAAGGGCTGATCAAAGATTTGGGTCAGGTGCTGTGGGGGGCCATCCCTTCCTTGGGCCTCCACTCTGGGTGCGAGGCTTGGGAGTCTGGAAGGCTGGGGTGTGCCAGGTAGGTAGGTTATCATCTCTAAGCCCCTGTAGGCACTGGGCCCCTGCAGAGCCAAAGCAGGAGAGGCAGGGCGGCCACACACACACATGCACCTGGTCCAGTGACCAAGGGCCCCAGGTGGCTGGGACCAGAACCCAGAAAGACAATCCCAATGGCAATTATGTGGGAGGACTTGGCTGTTGACCCAGCAGGGTCCACACTGCGTTTGTCCTTCCAGTCTCAAAATGGCCAATGAAGCAGCCTGGAAGTTTCCATGCGACTCCTCCCTCCCCTAACAGTAGGGAGATGGCGTCATAGAGAACATGTGACATGCCAGGATGGGAGCTGGCCTCAGGTCTCCACTGCACATCAGCAGCTCAGAGTGATACCAGCTCCTCCAGAACCCCTTCCCCGCTGCAACCCATGACACATAGGCACTTTGCGTCCCCACGGTGCCACATCTTCTGTCATGGTGTCTATACCTGCTATGCTTTATTTACTCGATGGCTGGGGCTGTCTTATCTCTCTGTGCATCCCCAATGCCTAGCCCAGGGCCTGATATAAATTGAAAATGCATTGTGACTAGCAAGTGAGTGAATGAAAATAGGAATGGATGAGTGGATGGATGCGTGGGTGGGTAGATGGGCGGATGGACAGATAGATGAATGGATGGGTGGATGGGTGGATGGATGGAATAGATTTCTCTAGGAGGTGCATCAGCAATGACTGGGTCGGGCTGATATGAATCGAAAATGCATTGTGACTAGCAAGTGAGTGAATGAAAGAACAGGTGGGTGGATGAATGGGTGGATGGATGGATGGGTGGATGGATGGATGGATGGATGGGTGGATGGATGGATGGGTCCATGGATGGATGGATGGATGGATGAATAGGTGGGTGGATAGGTGGATAGGTGGATGGGTGGATGGATAGGTGAGTGGGTGGATGAATAGATGGGTGAATGAATGGATGAATGGATGGGTGGGTGGGTGTGTGGGTGGGTGGATGGGTAGATGAGTGGATGGGTGGGTGGATAGGTGGATGAGTGGATGGATGGAAAAGACTTCTCCAGGGCCAGGCACAGTGGCTCATGCCTGTAATCCCAGCACTTCAGGAGGCTGAGGTCGGTGGATCACTTGAGGTCAGGAGTTCGAGACCAGCCTGACCAACACGGTGAAACTCTGTCTCTACTAAAAATATAAAAATTAGCCAGGCGTGGTGGCACGTGCCTGTAGTCCCAGCTACTCAGGTGGCTGAGGCAGGAGAATCGCTTGAAGCCAGGAGGTGGAGGTTGCAGAGAGCCAAGATCGCGCCACTGCGCTCCAGCCTGGGTGACAGAGCGAGACTCCTTCTTAAAAAAAAAAAAAAAAAACAAGGAAGAAAAAAGAAAAGACTTCTCCAGGAGGTGTATCAGCAAGGACTGGGTCAGGGGCTGAACTTTGTCCTCTGACTTCTGATGCCCTCGGCCAAATTTCCAGGCCCCTTATGAAAGGCCTCAGGTCCGTTTGGGACTCACAGTCACTCCACTTAGACCTGGATCCTAAGAAAAGATGAAAATCCAACACAAGTGGAACCCATGCGTGGAAGGGAAGGTGCTGTTCAAGGGCAGCACAGCGGGGAGAGAGCTTGGGCTTTGCAGTGAGACCTGAGTTCCAACGCCGGCCCCACCCCATGCCAGCCGTGTGGCCTTGAGTGACTCCCTTCGTCTCCTGAGCCCCATTCTCCTTGTGGGTAAAATGGGAAGAAGTCCTTGCTAGCTGAGCCCAGAGGGTCACTGGGAGGATGAGGTTCTGGGGAAGCAGCCGCAGAGGGGGTCATAACGCTTCTGTCATCAGCAGCGGCTGCCAGAGGGTGGTAAGCAGCAAGTAAGAGGCCAGTTTGGCTCTGGGTCTCATGTTAGGCCTGTGACTGTACAGGAAAGGGATCTGGATCCAGACCCCAAGAGGGAGTTCTTGGATCTCGTGCAAGAATGAATTCAGGGTGAGTCCATAGAGTAAAGTGAAAGCAAGTTTACTAGGAAAGTAAAGGAATAAAGCATGGCTACTCCATAGACAGAGCAGCCCTGAGGGCGGCTGGCTGCCCATTTCTATGGTTATTTCTTATGATATACCAAATGAGGGGTGGATTATTCATGCCTCCCCTTTATAGACCATATAGGGTAACTTCCTGACGTTGCCATGGCATTTGTAAACTGTCATGGCGCTGAGGGGAGTGTAGCAGTGAGGATGATCAGAGGTCACTCTTGTCACCATCTTGATTTTGGTGGGGTTTGGCCGGCTTCTTTACTGCAAACTGTTTTATCAGCAAGGTCTTTATGACCTGTATTTTGTGGCGACCTCCTATCTCATCCTGTGACTTAGAATGCCTTAACCACCTGAGAATGCAGCCCAGTAGGTCTCAGCCTCGTATTTTACCCAGCTCCTATTCAAGATGGAGTTGCTCTGGTTCACAAGCCTCTGACATGACAACAGCTTTCAGTCTCGCCTGCAACTGGGGACCAGCCTGCTGTCCTGGTGGTCTTTCCAGCCATCATTCAGCAAATATTCAGGGGCTCCTATGAGGTGCTGGGCCCTATGCAGAGGAAACACACACTCACTCTGGTTCCCAGGGTACACAGACTCTAAAGGGGCCTCCTGAAGGAACTGGCAGAGCCGAGGGGGCACCGGGCAGATGTTCCGGAGGGTGCTTCCAGCAGGAGCGCCCTGCAAAGCTTCTCTGGAGCTTTTCCTGTTTACCCTGGGGCAGGGCGGTGAGCAGAACCTCCCTGCTTTGACTGCTCTCCAGGCATTTGCCCCAGCTGAGGGGCTTCGTGTTACAGTACCCACTACGAGGCTCGGTATGGGCTTGTGTACCCAGCAGGTGCTCAATCATTGTTTATTAAGTAAATGCCCTTGTCATCCACTTATTGATTCACCAAACTTTTCAGCCCATTCTTTGTGCTGGCCTCTGCTGGGGCCAGTAACACAGAACAGTGTGACATGGTTGCCACACTTGAGAACCTTGCATTTAGGCAGACGCAGGAGACAACAGGAACAGCTCTGTATGCAGAGTGCCATTCTGGGTACTGAGAGTGCCCAGGACAGGGGCAGAGACCAGAGGAAGGACATTTGAACTGGATCTCTAGGAAGGAGCTGAAGGTCAATACAAGAGGATGGGATTGAGGAGGAGCCAGGAGTGTGTGCACAGTGCTGAAAACAAAGAAGCGTGACATTTTTAGAAAACAAGGCCATTGGCCGGGCGCGGTGGCTCACACCTGTAATCCCAGCACTTTGGGAGGCCGAGGCAGGCGGATCACCTGAGGTCCAGAATTCGAGACCAGCCTGGCCAACATGGAGAAACCCCGTCTCTACTAAAAATACAAAATTAGCCAGGTGTGGTGGCGCATGCCTGTCGTCCTAACTACTTGGGAGGATGAGGCAAGAGAATCACTTGAACCCAGGAGGCAGAGGTTGCAGTGAACCAAGATCGCGCCATTGTACTCCAGCCCGGGCAACAAGAGTGAAACTCCATCTCAAAAAAAAAGAAAGAA
Source organism: Homo sapiens (assembly GCF_000001405.40). Lineage (NCBI taxonomy): Eukaryota > Metazoa > Chordata > Mammalia > Primates > Hominidae > Homo > Homo sapiens. Next base: position 38,770,950 of record NC_000022.11, on the reverse strand, counting down.
AAGAAAACAAGGCCATTTGGTGCAGCCAGGGCAAGGGGGCCACGTGGGTGAGGGGCTGTAAGAGATGCCTCTGGAGAGACAGGCAGGGGTCAGACCTGTGTGGGCTTCACTGGCTGAGGCAAGGCACGGAAATGGGTGGCTTGGAAGGAGGCAACAGCACCCACATGGCAGGTGCAGCTCCCTCCCGGAGGGTGGGCTGGGGGCAGGGAGCACGCGCCAGGATGGAGACAGGGTGCTGAACAGGGAAAGGCGACCCACCGGACATCAGAAATGCCACTGTGAAAGGAGGCCCTCAAGGATTCAGGGGGAGGGGCATCTCTGATGGGGCTAGCTGGTCCTTGCCCCAGCACAGGGACCCTGTGGAGCTGAAGAAGGCAGTAGCACGTTGGTGATGGGCTGGCGTCTTCAGAGGTTTGTCCAGGGTGGGCACACATCCTGTAATGAGTATTCTGGAGCCCAGCCCTGTCTTCTCCTCAATAAGGCTCCAGCAGGCCGGACCCCAGGAGAGTGCTGGGTACCCGGGCTGGAGCCAAGCCCCTCCGGCCCCCAGTGCAGTGAGAAGCAAGGGGGCTGCGTGAGGCCTGTACAGCTCAGACGCTCAGGGGCTCCAGGACAGGGTCTCAGCCGGTTTCTCTGTCCCGGGCTCCCTTCTTTTCCCTTCCTCTCCATCCATTTTGTTGAATGCTGTATTTGCCGCTGGACCCTGGAATGGCCAGATACGGCCCATCCCTGCCACCAGCAGCAGCTCTCTTCCCGCAGGGGCCTTGACTGCAGACTCGGCCAACATGACCACTGAGTTCCCAGGGGCCGGAAGTGCCAGGGAGCCCAGAGGAGTGGAGGCCTCGATGCCCAGGGCTGGCCGGGAGGGCTTCTCAGAGGAAGGGACATTTGAGTTGGGGCTGGAAGAGATTTCAGTGGGCCCCAGGGAGATGAGGAGCGGTCAGGGCACTGCAGCCAACGAGCTATGAGTGACGAGTGCATAGCGCTGAAGACGGGGCTGGGCGAGACACATGTGTTATTGGGCCCACAGTGGGGAGCCACGAAGGGCCTCCTGCAGGAGAGGGATGCCACAGGGCCAGGCCTGAGGAACACAGGCCCCTTCTTCCAGGTCTGAGGGCCGGTAACCTGCTCTGCCAGTAAGGGATGGAGCTGGGCCTCAAGCTATGCTATAGGCACGGAGAGCAGCAGCCTCCTAAGTCAGCTCCCACTTACTTCTTGCCTGATGATAACCAGAGGGACCATGCTGGTTAGCGTGGCCTAACCTCCCAGCCAACAGTTTATCCACTTCCCTGGACAAAACCCAATGCTTCAACCTGACCTGCGAGGCCCAGCATGGCCTGGTCCCACCACCTCTCAGCAGGGCCCAGCTCTAATCCTCAAGTCTGGGGACCCAGGATCAGTGAGGTCCAAACCAAGTTGGCAGAGCCACCAAGCCAGGCCCCACCCAGCTCCACTTCCACATCAACAGGGGTGACCAGCATGACCTGCAGGACCTCCAGTGAGGGAGGATACTGTGGCCTCGGGTCAGCCAATTCCCCCCTCAGCCCCCAGCCCACGCTCCCTGTCCCCAGCCCTGTCCTCTCTGACCTCATCTCCACCTTGCAGTCCAGAAGTCTTGGGTACCCAACTGAGGCTGACTGTGACATGCCCCAAACACAGGCAGGCCCTCTTCAAGCCCAGGAGGTGAGGGCCTGGGTCGGGGGACCCTCTGGCTCTGCCATGGGCTTGCTGTGTGTCTCTGGGGCCAGCCGCCCCCTCCCTGGGCCCATCTCTTGTCTATGCCCCAAGGGACCCCTTTACGGTGCACTGTTCAGCAGAACGTTGGGAATCCCTGCACCCCTGCCCCTCTGGATAATACAATCCTCCAATCCTGCCCTGGCCGCATCCTGCTATTTCTCCAAGATGAGCTCCTTCCTCCACCACGCAGTCTCGCTGCAGCCGGCGGCGCAGGGCGACCTCTCATGGCCACATGTGGGCATAACGTGGCTCATCAACGGGGCGCTGGGAGGACACTGGGAGGGCTGGCCAAGCCCTGGGAGGACTTGGGGGAGACACTGGGAGGACTGCAGTTGAGGGGGCCTGCTGGGAGGGTGCTGGGGGGCTCACCTCACCCTTCTCTGAGGCTCAGCCTCTTCACACTCATTGGGCCCAAGTGAGAAAAGGTGTGGTGGCTTCGAGTCAGGCCTGACTTCCTTCTGCTCTTCAGTCACAAATATTTATTAATTAATTATTTATTTATTTATTTATTTATTTATTTATTTATTTTCTTGAGACAAAGTCTTGCTCTGTCACCCAGGCCAGGGTGCAGTGGCGTGATCAGCTCATTGCAACCTCCCCCTCCCAGGTTCAAGCGATTCTCCTGCCTCAGCCTCCCTAGTAGCTGGGATTACAGGCACCTGCCACCATACCCGACTAATTTTTGCATTTTTAATACTAATGGGGTTTCACCATGTTGACCAGGCTGGTCTCAAACTTCTGACCTCAGGTGATCCACCCACCTCAGCCTCCCAAAGTGCTGGGATTACCGGCATTAGCCATCGCATCCAGCCAGTCCAAGGCTTCTTGACTAGGGCAGCTGAGGTGGAGGCTCCCCCACCTTCTCGCCACTGCGCCCAGCCACAAATATTTATTGAGCACCTGCTGCATGCCCTACCTGTGTAGGTCCTAGAGCAGCCACCTCAGAGCAGGCAGGTCCGCACCTCGCTGCACCTGCAGGCCTGCGGGCTTCAGCTCCTCCTCTTCCCACTCCGAGCTCACCCCATGTTGCCGCTCAGTATTGCCGGTCTCACAGGGCCCCTGAGGGCAGAGGGGAAGGTGCTCAGGTCCTGTCCAGGGAGACACCTGGGACCTGGTGGTCCCATTGGCAATCATCACCCACCTCTTCCTCCCACTGCTCTTGCCTCCACACTCCGAGGCCCCTCCTTTCAGAAGGTTATTCCAAGAGCTCCCACCTGGGTGCCCAAATCTCATTGCCCCAGTGCTGCTGTCCATGCTGGGTGCCTCTCTGGGAGCTCGTGGGAGTGACTGGTTCATCCTCTTCCCCCAGGGGATAAGATAATGGAATTGGATGGGGAAGCTCTGGGGAACACTCCAACATTCCCTCCACAGCATCTTCGGATTCTTCACTTAGGTTTGCCTAAAGTGGGGCAGTTCTGAGCTCCCTGCAGGGGAAGGGGGCTCCCTACCCGCTGTAGGATGCACAGGCCCCAGCATCTGCGTTTAGGGAAAATGCAGGCAGGGCCAGCCCCTCTTGGCATCCTTTTTGTGGCTGGGAGTGTCACCTATAGAACAGAGTCCACCCCACCCTGCAAGCCTACAGTCACCCTGAAAAGGGACCCTGGCCTGCTCCGTACCGCCCCCTCCTCCTCAAAAAACAACCCCCTCCCAGGAGCGTCCCTCTAGAACCGCGTACAGCTGTGGGTGCACCTGAGGAGGCAGGGCGGGGAAACAGCGGCCAGGTGCGCTGCCAGGATCATACAGCTAATGTGGCCAAGCAGACAAGTAAGTCCAGAGCAGGCTCAAAGCCTCGTGTTCTTGAGGGATCCAGGCCCATTTCCCCCAACTGTAGAATGGCCTGCCTGTGGGCTGTTTGGGGAAGGAAGCCAGGGGAGGAAGGGAGGTGGGCATGTGCACAGCCCTGAGCCATGTTCTCACTGTGGCCTATCCACAGCCCCTCAAGGCAGACGTCACTACCCCACTTTTAGCAGGTAAAGGAGCGAAAGCCCCGGGAGGTGAAGCTGCGCCCATGGTCTGTCTGGAAGGTGTCCCTGGGGCTGTGGAAGGCGTGCCGCGGTGGCCCCTCCACCCAGGACCAGCAGTGGCCATCCCTGGCCTAGCATGAGTGCCCCTGCCCTCTGCCAGGGTATCCTGACGTCAGTGGGACTCCGGAGCAGAGGGCCAGGGAGGGAATGGGCCATGCAGCTAGCTATGTTTGGGAGTGTTCCAGGCAGGTGGATCACCTGAGGTCGGGAGTTCAAGACCAGCCTGACCAACATGGAGAAACCCCTCCTCTACTAAAAATACAAAATTAGCCAGGCGTGGTGGCACATGCCTGTCATCCCAGCTACTCAGGAGGCTAAGGCAGGAGAATGGCTTGAACCCGGGAGGCAGAGGTTTCGGTGAGCGAAGATCGCGCCATTGCACTCCAGCCTGGGCAACAAGAGCGAAACTCCATCTCAAAAAAAAAAAAAAAAGAAAAAAAAGAGGAGCGACCTGAAGCAGGACTAAAGAGACTATAAGGACATTACGTGATTATGTGAGTCCTGGTGTGACCCCACAAATCCCTCTTCTCTGCACCAGAGGACAGCCCTGCGGGGTCTCACTCACTGGGAACCCCATGCCTGGCACAAGATAATGAAAGCAGTCAATGGCCATGCCCTTCTCTTGGAGAACAGAGGCCCAGAGAGGAATATGGACTGAGCCAACATCCTTCCCTGAGTTCAGGGTGCACATGGGGCCATGTCTGCTGACAGCCCTTCGGCCTTTCCACGAGACCCGAGCCTATGAGACATCAATCCCCCTTCCCTGGGCCCAGCCTGGCCAACCACTGCCCCAAGACTGGGGTGGGCCCGGGTCCACCGGAGCTCCTCAGCCAAGCTATGCCCATGACTCTCCCAGCTGCCCCTAGGGGGAGACAGACTCGCCTGCTGTGCCTGGGTCGGAAGGATTCCCGCTGCTCATCCTCATCCTGGATACAGGTGGCAGGCGCCAAGCCAGGGTGAGTCACAGGGCAGCTGGCCAGGCCAGTTGTCTTTTTTTTGTTGTTGTTGTTTTTTCTGTGGCAGCAGAATCCCTTTTTTCAAATCAATTTGCCCAGGGAACCCCAGTGTGTCAACCAGAGCAGAACAGCTCTAGTCGAAGTAGGGGGAGTCGGCAGGGATCCTGTCCTCAGATCTTAGGGAACATTCTGGCAAACTGCTGTCTGGCCACCTCCTCATTCTACCTGTGGGCCAGTGAGGCTCAGAGAGGTTTGGGCTTTGAGTAGTTGGTCAGAATGGCTGGCAAGCAACCAGCCCACCTACCTGTAGCCTGTCCTAGAGCACTGGATGAGAGCAGGGGCTACTGACTCCCAGCTCATTGGGTGGCCCCTGAGCCCCACTGAGCCCCACTGGAGTCCCCTGTGGCCCCTTCCCCAGGTTGACAGAGCCTTTCCCAATCTGAGCACTTCCAGGGTGACAGTGGCTGCAAGGGCTACATGGTGAGCCCCCCACTGTTACCCCAAGTGGCCTGGGGGAGCCCCTTTCCTACCTTTTCTCCAGGAACCTTCAAGGTCCCAAGGCCTAGCAGAGCTCCTCAGGAGTCTGTGTGTGTGTGTGTTTCGATGTATCCAAGTGTGTCTGTGTGTCTCTAATGTATGTGTGTCTATGTCTTTGTGTATCTCTGTATGTGTCTGTGTGGGGTGTGTGTGCACCTGTGTCTGGAGGTGAACAGAAACCCCTCTTCGTCTCTCCTGAGCGCTGAGAGAGCAGGTGAGAGCCTCCCCTGGGGTGTTCTGTCCTCTGTCACCGTCCATGACCTGGTGATGTCTATGAACCACCACAAGTGAGGTTCCCAGGACTTTAGACACAGACTCAGAGTCTTAGGCCTGGGGAGGGCCCAGGGATACTCAGCCCCACCCCTTCTTGATGCTAAAATGTGCGGCACAGATTATTCATTGAGTCATACTATTTTATTTTATTTTATTTTATTTTATTTTATTTTATTTTATTTTATTTATTTATGTTTCAGACACAATCTTGCTCTGTCGCCCAGGCTGGAGTGCAGTGGCATGATCTCGGCTCACTGCAACCTGCACCTCCTGGGTTCAAGTGATTCTCATGCCTCAGCCTCCCGAGTAGCTGGATTACAGTCGCCCACCGCCACGCCCGGCTAATTTTTGTACTTTTAGTAGAGATGGGGTTTCACCATGTTGGCCAGGCTGGTCTCGAACTCCTGACCTCAAGTGATCTGCCCACCTTGACCTCCCAAAGTGGTGGGATTACAGGCATGAGCCACCACACGCAGCCAAGTCATAATATTTTAAATGATTTTTTAAAAATCATTTGAAATAAAAATAATTTCATTTAACCTTCGTAGTAACCCCACAAACACTCTTGTCCTCTGAGAGGTGGGTGGCTGATGAGGTCCTGTAACGCATAAGGGGCAGCTTCTGTGGACGAGGTTCCACTCCCACACCTGAGGCATGGCTGGTGGGGTCGGGGTGGCCATCCTGCTGCAGGGACAGTCCCCTTCTAGTTCTCACCAGGGCAGAGGGTCACTGAGGCTGAGGCCAGGGTGGCTTCAGTTAGAGATCCCTGTGGCCCCGATACCCAGCGTCCTTCCTGAGGGTTGGGACAGCATCGTCCACCCCAAGGACTAAAAAGCAGGGGGTGTTTCCGGCCGGGCACAGTGACTCACGCCTGTAATCCCAGCACTTTGGGAGGCTGAGGTGGGTGGATCACGAGCTCAGGCATTCAAGACCAGCCTGGCCAACATAGTGAAATCCCGTCTGTACTGAAAATACAAAAATAAAAATAAAAAATTAGCCAGGCGTGGTGGTGGGAGCCTGTAATCCCAGCTACCCCGGAGGCTGAGGCAGGAGAATCACTTGAACCTGGGAGGCGGAGGTTGCAGTGAGCCAAGATTGCGCCACTGCACTCCAGCCGGGATGACAGTGCGAGACTCCGTCTCAAAACAAAAAAAAAAGCTGGGGGTGTTTCCAACAGCCAAAGCCGGGATTGTTTTTCAGCTGCCTGGGGTTCTTTCCCCAGCTGCCCAGCCTGGCATCTTTTCCAGCACAAGAGTGTGGAAGGAGGAGTGTCCCCAACCCCTGTCCGGTGGAGTAGTGTTGCCATCGGACGTGGACCAAGCCAGGCCTCCTGCCCACTGTCGCCAGCTTGACCTTCAGGGTCACTCTGCTTCACAGACAGGAGGACTCCCCAAAGACTGCGTGAAAATCAGCCTTTGTTTATAACACGCTCGCGAGGCTAATAATGAAAAATGAGAGAAGGTGGGGGAGCCTCCACCTCAGCTGCCCTGGTCAAGAAGCCTTGGACTGGCTGGGCGCGATGGCTAATGCCTATAATCCCAGCACTTTGGGAGGCCGAGGCTGGTGGATCAACTAAGGTCAGGAGTTCGAGACCAGCCTGGCTGACATGGCGAAACCCTGTCTGTACTAAAAATACAAAAATTAGCTGGGTGTGGTGGCACATGCTTGTGATCCCAGCTATTCGGGAGGCTGAGGCAGGAGAATCGCTTGAACCCGTGAGGCGGAGGTTGCAGTGAGCCAAGATTGTACCACTGCACTCCAGCCTGGGCGACAAAGCGAGACTCTGTCTCAAAAAAAAAGAAAAAAGAATCTTTTCCCCTCAAGTCCAACAGAGCTTAAAGGTGAAAAAAAAAAAAAAAAAAGGCCAGACGCGGTGGCTCACGCCTGTAATCCCAACACTTTGGGAGGCCGAGGTGGGCAGATCACAAGGTCAGGAGATCGAGATCATCCTGGCTAACACAGTGAAACCCCGTCTCTACTCTCTACTAAAAATACAAAAAATACAAAAAAAAAAAATTAGCTGGGCGTGGTGGCAGACGCCTGTAGCCCCAGCTACTCGGGAGGCTGAGGCAGGAGAATGGTGTGAACCCAGGAGGCGGAGCTTGCAGTGAGCCGAGATTGGGCCACTGTACTCTAGCCTGGGAGACAGAGCGAGACTCCGTCTCGAAAAAAAAAAAAAAAAAAAGAAAAAAAATCTTCCCCCAGCGGACCCAGTGGAGTTACCAGGATGTAATCAATTCCTCCAGAACAAGTGGTGACAACACGGGACACCCAAAAGAGACTCAGTGCCCGGGGTTCAGCCCAGGGGCTGGTTCATGGGCACCCTCTGCCTGGCACGTACCGGAATTCCAGCCCCCCAGAAGGAAAGCCGGCGTGCATCGTGGACACACTGTGTGTAGAAACAGTTCTGGCACTGTGAGCTGGTCTTCTTAGGGAATGGTGGGAATCCTCCCAAAATCCAGCTTCCCAGATGCCAGCCCAGGGCCAGCCTTGCAAGCAGGCCTTTGTCTCCAGCCTGCTACATTCATTCTTTTCTACACAGTTAGCGGGGAAGGAGGGGAGGGGAGGCCATGAGGCAGAGGGGCAGATAGAGGCCGTGTCACGGGGGCCTCCAGGCCATGGACTTGGCCGTGGGGCTGATGAGCCATGCACGGATGATCGGCTGCAGGCAGGTGGCCGGGTCCAGCCCCTGCTTCAGGAACATCCGCCTGGCAGCTTTGTGGAGGCTGGAGCGGAGAGGAGGGGAGGGGGCAGCCAGGAAGCTGCAGAAACCATCCAGAGTCAAGTTCAGGGATTGAAGCTCACTGGAGAAGAGGACAGCGTAGCAAGAGGCCCCATGGGGGCAGAAGGCCCGTCTGTCTTGGAGGAGGAGGCGGGGCTGTGCCAAGGGGGTCCCAGGGGGAACGGTTTGAGCCTGTGGGAGGGAGAGGGGGGCACAGGATCCAAAAAGCATGTCCTGGGCAGGACTTGGGTGGGCATGGGGTGGGGGCAGGAACCTGGCGCTGAGGGAGCTGAGGAGGGGTGGGGGCTGGCCTGGGGAGAGGCCAGAAGGAGAAGATTAAGAAATTGCCTGAATTACAAATCACCGCAGCCACCTTGGCCCTAAGAGCCAAGCCGTTGAGAATCAAACAGAGGAGGATGGGGTCACCGAGAAAAGAACCTGGGCACAGAAAAGGAGGCGAAAACAGGGGAGCTCCGAGCACCCCAGACTCAAAGAAGAGAGGGAAGACCATGACCCAGGGGACCCTCAGAGCCCGTGTGGCCCAAGCTCGGGAAGCCAGTCCAGGGAACAGAGGAGAGGTCGCCAGAGCAGGCATCAGTTCACACACAGACACACACTTGCACACACATTCACACAAACATGCACACACATTTACACACATATTCACACACATACACATTCACACATTCACACAAACATGCACACACATTCACACACATAATTCTCACACATTCACACACGCACACTCACACATTCACAGTCACACACTCGCACACACACATTCACACACACTCCCCACACACACTCCCCACACACACTCACACTCATACACACACACTTGCACACAGTCACACAAACATGCACACATTCACACACATAATTCTCACACATTCACACAATTCTCACACATTCACACACACTCGCACACATACATGCACACATACATTCACTTTCACTCCCACACACTACCCCACACACACATACATATTCACACACTCGCACACACATTCACACACACTCCCCACACACACTCACACTCATACACACACACATTCACACACTCTCATACATACACTCACACTCACACACACTCTCACCTTCTCACACCCACCTGGAGGTGAGCCTCTCCTGGACATGGAGGGGAGGGGACAGCCCTGGTCCATGGCTCAGTTGATCCTGCCCCACCGTCCCTCCCTTCAGCATCAACAAGGTGCCCTCTCCAGCCCACAGCTCCTGGCCACTATGCCCTACCGCAGAGCCACTTCCTGCGTCTCAAGCCCCTGAGGCCCCGGGCTGGCAGCCGCAGGCCGTCCTGCATATGACGCACAGGTGCATGGACAGGGCCCTGGGAGGTGCCGCCCGACGTGCTTGACTGCAGAGCCGAGTCAAGCCGAGCTGGGCAGCTGCCCACATGCAGCTATGTGCCATCAAGGCCACCCACCCAGACTCCCTACACCTGGATCCCTCTGGCTGTCGGGAAGCACCGTCCCCAGGGAAACAGAGGCACTGGGGGAGGGGCAGTGGGCACAAAGGAGGACTGAATGAACTGGGGTCCCAGGTTCAAATGCCCTCAGCCATAACCAAGGCCCACCAGCCCTCCGGCTTCCCTGGGGACCACCCTCAGTGACTCACTGCGTACAGGCTGCAGTGCTGACAGCTGGGTGCTGAGTGTCCCTGCATGGGAAGCACACAGGCCACACCCACAGCAACACTGCTGTGAGAACTGAAGGCCTAGAGGGTCCTCCCACCTCCTCTGCCTCCACAGACACCTGGCAGGGAAGGGAGCAGGACAATTACTCCCCCTGCTCTACAGACAAAAAAGCCAAGACCAGAGCAGGGGTTGGGGGCTGCAGCCCTGCAGGAGGGAGAGGTGGGTAGACCGGGGAGTTTTTACTGGGGTCGGGGGCACTCGGGTTGTGCTATGGCGTTCCAGCTAGCCCAAGGGACAGAGCTGGAGGTTGCAGTGACAGGGCTGGATGGCCAGAGGCGGCTCTGCCAGCTGTCTCCACGCAGGGGGCCTGGTTCATCTGGCAGCTTCCCCACCAGTGAGCTGAGCGCTCTCGCTGCTATCCCCTCTGCCTGGTACTCTTGTCCCCTCTGTCCCCGGCTCCTCCTCTTGCCCTTTCTTTCTCCAGAGGTCTCTTTCTCCAGCAGCTTCTCTGACTCCCCAAGTCTGGTTACGAGAGTCAGGGCCAGACCAACTCTCCACTAGGCACAGCAGGCCCAGGGCCAGGGCCATGAATTTTCAGGGGCCGACATAAATGTTTTAATTATTTGTTTAATCAGAAGGGAAAAAAATGGATATAACCTAGCCGGCTTGTGGATACTGACATAGTTGCAAAACACAATACTTAATACTTTTTCTGGAGGAGGGGGCCCATGAAAGTCACACTGGGTCCCTTTGAGCCCTGTGTCCCTCCTGGGCACGAGTCTGAAGTGTTGTGATGATCGGCTCACATGACTGCCTTCTCCACCAGACAGTGGGCCCCGGGAGGGCAGGGGCATGTCTTACATTGTCAGAACAGGCAAGCGGTAAGTATTTGCTAAATAAATAAATGCTTATAAATAAAAAAAAAATAGCCTTGATTGCTAGTTAGTGACAGTTAGCAATCCTTGCCCAGGGCCAGGCACTGTACTGAGCTCCCATGACACAGACACATTGATATCATCCCCGTTTTACAGATGAGGACATCAAGACAATGAAAGGTTAAACCTGCCCACGTCGTTCACCAGGAGTGTCTGCATTCCAAGCCTGCTCTCTGGACCACTGGCCCAGAATGTCCCCACAGAAGGTGGAGCACCTGGTGGATGTATGAAGAGGCTGAGTCCAGGAGGAACACCCTGGACATGGGGCAAGCAGGCTATGTCAGCCCCTGAGTTCTGGCCCATGGATCGGTGCCCTCGGGAGCTCCAGCGCTGCCCCAGCCTCCCTTGTGAGTGTACAGCCAGCTCAGGCCTTCCTCCATGTGGGCAGCACACACTCAGCCAGCTACTGTGCTCAGGGTGTTGGTGACAATGACGGCTAATTGGAGCTTACACCTACCGAGTGCCAGCTGACTGCAACCTCTGCCTGCCGGGTTCAAGCAATTCTCTTGCCTCAGCCTCCCAAGTAGCTGGGATTATAGGCATATACTACCATGCCCAGCTAATTTTTTTGTATTTTTAGTAGAGACAGGGTTTCACCATATTGGCCAGGCTGGTTTCGAACTCCTGACCTCAGGGGATCTGCCTGCCTTGGCCTCCCAAAGTGCTGGGATTCCAGGCATTCATCACTGCACCCGGCCAAAAGATTAGAATGTCATCAGGCAGAGAAACAAGGAAAGGCGTTCCAGGCTGAGGCACAGCCTGAGTAAGGGCTCAGGAGTAGGAGAGGCCTTGGGGTGAGGCCCCAGGAGTGCAGGTGAGGCCTGCAGGAGATCTGCGTCTGCAACCACACTGGGGAGCTGGTGATTTAAGACTGGGAAGCTGCAGTCAGGCAGTCGCTCGATGAACGTTTATTGAGCATTTATTAGGAGCCAGGTACTGTAATAGGTGTGGGGGACAGAGGTGACTAAGGCACAGTCACCCATAAGAGTCTGGCCAAATCTCTGCATGCCTAAGACTGTCCCCCTCAGTCAGGGACCCACGTTGTGTTCCTGGCACCCTAGCTGACCCACTTTGTAACCTGGATCCCACGCCTGCACTCCTCAGAGTAGCCTTCTTCCATAAAATGAGTTTAACTGCGGTTGTCACCTGGTGATGGAGCTCTTTGAGCTCTTAGGATGAAAGATTCTGTAAATACGCAGCCTTTGTCACCAGACTGGGTGGGGTGGAATAGGGAGCCCACATCAGATCCCCAAGGGTGCAGAGAAACAGCCCCCGGGAGTTGGAGGGAGGGTCGGTCGCCAAGCTCCCCTGAGGTTACCGCCCTCTGACAGCTGCCAAGCGAGTTCCTGCAGCCAGAATGCCTGACATGAAAGTCCCCCGCCCCCGCCAAGGCCTGCCTGTGATGGTTAAATGACAGACGCCGACACCCTGGCTGCTGACTGATGCTGACAGCAGGGAGGGAGATGTGGAGCTGGCCTGGGTTGCAGGCAGGTGACTGGAGGCTCTTCCTTAACTCGTGTTCATAGGACGCTGAACACCCACCACGACCTGTCACTGTCCAGTGTCCATGGGGGAGGCAGACAGGCACACAGCACATTCCACCATCACGTGGGGTGTTAGAGGGGAGGCCCTGCTCTCTGGCAGCACAGAGAAGCCCACCTGACAGATGATGGGTCCAGGACAAACCAAGGGCCCAACCTCCTCCCGTCTCCCCGCAAAGATCATGGTGATAAAACCCCTTTGGGATGAAGTAGTTCAGAAGTCCTTTGCCCATGTGACCCTCATGCAAGAGAAAATGAAGGCCAGAGAGCCCCATTGACTTGTCCAAGGCCACAGAGCTCATTGGTGTGGCACACAGGACACTTATTATTATTCTGATTCCTTGGCTTGTGGCTTCATCACTCCAATCTCTTCCTCCATGGTCACATTGCCCTCTGCTCGTCTTCTCTGCCTCTCTTTGGTTTTTTGTTTGTTTTGAAACAGAGTCTTGCTCTGTCACCCAGGCTGGAGTGTGGTGGCTTGATCTTGGCTCACTGTGGCCTTGACTTCCCAGGCTCAAGCTATCCTCCCACCTCAGCCTCCTGAGTAGCTGGGATTACAGGTACACACCACCATGCCCAGCTAATTATTTTCTTTTTTTGTTTTTCTTTTTTAGAGATGGGTGGTGGGGGGGGGGGGTCTCACTAATTTGGCCAGGCTGGTCTCAAACTCCTGAGCTCAAGCAATCCACCTGCCTCAGCCTCTCAAAGTGCTGGGATTACAGGCGTGTGCCACAGTGCCCAGCCCCTATCTTTCTCTTAAAGGGTTACTTGTGTTACACTTAGGGCCCACCCTGATAATCTAGGATAATCTCATTTCAAAATCTTTAGTCACATCTGCAAAGTCTTTGCATGTAGATAACAGTCACAGATTCCAAGCATTAGTACCGAATTCCTGTAGCGACCATTATTCTGCCTGCTCCCAGCCCCCAGAGGATGCAGAGTTTAAGAGGGGCCTGCCTTCAGTCAGCCTGTGGGCATGAGCCTCACATATCCACTCAGCACATCCTGGGAGGGGACCTGGACTCCCCCCCGACCCCAGCAAGGCCAGACCCCCCTGTCTGCCAGGACCCCCGGAGAGGGGGAAGCAGGCTGTGCAATGGAGGAGGTAGGATGTGGCAACTCCATAGAAGTGGTTAGGACAGAATTCTGGAGTTGCGCATCCCAGAGATGAGGAGTCAGAGAGGCCCTTCCCCTACCTGGATGCTGCCCCTACGTCTGATTTGAATTCTCCTTTCATTGCTCCATCCAGCAGACACTCAGACCAGAGCCAGGCTCGGTACCAGGCTCTGGAGAGCTTGTCCATGTCCTCAAAGAGCTTGCAGTCTAAACCTAGGAGTGATAATGGCCAGCACCGTGGTCTCCAGGAGGGTGGAAGAGCAGGAGACTCTTCTCTTTCCAGAGCAGGCAATGGAGGCCCAGGAAAGGGGACTGTTCTTGTCTGGAGTTGGGCTGAAGCCGCTTTAGCATGAGGGTTTTGCCTTTCCTCAATCCTCCGACCCCACAGCCTTCCTGTTCCTGCCTCGGTGATTTTGTCATTCTTGTCTCGTTTCCTCTTGGTACTTTAAAAGTAAAATAACGACTGTTCATCTGCCCTTAGAAGGGCTGGCACAGAAAGAGATTCATCCCAAGCTGTGCACCTGCTCTATCTGTACAGTTGGCGGATGGGGAGCCAAGGAACAGGACCCCCGGAGTCAGGCAGCATTTTACTCAAACGCTGAGCACTCGTTCCAAGTCTGAGTAAGGTAGAAGAATGAGTGGCCAGCCCTGCCTTCCCACAGCTCAAGTGCAGCAAGCACCGTCCTTAAAACAGAAGAGCTGGCCGGGCGCGGTGGCTCATACCTGTAATCCTAGTACTTTGGGAAGCCGAGGCGGGAGAATCACTGGAGCTCAGGAGTTCGTGACCAGCCTAGGCAAACATAGTGAGATCTCGTCTCTATTTAAATAAAATAGAAAATCTGTTTAAAACAAACAAAAAATAGAAGAGCTGTCGTGAAACTTGGGTGCTCTGGGTAAAGCTTGGGAAGAGGCAGGGCCTCCCAGCATGTCTGGAATCCCCAAATTAGCAACCTGTTTCCTTGTCTGAAAAATGGGTGTAGAAATGGCCGGCTAAGAGGACAACGGCACTGGTGCCGGGTGTTGAGCAAGCCCTCGACAGCCTCACCGAGAGTGCACCAAGGGCCACCCGCGCGCTGCCGCTCCCAGGGCTCCCACCCTCCCCTCGGACGCCGGCCTGGTGAACCAGGCTGCAGGCGCGCGTGGGAGCGCTCAGAGCTGTCTCAGGTGTTCTGAGCCGCCAGATCGGGAGTCCAGTGCCCTGCTGAGCCCGAGCCCCAGCACAGGCTCCCGTCGCGTCCTCCCGCAGCCCGGGGTCCCCGCCCGCCCAGCGCCTCCCACGCGCGGACTCCTAGGCTGAGCGCGCAGGGCAGCGGGGCCCACGCGAGGGCGGGGCGAGCCGGGGCTTTGTGTTCAAACCGGCCAATGGGTGGCGGCGGTGGGCGGTGACGGCCGGCGGGGCCTGACCAATGGGCTGCGGCCTGTCAGCGTTGACTGACAGGCGCACACATACAGAGTCGGCCACACGCGCGCCGCCCGGCCCCACTCGCGCAGCGCGGGCCTCCGCCGGCCGCATTGTCCGCCCGCCCGCCTTGTCCCGCGTCGCCGCTCTTCGCGTGCCCGCGCGCCCCGGGCCCGGCCGCTGTGTCGCCCTGAGCGGAGCGCCGCCCGCGGGATCCCCACGCGGAAAGGGGGCGCGCCCCGGCGGCGGCCTGGCCTCGGACGCCCCCGGCCGGGCTAGAAGCCGCCGCGGCAGCAGGTGAGTGCGGGCGAGCTCAGGAGAGGGTTGGGGGGCCGCGGCCCGGCCTGACCCCGGGTCACCGTCGGGCCACTCGGGCGGGGCCGCGCCGCCAGGCCTGCTTCCTCCTCTCCGGGACGTGCTGGGCCGGATCCAGCCTCCACCCGGGTCCGCGGCCCGCGCCCTGACTCACCTCCTGGCCCCCGCCCCGCCTGCCGCGCCACTGGTCAGCCGGGAGGGCGGTGTCTGCGGGCGGGACTTCCCGGGCAGCCTCCCGGGAGGAGGAGGGCAAAGGCCGACTGCCCCAACCCGGCCCCGGGCAGCGCCTACGGGTTTTGTGCCAGACAGGCCGTTTCCAGGGACAGGCAGTTCCCAGCCTCTGCCTGTCAGAACTCAGGGCCTCAGAGGAAGGCCCGTTTTGTTCAGTTCTAAAACAAAACAAAACAAAGCAATGGGGGGCGCGGTGTGACTTAGAGAGCCAGGAGGCGCGCCTTTGGTGACAATTTCTGCAGGTTTGGCCTGTGGGAATGAGGGCAGAGGGAGTTAGCACCGGGCGTTTGGCAGGTCCCACAAGGGCGTGTGGCCTGGCTGTGCCCAGGGAGTGGAAATGTCACGAGGAAGATGCCCCAGATCTGGTTTAAGTCTGAAGATGGATGGAGATGTTTGTGATGGGGAAGGGCGGAATTGAGAAAGGAAGTCGCCCAGCTGAGAAGTGGGGAAGGATGCTTTCCGATGAGCGTTTCCTAACTGATTGTTAGGGAGGAGGTGGGGCGGGGGTGGTGTCTATTATGATTCGCAGTAGTAGATTTCAGCTCCCAGAGGCTCACTTCTTGTTTTGGAGAATGGGGCCTCGACCTTTTTCATCTTGTGAAACCCAGACTCAATGGTAAACTGTTTTGTGATGCCAGGATGCCGCAGGAAAGACTGAGAGGCATCTCTGGGAGTTCTGGGAGGGCGGAGGCGGGTGCTGACAGTTTTCAGCACTCCCCGCTCAACCTCCATCAGAATATTTAGTTCTTCCCAGCGGCAGCTTGGGTATGGTATAAACATGTTGCCTTGTTTCTGCCCTGGGCAAAGGTGTCACCTCCTTCAGCAGGACAGAGGCTAAGAGGAGTCCCTGTGTGGGCAGCTGGAGCCTTCAGGTAGGGACCGTACGGGCGGGGCAGGGAGGGGGGAGGGGAGATTACCTTATAAGGACAGGAATAGAGACAAGGACCCAGGCCAACTTCCTGCTTTTCCTACTACCAATCGGTCCCTTTTCCAACACCAGCTAAAAGTAGAGGGGATGCCAGATGGGCGTCTGACCTGGGAAGATGCCAACAAGGCCAGGACATGAGGCTGCTTGTTTTTCAGAGGAGGACTTTCTAGCTGGACTAACCAGACCTTCGGGTTTCTGCAGCCTGGGTTGGGAAGTGGACTTCTATACTCACCACACAACCCAGAGAACTGGTCATTTAAGTATCAACCAGGAATATTAGAAGTGATCAAAAGTCACAAGCAAGTGCTAGGAATTCCCAAGTGACTTTGTTGTACGGGCCAGCAGAGGCACTAACGTTGAGACTCCCCATGTTGGCAGTCGGGGACTTTGAATTCGGGTGTCTAGACCTGAGTGGTTCATTAATCTTCCTCATGTCACAGAATGCTACCTCTTGCCAGATCTTTGCACTTTGGCTTCCTTTGTCCTCATTATCAGTTCCAGAGCCTTGATTTCTGCCCCACATGGTGACCGGAACTGACTGTAATTCATGCTGCCCTCCTCCTCCCTATTTTGTTAGTTTGCTAACAAATATTTGTTGTGTAACAAGTTTGTATACAGCCTTGTTTTGCGCATGTGTGAGGCTAAAAAAGATTCTAGCTGAGGACACACAACTAGAATCTTCAATACATTCCTGAAACAACTGGAAAACTTTATGCCTGAGTAGAAAGACCCAGGCCCTACAGCCTGTCAGAGCTGAGCCCAAACCCTGGCTTTGGCACTTACAGGCTGGGGACTGTGGACAAGTTACCCATTGCCTCAGTGTCCAGGTTCTTCCCTTGTAGATGGGAGTAATGATACCTACCTTGCTTCTAATAATATAAATGAGGTATACAAGGAGCCCGGTCCCAGCAGACACTTACCATTTTATCATCATCTTACCAAGATGTGGCAGCACAGTGTGCACCGTGGGGACAGACAGTGCAAGCGCCATCAGGACGTAGGTGGGAGCCTGGCCAACTTGGTGAAACCCTGTCTCTATTATTAAAAGAAAAGAAAAGAAAAATCCTTTTGGCTGAGCGTGGTGGCTCATGCCTGTAATCCCAGCACTTTGGGAAGCCGAGGTGGACAGATCACCTGAGGTCAGGAGTTCGAGACCAGCCTGGCCAACATGGCGAAACCCCGTCTCTATTAAAAATACAAAAATTAGCCAGTCCCGGTGGCGCACACCTGTAATCCCAGCTACTTGGGAGGCTGAGGCAGGAGAATCGCATGAACCTGGGAGGTAGAGGTTGCAGTGAGCCAAGATTGCACCACTGCACTTCAGCCTGGGAGGCAGCGCGAGACTCCATCTCAAAAAAAAAAAAAAAAAAAAAAAGAACATAGGTGGGGTCTACATGGGAAAGGTTTTCCATCAAGGTTCGTTGGGGCCCTCGATGAACGAGCACATGTCAGCAAAGGGACACAGCTAGAGCGAGACTGGGAGAAGTCTCTAGGGAGAAGGCAGGTGGGGTGGCTGGACCACCGGGCGTGCAGGCAGTGACCAGAAGCACCAGAGTCTCTGCTACTTGTCAGAGGTCGAGGAAGACCCAATTCTGGCTTGTGCGGAGCTCAGCACCATGAAGGATAAAGACAAGGAAACTGAGAATTGGGAAGCCTGTGGAAAGCGCCCTGGAAGAGGCTCCAGAGTCACGAAGTGAGCCCCAGGCCGGGCGTGACTCCAGCCGCTGCACAGTGCAGGGGTGCTTCACAGATCCCTGCCTTGCCCCCCATCAGGGCTGTTTAGACTGAACGCCGGGGGCCGGGGGCCGGGGGGGTGGTCTGTTCTCGGCTGTGAGGCGATGCCTCTGTCCCACCTCCTCTAGAGAGGAGCTGGGGACAGCCCCAGGCCTCACATCCAGTCCTCCTCCTCTCTCTCCTTAGATTCTCTTCAGGGGAAGAGTCCACATCCCACCTCATCATGTCCCGAAGAAGCCAGCGCCTCACGCGCTACTCCCAGGGTGACGATGACGGCAGCAGCAGCAGCGGAGGGAGCTCGGTGGCTGGGAGTCAGAGCACCCTGTTTAAAGACAGTCCTCTCAGGTAGGGACCCAAGGGAGTGCCACGGCCCCTGACAGCCCCACAAGCTTTTGGTCACTGCCCGCACGCCCTGTGGTCCAGCCATCCCCCTGCCTTCTTGTTGCAACCTTGGGTGGAAATCGAAGGACGTGGGCCCCCGTCCGGTCGAGGGGGTCCTTCCTTGCTCCATGTGTATGAGCACACAGCACCCATTCTTCTCCCACCGACTGTGAGCCGGGGCTGCTGCCCTCATGCTTAGAAAACAGGAAGTGGTAGGTCGGGCGCGGTGGCTCACGCCTGTAATGCCAGCTCTTTGGGAGGCCAAGGGAGGTGGATCACCTGACCCTGACCAACATAGTGAAACTCCGTCTCTACTAAAAATACAAAAATTAGCCCGGCATGGTGGCAGGCAGCTGTAATCCCAGCTACTCAGGAGGCTGAGGCAGGAGAATCGCTTGAACCTGGCAGGCAGAGGTTGCAGTGAGCGAGATCATGGCATTGCACTCCAGCCTGGGTTGACAAGAGTGAAACTCCATCTCAATCTCAAAAAGAAAAAAAGGAAAGAAAGAAAACAGGAAGTGGAGAGAGGCAGCTTCAACCATAAGCCAGGCCGGAAACCCCAAAACTGCAGGCTGGGCTCACAGGAACCCCCCCTGCTCTGGACGGGCGTGTCAGCCTTACCATCCTTCCTGGCCCCACGCCTGCATGTCTCACCACCTGTCCGGCCTCAGCAGCTGGCCAGCGACATGGCTGAGAACAGGCGCAGTCCTCAGGCCACTGGGAAATGGGCTGTGGCAGCAGCTGCCTGGTCGTCCTGCCCGGCTCACAGGCATGGGGCCCAGAAGACAGGCCCTGAGGCTTTGGCTAGCTCTGAGGCCAGGTCAGGTCTGTCTGGTTTCAGTGGGTTGTAAAGTTTGAATGTGGCTCCATCCCTAGCTGCCGCTGCCCGTCTTGCCCATCTGCTGGTGAGATTCAGAGAGAACAGGAGAGGACGTGCCAGCATTGGGAGAGTCAGGGGAATGGCAGCTGCGAGTTGCCTAGCAACAAGGGAACCCACACCCTGCACTAGGCAGGGCCGCAGGCTGTGGCTTTCCTTCATGCTCCTGGCTGGGCTCACCTCCCTGCTCCCTACCTCTGCCCTCATGGTTGTCCCACAGGACCTTGAAGAGGAAATCCAGCAACATGAAGCGCCTGTCCCCAGCGCCACAGCTGGGCCCGTCCTCTGATGCACACACCTCCTACTACAGTGAGTCGCTGGTCCACGAGTCCTGGTTCCCACCCAGGAGCTCCCTGGAGGAACTGCATGGTGACGCCAACTGGGGTGAGTGTGGAGCCCTCCGTCCCGGGGCTTTGCTTCCTCGGCCTCCCGCGAGATACTCCTCACAGTGTCCCCTGCAGTCCCCGGGATTCCCTCCTCAGAGCACCTCTCTGCCCAGACCCCACTTTTCAGAAGCTCTTGGAGGCCCAGAAGAGCCCCTGGTTCTTCCCTGCACAGGTGAGGACCTGCGGGTGCGGAGGAGGAGAGGCACGGGTGGCTCAGAGAGCAGCAGGGCCAGCGGGCTTGTGGGGCGCAAGGCCACCGAGGACTTCCTGGGCTCTTCCTCGGGCTACTCCTCTGAGGACGACTACGTGGGTAGGCGATGCTTCCTCCCTCCTGAGCAGATCCGAGGCTGCTGGGAGGCCTCAGGAAGGCTGGGCAGGGAGCCCCGGGGAGCTGGAGAGAGGGCAGCATGTGGCAGGCACAGCGCCCCTCCCATGCCCGGCCCTGGGTGCGCCCCAGCCTGGCCTGCGGTGGCCCCTGGTGCCCTGGGCTGTGACTGCCCTTCACTTGTCTGTCCTCCCCACCCCACGAGTCTATGGCAACCTAAGGCCAACATCCTTGCATTCAGGCCCATTCCAGCACTTTCCTGTGGGGCTCACACATGGTGGGTGCTCAGTCATTCTGAGTGGTGTGCATGTCAGACCCCAGCACCTAGTTCTGAACAGCAGCTTGAGGGGTGGCTGGTGAGGAGAGGGATGCAAACAGGAAGCTGTCAGAAGAAACAGAATGTCAAAGAGCTCCCATTTCATTCCTTACTGCACACCGGGCCTGTGTGGGGCTGTGGGGATGTGAAGGAGGGTGGGTGACTTGTGGTCTTGGCTCACAGAAGACAGTGAAGGAAGAGGCTCGAAAGTGACAGAGACTGAGCCAGTGTCCTCGTTCCCCGCAGGCTACTCGGATGTGGACCAGCAGAGTTCCAGCTCGCGGCTCCGAAGCGCCGTCTCACGGGCGGGCTCCTTACTCTGGATGGTGGCCACTTCGCCAGGTGGGCTGCAACCCGTGCCCAGTTACTTCCATTCTTGGTGATAGTGCTTTCTTACCCATCTCTCTGCAGTTGGGCATCCTGCCCATGCAGAGAGACTGTAGGACCATTGGGGAAAGGTCATTCTAGAATAATCACTGGGAGCCCAGAGCTGTGGGGACCCCCTTGCGTGGAAGGGAAGGAGTAGCTGCAGAGCAGGACAGAGGGTGTGGGCAGGTGGGATCCAAGGACCTGGGTCCCGGTAGGGCAGGACAGAGGCATACTGGCAGGTGGGGGTGGGGTAGGGGCAGGGAGGACGGCAGACGGGACAAAGGAGCGGTGCCCCCAAACACCATATGGAGCCTTCGGCTTGATGGTCATTCTTCCAGGCCGGCTCTTCAGACTTCTCTACTGGTGGGCTGGCACCACCTGGTACCGCCTGACCACAGCTGCCTCCCTCCTTGACGTCTTCGTTTTAACCAGGTGAGCGAGACTCCACCCTTGCCAATAAATCGCAAGGCCCTGGGGTGAAGGGACGGGTAAAGTGTGTCAACCTGTAATGGTCGATTCTCTGAGGGTTTTCCCCAGTTTCCCTGGAGCCTTTATTAGCGATCACGGAGTAGCTTCCCCAAAGCCCACCCCTGCCTGACAGAGGATGGACTCAGAGTCAGGTTCTTCTCCCCGAATTGATAGCCCTTCGAGGCAGGATTCCAGAGCACAGATTATTTCTTCTTGGACACATTCTACTAAACGCCACACTAGTCTAGCCGTGCCTGGCTCTCAGACACACGATGGCTTTCCTCCTGCAGGGTAGGCCCACTGACTCCAGGCAAGAAGTGGGGTTTCCCAGAAAGTCCATCTTCCTTCTTGGGCCTGGGACAATCTAACCCCCCGAGTTCCCCACTCATGGTCAGAGCCACAAAGAGGCTCTGCCTGAGGATGCTATGGGTTCATTCCCCAAGTCCCTAAACCAGCAGAACCAGGATTTGAGAATGTGCCCCTTAGGCAGAAGAACACGGAACCCAGAAGTCAGGATCCCTCTGGCCGTAATCCAGGTCCGGGCAGAGGGGACAGCTGGCCATACTGAAACAAGGGGCAAGGATGGGTTTGTGTCACCAAAAACAGGTTCCTTGTTGTTATTTAAGGAGTTACTTTTTTTTTCTATATTTGCATACTTAGAGGACCTGTCCATATAAAAATTTTTGAGTTTTTCAAAGACCACACTATTTTTAATAACATCAGTAAAATTCAGTCAAAATTGTCCCATCACTCTAAGACCTGCCCAGCAGGAAAGGCTCTGACGTGTCCAGGCTGGCCCTGGCACAGTGAGAAGCTCAAGCTATCCTCCTTAGCTCTAGTTCAGCACCCAGGAAAACATCTCAGGGTACTCCCTGGGTGGAACGTGGAGGCCTGGAGCTCCCCTCACACCTCCGCCTCCCCCGTCCTGCCCTCCCGCGTGGTCCAGGCGCTTCTCGTCCCTGAAGACGTTCCTCTGGTTCCTGCTGCCGCTGCTCTTGCTGACGTGCCTGACGTATGGTGAGCCTGCATGGGGAGAGCAGAGGGAGGCACAGAGATGTGTTCACCAGAGGGTGGTGACCTTTGGCAGGCAGGGAAGGGGCAAGACTGGGTGGGGTGTGCCTGTGACTGGGCAGGGCCTGAGCCCTGGACCCTGGATCATCTCTGCATGGCCCTCCCCACCTCTCCTGAGCCTCTTTTGTGCCGCCCTGGGCAGGAGCACACCCTAGTGCCGCAACATTGGGTGAAAAGCGGGATGCCCTCCCATTATCATTAGCAGTCATCCTCCTTCCACTCCAACAGGGACATCTGCTATGAGGGAGTTATTTTTACAAGATGAAGTTAAATCTTGAGCTGTCTTTAAAGTAAAAACAATGAAGCAGCAAAGGGAAATAAGTGCCTTTTTTGTTTGTTTTTTGAGACAGAGTTTTTGCTCTTGTTGCCCAGGCTGGAGTGCAATGGCGCGATGTCAGCTCACCACAACCTCCACCTCTCAGGTTCAAGTGATTCTCCTGCCTCAGCCTCCCGAGTAGCTGGGATTACAGGCATGCGCCAACATGCCCAGCTAATTTTGTATTTTTACTAGAGATGGGGTTTCTCCATGTTGTCAGGCTGGTCTCGAACTCCTGACCTCAGGTGATCCAGCTGCCTCGGCCTCCCAAAGTGCTGGGATTACAGGCATGAGCCACCGTGCCCGGCCATAAGTGCCTCTTTTTACACCAGTCACTTACCAGCTGTCCTGAATCATCCCAGGCGCTAGCACAGGCCTGCCTTGGTTTTTTGTTTGTTTTGAGACAAAGTCTTCTTCTGTCACCCCAGCTGAAGTGCAGTGGCACGAACACAGCTCACTGCAGCCTTGACCTTCTGAGCTCAGGTGATCCTCCCACGTCAGCCTCCCAAGTAGCTGGGATTACAGGCATGCAGCACCACACATGGCTAATTTTTGTATTTTTAGTAGAGACGGGGTTTCACCATGTTGGCCAGGCTGGTCTCAAACTCCTGACCTCAAGTGATCCACCCACCTCGGCCTCCCAAAGTGTCGGGATTACAGGTGTGAGCCACTGCACCCAGCCCTTCCTTGTTTATATAGACATTTTGTGTTCAGCTTTTTACTTGACAGCTTGGCTAGTTTCATATGAATTGCCTATGTGACTCTCAGCTCAATTTTAATGACTGCACCAAGTAATTAAAGACCATGCTTTATTATTTTTTGAGAGTTTGTTTTATAAGCTTAATATCATTCAACTTGTATTTCTTTTATTAATAACAGGGTAGAACACTTTTCCAAAAGTTAGCTTCGTTTTTGTGTTTGCTGCTACAAGAACAGCTGGTTCATATCCAGTGGCAACTGAGCACCACCCTTAAAATAATAATGATTCTTCTTCTTTTTTTTTTTTTTTTTGAGACGGAGTTTTGCTCTGTTGCCCAGGCTCGAGTGCTGTGGCACAATCTTGGCTCACTGCAACCTCCACCTCCCGGGTTCAAGCGATTCTCCTGCCTCAGCCTCCCGAGTAGCTGGGATTACAGGTGCATGCCACCACGCCCAGCTAATTTTTATATTTTTAGTAGAGACGGGGTTTCGCCATGTTGGCCAGTCTGGTCTCAAACTCCTGACCTCAAGTGATCCACCTGCCTCGGCCTCCCGAAGTGCTGGCATTACAGGTGTGAGCCACCACGCCCAGTCAGTGATTCTTTTTTGTGTGTGTGTGATGGAGTCTGTCGCCCAGGCTGGAGTGCAGTCGTGCGATCTTGACTCACTGCAAGCTCCACCTCCCAGGTTCACGCCATTCTCCTGCCTCAGCCTCCCGAGTAGCTGGGACTACAGGCGGCCGCCACCACGCCTGGCTAATTTCTTTTTGTATTTTTAGTAGAGATGGGGTGTCACCATATTAGCCAGGATGGTCTCGATCTCCTGACCTCGTGATCCACCCGCCTCGGCCTCCCAAAGTGCTGGGATTACAGGCGTGAGCCACCGCGCCCGGCCCAGTCAGTGATTCTTTATAATTGCATAGCAATGTACCCAGAGAGCACTTTCCCGTGCATTATCTCAGTTCAATTTGAGCTTCACCATGGCCTTGTGGGGTTGCTGTAGTCAGTGCTGTGAACCCATCACATGGAGATGCACGTGGAGGGGGCTCAGTGACCTGCTCGGGGAGTGTGTGCATGAAGGCCATGTCCATGCTGGACTTCAAGCCCCATGGGCATGAGCTTCCTTTTGCACCTGCCAACCTCTGGTGCTTGAGTAGCGAATGGAGCTTTATCAGGACAGAAAGCCCTCCCTCCCCCGCTCCCCTGCCACCTGCCCCAGAGCTCAGGAGTAAACAGGTATCAAACAGATGGCCCTGAAAACAGAATGAACATGTCTCTGTGTGGCTGCAGCTTGGTGCTCGTGTCTGGGCCTCGAGCAGCCTCTCTTAGAGGGGGTGGTGCTTTCTGTTGCAGTGACTCTCAGCCATGGCGGCCCATGACAGTCACCAGGAAGCTTTACAAACTCACCTACGCAGGGGCCCCACCCCAGGCCAATTAGCTTGCTCTCCAGAGGGCAGGGCCAGACCTGGTTGTACTAAAATCTCCCCAGGTGATTCTGACGACCAGACAGGGCTGAGAACCACCATCAGGTCCTCTGGGCTGTACCCTGGATCATCCCTAACTCATTCAAAATGTTTTCTCCAAGTTTTGCCACTTACAGAAAGATGAAGGATTCCCGTGGGGGTGTGAGAATGAATATGCTCTGAGGTTGTTGGGTGGAAGTTGCCACCTCAGAGAATGGGGGCACCTGCATCCCTCTGATGCCTCTGGAAGGGCACAGCTCCACGAGTGGGACA
Organism: Homo sapiens; assembly: GCF_000001405.40. NCBI lineage: Eukaryota > Metazoa > Chordata > Mammalia > Primates > Hominidae > Homo > Homo sapiens. The sequence goes on along the minus strand of NC_000022.11, from coordinate 38,745,908 downwards.
GGCCACAAGCACTGGCAGGGATCAGGTAGCCATCCTCCCTGGCGCGCGCCTCTTGCTGGAGGCCCAGCTGGGGTAACACCCTCTCCCCTGTGCACAGGTGCTTGGTATTTCTACCCCTATGGGCTGCAGACATTCCACCCTGCTTTGGTTTCCTGGTGGGCAGCGAAGGACAGCAGGAGGCCGGATGAGGGCTGGGAAGCCAGAGACTCATCGCCACATTTCCAGGTGAGTCTCTGAGGGTGGTAGCTCCCAAGAGCTTAGCAATAATTAGGTGACGGTGAAAGTGGTGGGTGCGCCCTCAGCCTGCCTCACACCGTACACACAAAGCTGAGGCGTACTGTTAGTTGCCATCTTACAAGGCACAGAAAACAGAAAGAAAAGGAATCCAACAAATTATCTTGTCTGCTTTGTTCCTTTTCAATGCTGTTTCACAAATATTTACTGGGCACCTTCTATGACTAGGATAATATCCCAGTCAGTTACCTCTTACCAAAGATAATCCACCCCTAAAAGCAGTGGCTCAAAACTACAATGGTTGATTAGTTCATGAGTCTGTGGGTTGTCTGGGTGGTCTTTCTGGTCTGAGAAAAGAGAAGCAATCTTGGCTGGGCTCGTACTTGCCTGTGTGGATCTGTCTGTCTGCAGTTGGCTGGGGGGGTCAGCTGGGGGCCAGCTGGTCAAGGCCCTTGCCTAGGACAGCTGTACTCCATGTGCACTTTGCTCACCCGGCAGGCTAGCCCCAGCTGTTTCTCATCGCACCCAGGCAGGGTTTCAAGAGAGAACCAAGGCAACCAGACCTTTGAGGCCTTGATCCAGAACCAGCACACCGTCACTCCCGCCACATTCTGTTGGCTACCGCAAATCTCAGAGCCAAATCCAGATTCAAGGAGAGGGAAATAGACTTCACCTCTCAGCAAGAGAGCCCACAAGGTCACATGACAGAGGTGCGGCTGCAGGGAGGAGTGAGGGATGGTGGCCATTTTTATAATCTGCCAGAGTCTAAAGATGAATCAGGCCCAGGCTGTGCCCTCAAGGAGCCTGCAGTCAGCATAACCAGAAAGCAATGTGAGCACAGGTACTGATACTGACAATTTAAACCTCTAAGCCAAGCCTGGTGGCTCACATCTGTAATCTCGGCACTTTGGGAGGCCAAGGTGGGAGGATCACTTAAGGCCAGGAGTTCGAGACTAGCCTAGGCAACACAGTGAGGCCCTGTCTTTATTTTTAATAAAACTCTTCATTTTCTAATTATGGTTATTTGACCTGCACTTGCATCTCACTGAATTTAACTTGGTATTACATTTTTATTATTCATTTAAAAATTTTTTGAGACAGGGTCTCATTCTGTTGTCCAGGCTGCAGTGCAGTAGTATAATCATAACTCATTGTAACCTTGAACTCCTGGGCTCAAGCGATCCTCCTGCATCAGCCTGTGAAGTAGCTGGGACTACAGGTGTACACCACCATGTCTGTCAAATTTTTAAAAAAAATTTTTGTAGAGACAGGGTCTCACTATGTTGCCAGGCTGGTCTTGAACTCCTGGCTTCAAGCAATCCTCCTGCCTCAGCCTTCCAAAGGGCTGGGATTACAGGCATGAGTCACTGCACCTGGCATAGTATCACTTTTTTTTTTTTTTTTTTTTTTTTTGAGACAGAGTCTTGCTAAGTCACCCATGCTGGAATGCTGCGTCACCCAGGCTGGAGTGCAGTGGCACGATCTGGGCTCACTGCAGCCTACACCTCCCGGGTTCAAGCGATTCTCCCGCCTCAGCGTCCCGAGTAGCTGGGACTACAGGCGCGCACCACCATGCCAGCTAATTTTTTTATTTTTAGTAGAGACAGGGTTTCACCATGTTGGCCAGGATGGTCTCTGTCTCCTGACCTCATGATCCGCCCGCCTTGGCCTCCCAAAGTGCTGGGATTACAGGCGTGAGCCACCACGCCCAGCCGGCATCACATGTTTAACCATCTATTTTTGTATATATTACTTTCCAGACCATGGTCTTTCCAATTTTATTATATGTGCTGCCAAAGTGAGTACCAGACCATGATCTTATTATTTTACAAAATAATGACATGTCATCTATGACTTTTCCTTTTTTCACCATTAAAGACATTAAATACAGTTCAATTTCAGAACCATCTTTTTTGTAAAAAAGGGTAAGTTAAAAAAATGAATATATCTTGTATTAGCAACATTTGCATGAAGTTAAAATAAAAACAGCTTCCTGGTCTGGGAGAGGCTGTTGGTGAGGCAACTGGGGTGATGGGGCAGAGGATTTTTTGCTGGTTTTTGTGGGCTTTTTTTTTTTTTTTTTTTTTGAGACGGAGTCTTGCTCTTGTTGCCCAGACTAAAGTGCAATGGCACGATCTTAGCTCACTGCAACCTCTGCCTCCCAGGTTCAAGCGATTCTCCTGCCTCAGCCTCCTGTGTAGCTGGGACTACAGGAGCCTGCCACCATCTCCAGCTAATTTTTGTATATTTAGTAGACACAGGGTTTCGCCATACTGGCCAGGCTGGTCTCGAACTTCTGACCTCAGGTAATCCACCTGCGTCGGCCTCCCAAAGTGTTGGGATTACAGGCGTGAGCCACCACGTCCCGCCTGTTTGTGTGCTTTTTGAGTCATGCAAATGTAGCGCCTATTTAAAAACCAGAATTTCTAAAACTCAGAACCTCTGCTGCTCAGTAGCTCCCTGGCCTTTATTTGACAGTTTTTATCACTTCTCTTGGCAATGATTTTGTTGTTAAGCCAACAACATTCTCAAATTCATGACACACTATCAAATGCCACCCTCAGTCCAAATGACATTTATTCCATTTTCTCTGTGGGACATCCAGCTAAAGAGGAAAAAGAACGTATTTTCAAATTATTCTGTCTCTTAGCCATAGTTACCTAGGGAAGGAGTGAAAGCCATTGAGAGTCCACAGACAGAACTCGCAGCCCTGGCTCCCCTGCCCCTGTAGGAGGCGGGGAAGGAGTGAGCTTCAGGCCAGGAGGGTCCACGGCCCCCTGCAGCCATCCTGCAGCTTCCAGTCCTCCTCCTGGACCATCCCTGCACTCAGACCTTCTCCCCGGCCCACCTTCCTTCCTCCTCTGGGATCAGACTTCGGTACTGTGTCCTCAGGGACCTTCCTCTGTGGCCGGCACCCAGTGATCCCTGGCTCCCAGCACACCCAGCTCAGAGGTCGGCAGCCCCTGCCCACGAGCTCCAGCCGGCCCTGCATGGCCTTATGCTGGAACGTCTCTGGAATCTTTTCCCTTTCTTTCTGTGTTGGCTGTGTCGGGGTGGTCTTTGGGAAGCACTATCATCCAAGGGTCCCTCACTCCGTGGCTCTCTCTCTGCCCTTCCAGGCTGAGCAGCGTGTTATGTCCCGGGTACACTCTCTGGAGCGGCGTCTGGAAGCTCTTGCTGCTGAATTTTCCTCCAACTGGCAGAAGGAGGCCATGCGGCTGGAACGTCTGGAGCTGCGGCAAGGGGCTCCTGGCCAGGGAGGTGGTGGTGGCCTGAGCCACGAGGACACCCTGGCGCTGCTGGAGGGGCTAGTGAGCCGCCGTGAAGCTGCCCTGAAGGAGGATTTCCGCAGGGAAACTGCTGCTCGCATCCAGGTAGGAGGTGGAATACCTCAGGGTGGGAGGTGGGTGACACCCATAGGAAAGCGTGAAGGTGCCCAGCAGCAGAGAGAACAAGTGTCATTTGGGATCAGACAGCTCTGCCATTTTGCAGTTACTCCCTTTCTCTTTTTTTCTTTTTTTTTTTTCTTTTTGAGACAATATCTCACTCTGTCACCCAGCCTGGAGTGCAGTGGCGTGATCTCGACTCACTACAACCTGTGCCTCCCAGGTTCAAGCGATTCTCTTGCCTCACTCAGCCTCCCGAGTAGCTGGATTACAGGCGTGCACCACCACATCCAGCTAATTTTGTATTTTTAGTAGAGACAGGGTTTTACCAAGTTGGCCAGGCTGGTCTCGAACTCCTGACCTCTAGTGATCTGCCTGCCTTGGCCTCCCAAAGTCCTGGGATTACAGGCGTGAGCCACCACGCCAGGCCTCCTCACCTTCTCTAAGCCTCAGTTTCCTGCTCTTTGATGGAGGCCATCGTGTCTCCCCCACCCCCATAGTGAGCTGTGCGAGTAGAAAGCCCCAGCATGGTACCTGACACCGCAGAGGTGTGCAGTGGAGCTGAAGCGGGAGTCTTGCGTGGTTCAGAGAAGGCTGAGAGCCAGGGCTCTGGAAGCAAACAGACCTTGTTTGAATTCCAGTTCCGCCACTTCCTAGTCATGAGGGTCCCTATAAGCATGGCTCTGTCCAACCTGTCCTCTCACTCCCGTCTCACAGGAAGAACTGTCTGCCCTGAGAGCAGAGCATCAGCAAGACTCAGAAGACCTCTTCAAGAAGATCGTCCGGGCCTCCCAGGTCAGCGGGCTTGCGGCACTCAGGGCCTGTGACTGGGTCCTGACCCCATCCAACATGTTCACCTCGGACCCCTCGGCCCTTCCAAAGGGACTGTTTGGGTGTTGCATGGGGAGGGGAGTGCCCTCCTCTGACTTCTCTGTTTGACCCCCGACCCCTTAGTTGGAGAGCTGTGCAGGGGCTCCCTGGGGTGTGCCAGGGCACAGCGGCCTGTCATGCTGGTGTGCATGTGCTGAGTGTGGGTGAACAGATACCTCAGTGTGTCAGACATGGACGAGACTCATGAGGGCTTTGACAAGGAGGCCAGTTTGATTTTTGCTGCAGGGGTCAAGAGACCTTGGGCAGGGGTGTGGTTAAGCAAAGACGCTAACAGACAGCAGATCCTACTCTGGAACACCAATTTCTGAGATGAGTATTTCTTGTATTTGTCCCTTCTTCCTACACAGGAGTCCGAGGCTCGCATCCAGCAGCTGAAGTCAGAGTGGCAAAGGTACTGGGCGCCACCAGCTGGCCTCGGCCTGCTCCTCCCCAGCCCCACCCACTCTCCAGGCAGGACTGGGGAGCAGAGCCGCAGAGCAGAGAGTTCTGATCATCTTGCCAAGCAGATGGTAGGGGGAGGGGTTGAAACCCAGCTCAGGACCCCTGCCCAGGGCCTGTCTTTGAGGTGCCATGGAGGTTAGCAGGGGGGTCCTGAGGGCGGGGGGCAGGCTGTGTGAGAGGACCGGGATTCATTTATAGACACAGCATCCTTTCTTACAGCCTCACATAACTGCCTTCTCATGCCCCAGATGTCCATGCTTGTGGAGGATGTGAGAGGCTGAGGCAGAGTACATTCTGGACTCTGGGCTTAGAAAGGGAGCAGGCTCAGAATTAGCTCCTTGGGACAGGCAGGGGTTCTGCAGCCAGAACCCCCAGGAGAGGCCTTGCCCCTTCTCAGGTTCACAATGAGTGCTGGGCACCCGCTCTCCTGACGGGAGCCCACTAGGGGGTCCTCTTTCATCTTTGGTGTGGCCTTACCTCCCACCAAAGAGATCCGAGGCTTACTCTTCTCTCTCTGGGACCAGCATGACCCAGGAGTCCTTCCAGGAGAGCTCTGTGAAGGAGCTGAGGCGGCTGGAGGACCAGCTGGCCGGCCTGCAGCAGGAGCTGGCGGCTCTGGCACTGAAGCAGAGCTCGGTGGCGGAAGAAGTGGGCCTGCTGCCCCAGCAGATCCAGGCCGTGCGGGACGACGTGAGTGGGAACCACCAGGGCCCTGCTGGTCCCTCTCCTCCTCCTTTGAGACGACGTGTCCTGGGGCCTGCAAAGCAGCACCCCTTGCCCCTGCAGCCTCTGTTATGCCCAAGAGACTGTGGCGTTGGCCTTGACACATGTGGGCTCTCACTGACAGGCGTTCTTCCTGTTTTTGTTAGTGCCCATGGAGTGTTCATAACTCTTTCCTCCAGTGGCCTCCCTCCTACCCTATCCCTGCTATCCAGCTAAGCACTAGCCCTGTCATAGCAGCTCCTGCTGTCCCTGCAAGCCCCCCAGGGTGACACCCCTTTGGGTTCCTATAGGTGGAATCTCAGTTCCCGGCCTGGATCAGTCAGTTCCTTGCCCGAGGTGGAGGGGGCCGCGTGGGGCTCCTTCAGAGAGAGGAGATGCAAGCTCAGCTGCGAGAGCTGGAGAGCAAGATCCTCACCCATGTGGCAGAGATGCAGGGCAAGTCGGCCAGGGAAGCCGCGGCCTCCCTGAGCCTGACGCTGCAGAAAGAAGGTGTGATTGGAGTGACAGAGGAGGTGAGGCCCACATGCCCCTCTCCACACACCCACCCACAGCTCTCCTCCCTGGGAGCCCTGGACAGTCCCACACTGCCAGCTCCCTGGCAGGTTCCAGGATGGAAGTGCCAAGCAGGAGGCTTTGCATGCTGTGGGGCTGGCATGGGTGGGTGGCAGTGTGCCCACATCTGCCTGGGCACCAGCACAGTGCAAGCCTAGAAGGGGTCAGCCCATGGGTCCTTGGCCCACGGCCACGAGGTGACAGGGGGACACGTCTGCTCCCTGCTGCAACCGTCTCCTGGTGCCTGCATTGCAGCAGGTGCACCACATCGTGAAGCAGGCCCTGCAGCGCTACAGTGAGGACCGCATCGGGCTGGCAGACTACGCCCTGGAGTCAGGAGGTACGTGCTCTGCTTTCCTCGCTCTGCCTTGTCCTGGACCCCGCAATGGCCGGTCCCCTGGCATCTACCAGGTTGGTGGTGGGGCAGAGCAAGCAAAGCTCAGGATCAGCAGAAATCACCCAACCTAGTACCCATGACAAAGGCAAGTGGCAATTCAGGGAAGTCAGGACGTACCGAGTACCATCCTGGGCCAGGGAGAGGCTGACCTTTAAAGCTGCTCTGAGCATCTCGGTTAGGGTTAAAGGCTAGGCCTGGGGCATCTGCCGTCCACCTTCAGCGAGGAGACAGCCAATGGCCTGAGCGGGGCCCTCCTCCCGTGCGGGAGCCCACCCTGCCTTCCTCTCCTGTCTCAGGGGCCAGCGTCATCAGCACCCGATGTTCTGAGACCTACGAGACCAAGACGGCCCTCCTCAGCCTCTTCGGCATCCCCCTGTGGTACCACTCCCAGTCACCCCGAGTCATCCTCCAGGTGGGCACCTGGCAAGCACAGCAGCGGGGGCTCTGAGCACACTGAGGGCTGGTCCCATCTGGGGTCAGCAAGAGCTGGACTCAGGGCCCTGTCCTGACATGACTTTCTGCTCCTCCAGCCAGATGTGCACCCAGGCAACTGCTGGGCCTTCCAGGGGCCACAAGGCTTCGCCGTGGTCCGCCTCTCTGCCCGCATCCGCCCCACAGCCGTTACCTTAGAGCATGTGCCCAAGGCCTTGTCACCCAACAGCACTATCTCCAGTGCCCCCAAGGACTTCGCCATCTTTGTGAGTATCTGTCCTGTGGTGGGGCCAGAGGGGCTGCAGGGGGATCCTGTGGGCCTCTCTACTGAGGATCAAGTCAGGGTCACCCTTGGACTGGAAGGGAGGGGAGTGGATTTGGAAGAGGAGGAGCTAGGGTGGGAGACAGCACTTCAGTCCCTGTTACCTTAGGCTTTGGAGGCAGAAACTGTGGCACAAGAGAGTGAAGTGACTTGTCATAGGCCACTCTGGTGCCTGACCTGCTGGGTGGGAGGAGCAGGGATTGGAGTGGGGAGGGGTGTTCTCCCTGCTCCAGCCCCTCCCCACTTCCCTCCGCTCTCTTTGCAGGGGTTTGACGAAGACCTGCAGCAGGAGGGGACACTCCTTGGCAAGTTCACTTACGATCAGGACGGCGAGCCTATTCAGACGTTTCACTTTCAGGTACGGGATGCTGCTGTGCTAGCAGAAGTGGCGCAGACTCCCCATCCAGGCAGCAGGTGCTCCCTGGGCACTTACCCTGCCAGGCATGGGGTTCAGAGAGGGAAGCCCTGCTCTCCTTTCCCACAGCTCAAGATGTGATATCCAAATGGGGTGTAACACGCATCCTGCAGACGTCAGCACAGGGGAAGGCACCTTCCAGAAGGGCAGCATGAGGGAAGCTTCCTGGAAAAGGACACCAGGAGGTGGGCTTTACACAAGAGGGGTTGGGTGGCCAGGAAAGGAAGGCCGGGAGAGGCGTTCGAGGAGCCGCCGCCAGCACATGCCAGGGCGCGGGCATTCTACCATGGCCAGCTGGAGCCTCAGGCAGTGCATGCGGCTTAAACTTCAGTGGGCATCCGATCTCCTAAGTCAGTTAGAAATGCAGATTCCCAGTCTCCACCCCAGGAGAGTCTGGTTCCTTAGGGCTGACAGGACCCAGGAGCCTGCATTTGAACAAACCATTGGCCTAAGCCCCACACCGGGGGAGTCCTGGAGTGAGGAATTGGGTTGGCGGGATAGTGGGAGGTGGACGAGGGACAGTGGCAGGAAGAGGAGGCCACAGAGAGGCAGGAAATAAGCCCTCAGGGACCTGGGGGAGGCAGTGCTGTGCTTCAGGTGACAAAGCTATGTCCATTTGACTAACATCACTATATGACTCGAAGGGGCGAGCCTGGGCCTGGGAGACCCGTCAGGAAGTGGTTGAGGGAAAGCAGCCAGAACAGGATAGGTGGGGGAGAGGGGCGTTGGGAGTGAGGACAAAGACGTAGCAGGGAGGGTCGTGAATGTCCAGTTGGATGGGGTGGGAGGAAGAAGCCACTGCGATGGGGGCTGATGTGGAGCAGGGGGCAGGTCTGGCTGAGTCTGAGGCACCTATGGAACAGTCCAGTGGAGCTGTCGGGGGAGCCAGAAAGAACTGAGTTGTCATCAGCTCTGAGGAGGTAACTAGGCTGCAAGAGAGGTTGGGATTTCTCTTTAGGAAAGTATAGAGGCCAGACGAGGTGGCTCATGTCTGTAATTCCAGCACTTTGCAAGGCCAAGGCGAGGGGATTGCTTGAGCCCAGGAGTTCAAGACCAGGCTGGTGAACACAGCGAGATCCCGACTCTACAAAAAATGTTAAAAAATTTAGCCGGGTGTGGTGACATGCACCTGTGGTCCCAGCTACTGGGGAGGCTAAGGTGGGAGGATCCCTTGAGCCCAGAAGGTTGAGGCAGTGAACTGTGATCACACCATTGTACTCCAGCCTGGGTGACAGAGCAAGACCCTGTCTCCAAAAACAAAAAAAGAGGGTAGAGGACAGAACGATGTGCCAGAGAGAAGGGACAAGCCAGGAGTGTGCTAGGCCTGTGGCATCTGCCCAGGTAAGATATGCTGCTAACACCATTCCCAACACTGTGGCTAGACAGAGGCCCGATGGGCACTGGAGAAAAAGAATCAAGTGTGCCCCACATCAGCATCTATGAAGCCCTCTATGAAGGTGGTTCTATCTGTTGATCACAATAAAAAAACGATTGTGGATGAATTCATTCCGGTTTCAGATGAAGTGTGCTACAGGTGGCCCCTTAACCCACTGGCTGGAAACACTGCTCAGGAGGCTAAAGATAGGAGCTTTTGAAGCCTGGTTCTCTTCAGAGCCCCAGGGAAGGAGCAGGGGAGCCATCTGGCCCTAGGCGAGGCTGTCTCCCCTTCCCACCTTCTCTGTCAGTGAGGCCTCACAGGTCTCTGATGCTCTTAATCCCTTTCTTCTCTACCCAGGCCCCTACGATGGCCACGTACCAGGTGGTGGAGCTGCGGATCCTGACTAACTGGGGCCACCCCGAGTACACCTGCATCTACCGCTTCAGAGTGCATGGGGAGCCCGCCCACTAGCCCTGCTTACTGGTGCCTGCTGCCAGCCATCTGGGAGTGGGTGAACAGCACCCCGCCGCTTCCCCCACACGCTTGCTCGGCGCTCTGACTTCTAGGAGCACAAGAGAGGAGCCTGTGGCCCCATGCAGATGAAAAGGACGGGCAGGGTCTCCTGAGCAGCAGGTGGCTCGAGGCGGTTAGCAGGCTCCAGCAGCTCCCTTCTTCCTTCCCTCTGTGCCCGTGGCGTCTGCTTCCCATCCTGGGAGTGTGTATATATGTAGCATATCATGGGGGACTGGGAAGTTGGGAGAGGTAGGACCTGACTGGTCTTGGCTGGGGTCAGGGGCTGGTGCCTGGGAGCTGATGAAGCAGGTGCCAGGGCTGTGGGAGGGGCAAGCTACGGCCTGGGCTAGGTGAGCTGCCTCTGCCCCTGGGCAAGGAAGCGAGGCCCTCTGGGAGGAGGGTGCTTAGCTCCAGAGCAGGATGGGACTTCCCCAGGCAGGAAGCACTTGATGGAGAGCTGCCCAGCTCTCCTACAAGGTTAGTGCCCTCCACCTAGGGAAGCATGAACCACAGGGTCCCTGAGGGCCTTCGACAAAAGTGTGTATTTGTCCCGGGGAGGGTAGCAGTGGGCCATGGGGCTTCTTGTGCCCTAAAGGGGACTGGCTGCTGTGATCTTCTAAGGGGCCCAGGGCCAACCCTGTAGGCTTCCCCTCTGCTGGGGACGGTAGTTGCTTTTCTCTCTCCTGATGCTAGGTTGGGGCCCACCCTGCTCCCTGTTCCTGCTAGGGCCTGCCAGTGCCCCTGAGCTTGCTTTCCACATTCTCCCAGGGTATGGAGACCTAGACCTGTCTTTGGGGCCATTAGCATCTGGGGTTATAGCAAGAAGAGTGGGGAGCATGGAACTCCTGGGCTCTTGTGGGGACGTTCAGGGTATCGGGGTGCGAGGTCTGTCTGCACCGGCCCCCACATCTAACCAGGCCCTGATGTAGGGGTCGTCCGCTCAGGCTGCCCCCTTGGGCTCTTGCAGCTCTTGTTCAGGTAGTCGCCCTTCTGGTTTGTTCTCTGTGGGGCAGTTGGTGGGGGCTGGGGGAAGAGGCTGGCAGAAGTTACCCTGGATAGGGAAGGGGGAGGAGGGGACTTTTAGAGCCAGCAGGCCCCACTGTATTATGTATATATTTTTCAAGGTCTGTTTTTCTAACTGAAAAGCTAAGGGCTTGATTCCTAGCCCCGTTCTGTGGGGCACTGGGTGATACTCAGTTTCTTGTTCCTGGCCGTGGAGAGGGGCCTGGGGCACTGGTTCCGGCTGTGTCTGGTGGTCTGGCTGCGGGGAAGGGGCAAGAAGGCGGGCAGGCCTTCACTGCAGCACTGAGCCTCAAATCCGCTCTGGAGCATGAGGCTGGATGCAGTGGTGGTGAGGCCGCCCCGCTCCATCCCGAGGCAGCCAGGGTTTGTTTTGCGCTCTCCTGTCACAAATGCTGCACTATTGGTTCTTAAGTTTTTTATCTCCAGATCCTAATTTATGCCTATGCAAAAAATAAATGACGCCCAAGAGCTGTGGGATGTGGCTTTCATGTGGCTTTTGCCTATCACCTAGGGCAGCTGCTCTTGGGCAGATGAGGGAATGAATTCTTGGCCAAACGAATGTCCCCAAAGACTTATTCCTGAAGTTCAGAAACCCACAACTTTCAGCTAAAGCCCAGTTGTGGTGGGGGATGGGACCTGAGGCAGGTCTCCTCCAGTGTTTGTGGGTCAAGGGCTGGCATGAGGAAGCAGTGAGGTGGCTTTATTAGCTGTCATTGATAACCCATCACAAAGGGTGGGGCGGGAGCAGTGGGGCTTTCCTGTCTCTCAGTACCACTGAACAGCAGCAGAAAAAGTTACACTTACCTACCAGCCACGTCCACTTGGAGTGCAGTGATTCTCCTCCATGGGAATTCGCTATTTGCCCCTTGGACCTGTGACTGGGAAGGGACAAGGAGGTAGGTCCCTTGAACAGCCAGCAGCTTAGGAGAAAAACAGGCCCTGACCTTTCCCACAGATAGCTCCCCAGACCTGGTTCGCGTGGTTCTCTAGCCTGATCCTGGAGCCTCTCATACTGACCGTGGCACCTGGCCCAGGGCTGCTCCTCATCATGGCTGAGAAAACAAAGGCAGAAAGCCAGTCAGTAGGGAGGACTGTGGAGACAGCCACAAGGCAGGAGCTGGGTGAGGCACAAATCCAGCCCCCAAAGCCTTGGGCCAGCTCCTCAGCCTCTTGGGAGACAGCTGGTCCTGTGCTCACTCCCCTTCACTGACACCTGCTCTGCCTCTGACGCCATCTAAACAAAGGAGACATCCCCACGCAGCACCAATAAACAAGCCCCTGGAAGTTGCCACACACTGTGGCAAGAGTCCAGAGCCTGGGCTGGGCACATGCCCTCTGCCCATCTGTACATTCAAATCCTACTGGGCCCTCACAGCACAGCCCTCACACTGCCGGCTCCATGGTACTTCCCCCAACCCAACTAAACCTGTGCTGCCCCTGTGCGTGGCATATTCATCCCTGTGACCTTCTCTGTGCCAGGGTGGCTGATAAGCCAGAACAGTCCTGACTGTGGAGTCAGGGGTCTGGCCATCCCCATCCCACCATCACAGGCCTTACTCCTGGGAAAGACGCCACAAACACCTGCTGCACACACAGAAGGGTCAGGCCTTGCCATTGGAGGTGATTGGATTAACAATTTTATTCTGCATCCACTACAAAAGGGCTGGTGTTTTGTTCCAAATGTTTAGCTGGGAGGGCTGTAGGGACCCCTGTTACCCCCATTAAACACAGTAAAGCATGGATCCAGTCAGCCCCCTGCTGGCAGGTGTGGGCCTGGCAACTACACAGATCCAACCCCACCCTCCTGGGTGCGGCCAGAGGCCAAGGCAGTCGCCCGAGCTCCTGAATCCCAAGAATGGTTCTGGCAAGTACTGCTGTTTGTTTGTAGGGGCAAAGAGTTAAAATAAAACGAGGTTCTGCCATGGCTAAGCCTTGTGGAAACCAGACCCCAAAGCCCCTGCCATGCCAGGGGTCTCAACGCCAGACGCTTGTTATGGAGGCACCAGCAGGTAGTGGCCCCTGTAAGCAGGGCCAGAGTCGGGACAAAGAGCAGGAGTGAAGCAGCCAAGAGACAGAGGACCAGGCTGGAGCCAGTGGGCACGCAGGAGCCTGCCTGGGAAAAGCCGGGGGGCAAGGCTGGCATGGGAATGAACACCTGCTGGTGACACCTCTCTGAGCTTCAGTTCCCTTAACTAGAAAAATAGAACAGGCCCGGTGCGGTGGCTCATACCTGTAATCCCAGCACTTTGGGAGGCTGAGGCGGGTGGATCATGAGGTCAGGAGATCAAGACCACCCTGGCCGACATGGCGAAACCCTGTCTCTACTAAAATACAAAAAGTTAGCTGGGCGTGGTGGCGTGCACCTGTAGTCCCAGCTACTCAGAAGGCTGAGGCAGAGAATCACTTGAAACTGGCAGGCGGAGGTTGCAGTGAGCAGAGATCACACCACTGCACTCCAGCCTGGCAACACAGCGAGACTCCGTCTCAAAAAAGAAAAAGAAAAACAGAACAAACATCGACCTCAGGGGCGGCTGCTGGGAATGTCAACAGGAGCGTGTGAGACTCCTGGCAGTCCCAGCCAGAGCTTTCCTTTGGAGCCTGCCCAGGGCACAGAGGTGGCAGGGTGGCTAACGGTGTGCAGACCGCTCACTGAGCAAGCCTTTCCCTTGTGTAGGACACCCCAGGGCCTCACATTCTCTGAATCCACACAAGGTGATGGATGGCTTTGCCTCTTGTAAATGAGAAAACTGAGGTTCAGAGAAGGTTTGTAAGCTTGTCCCGTGTCACCAGCTGGTGAGGGAGCCTGAACACGGAAGCCATGCCTGCCTGACTGGGAAAGCTGGGCTCCTCACAGCACTGCCCTGCTCCCAGCTGTCGCCAGGGGCCCCAGGGCAGGCAGAGCAACTGCGTTCCCGTGGCAGCACCTCCACCTGGAGGGGCTGGGCAGGGAGCACCACACTGTCAACTTGGAACAAACTTTTATTTTGAATGCTGGTCTGATCAGTCCACGGCCAGGGGTAGGTGGTAACTAGAAACAGCTGGAAGGAGGGAAGGAGAGGGGACCAGCAGTCCGCAAGCAGGAGGAAAGGAAAGGGTTGGGGACAGGAGGAGGCAAGGCTGAGGAAGGACCCAGCCAGCTGGGTGTCTGCCCCGGCTAGAGAACGAACCACCCCCACCCACCAGCCTACCCTCCATCTGTGGCTTCAGTGCAGAAGTCAGTCCAGGTGGGTTCAGGCCCATGCCACCTTCTCTGGCCTGCACAGTCCCACCCCAGGCAGGGGTTCTTCCAGAAGGCTAAATGCTCTGTCCTAACCCTGGAAGTGTCCTTTCACTAACCCCTGCCTGCCCGCCCCACGCTCCAGTTGGGTCTTTCAAACCTGGAGCTCAGGCCTTCACTACTGTGCTCCTGTAGCAGCCACAGGGGTGGCGTGGTGGGGAAGATGGGGTTCTAGTCTCAGCCTGGCTCAGGGAAGATGGGGTTCTAGTCTCAGCCTGGCTCAGGGGAACATCCCTCCACCCCTCCAACAGGAGGTGCTACAAAACATGATCCTGAGCAGACCCAGACCCCCTTCTGGTAACCAGTGCCTGAGGCCCAACAAGAAGCGGGGTGATGGGAGGCTCCAGGCCGGGCAGATCAGCGAAAGCTGAGGGCAGCCAGGGCCGGCCCAGGCAAACGCAGGATTGTCTCCAAGGGGAAACCCACCAGCTGTCTTTGGGTTGGTGGCAAGGGTCAGGGTCAGGGCCCGAGATGGGGAGAGTCCTATAATCCCATCGCCATTCCCCTCCACATGTCTCCAGGTTACAACCAGAGAGCTTTTGGCATGACCTGAATCTGTGGGCTTAAAGGGAAAAAGGAGGAGAGAGAGAAAAGGGAAGCCACTACTTTCTCCCTGTTAAAATGCCCAAGTCCTAGACTGGGGGTTCCTGCTCTGGCAGCAGCAGACACCAAATCCCAGAAGCCCCTCCACCCGGTCTGGCTCCATGGAAGGTGCCCCTGAGTGCCAAGAGGAGCAGCAAGATAGGGAGGGCGGCTCCTTCCCCTCCTGACATCCCCTGACCGCCCCGAGGATTCTCAGAGACAGATACGCAGGCAGACAGCCATGGAGGAGAAAAGAGAGGTTGACAGGGCCCTGGGGGTGGCACTCCTGCACCACACACACACACACACACACACACACACACACACACACAATAGAGAGAGACAGAGACATATAATAAACAGAATAAAAACTAAGGGCCCAGATGTACAAAAAATGTGTGAGTGAGGAAGAAGGTGGGGAGGACAGTGAGAGATGGTCAGTCCTCCGGAAGTCTGGCTACCTTCGTCAGCTTATAAATTACAACCCCCCTGGAAAATGGGGGTGGGGGCAATGCGGAGGCTCCGGCTGTGGCCTGAGCGGGAGGGCTGGGTGGCGGTCATAGCTGCTCTGCCCATCTGGTGGAGTGGTGGCCAGAGATGATGACCCCTTGGGTGGTGAGGGTGGGCCAGGGGAAGGTTCAGCAGCCGCTGGCAGGAGTCACACAGGCCCCCTGGGACTTCACCTTGTGGCGCTGGCCCCCTCGTCGCCGGCCTCCACTGCTGGGCTTAGGCTGAAAGAGAGAGAAGGAGCTTGAGAAGCACTGGCCCATCAGGAGCAGGGCCAGAGAGCAGAGGTGCTGAGCAGCGGGGAGACAGGGACGGAAGATGCGTGAGCAGGCTGCGTGGTCCTCACCCTAGCCTGACCAGGAATTTACTGGGTCACTCTGCATGCAGCACCTCCCCTCTGTCTCTAAAATGGAGCCAGTGCCTGCCCTGCCTTCCTTACAGGGTGGGTAGGACACACATGATGAGGGTGTGAGAAGCGGCCGTTCAGAGAAGCACAAAGCAGAGCAGGAGAGAGAGAAAGGAAGCGAACGAACCAGAGGAAAGACCCATGGGAGACAGATAACAGAATGGACAGACAGATCCAGGCATAGCCTCCTTTTCCAATGAGGGGACAATGGAGAAAGATGCTGGGGAGAGGGGTGCAAGGGGCACCAGGCCTTCATCACGCCAGGAGAGAGTGCCTGTGGGAGACAGCTGGCAGGAGATGCCGAGTAAGAGGCGCACTGGCACATCCCAAAGCCACCTCCCCTTCAGGATGTGTGCACGTCAGGGAGGGGACAGAGGAGGACCCTCTAAGGCAGTGTCTCTCAAACCTGCTGGACTGCAGTGCACACATATATCACTTGGACACTCACACCAGCAATACTTGCAATACTTAATCTTACTATGAAAGGGAAGCTTCGACATTTTTCTGTTCTATTTTATTTCATTAAAACCAAATGCTAGTTAGGGCCAATTAAACTGGTTTCAGGTGGGCTGTATTCCCTGATTTGGAAGCACTGCCTTATAGCTTCTAGAGACAAATGCCTCATTCTTAGGAGCACTTCAGTGCCAGAGCTGTGGAGGAGACCCTCTAGCCAGGTTTGAGGCTTGCCTACATGTCACCCTCACCGAATCAGAGTAAAAGCCACAGCCCCCACCACCATGCCGAAGCTGCGAGGGGCCCGTGCTCACCTGAGGCTGGAGATTGCTGGACGCAGCTGGTTGCCCTGCCCCTACAGAGGAGGCTTCATCTCCAGGTGGGGGTGCTCCTACTGCTGGCCCACCAGACGGGCCCCCCTCGTCTCGTTTCGTCAGGGGGCCCTTTTTCGTCGACTGCATTTTAATCTGCTGCGGCTTGGAGTTCATTGGGGAGTTGTTGGTGGTCTGGAGGAGCTGTGGGAGCCATGGAGAGAGGCTGAGGCTGGAGCTGCGGGGCAGTGGCACTGGCTTGGCTACCCCCCACCCTCAGCCCCCTTCTCCCACAGACTCCTCATTCCTTGATCTTGCCAGTTCAGGGCAAGGCAGATGGCAGGAAGGCTGTGACAGGAGGCAGTGGGGATGAAGAGGCATTCTCATCCCCACTCAGTGGCTGAGGACTGCTATGGCCCTGGACTCATGCCTCACTTCCTGCCTCTGCCCAGCCCAGAAAGGCTCCATCCTGTTCTCTGCTGCAGCTACTATTCCTGCAGAGAAATTGGTGAACCTTGCTCCCACCTCCCGCTCAGTCCAGCCCCCAGAGCCCAGAGCCTGCACAGAGCCTGGCAAGTGGAGCTCCGGGATCTCCTGATTGCTAAGCTGGTGGAGACTCCTCAGAGCATGCTGCAGCTCCAGCCCCAGCACGCTGCTGCTGCCCCCGTAACAAGTCTAGGGCAAGTGTTAACTCAGGGCCTCCCGAAGAGACCAAGTGAATGTCTCCTCAGCTGGAAACATCTGGAGTTTGGCCAGAAGTAACTGACTTGAAATCTTCCCTTGTGGCCCAAGTTCTATCTCATACAAAGCACAAAAGAAGCCCAGTGAGTCCCAGAGGACATTACAGTGTTTGCTGCAGCCTTGGCCAAACTCAGCAGTCCCAGGAGCATGCAGGCCTTCAAGGACATCTGTAGCCCCAGGGTGACCATGGATGGGGGCCTTTTCTGGAGGCAAGGCCAGCCAAAGACTGATTCCAAGATCTCAGATAGGCTGGGGCCAGTACCTCCTTTGTACGGAGCAGGGGTCAAACCCCTCTATCAAATGCCCCTCCAAGACCAGGGGCAAGGTCTGCAGTGGGCAAGTGTCCAGGATACACCAACAGCTTAAGCCCCAAGAGAACTCACGCCCATAACCCCCTGCACTTACTCCAACCAGACCTCTGCTCTGAGAGGAGACCTTAGACATGGTCCCAGTGAGGCCATAGGAACCTGTGACAGCACCCTGGAGGCTGAGCCTGGCTGGGCCCAGACATTCTGTCACCAGTTTTCTATGGAGGAAGATCATACCCTAACCCTACCTTCTCCTCTCCATGGTCACCACCACTGCCCAGGACAGGAGGCCACAGGATACCTCTAAGGGAGTAGAGAGATGGCACCGAGGCCACACCTCAGTGGGTCCAGCTCTCCCATGGCAGTGACTAAACCTCTGCCCTGCACTCAGGGTCACAGAACAGGAGTGGCCCCTGGTGCTTCCTGGAGGCAGGCAAGGTCTGTCCTGGCCATACCTTGGTGATGGTGCCGACAGCCTTGGTGCGGCCTTCCCGGAACACCAGCCGCTGGTCTATGTGCAGGTACTCAGGGGTCTTGATGAAGCGGAAGTGTACAGTGGCCTTGTCCCCAGTGCGCAGACAGTCCTTGTCCATGCTCAGAATGGTGGCTGTCTGCCTGATGCTCCCACAGTGCACTGTCAAGGAAGCCAGAGGTCAGGATAGGCTGGAGCCACCTGGTGGCTTCAGGACAACGGGAGGCAGTGAGTGAAAGCATGAAATACGCTTAAGCTGTGGAAGGGTGGGGGCTTATCTCTGGGGCTACAGACCCCCGTGAAGCCTGTTCTTGGCTCTGATCCTGCCTTACCATCTCCCACCTTTTCCTCCAGCTAATGCCCACCCGTCATCCCCCACCCCCAGGCCCTGGGCAGACAAGGGTCCCAGTTCCTGGGATTACAGCACACTGCACATGCACCTCCTCGCTGGACTGTGGGCTTCTGCGGGGAAGGATCCTTGCCCATCTACTTCATCTTTGTTCCCAGCACCTTAGCAACACCGCTGGGCACATAGCAGCGTTCAGCAGACCTTGCTGAAGGATTGCATGTGAGGTCCCTGAGGACAGGTCTGGGTCTCAAGAGCCCAGCCCTCAGTGTTTGTGGGAAGGAATCAACACTGCGGCTCATGGGTAGAACAGAAGGAACGGCATCACTAAACAGGAAGGAGGCCTACCACCCAGCTGCAGCTGGAACTAGGGGGCCTGGGTTGCTGGAACACCTTCTGAGGGGAGCTAACACGACGGCCTCCTGGGCTGGCAGGGCCTTAGACACCTACCCATGGCCTGGTAGCGCGGGCTAATTGTGGTGGGGTGGTGGAGGACGAGAATCTCGGCCTCAAACTCCCAGGAGGCTTGGGGATTCAAACGTGGGGAAACCATCACCATGCCCTTCCGGATGGACGAGCGCTTGATCTGAAAGAAAGAGGGAGCCCCAGCCCTCAGGGACAATTATGCCTTCTGGTTTCACCCCTGGTCCCAGGGACCAAGAGTCTTTCTAGGGATAGGGACCACCCCAACTCTGCCTGGTTTCCTCACCAACTGGACCACAGGCCTTCTAGGGTGGACAGCACGAGCACCCTCAGTGCTCCATGGGAAGACTCAACACTACTACTGGGGGTCAGGAAGGCTTCATGCGGGAATCAGCACTTCAGCTGCTCGGCCATGAAGGACGCATGAGGAAGCAAAGGCAGGCAAGCATTCAGGGGGAACAACAGGTGGGCATGACCTGACCACTGTGGGGAAGAAAGTCCTACTATTCCTGGTTAATTTAGTTGGTGGGTAAAGGTAGGTGACCCCTGAACTACAACCCACCCCAAACCCCAGGAGATAGAAGGCTGAATGGGAAGAGGATGTGGCGCAGATCCCAATGGTCCTATGTAGAAGGATCCTTGCACAGCAGGGATACTCCTATTTGACCTCACCACTGAGCTCAGGCCACCCTGCTCAGGCACCAGAGGGAGGAACGGAGCTTAGAAGGAGGCATTCCTCGCTCTAGCACTTACAAGCTGTGTGTCTTGGGCAAGTCCCTGGGCTCTGAGCCTCAGTTTCCTCATCTGTAAAAATGAAGCCAGTAATCCCGACCTTGCAGAGCAGCCATGAGGACTAGAGTGGGTGAGCAGGGCATCTGGCCAAGAGCCTAGCATGATGGAGTCTGAGGGGAGCGTTCAGTATCATCGCTACTCACCTTCTTCAGCGCAAAGGATGCTGTCTGGCCACCCCGCACCTCCTTGACAGGCATGCGCTTGCGATGGATGGATTTGACAGCAATGGACAGGAAGTTACCCAAGGGGTCTGGGCCCAGCAGCAGCGTGTCATTCAGCTTGATCAGGCCTCTCAGTGTTGTCCCCGAAACCACTGTCCCCACACCCTGCCAAGGAGAAGACCCTGGCCTCATAAGTGCATCCCCAGCACAGACCCACCCCCTGATGCCACTGTAGGAAGTGCCCACCCAGCTACCCGCCCAGAGCCACTTACCGGGACGGAGTAGGTGTCATCAATCTGAAACTCAGCAGGCTCCTCCTCCCTGTAGCTGGTGCGGGGGGAGAGGAGGTTGAGGAACATCTTCAGCAGATCTAGGTTCTCGCCTGTAACGTTGGAGATCTGGAATATCGGGCACATCCTAAGCAGAGGGAGAAGAGGAAGGAAAAAAGGAGAGAGGCACTCAGGAGACCAGGTCCTGCCCTGACACAGACCAGGGGCAGCAACAGGGCTCGAGGAGCAGATGCCACTATTCATGACTCCACCTCTCCCTCACCTGCCTCCAAGGGCTTGACCTCTTTGCCCTGACCTAGCAAGCTCCTGGCCAGCCCTACTCTGAGGCCTTCTTCTCTCACTCAGTTCTGTCTCTGACACCTGTCCTCTCCTCTCTGTCCTCCACCACTGCCCTAGTTTGGAACCTCATGACTGCTTCTTCCTAAAACACACGCATGCTTGCTTAAAATCCTTAACCGCCTTTCCACCACAGAGAAGATACCCCAAATCCCTCTCCCAACACTCACAGCCCTTTGGCTTGGGCTTGTAGCCATCTCTGCAGATTCACTTCTCGCAAATTCCTATATTCCAGCCACACCAGAGAACTCTCCCTTCTCCTAAAACTTTGGAACTTTTCTGCCCTTGTGGATTTGCTCACTCTGACCTTCCTTCCTGAATTCTTTCCCTTTTATGCAACTACCAGGCCCTCTCACCCTTCAGAGCTCATCTCAAATACCACTTCTTCCATGAAATCCTTCCTGGGTGGACACTCTTGACTCCTCTGAGTTCCTGGAGAGCTTTTTCTCTATTACACATGACTGCATCTGATTTTTCATCAGAGTCCTGTAAATGGCCTCTATTGCTCCTATTCAGGGTGACTGAATTAAAATCCTTGAGATCACGAATTACACATTCCCCACAGCTCCTAGAATAGTGCCTGCACAGAATAGGCACTCAAGAATATCAACAAGCTCAAATGGGGCTGTCTGAAATGTGCCCCCTCTGCAGGCTAACTGATGGTACTGAAGATCACATCAGGGCAGAGGCATAGGCAAAAAGCCAGGCTGCTCTGGGCCTGGCGCTATAGACCAAGCTCTGGGCAAACAGGCAGAGTTAGTAGAGTTCACCATTATCGAGAGAGCATCTCTCACCAAGGAGCTGAACACCTTGAGGACAAGGATTGTGTTCAATTCAACTCTGAATCCTCAACATCTAGATGAAGAGTCTCGCAGAACAAACATCCAATAAATATTTATGGAATGAAAGAATACATTAATGAGTAAATGCCAAAACTGATCTGATTAGTGAGCTTTTGAGGAACAACAGTATAAAAAACTGAGTTACAAAAATGGCTGTGTATTTACCATCCATCAGCCAGGCAGGGCATTAAGTGCTCTACATACTTCATTTCCAACATTCACGGGAGCCCTACAGGGAAGGGAATGTTATTCCCATTTCACAGATAAGGACACTGAAGTCTCAGCCGGGATGCCAACCCCAGGAATGCCAGCACCTCACAATCTGGGTTACGTGATATTACCCCTGGGCAACAATGCTGGCTTGGGAGACCCTGCGCTAAGATTGGAAGCTTCTATTTCCTCCGATCTCTGAATAGGGAGAGGTGTTGATGTGGTGTTTTCATGAGACCTTATGCCCAAACTGACAGCCATTCCAGGCCCATCACTCACTGTGGTCCTGCCTGCAAGGGTGCCTGTCTGAAGTGTGCGCTCCCCACGCGTTACCTTTCAGAGCTGAAGTTGGAGGCTGTGACAATCACATCATCTTTGCTCTGCACCAGCACGGGGATCTTCCGGCAGCCTGGTGACTTCAGCAGGCGCTGTAACAGCTTCAGGGTTTCTTAAAGGGTGCAATGGAACAGAATTAGGGGGACACAGCCTTCTCTTTGGCCAGGCTTTAAGAGCAAGATGGGTCCACTCATTACTGATGCAAGCAGGAGACAGACAGATAGATGGACCAGTGTTAAATGCCACAATGCCTGGAGAAGCAAAAAGGAGGATCAAAACTTTGGGTGCTGCTAGAGTAAGAAAAGCACAGATGGGGCCTCTTTTCTAGGGTTCTGCGTCTGAAACCTGGCAGATTTCTCTTGTGTCTAGACGACCTGCCTCCTGTAAGCATGTGACTTGAGGGTCCCCAAGAAAAACAATTCACTTCACACTTCAGTTCTCAGAATGCACTACTTCCTGGAAAAAAATCTCATCCAACAAAAAGGATCTCTTAGACATTTAGAAGTCTACAGAGACCCTTATTATGAGGCTTCCCAAAGGGATACTTTTCTACAATCTTTAGCAGTGAGGGAGAAAGGCATGAAGGCTTAGTCCTGCAACCCTGTGTCAAAGCTTTGGTGGCAAAAGGTAATCAGACCCTCTGTCCAAACTTCCCCGTATATATCCAGCTTAGCTGGTAGAGCCCAACTCCTTCTGCCTGGGGTCACCTGAAAAGAGGTGCCAGATTCAGGATCTCAAGATTTCTGCATTTGGAACCAGAAGGAACAAGGAAGAGGATAATTCTAGGCTGTGTTCAGACCAAGAACTAAATAGGGGAGGAAGTAGCAGAAGATTCTGGGCTGATGGAAATTCAGGCCAAGACCTAAGTACAAGACAAAGGAAGTTTCGCCCGCGTGCACTGAAGATGGTAGCTGCTGTGGGAAGGCTACTCTGAGCATCGGCTGCCCGACATGTGAGTGCCATTCCTTGGGGCATTTCTGCCACTGCAGCCCTCAAGCTTGCTGCTTCTGGAAGAACGAGCTTGACAAACATATTATGGTCTGGTTCCAGTCAAGCAAAATTCTTTAGCACCAGCTCCTCATACCATGCACCTGCTGTCGCCCAGCATGCACCCTATTTTAAGGGTACAGCCATTGTCAATGGAGAGTTCAAAGACCTAAGCCTTGATGACTTTAAGGGGAAATAATTTGGTGCTTTTCTTCTATCCTTTGGATTTCACCTTCGTGGTCCTACAGAAACTGTTGCTTTTAGTGACAAAGCTAAGGAATTTCATGATGTGAACTGTGAAGTTGTGGTCTCAGTGGATTCCCACTTTAGTCATCTTGCCTGGATAAATACACCAAGAAATAATGGTGGTTTGGACCACATGAACATCCCACTCTTGTCAGATTTGAGCAAACTTCCTGAGACTACGGTGTGCTGTTAGAAGGTTCTGGTCTTGCACTAAGAGGTCTCTTCATAACTGACCCCAATGGAGTCATCAAGCACTTGAGCGTCAATGACCTCCCAGTGGGCCGAAGCGTGGAAGAAACCCTCCACTTGGTGAAGGCGTTCCAGTATGTAGAAACCCATGGAGAAGTCTGCCCAGCAAACTGGACACTGGATTCTCCTACAATCAAGCCAAATCCAGCTGCTTCCAAAGAGTACTTTCAGAAGGTAAATCAGTAGATCACCCATGTGTATCTGCACCTTCTCACCCCAGAGAAGAAACACAGTTGAAGCCTGCTTTTATCATTTTATAGATGATTATCTGTAGAAGGCAAGGAACCAATTATGCTTGTACTCATAAATATTACTCTAAATGGCTAAGGCCTTTTAAACATGGTTAGTTGCTAGTATAAGGAATCCTTTATTGGTAACATCTTGGTGGCTAGCTAGTTTCTACAGAATATAATTCGCCTCTGTAGAAGGCAATTCTTAGATCACATCTTCAGTAGAAACACTCTTCTGTCTTAGCCTTACTTGAAGCTTGCCTACAACAAAGTGGAGCAACACACATTGAAAGCTTCTGATCAAGGGTCCTGAAATTTTCATCTTGAATGTCTTTGTATTAAGCTGAATTTTCTTTTAAGCTAACAAAGATCACAGCTTTCAATTGTTATCAGCAGTCAAATTTAACTCCTGCAATGAATGTTTATGTGATTGAAGCAAATGTGAATATTATTTTAAAAAGTGGCAGAGTGACTTAACTGATCATGCATGATCCCTCATGCTTGAAATTTATAGTTTACCTAGTCATTTTACTTATTTTATTCATTAGCTAACTTTGTCTACATATATTTCTAGATACTGACCAGTGTAACGGATTATAAAGGATAGTTATTGGATCCAGGGATTGCATTTTGAAATTATTATAATTATTTTCTTTGCTGAAGTGTTCAATGTAGAGCACATAATAAAAATAAACATATTGTAAAATAAAAAAATAAAAATAAAAAAGAAAAGAAGTTTCTGGGCTAAAGCCGTGGTAGCAGACCACCTGAAGGCACAGCAGGTGACAGCCCCAATCAGAGGGGCTGCTGCTAGCTGGAGGCTTCACTTACCTTGCAGGATGTTGGCAGGACACATGTCAATCTTGGTGACTACCACAAAGACAGGTACATTGAGTGCCAGTGCCAAGCCCAGGTGTTCTTTGGTCATCCCCACGATGCCAGCATTGCTGCCCACCTGCCCCAACACAGAAAGGAAGTGTCAGGACGAGAGAGAAAGAGATTGCTGCTGGGTGGACACAGGGGCTCAAAAGCAGATGTGGATGAAAGCTGGGCTGGGCAAAAATCACGTTAACCCCTGACTCGATGATGTGGGGCGTCAAAATCGGAGGAGACTTGCAAACAATAAAAAAGATAAACCCAGTCAGGGAAACAACTGTCCTGAGCCATCAAAATGAATCCAAGTCAGGAGCAGTGGCTCATGCCTGTAACCCCAGCACTTTGGGAGGCCAAGGAAGGCAGATCACTTGAGGCCAGGAGTTTGAGACCAGGCAGGACAACCTGGTAAGACCTCCGTCTCTACAAAAAAATACAAAAATTAAGGCTGGGCACGGTGGCTCACTCCTGTAACCCCAGCACTTTGCGAGGTCAAGGCAGGCGGATCACCTGAGGTCGGGAGTTCGCGACCAGCCTGAACAACATGGAGAAACCCTGTCTCTACTAAAATACAAAATTAGCCAGGCGTGGTGGCACATGCCTGTAATCCCAGCTACTCAGGAGGCTGAGGCAGGAAAATCGCTTGAATCTGGGAGGTGGAGGTTGTGGTGAGCCGAGATCGTGCCATTGCACTCCAGCCTGGGCAACAAGAGCGAAACTCTGTTTCCCCCACCCTACAAAAAAAAGAAAAATTGACTGGGTGTGGCAGGATACGCTGTAGTCTCAGCTACTTGGGAGGCTGAGGTGGGAGGATCACTTGAGCCTGGGAGGTTGTGGCTGCAGTGAGCCATGATCGAGCTACTGCACTCTAGCCTGGGTGACAGAGCGAGACTGTGTCTCATAAACAACAACAACAAAAAGTGGATTCAACTTAACATCACTGGCCCTCAGTTTCCCCATCTGTAAAATGGGGAGATAACAATATCCACTTCAGAGGGTCACTTGATGTTTAAATGTCACAACACACATGAAGTGTCCAGCACACAACTAGCAGGAACTAGGTGTTTAAGCAATTGCACCTGTTATTACTATTACTATCCTTCCAGTAACAATAAATGTTTCCAAATATCACCGTAAGGACTGGTTACATAAATCAGGGCACGTGTATGAAATGTGCTGTACAAAAGAAGAAATTTTTATCTACTGATATGGACTAATCTCCAAAATATGCTTTTAAGGGGAAAAAAAAAGTAAGTTGCATATAGAATGCTATCATAAAAAGAGGTGAGTGTTCAGCTATGCATGGTGGCTCATGCCCATAATCCCAGCACTTTGGGAGGCCAAGGTGGGTGAATCACCTGAGGTCAGGAATTCGAGACCAGCTTGGCCAACATGGTGAAAACCCCTTCTCTACTAAAAATACAAAAAAAAAAAAAATTAGCTGCATGTGGTGGCAGTTGCCTGTAATCCCAGCTACTCAGGAGGCTGAGGCAGGAGAATCGCTTGAACCAAGGAGGCGGAGGTTGCAGTGAGCCAAGATTGCGCCATTGCACTCCAGCCTGGGCAAGAGTGAGACTCCATCTCAAAGAAAATAAAGGCCAGGCGCGGTGGCTCACACCTGTAATCCCAGCACTTTGGGAGGCCGAGGCGGGCAGATCATGAGGTCAGGAGCTCGAGACCATCCTGGCTAACATGGTGAAACCCTGTCTCTACTAAAAATACAAAAAATTAGCTGGGCATCGTGGCGGGCGCCTGTAGTCCCAGCTACTTGGGAGGCTGAGGCAGAAGAATGGCATGAACCCGGGAGGCAGAGCTTGCAGTGAGCTGAGATCGCGCCACTGCACTCCAGCCTGGGCGACAGAGCGAGACTCCGTCTCAAAAAAAAAAAAAAAAAGAAAGAAAGAAAATAAAAGGCAGTGGGGGATAACTGGTGACTGATTCATGGCTTAAAAAAAGCAGCTGAAAGATATTTGGGAAACATCTGAAATAATATAAATACAGACTAAATATTTGAGGATATTAGGTAACTATTCTTCATTTTCTTGATTGTAAAAACAGTAGGAGACAGGCCTCACTTTTAGGAGCTGTATGCTGAAGTGTTTAGCAGTGAAAAGTCACAATGTCTACATTGTGACTTTGTCTGGGATGAAGACATGTCCACTATTTTTAAGTGATTCAGCCACAAAAAAAAAAAACCAAACTAAACATATATACTTGGCTGGGCACGGTGGCTCACACCTGTAATCCCAGCACCTTGGGAGGCACCAAGGTGGGATGATTACTTCAAGCCAAGAGTTTTGAGACCAGCCTTGGCAACATAGCAAGATCTCGTCTCTAAAAAAATTAGTATTAGCCAGGCATGGTTGTGCACGCCTGTGGTCCTAGGTACTTGGGAGGCTGAGATGGGAGGATCCCTTGAGCCCAGGAGTTTGAGGTTATAGTGAACTACAGTCGCACCACCGCACTCTAGCCTGGGTAACAGAGTGAGGCTTTGTCTCTTTAAAAAATATTAAATCAGGCTGGGTACGGTGGCTCACGCCTATAATCTCAGCACTTTGGGAGGCCAAGGTGGGCAGATTGCTGGAGGTCAGGAGTTCCAGACCAGCCTAGCCAACATAGTGAAACCTCGTCTCTACTAAAAATACTAAAAATTAGCTGGGTGTGGTGGCACGTGCCTGTAATCCCAGCTACTCGGGAAGCTGAGACAGGAGAATCATTTGAACCCAAGAGGCGGAGGCTGAAGTGAACTGAGATTGCACAACTGCACTCCAGTCTGGGCGAAAGAGCAAGACTCCATCTCAAAAAAAAAATTAAAATAAATAAAAAACATATATACACATATGTACCCACCATATAGACACATAAATATGGCAAAATGTTAATGATTGCTAAATCTAAGTGGTGGATTTATGGTATTGGTTATACTATTCTTTCACCTTTTCTGAATGTTTAAAATTGGAGGGAGAGAACATATACACATTTGCTGATCTGAGTACAAAATATCTCTGGCAGGTACACAGGAAACTGGAAACACTGGTTGCCTCTGGGAGGAAACTTTTCACAATTTTGTACCATACTAAACCAGAAGAAAATTTGAAAGAAAAGCTGCCATGATGTGTTTACACAGTGCCCTATCCATTCCAGTGTGTCACGGAGACGCCCACTGAGTTTCCATGGCTCCTAGATGAGTCACCCCAGCTGGCACTTCCCTCTCCCTCCACCAGGACACTTCCACAGTCTTCCCGACGTCTTCCTGTGCCCTTCGGCCACCTTTCCAACCCAATGCAGACTTGCTTTTGCTCTTCCCAACCTGGAGAAGAGAGTGCTCTACGGCTGTTTTCTATATATTTTAAATATTTTTTCCTAGAAGTCAAATGCCATGGGACTATAATGAAATATTTCATTGTTTTCTACAGAAAGGTTAACATTTGGATCACAACCAAAAAGTCAGATAATATATATGTAACATTTTGTCCAGGGTGAAGATATTTCCATTAATTGGTCTTACTCACTGTAGCTCAGCTGGAAAAATGCTTATTCTCAACCAGTTTCTATACCCTTC
This sequence comes from Homo sapiens, assembly GCF_000001405.40. Classification (NCBI taxonomy): domain Eukaryota; kingdom Metazoa; phylum Chordata; class Mammalia; order Primates; family Hominidae; genus Homo; species Homo sapiens. The sequence continues at coordinate 38,718,261 of NC_000022.11, read as the reverse complement.
TTAATATCAACCCAACAACTCCCCTAAATACGCCCTCTGGATCTTCCACTAAGATCCCTTCCTGGCAAGCAGCTTTCCTCAGCCCAGTCAAGAAGCTGGTCATGGCCCTTTGCAACATTGAAGGAAATGGGAAATGAAGGCATGCTGAGGTCCCAAAAGCCTCAGGCAGAGAGCCTACGAGTGTTCACACGGCTCTGCCTCTCTTTACTGCTCTCCAGTTTAGGGAGAATTTGCTTGAGAACCTGTGTTTGTGCAGCAACTTGATCAAGTTTGCTATGAACAGATGCTTATGTTTACTACATTTATTAATACAGGCAGCTGAAGGAATCGAGAAATGGGGAAGGGTTTTGGGAAGGCCTTGCCGAGGGAACACTCGAGGCATGTGTGTCTCTGACTCTGTCCCTTCCCGCCCTCCCTCTTCCTTACTCCTGCTGTGAAAGCTGTGGAGATGTGCACAAGGTTACAGGCCTTGCCGCTCCCCTCAGCACTCCCACTGTCTGTCCAGGGAGGAAGATCAGTGGGTCACAAAGGCAAGCTTAGCAATGAGATCCAACACAGAGCCCTCTGCTCCCTTTCTTTCTCAGTTAATCTATTAGATGAGCTGCTTAAACACTTTTTGGTTGTTTTTAATGTTCCGAGCAGGAATAGCTGCTTAAAAATTTAATCACGCTCGACCCTAAGCTTTTTGGGAGCCTCTGGACAGCCCTGTTCATTGCTGTATCATCAGACCTCACATAGTACCAGACACACAGGAGCCTCTCAACAAGGGCTGTGCACTGGCCGATCCTCCTCCCAGGCTCCAGGAGGCCACCTCTCAGGGCCTCTCGACTGTGGCCTGTGCCTCCTATGGCTGTCTTCTCCGTTTCTTCCCCAGGCCTGCCCCTCTGAAGGTACTACCTACCTGGTGTCACCTCCTCAAAGTAGCCCAATCCTCTGCAGAAAACATTTCTGAAGGTAACAAGTAAGGCCCAGGAGAAACCCTCCTCTATGCCTCTGCAAAAAATAAGACAGGTCTTCAAGGGTACCTGGTTTTTACCAAGAGGATACCTTCCCTAGTCTAATGTAAGGGAGAGATCAAGGTTCAAGCCTTGAGAAGACCATTACTCAGAGGACTGGGCACCCCTGCAAAACTCGCCAGCCTCACCCGATGTCAAAGCCCCAAACCAACAGGCCTCAGTCTCAGAACAGTTTCAGACTTGCACATAACCAGACCCAAGCAGCCCTGCTGACGCCTCCCCTCCTTGGGGCGCCTCCCACTCACCATGAGCATGCAGAAGTCAGGCAGATGGCCTGTCATGCCGAAGACAGTGGTTTTCAGGTACTTCTCATGACCAGCCAAGTCGATGAAGGTAATGACTTTCGTGGACTTCTCACAGATCTTGGTCCACTCCAGGCTGCCGCCGTGGCTGTCAGGCTTGTTCACTACATTGCCTTCACTGTCAAAGCCCAGAATGTCGTTGCCCACACTGCTGGTGCGACCAGATTCAATTTCATGTTTGTGGCGGAAGAGTTTCTGGCGGGCAAAGCCTCGGCCATTGTCCAGCTCCCCATGTGTCAGGACCCCCAGAAGCGTGCTTTTGCCAGCATCCACGTTGCCCACCACTGCTACCCTGCGTGTAGATGAACCCATACATCTATGTGAGAGTTAGTGAATGAGTGAGGTGGAGCGACCATCATAACCCCAGTAATTGGATCCGCAAGTCCAGGCTTGCCCCGATCCCCTCCGGCTCACAGCTCCTCCTTGAGCCGGAGGAGCACAGTGGGAAGGTTCCTAGAGCTGCTGCTGTAGAGTCATCAGAAGGGCCCAGACTCCCACAGCGGCTATCTCCCTTAACTCCCACTAGCTTCTGGGTGCTGCCAGGAAGAGCCGCAAGGCTACCAGAGGCACAAAAGGCTCTTCTCCATGACCCTGGTTTCCAGGCTCACAGGCTGAAGGGAAAAGAAACACACCCACAGAGAATGGCCACAGAATGCACGGCTGGCCTCTCTCGTGCTCTTCCCAAAGTGACAGGGAAGTGCAGAATTAGAGCAAGGAGCCCACGTCTCCAGACACCTGGACACTCTTTCCCCGCCTCAGGAGGGGAAAGGATGGAGCTGACACGCCAAGTGCCACAGGCTCAGTCACCAACCTCTGTGAAGAATGGGGACCCCAAAATGTCCCGCGGCCTCCTCACCTGACCTCCAGGAAGTCATTGTCTCCTACTCGTTTCCGGACCAGGTAATCACGCACGCGGCCCCCAGCTTCTTGCCGTTCCCGCAGAAGGATGACATCGGCCTCTATCTGTTCCGCCATGCTCTTCACTGTGGCGTAGGAGGCCTCCATGTCAGCTTCACTCAGCCCATACTCAGTCCCATCTGGTGACAAGAGCCCAGACATCAGCAGGAGAGGGAGTCCTGACCAACCAGCCTGCCAACCAGCCAGCCAGGAACCCCACCTAACAAAGGCCACCACCCCCCGACCCCAGCACTGCAGAGGAACAGGGGTCCTCTCTACCTGAGAGAAAACCTGGGCACACACCAAGTTAAAACATGACAGTGCCACAGACCTCTCCATCAAGCAGAGCATTCGCTACTTCATTCAACAACAGCCACCGAGGCTCTCCCAGGTTTTATGCCAAGCCTCATGCTGGGTACTAGGACTACAGGTGCCCCTAGTGAGCTCACAGCCCAGTGGGGGAGGCAGACAGGAAATTAATTAATTGCAATACAGCTCAAGTGCTGCACTCTAGGACTGTGTGAAGAGAACATAAAGCACTGCCTGGGGAAGCCGAGGACAGTTCTGCAAAGGGCTGATGCCAAGCTAGGTCAACAAGTGCTGGGCCTGCAGAAGGAGGAAGGACATCCTAGCCAGAGGAACAAAGCGTGGCGTGGCAGATCATGGCAAGTTCAGGGACCAGGAAGCAGCTCAGTGTGTTGAGGAGCAGCATGGGTGACATGGAGTGTCGGGAGACTACATGAGAGGTGGAAGCAGCACAACAGACGGACAGCAGCGACACACCTTCTGCACCAGGCATTGAGACACCCGTAGGCTGAGGCAGGGGAGTAACATGATCAGATGGCTGTGGGTTAGAAAGATCTCCTGAGTAGCAGTGCCAAGTGTGCACCAGCAAGTGAGAGACCAGTAAGGGGGGAGTCCAGTTAGGAAGTAATTCTAATAATGCAGGCAAGAGATAATGACGACAGAAAGATGGAGGAAAATGGGGGAGGAACTCAGAAACATTTTAGAGATAAGATTTTTAACTGAGGTGGCTCAGGTGACATGTCCAGCAAGCAGCTGGAGAAATGAGTTTGAGCTCAGGACAAGGAAGGGAATCAGACAGAAGGCAGGACCAACCGACCAAACAGTTACTGAGCTCCTACTATATGACAACCCGTCAGCTGCTTTCCATGAGGTGCTGGATTTAATTTCCACAATCACTCCCTCAGCCTTTCCCAGCTGTCCTGTCTCTGAGAGCACCCCTGCTCCTTCCCTGGCTGGCTAACCCCTTCAGCATGTGTGACTCTCTTCCCCCGCACCAAATATTCTCCTTGTCTCTTCTTCTCTTCCTCCCACTCCAAACAAGCTCCTAAACTAAGGAAAGGAAAACCACCCCCCTTCCCTTGCCCCTGCTTATCTGCAAAGCTACCATCTCCTGTTTTTCCTTTCACCATCAAACATCTCGAGAGTCATCAACGCGTGTTGACTGTACTATCCCACCATCTACTCAATGGGAATCTGCCCACTACAGAAGAAACCGCAGTTGTCACATGCCACCAGTGGCCTTTTTTTTTTTTTTTTTTTTTGAGATGGAGTCTCACTCTGTCACCCAGGCTGGAGTGCAGTGGCACAATCCTTGCTCACAGCAACCTCTGCCTCCCAGGTTCAAGCGATTCTCCTGCCTCAGCCTCCCAGGTAGCTGGGATTACAGGCGCCCGCCATCATGCCTGGCTAAGTTTTGTATTTTCAGTAGAGACGGGGTTTCACCATGCTGGCCAGGCTGGTCTCGAACTCCTGACCTCAAGTGATCTGCCCGCCTTGGCCTCCCACCAAAGTGCTGGGATTACAGGCGTCAGCCATCATGCCTGGCCCACCAGTGGCCTTCTAAACTCTCTAATGCCCTCTTCTTGACTCCTACAGCATTCGATACTGCTGGCCACTCAGCCTTTCCCTCTTGAAGCACTTCCCTCCCACCCTGCTCACGCATCACCTGACCTCTCCTGATGTGCCTCCCCACCCCGTCCCCCGCTCTTGTCTCCTGAATGCCAGTTTTTTCCAGTAGTCTGTCAGTGGCCCTGTTCTGTTTCCTCCAAACTTTCCCCTTGGCCATCTTGTTCTATGGCTTTGGCTGTCATTTTGAAAACTATAAAAACACTCATTTCTAACACCATCCTATGCCCAGAACTCCAGACTGAATTTCCAATTGCCTGGATAACTCCTAGAAGTCTGATATCCAAACTCAACACCCAACCCAACCCTCTTTTAAACAACAGCACAGACACTAACAATGTTAATAAAGCATTTTATTTCTCACTGTAATCTTATGAGGTAGGCATTACTGTTCCCTTTTAACAGTGGGGTAAAAAGAACCTAGGGAGATCTCAGAGCTTGGGGGAGGCCATGAGTTCAGGTCTTCAGATTCCAAAACCAGAGCCTTTTCCTCTTACTGCCTGACCAGTTCCTTCTTTATTTCTGACAATGACAATACCATCTCTCTAGCCACCAGTCTCCTCAGTCCAGTCCTGATGATTCTAGCATTTTACCTTGCCTCCTTCCCTGATGTCTGCCCTTTTTGCCAATCCGCAGCCACCAGCCTGATTCAGGCTGTTATTCTACCTGAACCACCACAACAGACTCTTAACTTTTGTCTTTACAAATTCAGTCTCTATTCCCTCCAACCAACCCCTTAAGGTCCTAAATAAAGCACAACTCTGACGCCGTCACTTCAAGTCAAAGCTTATGAATGGCTCCCCAGGCCCAACTGCTTAACAGCCTCCCCATTTGTGCCGTACTCCCTCCTCACTTTCTTCTTGTAAGCTCTGTCATGGTGCAAGTGGCCCCATCACACACACAGCACTCCCCTTCCTTGTGCTGGGGTTCTCTGCAGGGTCCTAGCTCTACACCTTTGCTCATGGATTTCCTATCCTGAAAGCCCAACAGCGCACCTCCTCCTAGCAAAATCCTACTCATTCTGCCCACAAATGTCTGTGTCTCCCTTACATTTGCAATGTACTGCCTTGTGCAACAGTGTTTTGGATACACATCCTCCCCTCCCCGCACAATACATAAGCATCTTGAAAACAAGGAACATACCGCAACAATTTCCTGATGCCCCACAACCAGTGCCTTTCCTCAAATGTTTGTAAAATGTAAAACAAATGAACAAAGAGGGAGCGGTTGGGCTGAGGAGTTTCTAAATGCACGGCAAAGTGAGCTGTGAAAGCCTTCAGGGTTAGAGAAGGGTTTGCTGGGAGTGTTCCTAAGAAGGCTGGCTAAATTCTATTCAACCTCCCCTGCTCCTGTTCTTTCAGGTCCTGTTCCACACCAAGGGCTATCACCAACGTCACCTTGTCCATCAGGGCTCTCGGTCAGTCACATTACCCGTCTCCAGCATGCATCACATTCCTCACTCTGTGGAAGCCGAGACAAAGGTGGAGGAGAAAAGCTGCAGAGGTCCAATTACTAAAGGCCACATACTCAGCCATGCCAGACGCTAATCAGATTTCCATCCTGCCGGCTCATTCACTTTTCTTATATGTATTCTCCTCTTCTACAGGCTGCAAAGACTCCCTAGACTCTCAGAATAAAAGTCTAACCTCTTTGGCATGGCATTTAAGGACCCTCAGAATCTGAGCCCTGCCTTCCTCTGCCCAGCCTCTCCTCCTACCACTCAGGACCTCATACTCTCCACTCATCCTACTGGATTACTTTTGGTCCACTATATATTCCTGTCTCCAATGCCTCCATGCCTCTGTGAGAATGGTTTCCTCTGCCCATTCACTATTCCCTCCATTTACCTGGAAAATTCCTACTCATCCTTTAGAATCAATTAAAGGGCAGCTCCTCTTCACAGCCTTTCCTGACTCTTCCACAAAGACTTAGTACTCCTTGGCCGGGCACGGTGGCTCACATCTGTAATCCCAGCACTTTGAGGCTCAGGGGGATCACCTGAGGTCAGGAGTTCAAGACCAGCCTAGACAACATGGTGAAACCCCGTCTCTAATAAAAATACAAAAATTAGCCAGGCGTGGTGGCAGGTACCTGTAGTCCCAGCTACGCGGGAGGCTGAGGCAGAAGAACTGCTTGAACCCAGGAGGCAGAGGTTGCAGTGAGCCGAGATCATACCACTGCACTCCAGCCTGGATGACAGACAGAAACTCTGTCTCAAAAATAATAATAATAATTTTAAAATACTTAATACTCCTCCTATGTCCCCTGAACTTTTTTTTTTAATTGTTTTTCTTTAGAGATAGAGTCTCACTCTCGCCATCTCAGCTCACTGCAACCTCCACCTCCGGGGTTCAGGTGATTCTCATGCCTCAGCCTCCTGAGTAGTTGGGATTACAGCAGTGCACCACCACGCCCAACTAATTTTTTGCATTTTTAGTAGAGATGGGGTTTCACTATGTTAGCCAGGCTGGTCTCGAACTCCTGGCCTCAAGTGATTGGCCCACCTTGGCCTCCCAAAGTGCTGGGATTATAGGCATGAGTCTTCTTTTTCAAAGAAATCTCATGATAAATCAACTACAACCTGGGACCCTTAAAAAAATTATTACTGCAACTACTAATATTAGCTAACATTTATGTAATGCTCACTATTCACGATGATTTCCTTGAATTCTCATTTAATCTTCACTACTACACCATGGGAGAGATTCCATTATTATCCCCATTTTAAGACAAGGAAAAGAGTCAGTAGGCAAATCCAGGCCTGCCAGGTTCCAGATCCTATAGATTAGGCCAGACTGCCCCCTTTTAAAATATCAACATTAAGAATGTATTCTTAAAGAGCACATTCCTCTACATTTGTTACAATTTTAAATGTCTTATTTATCTATACAAAATTTCTCTGAGGTAGGATGAGGAAGGTATCATTATTCCCATTTTACAGAGAAAGGATGTGATAAACAGAGGTGAAGCAGCAAGGAAACCACTGATGAAACTGACTCCTTGGGGCCGTGTATCTGGGTTAGTCTTCTGATTATTGTTCAACTTGTTTAACTAGTTATGATCTCTTTCTATTTGTAAAGAATTCCAGCAGGAGGAGTCACTATGAATCTAATAGCATCCAACTGGTGGATTCGAGGATGATGCTTGGGTGTACAGATGTGTTAATAAATGTCTGACATCTTACGCTTTGCCATGGGTGGGTTTGCCATGGGTGGGTTAATTGCCATGGGTGGGGTGTGAGTTGTCAAGGCATGGTAAAATTCACTGAGTCCACATAAAAGGATGAGGGGAAAGAGGAGTCTTAAGAATCTGGGTCTTCAAAAACAGACTCAACACTTGTCAAAATTGACCTATATGTGGTTCCTGAAATTCTACAATTATTAAGTGATCTTTGAGTGGTTCATCTTATTAGAGCAGGCCAGATGTGTACCTGACATCAAAGCTTCAAAAGGCTACCAATGATCTCCTAGTCAACAAATGGAATGTTTTTTTTTTGAACCTGGCATTCATTGCTGCCTCTGTAGCACTTGATAATGCTAATCAACTCTCTCCCTTTCTTGATACGCAACCTCTTAGTTTGCCTATCTCTCTGACCATGCCTTCCTTTAGGTGGTAAGACCCGCAACTAGAGAGGTAGCAGCAAGGATGGGAAGGAAAGAACAGATACGAAAGATATTTCAAAGGAAGGCACAGCTGCATCTGGAGAGCAAATCCTTCTTCTTTATGTCACTCTTACAACATTTCCAAATACTGTTTCCCATGGAGGTTATTTGTGTATATGCCATCTTTCCTCCTTGGGGCAGGGATCAGATTTTAAGTTTCCAAAAGAGCTTTGCAACAGTGGCAGGCCTTAGAAGATACTTAATAGATATGTATAAAATAGTTTAAGAATGATTTTGAGATTTCTTCAATCTTCAACTCAAACTACAAAAGAATTATTACCTGGCTTTACAAAGCCTACATTCAGCAAAGAAAAGTGTTTCTTTAATGATGCATCCAGGCCCACCTGGGCTTCCTGCAAAGATGACAGAGACAAGTGCTGGTATGGGCTGAATTCATAATCGTTAACAACCCCAGCTGTCATTTCAGCAAAGATAATCCCATAATGAAGATGAAGGTAAGCAGGTCTTGTATTGAAGTTGCTAACTAGGAGTGACCAGGGGAAGAAACCATAATATACTCTGGGATTGTTGTGAGGGCTGCCTTCCTCTAAAATAGTAGGTTCTGTTACAAGGAATAAGCAGCTTGGAGAACAATAACCAGTCCCTTTCAGAATGGTTACAAGCCTATGTGTCTGACAGGATCCAGTGGGGAGAGAGGACGACCTCTGTTATCCCAGCTATCCAGACTAAATAGTCAGTAGGGTCTGGGGCAAGGAGCCTGACAAGAGAGGAATTCTGGGCATCTTTTCTCTGCTGACACCAAGAAGAATCACGGAGGTCCTCTGCTAAGCAGAAAATAAGTCGCAATGGGATCTGTAAACAGGGCCTGGAAGGGAAGACCTCCAGCTGCCCAGGAATAAGCTTAATTCTAGACCTAACTATGGCTTG